>NC_000003.12:187455574-188705574 GCF_000001405.40 Homo sapiens
CACGTTCAGTGTCTGCATCTTTTCTTCTTCATTACCTAAGTACATGTAAATTGGTCATGTTGCTGATGCGGAAGCAATCTTTAAAATTGGTTAAAATATGCCCACGTCAAATATGACGAATTCTTCCACTTTTGGACTCCTCATGATTTTAATCAACCAAAATCAGCCAATTGAGAAATGACAGCATGAGGTCCAAATTCCCTTAGCATCAATTTTTTTCTTGTTTTGTCCTTTGATGATGATGGTGATATGTGTGTGTGTCTGTGTGTGTGTGCATTGTGTTCACTAGAGTTGTTAGTAGGTTCAGGCATTATTTAACCCATCAAGTAGCACTGAGCCCTTGCTATGTTTCAGGCACTGACTGAATAGCTGGGGATGGGGAAGATTAAAAAACAAAACAAAACAAAACAACAACAACAGCATCTCAAGTCTGTTAGTCAGAATGAGACGTGGGGATGTGGCAGATGCAAACATACGGACATGGTTAGGAATAAAGAAAGAAGCTTTGGCTGCATAATGAGGATATTTTGGCCCATGACGCAGGAATGCCTGGCTCTTGTCTTGAGCACAGGTTTCTTGGATGTTGCTAAACACACACTAAATTACAGCAGCATGGGAAGAAAACTGCCACTTTGCCACTGAGGCTGGGGCCTGATAATCCATGATAAGGGGCTATCTGGTCAAACCTGACTCAGAGAATGTAATTTAGGCCTATTGACTGCCTTCCTAAGCACCAAATCTGGGACTAATACATTTAGAAATACCCATGGAGAGAGAAAGAGAATTAGGTCCCAGAGGGACCTTAAACTCATTTAATAAGCTGAGCTGAAGACCAACAAAGCTGGCCAATCTGGCCTGGAGCCAGACATTTCCTGGACTTCAGGCAAAAAAGCAAGAGAGAACACAGCACGTGGCTGTAGCTTGGACTAGGTAGAATAAGCCAGGCCACAAGGAAACTGGGCTTACTTGGTGTCCCTGCTGAAGGTACAGGGAGGCAGAGGCTTCCAAGTCATTTATATTTTCTGAAAGGGTCCATCTCTCTCCCAGGCAAGCAAAGCCAGAGGTCCCTTTTCAATTCTGTGCAACAGATTTTTTTATGAATGGATATAGCAACTCAGGGCACACCAGTAAATGCTCAAGAATCCAGCTCACGGTGGGCTGGCTGCAGGAGCCCTCTGACACAGTGGCACTGGCTCAGTGGCTGGCTTATATTTTCCCATAAGAAGTTCTTATAGCTGTCGTGGCATCCTCTCTCCCTCGACTTGTTACAAAGATTAAATGTCGTAAGATGTGAGGTTAGTGCTGTTAGAGAGTCAAGAAAAAAAGGGTCCATCCCCACCTGAGCCTGGGACAGTCAGAGGTGACTGTGCAGAGTAGCTCCATGGTTCTATGTAAGTATTTAACTTCTCTGACCCTCAGTTTTCTCATCTGTAAAGCAAAGATAAAAATACCTACTTCAAATTATTTATGTAAGGATAAGATGAGATGATCTGTGTACACAGCATTTGGACATAGTAAGTGCTCAGTTAAAGGTGGCATTATTCTTGGTGTCATGTGTTATCCTCCACAATATAAAATATACTAACTACCATAGAATAGTGATTCGTCAATTCTAACGTGCATGAGAATCACCTATGGAGTTTGTTAAAAATATGGATTCTCAGTCTCATCTCACTTCAAATGATTTTGAGGGGTGACCCTGAAACATGCATTTTAGTGAGTATTCTCAGGTGATTTTGATGAAGTCATTCAATGATCATACTTGGAAAAATATTGCTGGAGAATTATATATTAAATAGAAAACCTGGCTTTGGTTCATGGCTGTCAAAACTGTCTAGGTTAGGCCTATGTCCTAAAAATGTCCCACTCCCCTTTCTTTCCCTTCTCCTCTGTCTCCAAGCATGACAAAAGTGGCAGTTGTTTAAAACAAGCTGCTACTATCATTAGCATCACCTTTGGATACCTCTTAGAAGAGTACCTCTCAACCTTGGAAGCATATTAGAATCACTTGGAAAGCTTTCAATCATCCTGATGCCCAGGCCAAACCCCTGACCAATTAAGTAGGGATCCCCAGGTGGACCCAGGCATTGGGGTTTTGGAAGCTTGCCTGGTGATTTCAATGTGCAGCCAAATTGAGAACCACTGCTCTAGATCCACTTTCCCCCAAATCCCTTCAAATCTTCTCCCTAACCTAGTTTCCATCCCGTGCCTTCTATCTTGGAATTTCTTCTCTTTCTAATTTTTTGGCTGAGTCCACTCAGCAGGTTTCCTTGTTCTGTTGGGATTTTTCCTGATGCCCTGATGCCTCTTACCTGTCTCCATTTGGCATTGATGTGCTACTCACTGCTCTGTCCAAGCCTGCAGGACACCTGGGATAGCTTCTCCTTGTCTTGGAAAAAGAAGATCACACATGCCACTGTCTTTCAAACTGTTTTGCCATTTGCTCCTGCTGCAGCATTTTTCTTACTCTTGCCTACTTATCCTGCCAGAACTCATGCAGAATTCTCCTCCCCTGCGCAGCCACCTCTGACTATCCCAGGCTCAGGTAGATGAACCCTTTTTCTCTTGATTCTCTAATAGCACTAACCTCACATGTTATGACATTTCATCTGCATAACAAGTCGAGGGAGAGGGGCTGCCATGGCAGCTGTAAGAACTTCTTGTGGAAAAAAATATGAGTGCTTGGGGCAAAATTTCATACCAAGAGGAGTAAAAAACAGTTCAGAAATGCATTTTCAAAGTCAAAGAGGGATTGCTAGTCATTCCAGAGAGAAGAAAGGAGGTCATCCACTCTGCAATATGACCTACACTATGATTTTCTCAAAATCCTGAGTGTATTCTATAAAATTATTACAAAATATTTTATAAGAGTAGATTTCTTAGGGCACTGCCAGTGTGTCTGTGTCCAGGGAATTGCAGGGAAAAACAGGTCACATGAGCACTGGCATAAAGACAAGAATAAGCAGAGGGCTCTCACAGAAACCTTAGAGAGGGCTTTAGACTATCACAGGTTGTGGAATGTGTGTTAAGGCCAGATTTGGCCACACCTATAATGAGCAGAGAGGCTGCATCCATTATCGGAATTCTTTTTAAGCAGTCTCTATGCCCACTGAACTGTGGGTTTTCCGATGGAAGGGCCTATCTCCATGCATCCCAGTTTTCTGGGCACAAGTCTTGGCACATGGGATGCTCTAAATAAATCTTTGGAGAATGAATAACATAAAAAGCATATAATATAGGCTTTTTTTCCTAAGGTTCAAGGAAGCATGAAGGAGTCCTTATTGTCTGTGGCTATTCTATGGCTCAGACTAAATTCTCCCTTATTCCCTACTTAGATGCTATTGAACTTGTTTCTCCAAACTCTGTTATTCAAAATTTGATTAATTTGAGCTCAAAATGACATTTCAAAATCCCCTATTCCCAAACACATAGCTCATCAAAAACACCTCCCACTATTTACAATTCCACTTCATTGAAATATGATGATGCCAGGCAGACAGCAGTGTGTATTCAGTGGAATTCAATTTTCCTGATCACTGGCTCCATCGATCAGTCTGTTTGCAAAGGGCTGATGCAAGCATTCATCCACTTCATACAGACGGTGGGTGAGCCACTCTCCTATTATTTCTGCAAGTGAAAAAGGTTGTTAAACTATAATGATGGTATTCTGAAGGATCACTTTACTATTGTTGTTTTAAGCTTTATTGAGATTCTATCAAGGGCCAGGAGTTTTTCCTATGTGTTCATATTTAATCTTTACAACTGACAATTTAGCGGGGAAGAATCTGAGACTTAGAGAACTTAGGTGAATTGTCCACAGTTACAGAGCTGGCAATGTGTGGAGCCGGAATTCAAACACAGTTCTTGTGATTTCAGAATTGAATATTATCCATTATACTTGGTTCTCCCCTTGGCAGTTGTCTTGGGGCTGAGGCAGGGAAGGTAGAAAGAAGTGACTGAGAAAGGAATCCCAAGACAATCTGATAGAGAAGAAAAATTACAGTGGCTTATTATTCAACATATTCACCACCTGTCACTCTCTCCTGGGATCCCCACTGTGGCTGAATAAGCACTTGTTACTGCAGCCAGAAGGCTACACTTGGCCACAGGCCTGTCTCTTCCCATGTATTGTGAGTTCCTTGAGACAGTGCACACCAAACACAAACACACACACTCAGGGCAGTGCCCAGGCCCAGAGGAGCTGGTAGCATGATGAGCAAATGTGGTGTCAGAGAAGAGGTGTCTTCAGGGAAGGAATCTCTGTGACTCTTGCAGGCAAGCAGCGTCTTCACCAGAGGTAATGGTCTGGGCATCTGCCTTAGACAGAAGACAGAAAGGCCTGGGAGAGACACATCCAGAATTCCAATCTACCTGGTAGTGTTGCCAACACAAATCTCCTTGAGGATAAAACCTTTTCTAACCCAGGCAGAGCCAGGAAAGTGCTCTGCAGGACCCATCTCAGCCGCATCACAGTTCAGGAAGCATGACTACTGTATCTTCAAAACTTCACTAAATGTTCCTTGTTGTTCATTGTTATGTCAATAGACACCTTCTACATTGTAGCTACCCCCAATGCATGAAATGCATGGAAAAAATCTAAAAGAGAATTATATTTTTGATCCATAGGTAAAATTGGAGAAAAATTGGGAGCATGCTTCTCTCTCTCTCTCTCTTTTTTTTTGTGATGGAGTCTCGCTCTGTCACCCAGTCTGGAGTGCAGCGGTGTGATCTTGGCTCACCACAACCTCCACCTCCCAGATTCAAGTGATTCTCCTGCCTCAGCTTCCCAAGTAGCTGGGACTACAGGTGTGTGCCACCACACCCAGCTAATTTTTTTTTTTTTTTTTTTGTAGTAGAGACGGGGTTTCGCCACATTGACCAGGCTGGTCTCAAACTCCTGACTTTAGACGATCCGCCCACCTTGGCCTCCCAAAGTGCTGGGATTACAGGCATGAACCACCATGCCCGGCACTTCTCTCTTTTTAGGCAATAATTCTAGCTGTTCTGAAGACCAAAACTGGTCAATACTTGTCCTCAGTTTCTCTGAAAACTGAATCATGCATCATGAGAATTCCCTTCTCTAGTAGGAGAGCTCTTCAAAGCAATCATTTTCTTTATTAGCAAGTGTGGGTGTCTTCATAAACTTCTGGATTTGTTTCCAGGGTCTGGTTAACAAAGGATAGGATCTCATATGGCACTCATAGCAAATCTGAAATAGGTGGGGCTGACACTATCTGTTGTTTCTATTTTGCAGATACTCATGAAACTGAGGCTCAGAGAGTGTGCATGACTTACGCAAGCTCACACAGCTAAGTAACAATTATACTTGGATGAGATCTGGGTGTTCTGTTGTCCAGTCCAATATCACGTTGTACATTAAGACTTGAGTCATGCCAGTATCCCTATGATCATAGTCACACTTTTATCATCTAACCTCGAATCCTTAAACCTTAATATTCATTTCTCTTAGAAAAATAAAACATGGTAGAACTCAACTTCTGTACTGAATACAATCTGACACCACTCTGAATAGAGAAGCTCCAGGAAGCCATTCTGGTGGGTGGCGAAAGGTCACAGGAGGTGCAGTGTTTGAAAAAGCAATACAGATTTCAACAATCAGGTTATTAAGCAAAAATTCTTAGATAAGCTTTCTAATCCTATCAAGGGCTTACTCCTATTCCCCACTCAGCTGGCAAAGTTCAATTACATTGTAGGTCAAAATTAACACTGCAGGGGAAAGATTTTATTGTTTTGCTCTCATTCAGGCTAAGTATTTGACTCCTTGTGGATAGTAAGCATCAGTGTTTCAAAAGTGTGTGTGTGTAAGAGAGAGAGAGATGGAGAGAGAGAGAATATCTGTACTGTTTTCAAGTCCTGGCTATTATATAGTAAATTTTAAATGTCTTAAACTTGGTTAATCACTCTGATTGATATTTTGTGTTCCAGTTGTCAAAAAGAAAGAAAGAAAAAACAAAAACAAAGAAAAGGGGAGCAAAAATGGAAATATTTGAAAAAAGAGGGGCATATGAACATAGATACATGTATTATCTTTACAATGTTTATAGTATAGTTAATAAAGGAATTTTACCCACCTACATTGCTAATTTATTCCTGAACACTACTCCATGTACAAAGTAGGCAGGGTAAGTACACATATCAGCATTTTTTTAAAGATAAACAGAAACGCAGAATCAGATCTAGAGTCCTGTTTGGGAGCCTCTAGTTCATGTCATTTTTGCATGAATATTAGCCTTCCCTTACATAGTGTTCGCCAGTATAAGACGCCATTAAAAATGCTTTATGTTGACTCACGTAATATATAGCTGTACCTACTCTGATTCAAAACACAACTGAACTTTATCAGTTTTATACAAACCATGTATTTAGTTTTATACAAACTGAAATAATCCATGGTAGGGAAGGAGTGTTAATTTAGGGGGAAAAAAGTGAACCATTGGCTATGGCTATATAAATAATACAATTTTCAATGGTTGTGCTGAATTTGCACAACACTGAACACTTTTAAAAAAACTTTCTCACATGCAGTACCTTTCATTCTCACTGGAGTCCCATGAGGTGTCACTTTCCCCATTAGACATGGGGTAGCAGGAGCTGAGGCTCTGTGTTCTGGAACTAAGTCAAATTAGTGACCCATGCCCAGTTCTGCAGGTGGGTGGCAGATCTTGTGGGTGGTAGATGTTGGGGAAAATGGGAAAAGTAAGGACTGGAAAGTGGAGTGGCATGGAGAGGGAACCCTAGTGGGGCAGAAGGCTCAGATGACAAAGTCCTTTGAAGTGAGGTGAAGACTTGTCTGAGTAGTGGTGGGATTCATCCTTTTGCTTTGTGCTTTAGCCTTTAATGACATCCATCTCCCTCATCTTCCAGATTTATGCTCTTTCATTATGAACCCATTATGTGCTCAAGAGACTGTGCACTGCAGATATTCTCCTCGCAGAGCCCTTGTAATTCTGCCTGCACCCATGTTCAGAATCCAATTGAGAAAAGAAGGCCAGTGGGGTGGGAGCTGGGGGACCAGCAGCCATTGTCTCCTGTGGCAGCCTGATGGGATAGATTTTTCACAGGGATGCACAGGCTGAAACGTGTGTGTCCACTGAATTCATGGTGACAGCTCTGCTACCTCCATGACTGAGCACTGGGGTCATCCACCCAATTCAGTCCCTTAGTTGCCAGTGTCTTGGGGCAAGGTGAAGTCACAGAGTGTGGGCCAGGACTTAGGTTTCCAACTATCACTCAGCAAATATACCCAGCCTTATCATTTAATTTTTCACTCTAACAATTACTTATCAAGCACTGAAAATCAACACCATGTCAAAAGCTGAATACGGGGGTAAACTTTCATTTATTTTGCAAATACTTACACAACACTTACTACATGCTATGCACTGGTTTAATTGCTTTATTATTAATACATAACTTAATCTTCACTCCAATAATAAGAGGCATATTATTATCTTCATTTCACAGATGAAAAAACTAAGATACAGAAAAGTTAAGAAACTTGTTTGAGATCACACAGCTAGTGACATTTAGAGCTGGAATTTGAATCTATGCTGTATAGCTCCAGAGTGGATACTATTAACCACCGCCTTTCAAAATCTCTGCCTTAAGTATTTCATAGTCCAGAAAGTCAGACAAATAGTCATGGTAGATTATAATGATTATTGCAGTTGGGATATAGACAAAGTACTGTAAAGAAGCAGAGTTTGAACAGTTGTACTGGCTGCCTGGGTCCCTGCACTTTTCTGATCCTGGTACTTACTCTTCTTGGTCCCTCACACTCTATTCTCACTAGCTTCCTGCTGACCTTGTCCCATATCTGACCCAGAGACCAACTCTTATCACTGTAAGGGGGATTTATGGCTTCTTATGCCAGCAGTGCAGGACACTTGGCATCAAGACAGCCTGACGGCTCATCCTGTGTAGATCCATGCTCTCTAAATGGGTTCCTCCTGCCCAACTCTTCTGATCAAGCCCCATCTCATATAATTGGTCCAGAAATTACAGCCTCTGCCTTGGGTCCTGCTCAGACTCTCTGGAAAGTACACTGATCTCTCTCTGTTTGGGATGAACAAGAAGGGGATCTGGCTGAAACATCTGAGTCTTCATCTAGGACCAGGGCTTATTGCACTCTTCAGACTACTTAAGTAGGTGGCTCCTTCCTTCCTCATTGCCTCAAGTGGGTTCCTCCAGTGCTTGGACATGAAGGCTGCCCTTCTCTGTGGAAGGGGGCCTCTTTCCAGTCAATGATAACTGGACATTTTCCCACTGGAATGTATAAACAAGCTTTGAGGTCTCAAACTCCTTAGGACTAAAGCTCTGTCGTCTCTCTCCAACCCTTTCTCCAACTGTATATCTGAGGTCCCGGGACTTGCTGACTGATGTCGCCACCATTGTCTGCCCATTTCAGACACCTGCCTTACCACTCTCCTTCCCCAAGTCACATGCCAGGACTGCCATCTGTCTCCATACCCTGCATATCCTATGGTCCATTTATCACAACCCTCTCATGTCCTCTGCAACTGTTTCTAGAAGATCACCCTGATGTCTCCTCCAGCAACTTCTGCAATTACAAGCAATTCATCAGCAGTCTTCATGCTTGGACTGTTTATTTATATCAAATTCTAGCCATTGGCCTCACTTTATTTTTTTAGGTGTTTGATCTCAAGAAAATCAACCATTTCTGACACTCAAGACACTGGCATTTTCTCTTAGCTTTTTCTTCTGCATCCATAAAACAGAGGGCTCCATCATGTAATCAAAGGGAGCAAGAGGCAGAGGTTTCGTCCTAAGGCATCTGATAAATACATTTAATCTTTATTTTAGTGTTTTTAGATATGCTAGGCACTCTATTATATTTTTATTTTCACTTTCTTATCCATCCTTACAAAACTCTTTTAAATTGGTAGTTATTATTGTAACCACCCAAGGGGTTCTTCCTGCCCATTGCATAAAGAAAGACCACAGTATTATAGTAGAGAAAGAGTTTAATAGACACGAGGCATGCCACGCCACATGGGAGATGGAGTTCCTACTTAAATTATCTTGCCAGAAGCTCCTAGGTTAGAGGATCTTCAAAGGCAGTTTGAGGGAAGGGGTAGGGGTGGCTAGGTAACAGCTGCTTGCTGCTGATTGGTTGGAGTGGAGATAAAATCATGGGGCTCAAAGATGTCCTCCTGAAGACTGAATCACTTCTGGGTGGGCCACAGGAGCTGGGTTGGCAGTTCAAGTGGAGCCATCGGGTCCAGGTGGAGCCATGGTATCAGAGTGTTCAAACCAAAGTGACTCCATCTTGAATAGGAGCTGGGTAAAATAAGACTGAGACCTACTGATCTGCTGTCTCAGGAGGTTAGGCATTCTTAGTCAGAGGATGAGATAGGAGGTCGGCACAAGATACAGTCACGAAGGCCTTCCTCATAAAAGAGGATGCGGCAAAGGAGCCAGCCAAAACCCTTTTAAACCAAGATGGTGTTGAAAGTGACCATTGGTCCTCATTGCTCATTATATGCTAATTACAATACATTAGCATGCTAAAGGACACTCCCACCAGCACCACGACAGTTTATAAATGCCATGGCAACATCAGGAAGTTACCCTGTATAGACTAAAAAGGAGAGGAACCCTCAGTTCCAGGAATTGCCCACTTCTTTACCAGGAAATTCATGAATAATCCACACCTTGTTTAGCATGTAATCAAGAAGTAACTAGAAGTATATTCAGTTGAGCAGTACATGCCACTGCTCTGCCTATGGAGTGGCCATTCTTTATTCCTTTACTTTCTTAATAAACTTGCTTTCACTTTACTCTATGGACTCACTCCAAACTCTTTCTTACATGAGGTCTAAGAACCCTCTCTTGGGGTCTGGATCGGGACTCCTTCCCAGTAACAATGGGTATCAGACATGCAAAAACCTCAAAAGATATCTCAATAGTCCAATCTACAATAGTGGTGTTATTTGCAGGAGTAATTGGGGAATTTGCATATTTTATAACCTCTGGAATAATGGCTAACAATCTTATGTCAATTATGCCTGCACCTTTACAGGACTCAGGTTCCTCTCCGCCCCACAGCCTGATGGCCTCGCATTAGCTTTATAAAAGTGGTTGAGTTTTGCGGCAAGGCCTATTATCATTTAAACGATAGCCTACATGTCTTCCAAAGTTAGCTCAGCCCAACAGCCCAGGAATAATTAAGGGAATGGCAAGAAGGTGGGGGGTGACATTTCATCTTATTGTTATAATTTTCTAACTGATATAATTTTTGCAAAGCCAGTTTCAATATCACCATTTTACAAATGAGAAACTTAGGAGTAAAGCATTTAAAGGTTTAAAAGTATATTTTAAAGGAGCTCAATGGTTAAAAGTCACCTTTATTAAAAGGTTAACATCCAAGATGTGTGTGTGTTTGTGTGTGTATGTGCATGTTTGTATTTAAAAGGCCTTCATGTCTTCATGTTTTTGTTTTTCTCTCTTAGGACCTTGTCTTATTTTGAGCAAAAGTTTCTTTTTCTTCTCTGTTGACTGAATTTGGTTTTCACCTGATTTTTTGACTAAAACAGTTATTGCAACAGAGGCTACTTTTGTGTTTGTAAGCCTTTATTTATATGACAAAATGTAATGACCCACCAAACACATGCCTACCATATAGTCAAACCCAGCTTTTTTTTTTCTCTAAATTAAAGAGAAATAATTTAAGGAAGAGTGTTTCATGCGCGTCGGTGTGAAGAGACCACCAAACAGGCTTTGTGTGAGCAATAAAGCTGTTTATTTCACCTGGGTGCAGGCGGGCTGAGCCCGAAAAGAGAGTCAGCGAAGGGAGATAGGGGTGGGGCTATTTTATAGGATTTCAGTAGGTAAAGGAAAATTACAGTCGAAAGGGGATTGTTCTCTGGTGGGCAGAGTGGGGGTCACAAGGTACTCAGTGGGGGAGCTTTTGAGCCAGGATGAGCCAGGAGAAGGAATTTCACAAGACAATCTGTCATCAGTTAAGGCAGGAACAGGCCATTTTCACTTCTTTTGTGGTGGAATGTCAGCAGTTAAGGCAGGAACCGGCCATCTGGATGTGTACCTGCAGGTCACAGGGGATATGATGGCTTAGCTTGGGCTCAGAGGCCTGACATTCCTGTCTTCTTATATTAATAAGAAAAATAAAATGAAATAGTGGTAAAGTGTTGAGGTGGCGAAAATTTTGGGGGATGGTATGGAGAGATAATGGGTGATGTTTCTCAGGGCTGCTTCGAGCGGGATTAGGGGCGGCGTGGGAACTTAGAATGGGAGAGATTAAGCTGAAGGAAGATTTTGTGGTAAGAGGTGATATTGTGGGGTTGTTAGAAGAAACATTTGTCATTTAGAATTATTGGTGATGGCCTGGATACAGTTTTGTATGAATTGAAAACTAAATGGAATAAGGAGAAAAACAGGTATAAAAGGTCTAAATATTGGGACGACTCGGGACATCTGATTAGAGAGTGCCTGAGGAGATTCAGCATAGTCCTGCCAGCAAAGATTATTTATTTACTTCAATAGTTAAGAGTGGTAGTTTGAGGATAGCACCAGGTGATATCAGCTGTGATGGCTTGGAGAAACAGTGTAAACCGGCAGTGTAAACAAGAGCAGGGCATGTATGAGTAGTTGAGAACGGTGAATAGGAGTATGACTAGAGAGAAGATAGTAGGGATGACAAGTTTTTCTGGGGCACAGTCTAAGTTGGTCTGGTGTCTGGAATGAGACTGGGGCCTAATAAAAAGGATCGTCTATACAGGAGCTCAAATGGGCTGTACTTTGTAGCATTCTGAGGACAGGTCTGACTTCTGAGAAGGGAAAGTGGTAAAAGTATTGTCCAGTCCTTTTTAAGTTGGTGGCTGAGCTTGGTGAGGTGTGTTTTTAAAAGACCTTTAGTCCATTCTACTTTTCCTGAAGACGGAGGACCGTAAGGGATATAAAAGTTTCACTGAATACTAAGAGCCTGAAAAACTGCTTGGCTGATTTGACTAATAAAGGCTGGTCTGTTATCAGACTGTATAGAGGTGAGAAGGCTAAACTGAGGAATCATGTCTGACAGAAGGGAAGAAATGACTGCAGTGGCCTTCTCAGACCCTGTAGGAAAGGCCTCTACCTATCCAGTGAAAGTGTCTACCTAGACTAAGAGGTATTTTAGTTATTTGACTCAGGGCATGTTGAGTAAAGCTAATTTGCCAGTCCTGGGTGGGGGCAAAACCTCGAGCTTGATGTGTAGGGAAGGGAGGGGGCTTGAATAATCCCTGAGGAGTAGTAGAATAGCAGATGGAACACTGAGAAGTTATTTCCTTGAGGATACATTTCCACGATGGAAAGAAAATGAGAGGTTCTAAGAGGCGGGCTAGTGACTTGTACCATAGCATAGCCTGCCTTTGCTGGTGTGTGGCGATTAGACCTGGTGGAACTGCCATCAATAAATCAAGCGTGATCAGGGTGAGGAACAGGAAAGAAGGAAATATGGGGAAATGGGGTGAATGTCAGGTGGATCAGAGAGATACAGTCATGGGGGTCAGGTGTGGTATCAGGAATAATGTGGGAGGCCGGATTGGAGTCTGGGCCAGGAACAATGGTAATTGTGGGACTTAACAAAGAGTGAGTACAGCTGAAGGAGCCAGGGAGCAGAAAGTATATGCATCAGGTATGAGGAAGAAAATAGATTTTGGAAGTTATGAGAAATGTAGAGAGTAAGTTGAGCATCGTTTGTGATTTTGAGGACCTCTAAAAGTATTAGGGCGGCAGTGGCAGCTGCACGCAGACATGAGGGCTAGGCTAAAACAGTAAGGTCAAGTTGTTTGGACAGAAAGGCTACAGGGTGCGGTCCTGGCTCTTGTGTAAGAATTCTGACCGCACTAACCATGCCTAGGAAGGAAAGGAGTTGTTGTTTTGTAAGGGATTGAGGTTTGGGAGATTAATCGGACATGATCAGCAGGGAAAGCACGTGTGTTTTTATGAGAATTATGCCGAGATAGGTAACAGATGAGGATGAAATTTGGGCTTGACTGAAGTAATGGGGGCTGTCTGTGAAGCCTTGCGGCAGTACAGCCCGGGTGACTTGCTGAGCCTAATGGGTGTCAGGGTCAGTCCAAGTGAAAGCAAAGAGAGGCTGGTATGAGGGGTGCAGGGGAATAGTGAAAAAAGCATCTTTAAGATCAAGCACGGAATAGTGAGTTGTGGAGGAAGGTATTGAGGACAAAAGAGTGTACGGGTTGGGCACCACAGGATGGATAGGCAAAACAATTTGGTTGATAAGGCTCAGATCCTGAACTAATCTGTAAGACTTGTCTGGTTTTTGGACAGGTAAAATGGGGGAATTGTAAGGAGAGTTTACAGGCTTTAAAAGGCCATGCTGTAGCAGGCAAGTGATAACAGGCTTTAATCCTTTCAAAGCATGCTGTGGGATGGGATATTGGCATTGAGCAGAGTAAGGGTGATTAGGTTTTAATGAGATGGTAAGGGGTGCATGATCGGTCGCCAAGGAGGGAGTAGACGTATCTTATACTTGTGGGTTAAGGTGGGGGAATACAAGAGGAGGATGCAAAGGAGGCTTTGGATTGGGAAGAAGGGCAGCAATGAGATGTAGCTGTAATCCAGGAATAGTCAGGGAAGCAGATAATTTAGTTGAAGTGTCTCGGCCTAATAAGGGAACTGGGCAGGTGGGGATAACTAAAAGGAGTGCTTAAAAGAGTATTGTCTAAATTGGCACCAGAGTTGGGGAGTTTTAAGAAGTTTAGAAGCCTGTCTGTCAATACCCACAACAGTTATGGAGGCAAAGGAAACAGGCCCTTGAAAATAAGGTAATGTGGAGTGAGTAGCCTTGGTATTGATTAAGAAGGGGACAGACTTACCCTCCACTGTGAGAGTTACCTGAAGCTCAGCGTCCGTGATGGTCTAGGGGGCTTCCGAGGCGATCGGGCAGTGTCAGTCTTCAGCTGCTAAGCCAAGAAGATCTGGGAAGCAGTCAGAGAGCCTTGGGCCAGAGTTCCAGGAGCTCTGGGAGTGGCTGCCAGGTGAGTTGAACAGTCTGATTTCCAGTGGGGTCCGGCACAGATGGGACACAGCTTAGGAGGAATCCTGGGCTGCAGGCATTCCTTGCCCTGGTGGCCAGATTTCTGGCACTTGTAGCAAGCTCCTGGGGGAGGAGGTTCTGGAGGAACGCCTGGCCACTGCGGTTCAGGCGTTTGGAAGTTCTTGTGTGCTGGAGGTGTGGCTGGGGTTTGTCTCACAGTGGAGGCAAGGAATTGCAACTCTTTTCTATTATTGTACACCTTGAAGGCGAGGTTAATTAAATCCTGTTGTGGGGTTTGAGGGCTGGAATTTAATTTTTGGAGTTTTATTTAATGTCGGGAGCAGATTGGGTAATAAAATGTATTTTGAGAATAAGATGGCCTTTTGACATTTCAGGGTCTAGGGCTGTAAAGTATCTCAGGGTTGCTGCCAAATGAGTCATGAACTGGGCTGGGTTTTTCATATTTGATGAAAGAGCCTAAACGCTCACTGATTTGGGAGAGGTCTGATAAAGAAAAAGGAGCATTAACCTTGACTATGCCTTTAGCTTCAGCCACCTTTTTAAGAGTAAATTGCTGGGCAGGTGAGGGCTAGTCAAGGAACGAAACTGTAAGCCGGACGGGGTGTGAGGAGGGGAGGTGATAAAAGGATTATAGGGTGGAGGAACAGGGGCTGAGGAAGAATTGGGACTTAGCTTGGCCTGGTGACAAGCAGCCTGAGGAGGAGGGGAAAGATCAGATGGGTCTGTAGAAAAGGAAGACTGGAAAGACTCAGCGACGCTTGGGGTTGGGACTAAGGGGACAGGTGGGAGGGAAAGAAGGAGGATTTGGTAGGAATTGCATTGGGAACAGAGACTAGAGAGGGACTGATGTGTAAAAGAACACCTGGACATCAGGCACCTCAGATCATTTGCCCATTTTATGACAAGAATTATTTAGATCTTGTAGGATGGAAAAATTGAAAGTGCCATTTTCTGGCTATTTGGAACTACTGTCAAGTTTGTATTGGGGTCAAGCGGCATTGCAGAAGAAAATAAGATGCTTAGATTTTAGGTCAGGTGAGAGTTGAAGAGGTTTTAAGTTCTTAAGAACACAAGCTAAGGGAGAAGAAGGAGGAATGGAGGGTGGAAGTTTGCCCATAGTGAAGGAGGCAAGCCCAGAGAAAAGAGAGAGACATGGAGGGAAGGGGTTTGGGGGTTCTTACCCTCCAGTAAAGTGGGAAAGGGGTTGGGGCACAGAGATACAAGGTCAGGGCATGGAAATAAGGGATTGGGGCACAGAGATAAGAGGTCAGTGCACAGAAATAAGGGATTGGGGTACAAAGATGTAAGAGGTTGGGGCATGGAAATAAGGGATTGGGGCACAGAGATACGAGGTTGGGGTACTTGCCCCTCCTCTAGAAAAGTGGGACTTGCCACTAAAAGTGAAGGAGAAGGGGTTGGGGGTTTCTTGTCCCCCAGAAAGGCAGAGAAGGGGTACAGACATGGAGAGAAGGGGTTGGGGTACTTGCCCCTACCCCAGAAAAGCAGGACTTGCCGCTAAGGGTGAAGGACCAAGGCAGGCATCCCTGCGTGGTCTGACACCTCTGAAACCTGGGTGAATAATCAGAGCAGTGTCCCTGCAATGATTAAACACCAAGGGAAGGCTGCCTTCCCTAGTCCGTGACCGGCGCTGGGGTTTTGGGTCCACGGATAAAACGTGTCTCCTTTGTCTCTACCAGAAAATGAAAGGAATTGAAATTAAAAGAAGGGAGAGATTGAAGAGTGGAAAGGAGAAAGTGGTTGAGGGACAGTGAGAGAGGTTGGAGAAGAGAGTAAAAAGAGGCCGCTTACCAGATTTGAAATTGATGAGATGTTTCTTGGGCTGGTTGGTCTGAGGACCTGAGGTCATAGGTGGATCTTTCTCATGGAGCAAAGAGCAGGAGGACAGGGGATTGATCTCCCAAGGGAGGTCCCCCGATCCGAGTCATGGCACCAAATTTCATGCACGTCTGTGTGAAGAGACCACCAAACAGGCTTTGTGTGAGCAGTAAAGCTGTTTATTTCACCTGGGTGCAGGTGGGCTGAGTCCGAAAAGAGTCAGTGAAGGGAGACAGGGGTGGGGCCATTTTATAAGATTTGGGTAGGTAAAGGAAAATTATAGTCAAAGGGGGGGTTGTTCTCTGGCGGGCAGAGTGGGGGTCACAAGGTACTCAGTGGGGGAGCTTTTGAGCCAGGATGAGCCAGGAGAAGGAATTTCACAAGACAGTGTCATCAGTTAAGGCAGGAACAGGCCATTTTCACTTCTTTTGTGGTAGAATGTCAGCAGTTAAGGCAGGAACTGCCCATCTGGATGTGTACATGCAGGTCACAGGGGATATGGCTTAGCTTGGGCTCAGAGGGCTGACAGAGTGTAGTTTAGACACTTAGAAATGTCTTTGTTTAAAGAAAAACTTTTTAAATGCACTGTAAAAACATCACATGGTCTAGCCTCATAATTATTCTCCTTTTTTGGAGACCCAGGATTCAGTGTGGGCTCTGCCCACAGCTCAGAGACCCAGTTTTGTTTTTTTTTTTTAAAGGTAGTTTCTACCAAAATAAGATTGGTCTCCTTATACAATTCTTTGAAAAATTTCTATAATTTTATATTTGATTTGGCATCAATCTTAGTCTTCTTCTAGCACCACCAGACTTTTTCTCTGTGAATCTTGAGATGGAAATTTTGCCATCTGATTTTTCATCTAAGAGTTACTTCCTTCAATATACAGATTTAGCGCTATTTAGCTGACAACTGCCAGAGTAAGGAAACAGGTTATCAAGAGTTTGCAAGTCTAAGATAGGAAAAAAAAGGAAGTCTTAGAAATCTGTAAGATACGCTTCTATTGGCATGTCTAATACATCTATGTATTTATGTGTTGTATACATGCGTCACTACTGAAAATATAGAAAGAGTTCTAATTAATTGGCTTAAGAAAATAAAAGCACTTGACTTGAATGGTTTATCAGGAAAAAAAGAAAAGACTAGTTAAATGCTTTTTCAAGTTTATGTAACTTAAGTAAAATCTTTAATAAATAAGCTAGCTTTAAAATTATTGGTAATGTTAGAAATGTCTTAAGAATTGCCAGCATACATTTTTGTTTGCATTTATTGATCAAGCAATTTCATACTTATCCCTTCCAAATACTACAAGGTGTCAAAATGTGGCATGGGGTAACAAAACTATAAACCCAACCCCAAACAGAATGATTTTTGCTTATGTAATTTTTAAGAAATAAGACACTGATACAGGTTTAATGAAAATAGCTGCATCTTAAATTTAGTAAGATTACCATAACTTCTCATCCCATGGCTTTAGACAGTCTAGTCCACAGGCAGTAAGGAGGTTTGTTTTGGGAAACAACTGTTACCATCTTTGTTTCAAAGCTAAACTATAAACTAAGTTCCTCCTAAATTTAGTTTGGCCTATGCCCAGGAATGAACAAGGACAGCTTGGAGGTTAAAAGCAAGACAGATTCAGCTAGGCCAAATCTTTTTCACTGCCTCAGTTATAATTTTGCAATGGCAGTTTCATAACTTTAAATTATGACTATCGTAGTTTTCATAAATAATCTAGGTAAACAATTAAAATAACAATTAGGTAAACGTAATGGGATAAACACTTGTAGACTAACTTTTCATAATTTAGAATATAAAGTTATATTAAATTAAATAATAGATATTTCATTATTTGGGTATTTTCCAATAAATATATGTTGTTGGAAAACATTCTTGCTAAAAAAAATAGTGTGTCCTCTGTCCTTTTTAAGAAAAGGCGAACAAGTTTGTCTAATTCAAAGCTTATTTAAAGGTTATGTATAAAACAAGGTAAAGGAACCAGGAAATAAGAGGGACGTAAAGAAAGTTATAAAAAAAAAAGAGGGTTTTTTTTTGTGGTAAGAAAGCTTAAAGAGAAATAATTTTGGCCAGGTGCAGTGACTCACGCCTGTAATCCCAGCACTTTGGGAGGCTGAGGTGGGTGGATCACAAGGTAGGAGATCGAGACCATCCTGGCCAACATGGTGAAACCTTGTTTCTACTAAAACACAAAAAATTAGGCAGGTGTGGTGGCACGCGCCTGTAGTCCAAGCTACTTGGGAGGCAGAGGCAGGGGAATCGCTTGAACCTGGGAGGTGGAGGTTGCAGTGAGCCGAGATTGTGCCATTGCACTCCAGCCTGGTGACAGAGCAAGACTCCATCTCAAAAAAAGAAAGAGAAATAATTTTATATGAGAAATAATCTTGTATGGCAAATTTAGACCTAAAATAAAATGTCTGGTTGTTTAAGAAATAGAGATGTTCAGGACAAACCAGAAAGTCCAAGCATGTCATGAATGGTATGTGTAAGTCACAATAAGTATTTCTTAAATAAAATTTTTAAAAAACCCAAAACTTTTATATGATCAAGTTGTTTATAATTAAAGGGAAATTATAATGCTCTTTCTAGAGATTTGGCTTGATGCAAAAAAAACCACTTATACACTAAGTTATTGATTAGAACAATGACATTTTCTTAAGAGGTTGATTCACTCTTAATAAATTATAAGAGATTTTAATTCTTTTTTTAACCCAAAGTTTAACTTTTGTTGCATCTTGCTGTTTCTCTCCCCTTTTAAAAGGTACATTTTCTTAAAGGTCTAAGGGAAATGTTTTCTTCCAACATAATATTCTGTGCACTGTGGAAGATATTTTCTTTTGCCTTTTGGTAACTTGTGTAATGGATTTTATGTTTTATCAAAATAATTAGTATGCCATTATTATTAACTTTGTTTTGCTTCCCAGGAAAAAACTGAAATTTAATTTTTTTAAAAAATTAAGTTTATTATATTCATGTATCTTCCTGTATGTGCTTTTAAAGTCCTTGTGACATTGAGTTACAGGACTTTGACTCCTGGATCTAAAACGGCCACCAAGTCCGGCTAAATCTTAAACACTGACAGCCCTGTAATAGATGGCACATAAAATTAACTGCATTACTGAGACCCAGGGCCAGAAATTAAATCTATTCAGCTCTTCAAGGCCCAGGGACTATTTCAGTAGAGGTGGGCATGTGAGATTGTAAGGGCCAACTTTAAAAGATAAAAATAAGTTCAGTTTCTCTATAAATTAATCATTAATGTCAAAGGCACACTGATGCAAGACCAGCATATGGGCCCCTGTGTCAGATTAACAAGGTTTTCTTGAGGCATTAACTGATTCCTTAATAATGGTTATAAAGGTTATAAAAGGCTTCTGGAAGTTATATCTTATGGTAAAGATTTAAATGTTATAGATTGTTTATACATTTTGAAAAACAAATTTAATTGGCTTCATACTGTTTTTATTAGGGCTTATTGTTTGGGAAATTAAATCTCCTCTCTAAAAGAATAAAGGTTTTGCCTGTTTTTGAAATCTTTGAGTTATTACTTTGGTTAAAAGAATGACTTATTTTACAATGACTTGTGATCCTATTTTGTGATATCAAGTGTTTTAAACCTTTGATATTTGACAAACTTTTCAAAATCAAATTATAAATTATGTCTTTTTCTGACTTAATTAATCCTCTAAGATATTAGTTTCCCTAAAGTCCAAAAATGACATAATTTTGACATTTAGTAGTACAAAAATTATATAGGAAGCATTATCAAATATAAAATGGTGTTTGGTTTTCTTTGTTAATTTGTATAAATACGTTGTTGATATGTATTCTAAAATTTTGGGACACTCCTGTAATTCTGATATGACTTTACCAGTAATAATGATAATTGTTAAAATTATTGTCTGCCACAGAGGTAACAAATTTCCTTGTCAATTTTGTCTTTGACTATGGGTTCCCTAAAACTTTTTGTCATCCTTGGACAATGGTTGTGTTGTTTTGGTCCTCTTTGGAAGGTGGTTTTATAATCATCTATAAAACTATAACAGGTGCTCTCGAATGCAGGTTTCTGATAACTTTGGAGACTGTGACATCAGAATAAAGGAAAAACTTTCAGGACTCATGCATAGAGTGCTAAAATGTTCATGAATATCAACCAGAACAGGAATTAACTGCATGGACTGAACTAATCTTTTTGACTTTTTGCTTAAAATGTTGCTGATCATTTGTTTTGTTTTTCAGAGTCTTGAAACTTTTCTTCTGAGCTATTGACAGTTTTGGCAATTTAGTATACTCTTATGAACAAAATTTGGAGCACATTTGTTTCTCTCTACCTGATTTCTCCAGAATTTGGAAACTATTTGTGAGTATTCTTAATTTATGGCAATCCAGTTATTTGCATAAGTGCAACAAGAATTTGTTTTCATTTGTAACAGGACACAATTGGAGAAATTTGTTATTTTACCAAGGCTTTGACTGGAATGGTGTGTTGTCCTTTAAGGAATCAAACTTGACTCATGGAACCAAAAAAGTCCTTGGGAAAACTGGCCTCATAGTTTACACAGTCCCTCTACAGGGTTTCTGACCTATGGTAAGTAAAGAATGTCATTTTCAGAAAGGCCCAGGAGCCCCAAATTTATCTTGGAACCTCAAGAGGAGGGGAAATTCACCCAACTCATAGGTATTTGATGGTACAAGTCCATGGTTGGGTTCAGCTTTAAAAGTCTTATCTGAGATTCCTTCTATAGTAAAAACTTCCATCAAAGCCAAATTTTAAAAACATATGTGAAAAATAATTATTCTTGCTGCACTTTATACAAATAATCTGACCAAATATAATAAAGCAAATCAGTCCTACCATGATTTGTCTTTAGTAAAAATGGAAAACTGGAGAGAGAAAAATTATGTTTCAAAAACTATTGTACACTTGTTGTTAGATTTGAGTCTTTCCTAATGTTTTTCAATTTTTATTATTTTCTACAGTTTGGGCTAAATTATAATTTTTCCTGGCTACAAGTTTTCAAAATAATATTTTTAATTTTTTTCTTCTTTCTTTTCCTTTTCCCCCCATTTTTGTCCTAATTTGAAATCACTGAAAACAAAGCTGTGTTTTCTTAAAACCCTGTGAACTGAAGCCAGACACCTTAAACTTCAGAAGAAAATAACAGCAACCTATTTACATACATAAGCCACTTTCATATCTGCCTACTAATGTATGGACTTCAGAGTAATGTGACCTATATCAATTTTCCAGGATCCTTCTTTTGTTTGTTGTTGTTTTTCTCCTTTCCTCCCCCTCCTTTCTCTTCATAGGACATGAGACTTCACAATCTGCTAAAAATGAGCTTTCAGGAGCTACCCATCTAGAAATAAACTGTCCTAGCCATGAGAGATCAGATGAAACCTGAGACCAGAAACTAATTTCCTTCTAAAATGCTTTCTCCAAAAGATTTTTTAAAAGAAAAGAGGGGAAATGTGACAGGAAAATCTTGGGGCCACGAAATTACTAAGCTAATGGAAAAAGTCAAGCTGGGAACTGCTCAGGGCAAATCTGCCTCCCTTTGTATTCAAAGTCATCCCTCTGCTCACTGAGATAAATGCATATCCGGTTACCTCCTTTGGGAAATCTTATCAGAAACTCAAAATAATGCAATTATTTGCCTGTTGCCTACCTGTGACTTGGAAGCCCCCTCCCTGCTTCGGGTTGTCCTCATCTTTCTGGAGGGAATCAATGTACTTCTTACATATATTGATTGATGTCTCATGTCTTCCTAAAATATGTAAGACCAAGCTGTGCCCTGACCACCTTGGGCACATGTTGTCAGGACTTCCTGAGGCTGTGTTACAGGTGCACATCTTCAACCTTGGCAAAATAAACTTTATAAATTAACTGAGACCTCTCTCAAATTTTGGGGTTTCACAGTCATAGAGGTAATAATTGATGGAGCTATAACTGCTTGAGGGGTTCTTCCTGCCCAATGCATAAAGAAAGACCATGGCATTGTGGTAGAGAAAGAGTTTAATAGGCACAAGGCCAGCCACACCACATGGGAGATGGAGTTCCTACTCAAATCATCTCATCAGAAGCTCATAGGTTAGGCGACTTTCAAAGGCAGTTTGAGGGAAAAGGTGGGGGTGGCCAGGTAACAGGTGCTTGCTGCTGATTGGCTGGGTAGAGATAAAATCATAGGGAGTCTAAGTTGTCCTTCTGAATTGCTTTGCTTCTGGGCACAGGAGGGGGTTGGAGCCATGGATTTCAGACATACAAAAAAACCTGGAAAGATATCTCAAAAGGCCAATCTATAATAGTGGTTTTATTTTCAGGAATAATTGGGGAAGTTACATATCTTATAACCTCCGGAATAATGGCTGGCCTTCATTTATGTCTGTGCCTTAGCAGGACTCAGGCCCCTCTCCTCCCCCAAGTATGGAGGCCTCCCATTAGCTTTACAAAAGCAGTTGAGTTTTGGGCAAGGCCTATTATCATTTACACTGTCGCCTAAATGTCTTCCAAAGTTAGCCCAGCAGCCCAGAAATAATTAAGGGAAAGGCAAGGGGTGGGGAGAGTTGGCTTAGCTTACTGTTATAATTTTTCTCACTGATATAATTTTTGCAAAGACAGTTTCAGAGCCAGTTCTCAAACCCAGGTCTGTCTGATTCAAGCTGTGTTCTAAACACCAATGTTCTAACCATTTTATTTCTTTCTGAGCCTCAATTTCTTTACTGTAAAATGAGGCAGTGCAACAGATCATAGGACTTCACAAGTCTTTTTCAGCTCTGGAAGAATATGAATCCAACAGTGCAGATTGGAGTTTAGGATGGAGCTTGTCTTCCTTGCCTTCTGCTCTTTCTGATTCTCTCTGGAGAGAAAGGAGCTCTGTCTTCAAGTTGGAAGGATTGTCTTATGAAGGAGTGAGCTGGATCAGTCTCTGAGCCCTGAAGCAACAGATGCTAAATGAAAATTATATTCAGTTCCACAACAACTCTCTAACATGCAAAACACTTAGTGTCCTATATGTATTGTGAGTCTAATAATTTTTAGGAGCAAATAAAGAGTTTAAAACTTGGGAAACTTACCACCAGGTGTAATCTGAAGACATGCCTACATCTAACTTAGAGGCTAACTCTGATGTGGAGTTAAGCTGAATTTTTGAGGCTGCCATGGCCAATGAACCAGAAAATATGTATATATCTTAGAGTGGGAAGGACTTGAGAGATCACATTGCCCATCACCTTCATTTTATATATGAGTGAACTGAGGCCAAGAGAGGGTCAAGAGTTGTGTGGTGACCCAGACATAGAATACTGCCCTGAGCTATTATAGCAACCCTGTGTAACAATTAGAAAATTTTAACTACAACAAGCTTAATGATCCATGGGTTTTCTTGAAGTGTATTTCACACAAAAGGAGGAATATCTGAAATCTGAACTGCAATACCACCAGCTTCCCCAAGAAGATTTAAGCAGTCTTTTCTGCCACACTGACTGGATACACCTCTGATATGGTTTGGATTTGTTTCCCTGCCCAAATTGCAATTGAATTATAATCTCCAATGTTGGAGAAGGGGTCTGTTGGGAGGTGATGGGATCATGGGGGTGGATTTCCCCCATGCTATTCTCATGATAGTGAGTGAGTTCTCATGACATTTGGTTTTCAGAAGAGTGTAGCACCTCCCCCTTGGCTGTCTTCCTCCTGTTCCATCCATGTAAGACATGCCTACTTCCCCTTCACCTTCTGCCATGATTGTAAGTTTCCTGAGGCCTCCCCAGCCATGGTTCTCGTATAGCCTCCAGACCCATGAGCCAATTAAACCTCTTTTTATTATAAATTACCCAGTCTCAAGTAGTTCTTTATAGCAACACAAGAACAGACTAATGCAATCTCCCATTTGAGTGCTGTTCATCTCAGACATTATTTCAGATGGCACTATAGTTCTTTGCAATCTCAGCCTATGATGCTGTTATTATCTATACTTTTAAGAATATATTTAGCAGTGTTAAACTTGCTGAAGTTGCTCAGCTCCATCCAATAAAAGGATTGACCAAGAGCAAATTAGCATTTCATTAACTATTTTAAATATAATACTAACTTATTGAGCAATGATGACAGGATGTCTCAGAAATGGTAATACATTGAATTGCCCTTCAAATTCAGATTCTCCCATGCTTATGAGAAAATTACAAAAGGGAGATGTGGGCTGAGAAAGCAAAGATATTTCATCTTCATCATAGAAGAGGCGTATCTTAAAAGCAATGAGAATGATTTGTTTGCATGGCAATTTTCAGAGTAGAGTTCCAGAAAAAAGTTGCAAAAGAGTCAGAATCACTCTCTCAAAGCCAGATTATGGGTAGACTCTTTTGAGATCCCATGCCAAGGACCTTGAGAGAAACTGATGGTGGAAGGGACAGAATCAGGCCACTCTGGGAGTTTACCTGACTTGCAAGCTGACTGAATGTGGTGGCTGTCAGTTCAAACTGCATGGTCTAGATGAATGTGAGAACTCAACTCATATGAGCTGGTAGAGCCAGAATACAAAGTTCCACCTGAGTTGTGGGGCATGAATCAGGAGCACCCAGGCAATGGTGATGTTGACTCAGGTACTTGCAACAACATGGTGACACAGTCCAGATGAACAGCTTGTTTGAGCAGGACCCCAGGACCAACTGGAGGGAAATAGGGTGGGCAGGAGAAAAAGGATCTAGTAACCCAAGAGGAGGAGAATGTCCAGACCCAGAGTGTGGAGGCCTAGTCACAGTGGCTAGTATATATAAACATTACAGACTCAGCAGGAAATTATGGTATCAAAGTGTGTTTATATTGACTGGGCAAGCATAGCTAGAAGCAAGTAAAGATTGTAGCTTGAGTGAGGGAGCATGCTGGAAAAGAGTTCACCTAGGCATAGTGAATAGCATGTCAAAGAAGGTGAATTATTCTAGATCTCCCCTGAAGGATGTGCCAGATCTCTAGGATTGACTCAGGAAAGAAGGGGAGCAGGGCCGTAATGCCTATACCACAACAAGGCCAGGAAGGTGGGGACTGGAGCTCATATTTTAAAGGTCTCTGCTCATCTGCAGTTGTATCATCATAGAAGGGCATGTGGTTAATCTCCAGCAGAGAGAGAATGTGAGTGCCATTCTTCTGACTTGATGTCTCTTTCCATCCTCCTTTTTTGGGTGACCTGTTAGATGCTCTGAGAAACTCACCTCTGCCAAAGTAAAAATGGCATCAATCAGGTCAATGTGTTGCCCTTGCTAGGTAACATATTTGTATGTAATAAGGACTTATCCAAGGTCACAGAAATGTAGTTTCTAACCCCAAGATCTGTATATTTTTCTGATGTAACTGTTGGGCTTTGATGCACAGCTGATAAGGAAAAAAATATATTGGGGGAATGGGCATGAGAATTTTCTGTATCAAGGATTTGTTGTCAATCAGTGGTACATTCTTTACAAAGGTTGTTCTGATTTAAAAAGTAGCCATCATAAACACCTTTTACATTTTCTAAAACTTGAATATTTCTAAAGTATATGCAGTTCCATGATGACAACTTAGAGTACATTTTAGTATCTCCATGTTACTGATACAAAATAAGGCTTTAGACAATAGAAGTCATTTGTCTACAGTTACGTCAGAAGAGTTTGAGCTAGGGCTTGCTCTTATGTCTTCGGAGTTCCAGACACTGGGCTTGGCACCATTCAATGCAGTCTCTCCATCCAGTGCTAGATGGAATGGATCTAAGGCTTTTAGGAATATCTATCTTTTGCCATCCATAAAGAGAAGCCCATTCTTGTTTTGGAATCCTGAAAACCCCAAGCCTCACATAAGAGCCATTACTGCTCCTGATTTCTTGCTTTCCTACTATGATGAAGCTGAAGGATTGCTTTCTCTTCAGCTGAAAGATTATCTCCCCTCTTCCATCCCCTTTCTGCCTTGGGTCTGAGGAGTACCATTGTCCTATAGATGTTAGACAGCTGTGGCCTTGCACCCTAGAGGGATCCAAACTTTCCAGTAAGTCTATTCACTGTAGACTGGAAATTGTGCTGAACAGCTCAGCAGGGAGCAAAGATATTATTATTATTTTCCACTGTCTGATTCGTGTAGCATTCATTAGATGATTATAGCTGTTGGGATTTGATGGATGGAGTAGTCTATCTTGTCACTATATTTCTGAGCTGGTCTGTAGCTACTCAATAATTACCACGCAGCAAAGTGGGGGCACGTTCAAGAATGCTAATGAATTATCAGTTTTCTTTAAGCCTCATTAGATTTCTTGATAGCAAAACCTCCCATTGACAAGATCTCATCTAATATGATTTTCCAAAGTCCCTTATTGCTTGTCAGACACAAGACTATCTCTGCTTGCATGAAGTAGTTTTAAAACCACACTAATTTCCTGCTATTACATTGTCCCAAGTATTTGTTTTTGTTACACTTTTTTTGTGTGTGCATCTGTGGTGTGTGTCTGTGTGTTGTGGAAGTGAGAGGGGGTAGACTGAGGTCTCTGGAGAAAGCAAAACAAACACAATACTGAATTATAGAATTCAATTTTCTGGTTGGATTTTTTTTTTGTTTGTTTGACAGGGTTGTGTTCTGTCACTCAGGCTGGAGTGCAGTGGTGCTATCATAGCTCAGTGCAGCCTCAAACACCTGGGCTAATGCATTTCTTCTGCCTTGACCTCCCAGGTAGCTGGGACTACAGGTGTGCACCACCATGCCCAGCTTATTTTTATTTTTTTGTAAAGATGGGGTTTTGCTCTGTTGCTCAGGCTGTTCTCTAACCTCTGGCCTCAAGTCATCCTCCTGCCTCAGCCTCCCAAAGTCTCGTTGGAAATTATTTTACACTTATCTTGCCTTTCATACCTAAATCTGCTTTTCTCTGATAGTAAATGGGAAAAGGAAAGCAATCCACTCAATTCTTTGGCCTCAAAGCCTAGGCATCATCCTTGATACCTCTCTTTCCCTTGGCCCTCACATCCAATTCATCAGCAAATCTAATTGGATTCTACCTCCAAAAGACATTCTAACTATATCCAATTCTATCTCCCTTACTGTAAGTCTAGGCTAAGCTATCAAAATCTCTCTCCTGGTCTACTGCAACCTTCTCATACCTTGGTTTCTTGCTCCCATTCTTGCTGCCTTAAAATCCATTATCCCCAAAGCAACCAGAATGATCTTTATAAAAATAAACAATTAGATTGTATCACTCACCTGCTTAAAATACTCCAGTGACATCCATTGCAATTGAATTAAAATCCAATAATCCACATAAGATCTACATGCCCCTGTAGGACCTGGCCCTTGTCAACTCCTCAGACCTCATCTCTCAGCATTCTCCTCATTATTCACCACGCTCTTGACAGGCCATGGTCATTCCCACCACAGAGCCTTTGCAAGTCCTGTTCTCTGCCTGGACTATCCTTTCCTTTGAGCTTCACATGGATGACTCCTTCCATCACTTACATTTCAGTCCAAATGTCATCTCAGAGTAATTCTTTGATAGTAACCTTCTACCCTCAGACACTTTCTGTAAGATTGCCCTGTTTTATTTTTTTCACAGAATGCATCATTACTTGACATTGTATTCCATTTGTGGCTGGGCACAGTGGCTCACGCCTGTAATCCCAACACTTTGGGAGGCCAAGGCGGGTGGATCACTTGAAGTCAGGGATTCGAGATCAGCTTGGCCAACATGGTGAAATCCCCGTCTCTACTAAAAATATAAAAATTAGCCTGGCGTGGCAGCGGGCACCTGTAATCTCAGCTACTCAGGAGGCTGAGGCAGGAGAATTGCTTGAACTCAGGGGGAGGAGGAGGTTGCAGTGAGCTGAGATCGTGCCATTGCACTCCAGCCTGGGCGACAGAGGGACACTCCATCTCAAAAAAAAGAAAAAAAATTGTATTCCATTTGTATATGTCTACTTGGTTATTATCTGCCTTCCACAATTAAAATGCAAGCATCTGAGGACAGGGACTTGCTTTCTTTGTTCATTGCTATATCCCTAGCACCTAGAACAGTGTCTGGAACAAAGCAGAAACTTAAAAATAATGGTTGAGTGAATGAATGAATGTGTGAATAAGTCTAGTACAACTCCTTTCTTTTTAATGTGGAGAAACTGAGGCCCAAAACTGGAAGTGAATTGTCAAAAACTATAAAAAGGAAAGGCTTGGTCCCCTGATCCTGGTTTTATGATCTTTCCAGCGTATCAAGCTGCATCTCAAAGTGGTTCTCAACTATGGGTGATTTTGCCCTTTAGGGACACTTAGCAATGTCTGGAGAGATTTTCAGTTTTTCCAACTGGGGAGGGGTTGTACTGGCATCTAGTTGGTAGAACACAGGGATGCTTCTAAACATTCCACAACGCACAGGACAATCCCCACGACAAAGAAGTATCTACTGATAGTGTCAACAGGGCTGAGGTTGAAAACCCCTGGTCTGGGCCGGGTGCGGTGGCTTGTGCCTATAGTCCTGGCACTTTGGGAGGCCGAAGCAGGCAGATCACTTGAGGTCAGGAGTTCAAGACCAGCCTGGCCAACATGGTGAAACCCCATCTCTACTAAAAATACAAAAATTAGCCGGGCATGGTGGTGGGCGCCTGTAATCCCAGCTACTCAGGAGGCTGAGGCATGAGTATCGCTTGAACCCAGGAGGCAGAGGTTGCAGTGAGCCGAGATCACGCCACTTCACTACAGCCTGGGTGACAGAATGAGACTCAGTCTCGAAACAAACAAACAAACAAACCCTAGTCTGGCACTTGGAAAGGCAAGATATTCCTCCTTTATTCCTTCCTTCCTCTGGACTGCCAGAAAACCTTACATAGGCCAATTCTCCTAGACTGCCTCAGTTTCCCTACATGAAGTGTGCAACGGCCTTCCATTCAGGGAGGATGCTGTCTTAGGCCACAAGGTTCATCTTTTCCCTCTCTAAAGTAAGCCCTCCAACAACTCATTGGCACAGAACATGCCACTAAGTTGACATTCAATTAATATCAGTTATGACATTTGTTAAAGAAACTAGTGGTGCAGACTTTTCTTTTTGCTCTTTTATATTCTACTAATCTTTTAAAGTTGTAAATTTCACCATTTCCAGACAGCCTTTCTTGAGTTGCAGGCAGAGTTCATCTCCCTCTTACACCGTATTCTCTTAGCACTTAATTTATATTCGTTAAAATACCAATGCAAGCCCAAGAATTCCTCATTTTCCCCTTACTCCTGCTCTCTGAGTTACTTGAGGACAGGCACGGAGTCTTGGCAGAGCACTGGGCACAGCGTGGGTGCCCACTACATCCTGGAGGGAGGACACATATCTGATAGGCTGCATATCTACTTAACGTGACAATAGAGAAAAACTTGCAAAATGAACACTATAAGACAAACGGAAAGATTTATCTCTTTCATAGCAGCCAAAGAAAGTTTGGAGGCAGCATGTTAATTGACATGTCTTTTTAGAATATTGCTTCTCTTTTGTGGGTAAACATAGGCATTCATTAGGCAGGCAAGTGGAGCCAGCTTTCCATCAAAGTGGGAACAGCTGGAATGAGTGATTATCTCTAACTTGGTGACGAGGGTCCCAGGAACAGAAGGAACAGTGTGGTCTCTGCAAATCCCTAAGCCAATGACAAGGATGGGGACAGGCATGCTGCAGGCTGTATTATCAGCACCCTAAACGGAGATAAGGAAAGCAAAGTATCAGCCTTACACTGCATTCCCGGGAAGCGCTGGCTTGCCTTAAGCCTGGCATGCTATTTCACTCAATGCAGCTGTAAACAAGCAAGCTTAGAAATGAATGATAGAGTTACTTTTAAAAATAAAATATGAAACAAAAGCATTCTTTTTTTTTTTTTCCACTGTGGGCAAAGCAATGGAAGTGCCTTCTCAAGAAAAGCAATTTAAATGGACCAATTCCTTCCATATCAGCCTAAATTACCTTTTTAAAACACAAGACACTGAACTCAGGAAAGCCTTTGGAAATATTGGCTTGTCTCCCTTTATGGATGAGGAGACTGAGATCTGGAGAGGAGAAAGGACTTGCCCAAAATCACATAGTTCACCAACAAAAAAGCTGGAATTTAGAACTGAGTTTCCTGCCTCCTGAGTCCACTATGTAGTATGTGATGTGGAGAGGGGAGAAAGTCAGTTGACCATAAATCTCAATACCTGGGCTCCAGAGCTCATTTTATCAAATGACAAACTATGGGGCTTTTGGGAAGCCATTTGCTTTTGCTTCACCTTCCCCAGCCATGAAATAATAGGTTTAGACTAAATGAACTACAAGGTTCTTCCCAGTTCCAAAGTTGTATAATTATGACTTCAGTGTATCCTGATACTAATTTAATAATAAATAAATAAAAGTTATGGAGTGCATACTATATATCAAACAGTCTGATAACCATATTTTTATGTAATATCTCATTTAATCTCTGCAATTCTGTAAAGTAGGCATGTTTACTTTACAGTAAACATGTGGGAAAGCTGGGACTCAGGTTAAGTAACTGGCTCAGGATCACACAATTGGTATATGCTGACAGTGGAGTCTCAACATATACCTTTTCTGACTTCAGAAATGGAAATTTTAAGGTTGACAAATGTTCAAATATGAGTTCTATCCACTTCTTCTGGAGACTGGGAACTCGCACCCTCTCCACAGAGATCACTCCCATTTGGAACATTCTGATTGGAGTAAAACTTGCCTCTCTGTAGCTTGTACCCATTGATCCAGTGATACTTTAAGACCACCAGAAGAAGTCTAACACATTCTATAAAGTAGTTCTTTAGGTAGGGGTGGATTGCTTACATGACCATTATTCTGCACCTTCTCTAAGTTAAGGTTCCCAATTATCTCCCTGTTTCTCCATTTAGATCTGTGTAAACTCCCTCACTACCCAAGCAAAATGCCTCTGCCCACACTCCAACATCTATAATGCTTTCAACTTAGAGCATGATTACTGATAAAATGCCCCATGATTGGAAAGAGTGTGGGAGTGAAGATGATTTCAGGGCAAATTTGAGCAGAGAAACTTTTCTTTTGGGCCATAACAGTCACAGAGATCTAATTGCCTTCCCACCTTAATGTTTTAAAAAGAGCAAAATAAACCTCAGAGAGCAAATGATAAAGATCAAAGTAGGGGTCAATGAAATAGATAACAGAAATACATAGAGAAAATGACTGATTTGAGAAGATTACAAAATATTGATATATCTCTAGTCGCGCTAATTAGGAAAAGAAAAAGAATACAGAAATGACCAATAAAGAATAAAAGAAAGGGCATCAATATAAATTCTATATACATTAAAATGATAAAAAATATTATGAGTAACTGATACAGTTTGGCTGTGCCCCCTCCCAAATCCCAACTCACATCGTATTTCCCAGAATTCCCACGTTTTGTGGGAGGGACCTAGTGGGAGGTAATTGAGTCATGGGAGCTGATCTTTCCCATGCTAGTCTGGTGATAGTGAATAAGTCTCATGAGATCTGATGGGTTTATCAGGGGTTTCTGCTTTTGCTTCTTCCTCATTTTCTCTTTCTCCTGCCATGTAAGAAGTGCCTTTTGCCTCCTGCCATGATTCTGAGGCCTCCCCAGCCATGTGGAACTGTAAGTCCAATTAAACCTCTTTTTGTTCCAAGTTTCAGGTATGTCTTCATCAGCAGCGTGAAAACGAACTAATACAGTAAATTGGTACCAGTAGAGTGGGAGTTGCTGAAAAGATACCTGAAAATGTGGAAGCAACTTTGGAACTGGGTGACATGCAGAGGTTGCAACAGTTTGGAGGGCTCAGAAGAATACAGGAAAATGTGGGAAAGTTTGGAACTTCCTAGAGACTTGTTGAATGGCTTTGCCCAAAATGTTGATAGCGATATGGACAATAAGATCCAGGCTGAGGTGGTCTCAGGTGAAGAGGAACTTGCTGGGAAATGGAGCAAAGGTGACTCTTGTGATGTTTTAGCAAAGAGACTGGCGGCATTTTGCCCCTGCCCTAGGGATTTGTGGAACTTTGAACTCAAGAGAGATGATTTAGGGTATCTGGCAGAAAAAATTTCTAAGCAGCAAGCATTCAAGAGGTGACTTGGGTACTGTTAAAGGCATTCAGCTTTAAAAGGGAAACAGAGCATAAAAGTTCAGAAAATTTGCAACCTGACCATGTGATAGAAAAGAAAACACCATTTTCTGGGGAGAAATTCAAGCCAGCTGGAGAAATTTGCATAAGTAGCAAGGAGCCTAATGTTAATCCCCAAGATTAACATTAATATCTCTACCTCCATTGTATCTGGAAAGTAACTAGCTTGCTTTTGATTTTGTAGGCTCGTAGGCAGAAAGAACTTGTATTGTTTCAGATGAGACAATGGACTGGACTTTTGAGTTAATGCTGAAATGAGTTAGGACTTTGGGGGACTATTGGGAAGGCATGATTGGTTTTAAAATGTGAGGACATGAGATTTGGGAGGGGCCAGGTGTGGAATGATATGTTTTGGCTGTGACCCCATCCAAATTTCAACTTGAATTGTATTTCCCAGAATTCCCACATCTTGTAGGACGGACCCAGTGGGAAGTAATTGAATCATGGGAGCCAGTCTTTCCCATGCTATTCTCCTGATAGTGAATAAGTCTCACGAGATCTGATGGGTTTATCAGGAGTTTCCGCTTTTACTTTTCCCTCATTTTTCTCTTGCTGCCACCATGTAAGAAGTGTCTTTCACCTCCCACTATGATTGTGAGGCCTCCCCAGCCATGTGTAACTGTAAGTCCAATGAAACCTCTTTTTGTTCACAGTTTCAGGTATGTCTTTATCAGCAGCATGAAAATGAACTAATACAGCAACTTTATACCAGTAAATGTTACATTCTGTTTGAAATAGACAAATACCTTGAAAGACACAAACTACTAAAGTGCACACACACACACACACAAAAGATAACCTGGATATCTCTATATTTATTAAGGAAATTAAATAATTAATAATCTTCCAAAAAAATAAATCACCAAGCCCAGATGGTTTCTCAGGTTGATTCTACAAAGAATTGGAGGAAGAAATGATACTAATTCTCCACAATCTCTTTCAAAAATGGTAGCAGAAGGGGTACTTTCTGACTCATTTTATGAGGCCAGGATTGCCCTTAATACTTAAATCAGACCAAAATATTGCATAAATAGGAAACTATAAACATTCCTCCTAAGCCTACACACAAAAATTCTCAACAAAATTTTAGCAAATTAAATTTAACAATACAAAAATAAGTTAACATTTTATGATTAAGTGAGGTTTATTTCAGTAATATGTTTCTTTTAACATTTGAAAATCAATCAATGGAATTTTCTATATTAATAGACTATGATCATCTCATTAGAGACAGAAGAGGCATTGACCAAATTCAATGTCTATTTGTGATAAAAGTGCCAAGAAATCTAGAAATAGAAGAAAACTTGTTCAATCTTATAAAGAGATTTATGAAAAACTTATACCTAACATCATACTTGATAGTGACAGGATTAATTCCTTTCTTCTGCAATTGAGGAAAAAGGCAAAAACATCTGTTTGCAAAGCTTTTATTTAGCATTGTATTGGAAGTCCCAGCCACTGCAATAAGATAAGAAAATTTCCAAACTTATTGGATAAGAAGAAAATAAGCTGTCTTTATTGGCAGATGGCATAAAGTCTTTGGAAAAAATCCCAAGGAGTCTCTAAAACAACTTAGGACCAATAAGTGAGTTTATCAGGTTTGTAGGATAAACACATAAAAAATCATTTTATTTCCATAAAAGCAATAGACAATTATAAAAATAACTGAAAAACAACTTTTCCAATAACATCAAAAATATTAAGTAATGAAGGATAAATTTGACAAATAATGTGCAAGGCTTATACACTGAAAACTATAAAACATTATTGAGACATATTTAAAAATATCTAAAGAAATGAAGATATACAAAACACAGGAATAGGAAGACTAAATATTTTTAAGAGACTAATTCTTCCTAAACTAACCTATAGATTCGAGGCAATTCCAATTAAATTCCAGGAGGCATTTTTTTGTTTTTGTTTTTGTTTTGAGACAGAGTCTCGCTTTGTCACCCAGGCTGGAGTGCAGTGGTGCAATCTTGGCTCACTGCAACCTCTGTCTCCTGGGTTCAAGCAGTTCTTGTGCCTCAGTCACCCTAGTAGCTGGGATTACAGGTGTGTACCACCACCTGGGTAATTTTTGAATTTTTAGTAATTTTTGAAACAGGGTTTCACCATGTTACCCAGGCTGGTCTTTAACTCCTGACCTCAAGTGATCTGCCCACCTTGGCCTCCCAAAGTGCTGGGATTACAGGCATGAGCCACCATGCCCAGCCAACTGTAAGTATTATTCATACTTCTGTACATTGTCAAGCTGATCCCAAAATCTGGAAGATAATTTAAAACTCTTAAAATAGCCAAAGCAAATTTGAAAAGCAAGAACAAAATTTCAGAACTTGTGCTACATGATTTCAGAACTTATTATAAATCTACAATAATCAAGAAAATGTGGGATAGGCATAAAGTTAGAGAAACCTACTAATGGAACAAGATGGAGTACAGAAGTAAATCCACATATAGATACATGGTCAACTGGTTTTTGACAAAAGTGTAAAGGAAATTAAATGGGGAAAATGGAAGTCTTTTCAACATATTGTTCTGGCACAATTTGATAGCCAAGTGTAAAAAAAAAAAAGAAATTAACCTCAAATCTTATAACACACCATATACAAAAATTAACTTACATGGAATATATACCTGATTGCAAGAAATAAAACTATAAGACATTTGGAAGAAAACAGAGGGAAAAATCTTAGTGACCTTAAGTTATCCCATATTTTCTTAAATAGGACACTAAAAGTGTAAAGTATAAGATTTAAAAATTAATAAATTGAATTTATCAAAATTTTGAAAGCTTGCTCTTCAGAGGTTACTGGTAAGAAAATAAAAGCTGGAAGATGGTGGATAGGAGGCAGGGCTAACATGCATCTTTCACTTGGATGGATAGAACAGTTTGTGGAGATTCACACTGTGAACTTTTATTTCAAGAATCACCACAGGAATGCACCAGGAAAACCAAAAGAATAAACGAAGCCTTTGAAACAAGCAGCAGCACACCACTGCAAACTCCATGAGACAGGCAAAAAACTGTGAGTCCCCAAAGTGTGAGGGGGGAGCCCTGCCTCTGAACACACTTCCTCACTAGGGAATCTGCAAATCTAGATCAGAGGAGAAGGATTCAACCTTACTTAAAGCTTGAAAAGATTTAGGGAGCCATGCAAAATTTAAAAGTAGAAGCAGCAGCAGGAAGAGCTTTGTAGGCATTCCCAGTCTCCAGCTCAAGCCCAGGGAAGCCGTCCCTGACTATATCTGACTATCTCACAGAGGCCCTCAGGGAAGGCAGCTGGTAGAATTAGGGAGGGGCCCAGATGAAAGAAGCTTCCAAGTGAATTTTGTGATAATTTCTAGTGGGCATGAACTTCCTTGAGCAGAATCTTGGGGGTGAACAGGGACTGCTGCAGATCCAAGTGCAGGAGCCACAGCCATTATGAGCAGATGGGGTGGAGTGTGTCACGAAAGCCGCGCTTGCTTTCTCGATGGGGAAGCTTATAGCCTGGGGCAGGTCTGATTTCTGCTTGCAGGCTGCCTGGATTCCAACTCAGCACTGTTAGTGGGGCACTGTGGGAGTGAGACTGGCCTCGACAACTGCATGGGAGTTGAGTGAGGCCTATCATTACCTGCTATCCCTCACTTCCCTGGTGACCCATATGACACAGCAGAGGCAGCCATACTTCCCTCTGGAACATAACACCGTTGGCCTGAGAACCACCCCCATGCTCCACAGTGGCCACAGCAAGCCCTGCCCAAGGAGAGTCTGAGCTCAGACCCACCTAACCCTGTCCCCACCCGATGGCTTTTCTCTATCCACCCTAGTAGCTGAACAAAAAACTATAGCTCTTGGGAGCTTTATGGCCCTGCCGAGTGCCTGAGAAGTCAGAATACCTCCCCTGGCCAAATTAGGGCAAGCTTAAATCCCACTGCTAATACCACAACTGGTGCTGCCTTGAAAGAACCACCTCCTGGCTGGAGGCCAAACAACTCAGGCCATTATAGCAACTCATGACAGAATGATCCTGCTCTCAGGAAAGAGAAAACAATAGTTAATTCCACCACCTGCAGCATTCTAGTTAACTAGAGGTCCTGAGTTTGTCCACATGCCAACTTCACTGCTAGCATAACCAGCATTTGAGAAAGCCAGCACACTAAACCTCTCTACAACCAAAGAATCTCATCACTCCTCTGATGCCTCCTCCAGAGCAGGTGCTGGTATCCACAGCTGGGAGAGCTGAAAAATGATCACATCACTGAACTCTTTGTGGACATTCATCAGCAGCAGTCTGGAGCCCCATAGCCCCACTGGGTGACTAGTCTCAGAAAAGCAATAACAATCACTGCAGTCCAACTCTCAGGGAGCCCCATCTCTAGAGGAAGGGGGAGAGCACCACATCAAGGGATCACCCCATGGGACAAAAGAATCTGAACAGCAGGCCTTGAATTCCACATCCTTCCACTGGTGGGTAGTTTCTCACAGAAGAGATACAATTGCAGTGCTGGGCACAGTAGGGAAAGTCTGCACCTCTACACCAACAGGCAGGCTGCCTCTGTGATTGTGAAGGGCCTTGGAGAAGGGGTCCTTCTTCCCTACTGCCACTCCACCACAAATGCAGCTGGGGCTTCCCCCACAAGAATGCAGTGTGGAGGCACCTGTAGGCAGCATTTCTGGAACAATCCAGGCTGAGTGGAGCCCCACAGGAGGAGCACCCCCCCAGATTCAGGCCTATACAAGCGGCAGTGTCACAATTCCTTCCTACTTGGAACTCAACATTCCTATAGATTAAAAGAGGTGCCTGTCTCATCTGAAGAGCTGCAACACTAGGACAGGAGTGAGGCTTTGAGGTGAAGAGCTTTCCTGCTGACCTGGCAAGAGAGCTGAGGTAGCTCCCACTCTTCACCAAGGTAAAACCTCAGCTCGTCTAATTGAGAGTGCCCCCAGTTACTCATCAAGGCTTGGACCTTGGCCCACCACTGGGTATTATATCTTCCCACCTGCCTTAGCCACACCTGGAGCCTAACCAGGCTTACCTCTCCTATTGACCTGAAGCCTGAATCATCAAATCAGTAAATAAAACACTGGGAAAAAATAAATAAACAAATAAATTGTACACCACTAGGGAACGAGATAAGTTTCAAGAGATCCCTGCCATTTCAACTTGAGAGGAGACGTCGAACTCACCCACACACCAAGAATATAACTACTACAACCAACATTGGGGAAAACCAGCACACAAAGACTCTCTATAACTAAGGAACTCATACAGAGTCTTTACCCCTACAAGCACCAAGAATCAAATTAGACTATAATAAACATTGAAGTCTGATTCTTAAGAGGAAAACACAAAAAAGAAAAGAAAATTAAATCTACAAAACACAGTCCAATCAAAAAAGAATTCAAGAACAATTTGAAGAAATTGTCTACACAAATGAGAAGGAACCAGAAAAGTAGTTCTGGTAACATGAAAAACATAGTTCTATAACACCCCCAAAAGATCACACTAGCTCTCTAGCAATGGATTTAAACCAGGAAGAAACCTCTGAATTGCCATATAAAGAATTCAGAAGGTTAAATATTAAGCTACTCAACGAGATATCAGAGAAAGGTGAAAACCAACTTAAAGAAATTAAAAAAAATACAGGATACGGATGCATAATATTGAAGAAAAATAGATATCATTAGAAAAACAATCACAACTTCTGGAAATGAAAGAAACATTTAGGGAAATACAAAATGCAATGGAAAATTTCAACAATAGGCTAGAACAAGTCGAAGAAAGAGCTTCAGAGCTCAGAGACAAGCCTTTCAAATTAACCCAATTAGACAGAGACAAACAAAAAAGAATAATAAAAAAGTAAACAAAGCTCTCAAGAAAGCTGGGATTATGTTAAATGACCAAACGTAAGAATAATTGGTGTTCCTGAGGAAGAAGAGACATCTAAAACTTTAGAAAACTTATTTGAGGGAATAATTGAGGACGACTTCCCTGGCCTTTGTCTTTTTCAGGCAAACAAATGCTGAGAGAATTCTCCACTACCAAGTTTTTCAGACAAATGATGCTGAGATAATAGTGGGGGACTTCAATACACCACTGACAGCACTAGTCAGGTCATCAAGACAGAAAGTCAACAAAACTACTATTAACACTTTTATGCACACAAACTAAAAAAATGGAGAGATGGATAAATTCTTGGAAACATACAACCCTCCTATATTAAATCAGGAAGAAATAGAAACTCTGAACAGACCAATAACAATTAGCAAGATTGAGACAGTAATAAAAAAAATCGCCAACAACAAAAAAAATCCAGGACCAGATGGATTCACAGCTGCATTCTAGTAGATATTCAAAGAATTGGTACCAATCCTACTGAAACAATTCCAAAAGATAGAGAAAGACAGAATCCTTCGAAATCATTCTGTGAAGCCAGTATCACATTAATACCAAAATCAGAAAAGGATATAACAAAAAGAGAAAACTATAGACCAACATCCCTGATGAACATAGATGCAAAAATCAAATAAATACTAGCTAACCAAATCCAACAGCATATCAAAAAGATAATCCACCATGAACAAATGGCTTTCATACAAAGGATGCACGGATGGTTTAACATACGCAAGTTGATGCATGTGATACACCACATAAGCAGAATTAAAAACAAAAACCACGTGATCATCTCAACAGACACAGAAAAAGCATTTGACAAAATCCAGCATCCCTATATGATTAAAACCCTCAGCAAAATTGGCATAGAAGGGACATAGCTTAAGGTAATAAAAGACATATATTACAAGCCCACAGCCAACATTATACTGAATGGGAAAAAGTTGAAAGCATTCCACCTGAGAAGTAGAACAAGACAAGGATGCCCACTTTCATTACTTCTATTCAACGTAGTCCTGGAAATTCTAGCCAGAGCAATCAGGCAGAAGAAAGAAATGAAGGGCATCCAAGTCGATAAAGAGGAAGTCAAACTGTCGCTGTTCATTGATGATATGATTGTATACCTAGAAAACCCTAAAGACTCATCTGAAAAGCTTCTAGATCTGATAAATGAATTCAATAATGTTTCAGAACACAAAGTCAATGTACAAAAATCAGTAGCACTGCTACATACCAACAATGACCAGGCTGAGAATCAAATCAAGAACTTAACCCCCTTTACAATTGCTGCAAAAAACAAAACAAACAAACAAACAAAAACTTAGGAATATACCTAACCAAGGAGATAAAAGACATCTACAAGGAAAACTACAAAAAGCTGCTGAAAGCAATCATAGATGACGTGAACAAATGGAAACACATCCCATGCTCATGGATTGATAGAATCAATATTGTGAAAATGACCATACTGCCAAAATAAATCTACAAATTCAATGCAATTCCCATCAAAATACTATCATCATTCTTTGCAGAACTAAAAAAAAAATTCTAAAATTTATATGGAACCCCCCCCACCAAAAAAAAGCCTGCATAGCCAAAGCAAGACTAAGCAAAAAGAGCAAATTGGGAGGCATCACATTACCTGACTTCAAACTATACTACGAGACTATCCTTACCTAAACAGCATGGTTCTGGTATAAAAATAAGCATGCAGACCAATGGAACAGAATAGAGAACCCAGAAATAAAGCCAAAGATTTATACCCAACTTGATCATTGACAAAGCATTCAAAAACATGAAGTAGGGAAAGAACACCTACTCATTATCAGGGAAATACAAATTAAAACCACAATTCAGTATACCACCTAACTCCTGCAAGAATGGCCATAATTTAAAAAATCAAAAAATAATAATTGTTGGCATCGATGTGGTGAAAAGAGAACACCTTTACACTGCTGGTGGGAATGTAAACTAGTACAACCACTGTAGAAAACAGTATGGAGATTCCTTAAAGGACTGAAAGTACTTCTACCATTCGACTCAGCAATCTCACTGCTGGTTATCTACCCAAAGGAAAAGAAGTCATTATATGAAAAAGACACTTGCACACACAAGTTTATAGCAGCACAATTCACAAGTGATAAAATATGGAACCAACCTAAATGCCCATCAACTAACAAGTGAATAAAGAAAATGTCGTATATGTACATCATGCAATACTATAAAAGGAACAAAATAATGGCTTTTGTAGCAACTTCGATGAAGTTAGAGACCACTTTCTAAGCTAAGTAACTCAGGAGTGGAAAACCAAATATCGTATGTTCCCACTTATAAGTGGGAGTTAAGCTATGAGGATGCAAAGGCATAAGAATGGTATAATGGACTTTGAGGACTCGAGGGGAAGGATGGGAGGGTAGAGATAAAATATTACACATTGGGTACAGTGTGTACTGCTCGGGTCATGGGTGCACCGAAAACTCAGAAATCACCAGTAAAGAACTTATTCATGTAACCAAAAACCACCTGTTTCCCCAAAACCTACTGAAATAAAAAAATAAAATAATATCTAAGTTGCAGATTTGGGAGAAAATATTTGCATAATATATATCTAACAAAGGACTTTTATCCAGAATAAAGAATTGTTACAACTGTAAAATGAGAAGACAAGGAACATAATTTGTTTAAATGGGCAAATGATTTCAACTGGCACTTTACCAAAGAAGACACATAGATGGCATACAAAAAAAAGCTGAACATTATGAGTTATTAGTGAAATGCAAATTGAACCGAAATGGGATACAACTACACTTTGACTAGAATGGCCAAAATTTAAAAATATGATGAAACAAAATGATAATTCCAAATGTTAACATGATGTGGAGAAATTAGAACTCTCAAATACTACTGGTTTGAATATATAAAGTGGTACAACGATTTTGGAAAACAGTTTGGCACTTTCTTAAAAAGTTGAACATTCTTTTACCATACAATCCAGCTATTCCATTCCTAAGTAAATATTTTTCCAAGAGCTATGAAAACATACATTCATAGAAAAGGTGCACTTAAATAATTATGGCAGCACTATTTTTATCAGCCAAAAATTGAAGTCCACTGAATGTCTATCAATGGCTTAATGTAAACAAATTGTGGTAAATCCATAAAATGGAACAGTATTTGGCAACAAGATTATTGATTGATGGATAAAGTTGAAAGTAATTATACTAAGTCCAAGAAGCCAGACAAAAAGTACAATTATATGATTCCATTGTATAAAATTCTAGACAATGAAAACTAATCTACAGTGACAGAAAGCAATTCAATGTTTTCCTGGTGAAAGAGAGATAAATATTTTACCAAATGGCATGAGAAGACTTTCTGGGTTAATGGAAATCTTTTTCATCTTAATTGTGGCATGGTTACAGGGTCTATACATATTACAACATTTGTCCAATTTTGTACAGTAAATATATACAGTTTATCATACATATTTATCCCTTAATAAAATTGTAAATGCCTTTATAAAACAAACAAAAGAAGGAAGGAAGGGAGACAAATTTTTGGCAGGGGGCTAGACAGAATTCTCAGTGAGAAAGGCATATAAGAAAGATATTGAGGAATTGGTGGAAAGAGAATTCAAGAAAAAGCAATGATCTATTAAAAAGGGCTTTGAATCAATAGCATTGTGTCAACCTTTTTTTAAATCCTGGGTTCATTCGGATTAGCTTTATGGAAGAGGTAATCTGAGAAGAGGCTTAAGCTGTGGTTTTAGAGTATGAGCTGCAATATGACACATGATGCTGTGCAGAGTACAAGAAAAAAGAATATTAAATCACAGGCTTAAAAGTGTCACCTTGTCACATTCTCTACCTCCAAGCAAGGTTTATTTCAGAGGCATTTGGAGAAGACAGTGTTCCACAGCCCATTTCTCTAAAATGTGTTCATAATATCAGGAACTATCCAGCCATCTATCCAGGAGCTTTGGATTGATCTTTGATTCCTATCTCTTCTCACCCCTGTGGCAGCCATGGAAGAGACCCTTCCAGATCTTCCCTCAAGAGAAGTCTGCGGCAAGGAGTGCAGTTAGCTGACAGCCTACACCTGTAGCACCTTTTCATCCATCACAACATTTGAGCTGAGGTCATTCTCTTTCCTGTAGCACCTACTCAATGAATGAGCCTCACCATTTTTGTCCAATGAAGGATTCCTTGCCTGACATTCCTTGGATCAGAGCTCTCCAATAAGTTGGTCAAATCTCAGAGCTTCACCAAAATCTGAGGCTCTTCCTATCTAATCAACCTTCCTTTCTCCTCTCCTTTCACAGATATCAGACCTACCTCATGGTCTAAAGACTTTTCCTACCCCTTTCTGTTCCCTCTGTTTTGTCTTTCATAGACATTACTGCTAATGAATCTGTTGCACTTCTAACTCTGTCTTATCCATCCACTTTCTAGAGGACTTGAACTGACATGCACATTCTTCATTCCTTCATTCCAAGTTCTATTGAGTCTATCCTCAAACTCTTTCTTGAAGTTGTTTCCTCTTCCCCAATTTCACTGCCACTGCCTTAGGTGAGGCTGTTCTAGTTTCATTGTTCAAGAGCTTGACATAAAAAAAGGTCAGACATGGAACTTGAATTCCAGTGCTAGTTTTACCCTAGGGAACAGAGTGGTTGCCTGTGTGGCCTGAATATCTGAAAAAGATGGCTACATACCCTTAAGAACAGAATCCACTCTGATAAATAACTGGCATCTAATATTCCATGCTCAAAGTTTACCTTATTTCTTTTCCTCCTGAAATGAGAAAAGGTTAATCACAGTCTCTGTTCTTCTTTATAAAGATTCAGAGAGACTGGTGAAAATCTCATTGGAAAGAGCTGTGAGCTCCGTAGAAGCTCTGATAAATTTCTACTATGGATAAAAATGCTGACCTGTGACTATTCCCACATGTGCCTTTCAATTTGATTCCAAATAAGAGCTGACTGCTTTCCTCTGATGTTTAAAGCCTTCTAATCTTGTCTCTCAATACCCTCTCTCATCCGACATATGTTCCAGCCAAATGAAACTGCTTGCTTATCCCAAAGCACAGTTTGTGCTGTTTCACTTCAGTAATTTGACGCATTCTCTTTTCTCTGTCTGGAATCCCCTTGCCTCTTACTTCCAAAGCTGCTTGTACAAATTCTACTAATCATTTAAAGCCTGTGTGAAATATGATATCTCCAAAGAATCCTCAGTTACTCTCTCTCTCTGCCACCATCTCACAGTAATTTTTCTAGTGTATTTTTCATGGTACTCAATGCTTTCCACCATGTCTTGTGTTTATCAGATACCTGTCTCATACTACCTACTAGGTAATAAGCTCCTTGCCCATCTCTCACCCCTACCCTTCCTGGGCCTGTACCTGAAGGCTGCTCAATACCTCGATTCTAAATGGGTACATTGTTTTCACAAGTGGTGATGGGTTCCCTTGTGTTCCATGCATTCTCATAGGGTTTCTCATTGAGATCATAGGTCAGCCTGGCAAGGCTGCTGGTGGGGCTCTAGGCAGCTTTGCCAGGAAACTGAGTATTTTCCTGAGCACAGCCTATTGTGAGTCTTTCATTGTTAGCACAGTTCTCTGGTGAAACTGGATAAAAGCATAAATAAGTAGAAGTTCTTCAAGGCTTCTCATGAGGAGATGGATGGCCATCATTACTAAAGCAGACTACCTTGCCTCCAGTGTCTGAGCAGTTTCAGAACGAGTTGCTGCACCCGGGGAAGAACATTGATATTAGTAATTTCTATGCCACTCCTAAGATCCACTCCATTCTGTGTCCCCTCATTCTGATTCTCAGTTACCCTAAGGGCTCTCGGGCACCCACCTCTTCCTCTTGAAAGTCACATTTGAAAAGTGGACAGAGTCCTCAGACATTTCTCTAAGAGCCTTGCAGTGGTCCCAGCCTTGCCAAGGGGTTCTCTGCTCTGTGTACCCAATACCAACTTTGGTGAACATGTCCCCAGGTCTGTAAACAATCAGCAATGAACACATACTGAAGTATATCATGTGTCAAGAACAGAGCTGTGCATACAGAAATAAATAATACCGAGATCCTGCCCTCATTCAGTAAGCCCAAGTGGTCTTTATTTTTAGGAGACAAATTATTTTCAGGTTCAAACATTTATGACCTCCTTGGAGGTCAATTCTCACTTTAAAGTTGAATTCAAAAGCAGTTTTTTTTGGTTGTTTTATTTTATTTTTTGAGATGGAGTCTTACTCTGCCATCCAGGCTGGAGTCCAGTGACGCAGTCTCGACTCACTGGAGCCTCAACTTCAGGCAATCCTCCCATCGCAGCCTCCTGAGTAGCTTGGACTACACATGCCTGGCTAGTTTTTGTATTTTTAGTAGAGTTGGAGTTTCGCCATGTTGCCCAGGCTGCTTTCCAACTCCTGGGCTCAAGTGATCTGCCTGCCTCAGCCTCCCAAAGTGCTGGGATTACAGGTGTGAGCCACCGTGCCTGGCCCCCAAAAGCAGTTTTTGCTGAGGCAAAACAAACTTCCTTGATTCAGATAATCAACTCTGTCCACCATATCCATCAATTACTCTCACCCATCATCAGACAAGCATTTCACAAAAGCTGTGGTATAGATCATCAGCTTAACTCAGTGTGTAATCAGATAGATGAGTTAACACACACATAAGGAGGAAAGTCGTTCTCTCACACGGTCTTCCATGCAATGTAGAAATTCTTTAGCTTTCTCAGGTAATAAAGACTGCTGAGAACAGAAAGTTCTGGAGGGCAGTTCACAGATCCCCCAGGCTGATCATCACTTGGATAGCAATTTTCTCAGGTGCAGATAATTAGCTCTAGCTGAAAAGGCAAAAGTGTGTCCCCCAGCAAGCAGGAACAAACCTAGTATTTGTCTTAATTTGCAAAAGGTTTCTAATAGTGACATTTTTAATTGCCAGACCAAATATCTAGCAGCTGCCACCAGCCCAGGTCCTGAGGCTGGAATGCAGCCTGACTATTAATTTCCTGAAAGCCTAGCAAAACAAAGTTGTGTGCCAGATTCTCCAGAAAAGTCTCCTCTTTCAATAACAAATCTTCCTCGGGCTTCCAAACCTCTTCCCAAGGTCTCAGTGAAGATAAAGGAAACATAAAAGCATCACCGTGGATCCTATCACAGCACTGTTGAAAGACCTATCACTGCCTGCCACTAGAGAGCCAAAGTTTCATCTTGTCAAGAGTTCAAATGCCTTGGGATTTTCCATTCTTCTTATCTGTCATTGTGAAGACATGCACCCATTCATTAGTAAGTTACTTCTTACTTTTAAAGAGTTAAAAAACTTAGAGCCTTTTGGCTCTGCAGAATGAGTCTGAGCCCTGAGATCAGTCAAGAGACCTGCTTGTTGGGCTTTATTATAATATTAACTCGTTGTTTTTCCTGGAGAAAGTTATTCTCTTTGAAACAGTGCATTCACCTAACACTCAGGGATAATAACATCCACCCTGCCTATTGAAGCTCTGTGACACTCAAATGTTATAATACATCAGAATAAATTTGATAAAAGTAAAAAATCAATTGGGTGAGGTGACTCATGCCTGTAATCTGGGCACTTTAGGAGGCTGGAGTTGGGGGATTGCTGGACGCCAGAAGTTTGAGACCAGCCTGGGCAACAGAGCAGGACCCTCTCTGTACAAAAAAAATAAAAAAAATCAGCTGGGTGTGGTGGCATCTATAGTCCCAGCTACTTGGGAGGCTGGGGCAGGAGGATTGCTTGAACCCAGGAGGCCTAGGCTGTGGTGAGCTGTGATCACACCTCTGCACTCAGCCTGAGTGGCAGAGTGACACTCTGTTTCAAAAATAAAAGAAAGAAAAAAAATCACTGTATAAGCCGGGAGTGGTGGTTCACTTTAATCCCAGCACTTTGGGAGGTGGGTGGATCACCTGAGGTCAGGAGCTCAAGACGAGGATGGCCAATATGGTGAAACCCTGTCTCCATCAAAAATACAAAAAATTAGCCAGGCATGGTGGCACACACTTGTAATCCCAGCTATCTGGGAGGCTGAAGCCGGAGAATTGATTGAACCCATGAGGCAAATGTTGCAGTGAGCCGAGATCGTACTCCAGACTGGGTGACAGAGCAAGACTCTGTCAAAAAAAAAAAAAAAAAAAAAAACACGGTATAAATGTCAAAATAGAGCTGATGGTTAATCTGCTTAATGTGGTATGTTGTTTATGTAGACCAAAAGACACAAACGTTTATTATAGCTTTGTTAAATAGCAAAAGAAAAAAATTATGTTGGGTTAAGAATCAGCAAGCCTGGACAGGTGCAGTGGCTCATACCTGTAATCCTAGAACTTTGGAAAGCCAACGCTGGCAGATTGCTTGAGCTCAGGAGTTCGAGACCAGCCTGGACAACATGGTCAAACCTCATCTGTACAAAAATACAAAAATTAGCCAGACATGGTGGTGTGCACCGGTAGTCCCAGCTACTTTGGAGGCTGAGGTAGTAGTATTGCTTGAGCCCAGGGGGTCAAGACTGCAGTAAGCCAAGATTGTGCCACTGTGCTCCACCCTGGGTGACAGAGCAAGACCTTGTCTCAAAAAAAAAAAATCAGTAAGCTTGTAGATTGGACCATATTTGAGTTTTAGCACACTGGCGGGTACACAAAAGACAGTAAGTTTTTGTTGAATAAAATCCTGTGATGGGATGCCATTTGGTTATCAGCTCAAATTCTGTCTCTGCTTTAGCCTCTGAAAGGCATCTTGGGATAGAGAAAAGTGCTTACACCCCCCTGCAAGGCATTGCTAACAGGGAACTTTACTGTCAAGAAGCCATGCACCTGGACATTAAAGCTCAGTGAAAGAAACCAAGAAGTCCAGGCATGTTTAAGGAGTTTATTTGGGTGTATTAGTCCATTCTCACACTGTTATAAAGATGCTACCTGAGACTGTGTAATTTATGAAGAAAAGAGGTTTAATTGACTCACAGTTCTAAATGGCTGGGAGGATCTCAGCATACTAACAATCATGGCAGAAGTGAAGGGGAAACAAGACACACCTTCACATGGCAGCAGGAGAGAGAGAGTGCGAAGTGGGAAATGCCACACTTTTGAACCGTCAGATCTCATGAGAACTCACTCACTATCACAAGAACAGCAAGGGGAAATCTGCCCCCACCAGGCCCCTCCCCTGACACATGGGGATTATAATTTGACATGAGATTTGGGTGGGGACACCCACCTTCTTAAAGGTGTTGGGGAAATATAATTAAAAACAAAATCGCCTCTCAATCCAGATAACAATTCCACAGAAATAGAAGAGAAAGAAAACACTTTTTATTATTGAACAAGCATTCAACCAGAATGTGATGGACATCGCAGGCAGTTTGCTAAAGGACTGCAAAGACGGAAAGAAAGCTCATCCCCCTATATAGTCAAGCACACACAACCCATTACATACACATGGTCAAGATAAACTATCATTATTTCTCAAGTAAGAAAACTTGACAGGACCTTTTGTCACACATGGTTCATTCTAACTTTACCATGGTCATTGAGAAGACCACCTGCGTTGTCTAATTGGCTTTATCTGAAGAAGAAACCACACTTCCTATATCTTTATGACAAGAGGTAGTTTTGCAGATTGTAAGAAAGTCTCCACTGAAATTAGGCTCTTACCCTCCCACAGGAACTGGGAGATAGGGGAGCTAACTCCCTCTATGCCACCTTGAGGTTACAGAAAGAATAGGGGCTCAGAGCATGGAAAAAAACTCATTATGGTGGTAAACCAGTTTATGGTGGCAAGATAGGTGTTTTGTTTTGTTTTGTTTGAGACAGGGTCTCACTCTGTTGCCCAGGCTGGAGTGCAGTGGTGCAATCTCAGCTCACCACAACCTCTGGCCTGTGGGCTCAAGTGACCCTCCCATCTCAGCCTCCTGAGTAGCTGGGACCACAGGTACATGCCACCACACCTGGCTAATTTTTCTATTTTTAGTATAGATGGGGTCTTGCCATGTTGCTCAGGCTGGAAGATAGGTGTTTGGTTTTTTTATTTTTATTTTTTAAATTTCAACTTGCAACATAGTTTGTGGGAGGAAGAGAAAAGGAGGCCTGACTAACAAAGGTGGTCTTATTATACAGATTAATCCTCAAAGGTAGCAGCACCGAGAGAGAATAGACAGTAAATGTTTCTTTACCATCTCTTAACCGGACTCTCAGTTAATTTCTCCTAAGTCCAGACTAGGGGGGTGCTTCCAAGAAAGTTTGTTGTATCTGCTGTTGACTTCACTTTATCTCTTCTACAGGTGTAGATCTCCTGACAAAAGACAGCTTTGCAGGACTACTTCTGTCTGCAGGCCCTATGAACAGCCATCTCAAAATATATCAAAAGTATATTTTGGGATGAAATATTTTGGTTCCCTTCACAATACACTTTCTCCTTCCTGTGTGCCACTTGGATTCACAGCGAGAAAATTCTATATTTTCACATGTAGTTATCTCTCACCCAGTGTATAGGCATCCTGGGAAACAGGATGAGGCAGTGTAAAGTAGTACTTCTAGGGTGACCAAGGTCCCAGTTTGCCTGAGACTATCCAGTTTTAGCACTGACTTTCCCCAGATCCATTCTATTAGAATCTTCATATTAACAGGATCCCCAGAGTTCATTAAGCCCATTAAAATTTGAGAAACTGTTGTAGGGTGAACAATTACCTTGGTTTGCTCTGGACTGTAGGGGAATCTTGTTAATATGCAGATTCTAATAGAATGGGTCTGGGATAGGGCCACATTTTGAGCAGCAAGGATTTAAACTACAACATCTGTGTTTTGTTTTCTTTTGTTTTCCCCAGATGTCTATGTTCCTTCTCTTTGGGGCCTACTACTGAGTAGGAGCCTCCTTGCTAGATTTTATGTAACAGTGAGTTTTCTGTATTCCATGAGCCCGTTGTCCATCACTGCAATTTAGCTTTTTCCAGAATCTCCTCCAACCTGTCAGATATACCATTTGCAATCCCTGGTAGTAGGCATTGCTGATTTCCCACTCAACATCCATCTCTTACGTCTTTCCTCCTACAGAGACTGTGAGATGAATAAAAATGGATCCTAGAGGTTTTTAGATACCGTGTTTGCTAGTCCTTATCTCTGTAAGTTAGTTAAGAGCAGAGACTATTACTCATCCCTGATGCTGACAACATGAAGCATAATTCCCTGCTTAGAGTAGTCATTCCATAAATGCTTGTTGGCCCCTCTTCTGGTCTCACTTTCCACTCCTAAAACATTATTATTATTTCTCTTTCTTTTAAGAAATGGGGTTTCACTATGTTGTTCAGGCTGGTCTCAAACTTCCGGGCTCAGGTGATCCTCCCACCTCACCCTCTCAAAGTGCTGGGATTGCAGGCATGAGCTACCATGCTCAGCCACCTAGAACATAATTAGTGTTTGGAATCTTCTAGAAAGTAGAAAAATGATATTAGCAAAGGCATCTAGAAGTTGTAGGGACATGGAATTTAGAACTAATATTGACAGTGGCTGTGTATATCCACGGGCTACATATTTACCATAAGCCATTATTGTTTGTCTTAAACAGCAAATGCCTTTTAGGTACATGGCATTATGACATGTATTCACTTATTGAGGTTAACCCCCCAAAATAGCTTGTAGGGTAAATACGTCAGTAGACATTGAAAAGATAGTGTTAACCTAGGAGAGTGATCGTCTTTCTTGTAAGGGTTTTTACAAAAATTTGGTGGCAGGTCCACCAGAGGTTGATGAAAAAGAAGAGATGGGTTAGATCTGTGGACACAGGTGCAGCAGACACAAAAGTGGCTTGAGAGCAGCCAACAAGCACATCCTCACCACAAACAGTGGACTGGAAAAACAGTAGAACAGCAATTTACAAACATGCATATGGTAGACAATTTCCTTCAAACAAGCGGCAAGCAAATTAAAACTGTGTTATGGCAAGATAAACTGCATTTTATTTTTCCTTAATGATGTCTTTGCAGAGAGGGAAAAAAGTGAAGAGGTGTTTTGTTTGTTTGTTTGTTTGTTTGTTTGTTTTAGATAGAGTTTTGTTCCTGTTGCTCAGGCTGGAGTGCAGTGCAGTGGCACGACCTTGGCTCACTGCAACTTCCGCCTCCCATGTTCAAGCGATTCTCCATTCTTCTGCCTCAGCCTCCTGAGTAGCTGGGACAGGCGCCCACCACCATGCCCGGCTAATTTTGTATTTTTAGTAAAGACTGGGTTTCTCCATGTTGGTCAGGTTAGTCTCAAACTCTCGACCTCAGGTGATACGCCCTCCCCGGCCTCCCAAAGTGCTAGGATTACAGGCGTGAGCCACTGCGCCCGGCCAAGAAGAGGGTTTTAAGGGAAAGGTTGAGGACCAACCTTTGGTAAAATAGATGTTTAGATAAACCTCTCATGGTATAACCCACCTAAAATTCAATGTATGGATGAGATTGGAAAGTAAAGAAGGCCAGACGTGAAAGACGGTGTGGATCTTCCGGGACAGTTTTGTCATTGTGTGACCTCTCACCATGGGTGACCTAAGATTGGGCTCCTAACTGGAGCCAAAGCTGGAGCCTGAGCAGAGTGGGGACTGGGGTTGCAGACGACCACACAAACCTAAATTCTCCGATGGGGAAGATCTCCACAACTTGCAGAGGGAAGTAATGGACAACAGGCTTGATTCTGGGTAGAGCAGAAAATACAGAAAAGAAAACAAAAGTTTCTTCTCACAATTCCTAAACCTGGGCAGTGTTCAAATGAGTTGGAGGCCTGAGTTTACCCTACCATGTGGCACCAAAAAAATCCAAGCCAAAAACTGAGTTTAAAGTGTGGTCCTAGGGTGACAGGGCCTCTTGATGGCTAGAAGGAGCAAATACAAGTCTTCTGAAGAAAAGCATTTTAAACTCAGGCAGCAAAGAATTTCTACACAGAATCCTCAAGGAAAATGACCTCACATGCAGAAAGCACTGTCCACATGGGTTAGTTTATATGGGAATTAGCAAAACCAACAAGCTCCCACGTCTTATCCATGAGAATGGCAGATATTAGAGTTACCGGAAACAGAATATAAAATAGATATCATTAAAATTCCTAAAGTAAAAAAAGCGTAATTAAAATAAGAAAAGTAAAGATTATGAAGTTTGACCAGGTGGAATTGAAGATCTTAATTATGAATTTTATTTATTAAAAATATAAAATTGGCATTAGAAGATTAATGGATGGGTTAAATAGTGTATTAGGCACAGCAGAAGGAAGAGTTACTAAACTGTAAGACAGACTTGATGAAGTGATAGAAAGAATAGAGAGGCAAAAAAATTAACATTTAAAAAAATGTAGACACACAGAGGCTGGAGTACATGTCTCTAATGTACTTAGCAGAATTTCAAGAGAATGGATAGAATGGAAGACAGAAAATATTTGAGAGGGTAATGGCTGAAATTTTCTGGAATTAATAAGGACTTAGATTCAGAAAGCCTAATAAATCCCAAGCAGAATAAATGAAAAGAAATTCACACTGAAACACACTGTAGAGAAACTGTAGAACACAAACAAATCTTAAAAGCAGTTGAGAAAAAAATATTACCTACAAAACTGGTAATTTACTTTTCAACTGCAACAGTTGAAATCAGAAGACATGTCTTCAAAGTACTGAGAGAAAATAATTGTCAAAATAATTTTGTATGTGTAACGACATCATCCATCAAGAACAATTGAGAAATAGAGACATTTTCAACAAACAAAAACTGAATTTACTTCCAGCAAACTCTCATAGAAGAAAATCTAGGTAATGTTCTTCAGAGAAAAAAAAAAAAAGAATCCCAGAATTAAGTTCTGAGAAATGAAAGGAATACCAAACAAAGTGTAGACTTGTGTGGCTAAAACTAAACAGATATTGACTGTAAAAGAAATTAACAATGTCGTTCAATTTGTAGTGTTAAAAAAAATCAAGACAAAACTCATATCTTAAACAGCAATGGCATGTAAAGTAAACAGGGTGATTGCCTCAGGCCATTTCACTTTCCTTTTGTTGTTCAGAAGACAAATATGCTAAGACCATTTACTTTGGACAATATTATGTTAAATGGACATGTAAAATTTTAAGGGTAGCTGGAATAGTGGAATGTAAAACTCCTAAACTGGTGGAGGAAAATAAGTTGAATGGAGTGGGAACCAGGGACACAATCAATCCAAAACATGAAAAAAGAATTAAAAGAAACAGTAAAAAGAAGAACAAATGGAAATTATGAAACAAGATGAAAGAAATCAACGTTATTGAACCCCCAAATTTAGGTTCATGTACCTGATACATGGTAAGCCAAACACTGGCAGATCAGCGCTCAGGAGCAGAGAAAGGTTTGTTTGATTTGGCCAAAGTGAGAAGGCAGGAGAAGCAGTCTTTCAAATCTGATCTGCCTTTCAACATAACTGAAGGCTTTTATGAGTAAGATAGGGATACGGGAAATGGGACCCCCTGATGACCAAAGTTGTTTGCATCCCTTGGACTCTAGATTTCATCGGTCCTGATTAAATTTCTGGATGCTATCAAGGAGGTCTGCATGACCTAAGGATCGTTGTTCTTGTAAAGAAAAACAAGTTCATCAATCTTGTGGGCAGCGCAAGGAGTCAGAATATGAAGTTAATCAATGACCAGTGACTACCCTCTACCAATGTGACTACGTGCAAGCAATCATGCATGGAGGAAGAAGAGGGCAAGGAAAAAGGAAAATAAGTAAAACAAACATCTTATGACCTTTATAATAAAAGCTCAGTTGCATTAACTTACACATATCAGTTATCACAATCAATGAGAGTGAAATAAACTCCAGTTAGAAGACAGGAATATTCAGAGTGGATTTAAAAGCAAACTTACAAACTTAGCTATATGGTGTTTACAAAAGACATAACTAAAACACAAAGGCATAAAGACATTAAAATAAGCAGATGGAAAAATAAATTCTAGGGAAATGTCAAAACGGTAGACTTTATATTAAAAGTATTGCCAGAGATAAAGAGGTTTCTTAAATATTTTGAAAACTACAGATCTCCACAAAGATAATTCTGACCTTTTAAGCATTGAAAAACATGTATTCAACATCCAGCAACAGGAAAGTACTTGTTTTTGATCTCACATAGAATCTTGCAGAAAATTGGCCTCATGTTAGACCAGAGAGGTCTCAATACAATTCTCATGAGTTTTTGGGTTACATTCTCTGATCACAGTGCAAATAAGTTTGACATCTATATTAAGAAAGTGGATTTTTGGAAGCAGAAATTCTTCTAACAACATGTGTAAGGGCTAAGAGAAAATGTCCCCTTCACCCTAAGATTCACTGAAAAATCAGCTGAAAAGAGGCAGATTAATAGAAGTGTAAACCAAACATCTTTGGAGAAATATTTCAACCTTTAAAGGAGAAACGGTGGATATTGGGAAGGAGGAAGAAATTTTTAAAGGTATGGGTAGGTAAGAGACAAATGGTTGTGTTCTTTTGAGTCTTTGATCAGGCTTTTATTGAATACACAATTTTCCTGTGAGTGGGGGTAGAGGAATAGTCACTTCCGCCTTAGTCTGGCTCAGTGAATCTGCTTTTTTACATCATAGGAATCAATCAGATGCCCTTTTGTCTCAGGTGAGCAGAGAGATGACTTAGAGTTCTGTCTTTTGTCCCACACCTGTGAAGATAAGCTATCAATTTACATTGTCAGGGTAAAATTCAACAGAACCATTTTAGGGTAAAGATTTGAGGCCCACAAGGAATTTTCTAGTGGGCAAATTGTGACGGAGGTATGTAGCTTTTTACAATCTTTACACCTATCTTATTTAGGAATGGGAGGCATAATGGGAGGTTTGCCCCACACAATTCCCAGCTCCACTTTTCCCTTTGACTTAGTGATTTTGGGGTGCTGAGACTTATTTTCCTTTCACAGGATAAATGGCATACAAATTTATTAACATGCAAAGAGGGGAAATCAGTGATTATCCCAGTCTCCCAGTGGGGTACAGAAGCTTATAAACCATCTTGAGGCTACAGATAGAATGGGGACTCAGTGCATGGCCAAAAACAGGTTATGGTGGAAAATCAGGTTATGGTTTGGCAGTACAGGTTATGAGAGAGAAAGACAGAGACAGAGAGAAAGAGAGAGAGAGAGAGGTGAGAGAGAGGCTTGGCTAGCAAAGGTGGTCTTCTTACGGAGATAGAACCTTGCAGGTAGCAGCGATGGTAAGCGTTTCTTTCAGAATTTTAAAGGTTTCAGACTCTAAATTAATTTTTTTTTACCTGGACAAGGGAGGGCTCCAAAGAAAGCCCAGCTGCATCAGTGCAGATTGTCTACAGGTGCAAATCTCCACCACAGAAGACAGCTTTGCAGGGCTACTGCTGTTTGCTGGCCCTCTGAAGGGTCATCTCAAAATATGTCAAAGAAGTATGTTTGGGGGTGAAATATTTTTATTTCATCCACACATGTATTTCAAATCTTTATTTTAGGTTTTGCTGATTGGCAATTTTGATAAATTTATATCTCATCATTTTCTGGAACACTCTGCTTTATGTTTTATTTTCTTGAACCAAAATATTTGGTTGAAGCGTCAGTGTTTCATAAATTGATTCTCAAGTGCCATATAGCATGCGTATGTGCACACTCACTCTTTGGTTGTTTGATAGAATTCAATTTTAAAAAGAAGCTAAATTCAAAAAATCGGTTTTTAGTGTTAGCCTGGGCATAAAGGACTCTGTCAATAATTAAAATCCATTTTTAAAAAGCCTCAACCAAAAAAAAACTTTTATGTAATTATGTTTTAAGTATCAGTAGTGTATTGATTATGGTAATTTAAAAAACCTATGGTTATTAATCATTATGACAGAGTTATTTTGCTTTTTAAAAAAACTTTATTGACTTAACAGGAAGAGGCTGAGATACAAAATATAATTTAAAGAGTTTCACTTTGGGAGGCCGAGGAGGGCAGATCACAAGGTCAGGAGTTCAAAACCAGCCTGGCCAACATGGTGAAACCCCGGCTCTACTAAAAATACAAAACTTAGCTGGGCATGGTGGCACATGCCTGTAATTCCAGCTACTTAGGAGGCTGAGGCAGAAGAATTGCTTGAACGGACACCTGGGAGGTGAAGGTTACAGTGAACCAAGATCGCACCACTGCACTCCAGCTCCAGCCTGGGCTACAGAGTGAGACTCCATATCAAAAAAAAAAAAAAAAAAAAAAAAAGTTAAAGAGTGTACTTGAGCCAAAATAAGGACAGCTGCCCTGACGACTCAGATCTAAATAACCTTGGATGTGAAGAATGTTTTGCCTTTGTAACAAGTGGGTTTTAAAAGGGAAAAATGGAGTGGGTTGATACAAAGTTATTTGTCAGGAATTCTCATTGGTTTACAGAAATAACAATGATTAGTGATCGGCTATATACATTGTTAAGCTACAAGGTTATAGTGGATTAGTGTCTGTGTGGCATTATTAGGTTAATTTATATTCATGGCAATAGCAAGCAGTCAAGAGATGAATATGTAGCTCAAGTGGGAGGCAGGATGTGATTGTTTTAATGACTCTCTGGGCCTGATCATTTAAAAGCTTTGCATTCCTTGGATAAAATTTCTTTTCTTTTCTCAGTTTGGGCTTGGGATATCCCAAGATGGTTCAGATGATCTCAAAGGACATAAATGTAACTTAATTTTAAGTAATTTTCATAGAAATTATAATATATAGAATTAATTTAGAAAAGATAGGATTCATAAGTCTGGTTATAATAAAAATGTAATTATTAAAAACTCCATTAAGGCAGACACCAAGCCTTTTTTTTTTTTTTTTACCACTTTCATAGTAACCAGCACATAGTAGATATTCAACAATTTTTTTTTGAATGAAAATAAAGATAATGTGAATGCAGGTTGATAACTGAATGGTTAAAAAGCCAGAAATAAAAAGCCTGCATCTAATGTGAAGAAAAAGGCACTCATAGTCATCATTTTATTTCACTCCATCAACCTCTATTGAGTGCGTACTATGTGCCAAAAATTGTTCTAGATGTTGTGTGATATATTTGTGAATAACAGGCTTGATTCTTAGCAGCGTAGACCTTACTGTCTGTTTAGGGGGATACAACTTGGAAATAGAAGGTTGATCAGGAGTATCCAAGCTCCTAAACAGTGTGATAAGGAATGGGGAACTCAGCTCATCTTTTTCTGTAGACATTTTAAAATGGAGCTTTGATTTTACCAAAAATTTGACCACTTATGATCATTCTTTAATATTCACAGTTGACACAATATCCATCATCCTATTTGAAGCAGAAAGACCAAGTATTATCATTAATTTACAAACAAGAAAAATGAAGTCCACAGTGGGTAAATTATACAATTAGAACACAGGTTTCCTGAATCCAAGTTATTGGAGATAAAGGAGATTTAGCCTTCTTTTTATTGGGTTTTGGTGTTCATTTTTAGCAAATACTTGAATAAAAAGAATAATCACAATCTCCTTTTTGGTCATGTTCAAAATATCAAACTATGTGTTTTTAGCAAATACTAGTTCTGGGTGAACGTTCGAAATTTTCACTTTTTGTTTAAGCATTCGTTATTAGCTCTAGAGATACAATCAGAAGGTCCTCAGTTATAGGAGCAGGAGTCCTTGGAAACAACGCTGGTTGGACATTATATTAGTCGACTGCAAACATCGTGAAGCTAAACTTTTTATTATTTATCTCATGTTCCTAGTGTCCTGCACTTAGTCCTCACAGATGAAAACGGGGTCAGCAATAAGAGCTGTCAGTCCTCCATGCCTTTCTGACTGCCACTCCCTTAGCCCAAGCCCTTGTGACCTTGCAGCTTAAATTATTTTCCAAAAGCAATTCTGTCATTCTTTGGCTCAGAAACTTAGTTCAGACTGCTATAGCAAAACCACCATAGACTGGGTGACTTGAACAGCAAACATTTATTTCTCAGGTTTGAAGCCTGGGAAGTCCAATATCAAGGTGCTGGCAGATCTGGTGTCTGGTGAGGGCACTCTTCCTAGTTTGTAGATAGCCATCTCTCATTGTATCCTCAGGTGGCAGAGGGCAGAGAGGGAAAGAGGAGGCACTCATGTGTCTTCTTATGAGGGCACTAATCCAATTCAAGAGGGCCCCACACTCATTATCTAATTTCTTCCCAAAGGCCCCACCTCTTAATATCACAACACTAGAGGTTAGGATTTCAACATGTGAATTTTGAAGGGACATGTATTAGGGTTCTCTAGAGGAACAGAACTAATGGGGGAGGTTCCAAGATGGCCGAATAGGAACAGCTCCAGTCTACAGCTCCCAGGGTGAGCAATGCAGAAGACAGGTGATTTCTGTATTTCCAACTGAGGTACCAGATTCATCTCACTGGGGCTTGTTGGACAGTGGATGCAGCACACTGAGCAGGGCTGGGCGTCACCTCACCTGGGAAGTGCAAGGGGTTGGGGGAATTCCCTTTCCTAGCCAAGGGAAACCATGACAGATTGTACCTGGAAAATAGGGACACTCCCACCCTAATACTGTGCTTTTCCAATGGGCTTAGCAAATGGCACACCAGGAGATTATATCCTGCGCCTGGCTCAGAGGGTCCCACACCCACAGATCCTCACTCACTGCTAGCACAGCAGTCTGAGATCGAACTGCAAGGCAGCAGCGAGGCTGGGGGAGGGGCGTCCGCCATTGCTGAGGCTTGAGTAGGTAAACAAAGTGGCTGGGAAGCTTGAACTGGGTGGAGCCCACTGCAGCTCAAGGAGGCCTGACTGCCTGCCTCTGTAGACTCCCCCTCTGGGGGCAGGGCATAGCCAAACAAAAGGCAGCAGAAACTCCTGCAGACTTAAATGTCCCTGTCTGACAGCTTTGAAAAGAGTAGTGGTTCTCCCAGCATGGAGTTTGAGAGCTGAGAACGGACAGACTGCCTCCTCAAGTGGGTCCGTGACCCCTGAGTAGCCTAACTGGGAGACACCTCCCAGTAGGGGCCGACTGACACCTCATACAGCCGGGTGCCCCTCTGAGAGGAAGCTTCCAAAGGAAGGATCAGGCAGCAACATCTGCCATTCTGCAATATTTCCTGTTCTGCAGCCTCCGCTGGTGATACCCAGGCAAACAGGGTCTGGAGTGGACCTCTAGCAAACTCCAACAGACCTGCAGCTGAGGGTCCTGACTGTTAGAAGGAAAACTAACAAACCGAAAGGACATCCACACCAAAACCCCATCTGTATGTCACCATCATCAAAAACCAAAGGTAGATAAAAACACAAAGATGGGGAGAAACCAGAGCAGAAAAGTTGAAAATTCTAAAAATCAGAGCACCTCTTCTCCTCCAAAGGAACACAGCTCCTTGCCAGCAATGGAACAAAGCTGGATGGAGAATGACTTTGATGAGTTGAGAGAAGAAGGCTTCAGATGATCAGTAATAACAAACTTCTCCGAGCTCAAGGAGGATGTTCGAACCCATCGCAAAGAAGCTAAAAACCTAGAAAAAAGATTAGACGAATGGCTAACTAGAATAAGCAGTGTAGGGAAGTCCTTAAATGACCTGACGGAGCTGAAAACCATGGCACGAGAACTACGTGACACATGCACAAGCTGCAGTAGCTGATTTGATCAAGTGGAAGAAAGGGTATCAGTGATTGAAGATCAAATGAATGAAATGAAGCGAGAAGAGAAGTTTAGAGAAAAAAGAGTAAAAAGAAACGAACAAAGCCTCCAAGAAATATGGGACTATGTGAAAAGACCAAATCTATGTCTGATTGGTGTACCTGAAAGTGACGGGGAGAATGGAACCCAGCTGGAAAACACTCTTCAGGATATTATCCAGGAGAACTTCCCCAACCTAGCAAGGCAGGCCAACATTCAAATTCAGGAAATACAGAGAACACCACAAAGATACTCCTTGAGAAGAGCAACTCCAAGACACATAATTGTCAGATTCACCAAAGTTGAAATGAAGGAAAAAATATTAAGGGCAGCCAGAGAGAAAGGTCGGGTTACCCACAAAGGGAAGCCCATCAGACTAACAGTGGATCTCTTGGCAGAAACTCTACAAGCCAGAAGAGAGTGGGGGCCAATATTCAACACTCTTAAAGAAAAGAATTTTCAAGCCAGGATTTCATATCCAGCCAAATTAAGCTTCATAAGTGTAGGAGAAATAAAATCCTTTACAGACAAACAAATGCTGAGAGATTTTGTCACTACCAGGCCTGCCTTACAAGAGCTCCTGAAGGAAGCACTAGACATGGAAAGCAAAAACCAGTACCAGCCAGTGCAAAAACATGCCAAATTGTAAAGACCATCTATGCTAGGAAGAAACTGCATCAACTAATGAGCAAAATAACCAGCTAACATCATAATGACAGGATCAAATTCACACATAACAATATTAACCTTAAATGTAAATGGGCTAAATGTTCCAATTAAAAGAGGAGCAGAACTAACTGTATATATAGAGAGGAACTATAAATAGGGGAGTTTATTAAGTATTAACTTGCATGATCACAACGTCCCACAATAGGCTGTCTGCAAGCTGAGGAATAAGGAGAGCCAGTCCGAGTTCCAAAACTAAAGAACTTGGAGTCTGATGTTTGAGGGCAGGAAGCATCCAGCATGGGAGAAAGATGTAGGCTGGGAGGCTAAGACAGTCTCTCTTTTTCACGTTTTTCTGCCTGCTCTATATTCGCTGGCAGCTGATTAGATTGTGCTCACCAGATTAAGGGTGGATCTGCCTACCCCAGCCCACTGACTCAAATGTTCATGTCTTTTGGCAACAGCCTCACAAACACACCCAGGATCAATACTTTGTATTCTTCAATCCAGTTGAGTGGGCACTCAGTACTAAACATCACAGGACGCAAGCATATAGTCTAAAACAGGAGCCTTAGGAGACTCTCGTACCTACTAAACATTGACCGAATGCTTCAGTCTACCATTCAATGCTTTTTATAACCCTTTAGCAGTTCACTATGTTCTGCTCATCTCTCTTTCCCTCATTCAATGCCTCTCCTGGTGTCATTAACATCCTGGTCTCCAACCACATTCACTGTTATCACAAGATACTTGGTTTTTGTACAGTCCCATGTCTTTGCTCAAGCAGTTTCTTCTCTCTGGAACACTCTCCCCTGCCATTATATGTTGTTGAAATTTAACATATTCTTAACAATCTCAGCTAAAATCCAAACTGTCTTTGGATCCTCGACTTATAATGAATTTCCTTTCCTCATGCCCCAACCACAAGCCCCTAGTTTGCATTGCCTCCATAAGACTTACCCCACTCTACTTTGCACCAGCATTACTGGGCTATATATCAAGAGTTTAGAGATGGCTTGCATGCAGGGCCAATGTCTCATCTATGTCCACACTAGTTCAGTTTCTTGTCACACAGTAGATGTTTTATAAATGTTTCCTGAATTCCCAGAATTAATAAATTATGCCACTTAAGGTAACCAGAAACACCAGTGCCCACCTCTATATAGCTAAATTGACCCTGATAAAGTGTCCTCCACTGAAAAATGAATGCATTGACACAGAGAAGTGACATCATTGTGACAATCACAAAGCAAGTGACAATGTAACATGTACCTGACATCTATTTTTAAAAATGAAGAAGACTCAGAAATTTGAGGCAGGCACTGGAAATTAAAACTGGCTGTTCAATATTACTAGAATGATCCCACTGTGCCACTGTCATTAGTACTAATACCCACTAGTGATCCCACTATACCACTGTCATTAGTACTAATACCACTGTCACTGTGGTGGTATTACCACTGTCATTAGTACCCGGTGACTAATTGGCACAGCCAGGGAGTAAAAGTTTTTTCACTTCTGTACTTGTTTTTCTTCATTTTGCAGGGTTAATTTGTGTCTAGCTCTCCTAAACTTTTATCTTGCTGGCTTTCAGGCTTCCAAATTCAAAAAAAATATTGAATTGCTCCTGACATCTAGCTGGCTTGATCTGGAATGCATGCATAATTTAAGCTGATTGAATATTTTGCCACATTAGAGTGGAAAATATCTATATCCCCAAAGCAGTAAAAGAAACTGACAAGTTCAAATACCACTTGGCATCACCTTCCATGATTTTCACCAGGTAACTAAGGCCATCTAGGAGGCTGAAATCAAAGTTTGCCTTTAGCTACGGGATTCACTCCTGAGTACCCAAGGCCGAGAAAGAGAAGACTCTGTCTTTAGCTGATGCAAGGTTTCCTTCCTTGGATGCAAGATAAAATAAACACATTCCTTAGATTATTTTGCTTTTTTCTTTTTAAAATATGCTTTTTGAATTGATTTCCATTTTAACCAAAGAAAATGAATTTGGAAAGTGCTTTCACTCATAGGATTTACTTAAATTGTAAGTATATAAAAAAAGGACAGTCTTAAAACCCTCAAAATTTGTTAGAAATGAACAACTAATGAGACAGTCAAGTCACTCAGGGTGATAGACGTCCTTGGCTTCCCCTCCTCACTCCAGCCTCCTGTGACTCTGTGTCACCCGCATCCCCATATGGCATGGAACGTGCTCCCTCTCCCTTCACGTGGGTCACGTTGTGCACATGGCATGAATCCTGAGAGTATGAAGAGGTGGCGCCTTTCAGAGTCACAATCATAGCAATGCAACTGTAGAACTGACAGAGTGAAGGAGCCAATCTACCAGAAGTGATGCAGTAAACTAGAAAATGAGGACACAGAGGCAGATGAGCCCCCAGCACTGCCTGGAGGAAGAGAGGCAGAGGATGGGAGATACCAGTACTCTGGGTTGTTCCTGTGGTAAGGTAGGGACATTTCCTCAGGCCTCATTTAGCCAGAGCATAATTCTTAGGGCTCTCAATTTCTTTGTTTTCTTTCCATGCTCATCAATAACAATTCTGATCTTACTTCTGAGATACCTTGATACTAGAAAATGAGGGTAGAAGAATGGGTATTCTGGCCCCTGGGAAGAGATAGCTTCAATAAAAAATATGGGTCAGCTGTTTTATTCAGCAAATTTGTTGAACACTTACCAAGTGTCATGGACTCGCTAAGGGCTGGGGATTCAGCAGGAAAATAAGACAAAGAGCATCCTTTCATGGAGTGTATATTCTCTAAGAAGGAGATGGACAGTAACATATGAACAAGTAAACAAAATTAGTTTAAATAATGATGACCTCTTTAGAAAAAGTTTTATGGGCAGGTTCACAGAAAGTGAGTGGATGGGGAAGGGTAACTGTAGATGGAGTCTTCTGGAAAGGCTTCCTGGAGATGGTGATATTTGAGTTGAGACCTGAATGACAAGAAGGAGGCAACCATGTGAAGAACCAAATTCTAGACAAAAGGATTATCAAGAGCCAAGGCCTAGAGGCAGGAATGAGTGGACAGTCAGGAAGAAAAAGAAGGCCTGTGTGCTTGGACCACAGTGAGTATACGGGTGAGCAGTATGAGGTGAGGTTGGAGAAATCCAAATCAGAGAGCCTCTATGGATGCCAAGAAAATAGTTTGGGGACCTGAGAAATGGGGGACCAACCAGACCTCGAGATAAATTGGATTAAGATGGATGTTTCCCTTAAGAATTTCCTTCAGTAGCAAGTGCTAGGCAATAATCCTCATTCATCATATCTCTTCTCCCAAGAAAACCCTTCTGTTCTCTGGACTGCCATGACAATTGTCCTAACACACTCTGTTAGTTAATGCCCAGGAGTTTTGCACATACTGTTCTTTTGCTCAGAATATCGTTCCTCAGATGTCTGCCTGAAGAAGTCTTAAGTTCACCCTTCCAAATTCAAATAAAATATCTCCTCTCTCCTGTAAATATCCTAATCAAAGGATGGTCCTACAGAAGTCTGTGTACCTCTATTATAACATCTTTCAAATTGTGTTGTGTTTGTCTCTCTCTATCCTTAGACTATGAGTCTCACGGAAGGTAGAATACATTCTTATTCATCTTTGCATCCTCTATGCCTAACAAAGCAGGAGCTCAAGAAATGCTAGGAAGGAAGGAAGGAAGGGAGGGAGGGACGGAGGGAGAGAGGGAGGGAGAAAGGGAAGGATTCAACTTCAAAATGTATGAGTAGTTCATCTCAAAGATATTTGTAGTTAAAAAAAAAGAGGGAAATAAATGCATCAGAAAGGATATTTTTGTAACTAAAAAAAGTGATATTCATCTGAGAAATTATTATTCTGCCTTCCTAAGACCACCAAGGAATATAAAATCCCTCCCACACTTCTTTACAGAGGTATTTGCATGTGAGTCAGTTCCCGTCAATCCCAAATTACATAGATCTGTACAGTAGCAATTAGGTTTATAAACTGCTGGAGGGGAAGAGTGACAGCTGTTAAACTGTGGCGGAAACAAAAAACCTCTGCGCAAGGATTAAACTGACTAGTTACAGAGAGACTGACAATCTGCAAGGCACTTCCAGGAAGCAATCTTTCTGATGCAAATTATCAGAGGATGCAGAAATGAAATAGGAAGCCCATCTAACTATCATGTTTCACTTTTGTGATGAGGGTGGCAACAGAAGTGGGCAAAGGGCAGAGGACATCTAGCCCAGTCTGCAAGAGTTCTGGGAGTCTAGGCAGATACTGGATGATAGTCATATTGACTATCTCAGCCATCTCTCAAATTTGGCAGAAAATTTAAAACTATTCAGGAGCTTAAAAAAACAAACAAACAGTAGTGCCTGGACTCCACCCCATGCCACTTAAATAAGAATTTCCAAAGATGGGGATATAGAACCAAAAGTTTTCACAAGCTCCCCAGGTGAACCCGGGCAACACGGCAAAACTCTATCTCTCCAAAAGGTACAAAAATTAGCCGGGTGTGTTGGTGCGCCTGTAGTCCTAGCTACTTGGGAGGCTGAGGTGGGAAGATTGCTTGAGCCTAGGAAGTTGAGTCTGTAGTGAGCTGAGATCATGCCACTGCACTCCAGCCTGGGTGACAGAGTATGGCCTTGTCTCAAAAAACCAACCAAACAACCAACCAAACAAATGCCTCCCCAAGTGAAGTGATTCTATCAGATGCAAATGATTAAAATTCCTTTACTCAGCACTATTCATAAAGCCTTTCCACGTAACGTCGACTTATTTAATATGGCCTATAAAGAGAGGTAAAACCGAGGCTCCCGGATAGGAAGGAAACTCGCCCGAGGCCATGCAGCTAGTGGTAAGATTCAAGAGTGTGCCTGCAGACTTCAGGTTCGTGGTGTATTCAGGAAGGCAGGCTAGTTCAGGAAACTCCTGGGGACTATGTCTTGCAGACAAATTTGTCTATGGTGATTCTGGTCTCCCTTTTATGCTCTTTCTTCCTGATTAACATTCCTCTTTTCTCCATAGCTTTCCCTCCTACGTGCCTTGCATTCCTGGGTGCCTATTCTTGCTCCCATTCCTGCTGGGATGATCTATCTGATTGGTGACTAACCACTCAGTGGGAATTCATTTTGTGGGCAGCCTTCCTATGGAAAAATGTTCTCTTTAAAAGAACATTGGCAAAGGAGACTAAATGCCAACAATTGGTGAATTTGGGTAAAGAGTGTATGGGAGTTTCTTGCATTATTGCTGAAACTTTTCTTAATTTTGACGTATCAAAATAAAGAGTTATAAGAGGAAGAAGGAGGAAGAGGAGAGAGAGGAGGAGGAGAAGGAGAAGGAAGGGAAAGGGGAAAAAATACTGGCAGTATTTAGTGTAGATTAAATAGCCTTGGACAATGAACGCATGGCCTAAAGCCATGGAGGCCTGAATCTGTTCCAGACTCAACCTCCACCCTGCTATTCTGAGACCCTGGGAAGGCCGCCCTCTATTCTGGATTTGATTGTCCTGGTGGTAAAATGAGGGGACTAGTGTAGATCATCCTTGTTCTGTGTATTTTTTGCTGCATGAAACCATTCCAAAATTTAGTTGCTTAAAACAGAAATTTCTTATTACTTCTCATGGTTCTCTGCACTGATAGGCTCAGCCTGGAGAGTCTCACATGAAGTTCTCTGGAGTTATAGTCAGAGAGAAGCTGGGTTTGGTATCACCTAGCCAAATGGGGTGGACATCCAAGACAGTTCACTCACACAGCTGGCAGATGATCCTGGCCATTGGCTGGGAGCCCACATGGAATTGCTGACCCAGATTACCCATGCTTTAGCTGTCTTACAGACACAACGATGCTTGCCTCAATTAGGACTTTTTTTTTTAAGGATATGAGTCTTTTGTAAACTAGATGTCTACACTCCCATGAATGTTGTCATTGCTGTTGTTTATATTATTCTGACCACTGGCAGTTACCACCTTGTTAACTGCTATCTGGTGGGTTGTCTAGATGCTTCTCGTGGCCACTCCCCTCTGTTAGAGTCTTTTCCTTTCCGCCCTCCACCCGCAGGGCAGCTGCCTAGAAATCTGAGTGTAGGCAATAAGGGATAACTGCTTAGAAAACATTATGTGGCGTTTGCACATATAAAAACTGGTTGTTTTCAAACACCAGTCACTGTCATACGGCTACGTAGGTGTACCACATTCACAAACACATCCTCCCTCACGTTCTTTTGCTTAAAAGATGATTGGTGGGGGCCGGGCGCGGTGGCTCATGCCTGTAATCCCAGCACGTTGGGAGGCTGAGGCGGGCAGATCATGAGGTCAGGAGATTGAGACCATCCTGGCTAACACGGTGAAACCCCGTCTCTACTAAAAATAAAAAAAAATAGCTGGGCGTGGTGGTGGGCGCCTGTAATCCCAGCTACTCGGGAGGCTGATGCAGGAGAATGGCGTGAACCCGGGAGGTGAAGATTGCAGTGAGCCGAGATCACGCCACTGCACTCCAGCCTGGGTGACAGAGTGAGACTCCATCAAAAAAAAAAAAAAAAAAAAGATTGGTGGGGAAAATATACCGTGTGTTAGGCTTGCTTAGAAACCCTTCAGAATCAGAAGTGAAGTTCACAAGCAGAGAGCTTATGCCCCAATTGAGATTTACTTCAGTTTTTCAGTTTTTGTTTGTGTACTTGTTTTAATAAGGATTATACATACGCTGATGGTTGACAAGTCCACAAGATTCGTTTCAGAAAGCAGTAGCGCCCTTCTCCCCCTTTCTTTCATGTCCACCTCTCCAACACACCACTTTCACCTATTTTAGCCACTACTTTTTGGTATTTGATTCAGGATAGAGATACTTATGTTTTTTTCAGTTTTCTCCCTCTTCCATTATCACATATGCACATCCTTTCATACTATCCAAATCTTCTCATGACAATTATGTCCTAACCTGGGCTAGATTTAAATGTGTCTGCACAGAGTTCATAAGTTAGTTTCATAAGGTTTCATTTTTTTCTGGTTCGCTGATTATCTTGTCATTTCTAAGTTTATATATTATACTTCCTCTTTTGTAAAAAATTGGGTTAGGGTTAGCCAGGGGTTTAAATCCTCTTTATGATTTTGACTGCGCAAACACTGTTTAAACAGTGAAACATGTACTTTCAACTGATTCTTTTTTCTGAATAACTTTTTATTATTTTTTAGAGCCAATGATGGTCTTATAGTTTTTAATTTGCTTATTTTTTTCAATGTAGGTAACCTAATTCATCCAAAGTTCTGCCACCTATTCAGGTTTTCTCTCAAAATGTTCAAAAGTATCAGTTATTCTATCAATGATAACTTTCTGAAGAATTTTTTGGGGGCCTTCTGTTGGATTCCAGAGTGCTGATTTTAACCTTTTTGCTGGGTGCATAGCTGCATCATTGGATCTGCCTGGTCAGTCTGTGGTGGGGGATAATTAAGGAATCAGAGAGACCGAGGGGCTGAGGAGGAATTATTTAATTATTTAGGTGCACTGACCCACTCGGATTAACATCCAAACGACTGAGCCCCAAACCAAGAGTCAAGCTACCTTTTAAACATTTTGTGGGGTGGGGGGAGATCTGTGCAGGGGGAAGCATATTACAGAAGGGAGAAACAAAGACACTTATTTAATTGAGACGTGCATTACATCATTTCTTACTTTTTAAGGAACAACATGGTTTATGACTTGAGATTATCTGTCTGGTGACCTTGCAGCTGCACAGCTAGAGAAACAGTCTTCATAATGCCTGGGAAAGGGAGAGATAAGGGTCACTAGCCACAGAAAAACAGGCAGTTAATTTTAAAGGACGCCAGCTCTTTCTCTTCTTAAGGGGGAATTGGGTTTTCTTACATACAACTGAGTTTTTGCTTACATGTTCTTTATTTTCTTTTAATTCCTGTTTCAAGTCATCATTAGGATCCCCTTCACCTCTCTTTGATTCCCAGTTTTCTGTATCCATATTTTCCTCTTTATTGGTTTTCTCCCTTCTTTAAAGGAACTACATCCCTTGGCAGAGCAAACCTCTCTGAAAAAGAATATAGGGCAGGTAAAATTTTGAGAACATTCATCTCTGAAGTTGTCTTTATTTAATTCTCACACCTGACTGATGATTTCATTGGTTATGACATTCCACATCAGGAATCATTTCATTCAGAATGTTGAAGTCTCCCTTCCATAATCTTCTAGCTTCTAACATGTCTGTTGAGAGAAGTCTGAAATTATTCAAATTCATGAGTCTTTGTATGTTATTGGGTTTTTTCCCTCTCTTTCCTCCCCTTCTTTCCTCTCCTCTCTCCCCACTTCTCCATCTTTTTCCTCTTTCTCTTTCTCTCTCTCTCTCTGTCTCTATCAGGGCCTTGCCTCACCCTCTCCCTCTTCCCCTCTCTTTCCCCCATTATGGCGATTTTATCCATGGTGCCAGGCCCTCTCAATCTGGAAACTAGTGTCATTTAGTTAGAGGACCTTTTCCTGACTTATTTGGTTGGTGATTTTCTCCCTTCCATTTCTTCTCTTCCCTTCTTTTGGAAGCCCTGTTATTTAGACCTTAGACTTTGAGGGCTGTTGTTTCTTCTATCTCTCTGTTTGCCATTTTTTTCTATTTTATCATATATGTCTTCAACCTTAACTTCTGTTTCTTCTATTAAATTTTCATTTATCTGCTGTTATATTTTCAATTTCTAGGTGTTCTTTTATTTGTCTCTGAGTATGCTTTTTAATTGCATCTTCTTCTTTTTGCATGGATGCAATATCATCTCTTAACTCTCCAAAGATATATTATTTTTCAGTTGTCTTCTCCCTGTATGTTTTCTTTTTTCTCTAATGTGCCTTGTGTTTGTTTTGGTCTCTGTATTTCAAGTTACAAATAGTGATCCTTGGGGAACCACAAAAACTAACTAGACTAGGTCACAAGAAAAGTTTATTGGAAGCTCTGGATTCATGGGGTGGGACAGGTTGACTGTGGGCTCTAATGGTGAGTTTGGGCCAATTTTTATCAATATCTGTAAATCTTTCCCCTTAGGCTGATTTTATTTCTGGGGAAGGATCCTCTGGTCTTGCGTTGGCATTTTTGTAACTGTGTTGGCAGTGTCAGCTGAGACCTCAATGTTTGGAGCACTTATATTTTCTTATTGTCCTTCAGGATGGTAGCCCACTCTCAATTGTGCCTGGTGCCCTCTAGTTTAGGGAACATCCATTTACCCTGTTCAGAGACCACATTTCTAGTCTTCTACCAGGTGGGTGTTCACCTGGCTGCAAGGTAGAGAGGATATAATTGTCAAAAGCAGACTTTTTAAGCTAGCCTGTTCACTCACAATTCCTAAGGTACTTAGTGCAAATTAGTAAAATTTTGAGGGGTTCTGCATGTAAATAGTTTTTTTGTTTAACATTTACCAGTGCTGGTTTAAGATTCAACTTTTCCTGTACAGCTAAATTAGTTAGCATTCATTCATTTGCATTTTACCCTTCAAAATTTTATTTCTTGTAAATTTGTGTCTCTTCTCAGTTTCTCTAATTATGAATTATATCCTTTAAAAATATGTATCTTTACTATTGTTTTAGTGGGGTTCAGGAATGGAGCAAAAGAATGTGTCCATTTCAACTCATCATTTTTACCCAGTGTTCCCTAAGGAAGATGTCTTGAATTGGGAAGACTGTGGGCAAGAAGAGAAGGTTTCAGATTGCAATGTTTCTTCTAGCTTGAAGGGATTGGATTTTGAAAGTAAATGCATATTTCAATTTGCTTTTCCCATTTGTGAACCTTGAAACACGATTCAAGACACCACATTATTATCACTCTCACACCTGTCATGATGACAGCAGCCAACATCCACTGAGTGGGTACTTCATGGCACTGCATAGCCCAGCACTTTATACACTTTATTTCATTTCATCTTCACACCAATTACATAAGGTCAGTACTTTTATTATTCTCATCATAGAGGTAAGAGGAGTAACACTTGGAGAAATTAAATAACTTGCCCGAGGTCATAAAGCTATAAACTGAAAGAATCGGAATTCAAAGCTAGGTCTGCCCAGCCCATAGTTGCCCAGTGATGATGCTCCTTTTAGTTGCAGGTGTCTGCTCTCTTGGTTGATGCAGCTTTTTTGTTTTTACCATGCCACCGCAGACCCCAACTGCTACCACCACTGCTGCTTGTAACCACCCCCCAGCTAGCGTCAATTTCACAAAAATGCACTTAATAAGTGCTCGAGTAAATACGCGTAGAATGTGAGTGAACAGAGATCTTTTGTATAAAAGATCTTCCTAGAAACTTTGAGGGGTATACAATGGAAGCAAACATGCCTTTCAAGGAGAACATAGTCTATTGACAGAAACAGAAACCACCTGGTCTTGGTGCTTTTGTGTTCTTTTTTTTTTTTTTTTTAGACGGAGTCTAGCTCTGTTGCCAGGCTGGAGTGCAGTGACCTGTGACGTGATCTTGGCTTGCTGCAACCTCCGCCTCCCCGGTTCAAGCGATTCTCCTGCCTCAGCCTCTCGAGTAGCTGAGACTACAGGCATGTGCCACCACGCCCAGCTAATTTTTATATTTTTAGTAGAGACGGGGTTTCACCACGTTGGCCAGGATTGTCTCAATCTCTTGACCTCGTGATCCACCTGCCTCGGCTTCCCAAAGTGCTGGGATTACAGGCCTGAGCTACCATGCCGGGCCTTTTGTGTTCTTTAAATGCTTTATTTCTCTTGTGGTATTTGGTCTTTCTAGTCTTTCTATTTTTACTGGGGTACATTTTTATAAGTCATGATTAGTTTCATAAATTTGTAATATTTTTCTGGCCTTTTGATTATTTATCTTATCATTTCTAAGTTTGTATATTTATACTCCCATTTTTGTAAAACCTGGGTTAGAGTTAGCTAGCGGTTTAAACATTTTGTTGTTGTTGTTTTTTTTTCAAAGAGCCAGATTTTACCTTTATTCATTACTTCTACTGGTTTTCTGTTTTATGTTTCATTGATTTCTACTTTGATCTGCATTGATTCTTTCCTTTGGCTTACTGTCTTATTCTTTTTCTAAATTCTTGAGTATTTAGCTTATTTATTTTATTCTTTAATTTTTATTCATATGGATATTAAATACTATTAGACTTCCTCTGGTAACTGCTTTAGCTATATTTCATAGATTCTGACTTGTATTGTGGTCACATTAGTAATTTTTCCAGAAAGTCTATAGTTTGTTTTTTTATCTTTTCTTGGAACCAGGAATTATTTAATAGCATTAAAAATTCATCAGTAGAAGGATCTTTCCTTTAAATTAAATTTTCACCTTTAATGTATTATGGTCAGAGAGTACTGTTTCTATTTTTTCTCTTCCTTGAAATTTATTGAGGATGTTTTATAGCCTAAGATTATCAGTTCTCCTGACATTTCTCCATGCCCACTATATTTACAGATTAAATTTACAGACTTGACTCATTCTTTTTTCTTTTAGCTGATTTTGATTATTAAGTTATTGTTTTTCTTTTCGTTCTTTCTTTTTTTTTGGTCTTGCTCTGTTGTTTACTGCCCAAGCAGGAGCACAGTGGCACAATCACAGCTCACTGCAGCCTTGATCTCCTGGGCTCAGTCAATCTCCCTACCTCGGCCATCCAAGTAGCTGGTACTACAGGCATGCACCACCATGCCTGGCTAATTTTTAAATTCTCTGTAGAAACGAGGTCTTGCCCTGTTGCCCAGACTGGTCTTGAACACTTGGGCTCAAGTGATCCTTCTGTCTGAGCCTCCTAAAGTGCTGGAATTACAGGAGTGAGCCATTGCACCTGGCCTTGTTTACCATTTTCATTTGTTTAGTGGATCTGTCTTTTTGACATAACTTCATGGTCTGTAGCAGAGGTTGGCAAAAGACAGCCAACAAGCCAGATCCAGCCCATCACCTGTTTTTGTAAACAAAGTTTTATTGGAACATAGCCATTTATTCATTTACTTATTGTCTATGGTGAATTTTACTCTACATTGGCAGAATTGAGTAGTTGTGTCAGAGACCACATGGCACACAAAGCCAAAAACTTTTTCTATATACCTAAAATATTTACTGTCTATTCTAGGCTCATAAAGCCTAAAAATATTCACTATCTTTACAGAAAGAGTTTGCCAATCCTTGTTCTATAGGCACATTATTTTGCACCATATTTTCTTTTATCTTATGACTTTGTGTAGGATTTGACTGTGGTCATTTTCTGTTGCTCATGTTATTTGTTAGGTGCCTAGCACTGTCCAGTAAAACACCCTGCAATGATGGAAAGGTTCTGTACCACATAATACAGTAGCCTTCAACCACAGGCTGGTAAGAAATTGAAACGTGGCTAGTGCAGCCGAAAAATTAAATATTAATTTAATTAAATTTTAATGAAATTTAATTAATAAAACCTTAACCTAATTTCTTTTAGTTTAATTAGAATTAATATAGCCACATGTGGCTAATGACTACTGAACGGGGAATCATATTACTATATGGTCAGGGAAGTCTGTCTAGCTTCCAAGCTCTGAAGCACCCTATTCTTTTGTTTTTGGAAAATGGGATGTTTTGGTGTGGAAGCTGCTTCACATTTTTTACAGTGTGCTGAGTTTCCCCTCCCCTCCTTCTATTTTACTTAGATTGTTGCATTTCTTTGCTCCCATTGTACCTGTTTGGAGCAATTTGGATTCTATTCTCAGTGGTCTGTCCTCAGTCCTGAGCTCCTTCCTACAAGAATATTTGGTTAGTTAGTTTCAATGGTTTACAGGTTCCAGATCACACTGGTATTATCTGAGCTTTCATGGGCTGTTCGTATTGACCCATAAATCTGAGTCTGCAAAGCATTCTCTCAGTTTCAACCACTGTCCACAAATGACCAGTCAAGCTTTTCAGCGAGTGATTATTGGCAATTTGGGGGGGTCCTTGGGCTCTCAGCGCCATTGGAAGTTCTTTATATTCCCTTCACATTCTCCCACATAGCCTTTAATACAACACAATTCTTGTTATGATATATATATATACTCTGCTTATATTCTGGGGTTCATGGAAATAGATTGTATATTATTTCTGTGGGATTTTAGTTTATTCGTCTTTGCTGTATCTATTTTTTGGGGGGATTTAATGAGAATATATAAGTGTACCATCTTACCCCAATTCCCTATTATTTTCATATGTGATGCCTCTATCCACCTCCCCACAGGAGAGTTACTGACCTAGTCCCACCACTTTAATTTACAAGAGGAGGAAATTGTAATATAAGAACTAAAAATAAAATTCATATTACCAGACTTTCAGTCTAGTATTTTTCTCTTTCACCCTACAGATAGAAGATTGTGTAGGCAGACCGTCTGACAGTCCATCTCGCAATATGGTCCAGTAATTGTTTCTCTGTTCTGATAACTCCTCCCCCCATGCATCCCCCATCCCTGTTCTCTTCCCGAATTGGTGCTACCTCCTATTTGGGAAATACTTTTGCTTTTAAGAGTCTCATGGTGACAGAGTAGAGATAAGGAAGAAGAGGCAGTAACATTACTACCCAGGGCCAGTTTTGGGCTTGAGGATCATAGGGAAAAGATGGTTTAAGAATTTATTGGAAGAAGACTACAAATAGGGTTCAGTGTATACTGCTCGGGTGACGGTTGCACCAAAATCTCACAAATCACCACGAAAGAACTTACTCATGCAACCAAACACCATCTGTTCCCCAATAACTTTTATGGAAATTAAAAATAAATTTTAAAAGTGTTTATGGGAAGATTCTGATCTTTCCCCCTTACTAACCACATAAATCCTGGAAAAATAACTAATTCCCTCTTGTTTTTGGTGTGGAAAATGAGAAACTGGATATAATAGGGTCTAGGATAGTACTTGGCTCATACATGTTGTTTGATACCTGTTAACCCTCTCTTTCTTTTAATTTTCTGTAGTTCCTCCAGCATAAAAACAAGACAAAGTTTCTGCAGAGCTGCTCTAACCCAATAATAAAATTGGACAATAAGCTGCATATCTGCCGGAAACCTGGGACTGGCAATGGAGATGAGAAGAGAATCAGAAGGGTAAGGACCCCATATCTCCTTTTTCTCTAAAGTTTCTAAATTCACCCATTTGAATCAGGGGCTCTCGCTGGATCTATTCATTTTATTTTATTTTATTTTATTTGAGATGGAGTCTCACTCTGTCGCCCAGGCTGGAGTGCAGTGGCATGATCTTGGCTCACTGCAACCTCTGCCTCCCGGGTTCAAGCGATTCTCCTGCCTCATCCTCCCGAGTAGCTGGGATTACAGGCATGAGCCACTATGCCTGGCTAATTTTTGTACTTTTAGTAGAGACGGGGCTTCATCATGTTGGCCAGGCTGGTCTCTAATTCCTGATCTCAGGTGATCTGCCCTCCTTGGCCTCCCAAAGTGCTGAGATTACAGGTATGAGCCACCGTGCCCAGCCTGGATCTGTTCTAATTGCACAAGTGACAAAGTCCTATTGGCTCCCAGGCTTGGTTACCTGAACATCCCAGTTACTGGTCTCAGGGCCTTCAAAGCTTCCTGGATATCAGGAGCCAATATCATCACTGGTTCCTGGAGTATAACCAAGTCCCTGAAAACTAATATTTTTGGAAAAGAAAAATAGAGATAAGAGGAAAACCATCGTCATACACAAGAGAATGCAATACAGCATGAATGCAGAAAATCCTGTCCATGTCAAATTTTTTTCTTTCAAGTATAATCTCAATTATTCCTGCAGCATACACAACAAATTGATGTGTGTCTCTGTGCTGGCAGATGCTCCAATTGGAGCTATGCATCCAACTTGGAGAATTAGCCATCACTATGACAACAAGCCTCTTTATTTTTTTTCTGAATGAATGTTATAATTATCTACCATATGAAGTAAGATGCCGCTACTGACATTGTCGTTAGATCCTCTAGCCCTAGCTGTTTAAGATTTCTTGGTGGCAGAAAGCACCAGTTGGAGCCTTGGCCAAGTAGATAGCTCCAGATCAGGGCAGGCAATTCAAGGCTGAGAGTACATATGGGCAGCTTCTCATTAAGGGAACCTAGATCTAATTAGATGCTGTCCCACTCCCACACACAGGAGAGAAATCATGCTCTGCAGAAGGATGTTTATTGAGAGGTGGTTGAGTTAGGAAAATATAATTGGTTTATTTCTCCAGGCAAAGGAACCATCAAAAGTCAGGCATTACACATTTCTATAGGCCGAGTTTGGTATCAGGGTGAGGATGTTGGTTTACTTGATCTTTAGGCTACTCTAAAAAAGCAAAGGTAGAATTGAGAAACTGACTTCCTGCACTGCCTTCAATGTGCCATGCATTCTGTTAAGCACTGTCACAAATGCACTCCCCATTAAAACCTCACTAGTAATTTAAGGTAAGGCAAAAGAAGCCTGTGATGGAGACTAAGAAGTAGGTATTATTTACCTCCACTTTAAAGATGATGAAATTATGGCTCAGTGAAGACCAGAAATGCTTCTTAGCTGACAAAAACTTCGAAATCCATGTTGAATGCCAAAAAGGGGTGGAGAGAAATAAATAGAAATAATTACTATTTCCCTGATTCCTGTAAGTTCCACGGTTCTACCACCCAACTACTGCTCAGCCCGTGGGCCACACAGCACTGTTGACAGTGAATTAGAGTATCAAAATCCAGGAGGGGAGGAACCAGAGAGGTCAGCCTACTGCAGTGATAAGATCACCCCTAAATCCACAGCAGTGGTAATGCTGACAAGACTAGGGGTCCTGTGGTCCTACTCCTCATTTCACAGATGAGAAAAGAACTCTATTGGTTGTGTTGCAAGAGTCACCTGCCCAGTTCACAGAACAAGTAATTAGCAGAGAGGGAAAACAGACCTCCAAAGCCAGGATGCTTTTCTCTCCATCACACAGCCTCCTGGGAGTGTTGTATTAGGATTTTTCATATAAAGTCTCTACTGTAAAGAATGGTTGACTGGAATCCCTCTGAGTAGACATTCAGATAATGTTTTATGTGAGAAATATTTATTCAGAGTTTTCTTTTTTAGCCAATCCTAGCAACACCAGCTAGATAGCCACTTAAGCCACCTATACATACTAATCTGTCTCTTGACTGTGAAAACATTAACATTCTGTATACTAATCAGGAGTCAAAATCATGATCAGCATTCATTAGTACTTTTTTCCAGTTCAATGCACTGAAGAAAGACATTGTACTGTTACATCAGTTTACCTGGTTGATTCTTAGGATCTGTCAAATGCTTGCAGATAAAGACTTAATCATATAAGAATTGTAATTTGGCTCTTCTCAGAATTACATTCCATTTTGATAGACATCATAGATATGTACTGGAAATAAATGTTCTGTTTTCATAGTGTTAGATTATTTTGCTTCTTTCTTTTTCTACTGCTTTTTACTGGGGAAATATATAGCAAAGACATTCAGTTATTTTCCCTTAAATAAACCTGATAAAGATCAGTTTGGACAGAGTTTTCTTGGACAGGTACTTTCTTCAACTGGAAAGAGAAGCTGGGCTTGAACACCATTTCTGATGTTGATTTGACCCTGAGAAAGCTATGTAATATTTCTTAGCCTTAGTTTCTTGACCTTTTAGTTGAGGATAATAAAACATGCTTTATTTAGGGAGGGATGGGCTGATAAGTTTAAATGAGATCACATTTACAAAAGGGCATTATAATATGTGAGATACATAGTAAGTGATCAATGGCTGCTTAATGTTACTAAATGTGCTAAGTGATCAATATGTGCCAGGCACTGTGATAGGTGTGGTGGGGTTATAAGAATTAATAATGACATTAAGTTAATACTTAATGGCCATTATTTATTCCACAAATCTCTGTGAGCACCAACAATGTATCAGATACCATGCTAGGTGATGGAAAGCTCCTGCCCTCAAGTTGTTCACAGTTTTATTTGTGGAAGCAGAAGTAAATATAGTGCAATTAGCACCACCTGAATCAGTGCAACACAAGCTGAAGAACAGAGTAGGAGCACTTAATCAAGGCTAGGGAGATCAGGAAAGGCTTTACTGGGGAGGTGATGACACATTCAATAGATGAAGAAGGATAACGCTTCAAGAAGGCAGAACAATTTCTGCAAATCCTGGAAGCAAAAGAGAACATGGAACATTCAGAAATTTTCATCGTTTAATGGTCACAGTAAAAGTTGGAGGCAACAAATGATGAGAGATGAGGTTGCAGCAATAAAAAAAAAAAGAGCTGATTAAAGATCTTAAAAAGCTTCAACTTTACTTTAAAGAGAATGAAGAGACATTACTCAGATGAGTGATGTCATCAGATTTGAACCAAGGAGGTCACTATGGCATCACTGGACAATGAGTTGAGTGGATGTGGGAGGACCAGGAGGCACTGTTGAGCTACAGCTAAAAAATGGGAGGGAATTAGCTAAGGTGGCTGGTAAGAAAAAGGAGAGAAATTGACAGACTCAAGAGAAGTTTGAAAACCGTTAGTCACACAGTGGAATTGGAAGAGTCAAGCTGAGTCTCAGGTTTCAGTGTGATATAGCAGGTGCATTTTTGTGCCACTCACCTAGAAGAGGACCCAGGAAGAGAAAAGTTGGATGAAATGGGAGGTAGGAAAGAGGGTACAAGATCCAGGGATGCTAGGCTCTGAATCTGGAAACAGCCGTCATAGCTGAAAGTCTGTTTCTATAGAGAATAGGTCTAAAAGAGGACCATGTGTGGATCCCATGCGCACTGCCTAAAGCAGGGATCACCTGCCTATGGGATAGGGTAAAACAAGATGACACTGAGTGTGGCCTCCAGAGGGTTCTGTGTATCTGCAGGAGTAGGAAGCCAGGAACACTCAGATACAGGTTTACATCCTGGAAATTAACCAACCTGACCTCAGGATAAGTGGCCAGGTCTGCAACATATGTTGTACCTGTTGGTAGAAGTAACATGGAACCACCAACATAAAACATGGATTGCTGGGTCTGATAGAGGAAACTACACAATCATAGAAAGAGAGAAATAATCCAGATTAAAGGTGTGATTTTTCCCTTAAGGACTTGTACGTAGTCAGGTTCTGTTGGTGACACATTCTTTCAGCTTTCATTGTTTCAGAAGGTTTCATTTCTGGGTGTAGAAATGGACATTGACTTCTCCATCCCACTCCACTGCCTTCTGGCTTATGTCATCTTCAACAAGAAATCTGCTGTAATTTTTATCCTTGCTCCTTTCTGTATAATGTCCCTGTATTCTCTGGTTGCTAATATTTTTAAATTTTTATGTGCTTTTCACCAATTTGATTATGATTTGCGTGTGTGCGTGTGTGTGTGCGTGTGTGTTTAATAGTCTGCCTGGGGTTCACTGAAACACGTAATCCGTAAACTTATAGTTTTAACCAAATTTGAGGGGAAAACCTTTAGCTGTTCTTTCTTCAGATCTTTTTATGTGTCATTCATCTTTCTCTTCTTTTTCTGTAACTCCAATTTACTTATCTTAGAAAACTTTATATTATCCTACACTCACAGAAGCTTTGTCCACTTGTTTCAGTCTTTATTTTTCTATATGTGCTTCATTTTGGATGGTTTCTATTGCTATGTTTTTAAGTTTACTGTTTTTTTCCTGTGGTGTCTAAATGGTTCTGAATCTCATCTAGCGTATTTTTCATTTTTGATATATTTTTCATCTTAAAAGTTTCATTTAGATATTTTAAAAATATCTTGTATTTTATCATGTTTATGTTTTATTATATATCTTTTTGAATATTTATAATAGCTATTTCAAGTTCCTTGTCTGCTATTACCTTTATTAATGTCATTTCTGAGTCTTTTTCTATTGATTTATTTCTCTCCTTATTATGGGTTATATTTTCATGTTTCTTTTTTGCATGCTGGGAAATTTTTTATTGGATGTCAGGTCTCATGTATTTGTTGGTTTTGTGATTTAGTTGTATTTCTTTAAAGAGTGTTGGTCTTTGTTATGGCACACAGTTAAATTACTTGCAGATTGGTTCGATTATTCTGAATCCTTCTTTTAAGCTTTGTTACAATGGGTACAGATCAGCATTTACTCTGGCATTAATTTAGCCTTACTACTACAGCATGTCCTTTCAAAGGCTCTACCAATACCTCATGTCCAGCCTTAGGAGTTTCACCCAACGTATGCGCAGGTTAATGTTCAGGATTTGAGGGGATCCTCCTGTAGCTCTCAAGTGCTTTCTGTTTCTCTCTGTGCCTTCCTTATCTCTGGTCCTCTGCTCCACCACACATTCCTAACGTGAGTGATACCTGGGGAGCGCTGAGGGTGGAGGGCATGAGAAAATAAGGAAAGGAAGCTGTGTTCCATGCCTGGGGCAATCCGAAGCTGAGCCAGGACATCTTGTGTACAATGACAAGACAAACTACAAACTATGCTAACTTATCTGAATTTATCTTGAGTAGATTCAGAGGCATAGGCAACTAAAGATAGCAGAAATCATCATCCTTCCTCCTCCCATAACCGGTGAATAAGGTGGAATGTATCAGTCTCACTGCATGTAGTGTGGGACAGGAGTCTCTTCATTTGAATATCAAAAACTAGAGACTCTAAGCTGACATTTGGGTCACAGGGAGGAACCAGGGGACAGGAAGAGATTGGTGAGATGGGAAAAGAAAAATAAGGACCTAGAAAAGGAAATAAAATTCATGTCTGGAAGGGAATTATTGAATTAGCCTCATGAAGAATATTATTTCAAAAATGAGCCTTAAGAAGATAGAAAATATAATTAAGGAAAGATTGATGGGAAAGTTTCCTGGGTTAAGGAAGCAGCTTGAGAAAATTCACAGAAGGACATCTAAGGTAGAGTCGGAGAACAGAGACAGGTGAGTTCACCTTATTTGTTAGGTATAATGAAAATATTGAAATATAAGTCCTGAAAAAGAGTTTTGGACAGTACTATGAATGCCTTGATTTGGCAACATGAGTAGGTTATACTTGATTCATAGGAAATGGAGAATCTTTAAAGGATTTCAAGTGAGCATTGTTGCTTCCAAAGAAATTAACTTCCCCTAATGGGGAATAAAAGAGGAGGAAAATAGTCTTTTAGTCAAATGGCCATTTATTCACCAAACCATAAGGACTCTTTGCTACCTAGAAACTGTATACTTGGTCTTAATAAAATGGATCTTAATAATAATAATACTTATTCTCCTATAGCAATTTACTTTGCAGATTGCCTTTGGAGCGAAATCTCATTTGATTTTTGCAAAAAAAAAAATTATTGGACTGAGATTCCCAATTTCCTATTGAAGATGAGAAAACTGAGGCTCAAAGAAAATTAAGAGATGTCTAACTCCAGACATCTGCTTAGATATTGTTAGCCCTAAAATCAGAACCAGCTTATGACTGCCCCATACAACTCATTTTATTTCTTTAGCTCAGAAGAATGGAAAGGAAAATAGTATGTTGAGTTTTTAAAGATGTTAGGACTTTTATTTCTAGCATAAGGCATAAAACAAAGGCTTATTTCAACTCCAGAAGATGGTACTAACACCTGGGAGGAGTTATTTATTGAGAAGACATTTCTTTATATTCATAGCCTAAGCCCCACTACTTACGTTCCCATGCAATGAGAGTTTGATGACAAGACATTGATTTAAGGAAGTGTGATGTGACTCCTCCACCCTGTGTCACTCCTTGTCCACCTGAAAAGTACCATAATAAATCGTATCAAAAGAAACCTTTTCTTTTGTGGTGCTTAAAGAAAAGGAGAGGAAACTGAATGTATCAGGCTTGGTGCTCAGTAAGACAGAAATAACTCTTGACTTAGTCAATTTTCTCTAAGGCGTATAGCAATCTATGGTTGCCCAGCTGAGGGCCAAGATTTTAAATAAAATTCTCACATTTGGACTGCCCACCAGTCTGAATATGTATCTATGTCTACACCCAGAAGACTTGTAAACTCAGGATTTTATAAAGGCAAAAGATAATTTGATCAAGATTGACCAAACTAAGTCAAAGAAATACAAAACTATTTCCTTTTTCTCTATGGTTGACCGAAATGTAAATCTGAATACAAAGAGGTTCTGGCATTCATTTCTGATTGCCTCATCACCAAGAAATGGGTAATAGTGTGGCTAAGAGAAGTTAGTTTGTCCCGATGCTGCTACCTCTAGAATAATTCATGCTGTAATAATCCTTTTGGTGTTCCCTGGACTGTCCTCTGCCACACATGGGGCAATAAAATGATCAAGTTCTGGCTGGGCGCGGTGGCTCACGCCTGTAATCCCAGCACTTTGGGAGGCCGAGGCGGGTGGATCACGAGGTCAGAAGATCGAGACCATCCTGGCGAACATGGTGAAACCCCGTCTCTACTAAAATATAAAAAAAATTAGCCGGGCGTGGTGGTGGGTGCCTGTAGTCCCAGCTATTCAGGAGGCTGAGGCAGGAGAATGGTGTGAACCCGGGAGGTGGAGGTTCAGTGAGCTGAGATTGCGCCACTGCACTCCAGCCTGGGCGACAGAGCGAGACTCCGTCTCAAAAGAAAAAAAAAAAAAAAGATCAAGTTCTTCATAACAGGGAGGTTCGTTTCAGTTAGCAGAAATAGTCCTAAGTTTTGCTTATAGATTTGTTCAAGTGTTTTGTTTAGGAAGCTTTGATTCCGTCTAATATTTTAAAATAAAATCCATGACAATAATTAGTTTTTATGTGGGAATGACGTCACAATGGTGGTTTCTGAGAACAATGGCTCAGTGCCCCTGTGTCCTGACAGCATCCATGCCTGTGTGCTGGGCCCTATGCCCATGAGCTCTGCCCAGTTGCTGCTTGAAGAGAAAGGGGTTGTACCCCTCATAATTTTAGCAGAAAAAAAATTTTTTTGATTATGCTTGAGCTGAATATCTTTTCTTCATTTGGCAGCACTGTGTTCTATAATACACAGCTTCTGCGTCACCAGGAAATCCTCCGTGGTTACGGCAGTTTGGGGCATGTGCAGTCTCATGTGGCCCATAGTGTCACAGTACCTCATTTAACCTGCACAGTTCCCATTTCCGCAGAGATAAAAATTGAACCCGAGAGGTATCAATGACAGGGATATGTTCTGGGAAATGTGTCATTAGGTCAGCAGTCCCCAACCTTTGTGGCACCAGGTACCGATTTCATGGAAGACAATTTTTCCATGGATGAGTGGTCTGGGTGGTGCGGGTGGTGGGGGGATGGTTTCGGGATGAAACTGTTCCATCTCAGGTCATCAGGCGTTAAATTCTCGTAAGGAGCCGCAACCTAGATCCTTCATGTGTGCAGTTCACAATAGGGGTAGGCGTTGAGCTCCTGTGATTATCTAATGCCGCCCCGATCTGACAGGAGGCAGAGCTCAGGTGGTAATGCTCGCTCACCTGCTGCTCCCCTCCTGGTGTACAGCCTGGTTCCTAACAGGCCACAGACCCATACCTGTCCGTGGCCCGGGGGTTGGGGACCCCTGCATTAGGCGAGTGCATTGTTGTGCAAATATTATGATGTCCTTACACAAACCTAGATGGTATAGCCTACCACATACCGAGGCTCTATGGTACAGCTTATTGCTCCTACAAACCTACAACCCTGTACAGCATGTTACTGTGCTGAATACTGCAGGCAATTGTAGCCCAATCGAAAGTATTTGTGTATCTAAACACATCTAAACATAGAAAAGGTATAGTAAAAATACAATATAAAAGATAAAAACTGCTGCACCTGTACAGGGCGCTTACTATGTATGGAGCTTGCAGGACTGGAAGTTGCTCTGGGCGAGTCAGTGAGTGAATGGTGAGTGAATGTGAAGGTCTAGGCCATTGCTGCACACTACTGTAGACTTTATAAACACTGCACACTTAGGCTACATTACATTTATTTAAAATTTTTAATTTCTTCAATAATAAATTAACTTTAGCTTATTGTAAATTTTTAACTTTCTAAAGCTTTTAACTTTTATTAACTTTTTAACTCTTCTAAAAACAGTTTAAAACACAGCCACATTGAAGAGCTGCATGAAAATATTTTTATGTCCTTTTTATATGAGCTTCTTTCTATTTATTATTTTCTATTTTTGTTTAACTCTTTAAATTTTTTTTGTTAGAAGCTAAGGCACAGATACACATATTAGCCTAGTCCTACACAGGGTCAGGATCATCAGTGTCTATCTTCCACCTCCACATCTTGTCCCGCTGGAAGGTCTTCAGGAGCAACAGCAGGCATGGAGTTGCCATCTCCGTCCATAACAACCCTTCCTCAAATACCTCCGGCAGGACCTGCCTGGGTCTCTTTTACAGTGAAATTTTAAAAAGTATATAAGTAGAAGGAGACACACTCTAAAATAATGATAAAAATATGGTATAGTAACTATATGAACCAATAACATAATTGTTTATTATCATGATTGAGTACCATGTACTGTACATAATTGTATGTGCTATACTTTTATATGACTGGCAGTGCAGTAAGTTTGTTTACACCAGTATCACCACAAACATGTGAGTAATGAGTTGTGCTATGACATTACAACAGCTGTGACTTCACTGGGTGATAGAAATTTTCAGCTTCATTAAAATCTTATGAGACCGACATTGTACTGTGGTCTGTTGTTGACTGAAACATTATTATGCGACACATGCTTGTATTTATAAAATGAAAATAACATTTGTCCCAGAGAGTTATTATACAAATGATACAATGAATGGAATAAAAGAGTATAAATTGTAACACACCATACATGTAAGAGAGCGTTCTAATATTTCAATGGTATTACTACAACTACCACTAATATTACTATTATCACCGCTATCCCAACCAGGGTTTTGGATGATGTATTTTTTCTACTTATGTGTAAGCAAATAACAAAAACAGAGGTTAACTATAAAGGGATAAGTGGTTTTTAGAGGAGAAATAGAGCTAGAAGGTAGACTTCTTTGAATATATTTTATTTGTAGACTTGATCTTGGAGAGGTACAAATATATTGTACAATTTTAAAATATAATTTAAACAAAATAACTATATCTATAAATCGGAAACAACAAAGTAAATAAATCTACTCTGTATCTACCGATGACATAAATGTATAGAGAGAAACTATTACAGGAAACGTTAAAACACATAAATTTGAATGTGCATCTCTAAAGAGGATATAATCTAAGAAAAAAAGTAATTGTAAAAAATGTTTCAGGCCGACTCTGGGCCCACTGCCTACGAGTTAGCCCTGGTCTGCAAGGAGCAGGGGGAAAAATGTTTCTAACTGCTTCCAGTAATCATATTGGTGATGGTATTTTGATTCTAACAGTGCTTTGTTTGTAATGTGAGATGAAGCAAATGAGTAATTATGTGAAATCTAATACTATCATCCCTTGTGCCCTTGAGAAGTAAAATTTTCTTTAGGGAGAAAGGAGATATAGATGTAAGTTTGAGAAGTTAAGCAAAATATCAGTAGTACTAAATCATAACTGGAATTATTGCAATGAATTCGTGAGATATTTTATTTTTTGAAGAACCATATTTTTTTGAAGAACCATCTTTTTTGAAGATCCACTAAAAAAGCCTACAAACAATGACCAAACCAGTAATAATAACCATCTCTATTTCTCAGATGTTATTTTTATATCCAGGGCAGAAAATACAAACATAAGCCTGGTATAGCTTGCCATACTAGATAACAAGGAAGATATCAAAACCTACTAAGATTGTTTCAAGTGACTTACATGCCAGTGTCAATAGACCCCCATTGACCACAAATTGGGCAATCTGAGCATCAGTAAGGATACTAACTGCAATGGATTAAAACATATAAAATATGCTTAAATTCATGCATTCATAGTACTATGAAAAAGGAAAATAGTTTTTTACTATCAGAGAATGCTAGGGACTGCATTCATTATTTTGAAAATGGATCAAGGGAAAGATTCAAACATTTATTTTGCCTTTACTAAATAAACTGTATCACTAGGTAACCAAGAAAAAGAAGAAAGTTCCATTTTATGCAACTTTCCAGCTAATAGTTGAAGAAGAAATTATAGAATATTACCATTTTGCAACTGCAAATGAATTAACTGATAATCAGCGTTGCTCACATCACAGAATGAAGGACAAACAGAATTATGTGTCTCCTGATAGAATGCAATTCCACCTATGACGTAGTCTTGCCCCAAGGAGAAAGGGGAGGAGGAAGAGGGATCCAAATCTGATAAAGGGTCTAGATCCAACTGCCAATTTATACAAATACAGAGGACAAAATAATATGTTAAACTATGTCACAGGAATTTGACCAGCAAAATCCAGGCTATGCAAAACTGTATAGAAAAAGCAACTTGCTTTCTTCAACAAATAAGTGGCAAGAACACAAAAAGAGAAATAGTGAATAAAGCTATAAAGTTAAAAAGTTAAAAAAGACTTGAAAGACATATAAATCAACACACTGTGTAGACTAAGACTTATGACATTTTGAGACAATTGGATATTGGTACTCTGGCTGGATATATAATGACATTAAAGAATTATTATTAATGTGTTTGGTCTGATAATGATACTGTGGTAATGTTTAAGACACAAAATTCACCTAGCACTGAGATCTTGGTTTCTAAATATTTACCACTGAAAGGAATCAGAAATCCTTGGAGAAATGTCTGAAACCAGGACTAGGCAGCAAAGGCATCTCATCCTAGAGAATAAGAAAGTGCTCAGAAGGAGAGAGCTCTATCACCGTGACACAAGAGCCAGTTTGATGGGACATCTGTTGGCCAAACTGGGAATTTGAGCGTCACAATTAAAAATGGTAAGAATTGATGACATATTCAGTAAAAAGGAATCCATGAGTCCATAAAAATACACAAAGCAACAAAGAAAGAAACAAATCAAAGGAGGAAGAAAGAAAACTTCTTTATAGTAGGATGCCAGGCAATAAATGGATAAGAAATAGAAGAATTGGAAAATCACTGTTTTGCAATCATGATGCTAATAATTGATTCAAGCAAGAATCATCACTTAATCAATTTACTATGGAAATTTACAATGGAAAAATTTTATTAGGATAAAGATATTAGTAACTTTCAAAGTAATTATTCACATATTACCTATTAATTACAAAGAGGAAAAGTGGACCTTTACAGTGGAGAAATCTGACAGATAGCTGCCATTACCAAGTGATCAAAGCCAACATCACCAATAATGGGATAAACTGATATTAGTTGTATCCTGAGGTGATGTCTTCAGAAGTGCAAGACATCACTTATCTGCTATTCTTACTAAAACTACCTAATGATATCAAATCACGAGGTAACAATCAGACCAGCACAAATTGAAATACATTCTACAATACACAAGCCATACTTTTAAAAATGTTAATGCCATGGAATACTATGCAGCCATAAAAAAGGATGAATTCATGTCCTTTGCAGGGACATGGACGAAGCTGGAAACCATCGTTCTCAGCAAACTATCACAAGGACAAAAAACCAAACACCGCATGTTCTCACTCATAGGTGGGAATTGAACTCATAGGTGGGAATTAAGTGATGACACAGGGTGAGGAACATCACACACCCGGGCCTGTCGTGGGGTGGGGGGATGGGGGAGGGATAGCATTAGGAGAAATACCTAATGTAAATGACAAGTTGATGGGTGCAGCACACCAACATGGCACATGTATACCTATGTAACAAACCTACACGGGGTGCACTTGTACCCTAGTACTTAATGTGTAATAAAAAGATGTTAATGCCATGAACAAAGAACAAGAGAGGAACTTCCAAATTAGTGGCAATTAAAGAGACATGACTATTGAATGCGTGTGAGATTCTGAATTGAAACCTGGCTTGGGAAAAAAATGTTAAGTCAGTAAAATTTGAATATAAACTATGTACCCCATATTTATATGGCATTAATGTGAAATGTTCTGATTTTGAAAATGATGCAGGCTTTGTTGTTTAAAAATACATGTTGACGTGTTTAGGCATGGCTGGATGGAGGGCAGGAAGGTGAACAAATATGGCAAAATGTTAACAATAGTTGAATGAGTCAGTCAGATTAAAGGTTACATGAGAGTTTGTATAATAAAATTCTTACAAGTTTTCTGTAGCCCTTACATTTTTTGAATTAAGAATTTTTTTTAAAATTATACTTTAAGTTCTAGGGTACATGTGCACAACGTGCAGGTTTGTTACATATGTATACATGTGCCATGTTGGTGCGCTGCACCCATCAACTCATCATTTACATTAGGTATATCTCCTAATGCTTTCTCTCCCCTCTTCCCCCAACCCCACAACAGGCCCCGGTGTGCGTTCTCAGCAAACTATCGCAAGAACAAAAAACCAAACATCACATGTTCTCACTCACAGGTGGGAATTGAACGATGAGAACACCTGGACTCGGGAAGAAATTTTTTAATTAAAAAATTTGGTTGAACGTTTTTCTTGTTAAATGATGTTTAAAAAATGAAAACAAAGTTCTTGGCTTAGTAAAATAAATAAATAAATAAATAAATAAGCACAGATCAGAGAAATAGAGGAAAATGTATGTAATGAAAACATCCTGAATCTTGACTGTGGCAATAGTCTCACTGGTGTATACATACGTATGTCAAAATTCATCCAATTTACATTTTGAGAGGGTTCAATTTATTGTACAGTAATTATACCTCAATAAATTATTTTTAAAAGTGCACAAATCTTGAATAGTAAAACAGTTTCTTTCTGAACACAACTATGAGGAAAGAACAAACATTGTTGACTTCATATTAATTTATGGATAATTTTTATTTTAAAATGCTTTCTCAAGAATTAGACTACAAGTCAATTGAAAATGCTACATCATGAGCCCATTCCATATATATTGTTGTGGTCAGTTCATCACAAACATAATTTATAAAAAATTATTTTGCAGTTTTTTCTCTATCTGAAGATAAACTAATTTATTAGCAAGAACTTTGAAAAAATAAGTCAAAATAGAACATATTATAAATGGTTTCACTTAAATACCAAGAAATAACTTTCTAAAGTATTAAGTATCAAAAAATAACGGCAATAACTGAGCCTATATTACGGTCAAGCAGGTGCTTTCCAAGCCTGTCAGCACAGGATGAATGGAGCGGTGAAGCTCTCTATGTGCAGACTCCTGCAGGAACATGGAATGCTGGAAATTTAGAGAACAAACAAAATGCCTAATAATAGGGGACTAGGGGAATAAATCTCACATATCCACAAAATAAAATAGTATACAAGCATCGTATATGATGTAGGGATGTGTGTACTTACATTAAGGGAAAAATATAATGTACTATATAGAGTATAAGCTCATTTTGATTAATACACAAGAAAAATGTCTAGATTAGTTAATGACTACAAAAATACACTTAGATAACGGGAATAAGTTCTAGTGTTTAATAGCATAGTAAGGTGACTACAATTATCAACAATTTATTGCATATTTCAAAATGTGGAATGTTCAGCTGGGGACAGTGCTGTAGTGAGGTAGTCTTCACGGAGGAAGTGACCTGATGAGAAGATTTGGAATGCTCTCAACACAAAGAGATGATAAATGTTTGCAGTGATGGGTAACCCATTTACCGTGATTTGATCATTGGACATTGTATGCATGCATAAAAATATCACATGTATTCCATAAATATGTACAACTATTATATATGAATTTAAAATGCCTAGAATATTATATGACAAAATAAAAACAACAATGCTCTCTAGGTAATAGGAATAGGGTTGTTATCAGATTCTTCTTTTTGTTTATTTGTATATTCTGATTTGTCCATAGTGATCATGTGTTACTTATATAATCAAAATAGCAATATAAGAGTTTAAATTGTTCTCATATAAACTACATTACCAAAAAGAGTGATTTAAAAAGTATCTGTTAGAGACACACATTGGAATATTAATAAGGAAAATAATCTGATGGCTGGAGTTGATTTAAAATAACATGGAAGAGAGATTGAGGTTGCAGTGAGCCAAGATTATGCCACTGCACTCCAGCTTGCACAACAGAGCAAGGCCCTGTTTCAAATAATAATGATAATAATAATACTAAATGACATGGAAGGGGAAGAGGTGAAATCGGGGTATAGAGAAAATAAAACTAGTCATGAGTTGATAGTTGTTGAATCTGAATAGTGGGTACATGATGAATGCTTATTACACTCTTCTGTTTTCTTTTGTATATGTTTAATATTCTCTATAATGAAAGGTTTTAAAAGTAAGCTGACTGAATACAGAATTTTCTTAAAGCAATCAATATTTACAACATCAAAACCAAGAAAATTCTGAGCTGTCACTACTTGGGGACATTTCTGCACAGGAGCCCATTTCTTTCTTTTTTTTTTTTTTTTCTTTTGAGGTGGAGTCTTGCTCTGTCACCCAGGCTGGAGTGCAGTGGCGTGATCTCGGCTCACTGCAACCTCCACCTCCCGGGTTCAAGTGATTCTCCTGCTTCAGCCTCCCGAGCAGCTGGGAATACAGGCACGCCCTGCTAATTTTTTTATTTTTTATTTTTAGTAAAGACAGGGTTTCACCGTGTTAGCCAGGATGGTCTCAATCTCCTGACTTTGTGATCTGCCCACCTCGGCCTCCCAAAGTGCTGGTATTACAAGCGTGAGCCACCACGCCCAACCAGGAGCCCATTGCTAGGAAGAGCCTCCATGGAATGCCGGCAGTGAACAGCATCTCCTCTGAACTGCCTGAGCATCACCATTGCACTGTGTACTCCGGGCTGTATTCACCATCACCCAAGGGTGGCCAGATAATCTGTCTGCCACAGCATCTTCAAGATTTGAGCCATTTCCTCTGTGAAGGTTTCCTCACTACAACACTGCCCGCAGCTGAAACTAAACATTCCTCCCACCAAGCTCTTACGGCAGCATGGTTTATAAAAGATACTTGACTTCTTGTCCCAACTATAAGCACTTCACATTTGTTATTCACCTGTATATCCCTAGGACAGAACCCTTATGGTCACTAAATAAGCATTCGTGGAATGAGTCTCTTTCTCAAATCCACACTGTTGCTTGATCTTTTTAAGCCCCTGAAAAACTGTCACTTCAGAATTACCTTGGCCCCCAGTGAAGGAATGGGTATTCACTGAGAGGCCGAGGCGGGTGGATCATGAGGTCAGGAGATCGAGACCATCCTGGCTAACATGGTGAAACCTCGTCTCTACTAAAAATACAAAAAAATTAGCTGGGCGTGGTGGCGGGTGCCTGTAGTCCCAGCTACTTGGGAGGCTGAGGCAGGAGAATGGCATGGACCCGGGAGGCAGAGGTTGCAGTGAGCCGAGATTGCGTCACTGCACTCCAGCCTGGGTGACAGAGCAAGACTCCATCTCAAAAAAAAAAAAAAAAAGCCTCTAGTGTATAGGGGAACAATATGATTCTTTTATCTCATATACAAGTAGTGGAGCCCAAGAAATTTATCAAACTTCTTAAAATAGAGAGTTTGAGATCTAATTATAAACAGATAGAAAAATGAAGAACTAGACTAAGTTATACCACCTCAAACATCCTAACACTATTTAAATATCTTAATAAAACTAAAAACAATTATTCAGAATAAGACTCCCTCCTCTGATTTATCCTTACCATCAACTACTCTGAAAAGTGAAACTGTTATTTTCCATTAATAAATTGGTATAACTTTAGTTAGTCTTCCCATACTAATCTGTTCACTGGTCCTGGAGCGTGTACTTTTCTTCTCTACTACTTGGCCTTTATTCTTACTTGTGTTCCTTCCCCTGGTGGGGCTATGGCATTCTGTTCAACTTCAGTGAACTTGAAGTTTCACTCTAGTGTCACCTTTGTTTTCCTAGCCAAAAACAATCTTCCTTTTTTTTTTTATTAAAAAGTTTGAGAGAGTCTCGCTCTGTCGCCCAGACTCGAGTAAGTGATTTGATCATTGCCCACTGCAGCCTCAAATTCCAGGTCTCAAGAGATCCCCTGTCCTCAGCCTGCGAAGTAGCTGGGATTACTAATGCATGCTACTGTGCCTGGCTAATTATTTTTATTTTCAGTTTTTGTAGAGACAGTGTCACACTATGTTGCCCAGGTTGATCTTGAACTCCTGGTCTCAAGTGATCCTCCTACATTGGCCTCCCACAGTGCTGGGATTCCAGGTGTGAGCCACTGAGTTTGGCCTTCCCTTCGTAAGATCCACATCACTTTCTCATGTTATCCCTTCTTATCCTGTGTTGTAATTATTCGTGTGAAGTCCCCTATCCTAAAATAGCTTGAAGTCTCTCTGAAGGCAGATAAAACATGAGTCCAGCTAAAGATCTCCTCACATGCATACCTTGTCTTGCACCAGCAGATGCTCAGCAAACAAATGAATAAAAGGATCAATAAATAGGCTTGATGAATTAAATTTTTTATCAGATTGCCTGTTGGTTTTGGCATTGCATAGGCACTCCCCAAGCTGTTTAAATTTCCTTTATTTACCAAATACTTGCTACTGTTTGTGAGAATAGTGGAAATAAGACAATTTTCCCCAACAGAACATTAACATTCAAGCAGAGGTTAAATGGCTCCTTTGGGAGTGGAGAATCTAGGAAGTCTAACGTGTAGTGACAACACTCAAAGAGAAACCCTTCTTGGATTCTGTATGTCAAACAGTTCCACGACTTGTTCAAGTTTAACTGTGGGACTTTTGAAGCCATTGTGACTATTTTGCTTCTGTTGGGTGACTGGAAAGACAGTATCTGCTACCTGGGAAGGGTTAATTGTGTTCTTATATTTTCAACTCTACTTTTTAAAAAGGTGTGGCTGCATTTTTCTCTTCTCTTTTCTCCCCATTGTCTCCCCTACTCTTCCTCACTCTTTTTCTATCTCCCCCTCTCTAGTTCCTTCCCTGATTCCTTCTCTTCAGTCTTTCATTTTCTTCCTCTGTATCTCCTTCTTGCCTCTCCCACTGCACCCTTTCCTTCCTTTGCTTCCCCTACACCTTCTCCCTCTCATGTGATTTATGTTAAAATGTACGACATCAAAGAGTTACCTACATGAATCTGAACCCTGGGTTTAGATCTACCTAAGGTAGGTGGCATAAATACCTGAGAGGTGGGGAGGAGAGAAGCAGCTCTAGAAAATGCTTTCATTCAGAAGGTGTGGCACAGAAATCATGGTGGCATGTGGCATGGTGGCAAGTGACAAGAGGCATCCACGCAAAAGCTGGCATCCAGGGGACCTAACAAGAGATCATGGGCTGCCCCAAGGTTGCCTGAAACATTGTGATGGGATACTAACCTGAATACAAAGCATGACTGCAGATCTGGAAGGAATTGGATTCAAGAAGGAATTTGTAAGTGGGTAGCAGAACCTAAGCCATCTTTCTAGGGTTTACTATAAACCTAGAGGCAGGTTGAGGATTAACAAGAGCAAGCAGTGCTTTGAGCCTTGCAGGCCTGCTTCCTAGAAAAAGTATTCTGGCAGAGCATCTTACTGGTTATAAGGGAATAGGGCCCAAGAAGAGAAAGTTTCCCAAGAGGAAATATGTAAAAGGGCTTAGTTATAGGAAGAAAGGAAAAATCTGATTCCCAAAACTGAAGCAGTCCATGGGCAGAGCAAGATGAACCTGAGCTACTGACCTAAGCTTCCTTAAAATAACCCCAAATGAAACATGGTTGGTTCTGGAAACTGGAATTGGGGGTAGCCTCCAAATAAGGGTCCAGTAGCTCTGGGTCATTTCATCGTCAACTGGAAATAGATGCAGCAGTCTCAGTGGTCATGACTCTAACATCAGATCAGCCTGAGCTCAAGTACCAAGTACAGCTCTTACAAGATGAGAGAGACCTTGGGAAAGTAACATAACCTCTCTTTGCCTCAGTTTTCTCATCTGTAAAGTGGGGGGAAACAGTACCAATGTCATGGGGCTATCATGAGAATTAAATGAATCCTTATTAATAAAAGGTTTAGAATAAGGGCTGGGCGCGGTGGCTCACACCTGTAATCCCAGCACTTTGGGAGGCTAAGGTGGGCAGATCACAAGTTCAGGAGTTTGAGGACCAGCCTGACCAACATGGTGAAACCCCGTCTCTACTAAAAATACAAAAATTAGCGTGCGTGGTGGCACGCACCTGTAATCCCAGCTACTCAGGAGCTGAGGCAGGAGAATTGCTTGAACCTGGGAGGCAGAGATTGCAGTGAGCCGAGATCTTGCCACTGCACTCCAGCCTGGGTGACAGAGCAAGACTCCACCTCAAAAAAAAAAAAAAAAAGCTAACTTTTCTCCAGAGTCATGTATTTTCAACAAAAGGGGTTTAAAGTTTTTCTATTTTCCCAAATCAAGTGAATTTCAGCTCAATAAAATCATTCATTTTTCAGGGAAACTGATTCACTTTTCATTTACTGAGTATAGACCACCTGAATTGGGTCCCAAACTAACTCCTCATAATAAAAACTGAACATGGGAGTTGCTCTGCTGTGTGGCAAACACACCATCATTCTTGTAATTGCCTTCACTTGAAAACTCAGCCACATATTTATCTCCCCTTTCTCTAACCCCAGTATCTCAGAAAGTCATATAGCATCATGGTTAAGAGAGCAGACTCAGGAACCAGACATAACTGGGCTTAAATGTTAACTTTATCCCCTTTTTAAAGCTTGGTAGAGCTGCCTATCTTTTCTTTCTGAGCTTCAGTTTTCTCATTTGCAAGTAAGTGAGGATAGTAATACCCATGTCATAGAGTTATTGTGAGGATTGGATGTGATTTTGCATGGAAAGGGCTTAGCAAAGTACCTACTTATGGAAATGTTTAATGCATTTCAGTCAAAAATCATGTATCATAATCCAGTTGAATCCATTTTTCAAATGTCTCCTAACTTTGTCCCTTCTGCTCCATCCTTCCAATACTATTGTGTATCTCTGTCGGGAGTATATGTGTGTATCTTCCTTACAAGACGGTAAACTCCTTGTGTGTATATACAGTTTGGTTTATCTTCACTTCCCATTCCATTTTATCTTGAATGCTGCTGGGCTTACAACAGTATTCAACAAACATTGATTGAAAAGACATTCTGCAGAACCTGATTGTCCCCTCTGTTCCTTGATTGCAGAACTTGGTACAATTGGTAGAAGTATTAAGACTAAAAACTTCAAGGGTCTTGAGTGCTGTAATAATGCCTTGTGGTCATTTGATGCTTAGAAAACAGCTTGGTAACTTAGAGTCAATTTAAACCATCCACACAAGAACCTCAAGCTAATATTCAGCCTATTATGTGGGAGTCTAAATGGCCTTTCTATAGAAAAATCTGACTAGCTTCTGCATTGGAGACTGAATGGCATGCTTCTTAGACAATAGACAACAATGGTTGTCTGTGGGGGACAGAAGAGGGTAAGGGTCTGGGAGCTGGAAAGAAACTGATGAAGCCACAAAAGAAAGCTCTGAACTTCACATTTATTAATGCATGTCTTTGTGTCATTACTTATCAGCAATATTTGTATTTTTAAACACAGTACCAATTAAGACTGGCAGTTAGTGGACAACTGATGTAAAGCACCAGATGTGGTTCCCCTATGTCTCATTGATCTTGCTATTTGATCCCTTTTTTCCAGTGTTGCAAGTAATTTGGCAACATTATTGACAATGTAAACTGATCAAACTTCTATGACAGACATCTTGGGAAGGGAAGAAAATGATAGGGCATTGTGGTTCAAACTGATACTTTTCTAAAAAAGATAACAGTTTTTAGTGACCAGGAATGTGCAGTCTATGAAACAAGCCATTACTGCCTATGAGGCAGGGTTCGTGACAGCACTATATGTAGAAATAAAGGAGGCATCTTGTATAGATGGCTTTATTCATGAAAACATAAAAGAATGTTCTGTTAAAAATCAATGTACTTTTTAGATTTCCAGTGCTCAAAATTCTACTATTATAGTCAATCCTTATAGTCTTTCTTACCAGAAACTAACCAACTAATCAGCAACTTGGTAGGGTTTTTGAAAACAAAATGAAGTCCTTTGTTACTTGGGAAAGAACAGAAAGGAGGAGGTATGAGAAAGGGGTTATAGATGTTAGAAGATGGTGAAAGATGGGGTGATTTCAGTTTAGGGTCAACAGCCTCCAGTCAGTGAATGGGAGATGAAGGTGGGAAGTCAAGTCTGTTAATTCAGCCATCACCAAAACTGACTGATGGATCCTGCCTATTGTCCGCTGGCTTCATGTGCGTTTTCATCCTTTACTTCTAAGAAGACTGTAAAATATTTTCCATATTGCTCTTCTCCAGTATTCTACACTTCTGCTTCCTCTACTTCAGCTTCAGCTATTCTTTTAATGTTCAGTCTCATCATGCCAATCTTCCTTCTGCTTTACAATCTTTCATGGGACCTCATTTTACCCTAAAATTAACTCTCCATTCTTTAAACTGGCCTGTCCTCTCCCCGAAGCCTCATCCTTCCAGTGTTCTCTCCACTACCCGCTGTATATAAAAGAATGCCATGTTCTTCCAAAGTTCTCTGTCTTGGCTAATGCTCCTCTCTCCATTAGAAATTTTCTTCCTTGCCTTTTCTGCTAGGTGGCCTCCCAGGCATCCTTCAAGGCTCAGGTTAAAGTCGACCTTTCAATAATGCTTTGTTGGACTCACCTAGCCAGAATTAATCACTCCTGACCCTGTGACTCGGTAGAACCTAGTGTATACTCTATGACTCTCTCATTGAATGAATGATGATTGCCTGGCTCTTCATTAATATTAGCTTGTGAGGGCAGTGACTGTGTGTTGTGGGGGCAATGTTATGTTTTTCAGGAGGTCGTTTTATTTCTCTTCTGGGCACAAAGAAAGGCTATATTTCCCAATTGCAATATGTCTAGTTGTGGCTTTGAAGCAAACTTTGGCAAAAGTGATATATACCACTTCCAACTGGCTGCTAACAGATAATGCATAATCTCTATTGTTTTTCTCTTGCCAACCACTCAGCCTTTTTGAGGATTTCAATAAACAATTGGATAGAAAGATCTTGAGTCTGAGTCACCGCCTGTAGGAAAGCTACTCTGCTAGCACATCAGCACAAGATTTCTCAAGAGAAAAATGAACTGTCACTGTCTTAGACACTAGAGTTGGGGATATTATTATAGCAATTAGCCTTACTTACTCTAATATGGTATCTCATTTCCCTTTATGATGCTTTTTTTCTCATTGTGATTTCCAGTCAACCACTCCTCCTTGTCTACCTATGTCAGTTCTGACTTTACTTTTCTCCCATCTAGCATGGATCCTTTGGTCAATCATTTAATGACATTATTGCCATCACCCTAGAATCTTTTTCTGATGTTTTATTTTATTAGCACAAGTTGTTTTTATAACAATAATAGCAGTAGTCATTGTTGCAGCCCATTAGGAGCACGTAATACTTTGCAGATTATGTATCTTGGCATTTATTGTCTAAGTTTGATTTTGGCCTCTCATGGTTTCCATCTTACCTCAAAGTGCTTCCTGCCTGCTATCTCCACTCCTGAATCCAAGCTGATACCACTAGAGAAGTCACAGAGATCTGACTTTTGGCTTCAATACAAATTAAGGGTATTTCTTCATTGCCATTGAGCAAACATCTTAGTCATCTCTTGTACTCCTTGTTTAAATCTTCACGACTTTTTAAATCAAACTTTTTCTACTCCCCTTAGAACTCCACCCATTTCCAATGTTAAACCCTCCCCTGTGTACCTGATATGAGAAACGCAGAATACAGGATTACTAAACTGTTGTGTACAGTAGCCATCAATTGTACCAAGCTTGTATGAGGCAGGCACATAGCAGTCAAATAAGCAAAAGGCCAGCTATATGGATTTTTTTGTGATCATTCTTCCCAAAGAATTTTCTTCATATTTCTAGTCCAACAAACTATTCTGGATGAAAAACATTTTCTGGAGTCAAATAAGTGTGGAAACTACTTCACATAATATCCTCATTATTAATCTGCTCCCTTAACTGCAAACATCTTATGACCATTGGTTGTGGCCAGCAAAGAATGTGTTTTGCTAGTTTAAAGATGAGGTCATTTTTAAAATGGTGTCACCCTGGCTTTCCTAGGCTCCTGCTTCCCTAGGAGAATGAAAATGTTAACTCCATGCCTCTCCAGCACTCCATTTTGGAAGCATATAACTTGTTTCCTAGTCCATAGATCCATAGATGTACAGGAATTTTACCCAAAGATGGGTCATATCCAGAGTCTCACCTATACCTCACTTAGATGGCATTTGGGACCATTTGAGTTGATGACATATGAGATTTTGCCCTTGGGTTGATGCTGGAATGGGTTAAGCCTTTTAGGACTGTTGGATGAAGCGAATTCCTAGTCTTTCTGCAAATGGCTTTGTATCACCAAGAATTCCTTCAATAAAGGAAGCTATGTCACTTTACCATCTCAGCACTTCCCGAAAGTTTTGTTTACAAAACTTTTATATAATATACTTGTGAAGATTTAATGGAAGAATTCAGTCTAATTCTGCTTTCATCTGTGTAAAGTTATCTTTCTCTGGAGATAGGCAAACAATATTTTCTCCTTTGCTGATGTCAGACCAGGGCTAAGATACACAGGAAGATTGCAGGTACAGTAACTTACCCCAGGGGGAGGAAAAGGGTATTTACCAAACTTGTATGCCTCTTTTTCATTTAATAGTGATCCCAAGAAAAATGTTAGTATTCTTTCTTTTACACATAAGGAACCATATATAGGTAGTAAGAATACGATTCAGGATTCCAAAATCCATGATCTTTTCATGTCTTGACTCAGCTGGCATTGAGCTGGGAGTACAGAGATGGGTGCATGTCACTATGAGAGTGTTTAGACTCCTTCTAGCTTAATGGTGGATGGTTCTTAATTTCATTATGTAAGAATTGACAGTCTCCAGAACCATAAATGTCACCTTAATAATAACTATTGGAGCCTATTAAGTCTAGAAATTTACTTTTTCATAGTTACCACAAGAATGGGATGCAGAAGAATATGACTGTTACTCAATGGCAATATGAAAATCAATAACCCATTACCTCTGTCAGGCATATCCCCAGACTGCGCCACCTTTGTGAAGGAAAGACTGATGAGTTACCACTTGAGTATGAGTCAGAACCTACATAGATTTACTGAAAGTATAACAAGTTAGATATGCCCATGGATGCTGGGCCAGGTGGCAAATGATGATAAGTTCTGGATCTTTTTGCCTTCAAGGATATCTTTTATTCTTCTCACATGGGCTCTTACTTTGCTACCAAACTGTTAGTTAAGTACTAATTATGTTCCCCACTTGTATTTATCAGTAGCGTGTAGAACTGCCAATCAGAACTTGGGGTCAGCATCTGCCTAGTCGGTATAATTGCATCAATTTGATACAACTCTAATCAAAACGAAAGAAACTTTTGATACTTCAGATGGCTTTTGCCTCCTTATTACAGGTAAATACATAGCTCCTTTAAACATGTATAAAATAGTTTGGGGTTATAGTGAGAGTGGATTGAAGGATATTTTTAAAAACATTTTCTTCATATATTTTGCATAGTCTCACTGGTGTGATTATCTTACATTATTTGTGTAATCAGAAGAATTAATAAAGTAGAAAATAATTTTAAAACACAATTGCCTGAGAACCTGTATTACTGCTTTCATGGTCTTATCAAGTTCTAAAAGGTAGGAAACTAACCTAGACATCTTTGTAAGAACACTTCTGTCTCAAAAAATTCAAGAAAAATCTTATGGCCTTCTGTTTTGTTTTGTTTACAGGGAGAAATAATTGCTCTCTTTCCAGTATGATTTCCATTAGCTGTAGTAACAATTCTGCAGGGCTTTTTAATACTCCTGGTAATGAGGCATCCTTGGGTCCCTGCATTCGGTTCATTCAATATCTTGCTGGGAAGGCAAAGTCGTAAAAAAATTAAAAAAAAAAAAGAAAAACCTCTTCATTCTCACATCACAAATCACAGCCAGAAGCAAAAAAGGAAAAAATAAAAACCCTAAATACTCCATATCCTGCTACCTAAGCATTTAAGTAATTAGTTTCCTGAAGTTTGGCCACCAGACTAGTAAGCAGCTACAAAGGTCTTAGTGTTTACTTTACAGTATATCCCCAAACTCAAGGCACACAGCTTATAGGCTGACCAATAATTGAGTCTCTTTTGTTTATTTGTTTGCTTCTATTGGAGGAGGAGGTACTAGGGAAAAAGAAAATAGAGAAAATAACTTTACCATTATTCTTTCGCTAAGTCCTCCTTAATGTTCTCCAAAATGAAAGGCAAAGTGGCTGGAAGTGGGTGTCTTTACACCAGCCCTATCCTTGCAAAATTCCCACGTAAGATGCTACTTTTCATTGCTTCTTTTAATGATCATATTATTTTTATTTTATTAGTTTGACTTCTTTCTTTCACTAATGCATGAGTTAACATATGACTCACATTTTATAGTTATTTCTTTTCATCTTTGGAAAAGCAGAGATGCTTTTGAAAAATTCCATCTATATACGTATTTAGACCACTTTGCATTGAAGGACATATTTTATTGCCTGTTACAGAAAGCACTAATAAATGGATAGCACTTTTGCATTTCCTACAAGTCTAGAGGACAGTGAATGGAGGAATTTTGTTCTCTGCTTAAATTATTCACAGGGAGAAAGTAAGGTGCCTGGGGTGGTGCATTTGGGCATTTGGGTCACAATATGTTTTGGTAAGAGCAGTATGATACAACAAACCATTCCCTAAAGATATGGTATTGAGGCCAGGGACAGTGGCTCATGTCTGTAATCCCAGCACTTTGGGAGGCTGAGGCAAGAAGATCACTTGAGGCCAAGAGTTCAAGACCAGCCTGGGTGACATGGTGAGACCCTGTCTCTAAAATAAATTTAAAAAATAATAAAACAATTTAAAAGATATGATATTAAGAACAACTGAAAACCTCCATACATTCAGCATAGAAAAGTTGGAAAGAAATTTAATCTGAACTTTTTAAAGCACATATTTTGTTTCAAATATTATGCTAAATGCTAAGAATAAACAGAAAAATACACATCCACATAAATTCACAGTTTAGCAGCTTATTAAGAAAGACTTACATACAAATAAATGTATCCTTAAAGAAATAGAAATTTCAGTTACATATAAGGTAAAGTAACACTCCTCTCTCTGCCCCTCTCACTGAAGGTAACTGAGAATACTGGACAATATGCATGCAACATTAATCTGAAGACTCCAGAAAACAAATGCTAGCAGGCAGTGTGATGAACTGCAAGTATCACTGAACTGGCAGTATCTTTAAATCCTCAAACCCAGAAGTACACACTAGGTGCAGACAGAAAGAGCTCTTAGAGAGGCCCTCTCTTTCTGGTTGAAGGAGCAGGAAATTGGGCCCCTAAAGAACAAAAAGAGTGTCAAAATTCCCTTGAATTTTGTAGTTTTGTTGCTTGTTTTGCTTATTTGTTTGTTTGTTTGTTTGTTTTTCCATCCTCTCTCAGCCCCAAGGCAAACCCATTGTAGCAGCAGTGGCAGTAATAGCAGAGCCAATGGCGGATGTGGTGGCAACACTAGTAGAACAGATGCCCAAAACTCTGAGCCAAGAGCACAGGAGAAATCCTCATTGCCTTTCTTTCCCCTTTCTGAATTCTTTCACCATTTGAACTGGCTGGCAGAACTAATAACAAAATATAAACAGCAGAGTAGACAATTCAAAGCCTCAGTTTTCTCAGCAGAAGATGAGAAAGGAAAATCTTTGAAGCTGGAAAGTTCCAGGAAAAGTATTCAGCTGAGGAAGCTGCGGAAATCCATCCCAAAACATTATTTATAAACTCCTGGGCTTACCCTCAACCTTCACACGCATATATTTGAACATAAACAATACAGCAAAAGCTTTGAGAAATCATCTATAAAGTAGACCACTGTGCAGGTCTAATACTGGTTACTGGGTGGCACAGAAGCAGGAGGATTCAAATAGCACTTCAAAGTCTCTGAAAACTAAATTGACATTTGAGCCAGCTGGAACTTGTGGTCTAAATTCATCTTAATCAATTGCTTCCTTTAAAAAGTTAACATCAATATTTTCCATGACTTAAAACCAAGTGCCTCACGACATAATATTCAATATGTCCAGGAATTACAGTCTGAAATTACTCAATATATGAAGTCCCTGGAAAATTTCAATGATTTGCAAGGGAAAGGACATTCAACAGATGCTAACCTGAGATAACACAAATGCTGGAATGATCAAAGAAGCTGTTTTAACCATGCTCCAAAAAGTGAGCGTGATCACTGTTAAAATAAATGGAAAGATTAAAAGCTGCATGAGGGGAAATAGAACATATTAGAACAATCCAAATGGAAATTTTAGAACCAAAAAAAATACAATAACCAAAATAAAAAAATACACTGGATGTACTCAATAGCAGGATGCAGACAAGGGAAAAAAAGGTCATTAAATTTGAAGGCAGATTAATAAAAAATTATTCAATCTAAAAACAGTAAATACAAAATTTTAAAAAATGAACAGAGACTTTAGGACCTCCGACAGTACCAAAAGATCTAATAACGATATCATCAAGGTTTCAGAAGGAGAGAAGAAAGACTATGATGCGCATTAAAGTTTTGAAGAAATAATGGTTAAAATTTTTCCAATGTTGGAAAAATATATAAATTCAACAAGATTTAAGCTCATTGAATCCCATTAGGATAAATTCAAATAAATATGTCTGCCTAGATACATGAAAATAAAGTTGCTGAAAAATAAACACAAATACAATAACCTGAAAGCAGCCAGAGGTAAAAACAACACAAAACAGTTGGAAGGCCAGTGATTTGAATTGGAGTAGATTTCTCATCAGAAATAATGGTAGACATAATTCAATAAAACGTTTTTAAATGCTGAAATAAAAGAGCTGTCAACCAGAATTCTATGTCCATGAACATGCCCATGAGAAATAAAATGAAAAGTAAGATATTCTCAGAAGAAAAAAAAATCTATGAAGATCTATTACCAGCAGACTTGGTCTGCAAGAAGTTCTTCAGGTAAAAGAGAAATAATACCAGAGGGAAACTTGGAACTTTCTGAATAAAGAGCAACAGAAATGATAAATGACTGGGTAAATAAGATACAATATTTTTCTCTTAAGTTCTTTAAAATGATAATTGAAAGCAAATAAAATGACATCAACTGGTGAGGTTTGCAACGTATGTTGATGTATTCTAGATGACAATTGCAACATAAAATGGGGAAGCTGAAAAGAGCTATGTGGTGGTTACATTTCTATATCTTCCACTTGAAGTAGTAAAATATTAATTCCAAGTATACTGTGAAAATATGTGTGAATATGTATTTAATTCACATGTGCCTATCTGTATCTATATTTATATCTATGTCTCAGTCCTTAGAGAAACCACCAGAAAATATTTACAAAGACATGTGGTCAAAATGCAAGAGCTAGATTTAAATGGAATACTAAAAAATAGGTAGTACCAAAATAGAAAGCAAAGGGAAAACAGAGGAGTGAAAAACAGAGAAAAAACAAGAAACAATTAATAAGTTGGTAGATCAAGTCCAACAGATGTTAAGGGAAAAATTAGAGAAACTTTTTAGAAAGAAATTCGTAGGCCCAAATTCAACAATATCAATAATTACGTTAAATATAAGTGGACTAAAAATACCAATTTAAAGACAGATTGTCAGAATGGATTTTAAAATGCAGAAGATAAATGCTATCTATGAGAAACCTACTTAAAATATAATGATGTTTATAGGTTAAAAGTAAAAATATGGAAAAATATACCATGTAAACACTAATCAAAAGAAAACTTCAGTGGCTATATTAATATTTGACAAAAAAGACCATAGAATAAAGAATTAACAGGTTCAAAAAGGACATTCTGTAATGATTAAAGATCAATTCACCAAGAAAACATAACAATCTTAAATGTATATGCACCTAACATCAGAACCTCGAAATACATGTAGCAAAAACTGATAAAAGTGAAAGTACAAATAGGCAAATCCACAAATATAGTTGGAGGCTTCACCACATCCTTCTCTGTAATCAATGGAACGAGTCAACAGAAAACCAGAAAAGACAGAGAACAATTGAACACTTACGGAACACTCCACCCCAAAACAGCAAAACAGACATTCTTTTCAAGTGCACCTGAAACATTTACCAAGATAAACCATATTCTAGGCCATATAAATCAAAGACATAAGGGTTTTGTTTGTCCCTGCTTAATCGACAGTACATAGAACAGCGTCTGGAATGTAATAGGTTTCAGTAAGTATTTGATGAATCAATGAGTTAAGACAAATTAATTTTTAAAATGAAAATAAAGCATTAAATGTTAAAATATTAAAAGTTTGTATAAGCATAAAAATGGCACAACAAATAAAATGACTGTCAGGATTAGGGTAAAGAGGAGGTAATATATTAGTTGTTTTTTCCTTTTATTGGAGAAGTAACAAATGTTAATTGTAAAAATATGGAAAATAAATAAAAATAAAGATGAATATTATAATTATCTGTAAACTACATATGCCTTTCAGGTCTTTTGTTTTGCATGTAACTATAAAATATATGTTTTATTTTATTACAACATCAAGATTAGTCTGTAAGTACAGATTTTTATATTTTACTTTTTTCACATTATAATGTGAACATATTCCTGTATCATTACTCTAAAATTATTATTTGTAATTAATAACATAAAACTTTTTAAATATTTTGTGTATTTAATCATTTTCCTATCAATAAGGATTTGTGATGTTTTCTAACTTTTGCTCATAAGTAGTGCTGTGATAAACATCATTGTTCATAAATTATAATATGCATCTTTGTTTATTTTTCTATTATGATTTTTTTAGTAATATAGTTTTTGGATCAAAGGACATAGTTAATCTTTGGACACTTGATATGCATTGTCAAATTGTCCTCCAGAAAGCACTTAATTATCTCTAGTAGCGTATGAGAGTGCTTGAGTATTACTATTTTTCAAAATTGTCATCTATATGAAAACTAAAAATGGATATCCAAGGTTTTATTTGGAGTTTTAAAGTTATGCATAATGTTAACTTTTTCAAATATTTTTCAACAGTTTGAACCTTTTTTATAGATTGTTATTTACATTTACCTGTTTACTGATTGATTTTCTTGCTTATTTTTACAAGGATATACTCTAAACCAATAATAACAGAATGCCAAGACTCAACTTTTCTCCAGTGCATATTGTTTAAACCAGCTCAATATTTCCTCACCACCTACAGCTCTTTCTCTGTAGGATGTACACTTCCAAAGATATCATCAGCCATCATCAACCTCTATCTCCACCTCTATAGTCCTTGCACTCCCCACTATGCCCCTATACTATGCACTTAAACATCATACCCAGTTTTGTTGCTTTCTCAAAGTTTCTGTCTTTAAATTCAGTGCAGAAAGATGCTTGGAAAGTAGCGTGTGTGGGTGTTTGTGTGCATGCACACCCATGTATGACATAGGAAGCTCTGTTTGCTTCATAACATAGAACCCATACCTTTTTATACAATGGTGATACTACATTATGTTTATTCAGCACTTTTATTCAGGAAGAGTCTCCCTCGTGAGGAGGTAACCTGAGTATGCAGATGAAAAACATCCTAGAAGGATATCACCTCAGTTTTTAGTGTTTTGTGTTTACCTTTTTCTGTGCATGTTATGTAAGGAAAGTTTCATATGAAAAAATAATGATGCTTTATCTAGGGATGCTACAGATTTTATATTAGAATTCTATGAGTTGGATTTATGTAAGTTGGGTTTTTTTTTTTTTCTTACTTTTTTGGTGTGGAGGGGAGAATACCTCTCTCTCTCTCTCTCTTTCTCTCTCTCTCTCTCTCTCTTTCCTTCTTTCTTTTCTTTCTCTCTCTCTCTCTCTTCTTTCCCCCTCCCTGCCTTCTTCCCTTTCATTCTTTCTGTCTCTTTCTTTTTACAGTTGAGTTTTGAAGCATAAATAAGAGTGTTTCACATTAACACAGAGAAAATCAGTTCAAACAGTGACATCCACATTTTCAAAGACATAGAGGCATAATGTCTGATGAATTTGGGAAAATACAATCAGTTTATTATAACTGGAATGTAAAGTGCAAGGTGGGCACCTCCTTGAACAGTGCTGAATGGGAACAGTTCATCTCGGAACTCTACATCTGCGCTATTATTATGTTATCAAATTGGGCACACACTTTGGACATTTTTCTTATCTGGGTGCTCTTTCAAGTGGAGTCCTGTAGCCTTTGGTGTATGAGCCCTGCTCTATGAAGTGGCTAGGGCACCTCCCCTCACACACTGAGTTACAAATGCTGTCTCCAAGACATCCATTACATGCTCATCCATATGGTTCCAGCTGTTTGTTCCACATCAACTTTTCCTTTGTATCTCCAACTTCTTTCCCATCTCCTTTGTAATTTATTATTCAATTTTGATCTATCTCATAGTTTCCCACTAGCCCCCTTTTTTCTATAACCTGCCTCATTTATATTTTGTAGTGCCTATATAATATTCTACTGAATGAATGTTTCATGGTTTATCTGACTATTGCCTATGGGCGGACTTCTGATAAAAAAGACAACATCCTCTCTGTCCTATCCTCAGTGCCAGCTCATGAGTTATTCTCCACCAGGCAGCCCGGTGGAATCATTACCCTGGACTGTAAACACTCCAAGCCCAGTTGCAGACCAGGACAGAGCCTGCCTCCCAAATCACTTCAGTCTTCCCTTTGCCTCTTTTCCTACTGACACTGCCAGACCGGTCACTGAATTGTTGTTCCTGTATCCGTCTTCCACCAATCCTCTTGCCTAATCTATACTACAGAGTTCTCTTCCTAAAACCCAGCTATTATGATGCCATCTTTTAATCCTTGCACCCCACGAAGTTCTCCTTAATACTAGAACACAAAATAAACACAGACAAAGGAATTTGAGGCTCTCCACTATCTTTCTAGCCTTTCTAGCCTTGTTTTCTATGATATGTACTACAAACCCTTCAGTCCACTTACTACTTTATGATGCCTCTAATACTTCAGGCACTTTTATGTCTCAATGCTTTTGCTCAAGCTGTTCTGTGTACCTGAAGGACTTTACCTGGCCCCTTACCTTTAGCTGTCAAAATCTTATTTCTTAGTCAAAGTCTAGCTCAAATGATGTTTTCATGAAACCTTCCCAGGATGTATTCCTTCTCTCTACTGAAGTTCACATGCACACAGGCATTTTTTGATATCAGATTTTCAGAATTTATAAATGATAATACGTACTGAAAATCTGCTTTATAGGAGGAAAGCTGTTGTGTCTTGAATACTACTCTATTTTATTGGCTAACAAACTCATTTCATAAGGTGTTGGCAGAACACAGAGATGAATGAAACAATTTCATTCTTTTAACTGGGAAACCGGACAGGTGCATTGCACAGTCTCAGAATTGTGGTAAATATCTCAAACATGTTAGATGTCTAAGGAAGCACACAGAAAAGTGTCTCTGGCTATCTGGAGAGGAGAGGGACATCTGGTCAAGGAAAGGAAAGTTCCACAGCATGGACAATGCCTGGGTCATCCTGCAGGATGGCATGGCAAAAGAAAGAGGATGTATGTGTTAGAGCCCCTGTATTTCATTACAAATACAAATAGCGGAGAAAAAAAAGACTTTCATTATGTTGACCAAAAAATTCACAAAGTCAGTAATTTTAGGAAGGAGAGCTTTGTTTCTAAAGGAGGACTATATCCGGCAGGCATGAAGTGAAACCTCCTGCAAATCAGAAATCTGTGCTTCAAGGAGGAGGAATTAGAGGTAGGAATGTATGCTAAACAGGATGGCAGAGTATACATATTCATCAGTATATAGGAGGAGTTTATTAATATTCATGAAGGAGACGTGCATGCACATTAGGTTTACATGTATGAAACATATAACCCATGTTCACTTTGGGGTGGAGACTTAACATTTAAATACATTATAATTAGCTCTTATATGTACAAAGGTAAAGCATGATGCATAGGGCTGCTTTCTGAGCATCTTAAGAAAACCAAAATCAGTCTTCAGCCAGCTGTCAGCTATCAAGGAGAAGTTTGTACACTGGGATAGAAGTCATGTCAGAGCCAAAAAATAGGAGAAGGGCACTGGGTGGTTGGATGAAGTAAGTGAGGGGTTCTTCCAGTCTTTTGTTCTCCCCAGCTTGCTTTTGAGAAAATCTATTAATGATTAGTAATGGAAAGTGAGGGGTGGGTCATGGCAGCAAAGAGAACATGACCAGCCTCTCATCTTGTTATGTCAAGATCTTAAAATTTGTAGGGTCTATTTTAACCAAAGGAGCATCCATTAGTCTGTTGGAGAGGCTTAGGGCTTTCATTTCAGTCCTCAATTATGAGTAACAGAATTTTCAAAGGCAAGGGTGAACTATGTCTCAGAAGTAAACTGGAACCAAGGCGCTGAAGGCCACAAGGAATTACTTCACATTGACTTCACCTTCTCTGTCACTGCAGACTTATTGTGTCTGCTTTCTGGGACACAGTAAAACATGGTCTCCTAGAGCTCCCAGGCTGACACTTCCCTGGTCAAGGGTTGTTTTAGTTATCTATTGCTATGTAACAAATTACTCCAACACTTGGTGGCTTAAAACAACAAGAATGTATTATTTCAAAGTTTCTGTGGGCCAAGTTTCTCTGAGTATCTCTGGCTCAAGGTTTGCAAAGAGGCTGCAGTTAAGTTGTTGTCCACAACTTTGGTCTCTTCTGAAGGTTCAAGTGGGGAGTGGGTTGGGCAAAGGATGAAAAGGACCTGCTTCCAGGTTTGCTCACATTACTGTTGGCAGGCTTCAGATGATTTAATTCCAAACCCAGTCATGTGATTGTTGGCAAGCTTCAGTTCCTCGTGGGCTGTAGGACTGAAACCTCAGTGCCTTGCTAAGCCTTACAGCCCTCTTCATATTATTGCTTATAACATGGCAACTTACTTTCCTCCACATGACTGATCTGAGAAAGAGAGAGACATTTAGTGTTGTAAAGGAATACCTGAGGCTGGGTAATTTATAAAGAAGAGGTTTATTTGGATCACAGGCTGTACAAGACACATGGCTCCAGCATCTACTTCTAGTAAGGGCTTCAGGCTCCTTTCACCCATGACAGAAGGCAAAGGGGAAGCAGCATGTGCAAAGATCACATGGCAAGATAGGAGGCTGGAAAGAAAGTGGGGAGGTGCCAGACTCATTTAAACAACCAACTCTCAGGAACTAATAGAATGATAACTCACTCTCAGGAACTAATAGAATGATAACTCACTCATTACTCTGAGGATGGCACCAAGCCTCTCATGAGTGACCTGCCCCCATGACCCAAACATCTCCCATGAGGCCCCAACTTCATCATTACCAAATTTCAGCATGAGGTTTGTGGGAACAAATGTACAAACTATAACAGACAGAGAGCCCCAGATAGGGCCCCTATGGCAGAAGCCACATTATTTCTGTAATCTAACCTAGGAAGTTACATGGCATAACTTCAGCCATGTGATATCCACTAAATCCAGCTCACACTGAAAGTGAGGGGATTACATAAAGATGTGAACACCAGGAGGTGGGATTATTAAGGGTCATCCTGGAGGCTGTCTATCATGAGGATTAAATCAGACTGAAACTGGAATTTCTTAGGCCCTCAGAAGGGTTCTGATTGGCTCTGCTGGTGTTCAGTGCCTATTCCTGAAGCAATTGACTGTGTCCATGGGTCAGAGTCACATTTTAAAATAGACCTGCTGAGAACCCAATTCTGAACAGAGTGGGAATTTTTCAGGGGAAAGAAGCTGAGCTACTCATTCAAGTTATCCGAGGTTCTCATTGGCCCCTACACAGACATGCACACATGTGCACATGCATAAACACACACACACACACACATACATACATACATACACATTTATACTTCCTGCTGACCAGGTCAAAGAATATATATTAACGTATAAATAAATACATATACACACATTTATACCCGTGACCACCGTGCCTTTTATCTGTTGTACACGTTAGGATTCTGAAAATACCGTTGTTTGAATTAAGCTTTAAAAACTTTGAAAACTCACATTTGAAAGGACTGAGGTCCAGAAAGAGGCCAGACTTTCCCAGAATCACAGAGCAAGTTAGTGACAGGGCATGGAAGAAGTTATGGGTTGGCAGAAGTCTAGTGTTTTATGATGGTGGCTAGAGATGACGGCTGAGACCTCAGGAGTGATTTTTGAGGAGGAGCTGTGATTCGGGTTTACAAGGAAGAATGAGGAGAGAGAAGTGCTGGAAGAATGAAAACATCGGCCGGGCGCGGTGGCTCATGCCTGTAATCTCAGCACTTTGGGAGGTCGAGGCGGACGGATCACTTGAGGTCAGGAATTCAAGACCAGCCTGGCGGACATGGTGAAACCCCGTCTCTACTAAAAAAACACAAAAATTAGCTGGGCATGGGGGAACGAACCTGTAATCCCAGCTACTCGGGAGGCTGAGGCAGGAGAATTGCTTGAACCCAGGAGGCGGAGGTTGCAGTGAGACAAGATCACACCATTCCAGTCCAGACTAGGCAACGAAAGTGAAACTCCATCTCGAGAAGAAAAAATGAACACATGATTTGGTAGCGGAAAGGACAATAAGATGATGCGAAGACTAGGAAACTAGATCAAAGAAAGGTCTGTTTGAAATGAGTGAAACCTGCATTATTTGTTGGTTGAAGGCATAGAGTGGGAGGAGAAAAAGCAACTGAGGGAGCAGGAGACTTAAGAGAGAGAGTGGACAGAGCTAAGTGCTTGGGGAGAGCTGGGCAGGGTAAGGCCAGGAGTCCATGGGGAAGGATACAGGGCACTTCTTCATCAAAAGGAAAAGAAAAGGAGAAAAGAACGGGGAGGAGCTCTGAAAGATTTTCCTAGTGAGCCACAGGAAGCTGAGGAAGCTCAGAGCAGAGAAGATCCCTGCTGGCAAATCAAAGACAAGCTGTGAACTGGGGAAACTGAGGAAATAGGGTGCAGTTTGAGACGTGGAAATGTGGAGAAGAATTTGCACGACTGCTTTGGGAAGCAATCAGACATTAGAAAACAGGAAATAAAAACTTAGTGATGAGTGGCGAGGGCTCAGCTGAGGTTGGAGGCTAGGACTTTGCAGGGAGCTTACTCTTGTCCCTTTCCCAGAACTTCTCTGACTGTCCTGAAACCAGCAACTCAGTGCAGACCCCTGCCCAGTGCTGTGGGATATGGGGATACCTAGATCTTTTCTGCTGCTTTTGCTTAGATCTGGGGAGGCTGATAAATTTGTTAATGGTGGCCAAATGGAGGATATTATGAAGATGGGGACCAGCTGTTCTTCCTCTCCACCAAAGGAAAAAAATCAGGGCCTGTGGAATATGGAGAGAGGAAGAAGAAATGGAATTCAGTAGAGCAGAAAAATATCGCCCAGCTACATTCAGGAAAACAAACTCCTCATCATAACTTTGTTCTAAAGAACAGCAATTAGGTTATAGGATGACATATTTAATTCTTCAATTGGTTACTTCTGTTATGGGCTTAAAAATAAATGAACTTAAGCTATAGCTTGAGCTATTTAAGCAAATGTCAAGGAACACATTTGTGGGACTGTTAAAAAGCAGTATAGCATAATGGTTATTATTTATTATCATGGCCTTTGGAGCCGTACTGTCTGGGTTTGAATCTTGCCTCTTAAAAATTGCATGGCCCTGGGTGAGTCACAGCCCTTTCATGTTCCATTTACTTCATCTCTAAAATGGTGATGACAATATGCCTAACTTACGGGGTTGCGAAAGGCTCTTAGAACACAACCTGATAAACAATATTCCATAAATATTAGCTATTGGCTGTTATCATTTTTTTAAAAACCAGATTTCTTGGTGAGTTTCATAGAAGTACTTGCTTTCAGAGTAGAGGATTCCAAGAGCCCTCGGTCCTATGGCTTTCAAACTGCTCTTCAGTGCTCAAGAGTGAAAGAGACATGCTTCTGGGGTTCCTTTGGGAGTAAAAAGGGAAAAAAGGCTGCTGTGGCTCTTACCCATTCCCCAGCTTCAGTGGGAAGAATAATGAGCCTAAGAATGAAAATAGCTCTGTTCTATCAATTTCACCTACTTTTCAGTTTTCTGTCTATATCTGGAAAGAAGCTTTCAATATTAAACAAAGAAAACGGAACTAATTTAACACATGAAGAGACTGAAGTCTAGAAGGAGAAATGACTTCCCCAAAGTCAAATGCTGACTTTTCAGCAGAGCGAGATCTAGCACCCAGGCCTCCTGCCTCCCCTTCCGGGACTGCTTCTACTACAGCTTCCTATGGGTTCGGGCCCCACCACAAAATGCCTAGAGACACATGGCCACCACCCAGGCTGCATATCACAATTTCATCATTATGCACCATGCCCCGCTCCAAGGTCTTGATCCCAAAAAGACCTTTCATCATGGAACTGTGGGGAAAGAGAGGAATATCCTAAAGTTTTTCCTAAATGTATGTATATGTGTGTATGTATTCCTAAATGCATGATTGTTTTTCTTTCTCAAACAACCTAGCTTATTCACATTTCCTCTAAAGACTTTTTCTAATTCTCCAGACAATTGGCTATCCCTTCCCAGAGCTTCCTGCGGTGCATCTTCTCAGCATAATGTTTTCATGATCATTTTTTCCTGATGAATAAAATATCCTACTTTCAAGTCAATCATCTTTGACTTCCCAGTGCCAACTTCAGAGAATGGCACATAGCAGGCACTGGGCAGATAATGGAGATGAATACATGTTTTAAATCACCAGCTGATATACTAATGTGAAGAATAATTAGTGTTGCTGTTATTATTACAGTGAAGGAGCATAAGATATAACATTTCCTATTTCAATGAGCCACTTGCTCATTTAGGTTGGCTAAGAACTTTTGCAAAACTTTGTTTCTTTTTGAGAATAAGGTGTGAGTCCAATGTGCTGCATAGGGTTTAGTTTTTATTTGTCACATCAAATGCCTGTAGGGTGGGAGGAGGAGTGCAAAGAGAGTGGAAGAGACTGGTTAAGGGCAAGCACTGTCTGCAAAAAGGTTTCTAGAAGACCCTCTAACCCTGCACACATAAACTGGATACTTTTCTTTCTCAGATACAAGGCCTGTGTATGAGCCCAGAGAAACTTCTTCTTGTAAGCACGCTCCACAGCTGACTGATTAGGGGAGACCTTTTAATGAAGGCATTAATAAAAGAAGCTGCAGCTCCAGAGGGGGCCTATACTAATTAGGATAGTGTCGGCCAGGAGAACGCCCACACAGACAGCTCTGTGTCTTTTCTGCAAGGGTAGGGTGCAAGGAGCTGCCAAGTTTTGCTGCCCCTGATGCCCTCTCTTTCCCACCTTAGGGGCCTGTTTGTTAATATCTATTTCCTACACACTCAACCCCCTGAGAATGTGTATGCCAGCCCCGCCCCAGCCAGGACCTGGGGAGGTGGGACCTTTAAACCATCTGGGACACCTTCCTTCCTGCAGAAAGCATTGCAGTGATGCACATTTCCAAGGAAGACAGAGAGACTGCAGTACTTGGCACTCCCAGCCTCTCGGTTTCCCTTGGCTTGGCAGTGAAACTTCTGACTTCCTCCCTTGGTTCCCTGCCCTTCATTTCATAACCCTCCATACTGACCAACATGATGTCACCTGTATCAGTCAGTGTTCTCCAGAGGAAAAACTATATATATGTAGATGGCCAATATGCATATAATGCTTATGTATATATTCCTTGAAATAAATAATTTATATTTATCATTTATTTATAATCATATATGTATGAGTTATTTCAAGGAACTAGCTGATGTAATTGTGAGGACTGGCAAGTTTAAAATTTGTAAGGCAGGCTAGCAGGGTGGAAATTCAGGCAGGACTGGCTGCTGCAGTCTTGAGGGAGAATTTCTTCTTCTGTGGGAAAATTCGGTTTTTTGCTCCTAAAACCTTTCAACTGATTAGATAAGATCCATCCAGTTGGAGAGTATAATCTCTTCTACTTAGAGTCAACTAATGGTATATGTTATCTATGTCTACACAATACCTTCACAGCAACAACTTAAGTTTGTATTTGATTAAATAACTGAGTACAACAACCTAGCCAAGTTGGTGCATAAAACAACCACACCATTCTTTACCTCATTTGAACTTCCCAATTTCTTTTAGCTAAGCAGAGAAGTTAGCATTATCTACATTCCACAGATTCCAATGCTGAGGCTCTTCTGAGTGGTGATTTGTTCACTTGTACACAGCTAGTAAATGTTATTTCTGGATGTAATAATTAAACCACAGGTTTTGACGGTCTTAAATTCTTAAAGTTAGATCATACCACCTTTCTCACATAAAAGTCATTCATTTATGCATTCAGTAATCATGTTGTAGCCCAATCATGCGCTAGGTACTGATTGAGCAAGAGAGACCTGGGGTTCTGACATTTTGGAGCTGACTCTCTGGTGAGGGAGCCCAACACACTGACATTATACACACACATGTGCACACACACACACACAGCTGCTCACAGCATTTGAAAAGCTTCTTTAAAATGATTGGCAAAGTCTGGGAGAAGTAGGATTGTCATCCATAACAGAGAAGCATGGGACTGAGAAGGCAGCTCAGAATATGCAGCAATTGTTTTTCAAAGAGAGATGAGACAAGCTAAATAAACTCAGTTTCAGCGTGTTAAAGAAGAGTCTGAGATCCATGCCTGTGGTGGAGAGGGTGGTGAATCAGGAGTCAAAAAAGCATATGTTGAATTTTTTCCTTTGGCATGAGCGACTGGTGGGAGCTGGGTTGGAGCCAACATGGGGCAGGCCAAGGCTTCAGCCGGAAGTGGACTGGTGGCACAGGGCGGCCAACCAGGCAGGCCACCCTTGGCTTCTGCTCCTGGGCTCTATGTGCTAAATCTCAGGAGGAAGAATGAATCAAGGATTACCCCTTTGGCTGATGGAGACATTTTGTTCACTTCACAAAATCAGTAAAGTATTTTATGTGGTTTCCAGCAAATGCAAAATACATACAGGCATACATTGTTTTGTTGACTTTGCTTTATTGCACTTGACAAATACTGAGTTTTTTACAAATTGAAGGATTGTGGCAACCTTGCATTCACCAAGTAAGTCCACTGGTGCCAGTTTTCCAACAGCATGTGCTTCCTTCATGTCTCTGTGTCACATTTTGGTAATTCTTGCAATACTTCAAACTTTTTCATTATTATCATATCTGTTATGGTGATCTGTGATCAGTGATCCTTGAAGTTAATATTACAACTGTTTGGAGTATCACAAACCACACCATATAAGATGGCAAACTTAATAGATAAATGTGCGTGTTTTGACTGCTCTATGAATTGGCCATTCCCATGTCTCTCTCCCTCTCCTTGGATTTCCCTGTAACTTGAGACAATTAGATCAATTAACAACCCTACAATGGCCTCCAGGTGTTCAAGTGAAAGGAAGAGTCACACATCTCTCACTTTAAATCAAAAGTTAGAAATGACTAAGCTTAGTGAAGAAAGCATGTCAAAAGCCAAGATAAGCTGAAAGCTAAGCCTCTTGTGTCAAATTGGCCTCTAGCCAAATTCTGAATACAAATAAAAAGCTATTGAAGGGGCCAGGGGTGGTGGCTCACGCCTGTAATCCCAGCACTTTGGGAGGCTGGGGTGGGCGGATCACGAGGTCAGGAGATCGAGACCGTCCTGGCTAACATGGTGAAACCCCGTCTCCGCTAAAAAAAAATACAAAAAAATTAGCCGGGTGTGGTGGCGGATGCCTGTAGTCCCGGTTACTCAGGAGGCTGAGGCAGGAGAATGGCGTGAACCCGGGGGGCAGAGGTTGCAGTGAGCCGAGATCCCACCACTGCACTCCAGCCTGCATGACAGAGCGTGAAGATGTGACTGAATTGTTGCAATTCATAGGTCACATGCTGAGCTATTGGGAGTAGATATTTGACACAGGAATTTTGGAGGAGACACAATTCAACCCATAACAATCAATGTCTCTTAAATCCATTTTACCCTGGGAGGTAGGCAAAGCTAAGATTGTTATTCTCATTTATAAGATGGGTAAAATCATCAAGGCTCAGGACCACTGAGTAAGTGACAGATCTGTCCCTGACCTCACTCCATCCCACACTTAATACTGCAAGTTGTACCTTCAGGCTACATTAGGACACACGGAACCCCACTGATGTCCACGGTGTAGGTTCAGTAAGGGTCAAGCCACAGCCTATGGGCTTGTCAAGAAACTGCTGGCTGAGAGAAAATGACTGAATTAATAAAAGCACCTGACTGTGAAGCACTCCTGGAAGGGATTTTAACCTGAAAAGGAATAAGGAATATTGCCAGGTCTGTATCCCATCAGTCTCCAAATACTAGGAAATGGTGCCAGATAGGGGTTGTGAAAAGTTAACTAGATAATGAAAAGGTTAGCTGTACTCTTGGGGAACATTAACATTTATTTGTTGCCATAACTACATAGAATTATCAGCAAAGTTGGTGTAATCCAAAATAGGATCAAAATATTTGAATGAGATTATCTCAGACCAGAAAACCTTCCAAAATTACCTAGATTTTTCTAAAGGGAACAAGAAATGTTTAGCCTTATCATAAACCCAAATTATGGCATGTCTGGTAGAGAACTGATTTGAGCCATAGCTCAGGCATCCAGAGAGCCCTGGAGAAAGCTTAAGGTTTGCAGTCAGAAAATATGGATTTGAATCTCACCCTTGCTCTATCACTTTCTGGTTGGCTTGAAGACAACATGGGCAGTGGGATGTGCTGGGTCTTTTAGGTCAGCTTTTTTTTAAGCCCTTTTTTTGTTGTTGTTGACTTGCCAGAGATTTTTGTGGCTGTTGCATTACTTTAATAAATCTAGGATTGAACCAGGCAATTGATTGGCAAGTACAAACATCACTTGCCAAAAGGAAAAATTCACATTTCCATAGGGGTTGCTGGCATTTCCAGAGCAGTTTCTAGCATTTCCAGAGTTTTTAATTAGACGATGGTAGGCCCCATAGTCTAATAAAACTTGCTCAGAGTAACCCTCTGGACCACTATCCCTCACGGTGACATACATTGTTCAGGCTACAAAGCTTCTCCTAGGACTTAATCTCACTTGAGCCTCACTTCAATCCTGTCTGTGCACTGGGGAGGACAGAGTTTATTACCAGCCTGGACTGTCATGAAAAGACTAAATTTCACGAAACAGCTCATTGATTTTGGGGCCAGGATTTAAATTTGGACCCCTGGCCTCCTAGTTCACCACTCCACATTGCCTTCTGGCTTAGAATTATCAGTAGAAATTCCATCCCAGAACCCTGTGCAAGAGGCAGAGCTAATCCCCAAGTGGAGGATTAGTTTGTAAGCCTATGTTTACTGAGAACCTGTGCTCAGCCCTGCCATCCTCCTGTCCTACTGCCCTTCACCCCCAGCAAAGTGTCAGAGCCTTCTCCCCCAGGAGAAGGAAACTTAACACTGATTCCCACGTAAGCAACAGCTAGTTTCAATATGTCTTCCTCTTTACCAAAAAGACAGATTTTTCTTTTGCCATTGTATTGAATACAATTGTTTTAAAAATAATACTGAATGGTTAAAGAACATTAACTCACAATTTTATTTAGTACATTTTACTGAGGCCTATCCTATATCAAGTCCTGTGCTTTATTCTGTGGAAACAAAATTAATCAATGACAGACAGTGCTCCCAAGAAGCTCAGAGTCTCATAGGGAAATAAACCATACATGGAGATGGCAGGATGTGAGAGGGGAGACAAGGTGCTGATTGGTTGCACCACCAGCCTTGGAATCTCAGAACCTGAGAAGAACAGCATGGGGAGACCTCTTTTTAATTGTCCTTAGCTGTGGTGTTCATTCTGTAGACTAACTCATCCTACCCAAGCATCTGGAGCTGCCTGTCCAAAAGAATTGTTGGCATGTTAGAAATGCTCTATATCTATGTTGTTCAATATGGTAGCCTTGAATACAGTAATTCAGAAGCTACTGAGCACTTGAAATGTGGCTAGTGCAACTAAATAAATGAGGCTTTAATTTAATCCTATTTTCATGAATTTTAATTATAGCTAGGGGCTACTGTATTGGACAGTGCAGGTCTCTGCAGGCAGGAAAGTGCCTAGCTCTTCATGACCATGTCATTGTTGGGGGTGCAGCTAGACGTGGTTATGGGGAAAGCTCTCTTGATGCTCTGCTGCCCCTCCGGGACATCTGTCATCACCTGCTTCTCCTGGTCTGTATGCCAGGAGGCTTACACATGCAGGGCTGGGTCCTCTGGAGTGTCACTAAACCAAAGTGGTCAGCCAGGCCCTCCCACACCTACATGTGACTACTACTAGCAACACTCCCTTCTCCTTTGAGAGATCAAAGTAATAGAGTCTGGCAAGATGCAGCTTTGGAAAGGTGCCGACCCCCGTGACAGAGAGGCAATGAATTGTCCAAAACACCCTAGGGCCTACCTATCAGGCTGTGTGGCAGTCTGAAGGGCACGTGAACTGGACCTGATGAAATCTCTGATCCAGCCCCAGCTGGGCCATAAGCTCACTCTGTGACCCAGAGCAGGCTGCTCCTCTTGCTGAGCCTCAGTTTTCTTTTCTGCAAAGTGAGAAGTTGGATTTCCTACTTCTTCAACTAGCTGAAAGCTTCTGCAACTATCTATTTATTCCCAGACACAGAAATTTAGAGAGTGAAAAAGGAAGTGTCTAGAGATTTATTTTCTGATGTGAAGCACAGGGTAAAACTAATTTAGCCCCAAGAAAAAAATGGCAATAGTTGAAAATACCTGGTGTTATGGGTGGTAAGCGAGTGCTACTAGTGAACTTAACAGCAAGAAAAATAGCCTGAGAAGATTACAAAGGAGAAGGGGAAACTGACAAGAACAAGGATGAAAAGGAAGTGGAGGACAAAAGGCAGGAGTGGCAAAAGGGTCAAATACATAACAAGAGAATTATCAGTCATGCAAGTCAGTGAAGGGTAAAGAAGACAGGAATCAGACCTCCGTGAACTGGAGAGAGTGACTCAATCAGTGAGGAACAGTACATTTTATCCCTGACGCAAAAAAAAATCCTGACTTCTTTAGTTAGCATCTCAAAGCACAGAGGAGCAAAGCATCTGCAGGAACAACTTCATCCCATTCATTCATTCAGCAAATAGTTATTGAGCACTCCACAACAGGGGCTGTGAATCCTGCCTAAGTATCAGAATCACCTAGGGAGCTTGAAAAATAAAAACCTGATGTCCAGATCCATTCCCAGAGTCTCTATTTGAATTGGTCTGGGGTGGTGCTCTGTGTTGGTGGTCAGCTAAAAGTCCGCAGCTGATTCTAATGTTCAGCCTCAGCTGAGAACCTCCGGTTTCCTGTGTGCCAGGCATTGTGCAAACCAGGACATATAAAGGTAAACAAAACAGACAAGGCCCCTGAACCCACCAGAGGCAGGTATTCTCCAACATAATCAAGACCCAGTGAGGTTTGTGGGGTAATATTTATCTCTATACCACAGATGAAGAAAGTGATACTTAGGTGGTTTATTCCCAAGATCACACAACCCGGAAGTCGTTAGTTGAGGACAGCCTCATCAGGCCAAGTCTCAACATCCAGTGCTCCTTCCCTGACACTATACCACCTCAGAAAACAGGATACAGAGAAAAGGAACCTTCCAGTGATCCCTTCTCTAGTTTTCAGATACCTGAAAGGTTCAACAGGCTCTGGCCACACCTACAATTATCAGACCTTTAAGTACCCATGGGATGCAGAGAATGACTGAAGGCTGGATACCCTGGGACAGACCTATTGTGGATTACAGTAAGAAGACACCTTACTAGAGATACCCAAAAAGGGGAAAGATGCAAATTTACAGATGCCTAATATTTGCCAGGCACTGTGCTAGATGCTAAAGACACAAAGATGAAAGACAGTCCCAGTCCTCAAGGGATATAGAGCCTGGAGGAAACACGTGCAGTATGACTCAATTGTGAATGTTCTAGAGAAGTTGGCAAGCTTTTTCTATAAGGGTTCAACAGACAATACATATTTTCAGCTTTAATGGCTATGTGGTCTCTGTCACAACTACTTGATTCTGCCATTGTAATGCAAAAGCAGCTATAGGCAATACTCAAATGTACGAGCACAGCTATGTTTCAACAACATAGGATTTGTGGAGACTGAAACTCGGATTTCATCTCATTTTTATGTGTCATGCAATACTATTCTTCATTTCATGTTTTCCAATCATTTAAACATGTAAAAAATCATTCTTAGCTTGCAAGCTGTACAAAAAAATAGATGGTGGATTGGATTTAACCCCTGGTTTGTAGTTTGCTAGCTCCTGTTCTGGAGGTGTTGTACCAGGGAGCTGGGGGAAAAAATGGCCACCTGGATCAGCCTTGGGGGATCAAGGGAGGCTTCTCAAAGGAGATGGCACTTTAACTTCTCCCAATTCACCTGGGTGCCCTGCAGACAGCGGTCATTTTCCTAGTTTGAACATGACCTATGAACAGACTCCAGTGAATTCTCTGGATATTCTTTAAAGGAGGAAAAAAAATAAGATTTTAAAAAATGTTTCTCAGATATTTTAATGATCACCAGATGCCCCTTCTGCATTGGAATATAGAGCTGAGAAGTTCTCCTCTGATGTAAGATCCCTACTTTGTTAGAAGTTAGGGAAGACGACAATGGGAAATAACATTTATTGAGCTTGTATATGTTTCTGGATGTGTCAGAGACTTTTTACTTGAGTTTTCTCATTTAATCCTCACAATTGCCCTGCATGTTAATATTATCTCCATTTTAGAGATGATGAAAATGAAGCTTAGAGATATACATATTCTCAAAACCACAAAGTTATTACATGGTAGAGTTGAGGCTTGTATTCAGGCTATTGGATTTTAAGGTACAATTTCCCTTATTATTCTTCCTTTCCTTGTAAAGCAATTATATCTTATGAACAAGGAGGTTTTTAAACAGAATTAAAATAGCACAAAAATTTTTAGCAAAACTAATTACAAATAATGAACCAGGAAAATACCTTGGAAAACTAGCTTCCAATTAAAATGCATCTGGAAAATATCACCCATCAGCCTCACTTGCTCACCTGCCTGGATCAAAGTTTCTTTCAATTAAAGAAAGACAGGGGTTGGTAGGAAGAGCAACAGCTTTTTAGAAAGCCAGTCTTCATGAGGGCTTTGAATATTATTGAAGTCTGAAAGATTTATATTTCTGAGGATAATTCTTATGGGGCAGTTTGAGAATCAAAACCTTTATATATATAAAAGAGTTCTACTACGGTAATAAATAAAATTCACATATTACCTCTTTAATACTCTACGTAAGCTTCTTCTTTTTTTTTTTTTTTTTTTTTTGAGATGGAGTCTCGCTCTGTCACCCAGGCCAGAAGGCCAGAGTGCAGTGGTGTGATCTTGGCTCACTGCAACCCCTGCCTCCCGAGTTCAAGCGATTCTCCTGCCTCAGCCTCCTGAGTAGCTGGGATTACAGGTGGGCACCTCCACGCCTGGCTAAGTTTTTGTATTTTTAGTAGAGATGGGGTTTCACCATATTGGCCAGGCTGGTCTCAAACTCCTGACCTCATGATCTGCCCGCCTCGGCCTCCCAAAGTGCTGGGATTACAGGCGCCCAGCCTGTATGTAAGCCACTACGCCCAGCCTGTATGTAAGCTTCTTATACAGACAGGGTGCAGGTAATGTTGTTTTCAGTTCTGAGACTGGTTTTTGTTTTTTAATTGTCAAGACCAGTCTGCATCATATGTTCCTTTTTCCTAAAATTAGAGCCTCTTGAAACCTGCTAGAAAACTCAGGGAAGAGAAATAAAGCCTAAAATAATGCTAAACCCTAAAAATAAACCCTACAATAAAAATAAACCAAAAAATAAAGCCCCAAACTGGAACTCCAGTCAGCAATTCTGTTGTTTCTCAGTTATACGCAATGGCTCAGGCCTTTGTCAGACCTCAGATTTGTGTAGGAAACATCTTTTACTTACCTCCTTGGTATCCATTTTGAAGTCTTCTGGATACAGCTCTACTCTTCTTTAAGGATTCAGCCCTTCCTCACCTCCAGCCTGAGTGTTTTGGGGTGAAACACACGACCCAAACAGAAGCCAATCATATATGCATCCCCTGCATGCGAATGGGCATGGGTCTTAATTTACCCCACTTTGCTGGTACAGTAATGCTGGGGGGAAAAAAGATACCTCTTTTCTACTTGATTGTTATCTGACAGCCGTATTGCTACTTTATGGAGAAAGTCTGCCTAGGAATGGAGTTAAAATAGGAAAGGGAACAGAGAAATGAAGAAAAATATTTTTGTGACATTCGTGAGCCTTGGATCAAATCATATTTGCTAGATAAGTCAATAAATTCTATTTTTGCCTAAATTTGATTTTTCTGATTTTCTGTTGCTTATGACCAAAAGCATCCTAACGGAAACTGTAATTATCCCCCTCTAATCTAGTCCCAGTAACAAAGTCACTGTCTTGATCCCTGTCCCATGTCTCTGACCTCATCACTCAGAGAGTGTCCTGGTCCCCCCTTCTGTTGCTGAGAGGCCTTACCTTGTGACCGACCTCACCTCATCCCTACCCTGGAGACTGGACATTCACTAGTACCTGCTCCAGACTAAAGATTGAAAAAGACCACCTTTTCCCCTTTTTGTTTTACATTTATTACATGAGAAACATATTAATAATAGAACATTTATTTAATACATGACAGGCTGGAGAAAAATATTTATTATTTATAATCTTTCTTGATATGAAAAGTATAGATCCAAGTAGCTGGAGGATCTTTTGTTTACTGAGGGTAGACAAAATCCTTCATCCTCACTTTAATGGCCTTAGACCTATTTAAAGTTGATATTAATGAGTGGGAAAGGATTGGCAATCAGGGAATTGCTCAAAGAAGAGGAGAGTTTAAGAGGCCCCAGAGAATAATTGCTCCAGGGAGGCAGGAGGTGATGGCCAGGAGGCTGCGTGTGAGAAGGTGCAAAGCTGTGACGTAGAAACAGGTATGGAAAAAGCATCCTCTCACGGGAGGATTTGAGATGAGGGCCTGTGCACTGTGAAACATCAGTCTTCTTCTCTGCCTTCTCTGTGAATTCTACAATATTCTACATTGCTCATTATTCCTTAAGAATGAAGTCAGTTTGGAGGGAGCTTAAAGAAAGAGAACAGGGAAACAGGAACGAGCAGCAAGCATACATTTACATATATCAGGCATTTTGGCTTAAAAGGACTTGGGATGCAGACGCTGGTGGGTAGAGGAATGGATAATCCCCTTTACAGTAATTTTGCTTATATCGCAGCTGAAATGAAGCCACAATGTTGACAGCAAGTGGAGTCTGGCAACCCCAAGTTTCCAAAGTGCACATCTGCGCTGGGGCCTGGAGATTTCTGGAAGGGAATCAGTCTGTGTCCTTTTTGCAGGTCTGTGTCCTTGTACGTATTTGCATCTACTAATTTACATATTAAACTTATAAAATTGTCATTAAATCTACTCCTACCATATAATATTCAATAGCTTCATAATATCCATTATAGAGCCGCACAAAAATTTATTTAAGCAATATATATTGCTTGGCATTATCACTGTTTATTTGACTTATTGAAGTAAACCACACCGAGATGTTGTAGATAGGTTCTTGTACATTTTCCTGATGAAAAATTTCTAAGAGTAAAATCTATGGGTCACAGCAATCACGTTACTGGGTATATATTCAGAAGACTGTAAATCATTTTACCATAAAGAAACATGCATATGAATGTTCATTGCAGTGCTATTCACAATGGCAAAGACATGGAATCAGCCTAAATGCCCATCAATGAGACTGGATAAAGAAAATGTGGTACATATATGCCATGAAATATTATGCAGCCATAAAAATCAACCAGATCATGGCTTTTGCAGGAACATGGATGGAGCTGGAGACTATTATCCTTAGCAAACTAATGCAGGAATAGAAAACCAAATGCCACATGCTCTCACGTATAAGTGGGAGCCAAAGGATGAGAACTCATGGACACAAAGAGGGAAACAGCAGACGCGGGGCCTACTGGAGGGTGGAGGGTGGAGGGAGGGATAGGATCAGGAAAAATAATGACTTGGTACTAGGCTTAGTATCTGGGTGATGAAATAATCTGTGCAACAAACAGATTATTTTTGTTTACAAAAATAATGTCACAAGTTTACCTATGTGACAAACCTGCGCATGTATCCTCAAACCTAAAATAAAAGTTTAAAAAAAAAAAAAACCCAACAACTATGGGTCAGTAAAAATGAGTCTTATGTGTTAAGGCAATCTATTCTGTGTGTCTATTTTCACTTTGTAGTTATACGAGATATATATATATACACACACACACACACACACATACATACACACATATATATATATACCACATTAAATATGCATATATTATGTGTTATATGTATAATATAATACATATATTACAGGGGAAATTATGTGTGTGTATATGTGTGTGTGTATATATATACGTGTGTGTGTGTATATATATATATATATGTATATATGAAAAGCATAGGTCCAGGTAACTGGAGGATCTTTTGTCTACGGAGGGTAGACAAAATCCTTCATCCTCACTATAATGTTCTTAGACCTATTTAAAGTTGCTATTAATAAGTGGGAAAGAATTGGCAAACAGGGAATTGCTCTAAGAAGAGGAGAGATTAATAGACCCCAGAGAATAATTGCTCCAGGGAGGCAGGAGATGGCGGCCAGGAGGCTGCGTGGGAGAAGGTGCAAAGCTGTGATGTAGAAACGGGTATGGACAAAGCATTCTCTCACAGAAGGAGCTATATGTATGTGTGCATATAATACATATAATACACACACACATATACACACATATAATTTCCCCTATAAGCAAGGACTTGACAGTTGTTTGTAAAGTTAAAGGCCATAATTGAGTCAAAGGCTGCTTACACTGTACATTTCCTCTGAGGACAACCTCACATCCAGGGTACAAGGGCCCCCATTTTCCCACAGAAGGTCCCCCTGCAGATTAGAAAGAGTGCTCAGACTAAAGTAACTTTCTTCACCAGGAGCCTCAAAGATGAGAAAATGATATTGGAACCCCAGGATCCTGGTACAAATTCCATAAAACACCTTTATTCTCTCGCTTCTTCAAACTCCGCTATATAAAGATCCATTGACTCCACTCTGCATACAGAAAAAGAACTCAAATTTGAATCACATCCAAAGTCTTCAAAGTAATAAAGGATAAGAATGGAAAATCACCTTTTCGTAAGCCCCAGTATAATAATTGATGCAGTTGAGGATAGTCAAAGAAAGCTGAAACAGTGAAGTAAAAAGCTGTGGGGAACAGGATATTCTCATGGTGGCAAAATATCACCACACAAATTACAAATTTAAATGGGAAAATAAATGATTGCAAGGGAGAGATTTGATGGTCAGCACGTTCACCAATGATCAAACTTTACATCACTGGCAGTGGGGTAGGCTGGCATCAGTGGCTGTCTATGTACTGCAGTGCAAAATTCACAAGATTCTCTGTGATGTCTTCTTGTCCCAAAGGATTTCATCTGGATGTAATCTAGCCCTTGAGACACACTTCCAGTTTAGAGAAAATATGAGAGACAGCAAAACGAGTTAAATGATACTGTGAAGAGGTAATCAGAAAAGTCATGAATATAGGATGTTTTATAGGACAACCATCTGTACTATTAAAAAATTCAATCTCATTTAAAAAAATTGTGGGAGAATTCCTTTAGCGTCTAGACTAAAAGAAAGTAAAGAGACGTAACATAACAACTAAATTCAATGTATGAGGCTTGCCTCAGATCTGGTTGGGAAGAGAAAGAAAAGAAAAGAGAAACAGCTAAAAAGACATTATCAGGGTAATTAGGAACACTTAAGTATTAATACTGGGCAATATTATGAAATTATTATTTATTTTCTTGGAGGTGACAACAGTATCATAAAGTGAATTTTTTTTATTCTTAGAAGATGAATGTCGATGTATTTATATGCGAGGTGTCAATGCCAAAAACTTATTCTGAAATGGTACAGAAAAAAGTATACATACAAAGAGAGAGAGAGAAGATATATGAAAAAATGTTAAAATTGTTGAATCTCATTGAAGGGTATATAGGTGACTTTATAATATTATGTTAACTTTTTTATGGAAGAAATGTCTTAAGCGTACCATTTCCACAGTATATCTAATTTCTGAATACAATGTGTGTGTGTGTCTGTGTGTACACCTGTGCTTCAGAAAGCCCTAAGTACTGGCAATTCTTTGTACTTCCTTGCATAGGCCATGCAGAATGTCCTCCCCCATTTCATCGGTTTTATTTTCTTCTTTTTCTAACTTCTTAAGAAATAGTCTTTGTGCATCAACTTTAAGATAAAACTTTCTTCTTTGGCGATATAAATGTTAAGGCCAAAATTTCCCTTCTAAGTTCTGTTTTAGTTTCATCTAAAAAGTTTTGACACATTTTTGTTCAGTCAATATTACATACTTTCTAAGTTTGTTTTGATATTGTATTTGATCCATGAATTATGTGTGTTCTTTTATTTTTAAATGTATTTTAAGCATGGATTTTTAATTATCTTGGGTAGTTAATTTCTGATGTGCTACGGTCAAGGGACACGGCCTGATTTTTATATTTGTTGAAACCTGGTTTGTGGAGGAGCAGATGGTCAACTCTTGTAAAAATTTTATATGTGCTTGAAACAGTAGGTTTTCTAAAATTTGGAGATACAGAGCTCTATCTATGCATCTCCATTAGCTCAAGTTTGATAATTGTGTTATTCATATTCTCGATATTTTCACTAAGCTTTATCTACTTGATTTATGAAATCTGAGGGAGGAGTGTGAAAATCTTTCAGCACGACTGTGGTTTTGACTCTTTCTTCTTATAATTTGGATTATTTTTCCTCATGTATTTTGAGGACATATTTTAGGTGCATGAGAGGTACAGGGTCAAGATCATCAAAAAAAGAAAGGCTGAGAAAGTCTCAAGAAGCCACAGGGTAGAAGAACCTAAGGAGATATGATGACTAAATGTGATGTGATGTTTTGGATGAGATCCTGGGAGAGAAAAAGGACATTAGGTAAATTCCAAGGAAATTTGAGTAAAATATGGACTTCAGTTAATAATAACTTGTTAATGTTGTTTCATTAGTGGTGGTAAATGCATAATACTACTGTAAGATATTAACAATAGGACAAACTGAGTATAGGGCATACAAGAATCCTCTATTCTATCTTAGCAACTTTTCTGTAAATGAAAAACTATTCTACAATAAAAAGTTTATTTAAAAACAGAAGTTTTTAAATAAGCTGGGCATGGTGGCTCACACCTGTAATCCAAGCACTTTGGGAGGCCAAGGTGGGTGGATTACTTGAGGTCAGGAGTTCGAGATCATCCTGGCCAACATGGTGAAACCCTGTCTCTACTAAAAATAGAAAAAAATTAGCTGGGCGTGGTGGTACACAGCTGTAATCCCAGCTACTTAGGAGGCTGAGGCAGGAGAATCGCTTGAACCCCAGGAGGCAGAGGTTACAGTGAGCTGAGATGGTGCCATTGCACTCCAGCCTGGGTGACAGAGTGATACTTCATCTCAAAAAAAAAAAAAAAGAAAGAAAGAAAAAAAAAAAAAAACAGAAGTTGTACAGAGTTAGTTATACCTCCCAGAGGCAAATGAAAAATTCGAATCCAGGACTCCCAATATTTTCACAGACAAAACCCTACAGAAGATGATCTTAAAACCTAAAATTATGAAAACACAAGGAAATTAACCACCTTGAAAGAGAGAGACAGAGCGAGATTATAGATACAAAAGGCAGAAAATTAAATACTCTCAAGGACTTGACATAATAGAACTATCTGCTACAGACTATAAAAATTATTATATTTTAAAATAATTAAAAACAGAAAAATAACTAGACATAGTGGCTGCACTGTACATTGTGTTCATTCATGAAAACAATTATGGGGCTAAATAAAAAGACAATAGAAATTATTTTCTTCTTTTTGTTTAAACTTTTATTTTAGGTTCAGGGGTACATGTACAGGTTTATTATATAGGTATTCATGTCATGGGGTTTGTTGTGCAGATTATTTCATCACTCAGATACTAAGTCTAGTACCCAATAGCTATTTTTTCTGATTCTCTCCCTCCTCCAACCCTCCACCCACCAGTATCCCCCAGTGTCTGTTGCTCCCCTCTTTGTGTCCATATGTTCTCATCATTTATCATCCACTTATAAGTGAGAACATGCATTATTTGATTTTCTGTTCCTGCATTAGTTTGCTAAAGATAATGGCCTCCAGCTCCATTCATGTTCCTGCAAATGACATGATCTTGTTCCTTTTTAAGGCTGCATAGTATTCCATGGTGTGTACGTACCACGTTTTCTTCATCTGGTCTGCCATTGATGGTTGTTTAGGTGGATTCCATGTGTTTGCTATTATGAATAGTGCTCCAGTGAACACATGCCTGCATGTGTCATTATATCAGAATAACTTTTATTCCTCTGGGTATATACCCAGTAATGGGATTGCTGGGTTGAATGGTAGTTCTGTTTTCAGTTCTTTGAGGAATTGCCACACTGCTTTCCACAATGGCTGAACTAATTTACATTCCCACCAACAGTGTATAAGCAAACGCTTTTCTCTCTAATCTTGCCAGCACCTGTTATTTTTTGACTTTTTGATAACAGCCATTCTTACCGGTGTGAGGTGATCTCATTGTGGTTTTGGTTTGCATTGCTCTAATGATCAGTGATTTTGAGCTTTTTTTCTTATGATTGTTGGCTGCACGTATATCTTCTTTTGAAGTGTCTGTTCATCTCCTTTGCCCACTTTTTAATGGAGTTGTTTGTTTTTTTACTTGAAAATTTAAGTTTCTAATAGATGCTGGATATTACATCTTTGGCAGATGCATAGTTTGCAAAAGTTTTCTCCCATTTTGTAAGCTGTCTGTTTAGTCTGTTGATGGTTTCTTTTGCTGTGCAGAAGCTCTTTAGATCAATTAGACTCCATTTGTTAATTTTTTGCTTTTGTTGCTGTAGCTTTTAGCATCTTTGTCATGAAATGATGAAGTCTTACATTTTGCTTAGGTTGTCTTCCAGGAATTTTACACTTTTTAGGTTTCATCTTTAAGTATTTAATCTATCTTTAGTTGATTTTGGTATATGGTGTAAGGAATGTGTCCAGTTTCAATCTTCTGCATATGGCTATCCAATTACTCCAGCACCATTTATTGCATAGGGACTCTTTTCCCCATTGCTTGTTTTGGTCAGCTTTGTTGAAGATCAGATGGTTGTAGTTGTGCAGCTTTATTTCCGGGCTGTCTATTCTGTTCCATTGGTCTATGTGTCTGTTTTTGCAACAGTACCATGCTGTTTGGTTATGTAGCCCTGTAGTAGTATAGTTGGAAATTGGGAACATGATGCCCACAGCTTTGTTCTTTTTGGTTGGGACTGTTTTGGCTATTCTGGCTCTTTTTTGGTTCTTTGTGAACCTTAAAGTCAATTTTTCTAGTTCTGTGAAGAATGTCATAGGTAGTTTAACAGGAATAGCATTAACTCTATAAATTGCTTTGGGCAGTATGACCATTTTAATGATATTGATTCTTCCTACCCATGAGCATCGAATGTTTCTCCATTTGTTTATGTCATCTTTCATTTCTTTGAGCAGAGTTTTGTAATCTCATTGTAGAGATTTTTCCCTCCCTGGTTAGCTGTATTTCTAGGTATTTTATTCTTTTTGTGGTAATTGTGAATGGGATTGTGTTCCTTATTTGGCTCTCAGCCTTGTTGTTTTTGGTGTATGTATTAGTCCATTTTCATGTTGCTGATAAAGACATACCTGAGACAGGGCAATTTACAAAAGATAGAGGTTTATTGGACTTACAGTTCCACATGGCTGGGGAGGCCTCACAATCATGGTGGAAGGCAAGGAGGAGCAAGTCACATCTTATGTGAATGGTAGCAGGCAAAGAGAGCTTGTGCAGAAAACTCCCATTTCTAAAACCATCAGATCTCGTGAGACCCATTCACTATCAGGAGAACAGCACAGGAAAGACCTGCCCTCATGATTCAATCATCTCCCACTGGGTCCCTCCCACAACACGTGGGAATTATGCGAGCTACAAGATGAGATTTGGATGGGGACACAGAACCAAGCCATATCAGAGTATAGGAATGCTAGTGATTTTTGTATATTAATTTTGTATCCTGAAATTTTGCTGAAGTTGTTTATTAGCTGAAATAACATTTGGGCTGAGACTATGGGGTTTTCTAGATACAGAATCATGTCATCTGTAAATAGGGATAGTTTGACTTCCTCTCTTTCTATTTGGATGCTCTTTTTTTCTTTATCTTGCCTGATTGCTCTGGCCAGAACTTCCAATACTATATTGAATAGGAATGATGAAAGAGGGCATCCTTGTCTTGTGCTGGTTTTCAAAAGAAATGCTTCCAGCATTTGCCCATTTAGGATGACGTTGACCATGGGTTTATCATAAATGTCTCTTGTTATTTTGAGGTATGTTCCTTCGATGCGTACTTTATTGAGAGTTTTTAACATAAAGGGATGTTGAATTTTACCAAAAGCCTTTTCTGCATCTATTGAGATGATCATGTGGATTTTGTCTTTAGTTCTGTTTATGTGATGAATCACATTATTTATTTGCATATGTTGAACCAACCTTGCATCCCAGGGATAAAGCCTACTCGATGCAATGGATTAGCTTTTTATGTTACTGGATTCTGTTTACAAGTATTTTGTTGAGGATTTTTGCATCAATATTCATCAAGGATATTGGCCTAGTGTTTCCTTTTTTATTGTATCTCTGCCAGGTTTTGGTATCAGGAGGATGCTAGTCTCATAGAATGAGTTGGGGAAGAGTCTCTCCTTCTAAGTTTTTTGGAATAGTTTCAGTAGAAATGGTACCAGCTCTTCTTTGTTCATCTGGTAGAATTTGGCAGTGAATTAGTCTGGTCCCGGGCTTTTTTTGGTTGGTAGGCTATTTATTACTGATTCAATTTCAGGGCTTGTTATTGGTCTGTCTAGGGAATCAATTTCTTCCTGGTTCAGTCTTAGGAGGGTGCATGTGTCCAGGAATTTACCCATCTCTCCTAGGTTTCCTGGTTTGTGTGTGTACAAGTGTTCATAGTAGTCTCTGATGTTATTTGTGGTTTTTTAGGGTCAGTTGTAATATCCTTTTTGTCATTTTAATTGTGTTTATTTGGACCTTTTCTCTTTTCTTCTTTTTTAGTCTAGCTAGTTGCCTACTTACTAATTTCTTTAAAAAACCAACTCCTGGATGTGTTTATTTTTTTGAATGGTTTTTCATGTCTTAATCTCCTTCAGTTGAGCTCTGATTTTGGTTATTTCTTGTCTAATGCTAACTCTGGTGTTGGTTTGCTCTTGCTTCTCTAGTTCTTTTAGTTGTGATGTTAGGTTGTTAATTTGAGATCTTTCTAAACTTTTTGATGTGGGTGTTTTGTGCTATAAACTTCCCTCTTAACACTGACTTAGCTGTGACCTAGAGATTCTGATATGTTGTATCTTTGTTCTCATTAGTTTCAAAGAACTTCCTGATTTTTGCCTTAATTTCATTATTTACCCAAAAGTCATTCAGGAGCAGGTTGTTTAATGTTCATGTAATTGCATGGTTTTGAGCAATTTTTTAAAGTCTTGATTTCTATTTTTATTGCATTGTGTCCGAGAGTGTGTTAGGTGTCATTTAGTTTCTTTTGCACTTGCTGAGGATTGTTTTATGTCCGGTTGTGTGGTCAATTTTAGAGTATGTTCCCTGTGCAAATGAGAAGAATGTATATTATGTTGTTTTTGGATGGAGAGTTTTGTAGACCTCTACCAGCTCCACTGAGTCCAATGTTGAGCTCACATCCTGAGTATCTTTACTAATCTTCTGCCTCAATCATCTGACTAATACTGTCAATGGAGTGTTGAAGTTTTTCACTATTAGTGTCTGGGACTGTAAGTCTCTTTGTAGATCTTTATAACTTCTCCTTCTAACAGACACATAGACAGTCATACTCAGGAGAATTTTTCTCTTGGTGCTATAAAAAGCCACACACCTTTCCCTAATAGGGAGTGATGTAAGATCTGAGGTGTATGATCTTAAATACTACCTTTAGAAGTATATATTGCAAGGCCTACAAAGTGCAAAAATTCAGATAGTTTTAATTAAAAATGTAAGAGAGCATCAGTACTGAATGATCATACATACCTGGGGAAATAGAAATCACAGAAGCTAAAGTCTCCCAACTATAGAACTATTGTTTTCATTGTATATTTCCTACAAGGGGGGAATTTAGTTTGCACAAAATCACTAATATTTGACTGCAGTCTGAGTAAATGATTTTGCAAACTCAAAACTCTAACATGTGAAAGGGTGAATTGTAGTTCTACTTTGCTTTATAGTGTACCTAAAATTCCAGTTCCATAATCTCTGGGTCCTACAAGTGCCTGCTCACTTATAGAAAATGACAGCTGATATACAGACTGAAATCCCTTCTCACATGCTCTTTTGAGTTTCTTGTCTGCATCACAAGTCAAATCAGGTAAAGACAAAATGAACAGAAGACCCTTTCTTAACAAAGGGGCAAAAAAGCAAAAGGAAGAAATCACCCTTTTAATGAACAAATTCTCCCTGGATTCCTCTGCATATTCAGTTGTAGTCTATGCAGCTATGACTCAATTAAATGATATCAACTGCCCCAAGTCAAGAATGATTTTATTTTCCCTCCTTTGTCTAAAATATAAGCTACCCACATGGGAGCCAGTTAGTCATCATCATTGTAAAAGGTCAAAGAAATATGCTGCAGTCTGATTAAATTCAAATGCTCAGGATGTATCTCCCAGCCAGAAGAGCATCTTTGTTCCTATTAGAATTTTGTTGCAGAGAATGTTATCACATTTATCACCCTTCACCAGTTTTCTTAGGTAAGTGTTAGAGGCCATTTTCATTTTCTTACAAAAATTAAAGAGCAAGGAGTTTGTTCAGGCAAATAAGACAGCAAGGAAAAGCAAACAGAAACCAGATCTTCTGACCCTCTACCTAGACCATAAGAAACTTCTTCTAGAGGTATCTTGGATTCAGTAAAATAATGAAAGTTGGCAAATGCATCCCACATAAGAGGCAGTTAGAAATCTGTACTTTTTCACTCCCTCCACAACAAATCCTTCAGAAATTTGGACCACAGAAGCTCCAAAATACTCATCAGTTTCATCCTTCATTCATCTCTGCTACTACCTCCATATTCCAAACTTGCTATTACCCTATGTTGGATCATAACAAAGGCCTCCTAAGTACCATCCCTGCCTCTCCTGGCCCTCTTCCATCCACTCTTGTCATAACAAGCAGAGTAGAGTTAACAACAACAACAACAACTGAAAGGAGAGTCACTCTCCTGCTTCAAACCTCCAACTGCTTCCCATTGCATGTGAAATAAAAGTAAAACTCCTTATCATGGCCTTCAAGATACTGTGTTATCTAATTCCCTGACACCATGTCTGCTCTCAACCCCATCACACCCTCCTCTCACAACTTTTTAACCACACTTGCCTTGTCTCTGTCTCACAGTCAAGCCCATTACTATGTAAGGGCATTTGCATGAGCCAATCCCTGAACCTGAAAAGTTCTTACCCAAGATCCCAAAACGGCTGCCCGCCTTTAGTCACTGAGGTCTCAGTTTAAATGCCACTTCCTCAAAGGGCACGTGTCTAACTTCACATTCTAAATAGCAGCCAGCCATTCCATTTCTCACTACCTTGTCTTATTTTACTTTTACCACTTAGCGCTACTTGATTTTAAAAATCTGTTTATTGTCTATCCCCAGTCTGTCCTTGTTGGAATCTGAGGACCACGCAAGCAGAAGACTTGCCTGTCCTGCTCATTGGTATATCCCCAAAACCTGGTATAAGGTTTAACACAGTGTTTTTGTTTATACTTTAAGTTCTGGGATGCATGTGCAGAATGTGCAGGTTTGTTACATAGGCACACATGTGCCATGGTGGTTTGTTGCATCTATCAACCCGTCACCTAGGTTTTAAGCCCCGCATGCATTAGGTATTTGTCTTGATGCTTTCCCTCTCCTCATCCCCCACCTTCTGACAGGCCCTGGTGTGTGTTGTTCCCTTCCCTGTGTCCATGTGGTCTCATTGTTCAACTCCCACTTATGAGTGAGAACATGCAGTGTTTGGTTTTCTGTTCCTGTATTAGTTTGCTGAGGATAATGGCTTCCAGCTTCATCCATGTCCCTGCAAAGGGCATGATCTTGTTCCTTTTTATGGCTACATAGTATTCCATGGTGTGTATGTACCACATTTTCTTTATCCAGTATATCATTGATGGGCATTTGGGTTGGTTCCATGTCTTTGCTATTGTAAATAGTGCTGCAATAAACATAGGTGTACATGTGTCTTTGTAGTAGAATGATTTATACTCCTTTGGGTATATACCCAGTAATGGGATTGTTGGGTCAAATGGTATTTCTGAAAAAGAATCACGGGTACTCCAGTTCCCTTTCTTACTACAGACTACTAGGGAGTTAGTCGTGCCTCACAACACTGGAGACCTGAGGTATTTCTGTGATGTTGAACTTTTTTTCATATGTTTCTTGGTAGCATAGATGTCTTCTTTTGAGAAGTGTCTGTTCATGTCCTTTGCCCACTTTTTGATGGGGTTTTTTGTTTCATTCTTGTAAATTTGTTTAAGTTCCTTGTAGATTCTGGATATTGGACCTTTGTCAGATGGTTAGATTGCAGAAATTTTCTCCCATTCTGTAGGTTGCCTGTTCACTCTGATGATAGTTTCATTGACTGTGCAGAAGCTCTTTAGTTTAATTCCAATTTGTCAATGTTAGTTTTTGTTGCAAGTGCTTTTGGCATTTTTGTCATGAAATCTTTGCCCATACCTATGTCCTGAATGGTATTGCCTAGGTTTTCTTCTAGGGTTTTTATGGTTTTGATTTTACATTTAAGTCTTTAATCCACCTTGAGTTAATTTTTGTATAAGGTGTAAGGAAGGGGTCCAGTTTCAGTTTTCTGCATATGGCTAGTCAGTTCTCCCAGCACCATTTATTAAACAAGGAATCATTTGATCTTTGCTTGTTTTTGTCAGGTTTGTCAAAGGTCAGACGGTTGTAGATGAACATATTGTTTTTTGACTAAGCTATTGATTTTTTTAAAAATTGATGGATACTATTGTTTTAGAGGTAAAAATTGGCTGGATATGCAGAATAGTCATTCTTTGCTTATTACAATTGTATTAGTTTGTTCTCACACTGTTATAAAGAATACCACCGAGACTGGGTAATTTATAAAAGAAAGAAGTTTACTCGACTCACAGTTCTGCATGACTGGGGAGGTCTCAGGGAACTTACAATGACGGTGGAAAGCAAAGCAGGCATGACTTACATGGCAGCAGGTGAGAGAGAGAATGCGTGTGTCAAACACTTATAAATCCATCAGATCTCATGAGAACTCACTCACTATCACAAGAATGGCATGGGGGAAACTGCCCCCATGATCCAATCACCTCCCACCAGGTCCTGCCCTCAACACCTGGGGATTACAGGGATTACAATTCAAGATGAGGTTAGGGTGCGGACACAGAGCCAAACCATATCAAGAATAGAATATATTAACTTTGGGAGGCCGAGGTGGGTGGATCATGAGGTCAGGAGATCCAGACCATCCTGGCTAACACAGTGAAACCCTGTCTCTACTAAAAATACAAAAAATTAGCCAGGCATGGTGGTAGGCGCTTGTAGTCCCAGCTACTCGGGAGGCTGAGGCAGGAGAATGGCGTGAACCCAGGAGGCAGAGCTTGTGGTAAGCCGAGATAGCGCCACTGCACTCCAGCCTGGGCGACAGAGCAAGACTCCACCTCAAAAAAAAAAAAAAAAAAAAAAGAAAGAAAAGAAAAAAAGGAAAAAAAGAAAAAATTAAAATAGTTAAAGGAAATCCTATTTAAGTAATACGAACATCAATTGAGAGCATTCTATTTTACTTTGACTCAAATCCAAAAATAGCAACAAAATATCCACTTGAGAAAGATGGCTAGCTGTCCATTTCAAACATGATCCCTCTTCCTTAGTGTAGGATTAGGTCAGAAACTGCCTACCCAACCAGGCACTACATTTCTCAATCCTTTTCCACTCTCCTTACCTCAAGCTTATAGTTCATTGTGGCCATTTTCAGGAGTTCTAGTCAGTGGAATATTGAGGCAAATAATGTGTGCCACTTCCAGACCTGGCCCATATAAACCCTTTCATGTTGTGCTTTAGCATTTTCTTTTTCATGTCTGACTAGCAGGAATGGAGGTGGTACCCAGGACAATCTTGGGAGCCCTATGTTCAAGATGGCAGATCTTCCATCAGTTGAGGGTCTAAGAATGACAGCATAGAATAAACCATCATGCTGATGTTTTTACCCACTGATACTGTTACCTGAGTGAGAAACCATTCTCTGTTGTATTTGAGCCATTACCCTTATTAGGGTCTATCTGTTACTGCTATTAACTAGTAAGTAACATTAGGTTTCAGATGAAGTAAAAATATCACAAGATCAGGTTCAACTCAATAAAATTCTTCTGTTTGGCTCTTGGGAGACCTCCTTTGGGAGGCCGAGGCAGGTAGATCACCTGAGGTCAGGAGTTCGAGACCAGCCTGACCAACATGGTGAATCCCTGTCTCTACTGAAAATACAAAAATTAGCCAGGTGTGGTAGCACACGCCTATAATCCCAACTACTTGAGAGGCTGAGGCAGGATAATTTCTTGAACCCGGGAGGTGGAGGTTGCAGTGAGCTGAGGTCATGCCACTGCACTCCAGCCTGGACAACAAGAACAAAAACTCCATCTAAAAAAAAAAAAATCAACAAATTCCATAATGCTGTGTATTAGTGAGAGTCTTTTTAAATTTGCTGAGCTGAACACTCAGTGGTGCTTTTCAATCTGAAAACTTAAGCTTTCAGTTCTGGAATTATATCCTTCATCATATCCTCTCCTTCCTTTTTTTCTGTTCACTTTCTGGAATCGCCAATATCTTTTACATCTCTATCTTCTTATTCTATTTCTGATAGATTCTTTTGATTTCATCTTCTTCTATTGGGATTTTATTTCAGAAATGATTTTTTTTTTTTTTTAATTCCAAGGCCTCCTTCTGGTTTTTATGCTTCCTATTCTTGTTTCAGCTCTTATCTCTCCGGGGATGTTAATTGTAAGTTATTATATTTTAATTTTCTTCTGCCCTGCATTGTCTCTGTGTCCTCTGAATTCATTATTATTATTGTTTGTTTGTTGTAATCATCTCTTTTACACTCATGTTTGAAGGCTTTTCAGATGCCTGGTATCCTTGGCAACCCATTCATACGTTCATACTTCTTTGTGACTGTGGATGGGACATGCCGACTCTCTATCTTTTCTGTGGAGTTCTCAGGCATCTGGTTAGCTTTTGTTTGGCACTTTATATAAAATCTACAAGTCTTTTTAAATGAATTCCTTTGGTTTCCCCATAGAAAAACACATTCTGCCCTGTGGCCAGAGCTCCAGCTACCAAGGCCCAGGGGGAGGGGCAGGGGGCGGGTGGGATGCGGTTAGAAAGTGAAATGAGACTTCCTTGGTTCAGTATGCAAATCTTTCCCTTCCCCTTCCCCGTGTTTTAGGCCATATATTAGACATCAGCCTTGCACTATGTGTGGTGCCCCAACTCAGGAATGAAATGATTCTGTTTTCCAAGAGAGCAAGCCTCAGGTCTCCAGTGTTGTGAGGCACGGCTAACTCCCTAGTAGTCTGTAGTAAGAAAGGGAACCGGAGTGCTCACGATTCTTTTTCAGGCTTCCAGCTAATCTCCCTGCTTTTGCTCCCAGCACCCTCTCCCTGCTCTTTCTGCCACAGCTGAGATTCGTAAGGGTTCTGTGGGTCACATCAGCTCACTTCTCATAGCACCCCACTTTTGGGGTCCTTGTGTTGGCATGGTCTTTACCCCACTTTCAGACTTTTCAAAATATGTTGGCATCTCTTGCTGTGGATGCCTCTCCTGTGCTCCTTTGTCCTTGGGACAAGGGCATGTCTGTAATCAATTCAAAATTGTTTTTAATAGAGATAGGATCTCACTATGTTGCCAGGCTGGTCTTGAACTATTGGGCTCACGTGATCCTCCTGCCTTGGCCTTCCAAAGTGCTAGGAGGAAATATTTTTCAATATTTTCCAGTATTTTTAAGGGAAATCCAGACTAGTTTTAAGGCAACATTTAAAACTCTCATGCTTTCCAGGGCCCTGCTTTGAAAACTTTTGAAGATATCCAGATTCCTTAGTTGAGGCTATTTCCACAGTGCTCCTGAGTCTCTGTGGAATCAAATGACTCAAGCAGCTTCAAGAATCCCTTGTATAACATGACCTTTAGAAAAGTAGAGAAAATGAAAAGCTTCTCTTGGAATGCAAATCATCAATTGTTTGAAAAATCCAAAGTTTGCAACATCATCTCAGGGTGGCTGCAAACATCAAACTGATAAAAGAGCCTCTAGAGCTCCTTTTCTGACATAGGGAATTCTGTGTTTGTTTTTCTTATTGTCTTGAGGAGTTGCAGGAGAGCTTTTCTGTTTTCTCTTTTCTCTTTTAGTATTTTAAAATTGAATCAGACTTGAAGTGACTCCTCCTTGAGCATGTGCTAAAGCAGCTGTGATGACCGGAAGTCATGGCCAGAAAATCTTCCACAGGAAACAACACACTCACACACACACCTTTAATTATTCAAACTCCCAAAGGTTCTGAAGTTAAACAAGTTCTTCCTCGGGAGAGCAGACTTGACCCTCTTTTCCCTACTCTCTTCCCCAACCTCAACTCCTGCACAAGAACTTCAAGGACGCAGCCATAAATTAGGTTGACATCTAGAAGCCCCCTCCATCTAAAACTGATGGAGAACCACAAAAACTGGGAAGGTTTCCTCCTCTGGGGCTGTGAATTTCTGCTTCTCTCATTAATAAGATAATTTTACTTCCTTGGGCAAAATGGAGCATAGCTGTCTCTTATTCATGACAGAGAAATCATAATATTATTTTAGTTTATCTTCAGCACCCCTCCAATTCTCATTGAGTTATTCTGGGCGCAAACCAGGTTATTTTTGGCATTTCCAATGTACTAAGCTTCATGAAGAAAAGAGGCAGAAAAGCAGAGTATTTAGGATCCCGGTATTAAACACACTTGGATTGAAATCCTGGCTCCCTCACTACATGCCTATGATGTTTAGTAATATCTGAATATTATTGGTTACTTAATTTATAATATTCATAATTATCTATGAAATACATAATAATATAAACTTTCAATAGGACAGTGAGAAGGATTAAATTTAATAAAGCATATGAGGAGCTAAACTTCTGTGGCATATAGTAAATGCTCAATCAATTTAGGTTGTCATGATTGTAATCAGGAAGATAAAATAACGTGTGTGTGTGTGTTTAGTTATGCTAGATAGGTGATTTTTGAGCTGCAGAGATTTTGAACTCTTAAACGAAGGAATACCATCATTCTCTGTGCTGGACAGACTTTCTGATGGCTCCAGCTTAATTTCCATCATAATGTTGTAAGACTTTCTCCTTAGTTTAGCTAAAAATTGGGTCCTTGCCACATGACCATGAAATATTAGGCTCGCAGACTCTTTGAAGGGTGAGAAAAATGGAATTTATTGGGCGAAAAGGAAAAAAACTCAGCAACACGAGATAGGTTCCTGTAAACATGCTCTCACATCAGATTGAATCCCAGCTTCCACCCAGGAAGAGGAGGGGCCAGGCTCCTGCCTACTGCAACCGGCATGAGCTTCCCGAGGCTCCACCCAAATGCACAGTCCTCCCAGTGTGCAGGCAGGTCAGAGGTTCTCCAGGGATCCCTTTACACTTGGCTGTCTCAATAACTCAACCACAACTCCTCTGCCAAGGACAGTTCACACTGCCTCTCAGAACTGAGCTCATGTAATGGCAGCTCATGTCATCTTCAGAGAGCTCAGCTGTTAGAAAATCATTCTGATTGTCAGCTAAAATGTTGTTCTCTATAATTTTCATCTGTTGGTTATGCAGCCTCTTGAAGGTGCATGATGCGAGTCTAATCTCATCTTCACTCCATGGTCCTCCAGGAATTTGAACACAGCTAGTAAGTGCTCCGCGAGCTTTCTTTTGACTGAGGTCACTAAGCTGAACATGTCCATTGCCTTCCATGGCTTGTCTCATGTTTTGTTCCCAGGCCCCTCTCCTCCTGGACACACTTTATCTTCACCATGAGTGGTACCCAGGGCTGAATGCACTGTTGAAGCAGTGCTCTCACCAAGGCAAAGCACAGCTCATCTCTTTCTCAAGGAATTTTAAATCTACCGAGCCCCATGAGTATGCCAAAAAGACCATATGAAAGGAATCCATATGCCAGACAAAGGAAACTAAAACCAAGATCCAGTAAAGTTAAGCCCATTAAAATTCCTTTAAATTGTGCCCAGGACTGGCTATCTTAAAACTGGTTCCTGTGCCTTTATTTATCACAGCATGTGCTGAAAAATTGTGAGGCAGAATGAAGTATTTAGGGTACTAGATTTCCTAGACTATCTTTTCAACTCAATTGTGAGAACCAGTCCCATGATTAAAATCAAATTTGGGTACAAGTTCTGCCTCTGCCATTTAACAAAAACAAATTTTACAGATTGTGTGACCTTGCTTGCCTCCCTGAAAGTTCCTTGAATCTTTAAGGTAGAAGCAGTAATTCCTGCCTCCCATGACTGTGGAGAGAAGCCTGTGGTCAATGCTTGTAGCATCCACACGGGGTCTGCAGCAGGAATTGCTCTGAGGTACTGCCACTACCTGCCTTGAGAACAGCCTCCAGATCACTCTGTTGCAGGGACTCTCTCTGCTCTCCGTTTAAAAAGCAACCTATTGGAAAGTTCAAAAGACTATTGGCAGAATGGACTCTTTGGGTAAAAGAACTGTGAAATGGGGTTAAGGGACCTAGAATTTACTTCCAGCTAGCTCATATGACCTTGGGCAAGTCCCTGTGTGTGCGTGTGTAAACCAGACACAGTCTCAGTTTCCTTAGTTGTAAAACAGGGATCTTGGTTAATTGGAAGATTCTTTCCTAATCTAATGATTTGTGATTCTAATTTACTCTCTCCTCCTCCAGCTTACATCATTGTTTGATATTTCCCAGAATATATGAAAGATGAAAAGTATACTTCAGAAAGCTAAATTTTGCAGTTCCTGGAAGCGTTCATGCTTATGCCTCAAATGGTCATTTAGATTATTTCTTCTTACCCCTTTTGTGACTGGCTGAATTTTGGAGCTATACAGTATGTCAGTATGTGTGCAATTTCTATTTCCTAGGCAGTGGGGAGTTATTCTAAGAAGGATAAAGAGACAGATCAGTAATCACTCAGGCCTCATGCTGAGTGGACCCATGTGCCTTACCTCGAGATTTGCTGAGTGAGAGAGATGCTCTACATAGCTGCCTGGCAGGTGTCCAGGGGCCAAGTCTACTAAGTAGCAAGCTTGCCTTGCAAGATTGCCAAGTTACGACCTCACCGTAATATCCAGAATCCAGGCATCTAGGCAGCGACAAACAATAAATGCAGGAAAAATAAGACCCCAATATTTCTATAACACCAATGAACACTTTTCATTGTGTTCACATTCATTGCAACAATATTGACCCTAATACACAACTCTAGAATTTGTAAAACCATTTTACTCCCAATAGTTTACAATAACAATAACCTTGCAACATAAGTGGGCCATGGGAGGAAAGAGCAGGGGTGATTACTATTTTGTCCTGGTAGAAAAAAAAAATGTTTCTAAGTGAAGATAAAGTACTTTGCAAGGTTTCACAGACAGACAAAAAGAAGTGGCAAAATCAAGACTTGAACTCAAATCGTCTGACTCAAAATCCTTTGTTCAGTCCAATAGACCACATTTCCTCTCACTATCATCAACTTGACTCCCACAGGTGCTAAATGCCGAGAAGGACCAGTGAGAAAGGACAAATAGACACATCACGGTAGAAGTTGGAAACTCCAAGGACGGGGGGCTATGTAGACGTCAGGGTGATGGGGAGGTGGTCCCTAACATAGGAACAAAACTTAGAGTAATATCAGACTTCTTGTCAGCATCTTTTGGGTATTAGAAGACAATGAAAACTTCAAATTTCAGAGGGAATGGGATTTGAACATAGAATTCTATACTCAGTCAAACCATCAGTTCAGACAGTTTTGGATGTGCAAAAACTCAAGAAGTTTACTGCCCTTACACTAATTGAAAATATACTACTTGAGATGTGGTCTTCTACCAAAATAGAACCAAAATTTGAGAAAGAAGATGAAATGGGATACAAGAAGAGGCAGCGGCCGAGAATGGCTGGTGCGTAAGGGAGACTTGGAATCAGGTAAGAGAGAATCCACTAGATAGGACATTTAGAGGGTCTCCTTTACCTGAAATGTGAGTGGCATAGAACTGTTTCTTCTCTATGACTTTATCTACACTTTCTAGTTCTGCATTGAATATTATTTACATAATCATTATATTGTTAATTCTGGATATTACTTTTCTTTTCAAAATAATCCGTGTAGTATATAATCACATAAAATGTATTTACAATGACAGAAGATAATGCAGATGTAACAAATTTAGATCGTATAAAAATAATTACAGAGGAAAGAAAAATTTGTGGGTAGAAGGCTGCATTAGTGTCATTTTCCTTATACTGTTTTGTAACTGTCTAAAGGTGCTAAATCATGAAATAGACCTTAGTTATATTACTTAAATTTGTGAAGACAACCAGTAAAAGATCCAAAAATAATGATCAAGCTAACAAAATTTCAGAGGTGAGGGGGAAATAAAAAGTAGATAGCAATATAAATAAGTAAACTTCTCAGCTCTCATATAATAGCTTCTCTCCAGGAAATAATAGCTTCTCTTGAGAGTTGAGAAATCAAAAAGTAGGAATCCACATATATTATACAAAGTTATAACAATAATTGCTAGTAAAATTAACAAGAAAGAATACTGACACTGGCTGTCTTGGGTAAGAGGGGTTGATGATGAAGTAGAGGATTATTTTACATTTAATTTTTGTTCTTTTGTACTGTTTGAATATTTTAAATTCTATGCATGCATTAACTATATATTTAAACAAAGGAAAATTTATTCTATTTGAATATCTAATAACATGCAGATACAAATCTGGATGATGGTTTGACTATATACTGGCATATACTTAAAATCATACAAAGAAAAGAAAGGGAAGACTTTTTAAAATCAGGTTTGTCTCCTTTATTTTAAAAATGAAATATTATTATCCATGAGAAAGAAAGTAAATAACTTCCTAAGGATGCTTTACAGTGCTGACCATAAAACTCAAATTAATATTCTCTTCAAGAATTCAGTTAAATCATTTTTGTAAGGTCGCCAACATTGTCCCAACTTTGAAACACTGCCACTATCAAAATTTGGGGTTTTTGCACAATTGTACCATCCTACCAACACCTGATCTCAAAAAGAGACCTGAGTTTAATATCCTTCTCTCCCTCTTTCTTCTTTTTGTGGTTTATGAGCCCTTGTATGCAGTAAATACATTGCTTATGAAAGCAGGCAAAGATATTATACCATAAAATGGTATATCATTGCCTGCTTTCATAAGCATTGTATTTACAAGAGTTCATAAACCACAAAGTGTTAGAACAATGTTCTTAATACCATTTTTATGCTTAGTTTGTCTGCCATAGTACAGGGAAGAGCCTACACAAACTTTGGATGGATTTACACAAGCAAACATGTTTTGTTGTCTCTCATGAAGCCTGTCAAAGTGATCTGGGCAGAAATTCGGGGCCCCTTTGACCAACCAGGCCTTTGAATCAGACTGTTTCTGTGACAGGACATGGTCCTCTCAAAGGGCATTTTTTCCACTTGCTCCTTGACCAAGCAGAGGTGCTGAACAGTAACATAGGTATTCCCCAGGCTTAGCTTTTCTTTCTTTTCCTTCCTTCCTTCCTTCCTTCCTTCCTTCCTTCCTTCCTTCCTTCCTTCCTTCCTTCCTTCCTTCTTTTCCTCCATCCATCCTTTTCCTTTCTTCTTTGTTTTGTCTTCTCTTTCTTCTTCTTCTAATAGATCAATCTCAACAGAGAACTTAGCTTCAATATTTTTGTAGCTTTGGCTTTCTCAGCCCACTGCACTACCCCCTTACACCCCTGCACGTGCAATTAACAGGTGTCTCATCAGTCTCCACAGTGCTGTGCACTTTACTATCTCCCTGAGCTTGATCACATGGTTTACTTTGTCTGCACTGTCTTTCCCACCCACAACGCCCATTACCACAAGCTCAAATCCTACCCCACCTTCTAGCCTCAGCTCATGGATCAGCCTCTTTTATGAAATCTTCCTTGATCTTCCCAAACCTAAGAAATTGCTCCCTCCTTGGCTTGCTATAGCTTTTAATCTAGTCCTATTTGTGGCATAAACCTCTATCCCTCATATTAAAGTTATATTTATGAGTGTACCTCAACATTTTACCATTCTGCGGGATCCATGTCTTAGTTGTCTCTCTGCTCTTCTATTGCACAAGAACTGGCACATGTTAAGTGCTCAATAAATATCTACTGATTTCTATTGGTTTTTCAAGGTTTGCAGAGCTAGTAAAGTCAAGACTGGAACCCAGGTTTTTGGCAGCTGCTCCAGTGTCCTCTTCACTACACCACATGGTCTCACACATTTTACCACACATTTAAGCAGCTGATCTGAGCATTTTTAGCTATGACAGAGAATCAAAGGAACAGTCATGACCTGTCCCAGCTTGATATCAATTCAAGCTGACAAGGTAAAGCATAAGGTATGAAAGTGTCCTCGGATGAAGCAAACATTAGGATTTGCCATTTTGATATTTCATACATAACAAAAACATGTCAGACCCCATTAGTCACCTTCAACATCCTTTAAAGAAAGGGCAGAAGATGTTTGGTGAAGTGTCATGGCAGCTTCTTACTTTTTAATCTATTGTCCTCAGGTGAAGGGATAAACTGTTGTCCAAAAGTGGTTTGCACTAAAGAAAACCTTCACAAAGCATTAGGCTTGCCATGTATACTTTCTGAGGTCACCACAAGTCATGTGGTGATTTGAGGTTGAAAACTAAGAGGCTAAATCATTTAATAAACCTGGCTTCCAGGGAACAGATATTTTTTTTTAAAAAAAAGAAGAGCAAAATTTTTTATTTATCATAAATAGTCATTATTTCCCCCAAAAGACTTCTGCACCATTTTTATCCTTTAAAAAATTGAAACCATAATCCCAATCTAAATATTGTTGAGTTTCCTTTCCTGTTTCATGCTGGGCATAAAATAAGCAATAATGCGTCAACCTAAATATATGAACCACTGAAGACAATTTAGCTACATTCATGTTTTTCCTTTGATAACTCAAGTCAAGGTAAACATCTATAGTGACTGTACATTAACGCGAAAGGTTTCCAATCAAACCCTGATTGTCTAAATCTCTAGCATTCCACAATGCCAAAATGAGCTCATATCCTAGTCACCTGTCTTCCTCATTGTACACAACCCACTTACACGAGATCTCTGTGACCCAGTGTAATTCAAGTGCCCTGTTCTTTTTGGCAAATAGAGGCTTGAAAGAACACACTGTCTGAAATACACATTGATTTTCACAGTGTAACAAAAAATATTTTATCTAACACTTCTTAAGAAAAATAAGTCCAGGCACTTGATATGAGAGCAATCCTGGATTTTTGCATAATAAGTAGTATCTAGACACTTACAGTCAAGCCACTCTTCTAGAGGTTCAGAGCACTTTATACTTGAGGGATGAATCCACAGAAATATCCTTTAAATTGCAGCTGCAGGTAAATCATTTGTGGTGTGTTATTCATTTACCTCTCCTCGTTTATTCAACTAAGAGATTTTTTCCCTTCTTTTACATGGAATGTCACTCTCTTTGAAATGAGTATCTCTTTCATAGTGTTACTGCTACAAATAATATAAATGTTCATTAGAAAGCATAAATCATCTCTAACCAAAGATGGGAAGCTAAGTCCCGTCTGGACATTGCAGCGGGTTAAACAGTGTCATCCAAAAAGATATGTCTGAGTCCTAAGCTTCAGCACCTCCCAAAGTGACCTTATTTGAACGTAGGATCTTTGTGGATAAAATTGAGTTAAGAATCTCAGGACGAGATTATCCTAGATTTAGAGTAGGCCATAAATCTAATGATTGGTGGCTTTATAAGAGATTTGAGACACACAGACCCAGAGAGAAATGCAATGTGAAGATGGATACAGAGATTGGAGTGGTGCAATTACAACCCAAGGATGTCAGGGATTACCACAAACACCAGAAGCCAGGAAAGAGGAAAGGAGGCTAATTCATCCTCAGAGCCTCCAGAGGAACAAACTCAGCTGACACCTAATGTCAGACTTCTGGTCTCCAGAACTGTAAGAGAATAAGTTTGTGGTTCTTTTGTATGGCCCAGGAACTAATATGGATACAGTGATGGGTACTTAAATAGAAATGATTGGCTCAGCAGGAAAAGAAACATATATGTGTGTGCATGCAGAAAACTAACCATGCATGTGCTATACAAGATATGAATCAGCTACAGCTATACATAGATGTAGATCAGCTGCAAGTCTTCTTGACATAGGAAGAAGTAAAGAGATTGCTCAGTCACTTCTCCTCCAATCTCTATTGGAGATGTCAATAGGGAAAGGCCAACAAGCTCACCTCCCCAAAGTCTCCTCCGATCCCTCCCCTCGGACCATGGAAAGGGATCTCTTTTGATCTCTGAACTCTCATGGTTCCTCTGTGCTGCCTTCCATTACAGTCAGTTGTGCATACATGTCTGTGTCATATTAAACCAAGCAAGTGGAGGGCAATTCTGTACAGTGGAAAGTGGTTGCATTTGAAATAAGGGTACATAAACTTTCTTTTTACTATGGCCCAGAGTAACGTGCATTCAGGCTTATCTGTAAAGTAGGAATAAAAAGCACCATCAGACATTTCTCACAATCTTTCTGAGTGTTGCAAATAAAATAATTGGAGTGAAAGTGTAGCCAGGAGGAGCATGCAACAGAAAGAGTGTAAACCAGAAAATTCAGTTTACACTAAAAACAAACATAAAGGACCGTTTCTCTTTGCATCCCTCAAAACACAGCTCACCACATAGTTCTGCACATAGGGGGTCTTAGTAAATGTCTGTGCTATCAACAAGGAGTGTGTAAGTGGAGCACAGTCTCTTCAGAAAAGAGTTGGTTACAGATTCTTGAAAACAAACAAATGAGCCAACTAGTTAAATGGATTCTTGCTAATTCCACAAAGGGCATCTTGGGGAACAAAACAACCTAGCACTTCTATTAGCAGTGGGGCTTGGGCAGCCCTGGGCAGGCACATCCCATGCAAATGGAGGGCCATGGTCATAGTCACTGTCAGGGTCATGGTCAGCACGGCCAGGAGTCCAAGAGATCACTTTGACATCTCTGGGATTCAGACTCTAAAAACTGTTAACATCTCACATTTGGCTTTTTCTAATTTTGTAGAATCATAATGAGGCACTTTATTTCTTATTTTTGGATAACTGCTAACTGGATTCTCAGTTAATGTGAAATTTGGGACTTTTTATTTCTCCCGTCAAAGTTCCTACTCTTACTCTATTTCGGGCCCTTGCCAAAGAGTATTATTCGTACAACATTATGATTCAGTTGATTTATGGAACATCTAGATAGTGCTTCTCTAGTTGTCAGGCAAACTTAAGAAATGTCACTGAATAACTAATAAAGCACAGCCTTACAGAGTTTTCTTCAGGAGTTCTTAAGCAGAAATCATGGCCCATAAGGTCTCCATATGGGTCTCAGGAATATTATAACACCCCCCTCCCCAGATTGTTTGTACGTTTGCACATGTAAGTGTATTGTGGGGGAGATCGCTTCCAGCACATCTAGAACAGGCTAAGAACCACTGGATCACTTCGATTTTCTCTTGTAAAATACCTTTACTAATGTGTTTTCCATGTGCCAGGTCTTCTGTAGGTGCTTTACCTATGTTATCTCATTTAATACTCACAACAACCTTCTACCTTAGGTATTTTTATTGTCAGTACTAATGAAACAATTGAGTAACTTGGCTTAGTTTGATTTAATCTAACTTGACCAAGGTTACTTCACTAGCAAGATGGGCGGGATTCCAATTTGCCACAGTCTGAAGAGCGTTTACACACTCCACTGCACAATAGCCATTTTCACTAACATGGTTTAGTTTTGTGTGTTGTTATTTATCACAGGGAACACTCCTTCAGAGCCACTGATTTCTGGATGAAGTTGAAGGTCACCACTATAAGCTGGGTCAGGTTCTGCCTTCTTGTGCTGCCACAGGGCTCAGACACGAGGGTGGTGGGCTGAGCAGGAGAGGAGGGAGGACCTGCTGCTTTGAGGAGCAGGATGGACATGTGGGAGTTGCCTGATTGTGGCTCTGTGAAGCAATGCCAGAACAGAATCTTGCTCCGGTCCCTCTTACAAGTGGGAACTGAGACCCAGGAAGCAAAAATGGCCCTGCCTAAAACATTAATTAGCCCAGAGCACAAAGTAAAGGAACTTGTAAAGACTGGGAGGTGGGACTCCCTGGTTCAAGTCCAGGTTCCGCCTGCTGGGCAACCTCAGGAAAGTCTCCTCATCTGTTCCTCAGTTTCCTCATCTGAAAAATGCGGAGATTGAATTATATTATTTCAGAGTCATCTTCCACTTCATCACAACGAGGTCACTTATTCAAGCTTCCTTTTTCGGCGTATTTTGATCATGTATTGTAAAAGTGCAAAGTATTGGAATGATAAATCAAATCTCATAGTTTTCAAGGTCATCAACAGAGTCTGGGAGGATATTTTTATTTACGAATCATCTCTTTATAAAAAAGGCACATTGAAAGTTAATAGAAGTCATTATTGGTGATATCATCGGCAAAAATAGCAGGACATGATCCAGGGTAGGTAATTTAAGATGATGGATTATCAAAGAGCTTGTCTCTTGTCAGCTCAAAAAGCTTTCTGACTGCTTGCTTTCCGTTTCCAAAGCGTCAAACTCAAATAGCTCTTCACAAAAACAATATAGTTAGAAAAAGTAACATCACTGCTTTATGAAGCCTAGCGCCCACCACCACTCCTTTTCTGGTCTCTCAACTTTATCTCACAGTGCTGTGAAGAAAGGGAGTGGTCATTTATCATATGCCATCACATGTGATAATCTCAACAAACTTAGCAGAATGTTTTTAAGATTCTCATTTTATTGATGAGAAAACTGACACTCAAGAAGTTAAACAGGACAGAGTTAGCAAGTACTGAAATTTGAATTAGAAAAGGTGGCTGTAGCCTCCACATTCACCAGGAACTAAATGGAGTTAAAGTTCAGAGTTTCATCTTCAGATCAAGAATAACCTATTTATTCATTTATTGACCTTTCACAATCCCCAGTGTTATGAGTTAAATTATGTCCCCCAAAATTGTATGTTGAAATCCTAACTCCCAGAACCTTAGAATGTAATGCTAATTGGAGGGAGACCCTTCACGAAGACAATCAAGTTAAAATTAGGTCCTTAGAGTGCACCCTAATCCAATATGACTGGTGTCTTTATAGAAAGGGGAAATTTGAAGATGGAAACAGACATGTGCAGGGAAAACGCCATGTGAAGATGAAAGCAGAGATAAGGGTGATGTTTCTATGAGCCAAGGAACAACAAAGGTTGCCAGCAAGCCACCAAAAGACGGGGGAGAGGCATGGACCAGATTCTCTTTTACAGCCCTCAGAAGGATCCAACTCTGCCGATGTCTGGATTTCCGACTTCCAGCCTCCAGAATTGTGAGACAATACATTTCTGTTGTTCAAGCCACTAAGTTTGTGGTACTTTGTTACAGCAGCCCTAGCAAACTAATACATTCAGTAAGGTGAATATTAGAGGCCAGTAATGGTTTCATGAGTACCACCAGTCACAGCCATGGTGGTCCTTCACATTCAGTGCAAAGCTCTTCCCATCCATGAGAGTTTTTAGCTGCCCCCCACAAAGATGAAATATTAACTTGGTCTCCTCCGTTATCCTAGTAACCAAGTAGCAGAATCAAAATTTAGACCCAAGAACTGTTTCTAGGTTCAGTGTGAATCCCCTGTACAATACTAACTCCCAGGGACACTTACCAGGGCCATGATCCCAAAAATATCAGTATCATGCCCATCTTTTCATCTTTGTAATTTTCAGTTATAACTTGAAGGCTTTTTGGGGCTTTGCACATTCCCTGATGGAGTGTAGCACGGAGAAACTTGAATGCCTGTCTCATTTTTCAGAAGACTTCTCCAACAGAGAAGCATTTTAGGAATGAAAGCTTTAAGTTTTCTCTGCATCTGGCCAAGGAAGATATTAAAGGAGTTAGCCCAAAGCCGCTACTCCCAATGTAATATGCATTTATTGACTTTCTACCATGCTCCTAGTACTGCGCTGGGCTCTTGGAAGATGACGGTGACTAAGACACAGTGCTTATTCTCAATAGCTCATAACCAGGGAGAGGCAGACATGTAAAGAGAGAATTTCCTAGAGGTGCATTTAGCCCAGCCTGATGGTTCAGAGACATCTTCTGGGAAGAGGTGATGGCTGAGCAGAGGACCACCTTTGCTTTTGTAATTCTCCTAAATGTGACACAGGTCCCCTGAAGAACAAAAGCTTCCAGAACACCTCAGAAAATTCATCACCCAACGTGCTGGCTAGAAAAGGAAATAAAATATCTGCCTTCCAAATTTTATAACTTCTTTCCTCCTTCCAAAAATAGTTCTCACTTCTACCTTAATGACAGTGGGAAATTTTTTATGTCTTATAAAAAAGCTAATACTGTTCTATATTCTGGATAGTCTACATTTTTTAGCATTTCCTCCGTGCTAGATACTTTGCTAAGTACTTTTCATATTCGACCTTATTTAATTTCCACTTTATAGATGAGTAAACTTTAAAAGGTTAATTAATTTACCCGTGGTCATAAAAGTGGCAGAGAATGAAAGTTCTCTGCTTAATATCCACCCTACTCTCTTCCTTAGAATAGACTCCAATTTTATTCAGTCAATAAAATACTCAGCTAAAAACTATACTTCCCAGCCTCCCTTATGATTGAAGTAGACATGTAACATAGTCACTTGTAGGGAGCTGGTTCTAAGAAGCTCTTTAAAGGAGTCTGAATAAGATTGCACATGTTACTGTGTTTCTTACCCTTCTCTATGCTTCTTTAAAAAAATTCCATTCATTGTTGGGGTACAGGTGGTATTTGGTTACATGACTAAGTTCTTTAGTGGTGATTTGTGAGATTTTGGTACACCCATCACCTGAGCAGTATACACTGCATCCTATTTGTAGTCTTTTATCCCTGCTCCCCCTTGCATCCTTCCCCCCAAGTCCCCAAAATCCATTGTCCATTGTATCATTCTTATGCCTTTGCATCCTCATAGCTTAGCTTCCACATATCAGTGACAGCGTACAATGTTTGGTTTGCCAATCTTGAGTTACTTCACTTAGAATAATAGTCTCCAGTCTCATCCAGGTCACTGAAAATGCCATATTTTCAGCATATAAACGAGCATATTTTCAGCAAACAGTGACAGTTTGGCTTCCTTTTTACCAATTTGGATGCCCTTTATTTCTTTCTCTTGTCTGATTGCTCTGGCTAGGACTTCCAGTACTATGTTGAAGAGGAGTAGTGAGAGTGGGCTTCCTTGTCCTGTTCCAGTTCTCAGAGGGAATGCTTTCAACTTTTCCGCATTCAGTATTATGTTGGCTTTGGGATTGTCATAGATGGCTTTTATTACATTAAGATATGTCCCTTATATGCCAATTTTGCTGAGAGTTTTAATCATAAAGGATGTTGGATTTTGTCAAATGCTTTTTCCGTATCTATTGAGATGATCATGTGATTTTTGTTTTTAATTCTGTTTATGTGGTGTATCTCATTTATTGACTTGCATTTGTTAAACCTTCCCTGCATCTCTGGTATGAAACCCACTTGATCATGGTGGATTGTCTTTTTGATGTGTTGTTGGATTCGATTAGCTAGTACTTTGTTAAGGATTTTAGCATCTATGTTCATCAGGGATATCAGTCTGTAGTTTTCTTTTTTGGTTATGTCCTTTCCTGGTTTTGGTATTAGCGTGATGCTGGCTTCATCGAATTAATTAGGGAGGGTTCCCTCTTTCTCTACCTTGTGGAATAGTGACAAAAGGATTGGTACCAATTCTTCTTTGAATGTCTGGTAGAATTCTGTTGTGAATCCATCCAGTTCTGGACTTTTTTTGTTGGTAATTTTTAAATTACCATTTCAATCTTGCTGCTTGTTATTGGTCTGTTCAGAGTATCTAATTCTTCCTGATTTAAGCTAGGAGGATTGTATTTTTCCAGGAATTTATCCTTCTCTTTTAGGTTTTCCAGTTTATTTGTGTAAAGGTGTTCATAGTAGCCTTCAATGATCTTTTGTATTTCAGTGGTGTCAGTTGTAATATCTCTCATTTCATTTCTTAATGAGGTTATTTGAATTTTCTTTCTTTTCTTGATTAATCTTGATAATGGTCTATTTTATTTATCTTTTCAAAGAACCAGCTTTATGTTTCATTTATTTTTTGTATTATGTTTTGTTTGTTTGTTTCAATTTCATTTAGTTCTTCTCAGGTTATTTTCTTTCTTCTGCTGGGTTTGGGTTTGGTTTATTCTTGTTTATCTAGTTCCTTGAGGTGTGACCTTGGATTGTCAAGTTTGTGCTCTTTCAGTCTTTTTGATGTAGGTATTTAGGGCTATGAACTTTCCTCTTAGCACTGCCTTTGCTGTATCCCAGAGCTTTTGATAGGTTGTTCTTGCATGGTTTTGAAGCTTCCCTTTGGAGCTGATTTCCAGTTTTATTCCACTGTGGTCTGAAAGAGTGCTCAATATAGTTTCAATTTTCTTAAATTTATTGAGGCTCATTTTATGGCTTATCATATGGTCTATCTATCATATTATGGCTTATCATATAGATATCATAAATATCATACGATTTATCTTGGAGAAAGTTCCATGCACTCTTGAATAGAATGTACATTCTGTGGTTGTTGGATGAAATGTTCTGTATATATCTGTTAAGTCCGTTTGTTCCAAGGTATAGCTTAAATCCATTGTTCCTTTGTTGACTTTCTCTCTTGATGACCTGTCTAGTGCTGTCAGTGGAGTACTGAAGTCCCCCACTATTATTGTGTTGCTGTCTATCTCAGTTTTTAGGTCTATTAGTAATTGTTTTATAAATTTGGGAGCTCCAGTGTTAGGTGCATTTATGTTTAGGATTGTGATATTTTCCTGTTGGACAAGGCCTTTTACCATTACATAATGTCCCTCTTTGTCTCTTTTAACTGCTGTTGCTTCCAAGTTTGTTTTGTCTGATGTAAGAATAACTGCCTCTGCTCGCTTTTGGTGTCCATTTGCATGAAGTGCCTTTTTCCACCCCTTTACTTTAAGTTTATGTGAATCCCTATATGTTAGGTTAGGCTCCTGAAGGCAGCAGATAGTTGGTTGGTGAGTTCTTATCCATTCTGCAGTTCTGTATGTTTTAAGTGGAGCATTTAGGCCATTTACACTCAATGTTAGCATTGAGATGTGAGATACCATTGTATTCATCATGCTATTTGTTGTCTGTGTACCTTGGTTTATTTTGTTTCTTGTTTTTGCTTTTTAAATTGTGCTTTTGTTTTATAGGTCCTGTATGATTTATGCTTTAAGAGGTTTTGTTTTGATGTGTTTCCAGGATTTGTTTCAAGAGTTAGAGCTCTTTTAGCAGTTCTTGTAGTGGTGGCTTGGTAGTGGCAAATTCTGTCAGCATCTGTTTGTCTGAAAAAGACTGTATCTTTCCTTCATATATGATGCTTAGTTTCGCTGGATACAAACTTCTTGGCTGATAATGGTTTTGTCTGAGGAGGCTGAAGATAGGGCGCCTATCCTTCCTAGCTTGTAGGGTTTCTGCTGAGAAATCTGCTGTTAATCTGATAGGTTTTCTTTATAGGTTATCTGGTGCTTTTGTCTCACAATTTTTAAGATTCTTTCCTTTGTCTTAACTTTAGATAACCTGATGACAATGTGCCTAGGCAATGATCTTTTGGGGATGAATTTCCCAGGTGTTCTTTGATCTTCTAGTATTTGGATGTCTAGGTCTCTAGCAAGGCTGGGGAAGTTTTCCTCGATTATTCCCCCAAATATGTTTTCCAAACTTTTAGATTTCTCTTCTTCCTCAGGATCACCAATTATTTTTAGGTTTAGTGGTTTAACATAATCCCAGACCTCTTGGAGGCTTTGTTCATATTTTCTTATTCTTTTTTCTTTGTCTTATTGGATTGGGTTAATTCCAAGACCTTGTCTTTGAGCTCTGAATTTCTTTCTTCTACTTGTTCGATTCTATTGCTGAGACTTTCCAAAACATTTTGCATTTCTATAAGTGTGTCCAATATTTCCTGAAGTTTTGATTTTTTTTCTTTATGCTATTTCCTGGAATATTTCTCCCTTCACTACTTATATTGTCTTTTTTTTATTTCCTTGCATTGGGCTTTACCTTTCTTTGGTGCCTCCCTGATTAGCTTAATAACTAACCTCCTGAATTCTTTTTCAGGTAAATCAGGGATTTCTTCTTGGTTTGGATCAATTGCTGATGAGCTGGTATGGTTTTTGAGGGGTGTTAAAGAGCCTTCTTTGGTCATATTACCAGAGTTGGTTTTCTGTTTCCTTCTCATTTGGGTAGGATCTGTCAGAGGGAAAGTCTAGGGCTGAAGGCTATTGTTCAGATTCTTTTGTCCCATGGGGTGCTCCCTTGATGTAGTACTCTCCTTCTTTTCCTATAGATGTGGCTTCCTGTGAGCCGAGCTGCAGTGATTGTTATCTCTCTTCTGGGTCTAGCCACCCAGCAAGTCTACCTGGCTCCAGGCTGGTACTGGGGCTTGTCTGCACAGAGTCCTGTGATGTGAACTGTCTATGGGTCTCTCAGCCATGGATACCAGCACCTGTTCTGGTGCAGGTGGCAGGGGGATGAAATGGACTCTGTGAGGGTCCTTAGCTTTGGTGGTTTAATATTTTATTTTTATGCTGGTTGGCCTCCTGCCAGGAGGTGGTGCTTTCCAGAGAGCATTAGCTGTGGTATTATGGAGAGGAACTGGTGGTGGATGTGGCCCTAGAACTCCCAAGAGTATATGCCCTTTGTCTTCAGCTACCAGGGTGGACAGCGAAGGCTCATCAGGTGGGGGCAATGATAGGCATGTCTGAGCTGAGACTCTCCTTAGGCAGGTCTTTCTGTGGCTGCTGTGGGGGATTGAGGTGAGATTCCCAGATCACTGGAGTTGCGTACCTAGGAGGATTATGGCTGCCTCTGCTGAATCATGCAGGTTGTCAAGGAAGTGGAGGAAAGCCAGTAGTCACAGCCCTCTCCCAGCTCCCACACAATCTGAAGGGCTGGTCTCACTCCCACCATGCCCCCAGCAAACAGCACTGAGTCTGTTTCCAGGCAGTGGGCAAGCAGGGCTAAGAACTTGCCCCAGGCTACCCGCCTCCCAGCTTCGAAAGAACAGGACTTTGGCTCTTCCCCAGCCTGTGGAGTCTGCACACTGGATTTGCACCCTCCCTGGAGTTCTGGCCAGGAGGCTTCTTGCCCGGTTCAAATTGTTACAAATTCAGCTGGAGACTTTCTTCTCCCTGTGGCATTTCCCCCCATGCCTCTGGCCACCCTCCCAAAGGATCTCTGTGGTGCCAGGCAGGAATGGCCTGTTTGGGGATGCAGCAAGCTCCCAGGACCTTTCCCACTGCTTCCTCTACCTCTGCATTTCACTCAGCTCTCTAAATTGACTCAGCTCCAGCTAAGGTAGGAAACTTCTCCTGCAAACTAGACTTTCATTTTCCCCAGTGGAGGTGTATGTTCAGGGATGGAGGTTCTCCCTTTCCCACTTTTGCAGTTGAGGCATTCACAGTATTTGGGATGTCTCCCAGGTCCTGCACAAGCAGTCGGCTTCCTTCAGAGGGTCTGTGGGTCCTCTCAGGATTCCTGGTTTGTTCTTGCAGTCATTCTGGAGCTAAAATTCATGATATGAGCCTTCACACCCTGCTCTGTCCATTTGAGTCAAAGCTGCAATCTAGTTCTGCCTCCCATCTGTCATGATGATCGCTCAGAACCCCTTCTCTATGCTTCTTAATTAGAATAATAATATGGCTGGTGCTCCTGCAGGCATCCTGAGACCATCGTAGGTCACATAAACACAAAGGACGGCTGAGCTGCATAGGAGTTCCTAGGATCACCATCGACATGTATGGGTGATGTGCCAGCAATAGATTGTCCACCTCTGAGTCTTTCATTGCTTGATAGAAAAACAGATTTCTATATGTTATCTATGCCATTTTTTAAATCTTACTTGCCACTGAAGTTATTCCCTAAATGAAATACATAAAGCTAGTCTGTTGTAAAGTATTCCTTGAAGACATCTTTCTGTCTCCAATCTGGGATTGAGAGGAGGGAAGGACAATGGTACATTCATAGTGCAGAATTAAACAGAGAGTAAACTGGAAATAGGTAGGAGAAGTGTCAGGCATGAGCCTGGAGAAAATGAGCTGTGCTGTAAGACCCCCCAGCCCAGATTCTACCCGAGTTTGGCTGCTAAATGTTGGTGATTTTGAGCGAGTTACATCCTGTCTTTTGACCTTAGTTTCTTCATTTTTGCAGTGAATTTGGGCCAGGTATCTCCATGGTCCCAACACAGGGAAGCAACCAGTCTGTAAACCCCATGAAGCAAGGAGCTTCACATTTCCAATGATAAGAAATAAGGTTCCTAGAAAGCTCCTCCCTGAATTCCTTCATTTTCAATCGGAGACTCTCTGAGACTTCTAACTCTCTTGCCCCTCCTTACACTCCCCTTGTACCCAGGAGATACACATGAAGTTTGCCCCCATCAATAAAGTCCTCCCAATGTGCACAAAGTCCTTCTTGTGCATAAAGTCCTCCCCACTCCCATTCCATCTTCACCATTTTTCTCCCTCATATGCAAGAAGTTCAGCCAAATCTCATAGATAAGGCAATTGCACTCACATAGGACTATAAAATAGCATTTTCTATCTGAGGAGTTCAAATAGCTTCACAAAATTACATTTTCTTTCTCAAGTGTCCCAAGAAATTTGCAGCTATTTCTCTTTTATATATAGAAATTCATTGCCAGCATGCACATTGAGATTTTTGAGCTCTCAATTCTGTTTAGGGAATGAGGCTTGTATGAGACAGCTTACAAAAATATAAAAGTATAAAACAATTGTTGAGCAGATTGTAGGAAAAAAAAACAAAAACAAAAAGCCAGAGATCCTCAGATCAGCACAGTTAATGTGTGCCACATGATCTTACACTGTTGCCAGAAAAAGCCACAGATTTTGTTCTCCACTTCCTAGCTGCTAACACAAAAATACAGTCACAGTTTCAGAGACATTAACTTACTAAAGGTCATACAGTCACCCAGAAAATCTGCAGCCAAATCAACCAGAAAATTTAGGGTCAAAGTATTGACCATTAGACCCCTTCCCTGGACTAAATTCTATCCCACAATGAGTCCACCAACAACCCCTCCCTTCACAGGCAAGGCAGCCAAAAAGCTGAGAGACATGACTCTTCTAAAGTCTGGGAAGCAGAGTTGTTCACTCTGCTTGATGTAAACATCAAGCAGTTCAAACCACAGAGACAGGATTTTCCAGAACTTGGTGCCTCAGCCAACGTGGACAATGGGATGGCTAGTCAGAAATGCATCACTAAAGAATGTCACAGAGAGGAGAACTATTAGTGTCCATGCAAGCATTGTCTTGGGGAGGGAAAATCATTAGAGTCCAGACCTAGGCCTTTGCTGGATGGACAGCCTGATGCCACTATTTTCCTTGTGAGATTCCTCTTGATATGAATTCATTCTCAGCGAGCAGCCTCCTGATTAAGGTTTAGCTTCCCAGGGAGGCTTTCTTCTGTGAAGAGACAGCTCTGGCATACTGATGTATGTGGTCTGGGCCTTGTGGCCATGGTCCTTCCTTGAGAAGCTGTAGTTTTGTGCATCAGCATTGTGAGTTTGGCTAGTATGAGTCTGCCCTGGAAGAGCACACACTCCTGGCGGTAATAAAATCAATCCTGAGCCTACATGATTGGGGGTCAGATACCAGGCCATGGTCAATCCTCTGAGGGAAGGAAGGCATCCTTTAGGACCCCTCAAGGTAACCAGCCAGTAGTTCCCCTGTAGGCACCCCCTCGTGCTGTCTTGTGTTAAAACTTCCACAGGGATCAGCATTGAGGGGGCCCTTGGTTTCCTCACTTTGCCTCCTCCCTTTCTTGTTTGGGTGACCCTCATGGACTCCCAGGGGTCTGGCCAGCAGTGATATATATTGCCTCTGGAAACTTGTGCCTGCCTCAGACCCTGCACATTGATGTAAAAAAAAAAAATCATTGCATCTCAAACAACCAAATTGCTAGTACTTTACATTTACTACACACATTACCCATGGGCAAATTTGAAAATTATAGCTCTTCTCGGGTGTTTTATACTAGATTTCAAACAGCCCAGCCCAGCGTGAAACTGCAGGGAACTGAAATGAGTATGGAGGTGGAAAGTGGAGAAGGATCAACTTTATCTCCTGATTAGTCAAGATGAAAAATGATTTGAGAGACATGAGAGGAATGACAATAACATGGTTCATTGGCCTGATTGCCTGTTGTTCATAAACAGATAATGGTGCCCCTGGAAGTTTGTGCAGCTTAAGTCTGCTTGTGATGACCAAATAGGACTGATAGAGTTGTTTTCATTTGGGGCTTCAAACACATTCTTAAAATGCTGTAAAATACCAAAAACACAAAATAAAAAAGAAAGAATTCACAGGATATTCAGTGGTAGGTCATTATTGGGAAGAAGGCAGAACAGCACAGAGTTATTGACCCTTTGAAGTTTAATTTTGAAGCAATCTCCCCTAGAGGCTTTTTCCTGACCTCCACCCTACTCTCAATCAGAAAAGAAGGTTATGGGTTTTTTGCTTTTGTGTTTTTTAAAGCTTCTTTGGGCTGTCCTCCTGGCACTTACTCCATCTTCCTTCCTTTGCAATCACTCACGGGGTGCTGGGTCTCTTCCATTGATTTCTCTTGCAGTATTGGCTTTATGCCATTTACCATTTGCTCACAACAAATGGACAAGGAAAATGCAGGAGAAACCATGATGCAATGGGACTCTCTCATGTATGGACAGCACTTTAAAGTGCTTCACAGATGTGATCCCATCTGAACCCCACAAAAGCCCTGGGAGGTTTACTAGAACTAACACTCTGTGCTTCATATAAAGAAGCTTTTATTCTTCTACAGGCATTATTTTCATAGATCTTCTCTAAAATGGGGATTGCAATTGTTTCTACCTCATAAAGTTGCTACAAAGACTAAACAGAATAAAGAATTTATGTATGTAAAAGCACTCACAACAGGGCCTAGTGCATAAAAAAGGCTCTATATGTTTGCTGTTATTACTTTTTATTATCACTATCTTATTTAATCTGGAATCAGAAGGCTAGGACTGAGGTTTTCTACCTCTAAGCTCAGGGTCCCTGTTAGCACCCTCAGGGCTCTGGCCTGGCATGAACCAGGGTATGTATGGGCCACTTTCTGCTGTGGCCTCCCTTGTCCACTTCTATATCACAGGCAGTTACCATGGACCTTCTCCAAGAGCACTGCCTGCCATGGTCATCTATGGCTGCTTCTATGAAGATACATTTTTCTGCCATTCTGAAAGAGAAAACTTCTCTTTCTCCTCTGGGGTTCGTCTCTTCCCTCCCAGTGGAGAGAGAAGGCCATCTGCTCCTGAGTTCTGCAACCATTTCAAATTTTCTAACAGTGATTTGCTCTTTACCGGAGGCCCAGGCAGGTAATGTCCCATTGGGCAGAAATGCCAGTGCACACTGTCTCCCAGAGAGGTACATTAGGCCAGGCAAGACAGGGGCTGCCTGGCATGCAGCAGCAGGGAGGAGGCTCTGGGCATAATTTCAGTGCTGATTCCAGGTTGGCTGGTCTGGCTCCAAAGGAAGGAGAGCATAGCTGAAGGTGGACCAGTTTCACTTATGCATTCCCAAGCCAACACCAGAGCCGCTGGTGTGCTGGCTGCTGCAAATTCTTCCTCTGGCTACGAAAAGGCAAAAAAAAAAAAAAAAAAAAAAAGAAAGGGAAAACAAGTAAAAAGTTAAACCATTAAACAAAGGCAAACACTGTGTCCTGGGGATCTAAACACAGACACTATTTACTGGATTTATTCTATCATAATGGAACCCTTTTACCATCCTCACATCCAGTCATAAACCTTGTCGAAGTGTAATTGGATATCCCGTGGCATTGGATCCCTCTTGGACACCTCTCGGAAAAACAAACAAACAAACAGACAAAAAACAAAAACCTCCCACTTTCCTCCATCCTCTCTTGAGACATTTAGCTCTTTCTTCCTTGTTAAATGTTGTTAGTCTACATGTCTTGGCTTTCTGACCTCAGATATTACTCCATTATGCAGAATTAACTTAGCTCTCTTGGGAGTCAAGGCAGCCCCTTCCACATGACTCTTCTGTAGCATTTACCTTATTTTCTCTTGGTTATTTTCTTATTCTCAGTCCTCAACTCCTTCCTCTCATTGTCAATTCTGAGTTCCACAGGACAGAGGTATTTTCTCATCCTTGTATGCTCAATGTCTAATACAGCGTTAATAACTGCTAACTGAATACTCTGAGATCAGAGATTGAGGTTTAGTCATCTCAAAATGTACTTGACACATAGGAATTTCCTTATTACTTGTTAATCCAAAAGAAATTCTGAACTAGTGGCTATTTCTAAGGAAGTAACGCTCCATAGTTTTTCAAATTTACATTACAAACTTAGTAGTGGGTATCAAGGAATATGATGTGTGAGTGGGAAGGGGTGGTTCTTGGAAATGCTTGTATTCCTGATAGTGATGTTTTGTGAAAGCCTGTTAGTTTTTGCAAAATGACTGGTCCTCAAAGTTTGTAAGTCTTAGACTGGAAAGTGGTCTTAAAGCCATGCATCTAGTTCAACTCATACTTGATACATGAGTATCCAGCCTATGCGTGAACACTGCTAGGGTTAAGGAAAACACTAGTTCTGTAAGCAACACACTGAATCTTTAGGCAGCTACGTTAGAAAGTGCTCGCTATATTACTTAGCCATTAGAGACGATGATTAAGAGGACTATATGGCCCCAGTGAGCATGTTTTCTATAATGGCACATAAAACAAAGAAAAAGCAAGGTACAAAAGCCATCATAAATGTTATGAATATAGCTATGAAAAATATGCATGAGGGAAAGGGTTAAAAGAAAATATATCAAAATTATAATTCATTCACTAATTCCTTTACCAAATAGCACTAAGGCCCTATTATGGGCAAGGCACTGTTCAAGACACTATGGATATGTCATGGACAAGGTGGACAAGCCTTAATAGCTGGGTTATGATGATGGAATTGGGGTGAATTTTGTTTATTATCTCCATATTCCCCATTTTCTGGCCTGGGTTTATATTGATAATTAAGAAATCCTTCCTTATACTGAAAGGATATGAAAAAGAATCTTTTATTTCTTGAGTCCTGGAGATTTCAGAAAATATATTATACCAATAACTCTTCTCATGAAGAAAATGTTGACTTTCTATTAAGAAAGAAATGATCAATTGTGCCAAGGTGAGTGTGACATGTCTCCAAGGAATTTATCGGCAAGATAATGCTTTCCACTGATCTCAAAGAACAGAAGAGCTGTAAAATTCTCAAGTCAGAAAGGACTTTCCAATTTATTTACTCAGATTACCAAAATCAAGAGCAGAGCTAGAGCTAGAAAGCATAGGATAATGTTATAATAAAACCTCAGGGTTGGAGGAAACCTTAGAGTTGAACCCTCTAGCCAGCATCCCTAAGTGTTCATCTGACATCATTTTGAAGTCCTCTAAAGACAAACCATTGCATGCATTTGATTAAATTATTGCAAAAGAGAAGTTTGGCTCACTGCAAGTTTCGTGAATAGCCCATAGTGGGCAGTTCTACACTTCAAATAGCTCTTTCTTCAGTGTGTGGTTGCGTTCTAAAGGAAGTGGGCTGGGATGTGTGTGAGCATCTACCCCCTTCAAGTATGTGAAAAGGTCCACATGCATTACTAGAGATTTATGTCCTCCTTGCAGTGTGGCTGTGAGTGATAAGCAGCATCTCCTACATAAAATGTCTATAAGAAGACAATTGTCGATTAAGCTGGGATCACTTTACCTGGGATGACAGCACAGAGTTTGTGAAGAAATCCAATGATAAAAATTGAAGCTGCCTCAGTTGAAACTCTCTGGAAATCAATAAATCTATTACACCAATTTTTAATTCACCAGTAGTAGAGTTTATCTAAATATCATTATTGGCCCATGCTGACAACTTCAAAATGGAGTTTGCCTTTTGCTTAGTGAATAAAACCTTCCAAGGTAGCTAGCTGCTTTCAAAAGCTTTACAACCTTTTTTCTCACAGCAACTACTCTGATGGAGAGAAAATGGATTGTCTAGAAAGAGGCATCTTTTTCTCTGGTCCAATGATGTTAGTAACATTATCTTCACAAAGGATTACTCTCTGATAATCAGAGTCTGTCTCAGAGTCTGGCTCCAAACTTCACAAAATTTCTGCCATACCAGGCTCATGGTTCTTCTCTCTACTGCACTACAAGACATGGGGGTGGCCAAATAAGGGCACAGGGCTTCCTAGCAAATACATCTGCCACAGGCAGGGGGCAGCAAAACTCAAGGTCTCATTTGTTAAGATTTGCCTAAAACGTGCTTTTCTTGATGTGGGGTGGGTTTTCTGGTTTGTTTTTATTCTGTGGCAGTTTCTTGCCTCAACTGCCTTATTAAAAATGATTAATATAATAATCCACTTATATTTGTGTAGAAGCTTTTAAATAGAAAAGCTCTCAGCCTGCTTGGAAATTAAATAACTATTTCCTATTGACGGCATTTCCTTTGAAATGAAAGTTCCTGAAATGGATGTTCCTGGGAGGCTTCTAACTCGTAAGAGTTGAGGAGAGTATTAATTGCCATTTTGCTATTTATAATAACAGTGTCCTTACAGCTGAACACATCATCCATCCGAGTAATGAGGAACCACCATAAATGGGGCCTACTCTTTGTGAGAAAGGTCTAGAAAGAATCAAGATGCAAATCTATTTCACAGAAGCCAGAATGGATGATCTTTCTGCTCAGATGCTCTGGGAAATTGATGAGTATTGTGAAAATGGCAGAACACTTGACACGGGAAATAAATCTGTTATTAAACCAACTTGTTCTGTTGTTTGTTCTTTTATCAAGTTTTTAGTGTCTTGCTTGCTTTCCTAGAGTCAAGCATAAAAGAATCTCTTTCTGACTCGGCAAGCAATGAGCACTATGTAAGAGAGAAAGTGCACTGGTTTAATTCTCAACTATGACTCAGGCCAAACAGGACATGTAATTCTCTGTTCCTCCATTTCCCCATCTGTGAAACAGGATTTTCATTCTTGGCATGGCCACCACATTGTGAGGATCAAATAAACTAATAGATACGAGAAAGTGATGTAAACTATAAGGTAGTCCTCTATAACTAGAATCGTATCCTTATTGCATCACGTTGATCATAATTTATCTGCATACATGTCTGTCTCCCTAATGGACTGTGAGGTCCAGATTCATCCGTTTCCATGACAAATTAACAGGGTGTTTCTGTTATTCTCTTTAAAAGGCTTGAGTCTACATGACAACCAAATGGTTTACAAAGGAGAAAAAAATCAGTACTCGCTTTCACGTCACCGAGAACAAACATCTAAAGATTGTGTTGCATGATATCACATTTTTAACAGCAGGCGGATATTTGTCATAAAGTCACTAACTAACTTCAACAGGATGTGTTAGCCTTCACCATGGATCTACCTGGAATTAATAAGGACACTTGTACCACAAATGCACATACACACAATCTGTCCCAGGGCATAGTGTAAAAAAAGCAGCACAGAAAGAGGCATGTGTGTGTGTGTGTGCATGTGTGAGTTGAAGATTAAACACACCAAGAGAAAAATGAGGCAGCCTGTTCAACACCGTAAGAATAAGGAGAAGGTTTTTGTTGTTGTGTATGTCATCATTGTTGTTGTTACAGTAAATAGATTAGAAAAACATTCAATAACAAAATAAGGGGAAACCCAGGGTAGGGTTAGCATCCGCAAAGAATTTCCTAATGTCCTATTTAATCTAACAGGGTGCCAAGGCCTTGCGCATTAGTTCCACAACTTTCTGATATATCAAGTTTTCTCTAGGAGACAAACACAAACTGGCTTCCAGAAACAGCAAGTATATCCCAGTATTGAGACCTGAAAGTCGTCATAAAGAGCATACTGTTGTGATCGATATCTACACACTTCCAATAAATAAAATGCTTTGTCTGTACTATGCCAATGTCAGTAAAAGTAATTCAATGAGCAGCCAAAACCATGCCTTAACTCAAAAGCTCTGTAGTCTTGGTGCCCAGATAACTCTCCAAAGCATTTACTAGTGGGACCTCGGACAGATGATGTAGTCTTTTTTGGTTCGTTTTCAAATCTGAGAAAGAGAAGTATTTATCCTGATAGGGCTTCTAAGGGAAAATAATCAAAGACAAACTACCTGGCACATAGTTAGGTTCTCAATAAGTGTAGTCTGCCTTCCCACTGTGCAAATAAATGCCCAAGAAATCTGAAGAGAACCCATGTTCTAGTTGTAAATGACAGGCAACATTAGAGGGTAACTTCCTTTGACCCAAACCCTGAGTGTGTGGTAAGCAAGTCTTTTATATATCAAGGCCTTAATGCAAAATTAGATTTACGGCACACATCCTTCTAGCCATAACAGCTCTTTAATGAGTCCATTACGTTAATAAGTAGCTTGGTAGCCCAGCTCTTTGCTGTATTGTCTTTTCATCTGCTCAGCAAGACCACAGGCATTAACTACATAAACATATTCTGCATTTTGAAAAGAAAAAATAAAAAACCCTGCCACCCCTGGATACTTATCCCTTCAAGGAAGTCTCAGACTTTAGCAACAACAAAGCGTTGGTGTGTGGGACCCCACAGAGTTCATGAATTTCAGATGCTTGTAAGAAATTATCTGTTTTGCTGGACTCTTGCTGGGATCAATCAGCCCCTCAGTGGTTGGTACCAATTAAGAGCTAGTGTGATGCAAGAAGAATATTTTAAACACCATTTGACACCAAGTACTCCTCTGTCCTCTTCCTGCCTCCCTCCCTTCCTCCCCTCTAACTCTTCCACCAACCACCTTTTCAGTCCCTTTCCTTTTTAACTGTGACTCCCTGACTCCGCTCAAAGTCGTGAAGTGTAATGAAAGTAATGGCACATGTGTCTTTTCTGCAGAGGGATACTATTTATCGAGTGATTTCCCATCATCTCACAGCATCTCCCAACAGTCTGGTGTAGACAACAAGCAGAACTATCACTACCTCAACCTACTCTCTCCCTCTGTCTTTCCCAATGTATTCCCCATTTGTTCCCCACACAGCTGCCAAAGTAATCTGCTGAAGTTCAAACTGAATCATGTCATTCCTCTGCTTAAAGTAAATCCTTGGCTTCTCCTCATTGCCCAGAGGATAAAGGCCTGCTAGGGTTCACCCCTACCCTCCTCCTCAGCCTTGTCTCTCGCCACTCCTTTCCCATTCATTCTTGCAATTCTCTGAACACATTAAATGACATTTTGTCTTCCTATTTTTCTCTGTCCCTGAACTACCCACATCACCCAGGTCATCCAAGTATTAATAGCTAACTCATATATATCCTTAAAGATTCAGCTCAACCAACTCCAGAAAGCCTTACCCAATTCTCTAAGATGACTTAGGTGCCCTAGGGCTATATTCTGCAGCACTAGTGTTTGCTTCTGGCATAACACTTATCAGACTGCAATATCATAGCCAGTTAACCCATCTTTCCAGACTCCCCACCTCCAACTAGACTGTGAGTTCTTCGAGAGCAAGTGTAGGCTTTGTATACCTCCACAATCCTAGTGTCTGGTACGGTATCTCATATATGGTAAACCATGAATTCTCAACTTGGCTGCTTGTCATGGTTACCTGAGTTAGTTTGTTCATGATGCAAATCCTCTAGATCTAACTCTGGAGTTATTAAATCAGTATGTCTGTTGGAGGTGGAACCTGAGTTTGCGTGTTTTGTTGAAGTTCTAATGATGATGTACAGCCCTAGTTATGAATAATGTGGTATGTAGGTATTAATAAATATTTGACAGTCAATGAATGAATGAATACATAATGTCCCCATTTTAGAGATATTGAAACAAGCTTTAAGAGTTAGAAATTTGGCCCGTTTTGCTCAACACTAACTTTTGGAAAGATAGTGATATAAAGAGGTATAGGATAAAGCCTTTCTAGACTAGAGTTGGACTCGAGTTGTTTATTTGCATGCAAATCACCTGAATTACTCTCTAGCTTTTTCAAGCAGGAATAGGCCTTTTCATTTTGGGAACTTAATAGAGTCTGACCCAGTGTCTAAAACACAGTAGGCCCTCACTATTTGTTGAATTGCAACTGCATGGTGTGAATCAAAGAGCCCTGCACCTGGAGTGAGGAGCCTTGAGTCCTAGGCCTCTTTGTGATATTAACTGTGACTTATTCTGGGGTAAGAATTTCCTTGGGCTTTAGATTCCCTATCTACACAATCAGAGGTAGACTAGATGATCAAAGGTTGCTTTCAGCTCTGACATTTTTTAATCCATTGAGTGTTGGAGAGCTTGAGTCTGAATTTTGGCCGAGTGCTAGATGAAACACCTTCACTATGACTAAGTTAGATGGCATCTGAGGCCCACAGGAGAAGTGACATGAGTACACTTTTTAATCCATCATGAATGTGGCCAGGATGGAGGGCTGCCTTTTGTTCTGCTGAAGACAAGTGAATATTCAGCCCTAAGCACCCCCAAGGCTTGCCTGAGATGCTTACCTTGGCTTTCAGACACCAGCAAAGATCGCCCACTCTTGATAACATGAAGCCACTGTCACAGTGGCCTCTGATATAAGGGCTGACTCCCTGGAGGAGCATGGCATAGTAAGGAATGTGGAGGGAAGGCATGGGCTCTCTGACACTCACAGAGGAATAACCATAACCTAACACACGCACCCAGAGTGGCGGTGTGCAAATCATAGATAATTTGATTTTAACAACCTTGCAAAAGGAAGAAGAAGTAAGTACTATGCCTCTACCTTGCATGTTGGGAAATTAATGCTCAGAAATGTTGAAGGATTTCTGCATAAATGTAAAGTGATTAAATGTAGGAAGCTGATGGCAGATTTTTCTTTCTCCAGTGTAATATTCCTTTGGCTACATTGTATTGCCTCTTTTTCTTATCTTCTCTATTGGATCCTTACAAAAATCCTGCCAGCGAAAAAGGGCAAGTATTCCCATTTCCATTTTATGGAGCATAAAGTTGAAGCTCAAAGAGACTTTTCAGTCTCACAGTAGGTAGCGGGGACTTCCAGTGCACTTTTTGCTATATCACTACTGCTTCTTTTTTATTGTATTTTATTGTATAATCTTACTTGTACCCCATCAGAGAGGTAGAACATACTGGTAATATAATTTGCAATTTTCTAACAAGAAAACTGAGGTCCAGAGAAGTAATATTGGAGAAATTTATTAAAGATGAATTTATGAGTTTAGGTTGGCAAGAAAATGACCTTTCCAACAATTGGAGTTGCCGTCATTGGAAATGAGCCCCTGTACCATCACAGGACCAGAGGACCGCTCAGAGATATGGCACAGGCGACTGTGAAATGATGAAGAGTTGACTTAGATATTCATTAAGCTCCTTCCTGACCATATGCATCCATGGTTCTATGCCTGACCCAAAGCCCCCAGCCAGTATCTCATCAGTCAGGATGTGAACCCAAGTCCTCCAAGTCATACTTTATCCTATGCATTTTTTGCCCTATCCATTCAACTTTCCTTGGCTCATATTTCCAAATATTTCAGAATCCAACTGTCTAGGTGTAGGTGTAGTTATCATTTGAACACTGGCCAGAACAGGATCTCTCTGTAGGTTTACTGAGTAAACACTGACAAATTGGCCACTCAACAAATCACACATATTAACATGGAGTATTCTTCTCAAACAACATGAAATGATTTTTAAAAGTTCCTAACTTGGAGACTGGACCTTGGCTCCAGTCCTGAATTTTCCATCAAATGCCTATAGGAACCTGATCAAAGTCACTTTCTGTTTCAAGGCATTGGGCATCCTCCATTGCAACGTGACTGTTGGACAAGAGGTTCTTTTAAGCTCAGCAACGCAAGATCACAAGACTAATTGTCTTTGCTGCTAGCCATGGGAAGGCTGGAAGACAAGGAGCTTGGAATAACAAGCTTATCCAGGGGCTAAACAGAGAAAGCCAGGCTTAGCAATATCATATTGACATTCTTTACCAGCCTTGAATCCATTTGAGTTTGGGAGGTAAGAAGTAGCCCAGAAACAATGCAATGAGAAATTAGCCTCTCTTCTTAAGTCCTAAATGGTCATATGCCTTTGAGCTCCATTGCCCAGTCTCAGGTTGGCACTGTCTTCTGTCAGTAGCTATAGTATTTCCCCTACCACAACCCATCTCTATTTCCCATCACTGACAGCCCCATCCTCCATCTCCCTAGACAGATCTCCCTGCTTATGTTCCTACCATTTCTTGTCTGACAATCAATTTTCCTATCTGTCATTATCAATTCTGTTCATTAACTCTCCCACGTGTCTTAGCTGAGGCCTCCCGACACCAAAAAGCATCTCAAAAAAAAAAAAAAAATGACAATGTTCCCAAACAGAATAATTGAAACTTCTTGCACATCTAGAGAGACTTCTGTCTGAAACCCTCAGAGCCATTTTTTAAATGTCAGTAGAAATGTACATTTTATACTAGGGAGGCAGACTTCACCATTCTAGCACAACCAAATGAAAAGTAAAGCAGAAACCAAAAAACATTCAGCAACTACTTTTTTCTTTGTGGTTCACAGAATGCAAAACTGGTCTGACCATTTTTTTTTAAGTTTAGTTGACTTGTTAATTGCCTGTAGTTCTTTTAAACATGGCCTAAGAAACGGTTACTACAGGAATAATACTGTGAAGAAGGTGAAAATGCTAGAGAGACCGTCTTGTGCCTTTCTCCGAGGAGTTCCGTGAACTGCTCAGTTGCTAAGACTTGATAGGAACTTGTAGAAAGACTTCTGTAGCACTACAAGGCAGTAATACATATTGATGAAAAATCTCTGTTATCAGGCTATCTGTATTTAAGAGTTATAATAACAACAGCTATTCTTAGACAATTCTTTACCATTTATAAGGTATTTTCACACATATCACATCACTTTGCATTTACTGTTTCCCCTATCCTGAACATTCCTCCCTCAGATATCTACCTGGCTTGCTCCCTCACCTACTTCAGAACTGTGTTCAAATGTTATCTTTCCTATTGGCCTAAAGGAAAATTGCAACTGTGCCCACCTCCCCTGAAACTCCCTGTCCGCTTCCCATGATATGCTTCTCCACAGCACTCCTCACTGTCTGACTTGCTATACATTTTACTTGTAGAATGTGAGCTCCCTAGGGAATGAGATCTTTGTATTTTCATGGCTATATTCCCAGTGCCTGGAACACAGTAGTTGCTCAGTTAAGACCTTTTGAGGGAATAAAAGAATACATTGTGAATGCGATTCTCCCCACAGCCTTGAGGAGCAGGAGGCATCATTATTACTATTTTGCAGATGAAGCAACTGAAACTCAGAAGGCTAAGTGGTCAGACCACATGGATGAGAGGGGCAGACCCAGATGACCTCACACTGGCTCACTCTGTGCTCTCCAGAGACACATCTCGGAAACAGACACTTTAACAAGTGCACCCTCCCACTCAGGAAGGAGTGTCCAAGTCAGACGAGTGCTGAGAGCTATAATGCTCAGCCCTGTGCCTGCACCCCTGCATTGGCCCTCTCTTGGCACCTGCCTTACCCACCCTCCAGGGAGTGCGTTCCCAGGCACCCACTGTATTTGATGAGCACCTGCAGGTCTAATTATCCCATTAAGGTAGGATAAACAAAGAAAAAGGAAGGAAGAAATAATTACAAAACAAGCAAACCTGAATGGTCAACACATCAACACAGTAATTACATTTCTCCAAAAAGAAAAAGACAGGAACTAAGCTTTTCCACCTAACTCTTTTTGCTTTCGAATGGAAGCCTCCTCTCTCAGCTGCAGATTACACGGGCTGGCAGCTTTCCCACCCTCACCATGCTCCTTGTTGCCTCTATTGACAGAGGTGAGCCATTACTCTTCACTAAAATTCAGTGTCCACACATTCGCCCCTTGACAACACTCTGGAAATTGATCTCTTCAAATATCTTTGGAACTAAATTAAGGCAATTTGTTCTTTCCCTGATCCACATGGTTGTCCTCTGGGACAGAATCATTGCTAAAAGGATGATCATGATTTTTTGAAAAGGGAGGGAAGTCTTCCGGGAAGGAGGCAATCCAAAATCTTGGTAATATTGAGTATAAGTGATTTTAAAAATCAAATACCATTAATACTGCTATACTGCTTACAAAGAACATTCACATCCATTATCTATAGGATTTAAGCTTTGTGCTACTCTATGAAGAAATTGAGAAATACCTGACTTTCCATTTTATAGGTGGCAAAACTAGGGAAATGACTTACCAAAGTTCACATCCCTGTAAGTGAAAGAGCAACAAATACTCGAATCCAAGTTTTCTGACTCTAAGTGGAAAGCTTTATGCCACAAATATGGTATGTGTGTGTATATGTGTGTAGAGAGAAAGAGAGACTGATTCTATTTTCACCCTGCACCTTCCAAATTGTCTTTTCTGGGCACCTCACTCGGCTTCCCTGTCCTCAGATGTATTTTCCTGCATCAGAGAGCACTCTGGCAGTCCCCAGACTGGCTGTGCTCAGAGGTTAGCATTTTACATTCCACAAGTATTTGGCTTGCTTTAAGAGCATGGACTTCTGAGTCAGACAGACCTGAGTTCCAGCAGGGATAGATTGCACCGATCCTCAACATCTCCACTCACCTCACAGCATTGTTGACAAAATTGTATGAAAAGACGCCATGTGGTATCCATCACAGCTCATGGCACACCGAAAATGCTCAGTAAATGAGAGCAATTCTTGTTGAGTACCCTGTTCACTTCTGTATCACATCTGAGAGGTGGGGGTCCAGGCTCTTATCTTATCTTACATTATTGCTCAAAGCCTTCGCCAGAGTCACTCTCTGGGCATGAGCGTGCATGGAAGCAGTGATATCCTCTAATTTGAAAAGTTCTGGGTGCTGAACAGTAGCAAAGACAGCAGCAGGAATTCCTATTTTCTGAACATTTAGTGTTCTCCATGAATAATTGTCATTAATGTCGTCAGCCGCCCTACCATTAATCCCATTTTAGAAGTATTAACACCATTCATTGTGTCCATAGACCTGCTAAACACTGAATATTTGTGTCACTGCAAAATTCATATGTTGAAACCCAACCCCCAAGGTGATGGCATTTGGAGGCAGGGCCTTGGAGAGGTGATTAGGTCAGGTTAGAGGCCCTCATAAATGAGATTAGTGCTCTTGTAAAAAGGACCCCAGAGAGCTCATTTGCCCCCTTCAGCCATGTGAGAACATAGTAAAAATATGGTGTGATATTATGAGATTGTATATGTGTGTGTGTGTGTGTGTGTGTGTGTGTGTGTGTTTTCATCCACAGTTCCCAGTTTATCACTCCCATAGCCCTTATTACAGTCTTTTGTTATAATGCTGGGGCACTTTAGGTGTCAGAAAGCAGAAGCTCTCTCTCACTGACCTTTCTCCTGCCGTTTTTTCACCTGCTTCTTTTTCTCCTCAAGGCAGGATTTAGAAACTAAAAATACACTCTAATCTTCCCCCACCTCTGGTCATAAAGAAATTTTCTGACCCACCTTGTCTGATTGTAGATCATAAGACCTCTGCTTCCAAAGAGGTTCAGCCTCGTACCCTGGGGAAGGAACACTGCACAGAGAGGCCAAAAAGAATTTGAACAGGCAGGACTTGCTGGGGATCCCTGCTCAGTTATTAGTATTAGATTATACTCTTCTTGTCCAATCACATTTCCACATGGCTGTCAATCAAGCCTATCCAATGAAGTCTCCATAAAAGGCCCAAAAGGACAGAATTCAGAGAGCCTCCAGATAGCTGAACACGTAGAGGTCCCTGGAGGGTGGTGCACCCAGGAATGTCATGGGAGCTCTATGCCCATTCCCATACCTCACCTTATGCATCTCTTTATTTGTATCCTTTGTAATATTCTTTATAATAAACCATTAAGCATAAGTAAGTGTTTCCCTGAGTTCTGTGAACTGCTCTAACAAATTTATAGAACCCAAGGAGGTGGGTAATGAGATCCCTGATTTATATCTGGTTGGTCAGAAGCACAGGTAAAGCAGCCTGAGGCGCAGTGGCTCTCACCTGTAATCCCAGCACTTTGAGAGGCCAAGGCAGGTGGATCACTCGCGATCAGGAGTCTGAAACCACCCTGGCCAACAGGGTGAAACCCCATCTCTACTAAAAATACAAAAATTAGCCAGGCATGGTGATGGCTGCCTGTAATCCCAGCTACTCAGGAGGCTGAGGCAGGAGAATTGCTTGAGCCCAGGAGGTGGAGGTTGCAGTGAGCAGAGATTGCACCATTGCACTCCAGCCTGGGTGACAGAGCGAGACTCCACCTCAAAAAAAAAAAAAAAAAAAAAAAAAAAAGTAGGGGACAGTCTTGGGGACTGAGCCTTCAACTTGAAAGGGCTCAGTAGATAGCCCTGCAGGTAGATAGTGTAAGAACTGAATTGAATTGAATTGAATAAGACACCCAGCTGGCATCCACTACAGAATTGAATGCTTGCTTGATGGTAGAGAGAAAATCCCTAAACATTTAGTCACATAAGTCTTCTGTGTTGATTGTTGTGGCGTAAGAGCAGAGAAGAAACATTTTGTGTTTACTCCAATCTCAGATGGCCATCTGTGAACCAGGAAGCAGGCCTTGCCAGACACCAAACCAGCCAGTGCCTTGTTCTTGAACTTTCCAGCCTCCAGAACTCGGAGAAATAAGTTTCTGTTGTATATAAGCCACTCAGTAGTGTGGTATTTTGCTATAGCAGCCTGAAAAGACTAAGACAAGCCCTATGACATAAAGATGCAAAGAAAAACTTGGTAACTGAACAAAGGATGCAAACTGAGGGAGTCCACCTGTCAGAATGTAGGCTTTTAACCACTACACTATGCCATTTAAAGAGTGAGCAGGCCTTTTTGGAACACCTTGTCTTCTCCTGCAGCAGGACTGACCCCTTCCAAGTACCCTTTCCTACCTGGCAATTCCACTCTGGCCAGTCTGTGGCTCAAGCCACAACTAGAGTGTTAAACACAAAATTTAACACAAAATGTTAAAGCTAGACAAGCCCACAGATTTAGTCTTCTTACCTAGTAACTCCCTCATTTCTCAGATGAAATTGAGGCCCAGAAGGGAGGTGAGCTGCCTGAGGCCTCACAGTCTCATTCCATAACTGGAATGAAACTCAAAACTGTGAGTACATTGTGGGCTGTGGGAAGTTGTTGTACCGGCTGCCTGGCAGCTTGGCTGTGCCCCTCCATTACCTTCTCTGGCACAGCGTGCAGCTCCTCACCATCCCATCAGCATAGGCTGTGGTATGACTTGGTTTGTCATAATATTTTGTTTAAATTGTTTGATTTAAATGTAGATATAGATATATTTATATATAGGTATCGATATAGATAATCTGTGCTTTTTAACATAGGCAGCCACAAATCTTTTGGGAAAGTAGATAAAGAACAAATGAATGTGTAAATAAGCCAGGCAAGGTGGCTCACACCTGTAATCCTAGGACTTTGGGAGGCCAAGGCAGGTGAATCACCTGAGGTCAGGAGTTCGAGACCTGGCCAAAGTGGTGAAACCCTGTCTCTACTAAAAATACAAAAATTAGCCAGGTGTGGTGGCAGGTGCCTATAATCCCAACTACTCGGGAGGCTGAGGCAGGAGAATCGCTTGAACCTGGGGGACAGAGGTTGCAGTGAGCCGAGATCATGCCACCTCACTCCAGCCTGGGTGAAAGAGCGAAACTCTGTCTCAAACAAACAAACAAACAACAACAACAACAAAAAACCCAAAAAAACTGTAAATAAGTAGATCAGTGACAACTTAGCATCCTTTTCATCATTCTTTCTGAAAATTTTGGAAATTCTGAAGTAGGTAAGTGCAGGGAAGAAAAGCAAATTTAGCAGTGAGTATGGCTCGTAAATTACTTTACTAAAGGGAAGAAATCATAAGAAATTTGGGGCTATTTCTTCTCAATGTAGAACAAGAGAATGTCAAAATAGTGCTGCCTGCTGAATGTTGAAAAGCAAAAGCACCGAGCCACTAAGTCAGAATGACAGTGCCGTGTGTTGAGAGTGGATCATTTCATGTGCTTAAGTACTTAGAAACCTGATCCTCAACCACAGTCCCCACTGTGCTTTCCCTCCCATCTGCATTCTTTCTGGTCCCCTAACTTGATGAACTAGGACATTTGCATGAGCATTTGTCTGAGGATTTTAGCCCGAGCTGTTCCATCATTCTGAAACATTCTTTCTGTGTATCTCTGCATGGCTGGTTCCCACTGGTCATCTGCAGCTCAGCTTATGTTTGACTTCCTCATAGAGGCTGTCTCTGGCCACCCTATTAACTTCTCTTACCACTGCTGCAAAGCACCTTGAGTTATTCCCATCATAACACTTATCGCTACCTGTTCTCTTCCACACTTGATAATTGTCTCTTCCTCACTAAAATGCTCATTGAGGACAGGGAACTTTTCTATCATATTCACCACTATTTTCCCAGTGCCTAAACCAGTACACAAGAAATAACTGTTAAATGAAGATAAATAATATCAACAAATACCTTATATTCTAAATCAAGGGCCTAATTCACAAACTGGCCAAAAACCATCTATCGATCAATATTTACTTAACAGTCAATGTGTGCTGGGTGCATTTTATGAACTGGATGGGGGTGGGGTAGATGGGGTAGATGCAGAGATGAATATGATTAGTCTCTAACCTCAAGCAGTTGATGTCCTGGTTGGAGAGTTAAGACATATACTTCTAAAATAAAACATATGCTTCTAAAAATAAAACTTCAGTAACATAGCCAGTACTCAAGGACAAGTAAATGGTTCAGAAGGCAAAGGTATTGAAGAATAAATACAAACGATTGAAGGCTAAATACAAAGGAAGACACATAGAAGGCACAATGTCTGTCAAATCCACAACACATAAATGGAAGTGAGAGAGACCAGAAGCAGCCTCCCAGTCTCCCTGGCCAGGGCCTTTCGATGACATTGCAGGCTTCCCTTGTGCCCCTGTGACTCGAAGTGATGTGGAGTTGGAGAGCTTGACTCTCAACCTGGCACCTAGAGAAGAGCCCACACTTGTCCAATGTTCTCTCTGTGAACCGTGTTATACTAGTTTACACATGTCATCTCAGTTACTCCTCACTACAACCCTGACTACAGCAAGGTGTTACAATTCTCATGTTAGATTAATACAAATGGAGGCCCTAAGGTGAAAACTATTTCACCCAAAGTGACACAGTCAATGGAGCCCTGTATACCTGCCTCTATAGGATCTTACCCTTTCCCAGTTCACAATTCTGCCCCCTTGCTCAAAACTGAAGACACCTCCAAGCTCACACAACAATTAGGGATTCATCCCTAGGTCTGTTCAACTGAAAAGTGGGTGCTTTTCTAAAACCTGGCAGATAGGAACAAGGACTGAGCCCATCATTGCTCCTTTTGCCCCATTGCAGAAACAGAGCCCTTCAGAAGAGTCATATGTCAAAAGGTGAAAAGAATGGTGGTTAAAATGTGAAAATGCACTGCCTTGAAATTCATTTGGTGTTCCCACCCTTATTCTTGATGAAAGTATTCCCTCGTGACAAGTTCTTTAAAGAATTTCTCTCAACTCCATTATGCAGTGTGGAGTAATTGTATGTCATCAAAAGCCTAGGAATAGTCAAGATTGCAAAATTCTTGCTGTGCTCTTGGCAAAATCATTACTCACCAGCCAATGTTTAGAAATCAAAATGCTCCCCTTAAGTGCCATTAAACACAAATATTTATCAACGCTGCACCAGAATGTTAGGCTGACGAAGGTTGGATGTTTGTGGGTGTGCTTGCGTGTGCATAATTAGATTCAGGTTGTCAACAAGAACAAGCTGGCTTACTGAAGTTTATGTCTTTCAGACACCCACCTACAGGCAAATGGGAGGTTTTTGCTTATTTATATCTTAGAGAAATGTTAAAATTCTCAGAAGTATGCCCAAAGAAAACCAGGGGAATTTCTGTTTCACTGCTTTTTACAGGCATCATGAAAGGTACTGCCTATGGTAAAACAAATACCAAGACTGTCAGGAGAGATGAAAATGGACATCAAAAGCTAAATAATGATTCAGCATAGGGAATATGGATGGATAAATCATCATTAAAAACTCCTACTATAGTTTGAAGAAAATGAGGCTTTCAATCTCTGTCTTCAATTTTCCCTGTAGGTGGCTTCTAGAGTTAGTATCTACTAAAACAGGTTAGCACATGGCTTACTTAGGTCAAGATCCCTAGAAGCCAAATCTCAGATGGGATTCTCATTCTGGGGATTTACTAGGGGGAGTGCACCTGGGAGAAGGAAAGTAAAAGAAGTAGAATAAGTCAGAGGGGAAAAGCTCAGTCAGAGCCAATCCCACAGGAGCACAAATCACCCATAGTCAGTCCCACCCTGAGGCAAGGGAAGTAGCCCTTTGCACAATGGTCGTTGGCTGAGGCCTGTCCTGGAAAGGCTCCCATTTTTCAGAGAAGTGATGCAGGCCTGACACATCAACACTCACAGCACCTGGGAATGGGTACACAAATACTAAAGGGGCCTGAGTGAGGCACCGGCAGCATCCACCATGGTACACGTGACTCTTCTTATGAAACTTTTATTTCATTCTGCAGAATAAAGTGCAAACTTTTCAGCATGGAATCTGAAACCTTCTGTGTTCTAGCCTTAACTTCATGGCTCTGAAATAGATTTTCTAAAAATCTAAGACTACTTAATGTATTTGTGCAAATGTCTAAGTGTATGTGGAGCATACCATCAGAGAGGAGTCAGGGGACATCCACCCCTCCTTCTACCAATAGCTTCTCTGCCCTCAGAAGAAAGTTGATTCCTGAGCCTGCTTTTCTATGGATCCCAGACTAGCCCTCCAGCCTTGTCTCCTACCCCCTTTTTCCACACAGCTCAACCTTTGATAGTGCAATAAACTGTTAGTTATTTCTCAAAGATGCTGTGTTCTTTCACCTCTCCCAGACTTTGTGACACTTAGGATCAATAAGAGATGGACTAGCACAGAAAACTAAAATCCATTCCAACCATTCCTTAATGTGACCAGCATTATTGTCTGAAAGTACACTTTTAATGTTCTGGGGCCATTTTTAAAAACCTCTCATTTTCTCTGTAAAGCAAGGCCTAAATCCCTGGCGTGGAATGTCCTTTGCCTGTTTTTCTTCCTTCGTTCTCCAGTTCAAGTGGCACCTCTACTATGGAGCCCTCTCTACCACCCCAGCCTTTCTATCCCTTCACAGCCCTGCATTACCTTTTCCTAGCACTGCCATTATTCTGCTGTATAGAATGGTCTGTTGTGTAGGCATCTACCTCTACCAGCAGATTGTGAGGTTCCTGACGGCAATACCTTTCACAGCACCTAGCACCTCACTGGGTGCGAAGCAGGTGCCAGTGCAGACATATTAAGTGGAAGAAAATAATGCATCTCTAAGGAATAGTCTCCAGGGAGAGTCCTCACAGACACTGCGGGACTTCCATAGGAAACTCATTTAAAGGACTTTTAGACTAACAATATAAACAATTACAACAGATGCTAAGACTTATGGGACACTTATTATACCAGAATCTGCGTTTAACATTTTACATGAATTAACTGATTTTAATCTTATTAGGCAGGTACTAATTTTATTACCATTTTACAGAAGAGAAGACCATATTGTGAAAGGGAAATAAATCTCAGGACCCCAAAATCATGAAGCCAAAAGGAAAAGTCAAGCTGGGAACTGCATCAGGCAAACCTGCCTCCTATTTTAGTTCCAAGATAAGATAGTTACAAAGATTGCTTTAAAAGCTACATATCTCCCTCACAATTTGCCAACAGGCGATTTCTTGTGGGCCTCAAGACCTTCACCTTAAACCAATTCTGTTGAATTTCACCTTGGCTATGTAAATTGATAGCTTATCTTCACAGATGGAGTACAAAGGACACACAGAATCAAGGTCATTCCTCTGCTCACCTGAGACAAATGCATATCCAATTGCTTCTTCTGCCCTACTGCTTATGTAAAAATGCAGATTCACTGAGTCAGACTAAGGCATAAGTTCCTCTACCCCCACTCACATGTGAGTTGTGTCTTCAATGAAAGGCTGTAAAAGACCCAAAAGAATGCAACTTTTTGTCTCTTATCTACCTACTAGAAGCCCCCACTTCAAGTTGTCTTGACTTTCTGGGCCAAACCAATGTATGTCTTACACGTATTGACTGATGCCTCATGTCTCCTAAACTGTATAAAACCAAGCTGTGACCAAACCACCTTGGACACAGGTCATCAGGACCTCCTGAGGCAGTGTCAAGGGCATGTCCTTAACCTTAGCAAAACAACTTTCTAAGTTAATTGAGACCGGCCTCGGATATTTTTGGGTTCATAATATCAGGGAGGTTATGTAACTTGTTCAAGATCACATAGCTAGCAAGTGGGAGACCAGGGCATCAGAGCCAGAATGCCTGTAATCACGAAGTAACCAAATGAAGGAAGATTACTCATGCTCCTGTATTTCTGAACCATCGACCTGAGGGGCAGCACCATGATGAAAATCACAGTCATGGCACTTTTTGTGAGCAACAATTAAAAGCCCTGTGCCCATTCATTCCCTTTCTTTCAAAGGAAAATGGTTGGAATGGGAACAAAGAAAGTAGGTTCTTAAAGTATATTTTATGCTTATATATTTGTAAGTTGTTTTGTTTGTTTATTCAGAAAGGCTTTGAATTGGAGCCAGAAGAGTCCCTCTTTGAATCACAGTTTCCTGATTAGTAAAATAGACTTTTGCCTGTTCTATTTATTTCAGAATGCCTTTGCATGGATTCCCCACTCAGGTACAAGCTTCACAGAAGTGGAGATTTTACCCAACCTATTCATCACTGTTTCTTCATATTCCAACACAGTGCCAGACACATAATAGGCCTTGATAAACACTCATTGGCTGAATGAATAAAAAATGAGACACTAAGGGAATACAGTGTTTCTTTCTCAAAGGGTGGTTCAAGGACCACTCGCTCCAGGGTTATCTGGAGAGTTTGTTTAAAGTACAGATTCCTGGGCTAAAAGGGACTTCTTCACTTATTAATGTTTGAGAACTACTGATATAAATGTTATGTGAGTGTCTGCAAACTGTTCAATTTCACAATTTAATGAAATTAACTTCAAGTGAAGCTGTAATTATCATCTGATTCTGATAAAGAATGGAGAGGGAATCCTACTGTTTCTCTCCACTTTTCCTTTATTTACTTCCTCATTCTTTTATACTTTCCTTCCCTATATTAGTCCATTCTCACATTGCTATAAAGAAATATCTGAGACTAGATAATTTATAAAGAAAGAAGTTTCATTACTTAAGAGTTCCAAAGGCTGTACAGGATGCGAATTAGCTTCTGTTTCTGGGGAGGCCTGAGGAAGCTTCCAATCATGGCAGAAGGCAAAGGGGGAGCCAACACTTCACATGGCCAGAGCAGGAGAAAGACAGAGAGAGGGTAGAGGCGCCACACACTTTTAGACAATCAGATCTCATGAAAACTCTATCATGAGAACAGCACCAAAGGGGGAAATTCACCCCCATGATCCAGTCACCTCCCACCAGACCCCACCTTCAGCATTGGGGGTTACAATTCGACATGAGATTTGGGTGGGAACACTGATCCAGACCATATTATTCTGCCCTTGGCCCCTCCTGAATCTCATGTCCTTCTCACATTTCAAAATATAATTATGCCTTCCCAACAGTCCCCAAAACCTTAATTCATTCCAGCATTAACTCAAAAGTCCAAAATCCAAAGTCTCATCTAAGGCAAGGCAAGTCCCTTCTGCCTATGAGCCCATAAAACAAGTTAGTTAATCACAAAATAAAAAGGGGATACAGGTATTGGGTAAATACTGCCATTCCAAAAGGGAGAAATTAGTCAAAAGAAAGGGGTTACAGGCCCCACACAAGTCCAAAACTCAGCAGAGAAGTTATTAAATCTTAAAGCTCCAAAGTAATCTCCTTTGACTCCATATCCCACATCTGGGGCACACTGATGCAAGGGATGGGCTCCCAAGGCCTTGGGCAGCTCCACCCGTGCAGCTTTTCAGGGTTCAGTACCTGCAGCTGCTCTCAAATAACAGGTTATTTGAAATAACCAAAGTGCAAGCAATAGTATTTGAGATCACTGAAGTCGCCATTTTAATTGGGGAATTGAGTGCCTGTGACTTTTCCAGGTACAGGATGCAAGCTACTGGTAGATCTCTCATTCCAGGGTCTACAGGATGGTGATCCCCTTCTCACCGCTCCACTAGGCAGTGCACCAGTGGGGACTCTGTGTGGGGGCTTCAACCTCACATTTCCCCTCTGCACTACCCTGGTAGAGGTCCTCCATAAAGGCTCCACCGCTGCAGCAGGCCTCCTCTTGGACATCCAGGCTATTCCGTATTCTCTGAAATCTAGGTAGAGGCTCCCAAGCCTCAACTCTTGCACTCAGAGCAAGCTTACTGCCACACAGAAGCTGCCAAGGCTTCCAGCCTGCACCCTCTGAAGAAGCAGCCCAAGCTGTACCTGGGCCCCTTTGAGCCACAGCTGGAGCTGGAGTGGCTGAGATGTAGGGAGCAGTGCACTGAGGCTGCACGGGGCAGTGGGGCCCTGGGTTTAGTCCATGAAACCCTTCTTCCCTCCCAGGCTTCTGAGCCTGTGATGGGAGGGGCTGCTGCAAAGGTCTTTGAAATGTCTTTGGGGCCTTTTCCCCATTGTATTGGATATTAGTACTTGGTTCCTTACTTATGTAAATTTCTGCAGCCTGCTTGAATTCCTCTCCTGAAAACGGGCTTTTCTTTCTACTACATGGCCAGGCTGCAAATTTTCCAAACTTTTATGCTCTACTTCCCTTTTAAATATAAGTTCAAGTTTTAGGTCATTTCTTTGCTCATATATATGAGCAATTGTTTGTTAGAAGCAGCCAGGTCACATCTTGAATGTTTTGCTGCTTAGAAATTTCTTCTGCCAGATATCCTAAATAATCACTCTCAAGTTCAAAGTTCCACAGATCCCTAGAGCACAGGCCCAATGCAGCCAGACTTTGTGCTAAAGCATAGCAAAAGTGACCTTTAATCTAATTCCCAATAAGTTCTTCTTCTCCATCTGAGACCTCCTCAGGCTGGACTTCATTGTCCATAACACTATCAGCATTTTTGTCATAACCATTCAACATGTCTCTAGGAAGGTCAAACTTTCCCACATCTTCCTGTCTTTGAGAGCCCTCAAAACTCTTCTAACCTCTGCACATTACCCAGTTCCAAAGTTGCTTCCATATTTTCAGTTTTTTTTTTTTTTTTTGAGACAAGGTCTCTCTCTGTCGTGCAGGCTGGAGTGCAGTGGCATGATCTCAGCTCACTGCAACCCCCACCTCCCAGGCTCAAGATTCTTCCACCTCAGCCTCTGGAGTAGCTGGGACTACAGGAACATGCCACCACACCTGGCTAATTTTTTTTTTGTTGTTGTTGTTGAGATGGGGTTTTGCCAAGTTGCCCAGGCTGGTCTGAAACTCTTGAGTTCAGGTGATCCGCCCACCTCAGCCTCCCAAAATGCTAGGATTATAGGCGTGAGCCACTGTGCCTGGCCTCAGGTATATTTATAAAAATGCCCCACTCCTTGGTATCAATTTTCTGTATTAATCCATCCTCACACTGTTATAAAGAAATACCTGAGACTGGGTAATTAATAAGGAAAGGAGGTTTCATTGCCTCTGTGTCCCAAAGGCTGTACAGAAAGCGTAGTGGCTTCTGCTTCTGGGGAGGCTTCAGGAAGCTTCCAATCATGGCAGAAGGCAAATGGGGGAGCCAGCACTTCACATGGTCAGAGCAAGAGGAAGAGAGAGAAAGGGCAGAGGTGCCACACACTTTTAAACAATCAGATCTTCTGAAAACACAATTACAAAAACAGCACCAAAGGGGAAATATGCCCCCATTATCTAATCACCTCCCACCAGACCCCACCTCCAGCACTGGGGATTATCATTTGACATGAGATTTGGGCAGCAACACAGATCCAAACCATATTACTCACCTTTCCTCTCCTCCTCCATGGCTATTTATATTTTCTGGCTTAGAGCAAGGCCCAAGAGAACAACCATAAATGCTATCCTCTCTCTTGCCCCCAAGGATATCACAGTCCAACAGAAAAGAGGACAAAGTAATTTATATTTTGATATAATAAATTCTACAGCAGATATAAGCTAGGACATCACTTCTCCAAATTATCAGAGTGAAGAAGGTGGTTGCCACTTCGTATTGGGCTTCTTTACCTTAAGTGCCATCCTTGAAATGTTGAAGAACAAAGGAACCAAGGAGAAGAAATAATTTTAATCTTAAAGGTTTGGTTACTCTTTTCTTTAATAGTGTTCTTCTAATTCATAAATACCTTACTTTTTTTCAGTTTAGAAATTCAATATCCTTCTCTTCCCAGAACTTGCTTCCCTGGGTCAATAATTCTTCCATCCAGACTATGTCAACTTTACTTATTTGCTTTTTATTTGTGCCCAGCTTACACACATGGTAGACTTGTAAATACTGGTGAGCAAACACATTTTAAATTGTAGTAAATACTAATGAGCAAGAATATGCCTTGAAACTCCTTCTACATGATACTTTTCTTGCCTTTGTTTGTTCTTATTTTGAGTGGATTTTTACCATCTCAATTTCAGGTACACAGAAAATATCTGATTCTTTTTCTGTGGACTAAATTCTGATTACTCAACTATTTATTTATTGAGTTGGTTTATTTATTGAGTTGGTGTCATGAGCTGAGCACATTATATTTATTGCTCAATTCAATCTTACGATATACTCCAAGAAGGAGATATTATTATCCCCATTTACAGAAGAAGAACTGAAAGTTCAATTCCACAGCCAGTTAACGTGATGGTACCCAGGTTTTTTTGATGACAATTACCAAACACTTTTTCCTTATACCACTTTGCCTCCTGCAAATATATGGTCTATGAAGGAAAAAAATATGATATTTGCACAAGTATCTATTGTATTACTACACTCTTCTCTTTCAGTATTTTTCCTGACTCTCTCTCTTAATACTCATTTCTGTGTCTCTACAAGGTGTAACACAGAGCCATAAATACAGTAGCTTTTGGGAAAATAGATATTAATAACTGGTGAATTAATGAATAAAAGGAATCAAATAACAGAAGTACAAGCAATAGTCTTTGGGATCACTAAAGTAATCATTTTAGTAGGGAAAGTAATCTGAGAAGGCTTCAAAGAGAAGGTGGCCTTTGGTGAGGAGGGTTTTCATAAGTAGCCAATGTTGGCAAAGAACTTTCCAGGCAGAAAAGCATGTGAGAAAAGCAAAGAAGTAGATAGAGCCTAGTAGGTTGGAGAAAATGAGGTTAAGTGTATGTGAATGTTAAGGCATACTAAGAAAATTGATAGGAGATATAATGTGAGAAAGACTGAGACCAGTTAGTCAGGGGACTTCAGATGTTTAGACCCAACCTCAGCAACAGTGAGAAGCCACAGGCTGTGCTTGAGGGAAATAGATATAACCCAGACTGTGCAGAAGGGGCAGGCATTATCTTAAGATTTTTGAAAACAAGTCTCAGAATTTATTCTGGACACTGAAATATGCCAAAAATTCTAACAGTCAGCTTTTAGTTTCAGCTAAAGAAAATGACATGAGTTGACACAAGTCAAGGCAAAATAAAACATTTTCCAAAAGGTTATCACATTCCTTTCTCCCTAGCTGAAGGAATCCCCGTGAATTTGTGAGCTCATTCTGAAGAGCTCCGGAGGGCCTTGTCAGGAAGGTGTTGTATAAACCACTTTGCCTCAGTGTTATATTCCTGAGGACATGTTTATGAGAAAGAAATCTCACCTGGTGAGTGATGTTTTTCAACAGATTTCAAGGGGCCCAGAAGTCATTATGACAATACAGGACTCACTTCTCACATCCCCTTGCCAGGTAGGTAATGGTAGATGAGTCTCTGAATATCAGACCCTTGGAGCATTACTATGCCCCTCTGCTCTCTGAGCTCCTTTTGCGGGTGGAAGATGAGAGAGCAGCAGAAGGGTCTGTCTGTAGGGTATGATCATTGTCAGATTCTTCCTCAGACCCCTGTCCTTTTCTTGGGCAGTGGGCACCAGCCAAGCCAGACCTTTAAAATCCACCAGCATATGGTCTGTCAGTTTCCTGTCATGGAGGAGAACAAAAGGTACACTAACTCAGAGATCCCTGGGCAGAAACCCATTGTGCTGGTGACAATATGAAGTCAGGAGAGACATCACATCAGATGAGGGCTGCAAAGCACAGGGGACTCTGAGCCAATCTGACATCTTTGGTTTTCTTTCCAAGTCTGCCCATTGGCCACTTCATATCCCATAGAGATCCAGAGTCCTCAGGCTCTTTCCTCCCCCAAGTATTCAAACCTGCTCCCTGACCTCTCACTGACACTGGGGTGTCAACAGCTAAAATGAATGCCCTCTAACCTGCCCACCTACCCCACACACTGGCACTTGCAGGCGTTTCATGACTGAGAGTGATTCACTGAACTATATGAATTTAGGCAATGTCTTAGTCCATTTGTGCTGCTATAACAAAATGTCCAAGACTAGGTAATTTATAAACAACATAAATTTATTTCTCACTGTTCTAGAGGCTGGGAAGTTCAAGATCAAGATTCTGTGTCTGGTGAGAGCCACTCTCTGCTTCCAAGATGGTGTCTTGTTGCTGTGTCTTCACATGGCAAAAGGGAAGAAGGATCTAGCTAGTTCTCAGCAGCTTTTTTATCAGTACTTAATTTCATTGATGAAGATGAAGCTCTCATATCCAGTCACCTCCTAAAGGCCTCACCTCTTAATAACATTGCCTTGGAGATTAGGTTTCAACATTAATTTTGGAGGGGACACTAATATTTACATTATAGTAGGTAAATTGTTTGGATTCTCTATGGCTACATTTTCTCATACTGAGGTGGAAATGTTACCTTCTTCTCCATTTTACTATGTGGAAGTACTGCGTAGCTGGAAATGCTACTGTGCCCATAACCTCACCTATGAGCAAGGCTCATCCATCCCAGAAGCCCTCCCACCTTGTCATCTTCCAGACAGCTCTTGAGTAGTTTCCATGCCTCTTAGCAGAGGTCATTTCATTGGCCTGCCCATGAATTTTCTGTGGTCTTCCATCACTTACTGAATAAAGGCCATGCTTCTTATTTGAATATGCTGAGTCCTACACAAATTGATCCCAATCTACTTTTACTTCTTATCTCTTGGTGATGAACATTAGACAGTATCTGTTGATCACCTGCTATGAGTCAGGCTCTATTCTAAGTATTTTACCTGCATTAATTCATCAATCCTCATAAATATTAGTTAGGTAGGATTAGCATTCCCATTTTACAGATGTAGAAAATGAGTTTAAAAAGTGATTTGTCTAAGAATCTCATAGTTATTAAGTGATAAAGCTGAGGTTCAAACTGAAGCCAAGTCTTTTGTCCAGGTGCCTGCATTTTTCCTAGATATGCTCTGGGTTTGAACCACACTATGCAAAACACCATATGCACATTCTGTTTGTCACCAACACTATGCCTTTATTTTGCTATTACCTTCCCCTGGCATGCCCTCACCTTATTCTACACTCATCTAGATCTCATTCATCCTTTAAGGCTTGACCTGGGCGTGACTTCTTTCAGGAAGCCACTTTTCCTTAACTCACTGAGAATGACTTGCCCCCACACCAACTCTCTGCTTTTTGGCTTTGTGTGCCCTTTTACTTCTCAGGTGTTATTGTTACTTATATGTTTGTCTGGGTACTCTATTAGGCAGCAAGCCTTTTGAGGACAAGGATAAGTCTTATCTGTCCTCATACCTCCTAAAGTATACAGGACAGCACTGTGCACTTGCACTCCCTTATAGCGCAGTGCCAGCCAATTTCCAATCGCTCTCATGTTGATGTAGACTTTAATCTTCACAGCAGGCACAAGGGCTGCCAAGAAGGAGAAATTCCACTACCATTTTACAGATGAGGGATCTAAATCTCAGAGGGAGAGGAGATTACCAGCCGTATAGATAACTGCAGGGACAAGCTGGACAAGATGTTTCTACTGCCAGCCTCTGATCTTTCTCCTCCACCAGTGTTTGGCCCTTTACCTCTTCCATGCATGCAGTGAGTGTTTGTTGACATTTTTCAGAAGCCACATAATGTGGTACAAAGAGTTAGATAATAACAGCTAACATTTGCTGAGCTCTTAGTGTGTGCCAGGTACTGTTGTGAAAGGCAGATCATTTAGTCTAAGCAACAACCCCGTAAGGTGATAACCGTTGTTATCACTAGCTGTTAGGGAAAAACACAGCCAGACAGAAGACAGAAGTTAAGGCAGTGAAGATAGATTTTATTCCAAAGACTATTGCAATAGAGGAAGAGAGACTCCAGTGTAGAACTGGGCTCAATTCCAAATCCAATCAGAACACGTGGGAATTTATAGGCAAAGAGGAATGTGTAGTGGGGCATTGGTAGAAAAAAAATTAGTAGAGGAGACATAAAGTCTGGGGAGATTTGGGCTGAATCAACCTAACGGAATTCTTGCTGAAGGCAGGCCAGGGTGATTTGATATCACCTGGGGATAGTGGGGATAAGGAGCTTGGTCAGCTATCAAATATTGAGTGTGGGGAGATCTCCCTAAACTGACTTAACAGGATTCTTGCTCAAAGTACATGGTACAAGGAAATATTTGCAAAAGCCTTGTTGGAAAGAGGATTCAGGGTAGCCTGACTAAAGTCTGACTAAGCAAGAAACCTTTGTCACAGCCCCATTTTATTCATGAGACTAGAAATCACAGAGAGGTTTAGTAATGTTCCCAGAGTCACAGAGTCATAAGTAATGGAGCCAGGATTTGAATATAGAAAGTCTGACTCCAAGACTCCTGCATATAGACACCAGGTTCTGCTGTCTCAAAAGGCAGTAGGTCTAGATTTTGATGCCTGTGTGCTCTTGGACATGTCTGAGTCTCACAACCAATGCAGGATACCCCTTGCGAGGCCCTACATGTAGTAGGCGCTCATTAAATGTTAGCTCTGAAAGTTGCTGTGAAGCATCTACAAGAGCCCAGACTAGGCAAAAGCCTTCCATGGCAATGAAAAAGTTTGACAAATGGAAATTCATAATTAGCTATTTATTTCCAGCTCCCCTCTACCAAGTTCAGATAAAACATTAAGTGCCTCATTCCAGTCATGAGAAAGAAGTAGGCGAGAGTCAAGGTTTGACATTGGGTTTTAAAAGCTCTTAAATAATTACAGTGTTCAGAGTAAACAGGGCCTTCATGCTTCATTAGGCAATGTGTATTATGGCTCCATTAACACACTGCAGAGCTTTTCCATTTCCCATTTTTTGAAACACGCTGAGAAGGGAGCTGCAGTCATCAGTGTTAATTGATAGCTAACAGAAAGAAACTTCCTAAAAGGGAAATGATTTTTAGGTCCTAATTTGATTAATTATTAAAGCTCCTGGTACCTATCTTGATGGGGTAACAGGAAAACCAGATATTGTTAATATTTACTCATGTGAAGACACAGCCTGTTTATAGCCTCCACATGCCTGAACCTTTTAGTGTTTGTTCATGAGTCTACAAAGGTAAATAGGAAAGCAAGGAAGCTTTAGAGATAATTGAAAATAAAGTGCTGTTCTCACTTTCACTCCCCAGAAAATCCAGGACATGTCTTAGGTGAGACAATTAAAGACAAGGCCTCACTTTTGCCCCTAGACTATTATCTCTCAGCTTGCCCTAATGCTTCAGTAATCCACAATACTCACTACTTTGGTTCATAGTAAAAGAAGCAGTCTTTAAATAATTGGGATGAGTGCTCATCTGAGTAAATACCACTTATTAACACCTTTATAGCCATAGATGCATAGGTAGATGTAGATGTAGATGTAGATTGATAACAGAGGGATAGAGAGAGAGATAGAGACAGACAGACAGACATGTAGATGTAGATTGATAACAAAGGGATATAGAGAGAGAGACAGAGACAGACAGACAGACATGTAGATGTAGACTGATAACAGAGGGATAGAGAGAGAGAGATAGAGACAGACAGACAGACACAGACCGAGACATAGACATAAACCTAGACCTTGGTATAGATTTGAATGTATGGATATTCTAACAAACATATGTAGGCTATTCTGAGTCGTGATTAAGGGTTGGACTCTGGGGCCAGATTCCTTGGTTCAGATACTGGTGTAATTACATATTAGCCGGGTGCCTTTGAACAATATATACCTAAACCTTCCATGCCTCAATTTCCTCATCTGTAAAATGGAGATTATAAAAACAATAACAACATGTGATTGTTGTGAGGTTAAAAGCATGAATAAACGTAAAAATGCTTAAAACAGTTTCTGGCATTAATTAGTGCTTTGTTCATATTTTCTGTTGCTATGATCATTTTTTTATGTGTGTGCCAGGCCCTGCCATCGGGCTTGGGCCCTAATTCAAGAGATTCTTCACCATGTGCTTTAAGGCATTTATTCGAATAACTACTACAATTTAGAAAATAATAAGAGCTTTAGAGAAGAACATCAATCAGAAATGCTGGATGAAGGTTCAGAGAGAATGAGGAAACTTTGCAGGAGAGGGAAAAAGAGATGCTTTATAGAAGACATTAAGAGGACAGTCTGATCCTACAGGAAATAATGTGAACAAGTGCCTCGAGGAAGGAAGCACTGAAGGGTTTCTACCAAAAGCAGTAATACAGAGTACTACTTTATTATCCCGTAGAACTAAGCAGGGAGAGGAGCCAGTCAACTCTGGGGAGTAGGTGACGTAGTTTGAATGAGCCTACTTAAGTTTACAATGATAAATGGTGCCAGGAAGCACTCCACAAGACCACAAGGGATAAGAAAGCCATGGGCCACCAGGAGACCATCATACGATCATCAGCAGAAAGACAAAGCAGCCTGACAGCTAAAGGAAATGAGATCTTCTCCCAGCTCTTCCTTTCTCTAGTCTACGTGAAACCTTGGGCAATTCCCTATCCTTTTCTGGATTGCATTTTCCTGAACTGTAAAATGAGAGATTGGGGTTAATCTCCAATAACCCTCCCAGCTTCGGCATTCTAGGACTCTATAAAATTTTGCCAAGAGCTGGGATACCTCCTTCTCTGCCCCCCCATCACTCACTCCCACACCTTCCTTCCTTCTCCAATTCCTTATTTATATATAAGCAGATAGGATTCCAAGAAAAATTAACAAAAAATAACCCCAAAGCGAAAACATTAGTAAAGGGTTACAGGTTTAAAAAGCAGAGGTAGAGAAGGAAATCAGACTGGGCACTTCTGCAGACAGAATGGGAACAACGTTATGACAAGGCCACCCTTTCAGAGCCTTCGTGACTTGGTAGTGAAGCTATTAAGTAGCTCAAACCACTCTTTTTAAATAAAGTGGCTCATTTGGACAAACACTTCAAGCTAAGAGGCAATGTTACTGCAGCTAGAATTGGAGTGCTCTGCAAAGAATTAAGACAATTTCTCACTGTCCTTTATCCTCCGCACTTTATGCGAAGTTAAGTTATTTGAATTAGTGTTCATCCAATATCATGTTGAGTCTTTCTATTCCCCAAGTTTCTCAAGATTCTACAATGTCACTTCTATTGACATGATTAACTTCTTATTAACTTTAATGGAAGCTGTGGGCGTGAAGTCCATTTTGTTCTCAGGGACTTTTGCTTTTTGTTGGTAAATTCTGGAGCTTTATTTGACTCACCGTTATAAATATACATTAGGTAATGACTACTAAGGACACTGGTTCTTGAACAGGATGGAACTTCTGCCTCCGACTCAATAAACTAATAGATGTTCAGGATGTGAAGAATCACAAAGGTCCCTGAGTCCTGCCATCAGTTAAATCTTGAATCTCCTTTTCAACATCCTAACAAGTTCAGCCTCTGCTTGCACAGATCCAAAGGCTGGGAACTGACTTCTTTCAAGTGTTCATTGTGTGGCAAATATCCACACCCTTTTGCTTCCTCTCCTTTGAGTATTGTCCTATTTGCATTCATGAATTCTGCTTAGCCATGAACAGTGGTTTTCCCAAGGGCCCATCTTGAGATCATCATTGACCTGCGTGGACCATGCCTAGTCTCAGAGACCAGTTCCTTAGACAGTGCACCAGTAACTTAGGGAGGGACAGTATACAACCACAGACTGGCCCTTAATTGGCTCAGCAAAGTATGATAATACTAGCTGTGGTAAGCACAATAATCACCCTCTCACCAATAAAAGATATTTATATCCTAATCCATAGGTACTCCAGGTCTGGAGTACAGATTCTCTCTCCCTTAGAAAGTACTAAATAATTATAAGGCAATTTTTTTTTCTAGTTTTCCTTTGTTAATTGCTTTAGCCAGTCACAAAAATATGTTTTACCTTGTATTAATCAGGGTTACCACTCAACATATTTTCTTGATAGACAGGACTAATTAGAAGTTTCCAGACACGTATAATTATATTTGAAATAGATATCTTTGAGATATCTCAGAGGGATTTAGAGAAAGCTATTGATTGACTGGCAACATTCACAAGTCATCTTCAAGTGGGTTATTTTCTAAAAACATTTCATATATGATGAATGTCATGCATTTCTGTTAAATTCCATGCCAGAGAATATTTCCTGACATTTTCCCCAAATCCTTGAGCTACACCCTAGTTGCCTCCTGTGGACACCTTATTTTAGTACAGTTTTTAGATGTAAAAGACATCAGGGAGGAATCTCAGGGTCACCCTTGATTCATAACTCTCCTTAAGGTCTTATGTCTAATTGCCATCTAATCCTGTCATTTCTTTCCCTCCAGAATGCCTATTGATTTATTCCCTCACTAGGCCAGCCTTCCAACTCTTACATGATTGAGATCCAATAATCATACTAGCTCTCCCTGCTGCCAAGCCACCTTAAATCCAACCAATGAATGCTAGGCTGGGCTTTGGAAGTGACCTGTCTATGTGCTCTGACATTTGCCTTGTCCCAGACTAAGGCACTGACTTCTTTTTTTTTCTTTCTTTCTTTCTTTTTTTTTTTTTTTCAATATTTTAAGTTCTGGGATACATGTGCAGAACGTGCAGGTTTGTTACACAGGTATACACATGCCATGGTGGTTTGCTGCACCCATCAACCCATCATCTACATTAGATATTTCTCCTAATGCTCTCCCTCACCTAGCCCCCAACCCCCTGACAGGCCCTGGTGTGTGATGTTCCCCTTCCTGTGTCCATGTGTTCTCATTGTTCAATTCCCACTTATGAGTGAGAACATGTGGTGTTTGGTTTTCTGTTCTTGTGTTAGTTTGCTGAGAATGATGGTTTCCAGCTTCATCCATGTCCCTGCAAAGGATATTAACTCATCATTTTTTACGGCTGCATAGTATTCCATGGTGTATATGAAGGCACTGACTTCTCTATTCATGATCCTTCAAGAGTTGATACTTATTTATCCCATCAGTCCAACTTATCCAACTGGCATACAATCAGTCCCCCACCCAGCAAACTGTATTTTCCCAATTTTTTTTTTTTTTTGCTTTTTTACAGACTATATCCAACAAGACACTTTCAGTTTGCCTATGTTGGATCTCACTCCAAGATACACCCAAATCTAATAGGAAGAAATGTCAAGGGGGTATGACTCTTACCTAATGAGGAGTAGATATAGACAAGTAATTCCTTGAGGCCAAACATAGCCGATTTGAGTCCAGGCTCTGCACAATCTCCCACTAAGACTCACCTGTAAAGTACAGATAATACTAATACATATTCTACTCTCTGTTTCTATGAGTTAAATGTTTTCACACTTCACATATAAATGGAATCATGCCAATTTTAAAAATTAATATCTATTTCATAAGGTTGTTGTAAGGATTAAATGAGAGAAAATGGGTTGTTCTTGTTAAATGTTCAATATTCTTTTAACTACATCATGCAGATTCTCAAATAAAGAAAAAACCCTTAGGATTCTGAAGCTTATCAAAGCAGCTGAGCCCAAAGTACCTTATAGATTTGGGAAATACTGATTCCTTACTGATTCCCCCAGTCGTTAATATAATATCCCACTCTGCCACTAATTTGATGCTAGAATAAATAGCACAGCACCTAAGGAAAAGTGGTGATCCTGTGAACTGAATGAGAACAAAGTAGGGAAGCTACTGAGTTTTACACTAACAAATTCACAGACTACTAAAGGGTCATTCTGATAGCAAAGTAAAAATCACTTTGGTGATAGTCTCACAATATGTCATCACATCGTGTATAAGAAAGATTATCTTATACTAAAAATATGAATAGTTGGCTCTGTCACTAACTTTTGACCTCAGTTTCAAGATCTGTACATGAAGGATAGGAGACAAAGCCCTCTCATTCAGTAGGTTTTTCTATTTCAGCCTCTATTTCTATTTCTGATGCTTCAAGGAGCGTAAGAGAGAGAAAGAAAAAGAAGGAATGAAAGAGGGAGAGGAAGAGAAAAGGAGACATTGGTTAGCTTAGAGTTGAAAACTTGGTATAAAATTGAATTGAAGGCTCAAGTTTTTTTTACCTGGGAAAGTAAACTACATTCCTGATGTGTAAAACAATCTTCCTGATCATCTTAGAGCTGCTCTAAGTAAGACGTTCAACCATAATTTCTGTCCTGCATGACCATCAACCTCGAAGTACACAGAAACCATACACTCTGAGGTGGCCCCATGAGAGAAGGACTAGCTCCACAAGCCCCAAGCTCTCAGATCTGTCTAAGACATCAAGCACCAGGCAGGCTCCCTGACTCCAACCTAGGCCAGTCTGCAAAGCTGAATCTGCAACCTCCCAGGATCCCTAGCAGCAGGAGGAGAAGCCTTGTCCTCCTCTGGCTCAGAAACACTTAAAGGAAGCCCCATGACTAAGGTCTCTACTGGCAACAGCCTGAAGCTGCCAAAGATTTTTAGCCTAGTTCTGCTAGAACCATTTCCCACTTCAACCATATGGAATGTTCATGCTGAAGGCTTTCTTTCTTTCCAGACCTTGTTCTTCACTTCAATATCTACCTTCTTTTCTTGATGGCAGGATATGTCTGATGACATAGAAGCTGTGGAATCCATTCTTCAGGGTCTAAACTCAAGCCTGGTCCTTAGTTCTCCGTACTGTATTCTTCCTGACCTCCAGACCTGAGCGTCCTCCCCTTCAAAAGACAAAGCCATCCAAAGAGTCTGAGCACTCCAAGTGAGCAGCTTGAAGAGTGAGAGACATGGACAGAGGGAAGGGCAGGTCTGTGCAGCCTGTGGCCATAAACCCCACCTCTGGCCTTCTCCAGTGAAGCCACACTCAAGATTTAAGAGAACTTGTGATCAACTTGGGGTATTTGCACCCCACGAAAAGGGAGTTTGCAGGATCCCTAATATCACTGCGAGTTGCCACTTTTCCAGTCTTTTTTTGCTGTTCGCTCATATCCACAGGGAAAAAAACGAAATGAGCAGCCCAGTCCCTCAGGCCTTTTTCTTTAATGTTGCCATCAAAAATCAATAAAATGCATCAAGCTGTTTCAACTAAGTTGATCTCAAATCAAACTGGTATGGTTGTCAGGGAATATGTTGAACTATATTTAAGTGAAGAAAGATTTTGGGCTTGGTATAGACTAAGATAGAAAGAAAAAACAAGAGAATAGAACCTGTATACTGGCCGGGCGTGGTGTCTCACGCCTGTAATCCAGCACTTTGGAGGCCAAGGTGGGTGGTCACCTGAGGTCAGGAGTTCGAGACCAGCCTGGCCAACATGGTGAAACCTGTCTCTACTAAACATACAAAAATTAGCTGGGTGTGGTGGAAGGCGGAGGTTGCAGTGAGCCAAGATTATGCCACTGCACTCCAGCCTGGGTGACAGAGCAAGACTGTGTTTAAAAAAAAAAAAAAAAAAAAAAAAAATCCTGCATACCAAACTCCCAGGACTGAAAACATTTTGTTTGTTTGTATGTCCATTCCTTTGCCTAAAATAAAAACATCACATGAGGCAGGTATTCCCTCTGTTAGCTCCCTGTGCCTGCTGTAACAAATTACCAACACAGATACAGTGTTTTAAACCAATGCACATGTTGGTTTACATCTGAAAGTCAGATGTCTGAAAGTCAGAAGTCTGAAGTCTGATATCTGAAAGTCAGAAGTCTGAAGTCAGTTTCACTTGGTCAAAATGAAAGTCTCAGAAAGGCAGTGTTTCCTCCAGAGGCTCGAGAGGAGGATCTGTTTCCTTGCCTTTTCCAGCTCCTAGAGCTGCTTCTTCCACCATCTTCAAAGCCAGGGGCTCAGCATCTCGCCTCAGTGTCACTTAGTCTTTTTCATCTGTCCCCTGCCTCTCTCATATAAAGACACTTCTGATTACATTTAGGGCCCACCTTGGTCATCCAGGATAATCTTCCCACCTCAAGATTCTCAGTTTGTTTACACCTGCAAAGTCCCTATTGCCATATGTATTAGTCCGTTTTCACTCTCCTATAAAAAACTACCTGAGACTGTGTAATTTAAAAATAAAAGAGGTTTAATTGACTCACAGTTCCACATGGCTGGGGAGGCCTCAGGAAACTTACAATCCATGGCAGAAGGCAAAGGGGAAGCAAAGATCTTCTTCACAAGGTGGCAGGAGAGAGGGAGAGCAAGCGAGGGGGGGACTGCCAAACACTTTTAAACCATCAGATCTTGTGAGAACTCACTATCATGAAAACAGCATGGGGGAAACTGCCCTCATGATCCAATCACCTCCCACCAGGTCCCTCCCCTGACACTTGGGGATTACAATTTGAGATGAGATTTGGGTGGGGAAACAGAGCAAAACCATATAACCATATAGGGAAACATGCATAGGTTCCGAGAATCTGGATCTGGATCTCTTTTTTGGGGGCATTATTCAGCCTACCACAAGTGCCTTTCACCTTGTCAGATGTGGAATATGGTGTAAGATCCCAGGATTTAGGAAAGGACGATGGATGAGACATTTTCCAAAGTAAAATTGAGTTGAGGGTGTGGTAGTGGGATTTGAAATAAGGAAGAAGCAGACCCTCTTTCCCATAGCATCTCCAAAGGTTATTCCAGCAGGAGATGAGCCTCTTATGGAGATCCAGCGAGACCCATTGACACACACATTTCTCAGACTACAGCAGTGAGCAGGTGGTAGTATATTTCAGGTCTGTGCTGTGGAGCCCCCACTCTTCCCTTCTTGGAAGGCCCAGACCTGCCTTTTAAGTTATCTCCTAAACCTATTGATGATTTCTGAACTTCCTGCTTTTGAGCCTATTCTGGAAAAAGTGGATAGAAGTGATGCTGGTGCTGTCACATGCCAGCTCTTCCGCTCCTATGCTGTTTTGAGCCATCGCATTGCCCCAAGGAACACTCAAGGGAAGATGCAGTTACAATAGGGAAATTCCCATGACTCCATCGATCCAGGTGGGCATTGCCTTGATGCCAGAGTCAGGGAGATGACCTTCTGCTTCCTGTTGGAAGGTCCTGGGCTTCCCAGGATAGCATAAGACCCTGTCTTGACTAGAAGAGCCTGAGTTTTGGATGCTGTTGCCTTCAGCATACTGAGAGCCTGCTTGTTTAAGCTAGTGCAACTTCCAGTAGAGACACAAGACATCCAAGTCCACTCTGACAGTCCGACAAACCAGAAACAAAAGAAAACAAAAGAAGGAAAACCTCTAAGTCTTATCTCCCCATCTCTTATTCAAATATCCCACCCCATGGGATCCGTACATTTGAGATCTATACCTCCTCACTCATCCTGCCCAATACCCATTTTCCTTCCGAGGTTCAGGGATTCTTAAACTACCAGAGTCTATGAGTTGATGATGCCTTTCCCTCTTTACATAGAGAAAGACTCCCTGGCCACAAAGGAACTGTGGTCCCCTCCCAGCTCCTAAAGGTATTCTTTCAACCCCCTTATTCCTCACAGTTGAATTCCCTCACTCCTTAATATCCAATATTCTGGGTCCTGGGTTGCATTTAAATCAAGTTTTCTGACTCACTTATTGGGTCCAACATTTTAATTGCCTTTCTTTTATATTTTTTGATGTCTTCTTTTTATTTAATAACTTCCAAGGGCTCCTGTGGTATCCACATTATGTAAGTGTGGGGCTGGGATAAATGATGCCAGCAGCTTTACAGCCCAGAAGGAAAATGCTTGAAGTGATTTTAATTTCATTCTCCTTTCATTCTAACACCCAAAGACTAGAGAAAAAATGATGTGAAAGTTTTCTCTTTTTCTCTTTCTGCAACGAGGGGGGAATTTGAAAAAGGAAAAGCTTTTTCTAATATCAGCTTATTATTTTTTTAAAAGCACTCAGAATATGGAGTTCGCGTAGCTATTTCTTTGTTGTTCTTAATTTGAACAATCCTATGTGATTGCTTTAAATGCATCTCCTGGGTTTCAGCTATTTTTAATTAGCTGTGGCTTCTTCTTCTCTTCTTTTTCTTCTTTTTTTTTTCTTTTTTTACTGTTATCACTCTAGTTGATTTGTTTGATCTTCATGCTCCATTAGTTCTTGCATCCTCACCTAGCTCTTCTGTCTCCCCATCATATTCACCCATGGTTTTATAGAAGCTGGTAAAATTCTGAATTATCTGTGTCTATAAAGACAAAGGTCTCCAATTCTTACTCAGTGCCTCTCATTGCCTCCTCACCCTCATACTTACAAACAGAATTGAGAGTTTATGAGGATTTGTTCTGTCTGTAATAAGGAGAAAATCTATAAACTGTATCATAAAAAGAATCATAATATTAGAGGTAGGAGAGAATAAATTTTAACTTCTCAATTTTACAAAGGAGGAAACTGAGGCCCAGCCCAACAAAAACCACAGGGCTAATAGGAAGCTGACCTGGACTGCAGGCTGGCACCACACGTGAGAGGCCAGCACTATGCTCACTGCACGGCCCCCTGCTCTGGGATGACAGCTGAAGTACATGCAGGGCAGGAACAGACAACACGTAGGACCCTGCACTACAGCTCAGGCTCCCATCTCCCCTCTCCAGGACATTTTGGTGGCTTGCTCCAGTCTCTCTGCAGGCAAGTATTGTGGTGTTCCATAGAAAATAAGAGCACAGAACTGAAAGTTGAGACATCTCCATTCTAGTCTTGCCTTTGACACTAATCAACTCTGTCATTTTAAGTCTCCAAGTTTCAGTTTACTGTCCATGAAACAGATATAACAGTGCAAAGTGCTGATAAACGACTTCCCAGTCTTTTGAAATTCTCCATTTTTGGCTTCCAGGATACCCTTCTTTTCTGGTTTACTCAGCTCTGTGGTTATTCTTTTTGGTCTCCTTTGTGAGACGGTTTTCTTCCTTTTACCTCTTACTGTGGACTCATTTCAGGACTCTCTCCTTTTTCTGCTTCTCTTCTGACTTTACATGCTTTTTCTGGACAATATCACCCCTGGGCTTACACTGCCAAGCATCAGCTGATGATTCCCAGATCTCATCTGTAGCCCCCAACCTCACTCCTGAGGGAATATCCATCTTCTCACTCACCAGTTCCTCTTGGGTGGTCCCCAGCACTTTAACTCCCCATGCCCACTGCAGACCCACTATGCTCCCCCTAAACCTTGTCCTCTTCTGGTCCTTGCCTTGGGGATGGCACCACCTTCTGCTCTGCTGCTTATATCAGAAAAGTGACAATCATGTTATTTCTCTCCTCAATCCTCAGACACATTGAATAGTTCATAATATTCTGTTATTTATTTCTCCTAAATTTCTTCCTATTTTATCTCATTTTATCCATTCTCATTATCTAGTTAAGGCTCTAGCCTCTTACATGGACTACTTCAGCAACCTCTAACCTGTCTTCTCTTCTTTCAGGTTGTCCTTTTCCAGTTCATTTCCACACCACTATTATACTTAACCACCCAAATCACAATTCTGATTGTTTTATGCCCAGACTTTTTAAAGTCCCTGATTATCTTAAAAAAAAAAAAATTGAGAATCTTGCACAATGTGCTCTATGCCAGTCCTGCAATCTCATCTGTCTCTATTGACATACCTGCCCCCACCCCCCGCCCTCAACTCCACTGCACTTTAGCACTACAAAAATTCCCAATTCTTATTTGAGGTCTCCCAACAGCTTGCAGTCAATTAGCAGACATCTTTTAGAGTGTCTCTGCAGCCTTCAAGGCCCCATCTTTAAAGTTTTCATCCATAGCAGAGAGCCTGGGAAACTATGTTTGTACCCTACGATCTTCCCACTCTGATCATTATGGTACGACTGGAACAGATTCTCGAGCCAGGTTGGGCCAGGTAGTTATTCTCTATCAAGAATTTGGAATTTAGACTCAGAGCTATAAATTAGATATCTATGGTTCATTGGATTCCTTTTCAGTTCTTGGTTCAACCCCCTCATTTGGCTTGGCAGCTCTGGGCCCTCAGGATCTGTGGGATGTCATGATTTTCTATCCAGCATTCCCTTTTTGTTTAAATAAGTATGAAATGAGTCTCTTTACCTGCCACCAAATGATTCTAAGCCACTCATCAACACATCTCATACTTAGTCGTTTTCCCTCTCATTTTCCTCTGACTGAATCATCCTGCAACTATTTTCATCTTATAAATTTCCATGTATCCTCAGGAACCAGTGCAAGCATTGCCTCCTCTGCAAAGCTCTCCAATACTCCCTCTCCCACGGACAGTTTCATTTACTCCGCCTTATGAGCTGCCACTATACTTGCTATCACACTTAGTCGGAACTTTGTTTTATAGGACAGTTTTTTCCTGTAAGAACATGAGCTCCTTGAGAGAGGCCATAGGCATATTTGTATCATCAATGCTAGGAGAGATCCTCACACATAGCAAATACTTAGGACATTTATCTTGAGAACTTGAGTGAGTGAATTGATACTTGTGAAAAATATATAAAACAAACATTATCTAAGCGTCTTGTATAAAATAAAGGTCTTACACATCCAATAGATCATCCCCACGGTTCTAAAATTCTGATTAATGCTTTTTCCTGAATTTTAAACTTATCATAGGTATGACCAAGTGAGTAGCTTTCTGTAAAAATTAAGACAAACACAAGGATACTGACACAGCTCTCATTTAGGGAAATAAAGGGCTCCATGCTAATGGATCAGGCTCCAGTTGGCTCTTTTATTTGAAGCCACTTTTAGGTTGAGTTGTTGAGAAATATCTTGACAGCCTACTTCAACGTTGTGTTTTTCTTCTAGTGTTACAGAGTATAACAATAATGTCCTTTCCTTGACCTCTGCTAATGCTTTTTAGTCTCTCAAAGAAATTGGAAAATGCTCACAAGCAGTCTCAAAAGAGAACTCATACATCCTCCACTTGTTCCAGGGAAAGACTTGTTTCCCTGCATCAACCACCCCCAAAACGGATAAACAAACAGCTGCCTAAATTGTCCTTCAAGGTCCAACAGAGAATCTAGATGACAGTGACACACCTTGGAACTGACTCTCGTCATTCTGGAAACACAGCCTGTGTTTTCCTACCTGTTTTGCTACCTGTTTGACTTGGAAAAATGTTCACATGGCTCTGCCCTCTTCCCTCTATCGAAAGCCCAGTTCCTCTGATTTCCCTGAATGGGAATAAGTCTTTTCTTTTGGCTGTGTCCCCATAGCAATTGTTTTGCACTTCACATGTAGGACTTCCTACACTCAGCCATGAACACATCAGTCTCCACTCCAGATGGGACTTGTCAAGGTCAAGGGCTATGTCTCTGAATATCCACAGCACCAAGTCAGTGCATTGGCACTCAATATTCCTTGTAATTAAATTAAATATATACAAAGAAGATTTTGTTTACTAATCCTTGAGGACCATGGGACGCTGCATTTAGAACTAAACCTAGCTAGCATTAGGAACCCACTTACCCAAATTTACTAACAGAAATTGACAACATGACCTTCACAGTCTTACCTCCCCATAAGCCAAATTGTAAATTCTGCAATTAATATATGACAGACTCATACCTGCAAGTGTCTTACAAAGATAATGCAATGAGTACTGGTAAGAGAACCAGGAGAATGAGAGTTTAATCCTGAATGTAACAATGGATATGAAACTTTTCTTCCATAAGCCTCATTTTTCTCATTTATAAAAAATAAGTTCCCAGTGTTTGACAAAACGTCTTCCTATGGTTTGGTGATAGCAACAGACCTAAAAATCCAGCATATTTTAGCTCTTATTTCAACCAAGAGCTGATCAAAGCAGCCTGTGGACCATGAGACAGAGTCCATCAAAAAATAAAAATAAGTTGATGTACTTAACACTATAGTTGAAATACTTCTTTTCTAGATCTTTAGAATGATTTATAACTCTCAGAAACAAACACAAACAAAATATAGACAACACTCAATTGTGTGCAGAGATGGACGAAAGGATGGGAATACACATCACACGAAAAAAGAAAAGTAAATAACTAGGCATGGCTAGGAGGAAAAAGAGAGAACATGGGTACTGTGAGGGGCCAGGGCATGAGAGCTCTTAGCAGTGAGTACCCTACCACCAGAGGCATTTCAGCAGTGTGTAGATGACTCCTGGATAGGGGTATGTCAGAGCAGGTTTAAATATTGAATGATGAGTTAGCTCACAGTCTCAAGAATGGTTTCAAGTTCTAAATGATGGGTGAGGGCATAGCCAGGAGATGCTGATTCTCTCTTGGGTCCCAACCACACATGTCTCTGGGAAAATTCTCAGGACAGGATTTGAAGGACATTAGTGCATTCCTGGGAGATGGTAGAAGCTGTTACAGTAAAGAAATTTGCCAGATATAAACAGCTTTCCTAAAAAGGCAAACTATATAGCAGATTATAAAGCTTTGGGCTATAATGACCTGGGGTCTACACCCCAATGAATCATTGATTTTCTTTGTGGCTGGGTTCAGTGAGGCAGATCCAGCCTTCACCCTGAGGTTAGCCTCTCAAGTCAGCTCCTTCCAGATGATTTTACTTTTATAAACAAGTGTCTGATTTGTTCAGCTCTCTATCTCCCTAGAAGTACCTGTTGGGAACTTATGCTAACTGAAATCAATGGAGTTTAGAAACATCTGCTGAGATTCAGAGAGTTCTCGTTATAGACAATTTCCAAAGAAGAAATTTCAGAGAGGTCAAATCTCAATGTGATGAATAAGTACAAAGGGACAGTAAGTAGATGGACTTAATTATATAATCTTCAAATAAAGCAAATTATAACATAAAAATTGCCTGGAAGCATAAAATGCTTATGGCTAAATGAAAGGCACTGTAAGACCAGCAGAGTTATTTAGATTTTAACTTTTTTCTCTAGTAGAAAGAGATCATCCAGCTTCATAGTGTTAAAAAAGAACTAAAGACATCAACAAGCTTTGTTTTCCTTCTTTACAAATTTGAAACAACTCAGATGTTTCTCACTAGAGGAATAGATAAAGATATTGTGGTATATTTTGCAATGAAATACTATCAACAATAAAAATGACTGAAAAATTTAAATGGATAGACCTCAAAAATATAACATAAGGTAACATTCATAAAGATTGTTAAAGCACAAAGCAATGCAACATATTAGTTGTGATTTTATACACATATAGTAAAAGTTTAAAACTTTAGGTGGGAAGAATACACATTGAATTCCTGATAGTGCCTGTCCCTGCAGAAGAGAAAAAAAACCCTTCAACTTTGTATTTATTTGTTATAAGTTCTGAAAAATATAAATATTTACAAATGGCATATTATATTATAAACATAAATATTTACAAATGGCATATTAGTCACTATGGTGACTTTCCAAATATACCCAAACCTGATATTTTTTTCTCACTGTCTTAGAAAGTGGTTCTCAAAATTAGTGTGCACCAGCATCTCCCGGAGGGCTTGTTAAAACACAGATCTCTGGAGCAATCACCAACATTTTTTAGTTATTAGGTCTGGGATTGGGCCCAAGAATCTGCATTTCTCACACATTTCAAGGTGATTCTAACACTGTTGAAGAACTAATGTCTTGTATCATAGTTACTAGTAAACATGCATTTAGACTTCGAACTAAGGACAAATATTTTAACTCATTAATATTTGTAGCTTCCACCTCGCCTAGCAAATAGACCCTCAATAAGTATCCGTAAATCGAAGGAGTTCATCTTAAAAAATAAAAATAAAAATCTATACACACACTCATATACACATTCCACCATAAGTGAGCCACTTAATAACAATGCAAAATAAACAATATATGGATGAATATGAATTGGCAATTTTATAAAAGCAAACAAAATATTACCTTAAGAGGCATAGCATACACTCAAGAAAAACCTCAGTCTATGGTCAAGAGTGTCTCATACCTAGCAGGATCTAACTATCAAGTCAGAGCCCCTAAATCATTTTTATCATTGCACCCAGAGATTATGAATCTAATTTTCTTTTTTTAATTTGAGATGGGGTCTCGCTCTGTCACACAGGCTGGAGTGCAATGGCACAATGTCAGCTCACTGCAAACTCCACGTCCCAGGCTCAAGTGATCCTCCCACATCAACCTCCCTAGTAGCTTGAACCACAGACATGCACCATCATGCCCAGCTAATTTTTTTGTATTTTTGGTAGAAACAGGGTTTCACCACGTTGTGCAGGCTGGTCTTGAACTTCTGAGCTCAAGCTATCTGCCTGTCTTAGCCTCCCAAAGTGCTGAGATTACAGGAATAAACTAATGCTCCCGGCCTGATGAATCTATTAGAGGCAAACCTTATTGACAAAATTTATATACATAGTACCAGATGTATTCAGCCAATGATGAAAAATTTAAGTACCTCACAAGGGTATATGCTTCTCTAAGAAGCGCCTTCTCTTCCTGAGCATCAACCTCTGTAGGAATCCAAGGTTAACTGGTAAGTGTAGACTCAGAGCAACAAAAGTGAGTGGTGAATCACAGCAGCCAGTAGCATTGAGCTGCAATACATTGCTGTATCCATTTCCCTGTGTGGGGCCAAGCAGCCGAAAATGATTGAAGGAAAGCAGGCCCTGTATCCAAGGCAGAGCTAAAGATACTCTGCAAACCTCTTACTTCTAGATTTCTTTTTCATTTCATGCAGAGAAGCTATGTAGCACAAATGTTCTTTTCCTCAAAATATGGTGATCATTATGAAAACTAAATATTTCCCTTTCAGTCATGATTGGTGGATATACCCTGCCTTCCCTATGTGGGAGCTGGTAGTTAACCTGGTTTTTAAGGTGGCTTCATTTATGCATTCATTTATTGAGTAGTCTATGCAAAGCAATGCACCAGTTACTGGTCTATGAGGATGAACAAGATATCATCTCTGCCATCACAGAGATTGCAGTCTAGAAGGCCAATGATATCTAGATAGGTACTTACCACACAGTAAGGAAAATACTACGGAGGTGATAAATATACCCAGGGTGTAGTGAGAGCATACCAGAGGGGCATGTTCATGAATATCTGCAGAAAACAGATATCCATTGTATCTTCATAGCACTATCAGAGGACAAACTGTTTTGAAAAAAGCAAATTCTAGAAAATGAGGATTTCTGGTTTTTGCTCCAACCTATAAACATCTTGGAAGTTGTAATTCCCATTCTTACAATAAGAACAGTTATAAGGACAACTTCAAGCTGTACAAGTTTAAAAATCAACAGCTTTTCTTAGACTCATCAGAGAACAGAGGTAACAGGGCAAATTGTCACCTGAAATCTTGAGAGACAGTTGAATACAGAGAAATACAGCAACCTAGATCAGCTTACCTGAAGCAGAAGGAACACTTCCATGGCAATCTTGATAAATTTCTGGAGGCAAGGTGGGCTAATGTGACAGTAAGAAACTCCTGGAAGCCCCCAAACATTTGTGGGCTTTCCTTCCAGGAATCTCACCAGGTTTTCAAGTCAGGGCTCTGAGAAAGGTCCGTTTGTTATGTCCAAGATGGCAGGAGAAAAGTAACCATTTTGAAATATGCCCCAAGCCTTCTTGATAACAAAGGCCTACTCTCCAGGAAAAGAGATTTTGTCAGAAAATGGGCAAATGACAGAAGTGGCTCTCATAGTTTTCTTGCTTAGTTGATTGGAACCTAAACCCTAGAGTGGCCTACACTAAATAAAGTTAAAGTAACGTTTTATTGGTTTATGATAGAGGAAATTATCCTGGATTGAGGAGCTTGGAATACTGGAGTGGCTTTTTCATGTAACACTTGCTCATTCACCTCCTACCTATGTCCTGTGAGAAGGACCAGCAACACTCCTTCTACCAAGGCTGTGAATGGGAAGCCTCCCAAAAAGCTCTGCGAAGCCTCATGAAGTCTCTTCTCTGTAGGCCAGAAATAACAGTAAAAGTTGCTGCCATTAAAATGAACTCCCTGAATTCCTGGGAGTCCATTTTTTTTGAGATCCTGAGGTATCCAGAGGCCAATGATGGTGCTTAAGGCCAGAGATGAGGTGAGTGTCCTTACCACAACAAGTAGTAGAGGTAAAGTAGAAGTCAAAATGGTTTGACCTACAGAGATATTCAGTATTCTTTAATTGATCTTGGTTTCTCTGAAACTGAAGTCAATGGGCATGTATATATATGCCCATTTTATATATATATGCCCATTTTATATATATATATTATATATATAATATATATTATACATATTATATATATTTATATATATATTTTATATTATATATATTTATATATTATATATAATATATATTTTTATATATATATTTATATTTATATAAGTATATATTTATATAAATATATATTATATATTTATATATATAATATATAATAATATAAATATATATAATATATAATAATATAAATATATAATATATATGAATATAAATATATATATTTATATTTATATATAATATATTAATTTATGTATATTATATATTTATATATATATAAATATATTATATATATAAATATAAATATATTATATATATAAATATAAATATATTATATATATAAATATATAATATATATAACATATTTATATATATATATATATATATATATATACACACACCTCTAGATCTAGTGGACATCAAGATGACTTGAATTGCACAATAAAAAGCTATAACACTTCAACTAGTTCAATATTTGAGCCAGTTCATACACCGGAGCTCCTTGAATGGAGGGAAGGCTGATCTACTTGGGGAAGAACCCTGCTAAACAGCCAAAAATGTATACTTTGGATGCATTTATCAGGGTAACTGTACATTAAGAAAGAAGAAATTTCCAGAGTTTGGGGGTGATTACTGGACATTAGCTCCAAGCTCATGCTAATTCTTACAAAATCAAAACTCTACTGTTGTCCACAAGTCAGTGTAGGAGCTTATGGATATCAAGTGATCAATAAACTTTCAGTTCAGATTCATCTCCCAGTAGGCACAATGTGTCCCTGTACCCACTTTGTAGATCTTCCCAAGGTCTAAAATGCAGAGTTGTGATAGAAAATCTCCCTAACTGACAGAATTCCCAGAATGACTCCCTGATCCATGGAATAGGAGCCATTATTGTAGAAAAAGGCAAATGGAAGCCAATAGAACAGCCTCAGCCTATCAAAATAGTAGACCAAAAACAATACCACATTTCAGGAGGGACTGCAGAGGTTTGTGTCACCATCAAAGACTTAAAAAAATACAAAGATAGTAATTCCTGTAGCATTTCCACACAAGTCACCTGTATTTGATTTGTGCAAAAGACAGATTAATGTTGAAAAATGACAGTGAGGTATCATAAAACTAATAAAATAGTAACTCCAATTGCAACTGTTTCTCCAGAACAGCATATTCCCTGGCAGCTGGTATGTAGCTATTGATCTGGAGAATGTATTTTCCTCTCTATACTTGTTGATAAGATCAACAGAAATAGTTTGCTTTTAGTTGGCCAGGATAGGAATATAGCTTCATGATCCTAGCTGGGGGTACATCAACTCTCAAACTCTGTGTTATTACATAATCTACTCAGGAGGGACTTCAATCACCTCTACATTTCACGGGACATTGTGCCTGTTCATTATATGGATGTCATTGGAGACTGGAACAGATGAACAAAATAGAGCAACATCTCAAAACATCTTGGTAAGACACATGCATGCTACAAGGTGGCAAATGAATTCTAGAAAAATTCAAGGGCCTTCAACTTCAGTGAAATATCTAGGGGTCTAGTGGTCTGGGTCATATTTAGATTTTTTTTAACTTTTATTTTAGGTTCAGGGGTATATTGCAGGTTTGTTATATAGGTACATTTTGTGTCACAGGGGTTTGGTATACAGATTATTTTGTCACTCAAGTAGTAAACATAGTACCCTATAGATAGTTTTTTATTCCTCTCCCTTCTGTCACCCTTTACCCTCAAGTAGGCTCCAGTGCCTACTCTTCCCTCGTTTGTATCCATGTGTTCCTAATTTTTTTTTAAGATGGAGTCTCACTGTGTCTCCCAGGATAGAGTGCAGTGGCGTGATCTCAGCTCACTGCCAGCTCCGCCTCCCAGGTTCACACCATTCTCCTGCCTCAGCCTCCCGAGTATCTGGGACTACAGGCACCCGCCACCACACTAGCTAATTTTTTGTATTTTTAGTAGAGACGGGGTTTCACCGTGTTAGCCAGGATGCTCTTGATCTCCTGACCTTGTAATCCACCTGCCTTGGCCTCCCAAAATGCTGGAATTACAGGCATGAGCCACTGCACCCAGCCCCGTGTGTTCCTAATCTTCAACTCCTACCTATAAGTGAGAACATGTGGCATTTGGTTCTCTGTGCCTGTGTTAGTTTTCTTGGGATAATGGCCTCCAGATCCATTCATGCTGCTGCAAAAGACATGATCTCATTCTTTTTTATAGCTGTGTGGTATTCCATGATGTATACATACCACATTTTCTTTATTCATTCTGTCATTGATGGGCATTTAGGTTGATTCGATGTCTTTGCTATTGCAAATAGTGCTGCAATGAATATACATGTGTATGTGTCTTCATGGTAGAATGATTTATATTCTTACCAAGACGAAGTAAGATGCACCTATTCTCTCCTCCTAACAAAAAGAGACAAAATAGCTGGTGGGATTCTAGGATGGAAGCAGTATATACCTTTTTTGGACATACCACTAAGGCCCATTATCAAGTAATCTGAAAATCTCCCAGGTTTTAGAAAGACTTAGAAGAAAAGAAGTCTTTGAAATAGGTCTGGGCTTCTATATAAGCAGCTCTACCATTTTGACCATAATTCTCAGAAGAGCCATCCTGTTTGGATTTTATGTGGCACATAGGAGGGCTTTAGGGAACATTTGGCTAGCTCCTGTAGGTGATTCATGATGAGTCATGTTTTGGAATTAAGCTATTCTATCCTATACAGGTAACCATGCTCCTTTAAAAACAAAACCAAAAATCCACAACTTCTGGCTTCTTCCTAGACCCTAGTAGAGGTTGAATGCTTGACTGGAGTCTATCAAGTTACACTGCAGTCTGAGTTTCCAGGAATTGAGTATTGACTGATCCATCAGCCCATAAGCTTGGGTGCACACAGCAGCATTTCATTAACAAATGAGAATGATATGTATGATTTAGGGCCCATACACGTCTTGAAGGCACAAGTAAGTTGCATAAGCAAGTGGTCCCAGGTACCCACAGTCTCTACACCTAATACATTGCTTCTTCTGTGGGTAGATAAGCCATATCCACCACTTCATGAAGGGATTCCTTATAACTACTTGATTAAGAACAAAAGTTGGGACTGGTTTATAAATGGTTCTTCACAACAAGAGAGCACCCATCAAAAGTGAACAGCTATAGCACTGCAGCCCCACTCGGGGGCTACATTAATAGAAGGGAACGTCTTCTACTCTAAAAGGATGAAGCAGTTCCATTTTGGAGGGTATTAATTAGCTGTCACTTGTAATATTGCATATTGTTTTTGATATCTCCCTTTAAGAAATATAGATTAATTTAAGCAGTTCTTGGACACAGCATCCAAAGTGGTGAGGAGAATTTGAAGCTAGGCTATGCAAGAAATGTTAAAGTAACTGAAGGAATTTAATCTGGAGAAGAAAGCACTCAGGTAAGGGAAATAATAATTGGCCATACATTTTTTAAGGGTTAATTCTTCAGAAAAGCCGGTCTTAATTTTAAACTTTTCCGTGTAAGCTAGCAGTGACTTTGGGCAAGTTGTTTAAATACCTTGATCATCAGTTTCTGTATCTATAAAAAATGGAGTTATAAATTACTATTCCATTGTCTAACTTAAGAATTATAAAATGTGTGAAGATCCAGTGAGATAATAGTTGTAGAACACTTTAATAAATTGGAAAATATTTTTAAAATTGTAAGTGGTTCTTTTCTTTATTATCAAAGGCATTTGTAAAGAAGCTAGTATATGCCAGTCACATACTAGAGTTTTCAAAAGATAAAAAGTCTAGTAAAGCCTAGTCTTTTTTTCCTCAGAACTTCCATGTTGAAACGTTAAGATAAGCATCAATATATAAGTAGCTACAAATATGTAAACAAAAACATAACCATAGAAACACACATGTGTACATGCGTACACACAGCACTAATAACACAAGATAGCTCTAGGTGCATGTGGAAGTAAAGGAAAGTCTTACCCAAATGACTTTTAAAAAATAAAGAGAACTTATTGGAGCACACATACAAAAAAATACAATGGTGAGGTTTTTTTTTTTAAATTAAGGTTAATATTGTACTTTAGTAAGTACACAAAATACCCAATTTTATTACATCTCTCCACTCTGCCGTCTACAACACAGGCTTTCAAACTGCAGAGAAAATCTTAATATGATTGACAAAAGCTCTCAAGACTACCTCTTCATCCACTATGAGAACTATCAGATGTCCCAGTAATGCCCAGAGAAGTTTATGGTCATGTGACCGTAGGTGAACCAATCCCTATGTCCAGGGGATGGTATATTCTAATTGGCTTAATCCATTCTAATATCATTCCTGAACTGGAAATGGAGTCAATTTCAACCACACTGCTGAGAATACACAGAGAGGTGGTTTACTCAAAGTTTGTGTTAGAAAAGAGGAACTGGGAGAGAAAGAGGAAAAAGGAGGGGAGAATGAAAACGGAAGGCAGCAGCAACAACTTCGGAAATCAGTTTGCTGCAATAAAACAAGCAACCCATAAGTAAGTGTTTGGCATTTCCCATAAGAGAAAGAGCCTGACAGCCAAGGAGTTCCAGGAGACTTTGCAAAGACTGTAGAACTTGATTAGGGTCTTACACAGGGATCCGTCATGCTAATCCATGTATAATTACAAACAAAAATGATGATGAACAAGGGGGTGGTGAGAAGTTTAGTAAAATCATTACTTTCCCTCCTTGTTTGGGGGGCGAGTAAATGTACATGGAAAAGTGAGGGGAAAATTATGTCCTTGTTTAACTTTTGAATTTTGTCTCTTATGATGCGCATTTTGTAGCTGAACAAATTGATACCCAAGGACAGCAGTTTTAGGGGAGTTCGTCATCTGACCTTCATGAAGCATTGGAAATAAAAATGTACTTTCAGGTTTTTTATACAGGAAAGATAGGATTAAGCAGCAATTAACTACAAATGCATTATCTTTTTTAACTATTTGAACTTTACCTTAAATGTCTAAATTTCCTTGAAATAGTATTTATATTAATAGTACTATTTAATATCTGGATAACAACTTCATCATCCTAATGTACCATATTCTGAAGACATGTGAAGCTAATAGAAATAAAATGACAATTTCTATGACCTAGAATATTTATATGAGACCCTTTACTACTTACGTGACCTAGAATGTTCATATGAGACCCTGGGAGGTATATCAAATCCAATGGCATAAATGCTTACTTATATAAAAGTTAATCTCATTTATAAATTTCAAAAAAGAAATACTCAGGTCTCCAGACTTCAGCTCAGGACAACTTTTTACAGGTACATCTACAAGGTCAGAGGGTGAAAGACATGGCTACTACCCAGTCATGACGGAGGCAGATATCATGGCCTGTGCAGCAAAGACTGTGGCCAGTCAATTTGTAGTTGCTTCAAGCTAAATGTGCCCGCATCCTGAGTTGTACTAAAATCTGTGTATGAGGAATTGAATGAGAAGAGGGGTGCTTAAAACCAGAGGTCACTGATTTTATTTTTTATTTGTTTATCCATTCATTCATTTAGTAAAGTTAAAGCTATGACATTGAATATATGAGAAGAAAGGTTACAAACAATTTCTTGGAAATAATGCCCCTAATAAAGTCACAAAATTAAATCCAAATCCCAGAGCCTAAATCACTTTCTCCTCTAACAATAATAGAGTAGTAATACCCATTTGGATTATAAATTGAAGAGCTAAGTTAGATGGCCTGGAGCTGATCTATTCTTAATTTGCCCAGCAAGTTACAATTTTCCTTTAACTCTCCTCTTTTCCTTAACATACAGTAGGAAGAGCACTGGATTGGAAATCAGATGACCTGGTTTCATCTCTACCTTTAAGCAGCTGGGGACATCTTTGGCAAGTTACTTAAACTCTTTGATTCTCAGCTTCTTCATATGCAAAAGAGAAATATTAACTCATTTCAAGCTAATGTAGATTATGTTATCAAAGTGTATACTACATCATTATACCTATAACTTATTCATTTCATCCAGAATAAAACCACTTAGCCTTCTAAAACATAATTAAAAACTAATAAGAAGAATAGTTTAGTGAGAGAGACAGAGAGAGAGAGAGGAGTCATTGACAGCTTTTCCTAGCTCCTACAGGAGTCATTTCCTAGCACTCTGTACAAACCTCCATTATAGCATTTGGTTATTTTTTATGAATGTGTGTTACCTATTAGACTCAACTTCCTGAAAGCAGGGTCCTTGACATATAAACTTTGTTTCCCAGTTTCCAGCACATCCCTGACATTGAGGCACATTTTAGATAATAAAAAGCAGAACCCCTGGAATTAAAGCATTCATTCTCATTTACTAAACAGTCAGAGGTGTGATCATCAAAGTGTTTCCTTCTTAGTTTTGTGGTTGTGAACCATGACTGATTTGAAGACTACCTCTCAAGGCACTACTCTTTATTTTAAAAATTTTCTATTTTCTGGGACAGCCCCTTTTTTTCCACTCCAGGACAGAAACATCCTCTATTTCTTGGGTCTAATCTAGTGAAAGACAGTGCCTTGAGTTTCTTTTCTTCCTATTCAATGCCTTTACCACTTCTTCCTAATGTACAAGTTATTTTGTACCAATTGTCTTGTCCCCTTTCAGAAGAAAACAGATTGTTTAGTGGAGGGTAAGTAATATCCAGGAACAAAATTAGTATTCACATCAGACTAATAAAACATAGTAGTTATCCAGAATCGTAGATTCCTTGAGGGGCAGTGTAGTGGAATAATCAAAATAACCCTGAGACAGGAGAGAGAGAGTCTAGCTTTGTTCAAACTCTGTGTCAACTTACTGTTATCTTAGACAGATACCTTAGTCTCTCCAAGTCATCTTGCAGTAATATAAGTGGTGAGGACAATATCATTTCTGAGCCTCCTTTCATATTGGATACTTAGAATTAAAGGTATACGTTGTGTCACTATAAAACTGAATTGTCGGTATGTTGAGAATAGTTTCAGCCAAAGCCAAGAAAATTTGCCAGGTATTAGGGCCAAAAATGGATCTACATGATCTTGAAATAAACAAATGTGAGAAAAGGGTTAGTGAATCTAATTTTCTATAACAGTGAGCCCCATAGTTGGTGGACAGTTAAGCAGCCCTACCGAGGGCTTTGTACCATGGTTAAGGAAAATTGAACGGGTTGAAGCTTCCAAAATGACTGAGTCTGCTAACCACATGCTTCAGTGGTTATTAAAATCATAACCATGTGCTATTTCTGTCATGACACTAGCATCACATAGAATGGCCACTAATGTCGTTTTCCTATGCCAACTAAAGCAATAAGAATGTTGCCTCCTAGTAAATAGAGGTTTATTTCACTAGACACTGTAAGTTCATAGATCATTCATTCACTTTTTCAATGAGCACTGAGACACTATTATACATAAGACACTATATGAGATACTGAGTGGACCATACATATGAATCAGACAGATATCTATTCAAAGTAAGTTCACACACAAACACTCACTCACTCTCCTGCATGCATTCATACAATGATCATGAATGGTTCAAAGTGATAAGTAAGCAACATGAAAGAGACACAAATTAAGACACATATCAGAGAAGGCAGATATTCCACCTGAGGGTATAAAGCAAGAATTTTATGGGCAAGAAGTATGTAATATGGACCTTCAAGGCTAGATTAGGTTTGTCCTGTGGAAACAGCAGGAAGTAGCAAAGGCAAAGAAAGAGAGGCTGGAAAACAACCCATGTATGAGAAAAAAGTTGACATCAGTTGTAACATCTAACATTTATTTACTGTTCAGCATGTACTAAGAACTTTAAATACATGGTCTCAGTGAATCCTCATAAATGCAAGGGATTAGTTCTGCTGTATGCCTATTTTCAGGTGGGGAAAGTAAGGTCCAGGAGTAAAGAATACCTAACCCATTTTTTTCCATTAAAAGAAATACCAGGCTGCTCAGGATGGCTGAAGCACATGGTTGTGGCATGGAAGAAGGAAAATATATAGATGATTCACTCTGGATGGATAATAAACAGGCTAGAATGCTAGACTCTTTCAGTGAATCAGACTTAAAAGGAACTCAAATAAACTAAATAGGAAGTAAAAAGTAAGACCCTCTGTATATGTAAAATAAAACAAAGCAAAACAAAGCTATACTCTACATATTAATTAAAACAGCCCAAGATCAGCAATCCTTGAGCACCCTTTTCAATGTCAAAGCACAAAGTGGCAGTCCTCAGTCACAGCTGAAAGAGATGTGAGTGCCTTTTCTAATACAACCCTCTGCTTACAGAAATGGGCAAACTGAGGCTGAAAGTTGATTATGTTCAGATGTTTTACTCAATTTAAGCTTTAAATTAAAAATATGTATATATGTGAGCATATGACTACATAATTCTTGCCAATTATTTTCTTTTTTTTTCTTTTTCTTTTTTTTTTTTTTTTTTTTTTTGAGAAGGAGTCTCACTCTGTCACCCAGGCTAGAGTGCAGGGGTGCAATCTCTGCTCACTGCAAGCTCCGCCTCCCGGGTTCATACCATTCTCCTGCCTCAGCCTCCCCAGTAGCTGGGACTACAGGCACCCGCCACCACGCCAGGCTAATTTTTTTGTATTTTTTTTAGTAGAGACGGGGTTTCACCCTGTTAGCCAGGATGGTCTCGATCTCTTGACCTCGTGATGCACCCACCTTAGCTTCCCAAGCCAATTATTTTCATACTACCATTGAGAACTGACAACAAAGATGGTACTAAAAACTCGAAATCCCCTGACACTCATACACAGCCCAGAAAATCATTAAGTTGTGTTCTCATCTGTGCTGTAATTATAATATGATGCTGTTACTCCACTGAATTTTTTGGTAGCCAGTGTACATAAGGCCTTTGGCACAGACAGATCCCATAAGTGGACATGCATTAATCCCCACACCTAAATGTCTTGCAAATAAAAGGTATACCAGAACATCAAAGGATGTTCTGTTTTCACAGAGATTAGTAAAGTGGCTTGGCTTTTTTTCTTTTGTTTGATCAGCTGTTAGAAATTAACTTCCTCTAAGCCAACCACATTCAAATGTGTATTATCTAACACAAATATTTTCTATAAAATATTAAGCTCCTCTTAAATGTTTATATGATACTATCAGTTAGTTTATACTACAAGGATTTATATTGAGCATACATATTTATGTTTGGTTTTTATTCCAGTAGCTATGCAGAAATGCAGTTGATAGCTAAAACACACATCCCCCAAAGGATATCTCTTTAGGTCTCAGGAAGTTAAATTAGCAATGTTTACATTCTGTCTTGAGTGATCCCATTTAGCATGTTGTTATAAGACTATCACCTTTACTGAGTGTTTAAGAATAATTTTTGTGTTTTTATTTGACTCCCATATTGATAGAATTAAGAGAAGACTTGAGATATCTCCTTCAGCTATTTCATAATTATGATTTTGAGCTCCAATACCTGCAATATAGATAGCACTCAGTGAGGTAAGCCAATATGCATTTCTTGCAACCTATAGTACTTCCAGAAGGAATCTTATAATAAAAGTGATATTTCTCCCTGAGAAAAAATATCTTAAAAGCTTGCTTTTAAAACAGTCATTTAGCACTGTTCAATTAGAGAGGATTGTCAAAGAAGACACAAAAGCAATGGTATTTCTCTAGATAAATGTTTACAAACTAGAAACAAATTCAGAACCTCATTTTAGCTATTTAAGTCAGATTTTTTCTCAACCACCAAATGACTTTGTTCCTTCCATCTTTTCATATGTTATGTATTTTACATATCAACCTGGTAGATAGTTGGATTTTTCAGCCTAACTATTCACACACACTCATTTCAATAGTCCAACATATAATTTAGGTGTACTTAATATGTAATTAATGTTTATGTCAGCCTCTCCCAGTAATTATCATTGAATTAAAGTTTGAATGCATAGAGTTATGTGAAATTATTTCTGTTTAAAATGACTCATGTTATAATAGTTATCATTTAAAATGTAAACTTTATTGCCACCGAGAATTTTAAATAGATGTTTGTGAACATTGGAGTACCTATCTCAAATAACTTTACTGAAACCGCCACTCAAGCTTATTATGTATTATTGAACAAAAAGATTTACTCAATAGAAACCAAATTCACATTTTTCATAATTTCACCATAATTTTATTTTGTATTTACAGTTTTCAGTTTCTAATGCAAGGGTCTCGCTGAAGACTTGGAGGATTAGGGAAGAGAGATGGGGTGTGGGGGCGAGGGATCAGAGGTCTGATATGGACAATACTAGTTAAGAAAGCTAACAGGATGTGAAAGTCTTCCAGAAGAAATTCTTGCAGCCAGCTTTGCGTTCTCGGGGTGCCATAGCCGGGTTTGAGTTAGCAGATCTCTGCAGCTCAAGCCTCATTTCATCCTGCTCAGCAGCCTGGGACAGATCTTCAGGTTCCAGGGCATCATTCTCCGTCTGGTTGGGTTCAGACAGCAGCTCTGCCAAGAAGTACTTGGCCAGTTCCTGTATAGGGCAGAAGGGATAGAAAAAGAGAGAAAGAGAAGTGGGGAGGACAATGGAAAAAATTTGAAAAGCCTAAATTAAAGAACAGATTTGGTCACACACAAAATCCAGTTTTTACAGCTGCGCATTTTTTGTCACATTTAAAATCAATCAAGGATATAAAAATAAGGATAGTTGCTATAATTACCAAGTTACACAAAAAGGCTTTAAGAGCTCAAATGTTTCTGCAACCTTTCTGTCCCTGTAGACTTAACACACACACACACACACACACACGCACAAACACACACACACACACACACACACACATAAAGACCGTTCTGGTAAGATAAAGTGTGTGCCAACAGTTTAATTCAATTTTCACATCACGAGCTACAAAGTAGAATTGTTTTACCATTTTTACCAAGTAAACTGTAGGGGAACGAGACTTCTCACAATCTCAAACATACGGCGTTCGGTCTTTAGATTGCCCCTTTGCCCTAGTCCCGACGTTTGGAAGTGAGGTACGCTAAGAGGTAGCAGCTTCAGAGGTCTGCGTTTCAGCACCTGGGTCAGCGCTTCCCAGGGTCAGCACCAGGGATAGACGCCATTGTCGCTTCGTGCCCAGACAACTACCCAGATTTTGTAATTTTCTTGAATGCCAAGTAAGAACTCACCTGAACTGTGACCGACTGCGCTTATCATGGGGGAAAAAAAGAGTTAGAAGGGGATTCTAGCCTTTGATAGTTTTCTCAAGAGCTTCGGGAGCTGAGGGACCCAGAAAAGCACCAAAACTCTTTAGAAGGACTGAGCATCCCTTACGTCCAAACCAATGGGGCAGGAGCAAGGCTTAGGGAGGGCTGGAGAATCCGGGAGACGTCGAGGGAGTCTCCTTACCTGCTTCCCCGCGGCAGCAGCCAGGGACTTCTGCAGAAACTGACGGAGTCTGGGGTCCGAGGGAGCGCCGGTGACACAGCCCAGGGCCAGGACGATGGACAGCGCAGCCAGCGCGCACTGGAGGCGGCAGGACAGCATCTCGGCGCCGCGAAAGCCGAGCTGGAGAGTGGCTGGTCAAACTCTAGGCGCGGATCAGCAGGCAGCAGCGATGGCTCCGAACCTCGCTCCTAAAGCGGCTTGTGTGCTCTCAACCGTCTCCCTCTGTTTTAAACTCTCTCTCTGACGTCAGGCTAGGAGGCGCCCCCAGATCTCACCAGCCCTTTTACGCACCATTAGCCTCGCAAAATCAATCACAGAAGACAGGGGAGGTGACAAGATCTAAAGTGGCTTACTTAAAAAAAAAAAAATACTGCACACGCACAGGCACACACAATTCCACATGCCCCACGATTTATACAATCTTTTATTTTCACTCAGTGCTATGAGCATACACATTCCACAATTTCACTCCCACACATGCACACTCAATTACACACAAACAGAGGCTCAAACACTCAGCTCTTAAAGAGCAAATACACTATCACCCTTAAATGCACACAAATGTACCCAGACAACTCCATCTGTCATCATACTCTAACATTTTAGGAAGGCCCAACAAGCAACAGGGCATGTGTATGGTAGGTGGAGATCAGAATCATTCCTCTAATAACAGATTTGAGAATGAAATATGGACAGTAGAAGGACTGAGCCCTCTTTATTTCCTCCATTATCTCATAAAAAGCCTTGAAGATGTAACGGGGCTCTAAAAGAACTTCACTTTTCTCTACAATGGGGGAGAAGGTACCTCTGGCTCACCCTCCCTCCCTCTTTCTCAGCAACTGAGACTTCTGATCTACCTGCCTTTCTATTGTGACCATATATATGTATGAGTGTGTGTATATGTACGGGAGGGAAAGAGAGAGAGAGAGATTGAAATGGACTTCATTTTGGTGCTGAGAAATTTAGAGCTGGAAGGCAATCTAAGAAATTATTCAATAAACCTCAGAATTTGAATCAGTAAGGCAGAGTAATGGTCAGTAAATTGTTCTCCTTCACATACTGCACACTTTGAGCAAAACCAGACCTCCACATTCCAAAGCCAGTGTTCCTTCTACTGAGCTCTGAGTTTTCTAACAGATTCCTGGCCGGTAAGCATAGTTTTATGTCAGGAAGCCCCAGTTTAGACATATAAGGTCTAGGAACTCCCAGAACATATGTGACCACTATTGTATATCTATATGTGGAAAGGATCAAAAGATTCTTGGTTAAATTCAGCTCTGCCTGATCTCCTAGAAACAAAGAAAGTTTAAGAAAACCTGTCCTTGAATTCTGATTGAACTCTGGTTAAATGTTTACTGTTCAGGCCAGAGTTCTGACTGCTTTTATCTAAATAGTTCCTTACTGAGGAAGGACCAGCTAATTTCCTAGCATGGACGAGATGATCCCTACAGGATCTTTAAGAGCTGTTATCTTATGAGCTTCAAAAAAGCCAATATTAGCTAAAAAGATATGCTGCATCTCTGGAAACCATGCGAAGCTCATATTAGGTATTAAAATATTCTCAGTACTTAGACCCGAACCACAGTGTTGAGAGGCAGAAGGGTTTGGGAAGTATCCTGAATGGCTTGAATAATTGTCACTATTTCTTTTTGTGCTTGTAATCCAAGGCAAAGCGGAAATGCACAGCAAGAAGTGTTAAAGTTTCCAGGTCTTGACAAGGCCAGCCAAGACTAAGCACAAAGTGGGGCATTAAAAAGTCATTCACATGTGTTGGAGTAGTCTAAGAGATCAATGAATCTGGAGCTGTGGAACCCAGTCCTAGGAAATACATGTTATATTCTCTAAATCTTGCAACTCTCTCTGGCCTCTAAGGACTCAGAGTTTAGTTCTATCACTGTGACTGTCTCTAGGTACCTCCAAATGATCTCATATCTCCTGTACCCAGGATGTGGTCTTTGGCATACCCACTGAGTAGGAAACGAGGATTTTTCCAAAGCAGGAGCCAGCCGAAGAACAAATAGCAGCTCCCCATCTTCCCCTGTGCTCTAGGATCTCTTCTGTCTCCTTCCCCAGACGCTTGCTCCCCTCCTTCCACATCCTTGTGCTCTCCCTCTACACTTTCTCCTCCTTCTTATTCCTCCTTTTCCTTAACCTTTCTGCAAATTTATGTTTCAGAATTTTCCTCACTCAATCCTTCTTTTGTCTCCTCTCTTGACTCTGTATCCTCATTCCTTTGTTTTTCTTGCTCTTCTCAATCATTTTCTGACTTTGGTTTGGGTCAGCCCGGCTCTTTCCCTGCCTTCTCACCCTGCTTAGCCAGTGCCTATCCCAGTCTCTGCCTCAAGACATCTCTCCCTCTCTTTTCTCTCCTCTTTTCTTTCTTCTTCCCTCCTCAACTGCTTCTCACCAAAAACAAACAAACAAAAAACCTCATGATGTCTATCTGTTTAAGTATCTACTTATGAATAGTAAACAGTTGCTTCCCTCATACCCTGCTGAAGAGCTGAAGCTGTAAATGAGATGACTTAAGGGTTTTGCTTTTGTTGTTTTATAACTCCTGGAGAGTTATGAGTCTGAGAACCACTTATCAGAGAAGCCAGGACAAAAAGGGACATAAATTCTCCCTTAAGCCCTCCATGGCCAGTTATAGCTTAAAGGTTGGTTTAGCATGAAGCACTTCAAACTTTCCCAACCTGAGCCTTCTGTAATCAACCCCCAGGGCATCTCTCCCAAGTCTCAAAGCTGGAAGGGTAAAGTGTTTTGTGGTTGTATTGGGGACGCTATTGCCCAGACCAACCAAACTCACTAGGAATCCTTACCCAGTCCTCTGTTGCTCACAAAACACTTTCTCATCCAACACTTCAGGGCATGCTATTCCCACCTCACAGAGGAGGAAACTGAGGTCCTGAGACCTTCAGTGCCTTACAAGAGGGCACACAGGCAGGAAGTGGCATGGTCACAGGGAGAATGTTACTTCACTTGAGAAAGCTTCATGATTCCCTGACTCAGAGATGCCAGAGATTCCTGGCCGAGCAGTCTGCAGCCGGGATACATGCACCTCTAGAAGGCATCCAGGCCTCACCTCTTTCATGTGCAGCTTTTTCTGGACAGGATATGATTTCCCACCTCCCTTGTGGAACGTACATTTTGGAGTGACTACCTGCCAATATAAGGAGTAGAAACTTATTTTAATAAAAAGCAACATAATCTGTGAATAGACATAGACATTCAATGTTAAGCAATGCAAGGAAGGAGAAAGTGTCTGTACTGGGAGTCAAGAGACCTGGGCTCTAGCCTGATTCTGCCACAACCAACTGTGGGACATCTTCTCTGGGCCTTGGTTCTTTATTTGCAAAATAAAACTTGGCAGGTCATCTTTGTGGTTCCCTCCAGCTCTGATAATTAATGAGTATAAATTTGAGGAAATAAAAAGGCAAAGTAGAATATACTATTATGTTAAGATGTTATTATTCTCTCAAGATGAGAATTTTATATTGGAAAAGAACCTGGTTTTTACGTAATATCAGAAAGGAGGCTGAGTGCAGAGGACATTTCCCAGGCCTACTAGAAGATGTATTCTTGACTCTTGCTTCTGCTGCTGACCTGCCTTTCTCACTCTGGACCTCAATTTCTCCATCCTTAAAATTGATTCACTCAACCTCTTTCTACAGCTAATTCCAGAGAAAATTTGCTAGACAGATGCCAATGATATAGCAGTGAACTGGATAGACAGAGTCCTCATGAGAAAGACAAAGAATAAACATGTTAATCAACATGTATTAGGGTTAAAGCAAAGTATAGAGCATAATGGTAGGCGGAAGATACTTCTGAGGAGGAGCTCTTTGAACAGAGCTCTCTGAGGCAAGGGAGCTAGCCATGCAAATATCTGAATAAAGATATCTCCAACTCAGGTGGAAGGACGATCAATGCAAAGACCTGAGGCAGAAGTATGCTTGGTAGATGCAAAGAGCAGCAACAAGGCAAGGACTTGAACAGAGTGGTTAAAGTAGAGAGGGTTAGGAGATGAGGTCAGCAAGGCAGACCAGGAGCAGATCACAGGAAGCCTTGAAGGCTGTGGCAGGGAAACCATTTTTGAGCAAGAAAACTGACCTGATTTGGTTCTTTTAAAAAATTCTTTTAAAAAAAGCCCTCTGCTTAGTGGGGAATTAATTGTAGGAGGGCAAGAGTTCAAGAAAGGAGATAAGCTAAGAGTCTAAGAAGTGTTTAAGAGAGAAGAGGAGCCAGGGCAAAAGGAACACAGATTTTCTTTGAAATGTCTCATGGCCAACTGTGTGGATTTGCATAAAGGGACTTTGAAACTTCCCAATACAAGCCCTTTGCTCCCAACCCTCAGGGCCCATCTCAATTCCCAAGTTCCAAAGGCTGGGAGCAGGGAGGTGTTTTGTGTTTTTTTACTGGGGATCTTGTGCTCTAGACCTAGTTCTGGTGACATAAGATGATGTTTGGGGCTAAGGTGGTAGCCATGAAGAAGGTGAGGACTGGTTAGACTTAAAGTTCATTTTGAAGTATAGTAAGCAGGATACAATGATGGTTTATTTGGATATCGAGTTAAGGAAATGAGAAGAACCATCAACAATGCCTAGAGAGTCATCCAGATGCTCTCTCAAATGCCTTCAAGTTTGACAAATTCTAGAGAGGTCAGGAAGTGGGTTTATGCTAAAAACTTCTCCTGGACATTTTGCAAATAGAAAACCATTGATTTTCCAGACAGAAGAAAGTGAGGAAAAATGTCAGTGGGGAGAACAACATGGAACAGCAAAAACAGCCATGGACTGGGAGTCTGAGGCCCCGGGCTTAAGTACTCAGTTTGTATCTGCTTAAAATGGACCTGATTCTCCTCTGTTTTTCTGAAACAAGATTTGAGAACCAAGTAAGACAATGTAAGTGAAAATGCTTAGCAGTCCGTAAAATGTCACAGGTTTTATTATTGCTGCTCAGATGGAGGCAACCAGTCCTAAGCCGAAGGTGATTCCAATGAACCAGTCAATCACTTTGGGAGCTGGAGACCCTGCTGAGGCTCTGACCCAAGAAGCATGCAGGCCTTTCTCACTGGGAATGTATAGGGTGTGATTTAAAGGTCTAGGAAGATCTCACAGAAATGCAGCAGATGGGTGGGGAAATCCCTCCATTAGAAAATAGTCTCTTCTTCCTTACATATACTTACCTTGGAGATATAACACATTAAAACTTAGTAACTATTAACATTTTAATATGGATTCATTTGTTGAATTGTCTTCTAGATTTATAGCTGGCTAGTGGAAGGTTTGATTTAAGTAAGCTGGGAGAAGGAGATCAATTTGGAGCAAGAAACCATGCAGCAGAGGGCAGATTGCACGAGATGAGCCGTTGGGGATGGCGGGAGGCTATGAGCATATAGATTCTTCAAGGGTGCTTGGATGAAAATCACATAGGGACCTTTTCTTCTAAGCAACCCCACCGTCATGGAGCACAAGAATTAAAACTTGCAACCCTCCAAGGGCTTCCATTCAGCTGGAAAATTCCCAGCTCAAGCCCCTGGAACTGCTGATTGTAGAAGAGCCAGACTTCCCTGCCAAATTGACTTTCACCAACTTCCACAAAGCCTAGGCTGAAGTGATTGCTTTAGGTAATAAAGGGCAAGAGACCTGTAAGGTTACCTGTTCCTTGGAAAGGGATGGGTGGTGACATCTCAGGTTCATTTCTTGCAGCAGTCTCCTATCCTGTCACTTTCTAGCTCAAAAGCTGTAAATGAGTCCCCAGTGCGAACGTGTTCAAATGCGCACACAGCAGTCTGACAGTTGTGTTTCCTTTGTGACTTTCCTATGAGTCTCCCTCTTCATGGTTCCTTGTCTGCCAGCCCTCCTAATCCCTCTAACCACTCACTCTTCCCTGTACCCTCCCACCTCCATTTGCACATGCCGTTTCCTCTCCTGGAATATCTTTAACCTGTCTCTAACTAATAAGATAATGTAGCCTATTCTAAGATGTTTCTGAGGGCTTCTCACTTAGAATCAACGGGGCCCACTCCTGTGTCCAAAAGTGTGGCTTTTGTGCCCCTAGTAGAGACCCTGACATATTTCTGTTCCTTGGGACTCTGTATGTCTCATCTAAAAGTGTCAAGGCTCTTGGGAGGCTGAGGCGGGTGGATCACTTGAGGTCAGGAGTTCGAGACTAGCCTGGCCAACATGGTGAAACTCGTCTCTACTAAAAATTTTTAAAATACACAAAAATTAGCAAGGCATGGTGGAAGGTGCCTATAATCCCAGCTACTTGGGAGGCTGAGGCAGGAGTATCACTTGAACCCAGAGGCTGCAGTGAGTTGAGATCATGCCACTGCACTCCAGCCCAGGCAACAGAGCAAAAACTCCATCTCAAAAAATAAAAAATAAAAATAAAAGTCTCGATGCTCACTGAGGGAAGAACCCTTGTCTCAGCTATCTTTACTTCCTCCTCAGTGATTATGAAAATGTTAAGCACAGAGTATTTGTTGAAAAATGATGGTTGAGTTGAAGACAAATTTATCTGTCTTTATTTGTGGGTCTCTGTGGATTCTGTGAGTAGGACAAGCCTAATGAAAGGCAGCTAACTGAGGTCTGTATTACTTGACACACACAAACACCCATAACCCCCAACCCTAGGTAGCTGATACTTTCAGGAACACATATCTACTGATCCCTTAGTCATCTCTGAGCTTCAGAAAGAATAAAAGCTCAGTGTAAATGTTTCTATATATTAAGAACTAACTGAATTTGTCATGTGAGTATGCTAACATAGTCACTGAAAGTGTAAGAGTTTTCATATTGATTGGAAGGCCAAGGGAGGAAAGATCTATTTACCACTGAAATAGGCACATGTTCCTGGTGCCATAGAAGTGAACAACAGTGCTAACTCACTTCTGTGTACTATTTCACAACTGCTTAAGTGTGTTAATAACATAATGACCCCAATCAAGCAAGGAAATGGAGGCCTAAGTTACAAAGCTAGTGTGCAGCTGGGCTGATGTCTGAGCCCTCATTTTCGCTCCAGCGTTTCCTTTCTCAGAGGAAAGGTAAGGTATGTAAGGAAGTTTTGTTCCTAATTCTCTCAGCTTCCCTTTCTCTTTGTGGGTCCTTTGGACTCTCCAGAAGCTTCTCACTTGTTGCTCTGATTTCTGCTCAGGGCTTCCCAATTAAATAAAATCGAACAGTGTTCCACCCCACTATGCCACCCAGAGAATATCTCCCACTTTACTTGACCTATTTTCCTTCCTAAAACCAGGCATTAAAACTGAGGTTTTCCAATGAGCCTTCCCAGGGCAGTCAACAGGGGTGGTGCTATCTTGGTCAGTGCAGGGTCTGGGAAATGAGGCCAGAAATCAATGGCCCCTTCCCCTGGAACAGTGGAAAATACATGGCAAAGTTTCCTTTTAAGATGATCCAGAAACCTCTATTTTGAAAAAGTATGATAGAAGCCACATAAACACAAAAATCACCCATGGAATGAAAGTATCTCTGCAACAGTTCCAATTTTCTCACACTCAAATTTATGAGTATTACTCTAGACAGGTGGTTCCTAACCTTGGCTTCACCCCAGGATTGCCTGAGAAACATTTATAAACCACAGATGCTTGGATCCCAACTGAAGTGATTCTGATTCACAGGTCTGGGCTGGGCTCAGATATCTGTATCTTTTAAAAGCTTAATTCTAGTCTGAAACTGGATTTTTACCGTCCTAGAAAACTATTAGGTCATAAACCACTGTCCACTGTCATTCCTCTCTTATCTCACTCAGCTCTGTTCCTTCTTCCCTCTCCCTGTCATCTTTCTCTTATATTTGTCTCTATTTTCTTCCTTTTTTTTTGCTTTCCTCTTGTCCCTGTCAATCCTCTGTCTCATTTTTCTTTTTTTTTTTTTTCTGGCTCCTATTTGTCTCTTCTTACTCAACCACTACTCCCCTTTTCCTTCTTGAGAACAGCAAGGGCGATGAGGTTGGCTTTGCCTTGTTGAGGTTAAAGCACCTGCTTCATTGACTTTCCTGTTATTACCCCTAGAGTTGAGGGCAGGGGCAGGACTGAAGCCAGAAATGGATCCACCTACTGACCAGAAACTAAAAAATGATCTAGTCCCACCCCTCAGTTTACATATGGAAAAACCAAAGCCAAGAGAAGGAAAAGGGCCCTCTCGAGGCCACATAACTAGTTTCAGAGTCAGAACCTCTGTTTTTTGTTTGTTTGTTTTTGTTTTTGTTTTGTTTTTGTTTTTGTTTTTGAGATGGAGTCTTGCTCTGTCACCCAGGCTGGAGTGCAGTGGTGTAATCTTGGCTCACTGCAACCTCTGCCTCCAGGGTTCAAGCGATTCTCCTGCCTCAGCCTCCCAAGTAGCTGGGACTACAGGGGAGCGCCATCACGCCCAGCTAATTTTTGTATTTTTAGTAGAGACGGGATTTCACCACATTCACCAGGATGGTCTCAATCTCTTGACCTTGTGATCCACACGCCTCGGTCTCCCAAATTGCTGTGAGCCACAGCGCCCAGCCGAACCTCTGATTTTTAATTCTATCTTCTCTCCTTGACACAAGTACACTGTGAGGTTCCTTGAATCTCTCTGACCAAGTGGTTGAAATACTCTTGCAAGATTGGCAATTCTTGTCCTGTTCTCTATGTATCCGGCAGTCAGCCAAATCCCATTCCCTGATAAGGGTATTAATCTACAGAGAAAGCTCTGGGGGTTCGTGTGCAGAGATTTGGAGATCCCCAGGTTGGACCTTCATGCTTTGTGTCTTTATCCTTCTGGCTGTGCATTTCCTAATCTTACAAAACAACCAGACCTGTCCTTTATCGCATGCTTCTGGGATGCTTCCGCCCACCAGAGAGAATGCTGTTGTTAAGCTGAGTTCTCCTGCCCTCTGCTGGCTTGACTGATAGAAGGCGCCATCTAAAATTTTAGGGCAGGATTTCATTCATTCTTTTATTTACTCCACCAACTTTCTAAGAGTGTTCACTATTAAAAAGGGTGCTCACTATGCACTATGTTATTGGTGCTGCAGTTGCAGAGAAGCATGCAAAATAAACTCTTCCTTCAAACATTCAATTATTAAACACTTTGTGCCAGTGTCTGGGCTGGGCATTCAGAGACTTGGCTTCAAAAAGAAGTCAAGATTTGGTAGCTTTTATAGATTTTTGTTCTGAGTCATAAAATCAAAGAATCAGCACTAACAGGGACTACAGATACCTTCTAATCCAGTGTATTCATTATAGCTCCTCTAATTAGGTCTAGAGTTCTCTGCACACAGTCCTTGGAGACTGTCAACATGGGGAGGACACCTGTCACAGGGATATTATTTCATTGATTAGGATTCTGCATAAAATCTCACAGAAACAAAGGGTTTCGAGGGGAAACAATGTTCGAAAACTGCAGATTTAATACAAACCCTCCTTTTGCATGTAATCCGAAAGCTTCCCAGCCTCACAAACCTGTACTTACAATCGATGTCACATTTTTAACTGATCTCACTGTTTACTGGCCTAATCCCTTTTTTTTTTTTCACCCATATCTCACTTTCTTTGCAAGGTCACCTTCTGGCCATGAGGCGGGGAGAGCTCCAAAGGAGGTTTTGCATGAGTTGAGCGCTCCCTCTTGTGGCTGTCCAGGATATTGCTTCTGTGCCTGGCCAGAGCTCCCTTGGTCCCAGGTCAATCCCAATGTTATGCCCAGAACTGAGGACGATTCCCTGATCCACAGCCCTCTTCATGCTGCTGTAAAGTGCCAGGGTGGAGTCTCATACACCGGTGGCTTTCAAACTTTTTGATGGGAACTTATGTGGGAAAGACATTTTACATCATGACCCAGTGCACTCATGCATGCCCACACATACATTTCTCAAAACAATATTTACCTTTATTTCTTACAATAAACTATGCTATTCCAATTATTTTCTATTTTGTTTATTTTTCTGTTTAATGCAGGTTGTAACTTGGTCATTAAGTGTGTGATCCACTCCTGAGTCACCAACATGAGTTTGGAATGCACTGCCTTGAGCCATGACCCACCTGCATGCACTCGGCTGGCACTTGGACCTTCTAGGCTGCCATTCTCTCCATGGCTACTCATTCCTAAAGAGTCACATGACAACAGTCCTTGCTGCCCTGGGATGCTGGAACTCCCCTCTTCTCTTATTTCTCTCCTCTGCCTTCCATCTTTTTAGAGGGTCTCACCGCAGAGCTGCTTAGGTCCCTGGTTGTTAAGACAGTGGTGTTTACCAAGAGCAGTGGGCTGAATGGTGGCCCACAAAAGACATGTCCACATTTTAACTCCAGGAACCTGTGAATGCAACTTTATTTAGGAAGAAAACAAAAGGATCTGTGCAGATATAAGTAAGTTGAGGATCTTCAGATAAGAGCATCCTGGATTATCCAGGTAGATCCTAAATCCAAAGATAAGGATACTTACAAGAGACAGAAGAGAAGACACAGACACAGAGACGAAGGCCACGTGAAGTCAGACACAGAGTGAAGGGACACAACCACAAGCCAAGGAATGCCTGGAGCCACCAGGAGCAAGAAGACACAAGGAATAATTCTACCCTATAGGGTAAGATTGGAAAGAGTGTGGCCTTGCTGACACCTCGATTTCAGATTTCTGTCCCCCAGAACTGCAAGAGAATACATTTGCCTTGTTTTAAGCTACTCGTTTGTGGCAATTTATTACAGCAGCCACAGGAAACACATATAGCCACACCTATCATTTCCCCAAGCTCCAAGGGGATCAGACAGAGCTGGATTTGAGTCTGTTCCACACCATACCCGGGACCACTGCTCCTTTCCAAACCCCAAGCTTTTACATAGAGTCGGGCCCATTCTACCAAACACCTTCTTCTTAAATATTAGATTAGACTAAGAAACTCTAGAGTCTGCTCTTGTGATGTTGCTCCTATTGCAAGACCCCACTTCACCACCCTCCCTTCTGGAAGACATGCTTCGGTCAGCTAAACCCCAACTGTGGACACGTTGGAATTTTTTCTCCCAAAGTTTCCTCAGATGTTATGCACATCAGTTTTTAAGGCTGGAAAGCAGGTGTAGCATGTCAGTAGGGATGGTGGGTTAGGTGTGAAGATAAAAGCCCAGAAGAGTGAAATGATTTGCCCAAAGCTGCACAGTAAATATGTGGCAGGTGGATGCTTTCTCTGAATGCTAACAACATAAATATGGAGAGTTTCAGGGGTTTTTCTCCCTTCCCACTGCATTAAAGGTAAGGTAAGATCAAGCCTACCTTTCTCAGGTATATTTTGCCTCAACTCAGCTTTTGACCTGTTTATATCACCAACTGCTTTGCTTGCTTAAGGGAAATCACTGCTCTCTCCTGTTTACCTCAGCTCTGCAGTTCCTTGCCATAAAAACTTTCTGATAAATTGGTGAACCAATGCCATGCCTTAGAGGAAAATAATAATAATAAACTATTGGCATAGCCGCATTTGAAAGCAGGAGTCACAGGGAAACAGATGTCAGCCTTGGGTTCTTAACAAGAGAACTAGTTCAGCAGAAAAACTGTGTTCTTAGAACCAGGGAGAGGCAAGATAAACTCTAGTCAGAAAAGATTCCCACAATGAGCAATGAGCACAGGAGAAAACTTCCCAATCTCCTCTAGTCCTTAGATTCCATGTCTGTCTAGAGCTGTTCCTTCAGACCCTAATCCTCATTTTCTTCTTTAAGAGGCCGGGCCAGGTGCTGTGGCTTACGCCTGTAATCCCAGCACTTTGGGAGGCCGAGGTGGGCGGATCACCTGAAGTCAGGAGCTCAAGACAAGCCTGCCCCACATGGCGAAACCCCATCTCTACTAAACATACAAAAAATTAGCTGGGCGTGGTGGCCCATGCCTATAATCCGAGCTACTCAGGAGGCTGAGGCAGGAGAATTGCTTGAACCCCGGAGGTGGAGCTCGCAGTGAGCCGAGATCGTGCCACTGCACTTCAGCCTGGGTGACAAGAGCAAAACTCCATCTCAAAAAAAAAAAAAAAAAAAAAAGGCTGGACCTTTCTGCACACTTTTTACAACTTCAGAGGAGATTGATGCAAAAAACATACACCATCGTCCCAGAACCTACAACATAGGTTCCCACAACTAAATAATTCTGAAACGAGACAAGCTCCTTGTGGTTTGTTGTTGTTTGCTTGCTTATTACAGCAATTATCTTATTGTCTGTCAATAGCATGTTTGCGAGTCTGGTTCCTTGCAAAAGGCTTTGTTGTAAAAAGACTTTCCTCAACAACAAAAACTGTGCCTTCTGACCAGGAGCTGTGACTCACGCCTATAATCCCAACACTTTGTGTGGCCAAAGTGAGAGGATCATCTGAGCTCAAGAGTTTGAGACCAGCCTGGCAAACACAGTGAGTCTCCGTCTCCATACACACAAAAAATAAGTTTTAAAATTTAGTTGGGCATGTTGGCATGCACCTGTAAGTCCTAGCTACTTGGGAGGCTGAGGTGGAAGGATCACTTGAGCCAGGGAGATAGAGGCTGCAGTGACCCATGATTGCACCACTGCACTCCAGCGTGGGTGACAGAGTAAGACCCTGCCAGAAACAAAAACAAAAACAAACATCAAAAATAACTTGTCTCCTGGCACTTTGGGAGGCCGAGGCAGGTGGATCACGAGGTCAGGAGATCGAGACCATTCTGGCTAACACGGTGAAACCCCGTCTCTACTAAAAATACAAAAAATTAGCCAGGCGTGGTGGTGGGCGCCTGTAGTCCCAGCTGCTTGGGAGGCTGAAGCAGGAGAATGGCATAAACCCAGGAGGCGGAGCTTGCAGTGAGCAGAGATCGCGCCACTGCACTCCAGCCTGGGTGACAGAGTGAGACTCCGTCTCAAAAAAAAAAAAAAAAAAAAAAAGAACTTGCCTTCCTGTCATGGCTTCCCTAAAAAATTGTCTGGAAAATACCAATGCAAAATACTTGTGAGACATTGAAGGCGTGTTGACTCTAACCTCTGTTCTTACCATTGTCTGTCCTTCCTTTTTGAAGCCACATCTTACTACTCACTTCTTGTAAATTCTTCTTTAGATGTGTGTTTCTTCTTAGTCTCTCTCCATTGTCATCATAACGGACTACCACTCTAATTCAGGACCATATTAGGTCTCCTGTAAACTATTTTAAAATCTTCCTAACTAGCTTTCTCATCATCAGTCCATCCCTTCCCTCTGCTCTCATTAGCTGCCACTAACTGCTAACCTCGTCTCTTCCAATTTATTCTATACCGTACGGTCTGAGTCCAATTCCGGATACATATCTGATCATATCATTGTCTCCCTTCAAAACTTCAAATACAAATCACTGTTTCCAAAAAAATACCCACACTCCTTATGCAGGTTTTTGAAGCCCTTAAGAATGTAGTTCCAACTTCTCCTCCTTCAGTTTTATTTCCCACTGATGCTTCACCCTTCAGAAAACATATGTGCTCACCATTTTCTAAAATGTTCCACATATTTTAGTCTCAAACTGCTTGTCTTGTTCCATCTGTATGCAATACGTTCATGCCCATCTCCTTCTATCAAAGTCTACTTGCTCCTTAGGGAGCATTTCCAACTTCGTATCCTCCTGGAAGAAGTGGATACTGATATTTGGAGACCTGGAACTTATACAATTTGGTATGGAGTAGGGAGCTCTTTAGGAAAAAAAGAATACAAAATTATGAATAAAAAAACTCTTCATAGAGGAAGTTTAATAGAGATTCATAGAACAAAAATGTTTAAACATATTGAACACCAAGACTCTGAGATAAATGCACTAGAAAACAGCGAAGCAGGATGATTGTAAAGATAAGTGTAAAATGCTCCTTACCCTCAAGAAATTTATAATAAAGCAGGAGTTTTAGAGACATGATAACAGCTATCATACAGAACAGGATGAGTTCATTAAGTACAGACTCCAGAAACAGGTTGTGGCAACATGCCAGATGATGTTCCAACATGCTTAATTAATGTTGTCTCAGGGTGTCAAAGACTACTTCCTAAAGAATGGCATTTATTGTGGGACTTAAATAAAGGGAATAAGCCAACTTTTGGTGAAGATTGGGAGCCCAAGAATTGAAAGCTTGGAGATCCATGTGTCTAAGGAGAGGGAACAGTAAAAATGCTCAGTGTGTTTCAAAACAACACATAGTGCTATGTGACCAATGCCCTGTGACTGCTTCTATGTTGGACCACAGTGCCAGCGTACCAGTTGATGACCCAGGAGACGAGCCTGATATATTAGTTGTGATTAGTTTCAGCTTCAAATGACAAATAAATAACCATGGCTTTAAAAGCAGAGAAGTTTATTTCTCTCTCACATAAAATTTCAGGCGGATGGTTCAGGGCTAATAAGGCATGATGGTAGCTACCAAGGTAACTTCTATTTTGTTCCTCTCTTCTGTGTGGTCTTGAACATGATCAAAGATGGTAACATCTGTGTTGAGGCAGTAGGATAGGAAAAATAAAGAATAAAGATGAAAGTGAAACACATGGTCATCATCTATGGGAGGTGGTATTTTCCAGTGATGATTATAGTGATGTTCTTACAAAATGATTTTGACATATCTTCTATTGAAAGGTAGGGTCTTTGCCCCCAGTCTTTAAAACTAGGCAGATTTTATGACTGTTCTGATTAATAGGCTATATTAGGATTGACACTATGTGAGTTCCAAGCTAAGTCATAAAATAAAATTTTACTTCTGCTTTCCTCACTGAAATATTCATTCTTATTGCCTTCAGCCACTAGAGCAGTTTAATTGCCCCAAGGTGGCCATGCTGTGAGGAAGTCCAAGAGCCCATATGGAGAGAAGACCTGGAGAAGTCTCAAGACCACATGAAGGAAGAGAGTTACCCAGCCAGCCCTAAACGCTGGCTGCAACTGCAACCACTGTCTGACTGTAATTCCACAAAATACCCACAATCAGAACATCTTCTCATATTTCTGACTCACAGAAACCACAAGAGATAAGAAAATGAATACTGTCATTTTATGTTACTAAATTTTGGGATGGTTGGTTAAACAGCAATAGACGACCTAAACATTGTTTGTTTAAAAAGTTTTTCTAAAATTTTTCATATATAACTTCTGTGTAATTTATATTCCATTGGCCAGAATTTAGTCACATAGCCATACCCAGCTGCAAAGGAGTCTGGGAAAAGTGGTCTTTATTCTACAAGGCCATGTGCTCAGCTAAAATCTTATTACTGTGGGGAAAAGGGACTACAGATATTATGAGACAACTAGTGGTCTTCCACAGCTAGAAAAGTACCTCTTTTAAAAACCAGAAATGTATGAGTACAAAATGCTAATTTAGAAAAAAAAACAATTATTTAAATATCACCTAATATGCATCTAAATCTGTATCAGTTATTTATTTCTAATCATCTTGTTTGTTGCGGGAAGTCAGGGACCCTGAACAGAAGGACTGGCTGGAGCCAAGGCAGAAGAACATAAATTGTGAAGATTTTATGGACATTTATCAGTTCCCAAAATTAATACTTTTATAATTTCTTACGCCTCTCTTTACTGCAATCTCTGAACATAAATTGTGAAACTAATTTCTTATGCTTGTCTTTAATCTCTTAATCCTGTTGTCTTCATAAGCTGAGAATGTACGTCACCTCAGGACAATCACCTCAGGACAACTATTATACAAATTGGTCGTAGAACATGCGTGTTTGAACAATATGAAATCTGATTGTAAAACATATGTATTTGAACAATATGAAATCAGTGCACCCTGAAAAAGAACAGAATAACAGCAATTTTCAGGGAACAAGGGAAGATAACCATAAGGTCTGACTGCCTGCGGGGTCAGGCAGAATACAGCCATATTTCTCTTCTTGCAGAAAGCTTGTAGACAGATGTGTGAGTAGAAGAAATATCGTTGAATTCTTTCCCCAGCAAGGAATAACCCTGAGGAAAGAATGCATTCCTGGGGGTAGGTCTATAGATGGCCGCTCTGGAAGTGTCTGTCTTATGCGATTGAGATAAGGACTGAAATATGCCCTGGGCTCCTGCAGTACCCTCAGGCTTACTAGGATTGGGAAATTCCAGCCTGGTAAATTCTAGTCCCCGGTTCCCTGCTCTTGAACCCTCTTTCCTATTAAGATGTTTATCAAGACAATGCGTGCACAGCAGGACGTAGACCTTCATCAGTAATTCTAATTTTGCCTTTGCCTTGTGATCTGTATTGCCCTTTGAAGCATGTGATCCTCGTGACCTACTCCCTGTTCGTACACCCCCTCCCCTTTTAAAACTCCTAATAAAAACTTGCTGGTTTTGTGGCTCAGAGTCACCATCATGGTCCTACCAATATGTAATGACACCCCCAGAGGCCCAGCTGTAAAATTTCTCTCTTTGTACTCTTTCTCTTTATTTCTCAGACTGGCTGACACTTAGGGAAAATAGAAAGTACCTACATTGAAATATTGGGGGCTGGTTCCCCTGATACTTGTTTAGTTAAAATTTAAATTGGTTTAAAGGAGTAGATTTTTAAAAGGCAAATTAGAAGGAGTAACTTCAGGTTCGAGATAGGGAACTCCGCCCAAGCACCTACTATCCAAACCTCCCAAACGTTCCAAATTCTCTGTTGGTGCGATGATAAAAATGCAAAGTAGGGACAGATCTGTATTTACTGGAAGCCACAGATGCTCAATAGCAAATTTCTCAAATGTTTGGATATGTATGTACTATATAGTGGCAGTCATGATAGGATTGATTTTGGACCAATCTGTGCATCTCCATATGCAAAGGAAAAGCTCCTTATAGGAATAAAAGAAAAAGACCATTTCTTCCAACCCTAGAACAAAAGCACTAACTAATGTTTCCAAGCTGGGAGCGGCAGGGTTTGATATTGTGAAATACATGTTTGGCTTTGTCTCCATTTTCTGATATATATCTCCAAAAATCCTTGGAACCTCTGGAGTAATAAGAGTGTCTTTTGCATGCAAATGAGATGACTGATGGCTGGCAACCCCTAGGTAACTTCAGGATGGAGGTTAGTCACCAGAAAGCCCAAGGTGAGGTTAGAGAGTTGGAATTTTTAGCTCTATCCACCCAACTTCTGGGAGAGGAGAGGGGCTGAAGGTTGAGTTAATCACCAATGGCCAATAATCCAATCAATCAGGCCTACACAGTAAAGCTTCTGTTAAAACTCAAAGAAGGTTGGGCACGGTGGCTCACATCTGTAATCCCAGCACTTTGGGAGGCTGAGGTGGGTGGATCACAAGGTCAGGAGGTCGAGACCAGCTTACCCAACATGGTGAAAACCCATCTCTACTAAGAATACAAAAATTAGCCAGGCATGGTGGTGCATGCCTGTATCCCAACTACTCGGAAGGCTGAGGCAGAAGAATTGCTTGAACCCAGGAGGTGGAGGTTGCAGTGAGCCAAGATTGTGCCACTACACTCCAGCCTGGGTGACTGAGCAAGATGCTCTCTTGGAAAAAAAAATCAAAGAAACAGGATTTAGAGAGCTTCTGGATAGCTGAACATGTGGAGGTTCCTGGAGAGTGGTGTGTCTAAAGAGGGTATGGGAGCTCTGCCACCCTCCTCCATGCCTCAACCTATGCATCTCTTCATCTGTATCCTTGTAATATCCTTTGTAAGAACCTGGTAAATATAAGTGTTTCCCTGAGTTCAGTGAGCCACTCTAGCAAATTAATCAAACGCTAGGAGGGAGTCATAGAAACTCCCTTTTATAGCCAGTCACCAAAGTTGAAGGCCACAACCCGTGCTTGTAACTGACATCTGAAGTGGGGGACAGTCTTGTGGGGTTGAGCCCACAACCTGTGGGGTCTGAAGCTATCTCCTCCCAGCAGAAAGTGTCAGAATTGAACTGAGCAAGAGGACACCCAGCTGGTGCCCACTAGAGAATCAGCTGCAGATCTGCTGGAGACTTGATTGACTATTGGTGGGGAGAAATCCCCACACATTTTAGTGACCAGAAGTTGTTGTACTCAGAGGAGAAAATAGATTGTTTCCCCTTTATCATCAGACAGGATCTGGAGATGAAGACAGGTGGAAGGACAGCCGATGGGGGCAAATCTCTCTCTGCCTCTAGAACTGCACCAGGTCCCCACACTCAGAGCATCTGGTCACTGCGCTGACTTCCAGATTAAATTCTCATGTAATATAAAGACGAAGCTTCCAAAGTCAGTTCCTAATGAGAGTCTTCATGCCAGTCAGTGAGAGAAGCAGTATCCCCACAACTTGTTCTGCAGCAGAACATGAAAAGAAAATGCTTTGCCATGTTCCTATAGTCATGGAGAGAGGCTGCATCTGGGTGAAGCCCCCTCTCGACCACCCCCTTGGCCAGCCCTCTCAAAATTTGGGCAAAATTGGCATTTTCCTTCTCCCTTTGTCTGAGACCAAATAATTTGAAGACATACCACACAATCTCTAAAAGAACTCCCCCAGTTCCACATCCCCATAAAAATCAGCAGAGAAACTTCATTAAGCATATGAAAAATTATAGTTCAAATCCATAAAAACAATCTAAAGAATCAGAGGAAATGTCTCTTTCTCCTATGGACAAAGTTACTGTAAGAAACAATAAAACAAGAAAAAAACCTTACAAACTCTCCAGTTTATATTCTTCACAAGCTATGTGAAGCTATTGCACATGTTTGTGTGTGTGTGTGTGTGTGTGTGTGTATCATTACATCAGGCAATGTGGAAAAAAAAAGAACATTAGGTTGATACCAGAATTTTACTCCGCCACAATAAATTCCAGAGACGTTGAAATAGTGCCTTCTAAGTTTTGAGAGGAAAAGAAGTTAAAAGTGTGATAAAAGAATGTAATGGCTGGCCGTGCCGTTTTTTACAGGTAAGAGCTACAGAAAGCCATTCCTAGAGAAGCATACCACCTATGTACCCTCTCTGAAAATGTTACTCACCAAAGTACTTTAAGTAAAATGAAGAAAATAAGCAAAATAAAGAACTCAAAAGTAAAGTGGACTGGTATAAAAATGATGAGGACAAACCTGTAAAGTTTAAAGGTTCATTACTAAATTTCTTATCAATATTATGGAATATAATGCATTTGTCTAATATAATTTGTGAAAGAGAATGTATAAGCTGTATTCTATGAATTTAATTATAAAATAGTAGATTATTTTGACAAAATTGGAAATCCAGGTTGGCAGAGAAGAAAGTATGTTAAATTCCTTCCCATTTACCAAAAGAATTCATAGCTTATGTAAATATTTGAAATAAACATAAGAATATAGGTTAACATATACATTTGTTTTACAACTTTCTATAGGAAAATTATTTTTTAAAGTCTAACAATTCTGTAAAGTAAATTTTTAAAAGATTAAGAAACAGCAAAACAAAGTATTTTTACACGTAGGATTTTCCTTCTCCTTAATTTCTAGATCAGCCACAAATATATTTTGTTTCATTTTAATCCAAATTTTAAAACATGCTTTTAAAATTTCCAGACACTCTAATTTCATTTTATTTTAGTTTGGTTAATTTTTTTGTTTTGATTTCTCTGTTAAATATATTACAGTCAGAAACATTTTTTCTGCATAATTTTATTTCATTTAGGTTCATTGAGACATCTGAATGCCTCACAGACACTAGAAAAAGAAATATAACATCCCTTTGTCAATGTCCTTAAGCCAAAGACCACCAGGAACATACCCGTCACTGAACACAGCTGAGTTTTTTTGACTCTTTGCTACAAGTGAGGATGCCCACAAGAATCATGAAGCATTTCAGTAACAGCGTATTAAAATATACTGTGGCATTTGAGCATATGTTAGGTGGTTTGGGGAAGGTTCACCTAAGCGGGGCTTTGTTCTGAACTGGTTGCTGTCAAAAAGTGAGGATCACTCTATGATTGGGTATCTTAATGAATCTTCCCTAGAAGGTGAGAAGAAGAGCATGAGGCTAAAGCTGTGATTGGTAAAGAAATAGCCACTCATACTGGCCAAGATGCAGGGTTGTTTAGTCATATCGTGGTTTGGACAGTGTTCACGTTTCTATCTGAATTCAGACGTGACTATATAGGGGGGCCTCAGGCTTGCCTTGATCTGTCGTCATCACAGAGTGGCCTTACATGAGGTTGGTGTTCTGTGGAATTGCTCATGTACAACAGGAGAGACCTGCAGCCTGGCTGTGAGGGCCAGGCCATCCCAGGTGTCAGAGCCTGCTACTCTCTTTCCCATCTTTTATATACACACTCTGATAAGTGAGTACAAACACATATTCATATATAGTCAAAGGTTTTATATACTTTATTTTCTCTTATTAGGAACATTTAACCTTGCTTAATGAATCTACTGTATATAATGTATATGCATATATGTATATCTCTAAAGAGGTAATTCATTTTTATTGTAGAAACAAACAAAAGGAAACAAAAAAGCAAAAGGGAAGTCATCAATACTATAATTTTCTCAATTGAATTCAACATCTGTGAACAGTTGGGACCAGAAACAAATTGGTTAGACTGGTTATTAAATTAGTTAGTTGACTTTATTTTCAGCATTAAATAAGCAAAGCTTTATGTTATTTGACTAAAGTTATCAGTTTTGTGATTTGGAGCCCAGATTACCACTCCCCACAGAGCACTTAAAGAGATAATTTATTTCTGTAACTAAAGATGAGAACTGAAACGATTCTCAGCTATGTGAGTGAGAAACAAAGATGGATGGAAAAAGATCAGAATGGAGGGACTGTTGAATTCTTGCATTAATACATGCATAGTGCCTAGTACAAAATATATGGTCCTTCAAATGTTTGTAGAGGGCACAATGATAGAGTTGTTCAGCACATTATTTTTGGCTTTTAAAGTTCTAAAAATGATGATAAGAGGTCTATCAAAAATTAATGCCCACAGAATGAATTTACTCCTTTTTTTGAGCCAAGAGACCTGTCTTCACCCAACTCCAGCCTACCTTGATGTTTTGCTCTATTTCTAGCCAATGCTTCCAGACTCACAAGCCCCGACTCCATGGCTCTCGCCCTCCATCCTCCTGCCCACCTCTGGTACTCACTTGTTTATTGCTCCTTGAACATAAATAAACTCTGCCTCTAAGTCTTCCTTCTTCTCCACTTGGCCTGGGATGCACTTAGCTCCCTGTCAGACCAGGAATGACCTCCCAACCTACTCCTATTCCTCCTTCAAACTGTAACCTTTTCTGAGAAATCATTTCCTTTTTTTTTTTTTTTTTTTGAGACTGACTCTTCCTCTGTCGCCAGGCTGGACTGCAGTGGCGCAATCTCAGTTAACTGCAACCTCCACATCCTGAGTTCAAGGAATTCTCCTGCCTCAGCCTCCCAAGTAGCTAGGTTTACAGGCGCCCACCACCACACCTGGTTAATTTTTGTATTTTTGTAGAGATGGGGTTTCACCATGTTGGCCAGGATGGTCTCGATCTCCTGACCTCGTGGTCCACCTCAGCCTCCCAAAGTGCTGGGATTACAGGCACCAGCCACCGCGCCCGGCCCTGAGACACCATTTCTAACACCACATCCCCAGGTTATGATCAGGTTCACCCCTTTCCTAGCGCAGCACTGACTAGCACACATTGGATCCCACTCCAACCACTGTAGTCCCTCTAAGTCAGGGACTATGTCTGCTTATCTTTGTGGTCCTGAAACTTAGGACAAGCCAAGAATAAAATAGTCCAGAATAGATATATGTTGAACTATGAATGAAAATTAAGGAAATACAGCTGTATCTTTAGGACATACTCCCTGTCTTGTTTTTCCAAGGTTGGTAATGGGTTCGTCATCCTCATTCCACTGTCTTGTTGTACTGGTGCTCTGATTTGCAGACTACCAGCACAGCATTCTTTTGTGTATTTTACTGTCCTCTTCAGGTACTCTGCAAACGACTGCCAACCAGTAATCAGTGAAAACCATATTTTCTTACTCAACGGTGCAAAATTAGCACAAAGATTCACAAGGGGGTTATTAAGCACTGTAACACCTACAATATAGATATAGTTACATGATATAGACAGAAACAAAAATAAATAAGAAGCCACTCTTGACAGGTCACACAGGCCTCATAAGAGGTGGGGAACAAATATCTATTCCATCTTAAAGCAACAAAGGTATATTATCACTGGGTTAATTTCACACCAAATAACTACAAGAGTTCTCTTCTAAACTTTTTTTTTTTTTTGAGACAGGGTCTGGCTTTGCTGTCTAGGCTGGAGTGTAGTGGTACAATCTCAGCTCATTGCAACCTCCGCCCCTTGGGTTCAAGGGATCCTTCCCACCTCAGCCTCTCAAGTAGCTGGGAATACAGGCACACACTACCATGCCTAGCTAATTTTTGTATTTTTTTGTAGAGACAGGGTTTCACCATGTTGCCCAGGCTGGTCTCGAACTGCTGTGATCAAGTGATCTGCCCAACTTGGCTTCGCCAAGTGCTGGGATTACAGGCATAAGCCACCATGCCAAGCTTCTCCTGGACTTCTTGTCAACTATTGTAGCAAACAATGTTTGCGCATTTCTCAGAAACCTCTGTATCTAGATTGCTAGAAGTCTAACTTCCTTTTCTTGTCTTTGGATATTGGGCTTAAGTCCAGTTGTCATCCAGATATTAGTGGGTAACTCTGCCCTCCAGGCAAGGTGCCGTGGTCCTTGCCTACTGTCTGAGCTACATCTCCATACATGTTCATGTTGCTCAAATAGGTTAATTTAGGTGGGGTGCGGTGGTTCATGCCTGTAATCCCAGCACTTTGGGAGGCCAAGGTGGGCAGATTGCTCGAGCTCAGGAGTTCGAGACCAGCCTGGGCAACGTGGTGAAACCTCGTCTCTACAAAAAATACAAAAAATAGCTGGGTGTGGTGGGGGGTGCCTGTAGTCCCAGCTACTTGGGATGCTGAGGAGGGAGGGTCATTTGAGCCCAGGAGGTGGAGGTTGCAGTGAGCCGAGATTGCACCATTGCACTCTAGCCTGGGTGACAGAGCAAGACCCTGTATCAGAAAAAAGAAAAATAGATTTATTTAATTTTTTATTTCTCAGCAGTCTGGGCTCCTGTATCAAGTTTAAACTAATTAGCTCACTAGCCTTACAAAACTCGACATCTCACAAAACCTCAGTTTCCCCTCTGTAAGTGTGAATAATTATAGTGTGTATGTCATGGGTTTTTATTAAAGGGAAATTAAACATCATAGCTAGCACAGAGCCAACATTTCCTTCCCGTCCAGCTTGGGGGTATGAGGTATTGCAGTGCATGAAATATATACAACATTGTTCTTAGGGGGAGGAAGGATATAATAGGGAACATTGCATCTAACAAGACAAGAATTTGGTCAGTGAGCAATTCTGATTAAACAGTTACTCTAGGCCAGGTTCTGGGGATAGAAAGATTAAAAAAAAAAAAAAAAAACCTGACAGTGATGGGAAGATACACCTGCAAACAAGTAATGACAACACAGCATGCCAAGGGCAGTAGCAGAGGTAGCCTCAGGTGGTGAAATCCCAACACTGCCTGGGGCTGTGAAGGAAGGCTCACAGGGAAGCTAATGCTCAAACCAAGCAAGAGTGAAGGAAAAATGTTTGGAAACCAGTGGGGTAAGATGTTCCAGGGAAAGGGAACAGCAGAATTTGAAGGGCACTGGCTTAACTGCAGTAGCAGGATGGCACAGTGGTTGAGAACTCATGTTTTGGGGTCACGGCAACCCTGGATTTCAATATTAGCACCGAGACTTACTCACTAGGTCACCATGAGCCAGTTTCTTACCTTCTCTAAGCCTCAGCCGTAAAATAGAGGTAAAATAGTACCTGCCTCAAAGGGTTGTTTTCAGAATTCAGTGAGGTAATGCACATAAAAGTGCTTAGTACAGCACCTCATGCACAGTAAATAATTGCAATAGCAAATGTTTATGGGGCTCCTTCTCAACGAATGTTATTTTTTATTATTATCTGGAAATGAAGTGTGCCAGGCTAATGAGACTAAGTTTTGTCCAATGGCAGGAGGGAGCTCTGGAAGAGTCCAAGCACAGGACTGTGTGAATCATAGCTGATAATTAGAAAATCACCCTAGGATGGTGGCAGATTGGAAAGTGGATTGTAAGGGAAGAGGTTATAGGCATAAAGATTATTGAGGAGGCTACTAAGGCAAGAGACACTAAATGACTGGGTTTGGGCAGCAGTAGAGGGAAGGAAAGAAAGGAGAGCAACCCCAGAGGTACTTGGGAAGAACAATCAACAGGACATGGGACATGGTGACCAACTATTGTGGGGTGGGGTAGGGCCATGAAAGAGGATCAGGGGACAGTATCCAGATTTCTGAGAAGTAAGAGAAATGGGTTCGGATGGCAAAGGGACAAGCCCAGCTTTAGTCATGCTGCCTTTGATGGGAGCACACCGTGAACAGGTCAATTGGTCTGTGGGCCTGGAGCTCCATGGAAATGCTTAGAGAAGCCATGAAGACCAGGAATTCCTATGGGGTGAACATGATGGAAATTATGAGTGAGTATGTTACTGAGGAAACATGAGCAGAGTGAGAGGAGAATCCCAGGATGGGTGAGGGAAAAGCTCCCACAAAGAATATTACAGTGGAGAGAAAAATGAAAGAGCAGATGGAGGAGCAAGTACTGACATAGAATCTTCAAGGAGGGAGTATAAAATGCAGTGGACACATCAAGTAAGATGACTACAGACAAGTGGCCAATGGTTTGTCTCTATCTTAGAATGCCTGTGGTCATTCAGGTGTCTATCATTAGATTGTCTGAGGTCACCCAGGTGTCCCTATCATTAGAATGCCCAGTGTCAGCCAGGAGTGTCTCCCATTAGAATGCCTGTGGTAGGCCATGAGTCTCTATTTTTAGAATTCATGAGGTCGCCCTGTTGCTTCTATCATTAGAATTCCGGGGATTGCGCAGATGTCTCTATCATTAGAATGCCTGGGGTCAACCAGGAGTCTCTTTGACCACAGACAAGTGGCCAATGGTTTGGCAATGGAGTATTTAGTGACTGTTTCAGAAACATGAAAATGAGATTTCCATGGGTTCAGGAGTAAATAAAGAGATGGAGATAAATGTAATCTACTCCTTTGAGAAACTTGATTTTGAAAGAATTTTCTTTTTAATGAAATGGCAATAGTCCAAGGGGAATGTGGAATCACAGCAGTGTCATTCTAGTTAACTATAGAAAAGACACAGCTGTACTTACATACTGAGAAAATGAGCTGGTGGAGAAGGAGAAGTAGAATATGTTTATCTTTCATTTTCCCAGACCCCGTTTCTTTTCATCTGTTCTAGCCCCCTTGTCCTCACTTCCGTTTTCAGTGGCTCATCATCCCCCAACTCACAGTCCTCAACTCAGATGCCCCAGCCTTGCTGACCCTCTGAGGCATGACCTCTCCCTTGACACAATCTTGGCTGTTTAGCCCTACCCCCAGGAACCACAACTTCAGTAACAGATGCTGCTGACGCCACTTCATCCCAGTCCCGTCCCTTCGTGTTCCTTAAGATTCCCAGGGTTGGCCAAGTTCTCTGGAGATCACTTGACTCCTGGGCTCCTTGACATCCATTTTCCCAGAAACACCATGCATCCACAGCTAGGCAATGGCCCCGAGGGTCACACACCCTGCACCAGCCCTGCTGAGCACCATCTGCAGCTGATGAAAGTGAATCCAGAACCTCATGTTCCTGCTAATTTACAACCACTCCAGCCTGATGCTCTTTTTGTACTCTTTTGCTGAACCCAACCAAATAAAGGCAGAGGTTCTTCCAGATTGCCTAGTTCTTTGCTCTTGCAGGTCCACAGAGAAATCTGACAAGCCACCAGGATTTCTTTGCCAGTGCTGAGTAAAGCCAGCCTGTGGAGACAGACAGCAGGTGGGGCACAGTGCTCAAAGCTGCCCCTCTCTGAGAACACATCTAACCAAACACTCCATCCCTGAACCTCACCTTCAGCTCTCAGGCCCCACGTGGGGGCTCTGAAGGTGGGCTATAGAAAGATGTGAATGTCGGGACAATTAAGGGTGTGAATAGGAGAGTTTCTGTTTCCAATTCCAGACAGTGATCAACACAGTGTCATCTGAACCCGGCTCATGAGTCAAACTGCCCGCCTCACAGCTATGCCTGAGGGAATGGGAACAGCAAATGCATTTACCCTGAAGGGGTGGTCCCATGGACTAGCCAGAGGGGAAGGTGCTGGGGGACAGGTGCTGTCTGCCTCCACTTGCTCACACCTCCCCTTGGGCATGACCTCCCCTGAGTGGAGACACACAGCCCTGCTCTCACCTGGAAGATCCACATCTGCAGATCTGCCTCATCTGCCCCTTCTCTCACCATCGCCAGGAACTAGGATGGCTATCAAATTTGCCATAATGTATTTTCATACATAATGAAAGAGGAGCATCTCCCTGCATCATGGGTAGCTAGTGTGTCCTACCACATCTCTGCTGAGCACAGGAATGTATAAACGCACTTTAAAACATGTGTATGGGTTATGGGTGGTGGCTCACGTCTGTAATCCCAGCACTTTGGGAGGCCAAGGCGGGTGAATTGCTTGAGGTCAGGAGTTCAAGACCAGCCTGGCCAACAGGGTGAAACCCTGTTTCTACTAAAAACACAAAAAATTAGCCAGGCATGGTGGCGCACACCTGTAGTCCCAGCTACTCTGGAGACTGAGGCAGGAGAATCACTTGAACCCAGGAGGTGGAGGTTGCAGTGAGTCGAGATCTTGCCACTGCACCAAAAAAAAAAAAAAAAATGTGTGTATGATCCACCCCTTGTGAGGCTGAGGTGAGCGATCACTTGAGCCTGAGAGTTCAAAGCTGCAGTGAACTGTGATGCCGCTACTGAACTCCAGCCTGAGCAACAGAACGAGACCATGTCTTAAAAAAAAAAAAAAAAAAAAGACACAACTGTGGCATTTAAGGTCTATGAACCCTACAAAGGGGCTGTAAGCAACTGGCAATTGGCACCCCATCCCTATGGTCTACTTTCTTTCCCAGACCCAGTTGACCAGACCCACTTTCTTCCCCCACCCCCGCCGCTAAGACAGAGTCTTGCTCTGTCACCCAGGCTGGAGTGCAGTGGCACAATCTTGGCTCACCACAATCTCCGCCTCCCAGGTTCAAGCAATTCTCCTGCCTCAGTCTCCCAGGTAGCTGGGACTACAGGTGTGCACCACCACGCACAGCTAATTTCTCTATTTTTAGTAGAGATGGTGTTTCACCATGATGGCCATCATGCCCAGCTAATTTTTGTATTTTTAGTAGAGGCAGGGTTTCACCATGTTGGCCAAGATGGTCTCTATCTCCTGACCTCGTGATCTGCCTGCCTCAGCCTCCCAAAGTGCTGGGATTACAGGCGTGAGTCAACGCACCCAGCCCAGACCCACTTTCCATATCCTCTCAGGAAATAAGGTAAGACAACACTGCAGATGCTACTCAAGAGAGGCAGGAGCACAGAGATAATCTATTTACAGTGTTTATCTACCTTTAGCAAACCTCACACCACCTTTACCTGCCCCAGAAGGCTTCATGCTGCACCTTTAAACCTGCACCCACCTCTTGGTGGTATAAGTCCACATACATTTAAGTGGGAATTTCAAGTTCTGGACTGGAGTTCACCAACAGAAATTTCTGTAATGACGTTCTATATCTGTACATTGCAATATGTTAGCCACTGGCCACATAAGGGTACTGTGCACTTGATATGTGGCTGGTGTGACTGAGGAACTGAATTGTTAATGTTATTCCATTCTAATTAATTTAAATTGAAATATCCACATATGGCTAGTGGCCAACATATTGGACAGTGCAGGTCTAGACAATTCCAGCCAAGCAGACCCTAGCACCAGAGTAAAAAAACTAAGTTTCAGAACGACAGGAGCAGGCTCTCCAGGAGAGGACCAGGTACCTTGTCCCTAAGCATTGAATGGGGCCACTGCCCTCTCCAAAAGGAAGCAAGGCAGGATGGGCAGAGGCAGCTGAAGGTGAGCTTAAGGACGAGGCAGGATTAACACAGAACCTAATGGGGTCATAATGGGGGAAGATATATGGAAATGAAGCATAAGGAGAGGTAGAGATGGAGGTGGAGGAGAGAAAGGAAGCAGGTCCCTCCTGTTGACCTAGTACTAGCACCAATCCTGGCAAGCTCTAAAACCTTTATTACACCCTTTTCCCCTTCCCCCAATTATTGTCACATCCAGTGAAAGAATCATTGCCTATCTTCTAATGCAATCCTCTCATTCCGCAGATGCATTAACTGAGGCCCAGAGAGGTGACCGGATTGTCCAGTCATATGTTGAATCTGTAGCAGGATCAAGTCCAGACTGTGTCCTCCCCACTCTCAAGCCCATGTGCCCTCTCCCACCCTTAACCAGCTCCACTAAAAGAAGGCAGGACTGAGGAAGGAGAACTGCAGGTAAACAACGAGCAGGCAGAGAGAGGCCCAGAAGAGGCACCAGCGAAGAGACAAGAAGTTGTAGCCGGATCCCGCCTGGGCCCTCGGCTTGGAGGCTTCAGAGGTGTAGGTGGTCACCTCCTCCTCCAGCAGCTTCTCGCTGGGCTTCCAGTGAACGATGCCCTCCTGGCAGGCCTCACAGAACTCTGCACGATGCGGCCCGCTGTCCGGGCGGCTGGCCACGTGGATGCGGTACTGGCCACCATCCTCCTCGTAGCACTGCTCGCGCAGGCTGGTGATGAGGTTGTCCACCAGGCCCTCGATGTTCTCCTCCAGCATGCTGGACTCGTCCAGCCGCGCCGTGCCGCACTCATAGCACAGCTGCTTGAAGACGCGCATGCGCACCGAGCCCGCCCGCTGGGCGCGGTCCAGGAACATGTGGAAGAGGATGACCACATGGGCAGACTGCCAGGTGTGCCAGCACCAGGAGCAGTGGAACCTGCCGGGAGGAGAAGGAGGGGTGGAGAAGGTGGGCATCCCAGAGAAGCCTGCCCTGAGAAGCTCTGAGAGGGAAAAAAAAGCCTGTGTGCCCGTGCTTGGAGATGGAGGCAGTGTTTACTGCCCTGTGGATTCATTAGCACTCCAAGGCCGGCCTGCTCTCGCCTCCTCCTGGTGAGCACCCCTGGGACCCGAGCAGCATCCTCAGGAGCCAGTGCCGGAGCCATCTGGCATCCAGCAGTGCTCTAGAGCGTGCCTCCTGCGGTCTCAGCTGCCCCCCAGCCCGATGCACTCAAGGTTGCACCTGGGCGCTGTGCAGGGTCATCCCCCCCTCTCTGGGCTTCATTTCTCATTTGTGAAATGTAGTGTGTTGGCGTCCAGTAAGGGTCCTTCCTCTGTGACCTCCTGCGACTCTAATAAGAAGGATGACATACACCATCTAACTCATGCATCTTGCTTACTTTGGGGAGAAGAGACGCCTCTAACTGTGCCAAGCACAGACCCTGGCACACTGTAGGTCCTCAGTAAACCACTGAGAATGATGGGATGGACAGACCGGTAGATGGGTAGGATCAACTGGCTTTTAGGAGGAACTACCAAGTTTAGTTACTACATCTTCACAAAGAACACTCCCCAGTCTCTTGACAAGTCTTCTCTAGATCCCACTCTAGCCCTGCAGTGGGGACTGGAAAAGAGGGTATTCATTCCCATTGCCACTCCACACACACACACACACACACACACACACACACACACACACACACACACACACATATATTTTCTCTCTCTCTCTTACATGCACAGAGGCCACTTGGCGTAACCTGGGCTTTCTAGAGTCCCAGTCTCAGGAAGTGTTGTGGGTGGTAGCCTGGGGCTCATCTAGGCAAGCCCCACTCACTCCGCCCCCACCACTGCCTGCACACTTTCAGTGATGCAGCACTCCTGACCTCCAGGGCAGTTCTTTCCTTCCCTGAGATGAGCCTCTTCCAGGCCTCTGTTATAGAGGCTTCACAGGCAGTCAGATGTCCACTGGGCTGTCCCTGTCCTCATCACTGGCCCTTTCTGGATCCATTGTATGATGGCCTTGAAGGACTTCTGATTAGGAACTCAATTCAATCCAACAGACACCATTCAACACCTCCCATATGCCAAGCACCACTCAACCCAGGCTATGGGATAGAGGTGAGGCCAAGCCTGGCTCTGACCCCTGAAAGCCTGATCACATGAGCATAGAACAGTACCCAGAATGGCCCAAGGTGGGGTTGGCAGGTCAGAGGAACCTAGCTGGTACTGAACCAGGAGAGGTTCCCCGCCCCCAGTGCTGGGTGAGAGCTGCAGGGCATCTGCCTGTTTAGAGACAGAGTGAGCCTGTGCACAAATAAGCTCATGGGCAGCAGTTCTTCAGCTCTTCCTGAGGCCAGCTGGGAGCCACAAGTCACCAGCCAGGAGTAAGAGGAGCTGACCTCTGAAGCAAGAGGAGACATGAGCTTGCTGAGCTCAGCCCCGAAACTCTGGATCCTGGGCACTCAAGTTTCCAGGCATCTGCACCTCTTCCACCAGGCAGTTCAAATGCTTTATGTTTTCAGTCTCCTTCTACACCTTTTTACATCAAACCAACCCAGAATTGCTTCACCTACATCAAGTTAGGCCTCACATCTTAAATTCAAAAATATCAGATCTGGGGGCAGGCGAGCTTAAGAAGCATCTAGTCAGCCCTTTATTTCACTGAGAAGAGACAGAAGCCCAGATAGTAAGAGAGGCATCCATGTACACACAGCTAGTTAGAGGCAGAGCCAGTGCTCAGCACATAACAGGTACCCAATAGATGCTTCTTGAGTTGATGGAACTGACATGAATCAGCCAACCTCTGGTTTTCTGTCTTTTTTTCACAAGGCAGGTTTACTCCAATAATTCCAGGTCTTGGGACAAGAGTACAAACGTAAGCTCCCTACCCACATCTTGCCTCCTCTGTTCCCACCCTCAGCACCATTCTGCACCATGAGAAGCTTCACACACATACACGTGAACAACCCAGCCTTTGTGTCCATGTTCTGGCTACATCTCCAGAGCACAGCCACTTACTGGCCTCTCTTGAATCCAAGGACACAGGAAAAAGGCCTGCACAGACACTACAGATGGACTTGAGGTAGTCTGGGGAGGAATTTCTGTAGTCCCAGTCCCCAATCATGATCTAAAAGGAGGAAAGGCATGTGGACTTTAGACGGCCTCGTCCCCTTGGCCTCAAGGACTCTTTGCCCTGTGGTAGATGTGCAGCTCCTATAAAGAGTGGGACCCTGGGCTCTAAGTTCCTAAAGAAAGTTTTGCTCAAAGCTAAATCTTTTTATCACAGGTGCATAGATAATAGAGCTAGAGTGGATTGGATCTATTATCTAAGACCAACCCCCTCATTTTGTAAATATAAAAACTGAGAGCCAGAAAGGGAAACAGACTTGCCAAGTTTACAAGGCTACTTAGCTATATAGAGCCAGTTCGTAGCACACAGCAGGTGGTCAATAAATGTTTATGTATTCAGATCAAATTGGATTAATTCACTAAACATATCTAGGAACAGAGCATAGCTGTACCCCCTGCATTCCCCCAACTCCTAGATTAAAACTTTCCCCAATGGACCTCATGGCCTCCTTCCTTCAGTTCCAACTCACTCTAAATGTCAGAGATTGCAGGGACATAGATGATATTACAGCTCTTCATTTAATGTGGACAACTAAGACCCAAAGATGGAACATAACTTTCTCAGGGTCACCCAGGGAGTTAGTGGTATTGCTAGGATTAAAAGCAAGAACTCTCTGACCCAGCCGGCTGTCTTTGTCTTTTTCCCCATCTGAGCTGACACCAGAATAAGCCCGCGACTGGGCTCTGTCTCTCCTTGGAAAGTACCCCACAGCTGTGACCCAGGGGCTGTCTGCAAGGTCCCTCCCCACTGAACCTCTCACCTGCCTGAGGCGTGCTGCTCCAGGTACTGCTTCCAGCCAGGGGCCAGCTCACTGGGCTTGAGGTTGGGGTCTATGATGAGCTCCCAGCTGTCCGCTGGCTTTGCCACCTCCATCTTCTCATAGAAGACTTTCTTCCACTCACAAGTGGTCAAGCTGGTACACATGGTCCTGCTGGCAGAGGTGGCAGTTCGAGCTCAGCCCTGGTGAGAACACAGAAAGAGCACGGATAGGTACGGGACAATTCAGTGTCTACGGTCAGAATCCTCATCGGCAGGACTGGGAGTAAACAGGACCCAGCTCCCTCCTCTGTTACCCTGGAACCTGTTACCATGGTAGCCAGGCAGGGCACCAAGAGTGAGGGCTGGGGAGAAGGGAAGCCCCAAGGGGGAGTTTCAGGGCCCTGAGTTAGGCTTCAGAGGCAGCGCTGGGTAGGCCTGAGAGGAGCAAGCACAGTGGGAGGCCCAACCTCAGACCACACTCATCTGGATTTCCAGAGGTCTCCAGGAGGCAAGGACTATTTGGTGGCCCTGCTTCACCCAACTGCTCTTCTAGCATTCTCCACATCATGTGCTATGGTAAGTACGACACCCTAGGAAGTCAAGGAGAAATGAGGGACAGGGAAAGGCAGAGCCTGCTGCTTCCACACCCCCTGATATGCTGTGACCATCACTTACCATGTGCCTAGCACAAACCGCTTGACCTGTGTGCTGGCCAAAGCAGATCAGATCAGGAAACTGAAGTTTATGCAACCCCTAAGTGGCTCATCCAAGATTCAGATCTAGGCCTTCTGAAACCGAGCTCATTTGTTTATTTATTTTAGTACTATTGTGCTCCTAACAGGGAATTGAGTGAGAAGTAACATCTCTTTGCCCAGGGCAATCTTAGACCAGTTGGTGAGCTAGAATGTAATTTCATATGCCATGCAAAGCACAGTAATAACATTTCAGATTCATAGCGTCATAGAACTGTTAGAGCCCATATTCAGTTCCTGGTCCCAAGCCAGGCTAAGGTGGCTGCTGGGGTAATGAGTTTGTTCTGTGCTGCAGGCTCCTGCTGCCTCCATTACTGCTGAGCTGGAGCAAGAGAGCATCCGTAGCTCTGTGATGCCCAATTCAAATTCTTTAGAAACCAGAGGGGAATCTGACTTCAAATTTGGTAATCCAAGTGAAGACACGGTTACCTGAAGGGAGGCTGCCTTGAGCATGGAAAAGACCAGGCATATGGCTGCTTACCCTAGCTTTGGTCCAACTTCCAACTGTAATCATCTTACGATTCTTTAACCCGGAAGTCTGGATCCCTAGACACGCAGAGTTCCAACAGTAAAGAGCTTCAAGAAGTGAAACAGGTTGCTAAGAACCGGAAGCTCTTGGTGTTGAGTTGCCAAGTGGTTTTCAGGAAGTGTGAAGTCAGGGACAATGTCACTGGATTCTCTCTTGAAATGAAAAGTGTTACTCTAGCGGCTTTGTGCTAAAGACCTCAGAAAGGACACAATTGTCTTTGAACCATTGACTGACAGCTCTAGAAGAGCTCTTTTATTTTTAAAAATCTGGTTTATTTCTTGAACTCTTCATTTCTTAACCAAAATTTATTGACATTGAATTAAAACAACTGAGGCCTGGAAATGGAAAATTACTGGCCCAGGCTCTCAGGACTGGGTAGCTCAAACCTCACTGGGGATTCCCTTAGAAGCCAGTTACCAGACCAGGTGAGACAGAGGGATCCATGAATGGCCAGGAACTGAACGAAGCTGAGATGAGCTTATGGCCTGGCCTAGACCCTCGTGCCAGGAAAGAACCTCTGAGAAATAGTATACCCTTGTTCCCAGAACAAATGGCAATAAAGGAAAAACAGAAAGAGGATGAGAATTGTCAGGGTTTACCTGTATTTTCTTTTTTCCTCAAATAATGCAATCCCCTTAGGCCTAGTATCAGGTTTAATTTAGCATAGCAGCTTCTAAGCAGAGACCAATAGAATTCATCTTTCTGTGTAACAGCACTGTTTTCACTTTTCATACAATCAGTGAGCACAATTACTACTTCAATTTTCCGCGAATGACACTATCTTATTCCAGAACCCACGATTTAAGAGCTCACAAATGTATATTGTGTACAGCTGTGGCCACATCACACTCTGGCAGCTTCATTATACATATTTTGTCTAGGCAATACTTTTTCAAATAAAGAAATTGTTATTTCTTTATAAAATAAAATACTGAGCACCTGTATTCTGCAAACAAATCAGCAAGGGGGAGGGGATGGATAAAAGAATCACTTTTCCCCTTCAATTTGGAATGCAAGTTAATGAAGAGCTTTGTAAAATATTTATTATTCAATTTTACTTATTAGAGTAATGTAAGAAATGCCAGTGTGGAGCTTAAAATGACAAAGTAATGAAGAGTTGAAAAGGTGTGTACATCAAAATCACCTGGAGAGTTCTGAAAACTGTATACACCTCTGCTTCAGAGATTTCAATACATGTTCTTGAGGAGACAAATTTGCTCTCCACCTACTCCAGTCCTGGGAAGAATCCCTTCTATTGCCAGCCATTGTTACTGATGGGATATGTTGTCCCACAGGCTACTGGAGGCCAAAAATGAAAAACAAAAAAAGAAGATTGAGTAAAATGAGCTAGTGGTTTATAATATTTCTTTACCAGGAAATAGATCCAGGACAAATGCAAGGTGTGTCCTATCTTCTCCTGTGTCTCCGCAATTCAAAGAACCGTAGACGATGCTATAGGGCGAATCCAAGATCCCCTGGGGAGTATTTTCAAGAGATATTAGGAAGGCCTCTCCATCCCCAGGATGTAGCACTTAGCGACAGCATGGTCCAAGCTCCCACTCTTTGGGTGGGAGCTGACCTCTGAATCTCAGGGGAGGCCACACAGAGCAGTCCATGGCTCTCTAATAGTGGCACATAGTGGAATCTTCCCAGGAAGATTTTACGCTGCCCTTTTATTAATTGGCAGCAACCAGAGCAACTGCAGGCAAGTGACATTCTGTTTCTGCTGGTGTCCAAGGGCCCAAATTCTGTGCACCATGCTTCCCAGCACCCCAAAGGCTCTGGAATCTGTATTAAGAGTGACTATATCTACTTATCCTTTTTTCCGGGTCTTATTATCCTAGATAGAGATTTGGTGACGAATCTATTATGGGATGTAAATACATAAAAAGACAGATAGAAATAGGGTGTGCTCCATGCAAGGGAGAAAAAAAAAAGATAGGGGTTGAGTTAGGAAGGAAGAATATAGAGGGTCTGGGGACACTTTCAGCAGGTACAGCCTATGCTGCTTCTGTCCAAGAGGCTGAGGGCCTTCATCAGAGTTCCTTAGCTATACTCAGAGAACCTGCTAGTTTCTGTTGAGCTGAGGCTCAACACACACAAAAATAGCCATGACTCATCTCTGGGACACTCCTAGCCATCAAGGCAGGGTGAAAAGGGAGCATGGGATAGATTGTGCTGGCTTTTAAAGCATCCATTCTAAAAATGACAAGGCTGGGGTCAATATCCTGGGCAGACTTTTAAAAATATATATCTTTCCTTTTAAACACACATTTACCCAGTAGAACATTTGTAGTTCCAGGGCTTTCCAGGAGACACCAATTCACATAAGGAAAGGACCCATTAAAGCTGAGTCCATTCCTGAGGCAAGTCTCTCACGATAAATAGAACGAATTTTACCTTGAGTATCTATCTTTAGGAAACAGGTCACCTTCCAAAGACTGATGGGGATTCCTTGATGAGCAGTCAGAAAGGCTGTTTGGCCCCAACACTTAGCTCAGTTAACTTCCTTGGAGACTTTACATTCCCAGAATTGACTATGTACTTCAATTTACATGGGAGTGAGAAGGGAAAGGACTAATACACTCATTAGTATTGTATTTACCCTTAAGGCTGGATACTGACTTTACCCTTTTTCTTATCCAAAAATCAAGATAAAATTGTTCAAGTGCATAAAATTGGACAAACATTACATAGATATTGCATAAACAGGCAGTTAAAAGCCCCCAGTAAAGATTTAAACAGACCACTTAGCTCTGACATTGGAACCAGAAGATACACAGTCAATAGGAGTCACAGGCCCAAAATGATCAGGCTTTGCTTAGAGTTAAGTTAAATATGCTAGAAACACTTCAATTTATTTCCCCAGTTGTCAAACAATTGGAAAGAGCATAACTACACACTATAAAAATGCTTTCTTACTCCCAAGGATAAGGCAGGTAGGTTTTATAGTAAAACAAAGCATATGAGACGCAGATCTTACATGAGATGTAAAACAAATATGTTAAACGAAGATGTTTTACATGAGATGTAAAACAAAGCATATGAGATGCAGATCTTTATATTTCTCAGTAAATTTGAGCTTTCTTGATATATGCTTATAGACACTATAGTTAAAAAGCTACATTTCTTGCAAAGTCCCAAGGTAAATATAAGTAAAGCTTGGGAAGAGAGAATTCTACAAGAAAACCCACTGACCAGAATAAAAAGAATTTTAAAACAGAAAGATCCCTTGATTAGTGAAACAAGAAAATGGCCACAACTACAAGCCAGAACAATTATAGTTAAATTTGGATATAGAGTGGGAGCACATGAAGAACCAATGCATGCCTCACTTCATCTCACGCAGAGTGAATATTTCTTTTCTTTTTTTTTCTTGGGACAGTCTCACTACGTCAAGCAAGTTGGAGTGCAATGGCGTGATCTCGGCTCACTGCAGCCTCTGCCTCCTGAGTTCAAGCGATTCTCCTGCCTCAGCCTCCTGAGTAGCTGGGATCACAGACGTGCACCAGCACACCTGGCTGATTTTTGTATTTTTAGTAGAGATGGGGTTTCACCATGTTGGCCAGGCTGGTCTCGAACTCCTGACGTCGTGATCCACCCACGTCGGCCTCCCCAAGTGCTGGGATTACAGGCATGAGCCACTGTGCCTGGCCAGAGTGAACATTTCTTTAAACATGACCCACCCCAGTAGCAATGAGCACACCTACCACACACATCTGGGTTCCTAATACCATTCTCCAGTTAAAATAACAACAACAAACTAGGTCTTCTTGGAAAAATTATATGAAGGCTCATTCATTCCTATGTCTGGAGGTTGATGCTGCCTGTGAGATGGGACCACAGCTAGGTCTATGGGCCAAAACATCTACACATGGCCTTTCTATGGAGCCTGGGCTTCCTCACAGGATGCTGGCTGAGTTCCAAGGGCTGGTGTCACAAGAGAATCAGGCAGAAGCTGTGCTTCCTTTTATGAGCTACCCTCAAAAGTCACAAGGCAACACTTTCACCATTGCCCAGATTCAAGGTAAAGGAGCATAGACCCCACATTTGGATAGGAGGAAAGTCAAAGCTATGTTGTAAGAAGATGCAAGTCGGGAGATACCAATGTGATCGTCTTTGGAAAACATGCATTGTCACAGCAGGTAGGGAAGTCAATAAGGCTTCCACAGAAGGAGTGGTATGTGAATAAACCCTTACAGGATGACCAATTGGCAGTTAAATAAAAAAAATGTTAAAGGGGTGCTTTTCCCTAAGGAGGGGAAAGCATGGGCAAAGACTTAGAAAATGAAATGACATAGAATCATTCTTGAGACTCCATATCATTTAGGACATCTGGATCACACAGAAGAGTGATGGAAGTTGAGGCCTGAAAGATACATGGGACCTGGATTATGGAGTTTTTAACACCCTGGCAAAGTTGAGATTTTGCCTTAGAGGGGACGTGAAATTACTAAATCGTTTTAGGCCTGAACTACATGATCCTATTTGCATATCAACAATGTGCTATTTAAACGCATTGCTCTCTCTTCCTTTTCCCCATAAATTGGCTGATGTCTAAAAATGCTGTTTCCATGACACACTTGCCGTGAATTCTAATCTGCTTAGCTCCTTGCAAATCTAGATCCCTCTGTAGGAGGTGTGAAAAGGACCTTCACTCCATTAACCAAAAGTGTTCTCTAGGGAGAACACTCCATTGAGTATTCTTTTGTACACTCCCAATTGAAACCTACTGGATTAAGTGTGATGAGAAGATGGAGAAATAGTTTACAATGTTTTATATTGAAAAGTTATTAATAGAGTTGGAATATTAAATTTTTAATGAGTTTTTATTGTCCGTAAAACTTCTATGGACTATTTTCCCTAATGAAGGTACATGTGAACGAGAAATAGATACATTGATGCTTATAAGTCTCCAGTAGTACATCAGCATGTGACAAATGAACACAGACACCCACGGGCTATATCTACCAAATTGCCTTAAATCTCCTACCTAGATTTTTCATGCTATAGGAAGATAGAAAAATCTTAATGTGGATTTATGCTGGTAAGCAGGGGGAAAGAAGGAGTTTGAAAACAATTTACAGTGAAGAGTAAACTCTGTGATGATAAAGTAGAAACTGCTGGTGCCGGTGCCATAACAGTTACTTAATCTGTGTCATGACCTGAAAGGCAATTAAATGAAGTCTGAGTGGGTGAAGAAACTCTTAAGATTCAGTCCAAAATGGTTTCCATGTCCAAGGGGACCCATTGATGGAAGCTGGTCAGGGGACAACACCAAACTCATTCTATCCAGAGAATTTGTATGATGCAAGAAATAGCAAAAGCTTCAAGCTGATTCTCGAGGCATCAGAAGCTGGGCAAAGAAATAGCAGACTAGTTCCTCATCTTAAATACTAGTTGCAGGAGCTGACCTTAATTTAATATACTTTAATTATAATAAAAGGTAATAGTGATAAAGTCCTCACTATGCACTATGAGTTTTTCTAAGTACTTTACATATATTAATTCATTTAAGCACACACAAGAACCCTATGAGGTGGATACTATAATTATTTTCCCCATTTGACATAAGAGGAAACTGGGACTCAGAAAGGTTGAGTGATTTACTGGAGGTCCTATAGTTAATAAGTGACAGTTCTGGGATTTGGACTCATACAATCTGGCTTACTGACTATGCATATTTGTCCACTAAGCTATTCCCTAGGCCCAGTTTTTTTTTTCCTTTTTTTTTTTTTCTGTCTTCCCTGGAGTAGAACCTAGGCACAGTTTTTAAAGTAATAATCTCATTGTAAAATTTCAAAAGATACAAAAATATATTAACTATTAAATGAAAGCTCCATATCCTCTTTGTCCCACTCTCCCTGCCCTTCATTTTTTCCAAGTTACTATTGTTAAACATTTAGAATTTATTTGATTAAAGAATGTATTTGATTTTTTAAAACATTGCAGTGTTTTATAGTATCTCTAATGTTTAAAAAAAGTTATATGGCATTGACATCTTCCAAGTTTGGTGCACAATGGCTTGTGAGACACAGATTCGGAGCTTGTTTGTGAGCCTCTATTAGCTCATGAGTGCCCCTATCTGAAACCTGCATCAGCACCTCACCGTGGCTTGCATGTTCCACTGCACAGGCAGTACCTTGGGAATTTATTAAAATACTGTCTCTGGCGGGCATGCCTGTAATCCCAGCACTTTTGGAGGCCGAGGTGGGCAGATCATGAAGTTAGGATTTCCAGACCAGTCTGGTCAACATAGTGAAACCCCATCTCTACTAAAAATACAAAAAATTGGCCAGGCATGGTGGTATGCCCTTGTAATCCCAGCTACTCAGGAAGCTGAAGCAGGAGAATCGTGTGAACCCAGGAGGCAGAGGTTGCAGTGAGCCAAGATCACACCATTGCACTCCAGCCTGGGTGACAGTGTGAGATTCTGTTTCAAAATAAATAAATAAATAAAATACTGTTTCTGTGTGAAATGTTTATCTAAAGAGGGAGGAAACATCATTAAAATTTGAAAAAAATGTTAACATGATGTGAGGACATGCATTGGCAACATATGTAGGATGAATAATTTCATATGTCAACTTCGCTTGACCAAGGGGTGCTCAAATATCTGCTTGGATACGATTTCTGGATGTGTCTGTGAGAGGACATGCATTGGCAACACATGTATGATGAATAATTTTATATGTCAACTTCGCTTGACCAAGAGGTGCTCAAATATCTGCTTGGACACCATTTCTGGATGTGTCTGTGAGGGTGTTTTTGGAAGAGATCAGCTATTTGAACTGGTGAATTGAGGAAAGCAGATGGCCCTCCCAACGTGGATGGGCATCATCCAATCCATTAAGGGCCTGAATAGAACAAAAAGACAATGCAGGAAGGTTGAATTCACTCTCTGCCTGACTTTTGAGCTGAGACATTGATCTCCTCCTGCCCTCAACTCCTGATTCTCAGGCCTTGAGACTCAGGCTGGAATCTACAAGATCAGCTCTCTGGCTCTCAGGCCTTCAAACTGTACCACTGGCTTTCCTGAGTCTTCAGCTTGTAGTTGGCAAGACTGTGAGACTTTTCAACCTCTGCAATCACATGAGCGAATTCCTCATAATAAATGTCTTCCTAAATATCCATATATATATATATATATATATATCATATATTATATGTATGTGTATATCCTATACAAGCACACACACATAAATATCTATCTTATTGGTTCTGTTTCTCTGAAGAACCTGGGAACCATATGATATGTATGGTTCTCCATATATTTAGGTGTGTGTATATGTGCATATATATATATATATGTGTGTGTATATGATATACATATGTGTATATGTGTGTATATATTACCTAAATATATGGAGAACCATACAAATACACATACACACACACAAACACATATACACACCCCACATATAGTACTTATCAATTCCATTTCTCTGGACAACCCGGATTAATACACCATAATTCTCTCTAAATGGGATTTCAGTAAAAGCCTGAAAACCTTTGCAAACATTTCTGGGTTTTCGACTTGAGGATTCCTGAAAGTGTAGGCAAAAATTCTCTGGCGATGTCAAGGGTCCACTCTGTTGGCACAAAGCTCTTTATGGGGAGTCAGGAGACCTAGATTCTTATCTCAAACTTGTAATAACCCTAGGTAAATCAGTTTAGTACCCTGAGCATCAATTTTCTAGGTGCCGAATTAGAAATTTCAAAGGTGCTGACCTCTGAAGCCCCATTCTCTGCTGAGATTTTGGATGTCTAAAGGCACCATGTAAAGCAAAGTGCTCTCACTGATCCTAATATGCATAGCCACCCCTTCTGCTGTTTCTATGCATCTCTGTCTTGGTTTCAGTGTGCTTTTGATTCCAATGGCTCAAAGAGTCTTCCAGCTTTGTTGGCGCTTTAGGATCTAAGGGAATATGGGTGGTGTCCAGGGGTGTCTATTTTTAAATGCATTCAGTAAGCATTTATTAACACCTTGTCAGGTGAGGCTCTGAGGCTGTCGGCATGACTGAAACATGGTCCCTGCCCTCATGGATTCAGTCTGGGGCAGAGATAGTCTTACCTTTATTTGTTTTCAGCCTTGAAGAAATCAACACCTGCACCATGCACTATGCCATTAGGGAACCCACTGCTCTCCGGTTAGAAGTAAACTCTCAGCTTTCCTTGTTTGACCCATGAGTTGTTTTGAAGGAATTTTTTAAAAATATATAAACAAGTGGAATTTTTCCAGTTCCCTTTTTATTGTTGATTTCTAACTTAATTGTACTGTTCTTAGAGAATGTGGTCTGTATGGCACCAATCCATTGAAGTTTTCTAAGGCTACTGTTGATCTTTCTTAATTATGCTTTTCTGTATTTAATTCTTAAACATTTATGCTGACTCAATTTAGAGAGATAATATGATAATTACAACTTCAGAGTCTAGAGCCAGATCTTGATTTTCCTCTCAGCTCTGCCAGTGACTTGCTGCATAAAATTGGGTAATAATCTCAGTTTCCACATCTGTAAAGTAAGAATAATAAAAGAGATGATTACAGTGGGTTCCGAAGAGGATCAAATAAGCTTATACTTGCACAGAACCAAAAACAGTTCTTGGCACATAGTGAGTGCTCAGTAAATGTTATTTAATATTATTTTTCTACTTATATATTCCATTTATAGAACATTCTCAAAAAGACAAAATTATAGAGGTGGAGAACAGATCAGCGGTTGCCAGAGGTTAGAGATGAAGGGAGGGAAACAGGATGACGATAAAAGGGTAGCACAAATGGTCTTCGAGATGATGGAACTGCTGTATATCTTGGTTGTGGTGGTGGCCATGTGAATCTACACATACAACAAAATTGCATAGAAACACACACACACACATACGCACATACACATACACACGAGTGCATGTAAAACGATGTAAGTCTGAATAAGGTCTGTGGATTATACCCACTGAGTCAACTTCCTGGCTTGGATATTGTGCTATCGTTAGGTAAGACCTTACCATTGAGGGAAACTTGCAGAAGGGTACACAGGACCTCTCTGCACTATTTTTTGTAACTTTTTGTGAGTCCATAATTATTTAAAAATTTAAAAAACTTTTAAATGCTCCTAGTATATGGTGAATGTCTAATAAATGTTATTTATTATGTTTTGTCATAGCTGTTTTTCAAGTTTTTATGTATATTTAACATATTTTAACTTTGAAATTAAATTCAGAACAATAGATACTATTTTTAAAAAGACAAAGTGTGTCTCAGCAAAGTTCCATATTGTTACATGTAGAGGAACTTTGAGCCCCTTGTGAGCTGAAAAATGGCTTAGAATTTCTGATAACTAGTGTCTTTTTGTTAGCCCCTTTTGAATTGTGAAAATATCAGGAGGCATGAATAAGAAAACTCTAAGTCCTGAGTCCATGCATGTTCGTCTCCTGGATGCAGGAAAACTTGGGAACAATAGATGAGAAAGGGCTGGACCCGAGGAATTAGAACTCTGCGGTCTCAACGAATGGTTTATATTCCCAGAACACCCCTAGTGAGAGCAATCTCCTACCTCCATCACTCAGTTACTTTGACCAGAAAAGTCCTTGTCACTGTTTCCAAAAGGGGTCCTGAAGATTATCCTATACAGTCTTTGCATTTGCAATCAGAAGCTGGGGCTGAGGGACGGTAAGTTTCCTGACCAAGGCCAGTAGCTGGTCAACAGCAGAGCCTGGTCTTCAATCAAGGCGAAAGCTGTTTGCTCTGGGTCTCACTGTGGCAGGGCCCAGGACAGCAGGGATTTGATGCTGTCTCCCACCCAAAACCACCCAGAGTCATTGAGTGTAATCAGGAGACCAGTGCTTAAGGGGCACCTCCTCAGGCCCTCAGCACTGAAGGGGAGCAGGGAGGAGATTGAGATGTACCCAGCCCACAGCCTAGGCACCAGCCGTCCAGGGACACGGGCCTACACTGTGATGCAGGTGGTGGGCGCCATGGCATGTCCCAGTGGCTTCCTCTCTGTCTACTCCCAGAATTTACAATTTTGACCCTAAGAGAATACCAACCCTAAAAGCCTAAATTTTCTCCTTACACTGTTGTGAGTTGAAAAAGCTGTGCTCAAGGGTACACAAATGTTACCAGTGGAAGGTGTCCAGGTTCTTGGCATTTTGAACAAAGAATTGGACAAAATGCACAAACAAAGCTATGAAAGAATAAAGCAAAGAGAGCATAGATTTATTGAAACGAAAGTATACTCCACAGACTGGCAGTGGGCTTGAGCAAGCACCCCAAGAACGCTGGTTACAGAATCTTCTGGGCTTTAGATACCCTCTAGAGGCTTCCCATTGATTACTTGGTTCACACCCTATGTAAATGAAGTAGTGGCTCACAACCAATCTGATTGGACATGGAAGGTGACCAATCAGAGGCTAACATGAAGTTACAAAGTTACACCCTATGCAAGTGAAGACTAGGCCTACAATCAGTCTGATTGGTTGCAGGAGGGGACCAATCAGAGGTACTTTCATTTTTAATTTGCAAGGCAGAAAAGCAGGAGGGGTGGGGGGAGCAAGTTGCAAAGGGAGTAGCCTCGGATCCTTTTGTTACTTGGGTGTGGAGAGATGGGGTTTTCCTTTTTATTCAGTTCTAGGAAACCAGTGCAAATTGGCCTTAGGTTCTCTGTCTCCAGACCCTATTCTCCTGCCTCACAAAGATAGGTGTACCTTTTTGTTAATTCAACCACTGACACACAAAGTTACTGCCTGTGCTAGCTGAGTGTCTGACAGCAAGTCAGAAGGCAAATGGTCTGTTCTCGGCCCTCACCCGCTAGCCAGGTGTTCTTAGGCTCTCCTCTCCGAACCTCAGTTTTGTCACTTGCCAAATGGGATATCTTGCTTCCTTAACTGGCGAGATTGTGGTGAGGATTAAGTGAACCCTTGGAGATGAAAGGCTTTTGTGATTTGTAAAGTTTGTTATACTAGACACTAGATTAGTGTCATATCATAAACCCCTGCCTCTCTCCACAGTTCTACTAGGAATTGGCCTCTTTTGCCCAAGAATTGAGATATAACCCCTTACCTTTTCGAGAAGAGCTGGAAATTCCTGATCCCCAAAGGAATGATTCAGAGTGGAACTTTACACACATTCAAGTAGATCTCCGAAAGAAAGATTTGGGGGCCAGAGCCCCTCAGTCAGTTCTGTTAAATGGCTCTGCTGAGATGACGAAGAGGATTTAGAAAGAGAATAGGTACAAAGCCATAGGAGACCAACTCAAAAAATAGCACTGGCCCCATTTATACCTTCCTGCTTCCCTGGAGCCAGAAAAAGTGGCACCTACAGCCTTCACTGCTTGGTCTACCCTGCCACCTTGTGGCTATTTGCTAGAATGCACCAGTAGAACAGCCTCAGAGAAAGCAGGGACCAGTAGGAACCCTTAATCATGCACTCACTCCTTTGCTCCGTCACTCAACAAACCTGTACAGACGCTCACAGTTGTTCAGGCTGAAGAAATTCACAGGCTGGAAGAAGAGAGGGACTGAAGGGAGGGTAAATGGAGAAAAGAGACTTGCTAGGCAGGGGTCTTGGTGTTTGCAAAGACACTGAAGCCTCACAGGTTTGGGAAATGGTGAGCTTCTCCATGTGACTGAAGAATAGGGTGCACCAGGTAGAAATGATGGGAGATAGATTATAGCCTCACTATTAGAAAATGATATGTATGAAACTGTAAGCCTCTGTACGTTAGGAAAAAAAAAACACAAACAAACAAAAAACAAAGAAAGACACAACTTGGTCCCTGGAGTGCAGGGCAATTCAGGTTACAGGTTACAGGTTACAGGTTACAACCCTCCGCAAATGGCCCCCAGACTTCCATGGCCCTGCTGTCCTGAGACTCCTAGGAGGAAACACTTACTCTGAATCCCTCGCCATGATTAAAATCAGTTTCTAAATGGGGTAGGATCTTGTGTAATCTCAAGTTTGAAAGGGACCTTAGAGTCATTTAATCCAACCCTCCCTGCAAGCCAAGATTGCTGCCAACTCACCACACATCTTAAGCTTAAATCACCTTCAGTGATGAGTTCAGATGCTCACCCAAAGCCCGTTCCATCTTTAGACACAGGAAATCCTTTATTCTATCAAGCTGAGTTCTTCCTCTTTATAATTCCTGTTCATTGATATAAGGTTCCCCCCGCCAGGGTTCTGTCAAAGAAGTAATCAGATACATGAATGTATATGAAGAAGGTAACCATTTAGTGGCAGCACTGAGGTTTCTGGAAATAGGAAATCATGGTAGTATTATTTCCGAGGAACTAATACTGGCATAGGCCTTGGGGGAGCTGTGTCCTAGTCCTTATAGAATTTCTTTGCTTAATGTCACTTGGCTTCCTTTCCTTTATGATAGAGTTGGATTCGATCAGAATTCTCACCACTGGTTCTAAGTCAGAATCATCTGGAGAGCAAGAAGCAGAATGTCTGAAATCTTCCTATGGTACAGAACTGCTGGATGAGACCATCAGTGGGGTAAGCTCAAATACTCCATGATAATTCAAGACATGATTAACTATAATAGTCTCCAGTTCTTGTTGAGGTTTTTGTCAAGCCCATGATGGCCTGGTATGTAAGTTCTTGGTGATTCCTATTTCTTAAAGACCTACCTAGATCTACAGCTTTCTCCCATCTGCATGATCAAAGTGTGTCGTTCACAGAGCACAATTATTTTGTCCTGTCGTGCTCTTTTGGACAGAGACCCACCAGTGACATAAAAGACAAAACTAGCTAGAGAAGAAAAAAGAGACGTATTGCCTGATCTTAGCTGAGTGCCATGACCTTCTTGTTCCCCATTCACCTCATCTGTAAAGAGGGAAGACAAACCCACTTCAGTGAGTTGTCGTGAGGGTAATTGAGACCGTGAGTGTAAAGCCTACTGGCAATGAGAAGGCTCTCCAAATCTCAATTCCCTGAGTCTTTGACAGCGAGAAGAAAGTGAAAACGAGAAGCTAGGGTGGTGCCTTTTCTGAGAGCATTTTTCTTCATCTTTCTTCCCATGAACAGCCTCTGTTGAATTGTATCATGTCCCCACAAAATTCATACGTTGAAGTCCTAACTTCTAGTACCTTAGAATGTGACCTTATTTGGAAATAGGGTCGTTGCAGATATAATTAGTTAAGTTGAGATCATTAGAGTGGGCCTTAATCTAACACAAGTGATGACCTCATAAAAAGGGAAGAACTTTGGATACAGAGACACAAACACAGAAACACCATGTGAAGATGAAAAGATTGAGGTGATGCTTCTACCAGCCAAAGAGTGCCAGATTGCCAGGAAATGACCAGAAGGTAGGAGAGAAGGCTGGAACAGATTCTTCCTTACAGCCCTCAAAAGAAACCAACAGTGCCAACACCTTGATCTCGGACTTCCAGCCTTCAGAACCATGAGGCAATAACATTCTATGGTTTAAGCCATTTCAGCTGGTGGTACTTTGTTTCAGCAGCCTTGGCAAACTAATTACACCGCTAGAGGTGACTCCTACTGGTGACATCAAAGGACAGCTCTGTCCAGATGGAAGGAGGCACTGAAGTTCCACAGAACAAATGGGAGACACACGAGAACCCTGAGAGAGCCTCTCCATGGGCCACCAGCTCAACATGGCTGTCCACCTTGTACTGCCGTGAATGGACAATTTGCCATTCTGAACATGCCCCTTCTCAAGATATGCAGAATCCATAGGAACATCAGTTTTTTAGTATACTTTAAGTTCTGGGATACATATGCAGAATGAGCAGCTTTGTTATATGGGTATACATGTGCCATGGTGGTTTGCTGCACCCACCAACCTATCATCTACATTAGGTATTTCTCCTAATGCTATCCCTCCCCTAGCCCCCAGCTCCCGACAGGCCCCAGTGTGTGATGTTTCCCTCCCTGTGCCTATATGTTTTCATTGAGGAACATAATTTATTAGCCATAGTTTTATATATTTTGGTGTTTCCTTGTAATTTTCCTTCCATATATGTCCATGTTTTGTTTTGTGATTTTGACTACGAACCTTTGAGGGCTGGAACCACGTTACAAACCTCACTGGGAGTCAGGTGATGTTTGATAAGAATTCTTGGTGTGACCTTAAGCATGTCACCTTTCTTTTCAGGCCTGGTTTCCTTGCCTATGGAAGAATTATTATCACTAAGCTCTCTCCAGTTACAATATTCTGTGATCCCAACTCCATATGTATTTACATAACCAACCTGCCTTCTTGGGGTCCTAAAGGGAAAGAAAGACCCAGGAAACTCATCTTTTAGATATGTTGAGCAGCTGTCATCTGGGGTTAAATGAGTCAGCCTCATTTAATAAGGGGCTAGACCCCAAACGTTTGGGAGCAATGTAGTACCCAGGGGCTGTAAACCCCACTAGGTCTCCTTCCTAGACTCCAAAGTCCTCCTGCCTGGGCATCTGTCTTTCTAGAAGGCCACTTTTTTGTGTTAATCTTTTTTCTTTTTTTCTCCCATGAGTCATAGGGAATGAGAGAAGGCCACTTTCTTAGTGAGTGCTGAAGCTTTCTCTTCTTTGGAGGCAGGCCCTGGATGCTATATTTCATGTAATGGGCAGCCTTCCCATGGTAGGGCTGGGCTTCTGTGTACTGTTTTGAAGCTTCCTATCTCTGCTCTGGGATGGGAGGAACATTCACTTTCCAACTGGGTACAGTATTTTGGGTAAATAACATTTTGTTTCTTACCTTGGAGGGATTACAGCATGCCTTGGCCTCCACTATAGAGAAGCTTGGGCCTAGTCAAAGAAGTGTAAGGGTCCTTCTAATGGCAAACTCCCCAGAAGCGTGGCTATCTGTGAAGCGTAAGGGTCCTTCTAATGGCAGACTCCCCAGAAGCATGGCTATCTGTGAAGCGTAAGGGTCCTTCTAATGGCAGACTCCCCAGAAGCATGGCTATCTGTGTGTAAATTATGCTCCTTTGGTTCCAGGAAATAGACTCATACAGGCCAGTCCAAGTAACGGCAGTGGTGTAGAAATGAAGGCAGTGACCCCATTATACAGTGGTTATAAGAGGGATGGATTATCCTAGAAATCTAAGACTAGAAACCCCCACACAATTATAAGCTTCATAGAACTAGATCCTGAAAGGTCACCCTAGTTCTGCAGACCTCATTCTGGAGCTTTGCCGTTAATGTGGCCCAGCTACTCTTCAGGGGTCAGCTTTTCTCTGCTCCTATTCCTCATTCTAATTCTCTTAGTGCTTACCAATGCATGTCTCTGATAGAACACAGGACAACTTATTATTATTATTAATTTTTTTTTTGAAACAGAGTCTCACTCTGTTGCCCAGGCTAGAGTGCAGTGGCACGATCTTGGCTCATTGTAACCTCCACCCCCTGGGTTCAAGCAATTCTCCTGCCTCAGCCTCCCTAGTAGCTGGGATTACAGGCATGCGCTACCACGCCTGACTAATTTTTGTATTTTTAGTAGAGACGGGGTTTCGCCATGTTGGCCAGGCTGGTCTCGAACTCCTGACCTCAAGTCATCCATCTGCCTCGGCCTCCCAAAGTGCTGGGATTACAGGGGTGAGCCACCGTGACCAGCCTTATTATTAATTATTACTATGAGTGAGACAGAGAGAGAAAATGGAAACCCAGATTTCAAAGGGAATAGCTCATTTCTCCAAGAAGCCTGAGGCCTAACAATTGAATTGAACTGATTAAAGTTCTAATGACAACCACTGTGCGAACTCAGCCTACCCGGACACCTTTAGCTGCGGGACCTTGGACTAGTTCCTCCTTCCATTTCCCCATGTCTAAAACGGAACATTTGTAACCAGGCATGGTGGTGGCCCCTGTAGTCCCAGCTACTCTGGAGGCTGAGGCAAGAGGATTGCTTGAGCTCAGGAGTTCAAGTGAGCTATGATGGTGCCATTGCCGCACCCCAGCCTGAGTGACAGAGCAAGACTCCATCTCTAAGAAAAATAAAATAATAAATAAATAAATAAATAAATATTAAAAATTAAAATGGAACATTTGCCTCTGGTTTTCCTTCCCTTAGGGTTGTGTAAAGAGCAGGAGCCTGTTCTCCACTCTCCACCCCAGGCTCTGGGCGGCAGTAGGAAAGTGCCTTCAGCCCTCCTGCCTCAATCCTTTCATGGGTCAGGTGCAAGATTTGAGCTAGGTGATCTTACCACCCCATCCCTTCCAACTACTAAATAGCTCTGCATAATTCTAACCACCCCTTCCCTTCCAACTACTAAATAGCTCTGCATAATTCTAACCACCCCGCTTCTCTGGGATTACCCCTTACACATCCTCATCACACTGATCCTCAGAAACCTATCCTCTAAAAATCCCACAATGTAGAACACCACGCATGTTCCATGTATGGGTGAAAAGCTGCATTTACATCTTGCTTTTTAGTAAACATTTTATATTCCCTTTGCCCTGGCTTATCTGCTTAGAGACTTTTCTTTTTAGTTATTATTGATTGTCAATTGGCTGCAGTTACTCACTCTTTGATCTTCCCTTTTGTTTAAATGGCCACCCACACTATCTGCCCTCGCCCCTCCATCTCTCTATTAAACAGTAATGAAATGCAAACAAACTTGGAGGTACTCTGGGAGCAAAGGGACCCTGGGGCCAGCTTCCCTTAGGCCTGTGAATTGTCATTCCTGAAGCTGTCTGTTTTGTAAGTTCTCCTGCCAAGTTTCTATGGGAGCAGAGGGATCATTTTCTCCCTTTTCAAAGAGCAGGGTGAGTTGAGGCCTCGAGCTGGCAAGTCCTTTAAAGTCATTTTCAAAGGAAACCTGAGCTGAAAGGCCATGCAGCTGGCAGAGGGTGCTGTGCCTTTCTGAGGCTCTCTGTGGGGTGCTGGGTGGTCAGCTCCCATGGCTTCCCAGCACGTGCTCGGAGCCTGCTGCAAAGGCACTGCCAAGGGACACGGCTGCCCAACAAGTGGGCCCATGGCCCTGGGGACAGGCTCAACTCCACATGCTCTCCCCACTGCCACCCAGGAACAGGAAGGGGGGTGTGCAGGCTTCTCCTCTGGGCCAGTGACCAGAACCACACTTGTCCTCACTGTTCTCAGGTCAAACTTGATCCTTGGCGTTTTTTGAGGTAAAATAAAACTAGGTGCAAAGCAAGCTAGGGTGAACTTACATCTGAATCAGGGAATCATAAATGGTGTAGTTCACTCTCATGGACAGGTTGGAAAGGGGACCCAGAGGGAAAGTGCTTGTCCCAAGTCACACTGGAGGAGGTGGCTGAGTTCTGCCGCAGGGCTCTTGGGACAGAGCACCTCTGCAGGGATGGAGGTTTGCTTGGCCACTAACCATTCATAAAGCTTCTGAGTCTGCAGATGTCTGCCAATCACCCAGCAGACACCAAAAAGCCCCAGATGCACTCAGGCTGAGAAATATATGTCTGGGGCCACATGCCTTCATACTGCCCCATGAGCCGAGGAGAGAGAAATTGTTCGTGAAGCCAGAAAGCAAGATGGGCCTTCTCACTTCCAAAACTGGGCAAACTGAGGTTCAGAGGAAGAAGAGATGCCTATCTATGTGTCAGCAGAGCTAGGAGGGAAGTCATTAAATGCTTAGCCTAGGCCGGGCATAGTGGCTCACACCTGTAATCCAAACACTTTGAGAGGCTGAGGCAGGCAGATCACCTGAGGTCAGGAGTTCGAGACCAGCCTGGCCCACATGGCAAAACCCCTTCTCTATTAAAAGTACAAAAAATTAGCTGGGCATGGTGGCGTGCACCTGTAATGCCAGCTACTTGGGAGGCTGAGGCAGGAGAATCACTGGAACCCAGGAGGCGGAGGTTGCAGTAAGCTGAGATCCGAGTCTCTGTCTCAAAAAACAACAAAACAAAACAAAACAAAACAAAAGTGCTTAGCCTAGAGCTGAGTGGGAGGTCCTTCCAAAATCTCCCACCTGAGCTCTTCAGAAAGGGCCTGGAGTCCGCAGTCCCTCCTGGTGCTGGGATCCAAATGTGCGTTCATGCCAAGGTACCAGGAACCTAGCCTCATCTCAAAAGACGCTCGTTTTTGAGAATGCAGCAGCCAGCAGCCCCTTCCCTCCAAGAGCTTTTTCCACTAGGTTAGGAGCTGAGGGAGTCAGACGCAGGCCAGGCCCCATTCCAACGCAAGAAAAGCCCTCCAGACCAAGCCAGTTTGACTTTTCAACATTTTATTCTTATATTTGTACAGCTATATTTTACAACGCGGTAATGCAGTTTAGACACAGCCAAACCCTGTCTCCGGAGTAGTTATAACACAAGCATGACGCAGAATGGGATGAGACAAACATTCCCAAAGAGAGTTTAGTTAGTAACAACTTCAAGTCCCTGTGTCTGCCTACACTTCAAAAAGGGATGGTGCACGCTCGCCCATCATTGAAAACTTCCGTGAAAAAAGGCACCGTGAGGACACGTTGTACGGGTATATACAAACTGAAAACTAGAACAAAATTACACATTTTTCCTTCTGCAGATTTTTTTGTTCTTTTTGTTTTTTTTAATACACACTTTGTAAATTGTAAACCTTCACTTGCAAAAAAATACAAATACACTGAGGCATTTTAGACAAAATATTTTCTTACTTATACAGATGCAATACTTAAAATATTCTCTTAAGTGCTCTTTCTCAATAAAGATTCTCAGATCCGTGTCTGCCTGCAGATACAAAATCGAGCCTTTAACGCAGTTTTATATTTTTAATATATCTTTTTTAGGTTTATATATATTTATTTTATATATATATATATTTATATATTTACAACTCTGCCATATATTCCTTCACCTTTGGTTAAAAAAATTAAAGCCCTCTCTTTGACAACATACTGAAGTCTTGTCTTTTAAAAGAATGCACATTTACATACAAAAGAAACATCTGTTCCCACAAAACATATACATTCCTCATTTTGCAGACTAAAGTCAAGTCAGAACTTTTGCATACTCCCCTGCTTTGACATATAAAATGATTTTGCTTTTTGCTGACATGGTTCACCTTACACATAGGAGAAGAAGCAATATGATTTTCTTAATGTTTTATGGCAGTGGGGGAGGGGGAGCTGCTGCGGCTCCCAGTCCCCCAGGCCCCGACCCCCACCACCCCCAACCCCCAGCTATGATTTGCACTAGTGGATGAAAGAGGCACTACATCATGGGATGAACATTGTAAAGTGTTACAGTATCCTTTGGGTAGATTCTGAGAAGGGGCTGGAGACGAAAGCATCAACACTCCATGCTTCAGCAGGCTTTGGGGAGCTCCGGAGGCAGGTCAGTGGCTGACACGCGGTATTGCACCTTGGTGTTGGTGATGGCGCCATGCTTCTGGCGCAAGTGAAGTCGCAGCTGGCTTTTGTGACGGAAATGCAGGTTACACTTCTCACACTGCAGGGATATCAGAGGCAAACTGTTAGCTGTCATCAACCCAAGAAAGATGTCATTGCTCAAAGACCCAGAGAGGAAGATTCTCCCTACGAGGGACTGGGGCAGCTCTTGCCTCTCCAAGGCCAGGTGAAGAACCCATATGCATCCGGGCTTCTGCCGACAGATAAGCTAGCGTTGTGCAAATGTCCGTTCCCTGCTTTCCCAAGTGTTGCTTCTGCCTCTCCCTTGCTAGAGACGTCCTTCCCTGCCTTAACTCCACAAGTTTGAGTCTTATCCAAAAGTGCAGTTAGATGCAAACTCTTCTAATGATTAAGGCATTTCTGAATCTCTCAAGGATGAAAATAATCCTTGTTTTCCTTTGAGCCTCTGTAAGATTTCTACCTTTACCACACAGCCCTCCGTGTGCATGGATCCTTCTTCAGTGGGTAACACTTTGAGGGCAGTGGCTATTTTTTTCCTAAACTTTATAATCTTCCTAGGACCTCACAGAATATACCTCTTATTCAAATTATGCAATTAATCTGAACACATCTGGACAAATGGACTAGATCAGTCTGAATTCACGGAAATTCTGGAGTCTAGGGTAAATTTTTTTAAATGCAGTTATATTCTTTCCTAGGGTATATATCCTAGATAAGCTAACTAAACATTAGCAAGTGGAGCCGTTTCTTGATTTAATTCAATGAATGGGTAATAAGCGCTTTAGTTTAGATAAAAGTTACTTAAAAGTAAAATGGATGACTAAATGTAATGGGGTAATCTAGATGAGATCTTGAATGAGAAAGGACATTCTTAGATAAAAACAAAGAAAATGTAAGTAAAGTACGAACTTTAGCTTATAATTATATTATCAGTATTGGTTCATTAGTTGTGACAAATGTATGGAACTAACGTAAGATGTTAACAATAGGATAAAATGGGTGCGGGTAGGAGCCCTCAGTACAATCTTTGCAACTTTTCTATAAATCTAAAACTATCCTAAAACAAAAAGGGTAATAAAATATGTTCAGATAGAGTATATGTTTTCAAGTGAAAATGGAAATAGATGAAGACAAATAAAAAATGAGCAGGGCCATGTGTAAACTCTCTGGTCTTGGGAGACATAGAGAATCTACTGTATCTATGCCATTCACCGCTGTGTGTCCCCAGCATGTCATTTCACTCTCCGGGCCTTGGATCTCCCTTCTGAATGGCCTGGGTCAATACAGGCTGAAAGTCATTCTCAACTCTGATATCCTAGGCATCTAAAATTCTAGCAAATCATGATAGCAGATATTTATTTTACTATTACTATGTGCATGTGCTATCCTCAACACTTTAATCATTAGTTAATACTACAACTCCATGAAGTAGATACTATTTTCAAACTCACTTTACAGATTAGGAAATTAAGGTACTAAGAGGATAACGAATTTGCCCAAACAGCAAGTAAGAAGATATTCACTCACAGCTTGATCAACAAGTGAACAAAAATAACCATGTTTTGCAGGTTAACCTCCGGTATGTAGGTTAACCATTCATTGATTACTTCTTGTCCCCATCACCACCTAGAAGAATGTCATCAACTCCTCAAAGCAACCATAGGCAAAACGTACACAGATGAGCGTGGCTGTGTTCCAATAACCTTTTACTTAGGGACAATGAAATTTAAATTTCATATAATTTGCATATGGCACAAAATATTCTTTTACTTTTTAACTGTAAAAACCATTCCTAGTTCATGGAATGTTCAAACATTGGCACACAGGCTATAGCTGCCGAGACCCCGCCCTAGAACATTCCAATCCCAGTGAACCTATCCACAGTGTCGTGCTGCATGGCTGGCCGCCTCCTCTTTCTTAAAATGACCTTCTTTATGTTTTTTTTTAATTTTTTCCTGTAACATCATTAATTCTTATAACATTCTTTTTGTTCTCCTCCTCCTAAGACTGTTCCTTCTCAAACACCTTAGCTCCTCTTAAATGTGCATCTAGCCCAGTATGGGGTGTCCAGGAGGCAATCAATAAGTATTTGTGAAATGAATGAATCTAGGTGGAGTGAATCAAGTCTATGTATCCACAGTCTAGACTCCTCTCCTAAGGCCCAGATCACCTAGTCCCATACCCTCATTTTAAAGATGAGTCCCCTAATGCTTGGGCCAAGGTCAAGCAGGGTGTCTGGCCATTGGGCCCAGATCTAGGTCTTCCAACCATTAGCGTAGTGGTTGCCCCACTGTGTGCTTGAGATGGGAGCAAACAGTTCCACTGCCTCCCTGCTCCACCTCCTTCCCTGCGCTCCACCTCCTTCCCTGCCCTCCACATCCCCGCAGGTCAGAGAGCGGCCTCAAGAGGCTTACGTACATGGTAAGGTTTCTCTCCTGTGTGGATTCGCAGGTGGCTCTTCAGAGTCTGAAGGTGCCGGAAACGGGTGCCACAGATTTCACAGGGATAGGGCTTCTCACCAGTGTGGATAAGCACATGGGCACGGAGGTGGGCCACCTGAACGAAGAAGAAGGCATGAGAGGTCTTCTGGGGTGGGCTGCAGGCCTCTGGGCAGCCCCTCATTAGCACACAGCCAGTGAGTGGGCCTTTCTCCAGGCCACTCTGCTCACCTGCACACAGGGACTGAGTGGGCCTTTCTGCTGCCCACTCTGCTCACCTGCCCACTCCTCTGCTCACCTGCCCACTCTGCTCACCTACCCGCTCTGCTCACCTGCCCGCTCTGCTCACCTGCCCGCTCTGCTCACCTGCACACGGGGACTGAGTGGGACTTTCTCCTGCCCGCTCTGCTCACCTGCCCGCTCCGCTTGCCTGCCCGCTCCACTTGCCTGCCCACTCCTCCGCTTGCCTGCCCACTCCTCCGCTCGCCTGCCCGCTCCGCTCGCCTGCCCGCTCCGCTCGCCTGCCCACTCTGCTCACCTGTACAAATCTGGCTCCGCAGGTTTCGCATTTGTAGGGCTTCTCTCCAGAGTGAATTCGAGTGTGGGTTTTCAGGTTGGCTGGCCGGTTGAACTGGGCCCCACAGATGTTGCAACGATAGGGTTTCTCACCTATTACCAAGAAAAAGGGAAAAAGAAAAGCCATATTCAATAAGGAAGGTCTCTGCAGTCCGTGGCTCCTGGATTTCTAAGCAGCCTGCTCCTCCCTGAGGCCACTTGTGTTTTCCTTTCCCTTAGGGAATGTGAGAGAGAGAATCCAGGGGCCTGCCCCCACATCTGTCAGCCCTCTCTCACACACGCACCTGCATACCTCGCAGGGGACCAGGGCCAAGAAACAAGTGGTGGCACGGAGTAGCAACAATGCCAGGTGTGGGATAGGAGAGGGGGAGATTCCAGGAAGCCTGGGCTTTAGAACCAGCTTTGTCATTAGGATTATCTGCCTGCGGAACCTGGACAAGTCACTCTCCTTCTCTGGGCCTCAGTTTCCCTCTCTGGAACCTGAGGGGCTACTTCAGATTACCTGGGAAGGTTCTTCTAGCTTTTCCCTTGGATAAGACAGATTCACTCATCAACTCATTCACCAGGGAGACACAATCAGGCTGCTCTAGTTTCTCTCTTTTAGAACAAACAGATTTTTCCGCTTGTGGCAACTACAGCTGGATTCCATTTGCAAGAGGGGTGGGGCTTGGGCCTGAGTAGATGCTCAGCAGAGGAAACCAATAGAATGGCTGAACCTTCCTTCATGGAAAGTTTTTGGGATAATAGGGCCATTTACGGTACTAAGAGAGTAGATTTTAAACAACAAGCAGGTCATGAGAAGCTACCTGGTAAAGGAATGTGAGTTGATAAGGAACAAGTCATTGAAACAAATCAACAGGCTTTTTTTTCTGGCTTTACAAAAATTGAATCTATTTGTCTTTCCCAGACTTAGTCTCTTCACCTGTACAGTGGGATTAACACTTCTGACCCCAGCAAAGGCAGAAAAGCAGGATAGAGCATCTCAGAGGAAAGACAAAGGATACAGGGAGTAGATGAGTCGAGTCACTAAGCAAAGACAAGACAGGGTTAGACCCCTCGTTCAGGCCAGGATGGGGCCTGCCTCCTGCCTTGCCCCACCAGGTCTCCAGGCCCCACACAGCTTTCTCTAGGATCCTCTCCCTGTCCTGCCCCAATAATTGTGGAGAGTTCGGGTCGTGTGGGGCAGGGCCATACCGGTATGGACGGTCTTGTGGCTGGCGAGGTTGCCCTTGTAGCGGAAGGAGGCCTGGCAGCGGTCACACTTGTAGGGTTTGTCACTGTGGGTCTGCAGCGTGTGCCTCTTGAGTGAGGCCTCCTCAGAGAAGCGGCAGTCACACTCATTGCAGAAGAAGGCCCCGTTCTCTGTTGGAGGGTGGTAGGGGGACACCAAAGTCAGCACGAGGAAGGGAGGTAGGGCTCTAAGGCCGCTCTCCTCTGTAGCTACCCCTTGTGCCAAACTGAACTCTCAGTCCCTCACTCACCCACCCGACATTCATGGGAGCTCGGAGCAAAGGATCTGTGGGGACTTTATTTTTCTTATCATTCAGAGTCTTAGCCATAGAGAAGGGAGAAAGGAGATGGACTGAATTAAGGTACAGAAGGGAAGCTCAAACCAACAGGTGCTCAGAGGGCCTGCGCCAGTTTGAGGAAAGCTCAACAGAGATTTTCTTTCCCCAAGAGCTCTGAGAATTGATTTTTAAAAATAAGTTTACAGTTTTATTTACATTTATACACAGAAGCCCTAGGGCAAGACCCTTTACCTCTGAGCCTCTCTCTGTATCTCTGTCTTCAAAGTCAGATAATAAATCCCTGTCCTGCCTACCTCACAGGAGGATATTATATTACACAAAATAAAACACAAAGCATTCCAGGAATGTAAGATATAGGTCAAATTCAATTCTACTTTGAGGTCACTGAAGGAGGAATCAATGACGAACACTCTGTGGTCACCCTTGCACCTATTTGGATTTCATGTCTCCAAATCCTCCTGTGAGACTGGGAGACCGAAGCTGATGGTGGAAGTGGGAACAGAGGCCCAGAGAAAAAGAACTGGAGTGCAGAGCAAAGGCAAACTAGCCAGGGTGCAGGAGGGGACAGTCCCCGCTCTCCCATCTATGGGTCCATGACCCTGTGCCAAATCTCTTGGTGTAAGCAGCTGATTTATTTTTTCATTTGTTGTAACAATTTGAAAATGAGAAGTCACGGTGATTTTACCCTGATTAGGTACTACTGGGCTCTATTACTGTAGCCAGAGCTGGGCGAAGATTTAGACTTTTTTGTCTGGTAAAAACTGGGAATGCCAACCACCAACTATCCAGAAACTGCAATTTAATAATTCTCTTCAACTCTTTTAACTCGACTAATATTACTGAGTTCCTACCCCATGCTAGGGACTTACTACTACCTATGGGGGATGTGAGAATGAATAAGGTCAGATGCTTCTCCTTACAGAATGTACAGCCTGGCAGAGAATAACATGCACACAGGTCAGTCCTAGTCATTTTGGTATAGAGGAATGGAGAAAGCTCTGGGAGTTACAGCCAGCCCCACAAGCTACTTTTGCTGGCATGAAGCTAAAATGACTGTATGGTAAGTCTTGATTACCCCAGATCAACTCTAAAACCCCATCCCTTGCTTTGGTTAACCCAGTTCCCCAAGAAGCGAAGCGTGGGATGAACGGCTGGTGACTTGGAGTGCCAGTGGACTTCCAATTGAGGACTGCTCCAATCAGAGACAACAGCATAAGTAAAATGGAGCACAAAACCTATGGAGCAGAGGGGCCTTCCTTCTCCCTGACAAGAGGAGGGAGGGAAAAGGACTCACCACAGCTAGAATCTGAGTACTCAGACTGGGTCTCTCCCATCTCCTCAGGGAACGTGGGGCCAGCGGTGTGGAGGCACATCTCTGCATGCTGTGGGGACTGAGAGCCGCAGGACGTGCACTTCGGGGGGTGCATGTAGAGTGGTGAGTGGCTCTCGCTGCTGCTGCGGGGAGAGCCCGTCATGGACCTATGGACAGGAGTAAAAACAGCCTCAGCACCTGGGGCAGGGCCTCAAGACCACCCTCTCCTCCCTGTGTGTAGGCAAGCCCAGAGGCCAGAGCTGGGCTGCCCACTCAAGCTCTGAGACCCCAGAGTTGTCCTCAAGTTTATCTCCAAACAGTATCTGCAGAAAGATCACTGACCAGGGTCAAACTGAGCCAGAGCTTCCCCGCAGCCCACAATCTCTCTCAGTCCAAGGGTAGTAGGATGGTCCCCTGCTACATCAAGACCACAGGAAGTGCCTGTGGGATTTACAGAATGCTATTCTGCCCCAGAAGGGAATTATCTCTCTTGCTATGAAAAAATATACACTACTTAAGTGTAAAATACTTCCTTACTCAGACTAACTCAATCTATAGGCACTGATTCCACACCTCTAATAGGCTCAGCAATTCAGGCAAGAAAAGAAGAAACGACATGGAACCCTGCCCAGGTAACCCCTGACCTCAGACCCAGACAGTCTCTGAAATCACCTGTTAACGATGTTATTGAGCCGGCTGGCTTGTGGGATGGTGGAGTCCTCCCCGCTGGCACTCAGCTTGGTTGGGGACTGGAGGTCAAGGTTCTCAGGCTCCATGGGTGGCTGGCAGGCAGGTGGGGCCGTGTAGGCTCGTGGGGAAAGGCGGCCCAGCTCAGCCTGCTCAGGCCCCTCTGGTTTGGCATTCTGGTTGAGGCTGTTGAGCACGATGAACTTGTATTTCTTCCAGTTGCAGGCTTTGGGGTCAGTGGGGCTCTTGGCTGGAGGGGAGCCAGAAGCCTGGAGGATGCAGGCATTCTTACTGCTGCAGGACTCTGTGGGCGAGTTGGGCTGGCAGTCAGATTTCTGGGGGCTCTGTGGACTAACCAGACCCTTCCGGTTCAGGGGTGCATTGGGGGGCTCGAAATGCAGGGCAATCTCATCTTCCGAGGAGGGTCTCTCTTCTTCTTTGCTGGCCTTGTCACAAGGGAAGTAGGGGGCATTTCGGGCTGAGGGGGCAGCAGGTTTGAGGCCCTCAGCCACACTGTAGTGCATATCACTTCGTGCCTCTTCTGGGATTGTTTCCTTGGGTGAATAGATATTGCTGTGGCACACATTGGGGGACACCTCCAAAGTCGGCCGGCTGTACTCACCAGGGACTGGCCTGGCACTATCACATGGGAGTGCCCGCTCCTTGGGGAAGGGGTTGGCCACAGGCATCCGGACATCCCGAAACTCCTCATCGGAGAAGAGGAGGCTGCTGACAGGGAGGTGGCTGTACATGGAATAAGAGGCTGGCGGTGTGGACAGGCCACTGTACAGGCTGGGGGCAAAGGCTCTGCTCTCACACCCAGGGGCGCTCCTCAGTGGCAGGTTGTTCTCCACCACCTCACGACCCCGATAGGCCATGATGTCTTGGGGCATCAGCATCCGGCTGTTGAGGAACTCTTCACGAGGAGGCTTGATGGCAGAAACCATCTCTGCTTCACTGTGAAAGAAAAAAAGAGGAAAGACACCGGCCCCAAATCAGAACTGTTAAATAGATGACCTTCCAGTGACACTTATATAACCACATCTGTGTTTGAATTAGCTAGACATAGGTGACGTGGCTCTGGAGCAGGGAACCACAATTACAACGCATTTATGCTAGAAGCCTGGAAATCCAGCCTGAAATTGGGAAGACTGAGTCCCAGAGAAGGGAAGTGAGTTTCCGGCATGATCTATGCCTGATTAGACATAATCTTGTATGTTTAAGGCACATATCTATGCATGTGTGTGAATCTATAGCTCTTCTGATGTTATGAAATTTTATAGCTCACATAAAACTTTCAAAGCCCTTATCTCACTTCACCCATGCAAAATCCTGAAAGGAAGGAAAGGTGGTTATTATTATCTCCATTTTACACATAGGGAAACAGGAAAAGAATTTATACAATGTTGGTATGACACTTTTGGAGGATCATACACAAACGAGTAGCCTACTGAAGAAAGAACTTGTCCCAGATGCTGATGAAAGTTTACATAAAGAACAGGCAGCAAATGCCAATGTATGAATCCCTGGTCTAGAGCAGCCAGACCTGGTTTGCAAACCTAGCTGTGCCACTTAGCAGCTGGTGACATGGAGCCAGTTACTCAGCCATTCTAAGCACAAGGCCTGAGCCACTGAAAGTACTTGTAAATGACAGCAATGATGATCTTGCCACCGTCATCACTCACAGGAGACAAAGAACTCTAGCTGTATATACCTGAAGGAACATCATGTGGGTGAAATAAATAGGCAAGCTCACCATGATCACAGTTAACGGAGCTAGAACCCATAAGAAGGTTAAAGAGAAGCCAAAAAGAGAAGCTTTCTAACTGTCCAAGGTATGCTGTGTGGTTCTGGGAACACTGAGTTCCTGGCTCCTGGAGGTTTTCAAACACAGCCTGGAAAACCCTTCTGTTTGAGCGAGGATGCAATCACCCTAGCATGGCTGGATCAAAAGGTTCTAAAGAAGTTAAGCTCTGAGTCTCTGTTGCACTTAGTGAAGCTCTTCACTTCTTTGGATCTCAAGTTCCTCATCTTTAAATGAAGGTCATGTCTTATCACCCCTCAGGTAGGAGATTAAACTCAGTGAACTCCATTCAATTCAATAAATGTCCTGCCTAGTAGGAGCAGCGTGACATAAAAGGTGAGTAAGATAGCCCCTATAACCTTGAGTAGCTCACAGTCTGGTCGGGAACTAAGGCACATATGTAAATAGTTATAATAGAAGTCTAAAGGAGAACTAAAATACATATGCAAATATTAAAATAGAAGGAAAGTTTAAAGCACCAGCAAAATGCTTCACAACACAGAGGAAGAGCTGAGGGAGGAAAAGTGTTAATCAGAAACACTTCCATGGAAGAGCTGGCATCCAAGATTAGCCTTGCAGGATGGGTGGGAGGAGAGGGTATATTAAGTGAATGGAAGAAAGCAAGATGCGGTAATGCATAGGACATACCTGTATAGCCACAGGAGTTAAGTCTGCCTGGGGCACAAGAGTTAAGAAGAGCAGAAGTGTGCAACAAGAGTGGAAATGTGGGTTGCAGCATATCATAGAGGAGTATTTTTTCTGTATGCATGAATTATCAAAGGTTTCTGATCGGGGACTATCTCTTCCATCTCCGACGCTTCCACCCGGGTAGCAACTCACCTGGCCTTAATAAACTTCCGGCAAGTGTCCACAACATGCTCCATCTGCAGGTACATAGCCGTGGCCATCACAGCCATGATGTTGCCCTCCCGCAAATTGAGCCGAGATGTGTACATGAAGTCCAGGAGGATGCAGAATCCCTCAGGGTTGATCTCAGGATCTAGATTGATCACACTAAGGTTGCATTTCAACTGGTCTGTAAAGATGCTATAGAACAGGCCACTGTAAAACAAACAAATGTCCCACTATAGTAGACATATCGAATCTGTGATCCCTTACAGTCAGCACTGATACTCAGCCCCTTTCCCCTGGGCCTACCTCCAGAACTTCTACGGTAATTAATAATAGCTGCTATTTATGGAGAGCTTACCAAATGTCAGGAGTCATTAAGCACCTTACATACATTATCGTTTGCTCCTTACAACGCTGCAAGGTAGGTACTATCACTCTCTGCCTTTACAAATAGGGGAACTAAGATCAGGGGGGTTAAGTGAATATTCTTAAAGTCACAGGGCCTGTTTTCCTTTTAGTCTTAACTGTACAGATTACCAGAGTTAAATTTAGCCCCTTTGCAGTAACTATTCTTAGTCTACCTTTGTCATAAGCATTCCTTCTTGTTCCATTGCATTTACACTTATTTTTAAAATTCTATCTCTTTTTAGAATTTGGCTATGAATGACAAATAAATAAAAATATGCCTACATCTATACTCTACTGCTTTTATCAAAGTCCATAGATTAACAGAGGGTCTGTTATTCCTTGAAGACCCAACTCAAACCCCAAGCAATGCCTCCAGGTGCCATGCTGTCTGGTGGTGGAAAGAGTACTCAATTGTAAAGAAGAATTCTGAGCTATCATCTTGATTCTTGATTCTACTTTTTCTGAGTGGGTTGCCAGAAGTGAGCCAGACTTCCACCAAGTAGCTATGCAACTTTGGGTAAGATATTTAGCTTCTCTGCATCTTGCTTTACTCATCTTCAAAGTAGGAGGAACAATCATGTCTACCTTATAGTGTTGTGGCAAGAATAAAAATGTAAAGGATATAGAATGATGCCTGGCATATAGTAAGCATTCACTAAACATTATCTATTATTTTTATATCTCCATAAGCCTCTGTTATTTCCACTATTAAAAATCAGGTGCTTAGAGTAGATGTTGGATAAGTTTTCAAATAGCAATAGAGATCCCTGATTCTGTATCATTTAACCTCCCTGTGCTTTCCTTTTACCATCTATAAAATGAAGGCAATAGTGTAATGCATAACACTGAAGACTACTAAAAAGATCCAGGAAGATGATATCATGTAATATAAAATTGCTCTGAAAACTCGAAATACTTGATAAACATGAAGAATCAGCTAGTTCACTCTCACTAACTCTTGCATATACTCTGAACACCCATGGAAATTCAGTTGTAGCAAAAAATAAATACATTTATAGCATAAAAGAGCAAAACATTTCAAATTAACTTGCTTAAGCTACTTAAAGACAAAGAAAGTTCATTTGAAATCTTTTCTCATTTTTTCACTGGTTAACTGAAGTTATTCTCCATGTCTGCCCCAAACACATCCTTTCTTGGGGCAGTATATAATTTTTCTCCCTCTATGCCCACAGAACGTGGCTCTTTCTTTTCTAAAAGTGCATTCATCCATTCATTCATTCATTCACTTGGGAGCCTACTGTGCCACGCCATGGTGCTGAGATCTGGAGACAAAGCGAGACGTCATCCCAGATGCAGTAAAAGGCCCACATGTTCTGCCTTGCTTGGCTGCCAGCACCATCACCCCACTTTGACTTACCCACCCTTTCCTTTCAGATCCCTCACCTGCAGGCCATGAGGACCGTTTTATGGGCTCTAAACTGCTCACGGCTCACAACAATGACAACATCAGTCAAGATGTCTCGACTCCGGAGACGATTAAGGTTGAGAAGAACATCACTGGCATGGCGGGTGAACTGGATACAGCTGTCAGCCGGCGAGGCCATTTTGTCTTCACTTGAAAAAAGAGGCCAAAATCCTGTTAGTCCTCCAGAACCTGTTTCCTGCTTGCCACAGGTATCAGAGCAGGTGGCTTAGCCTGCTAAGGTACAGAATGCAACTCAGGTCCCTTGTATTTGATCTTTGAACAATTCATAGTCCAACTCTGGCCATTATTCTTCATAGTTTTAAAATGGGGAGAATAACTTTTATCCAACAAGTTGGGATAGAAAGCCCTTTAGGGGAAAAGCAAAGGGAATGAATATTTGTTGAGTGTTTTTCCCACATACCAAATACTCTGCCAAGCACTGACAGGTAGTGAGTATGTTGCAATGGAGAGACACCGTGTTTTTTGTTTTTGTTTTTGTTTTTTGAGATGGAGTCTCACACTGTCACCCAGGCTGAAGTGCAATAGTGCAATCTCAGCTCACTGCAAGTCCGCCTTCCCAGGTTCAAGTGATTCTCCTGCCTCGGTCTCCCGAGTAGCTGGGATTACAGGTGCCTGCCACCATGCCCAGCTAATTTTTTTGTATTTTTAGTAGAGATAGTGTTTCACTATGTTGGCCAGGCTGGGTCTCAAACTCCTGACCTCGTGATCTGCCCAACTTGGCCTCCCAAAGTGCTGGGATTACAGGCATGAGCCACCGCGCCCAGTCAAGACACTGTGTTTTAAGATTATCAGGCTAGACTTGCCTTTTGCTAGCTGTGGGACTTTAAGCAGGTTGTTTACTGGTTTGGGGCTTTGGTTTCCCCAAATGGAAGTAGTAATACCTATGTGGTTATAAAAGTTAGAAATACATTCCTCGTTCATAGGAGGCTCTCAAAACTCATAGCTATTCTCATAGGTATCTTATTTCATCATCTCAGTCACCATTGGTCTCTCTCTACTGTTAGGCTTTAGAGTTGCTTGACTTTTGTACCTCGAGGAGCTAGCATATTGTTGGTGAACATTAGCTGGCTAAATTAGTTTGTACAAAGAAAGAGTAACAATGATTGACCATGCAAGTGGTAAGACAGTCTAATACAGAGGTGAAGGATGAGGACTAGGAGTGATGTAGAGGGAACTGGTTATCCTTGTCTCATATAATGAACAGTGGCAAAGTTCACAGAGACACATGTATTGGCAAATTCAAAAGAAACAGTTTGTCCCAACATTTTAAAGCATATAATTTTATTTACTTACCCAATGCCTTGCTTCACAGTCCAAAATTTTGCTCAAAACCTACAGAGAAGAGAAGAAAGCAAACAGAAATTGATTTAACGAATGTAAGATTGTCCACTATAGTCTTATTTTAGGACATACACATTTAGTTTTGCTTTGATAGTTGCAGCTTGCCAGCTGGTGTGGTTTTACCACAAGCTAACAAACATTTTCCAGCTCTGCTCTTACGGAAACAACAGGCACCCGAAGCTATGAGATAATAATGTTTTTATCCAGAGTACTGGGAGTACAATTGCATACATTAATTAGTTATACATACATACATACATATATTTCCTTCTTCAAAGAAAAAATTTATACTATCCAAAGGCCACTAGAGTTTATGGGAAAGAAAAAATAAGAAAAATGGTTCTGTCAACATTAACAATAACGATTCGTCCGTGGCCTAAAACCACTGGACGTCATTCAAAACCTGCTAAAATATTATCTTTCAAGCCTTAGAATGATTCCGCAAGGACGATAGGGCCAATATCTTTATCCTTATTTCACTGGCGATGAAACTGAGACTTAGGGGTTCAAGTGGCTTGCTCAAGACAAACAGCTAGGCAGTATTTCCTGCCCATCTGAAACATTAAGACTGAATATAGACTCTGCAGAACACAGCCTGAGATGTCATGTCTACGTATTCCTTGAAAACCTTTGTCTTCTTTTTCAAAGTGTTCTCTCCCTTCCCTACTGGGTCTAAGACCAGACAGAATGCCATTGCTTCTAAGTTTGTGCTTCTCCCTGCTGGTAAAAGACTTAACTATGTGATTTAGCTGAGAACTGGCCAGGGAGCACTAAACCTTGAAGAGATTTAATGAAATATGTACCTCCTTCCAAACCGGCTTCTCTAAAACAAAATCATTAAAAGCACAGGTGTAAGACCCTCATTTATGATCAAATGTGGGCTGCAAAATAAAACAATATTTGAACTGTCTTCCCCCCTTTAAAAAAAAAAAAGCAGAACCTTTTAGAGCTATTTTCTGGGTAAAGAGGCCTGAGGCCAACAAGGTCATGTTGGGCCATGTACATGGTTGGTGACCCGGCCCTAGGTCTTCTGGCTCAAATTCCTGTCCCCTTTCCAAATCAGCCTACGTGCTGTAGAACATGCAAGACAGCACCCTGATGTGGGTGAATCTCATTTTTAAGTTCCTTCCCCCACACAAACACTTTGCCCCATTCCAGGCTGCTGAGTCTTACCAAATGAGCACTCTAAAATGAGAGGTTTCCTTGAGTCTGTAACCAAACACTCTGACATTTCTCTGTGGTCCCAAGTGCCAGTCACTCAATCCCATCGGCTCCAAGGTTAGTGTGTGCATGTGAGTGAGTGGGGACTGGAGGGAAGGAAGTGGGGAAGGGAGAAGACAGAAAAAGACAAAAGAACCTATCTCCTCCTCTCCCCAGCCCAACTCGAGATAGGCAAAGAGAGATAGACTAACTCGGTCTTTACCAAACTTCAAGGATTTTCTCCTTTGCAAAAGAAAGCTGAAGACACATGGGAGTGGGAGGTTTACTTAAAAACTTTCCTCTCTTCCTTCATGGAAGGGATCCTCAAACACTTCTGGAATACCTAGGCTGTTCTTTAACCAGCTTCAACCACCAGCTCGCTTGTGGATTTCCAGTCGCAGGCTTCTGGAACCACAGGAAGCCCAGATTTGCCATTTCACCATGACAAGTGGCAATGACTCACTCCAGATGCGGATTGAAACAAACAAACAAATTCCCCTGTGTCCACTGTCAGCTGGGCCTTGGGCTTTTCACCGTAAGCCTCTGCCTGGCCAAAAACAAATGTACATACACGAGGCGCAGGTCCTTCTCAAGTTCACTCCTTTGCAAGCCAACTCGTCTTAAGAACCAGCCCCCCCCAACTCCTGAGTGTGTGGGTTGAGTGTGGGCAATGTTGTCACCACCCCCACCCCAAATGCCGCAGGTGTGGAAGCACCACCAGCATTTGGTTTGTATTTTTACAGAGCTCTTAGTCCTTTCCCACCCCCTCAAGATTGCATCTTATCCTTATAACAGCCCTGCTTTATTAGGGAGGGAACTGAGGCTCCGGGTGAGAGGCCTTGCCCAAAATCTCAAAACCAATTTCCAGCAAGTTCTGGACACGCCGCGTCTCCTAGATTCAGCCATTCCACCAATGCCACACACAAGACTACCCACAAAAACAATCTCCAAGGAGCAGGGCTGTCAATGAGAAACTGACAACTGCTGGCTGCCCCCAGACCTGGACTTCCCATCCCAATCTCCCCGCACCCACGCTGGGTCAGTAACCACCATGGGAGAGTTAAATGTTTTCTCTTCCCTTCCTCCCTTTAGCTCTTTTGGCGCTTTCCTTGTGCATAGCCAACTAGGCTCCTTGAGAAGACAGATCCTTTAAAAGAGCTTTCCATTGAAGAAGAAAACAGGAACCAAAAAAAAAAAAAAGCAAAGAGAGAGAGAAGACAGCAGAAACGACAGAGAGAGAGAGAGAGAGAGAGAGAGAGAGAGAGAGAGAGAGAGAGAGAAAATGAGAGAAGAGGGAGAGGCGAGGTTAAGAGCCAGAGAGCAAGCCAATACAAAAGACCCCATCCTTTTCCTCCCTCCTCCCCTGGGCTGGCACCAGAAAGCCCCATTTTCTCGCTCACACATAAGAGCACAAACACCAGCCCTGCGCGCCGGGGCAAGCCTAGGCAGACTTCGCTACCCCACCCCGACCACTCCGTACCTGTCTTCCAGGGACTGCCCGCCCCTGGGCGATCCACCTCGAAGCCCCCCGCAAGGCGCGACGGAGGCTTTGTGGTATGACCGTGGCGGCCCTTAATTTAGTTACATTCAAATAAAACTTTTGGTGCACCTCGGTAGCTAACATTGTGTGTATGCCTTTTTTTTTTTTTTTTTTTTTTTCCTGTTACGCCGTCAATGCAGCAGGCAATGAGGGGAATGACACAGCCCTCTCATTCCCGGAACGTAGTCAATCTCGGCTCTGCGGATTTCACAGAACACACTTTGCCTATTGCCGGCTCCAACAAGAAGTAACTTTCCAGGAAGCTGCCGGCCCCGGCAGCCGCCAGGATCGCTGCCTGCGCTGCGCTGGCCGCCGGGGATTCACCCAGGGAGGCGGGGCCGCTGGGGAAGGCTCGCGGGGAATACAGCACACTTTCCCCTAAATCCCTCGTCCGCGCCGAGTGCAGGGCTCTCAGAGTTCACCTAGTCCCACCTCTCACCCACAACAGTTTATAAATGGGGAAGGTCAGACAAGTTAGTAGCAGAGCTGGGTCTAGAACCCAGGAGTTCGAATACAATCCGAGGCTCATATCGAGACTTTAAGTTGTCCGATTCCGAAGTTTATTTGCTTTTTTCCCTCTTTTTGCCTTCCATTCTCCCTCACCCCCGTTCTTTTAGGGGAATGTTTGAGCGAGACTTCAAGGTCAAAAGATGGAGTCCCTAGGGGCTGAGGGTCTCCATCATAGGCGCCCCAGGCAAGGTTGGAGAAAAACTAAACAGAAAGCCCCTTCCGCCTACGTTGGCAAGAACGGGAACCCAGCTCCACTTGGTTTCCGCCCAAAGTCTTTAGAACAGGAGCTGCCAAGCCGTAAGGATTTCCGAATCCGATTTCCCCGAAACCGTAGAGACACAGCTTGGACTCGGCAAAGGCCGGGGCCCCGACCCCTGCGCGCGCACTGGCACTCTCCAAAGTTGCCTCGCCTTCCTGTGGCCCTCCCGGGAATTATAACCCCCGGGTGCCATGTCCTAATTGGTCTCGGTAGCAGGCTCCGGGGTGCGCTTTCGGGGGCTAGGGGACAGCGAAAGACTCAGCCACAAAGGCCGCAGTCTGGTCCTAAAACTAGCCAGTGGCGTCACACTGCGCCGCTCATCCCTTCTGCGGCAAGCGGAAGGGTCAGAGTCGGTCTGCAAAGAACGAGCCTTTGGCCTCAAAATCCTACATTGAGGCTTTCTCACCCCTTCGCCCGGTGGGATAAAGGTGAAAGAGACGGTTGGGATTTAATAAGGGGTAGGGATGAGAATCTGGGAAGTTAAAATGAAGTAAGTGCATTTATTGGAAATTAGGAGTCCCGTGGTTCCGGGAGCTCAAACCGAATGGTGTTTTTACCGCTGCCTAACGCTAGAGAGAGCCCTCCATCAAGGTTTGAAACCGTCAACCCCTTTCTCGCCCCTCCCCTCCTTCCCATTGACCTAGTTTGGCCAGAGCCTCCCGATTTGGAGAATGCCTTCCGCCCTTCCCCCCTCCTCTCCAGCCAGAGAGGCTACAGAGGCTGTTGGATTATTGGTAATCTAATAACTCCAATAACCCGCTGAAAAATCCAAAGGGAAATCTGAAAGTGTAAAGCACTGTTTAGGGACAAGGACAAGGAATTTTAATAAGGCTGCAACTGCCGTAGTGAACCCCGCATCAGGGGCCCTGCCGTGGGGCTCCCGGTCTCAGCAGTGTTTCAGCCAACTAGCTGCACGGCTGCAGACACCACCGTGGTCCGGCGGCAGGGGGTGAGGTCAAATCGCGGAGCTGTTTTTATTCTTGGGGGAAAACACTCTTCGCCCTCTTGGCTGGGGAACGGGAGGGTGCAGGAGACGACAGTAAATAAAAGCGAATTTGATAACGCGATGGCCTCGACAGCCGCTTTGGATAACCGAGGTGTTCGGGGACATTGTGTCCTGACTTTCATTTCTATCACGTTTCCTGCCAACAGTGCTCTTGCAAGCCTGCAAGCTTCTAGGAAATGCAATAAAACAGAGGGATGTGTTTTATCATCAAGATCTGAAGAGGAGTTGCAGAAGGGACGTTCCCCATACGCTCAGCGCGAGACAGCCTTCCAGAAGGGCCCGAAGACAATGCCAGCAAATCGCGTCCCGGAGCAGAGATCCCTCGGCCGTCCTGGCTGGACTGGGCTCAGCCTTTGCAAAAAGGCTGGCGGGGGAGGGGAGAAGCATGATCTCCTCAAGCAAACAATGCCTTTAAAAATCCGATCTGGAAAGAAGTCAGCCAAGGTCCTTATTCACGTTAATGAAGATGGAAGGCACTAACTGTCCTTGGAAAGCGATGAGTCAAACTTGACCGCGCTTCAAACTCGTTCCCAGATTCGTTTCCAGTCCGAACAGAGGCGCGTTTCTCCGACGCGGCCTCCGACGGCTCCCGCAGTGGGAGGGGCCGAACTCGATCCCCGCCGACCCGGGCGGGGGCGACGGCGCTGTCTCCCCCTGCAGAGCGCGCCTGCTGCCGCTAGGGGCCGCCAGCATGCGGACGCGCGTTTGCCATCTTAAGTCACGAGCTCGGAGAAAGAAAACTTTACGGAGGAACTGTTGTGGCACAAATTCTGGCCTATCCACATGACCCCCACCCCCTCACACACACACACCCGGTTTCTCGCCAGGCTACTATGCAGAGGATGTTAGGAAGGGGAAGAGAGCGATTTCAGAATCGAGGCTCGCCCTGCAAGTCTTTGGTCCAGGCCTTAACCCCCCTCTTAACACGCAAACCCCCGAGCTCCGAGACCCACACCCTTCAGCACCATCTGGGCTTTTCGTGTCATTACCGAAAATCTTAGGCCATATTTTCTTTAAAAAAAATCCTCCAAGACTGCTGGGGAGCGGTTTCCAATGAACACTGGCAACAAAGGTGACCTAAGAGGTTAAACTCATGGTTCTGGCAGCCGCTCCTTTCTCATAAATACTTCTAAGGAGCTGAGATAAACCCGCCTTTGGCTTTCAGTCACTGACATGAAATTCAGAAGCTTAAAATCTGGTCCTGGTTAAGTCACTAACTCACCACTAACAAGCCTCCTCGTCGGGCCTGTTTCCTCAACTGCAAAACAGAGTTGTACGTCCCAAAGCCCCTGAGCTCCTAGGTGGCATCCTTCCACTACCGACTTCCCCTAAGAGGGGCCACAGGGACAGGAAGATGGTGTGTTCGAAGCGGGTTATTTGTGGTTTTTCTTAGTGCAAATAGATGCTCATCGCTGAGTGATGGGCAAGCAGCGAGGCCTTTCTGATTTTCATCCCTCTTGCCAAAACTTTGGAGGTTGTATGCCATCCCCATTGGAGGGTGCCCTCCTTCTGTCAGTCCTAGCATCTGGTCAGGGTACCGCCGCCCGGGAGGTGGAACGGCGAGCCCACCGCCCATGGCCGCGAACTCGATCTCAGCCCACCGCTAGGTGGCAGGCCAGCCCGTCCGAGAATCGCCGCGCGGCCGCAGCTTCCACACCGATCCCTACCCGCCCCTCTTTATTTTCTGTCTGGTGGGGGCGAGGGTTGGGGGTGTGATTGCCTCTAAAAGCAAAGCTAGAAAACATTTAATTTAGTGTATGTAATTCCGTTCCTCCCGATGCTCCCGCCTCTAGCAACCACAACGCGGTATCTGGAGCTGGTTTCATGTATCATAAGTTGATTTCTCCCCCAGCCTCCGAAAAGCTTTATGTACTGGGAAGGGAAAGAAGGTGCACTTGTCTTCAAAAGGCAGAATGGCACTCGACAGTATTGGCAGAGATTCTTGCCAAACACTGGTCATCCAGCAAAGAAAGTCGGGAATAAACTCCTGATCTTCTCGGAGGAAAGGGGCGCTGGGGGCCGAGTGCTGGATCCCACTCAGGCTCACTGCGCCTGGCAAAGCGGGGGAGTGGGGAGTCGGGTATGGTCTTTTGGTGAAGTTGTGGGTCTCGGAGTGGACATCGGGAGGGTTGGGAGGGGCCGTTCCTGGTTTCCACTGGGGCAAAGAGAAACCAGCCAGTTCTGCCACCACGCTGCACCCTCGCTGTGCTCGCGGCGGCAGCGGCGGTCCCACTTGTTGCGCAGTGCTGGAAACCGGCACGCGCCATTCGATGTTGATTCACAGAGGGCTACAGACCAGCCTACCATTGCTCCACGCCATCCACAAACCTCCTCAACACACCCCCTACACATACGTCCTGCCACCGCCGGCAAAACTACAGCATTTCCAGCCACTATGGTGTTTTACACCAAAACATCCCTCACTATCTCGGTATCAGACAGGCAGCAGAATTAAGATGCCCTGAGAAGTCAATCCAAGGGGAAGGCCGGGCTACCTCCGCCTGGAGAACTCTTCTACTTAAAATCAACCAGGCACCCTCCCCCCACCAAAAAAAAAAACCTTAGAACCACGTTGCCTATTATAACACCATCCTAGTTGGAAAGCAACATTTTTCTTCCCTACTTGATAAACTTCAAAGTCCTTTTTATCCGTTAGTTTTATCTCCCCTATTTTTTTTAAATCTCTGGGGGAAAAATGTTTCATAAGTTCACTTCCCAATATTTTTCAAAAATTGACTTTTGCCAATAGTTTCACCCACCGAGGGGTGGCGCTGCTGCACCGCCTCCTCTATATCTCTTAAGTTTTTCACAACAAAGTGGGTTGTGAGTGTCATTACCCTGTAGGGGATAGAGGGAAGGAAGGGTTTTGACATCTAGCCGTGGCTACCATTTACTCAACCAATAACTGGAACTCTTCAAGGGCTCAGCAAACGACAACTTAAGCATTTAGAGTCCCATCCCTATCCACCAAACCCAGAATAAGTTAGTCTTTTCAAGAAAGCATTGGTATAAAACCCTTCAAAACTGAAAAGAAGAAAGGGGCAATTGGAGAATTCCCACTTTTTCTGGCTGTCTCCTTCAAGTCGCCCAGTTTTTATGAACAGCATCTAGCCTTACTGTCACTATCAACAACCCTTAAAACTAGCCAATGCTTCGGCCTCTAGTATTGGAAAGTCTTCCAAATAGGATACTGGAAACTTCTATTTATAAGCTTGGGGTGGCGGGCGGGGCGGGGAGGTGGAGAGAGAGTTGCCATCTACAGGTTTCTATTTTGGCCTGAAGACTCAACTGCAGTCATTAGAGTAAGGGAATGCCCATCTCCTGGTACTTGTTCGCCATTTCCTCCTCCCCCAGAGACAAATATCTTTTCGTCTTTTTTAAAAAAGTATATATTTTAAAGCAAGAATGTGATTTCATCTCTCTTCTTTGAGCTCATGTTTGCTACCTCCAGGAATAGCGTGTGGACTAGGGCCAGATGAACTTCAACTTGGGCTGCAGATTTACGAGGTTCTGTTCTAGTGCCAAAGGCTCTTGGTAGTAAATAGTGAGCAAAATAGATACCTGTCTCCTGATGGATCTTGCCGCCCCCTCTTTTTTTTTTTAAGTTATTTATTAAAACCACACACACCTTGCAAAGAAAAAGGGAAACTGGCAGTCTCTGTAGAGGAAGCCGGTGGCATCGCTCAGAGCCACAAACTGTATTTCTAAACAGCCCTTTCCCTGGTTCCCTCTCTCCTGCCCCACTTTTTTTAAAATCCAGACTGTAAAAAACACATCTACTGACACTCACTTTACTTTAAAAAAAGAAGAGAAAAAGTAAAGCGTTACAAGACTTTCCTCCTGGAAACTATAAACTGAAAAAAAAATCCATAAAAGATTAAATCCTGGCGGGTTGTGGGGTGGCGGGGGCCGGCGGGGAGGGGGCGCGGAGTGGAGATTGGCTCTCTGAGGTGGTCAGGGGCCCTGTGACAGCTTGGGACTTTCAGCACCTGGTTTGGGGTCATTTATCTGCTCAACTGTCAGGACCCCCCACCCCCAAACCCCAGCCACCAACACAACCATCGTAGAAGGGAACACAACACAGAGGGTCTTTTTTCATTTTTTTAAAAAATCGGTTTGGTTGTGTTTTTGTTTTCCATGGGGGAGCTTTAAAACTCATTATTGCAACACTAGTTCCATTTTTCGCCAGGGTTCCAATAACACGGCATCATAAAGGCAACGCAACCCACAGTTCTCAAGACATTTACCACGGTCACTACATCCGGCAGCGGGGTGGCCCCTAGCTCCTGCTGCCCCCCCGCCCTTTCTCCCCGCCCGCCCCCGGAGCTCAGCCGATTTCTGAGGCTCCAACTCTACCCACTCCCTCCCCGGGCCGCCGCCGCCGCGCCTTCCCCCATTCTTACTCCCTCGAGGAGAGCCACAGGTTGCAAATCCAACCAACCTCGCAATCTATTTTTGCAAAATCACTCACAAAGATCTCCCTTTCGCGCCCGCGCCCGCTCCTCCCGCGCCGGGTCCCCTCAGCCACGGCCACAAAGTGCCCTTCTCTCCTCCTGAGTCTTGCACATAAGGAACGCGGGCTGGGGCTCTGTTCGTCTTTCTCCTCGCCCAAGGTAAGGACCTCGGGAATCTGAAGCCTGGCGTCCACTACGCTCAGGCCCGCAGTTCCCTTTTTACAGAGCTTGCACCATGGGAAAAAATAAAATAAAATTTAGGAAAGGGAGGCAACAGCCATTGGGAGCCAACACAGAGTCACGCAGCGCCCAAAATACAAACACCGCAGCGGCCAGAAATCCCGCCACCTTTCTCGTTCTCCCAGGCTGTCCTGTCGAGGTTCCCTGAGTCCCCCCGCACACTGAAAGGCATCGCAGGTGCAGTGCGCACCCCTTTCCCACCCACCCCAAGAAGCCCTGTCCCGCCATCAGTCTCTCTCCTCGGGATGAGCAGGGAGAGCGCGCGGAGGTTCCCGACTCCCTCGACTACAACCAAGAAAGAATAATTTTCAAAGTGTTCAACATCCCCGCCCCCAAGCTCCCCAAAACACAGGGGCAGGGAACACCAAAACACTCGGCTCTCATTAGGAAGATCACGGCTCTGAAAGGAAATAGTAGACACGATACTTCATCTCATCTGGATTTATGACCAAAAAAACAAAAACAAAAACCCAAAGAGTTCGCTTGCATTTTTTCCTTCCAAATCTCGGTTCGGCTCGAAGGCAGGGAATCTAAAAGACCGAGGCCGATGGAAGAGAGCCAGCGGGGCGAGCGAGCGGGCAGCCTCCCTTTTTGCCTCCCGGAGTTACCCAGAAGGACAGGGGAAGGGAAGGAAGAAGAGGCGAGGAAAAAGAGGAGGGAGGGAAGCGGAGGCCAGGAGCGACGGAGCAAGGAAAGCAGTTTGCAAGCGAGAAAAGAGGGAAAAAACACAGCCGCACGAATCCAGAGAGATCACAAGCCGTACGCAAGCAGCAGCAGAAAGAGCGAGAGCGCGAGCGCGCGTCCTCTCCGCGGTCTGGGGCCAGACAGCCCCCAGACTAGCCCGAATCACCCCCCAAGCACTGTCTCGTCCTCTCTGCTCCGGCCGCCCCCTAATTCCCCTCCTTCCTCTCCTCCACCTCCTTTCCAAAAACCAAAACAACACAAGGGAGGGTGGCAAAAGCCTCCCCAAACCGGCCGATTCACTCAAAGACAACAATAATAATAATAAATACATAACAATCTATATCCTATGGTGGGAGAGACGTGGGACTAATCTTCGGCATTTATTTTAACACCTGACAGCTAGAATAAATAAATATATACATTTATATCAATAGATACACATAGAAAACTTGGAGCCAAAGCATTTGGCAAGAGCGGAAAAAAAAAGAATTAAAAGGTAAAATAATGATCATGAGCAGCGGCGGCGGCAGCGGCACCAGCGGCAACAGCGGCGGCGGCGGCAGTAGCAGCAGCAGCGGCGGCAGCAACAGCAATAATCACCTGGTGTCCGGCCTTTCCTAGAAACTTCTTGCATCACCACTTCTAAGAACCCCAGTTCTAAGAATCAACAGAGCTCAATTCTCGGAATTTGAGCTTCGGACTTTACCACTGCTACGTGGCAGGGGAGGACTTGGTGTCAGCTCTCCGAGATTTTTACTGCCCCTGGCCAACCAAAAGCCCTCAAAGCCACAAGATTTTTTCACTGGCCGGCATATTTCGAGGTCCTCATAAGCAGAGCGTCTCGGATTTGGAGGTTCCGGTTCGAGGCTCGAGGGGCCTGAAGGTGGCTCTCCCTCCCCGGGCCCAAGACGATGGTATGGCCTGCTCCGCCACCATCACGTGGGCTCCTCCTCTGTGACGTCGGCGCCTTCGCTGTAGCAAAGCTCGGCCTCTGGAATTCTGAGAACTAATTTGCTATTCGGTGACATAAGAGGGGGAGTGCGCTTTGCTTTCCCGGGGTCTGGGGCTAATTCCTTCTTTCTTACCCATAAACTCAGCAGATCGAGCTAAATGCACAAAAGGGAGCGAGAGGTTTGAACCACTGGGAAAAGTATGTTATATATATAGTAGGGTTAGAGAGGCGAGTAAGAGAAAAATAAAATAAAATAAACATCACAGCTCTTTCCAACTAGAATATTAGGCACCACGAGAAAAATATTTGCCAAGCAGTTTTCGGTGGGTTCATTTGCTTTATTTTTATTTAGGACAGGGGTTTTTGCTGTTGTTCTGGGTTTTTTTCTTTCTGGTGTGGTGGCTTGGGATTTTTGGTTTCTGTATTTTGATGGTTTATGGATTTTTGCTTCTGATTTTTTGCCTTTTGCAAGTTTGTGGTGTTACGTAAATCACAGGATCGGCATCGGTTGGATTTTTTTGTACGTGCCTTTTCTTTCCCTATCTAATCCCTCAAGCGTTTTAAAGATGTATTATTTCAATACTAATACTATTGAAAGAAGCTTAAATTTTTGGCCATATGTAACAATCCCAGCCCCCACTTTTTTTTTTTTTTTTTCCTTTGGTGCAATTTTCTTTTTCCCCCTTGGACTTTTGCTGAAGTGTGTCTCTCCTGCACTTCAGAGAAATGTTCAAAGGATTTGTTTTGGTTTGGTTTGTTTCTTTCCAGGACAGCAAGTGGTGGGTTTAATCTGTTATTGTTGACTCTTGGGAAATTTCTTGTTGCAAGAAACGTGTGTGTGGGGGGGAGGGTGGGGGTGGCGGGGTGGTATGTGTGTGTTTTCTACAAAATTCTGTGAGCCAAATACCTGTTTGTGTTTTGTTTTCTCTTAAGGTCTTGAGATTTTTGTTTTCGAGGCTCGTTTCAAGGTCGTTGTAAAAAAATCTCTTCAGTCTGTGTTTAAGAGATCAGCCGGAGGGAATTCTAAAGGCCTGCCGTGCCAGTATCACAGATACTGCCTGTATTTAGAACAGACTGCCACAACTACAATGCACTACACGCAGCACAGTCTTCTTAGCTTTGAAGCTGAGTTGGGGGGTGGGGTGGGGGGGGGGTAGAGAAGAAGGAGAAATTCTTTCCTTCTCTTTTTCTCTATTACTTTCTTTTTAAAGGCAATTGCAGTGCAGAATCATTTCATTGTGGGTCCTAGTTTGTTTGTTCAGAGCTGCTAGTTTCCTTATTTAAATGTTGGTTCGGGTTTTTTCCCCTCCTACTCATCCCTGAATAAGGGAGACTCTTGTTTCTTTTATGTCTCTCTCTTAAAAGAAGGGTGTGAGGGGAAAATAATATTTCAGATTCCTCAAGAATTAGCCCAAAATGTTTGGACCAGAAGCAGCTTTCAAAGGTCAGGCTGTTCTGAGCCTTGGCTATGAGAGTCCTTCAAGCGACTTATTAAATTACAGATGAATTCTTAAAGCTTCCACAAAATCTCGTCACTTGTTAATTTCTAATAAAGATATGTCTAAAATAATCTACCTATCTCAACCCAAAATTTGGGTTTATAATGGAGGAGTGATCAGAGCTGTGAAAGATTGCTGTTTGCTGGGATATTTGGAAAATCTCTTTCATTGACAGTCCCGTAAGAAGTTCCATCTATCACCGAAAATGTTGTTGGCAATGCACCCCCCTACCCCACAACACACACACATTTTTAAAGGCTGTATTTTAGGTTTTAAAACCCAGAAAGGTGCAAAGAGGTTGATTATTTTCCACAAGGGCTGGAGCTTAGGAAATATGCGTTAAAGTGTCTGTCCCTGTGAAATCTGAATATTTTAATACTTATTGACAGATGGATTACTGCAGCCTCTGCAGAAAAGCCTGTCTTGTGAACGGTTTTTGAAAAATATACATAGGCCTAATCCTGTCACTGTTGTTGAAATGTACGTTTTACCCCCAAAGACACATGATATTGTCAAGTTCAGATTTATTCTGCCAGAAGGCAGACTATCTGCTTTTTCATTTGAGTCCCCTTCCTTCTCATTTTCAAAGAAATTAAAATGAATCCCGCTGGATGCAAAATGACACCCCGATTTTGTGGAAGGGATTTTCTTTGTGTGTTTATATGTGTAATTTTTTCTTTTATGAGCAATTAGCACTTTAGGATTTCTCAGACGTATCTATATGGTTTGGAATGTGAATTGTATGGCTCTGCCTTACTATTGGGCCCTCAAAAGATTATTTTTATGATTTTTGGTCACTTTTTTCTTTGTCAAAACTGCCATTCAGCCTCATCCACCGCCCCCCTCAACCTGAAACACAGCTTGTCCCTCCTGTGTTCCCTTTGCCACTCCACTCTTAGCCCCATGGGGGCGCTGCAGAGCAAAGGGAAATCTGCTCTCTAAGGCAGTAGTAGAACCAGCCAGAGTGGGGGCTGGGAAGGAATTCACCCTTCTCATACCTCAGCCCTCTTTAATTCTCTGCAGTGAGCCCCTAGAGGGAGAACCCACCAGGGCTGGTTCATATATAATTAACCTCATCACCAGGGACCTCAAATCTTCCCAGCATATTATTTCTGGGACCAAGTGCCAGAGTGCCACATTTTCCTACTGCTTTTTGCCAAATCAATGTGTTTACACTGAAAGAAATTGACCAGAACAGAAGACCAGTTAGAAAGAAAGAGAAAATCATTATTGAAAATTTTCTAAAGATAGGCACTTACTTTTCGGTGAGTCTCTTTTACTTTGAACTGAATGAATGGTGAGGAAAATTGTGCACCCGCCTCTCAATCTCTTTTCAATTCCTAGGAAAGTAACTTTGTCAAATATTATACCAGTTGAATTTCTTCCAGAATGTCATTTCTTCTTTCATTCTTGACCTCTCCTCAGTATCCAGTTGGCATCACTATGTGGGCCTCCCTCACTCCCGCAGTGCCGTGTTACAGGATTAAAGAAAGGGCTGACTTGAACGTATTCTGATTCTTTTAAATCATCCTTAAGAAGCTCTAAAGAGTGATTCCATGTCTGGGGTCGTATGAATAATTCCTGCAGACTTCGGGGCACTACATTTCAACTAGTCCCATGATTTAATGGTTACTGGCTGCTAATACTCAGTAGAGGACCAGGCCAACCTCTTTGCCTCATGGACTGGGCATAAGAATAGGTCCCTGATCATTGCTGCTGGGTAAATATAAGCTTTATTACAAAATAAAATAGCCTGGTCCTAATATTACATCTATTTGAGGAAAAGAACAGACTTCACATCCAATTCCCCCTTGCAAAACCTTCCCCACAATTCAGTCATAGCTGAAAAAGAACCTATCCTTGGAATAAACACGGTTCTGTCCTCTTTCTAAGGGGGCTCACAAGAGGAAGTTGGTTTCACCTGTCAGGAACCTCTGGCACCTTGGTAGGTCTTTAAGATACCACATCATAGGACTAAAGATTTTAAAACTGGGAAGACTTTTTCAAATCAATCACCTTCTCTAGGCTTTCTTCTTTCAGGATTATAGGCTGGGTCTTCACTAGGAGCATGTGTGACCCCAGGAACACAACTGAAAATGGGTCTGCATGATTTGCTGGCCCTCTGTCATTTTAGAGGATCAGTGTAATCTGACAACTTGAGTCTGTAGGTGTATATCTTGTGTCCTTGTAGAACTGAGGGAAGCAAGGCTGCCATGGTCTCTTTGTAAACTGCAAAACTCAGAGCGAACTCCAAGTCATGATGAGTTTTGATGGTCATTTGGGTTTATTTATGCCTCTCAGCTACATTGAAGTACTTGGCACTGCTTTTGATAGATTTGGGAGACACTATCTATCAGACTTGTTAAATTTTACCTGTTCGTTTTATTTCAAATCCTTCATTTAGAACTGTTGTAAACAAGCTTTTTGTAGTATCCTTGGAGAAAGAAAGGCGTTTTTAACATAGCAAGATGAGCAGAAAGTTTTGAGACATTAAAAAAGTGTATAATTTCCAGCTACTGCCTTCTGAAAAGGAAGTATCAGTGTTTAATTTTCATCCATATGCTGCCTGCTTTTAGCCTTTATTGTTCTGAGATTTTTTTTTCCTTTAGAAACCTTTTCAGCCTGGCTCAGAGTTTACCCCCAAACACTAATTTTCCACACTTTTCTCACTTATTTAAAATGGGAATAAATATCAGAAGCTTAAAATAGAGAAGTGATGGGGGTTAGGGGGTGTGTAATGATTTGTTTATTGCGTTCGATCGCTGTTTTGAATAGCAGAGTTTTCACTTCCTATGAAACCTTAGCATGAAGGAAAGCAGCAGCTGGACTCTGAGAGGGATGAGGGAAGGAAAGCACTTGAGTGTTTGTAAACTCAGGGTGGCTGGTCCACCCGCTGCCGTTGCCGGGCTGCTGGCTGCTGTACTTAGCTGTCTCTACTACCTAAGGCTAGAAGTGGAAAAACTTGATTTGCGTGTTGTGCCTGCATTTTTTTTTTCTTCTCCCCACCGCCCTCTTGTACACCTGACCATGCAGAAGCCTATCTGAAGCCAGCTCGATGGCAGGGAGAGCTGGAGAGCGGAAGAATGTGCGGAGGGAGGGAGGGCTCGGTACTTTTCCATTCACATCTCCACAGTGGCTTTTCTTGTTTATTTCAACCTCCACCGGCAGAAACCTTTCAGCTGCCTGAAATTCAAGTCATTATACTGTTACCTGAGGTCAGAAGACAGACACTTTGGTGCACGTTTCCTACATGTCAGTGTCTGTGTAACTTATGTACGTACAGAGACACAGACACACAAATGTGACTCCACGGGGGCACAGTGTAGGGAGAAAAAAAAAAACACTGTATTTGTTGCAAACACACACACACACACACACACACACACGCGCGCACACACACACAAACCCTTGGTTTCTAATTACAGCTGTGCCTGAAACTCTTTATGGGACATTGAGCAAAGCCACTTGTGAGGACTCCGTTTCCTCAGCTGTGTGAAGGAATAGCCCCGATGATTTGAGGGATGCCGGTCTGCGCTTAGTTCTGTACCTTTACATTTCAAAACATATTTACAGAACTGTGCGAGAGGAGTGGAAAGGAGCTGTGTGTATATGTGTACCTGGGGCTAGGGAAGGAGTTAAAATGTAAACTTCTAAGTAAAGAAGGCAGTCCCAGAATCCTCACTCTATCAATTTTTAACCAATTGTAGACCAAAGTCTGGGATTTTGCTGAGTGGGTTCAAAAGCCAATTGAAGATTTTAAACGTTAAGAGGTGGAGGAAGTAGGTTCTAAGACCTTGCACCTTTGATCTCCAGCATTCATAATCAAATGTGACAGTTCCCAAGTGTCTTTTCTGCCCTATATTTCCTTTTTTATTTTCCTTCTATTTGTTTTTGCAAATTGTCCCCATCAATGATAGGAAGGAGATGACATTTGTACACTGGGTAGTATATGGATGTAAAAAACACATCATAACATTCAAGGGAAGGAAGGGAGGGAGGGAGAGCATAAGAGAGGGAGGCAGAGAGGAGAGAAGGAAGGAAGAGAAAAAGAAAAAAATAAAAACCTAGAGAGAGATTCCTGGTAAGAAACTTAGAGGTGGCTCAGCCATCACTGCATTAAAGGTAATTATTTGAAGTCAGAGGAAAAAGCAGATGAGGAGTTTTCCCTTACTAAAGGAAAAAAAAAAAAAAGAGGAAGAAGTCTTGATCTATCAGAACATGAAACCAATGAAAGAGATACTTTCCATCAATATTTTTTATACTTTTTTGATCTTCATTCTTTAAAAAGAAAGGTCTAAAGTTTCTCAGGCCCGATTGTCTAGACTATCTAAAGCCTTTAACAGGTCTTGGCATTCCCAAAAAATAATAAAATGACTCTGATTTATTAGCCGCGACCTCCGCACCCCCATGCCTCCACTGGTTTAGACTTTCTGGAATATTAGGCCTGTATACAAAGACTAGTGGAGCCAATTGTATTCCCCCAGTGTAAGTCTGTTGAAAATTATAGTGTGCTAGAACTGGGAGGGCCTTTAGCCATTATCCAATCTGATGTTCCTGATTTTGTATCATTGGAAATTGAGGCCCAGACACAATCCACTTGCTATATATGCTATAACACTAACACAGCTGGATTCAGAACTTTCATGCCCTATTTCTAAATCCAGTATGCTTTTCTTATGGCATATTATGGAAAGAGTGTAAGGGGTTGGCAGCCTTGCAAGAGCCATTTATTGTGGCCACACATCCAAAGAAGGCCTCAAATTTGGACTTTTGGGCCAGACACAATGACTCACAACTGTAGTCCCAATACTTTGTGAGGCTGAGGTGGGAAGATCACTTGAGACCAGGGATTCAAGACCAGCTTGGGCAACGTAGACCCTGTCTCTAAAAAAACGGAAGAAAAAAAAAATAGCCAGGCATGATGGCACATACTTGTAGTGCTAGCCACTTGGGAGGCTGAGGCAGGAGGATTTCTTGAACCCAGGAATTTGAGGCTGCAGTGAGCTATGATGGCACCACTCCAGCCTGGGCCACAGAGTAAGACCCTGTCTCAAAATAAAGAAAGAAATAAATAAATAAAATTAGACTTTTGATATTATCTCCACTGAGGCTATACATCTCTCTTTCAATCCTAACAGGACTGAAAGAAGATGACCATCATATGCAAGTTTTGTGTGTGGGATCCAGTGTAGGACCACAGGCTCCTATGACACCATGATTGAATGTTGTTAATAATCTATAATTGTTTTATGAATAGTGCAATTGTATTGTAGTTGTGTGGGTGCTGGTGTTAAAAATATAAGGTTTGAAATATATTTGTCGTAGCAACAAGCACACCTGGTGCTCAGAGCTCAGTTTTGTTTTGTTTTTGTGTTTGTTTTTGTTTTTGACACAGAGTCTCACTCTGTTGCCCAGGCTGGAGTGCAGTGGCGCGATCTCAGCCGACTGTAACCTCCGCCTCCCGGGTTCAAGCGATTCTCTTGCCTCAGCCTCCCGAGTAGCTGGGATTACAGCCCTGCACCACCACGCCCGGCTAGTTTTTGTATTTTCAGTAGAGACAGGGTTTCACCATGTTGGCCAGGCTGGTCTCAGTTTTAATGCCATTTCTCAGCAGCTGGAACCAAGGCTTCTTGGAGAAATTGTTGAGTTCTAAAACTGGGGCAGGAAATACACAAATGAGAATGAAAGATCTTGTAGCACCTTAAAGTAAGGAATTATTCAAAAACAAAACTACATTGGTGAGGGATATTTCAAAAAGACACAGGAGCCACTTGAAGAGCTCCCAGTGGCCAAAGCTGCAACAATTTGAGCAACAAAATAGAATAGTGTTTTACATTATAACCCAAAGTATAAAATAAATATTAATGAGTCCAGGGCTGGGTGCAGTGGCTTACACCTGTAATCCCAGCACTTTGGGAGGCCGAGGTGGGCAGATCACTTGAGGTCAGGAGTTCAAGACCAGCCTGGCCAACATGGTGAAACCCTGTCTCTACTAAAAATACAGAAATTAGCTGGGCATGGTGTCGTATGCCTGTAATCCCAGCTACTCGGGAGGCTGAGACAGGAGAATCCATTGAACCCGGGAGGCGGAGGTTCAGTGAGCCAAGATTGTGCCACTGCACTCCAGCCTGGGCAACAGAGTGAGGCTCCTTCTCAAAAAAAAAAAAAAAAAAAAAGTAATGAGTCCATACTATTATAAATAAATTATTAAGTAAATTAATAAACCAGAGAGAAAAGACAAACATCCCGTAATTCCAAATTTATTTATATAGATGTGCACAGGGATTCCAAATAATTTATAGACATGTGCCGGCCTTAAGGAGGAGAAACAGAAACCCACACTCTTTAATTGTGGGCTATAGATAGTAACTTCTTCCCGGGGAGTATATTCCGTATGGAAAGGTAGTCAGGGGAAAATAGCTTAGGAGAAGCCTGACAAACACTCTCTTAGCCAGGGGATTAAGACCAACATCAACAATGATAAATCATCTTGATAGTATATACTCTTGATAGGATGTGGTGAAAATTGTTCTTTCTCTCTGTGGTCCTGCTCTCATAATACTAGTCTAATCATAAGAAAAACATCAGACAAATTCTAGTAGAGGGGCGTCCTACAAAAAACCAGTAATCCTCAAGCCCATCAAGGTCATCAGAAACAAGGAAAGTCTGAGAAATTGTCACAGGCAAGGATTAGCCTAAGGAGACATGACAACTTAATATAATGTCGAATCTTAGATGGAATAATTGGCCACAAAAAGACATAAGATCAACCTAGACAAATCTGAATCAATGATGAACTTTAGTGAATAATAATGTACCGATATTGTTTCACTGTTACACGTGTACCATATAATGTATTATGTTAATCATAGGGGAAACTGGGCACAGGGTTATTCTCTGTACCATCTGCTCAATTTTTCTGTGAATTGAAACATGTTCTTAAAAATTAAGTCTATTACCTGGAGGAGATATCTATATCTCTATATATCATATAGAGATATAGATAGATATCTATAGATATCTATAGAGGTATAGATAGATACGTATATCATATAGAGATGTTATATATATATATATATATATATATATATATATATATATATATACAGCTGGAGGATATATATATATAATTTTCAATACCAGAAACCTCCAAAAAGTGACCCAGATCTCTCCTGAAATCTGGGAGATCCTGCTTCTCACTCATTTTCCTAGAATAGAGTCAGAGAAATGGGGCACCTCATTTATTCTTTTAGTTTACTAATTTACTCCATTTCTGTATGCCACCATCTGCATAACCATCAGGAGAATACTAGAGAGGCACCAAAGGCCAAATGTTGTTGTTGGGGTAGATGGCTCAAGCCACTTCGTGGACCCCCATATTCAAAATTTCTCTGTGGAAACCCACTAAGGAAACAGTGCTCTCAAAGATCTTGTCATCAGTTTATATGGGGCATGCAGAACTTAGAGATTCATTCATGAAGTTGGGGGAGCCCCAAGAGATTCCAAGAGTGTCTGCTATTTCATTGCACAACTCCAATAGAACTGTGGATCTCATCAGAGTTATGAGTCTCGGTGTCTACAGAGGAGAAGCTCCTATCAGACCCCTTAACCCTATGAGTTTGTCTGCATTATCTGAGTACAACCCAATTCTCTAAATTCTGAAAGCATCTATCTTCATCTTTCGGCTTACCAGTTCTACAGTTGAGAAAGGTCCAGAGAGGAAAGCAATTTGCAAACACCACTTAGCAAATTGGTGGCAGAGCTGATTCCCATCACCAGTTCACCCCGAATCATTTATTTTGTTGCAGTATCCACTTTGGTAAACTGAGGCCTGTTATTGTATTGATGTACATTATGACTTCAAAGATGCTTTTTTAATTTCTAACCAATTGTCAGTTATCAATGGCTTTTACTTCTAATGCTGCACTTGAGTTTTAAGTGTCTCTTCTCTTCTTCCCTTCATGTTTTCTGACATCTATTGGCCTCTCTGCCAAGTAGTTATAAGATCTTTGAACTAACACTTATATTCACTGTGAAAGCCAACATTTAAATAACTCTTGGTGAAGTGCAGTGAGACTAGGTCCTACTGTGTTGATTAGTATGACTTTTTCAGATATATTGGCCACATATACCAAGAATCATAAATATAAGCAGACCCTTTGACCCAGAGATTCCACTTCTAGGAATCTATCTTTAATGCATAATTCAACATACAGGAAAAATCAGTGAATGAGTATATGCATCCTAGCGCTGTATTCTAACAACAAAAAATTTGAACAACCTACATGTCCTATCATGACTAGGCTGGAAGAAAGAATGTTGGATGAAGAATGATTAAGTAAATTACAATACAACTAATTTCGAAAAATTAGAATTGAAAGATACTTATGGTAATATGTAAAGTGGAAAGAAGTAGAATATGTATATAGAGATATATGCATATTATATATCTATATAATATTTGTATACAGTATATTCACAGCAATTTTTAAAAATATATTCTTTGTAGAAAATAGACTGGATGTAAATAATAGTACACAATTGACAAAAATATTTACAGTAGCTCTCTTACAGTAGTAGGATTATGAACGCTTTTCTCGGCTTTATTCTTTTTTTATCTTCCAAAATGCTTAATATCTATTATCTATCTATCGATCTGTCTATCTATCTATCTATCTATCTATCTATCCCACAAACACACACTCAAGAAATAAAAAGCCGTAATTGAAGCCTTTTAAATGCAAACAATTAGTCCCGTTATTCACAGGTTTGAATATCTGACTTAAAGTTGAAGCCACCTACATGTTTAGGGACTACAGCAAAAGTCGAAAGTATCCACACACGCTTGGAGAAGACCTTTCACTTTAGGAGACATTTGTCTCCATGCCAACAAAATGTCACTCTTTCTGAACACATTGACCATAATGAGATGCAGTAGACTCTGTAGGTCTTGCACCCTTTATCATACTGTGATTATCTTGTTTTTTGGTGTTTCATGGCATTTGCAAATGTTAAAGGTTTTCCTGGTTATTATATGAGGCCACTCATGAGCTCTCCTTGTAGATAGAACTTTTTGGGGTCTATAAGTGACTTTTTAACATTTTTATAATGTTTGGTCAGTGAATGCTGAGGAAAAAAATTTCAAGTGAACTATCTCAATGTTTTTTTCATCAGAGAATCAATCACAGAGCTGATAAGAAGACCCATTCATTGGGTCTCTGGTCTTAAAGAAGGGCATAAAGGTAGGCATCAGAATCTAAAGGCTATGGTAAAAGAAAAGTGTGAGCAAAAAAAAGAAAAAGAAAGAAAAGAAAGGAAAAGAAAAGAAGAGGAGAGGGGAGGAGAGAAGAGAGAAGGGGAGGGGAAGAGAGGAGAGGAGAAGAGAGGAGAGGAGAGGAGAGGGCAAAAGAATCTAAGGGCGAGGGTAAGAAGCATATGGGCCTGATAAGGCCCTTCTCCCTTCAACTGCTGATGGGATTCTGCATGCTCAGGTCACTGTCTTCACTCTCACATTCACTCGTTCAAACAACATGCATTTCACTGACTGCTGCTTGTGAGGTAGACACTGTGCTAGATGCTAGTGAAACAAATACGAATAAAATACGGGCCCCTGACTCCACAGGGCACATAGTCTACTGAGGAAACAACAGCCCAGAAAGGTTCTGAAACTTGCTTTAGGTTTTGCAAAAGATAGTCCTTGAGCCATGATTGGCCTCCAAATGTCCGGACTCTGCTCCCAGTAAAACTCTATAGCCCCTTCTCAGAGGCTGTTCCCTGACCCCAATCCCCCATCAGGGTGAGGCATTGAGTCCTTCCCTGTGCAGTTTCAGCCACTTTGAGTGGTTCATCTAGTATTTATTGGAATGACGGATAACCCAGCCACGTCAACATACCATTGATTGGCAACCAACACCTAATGCAGGAAGATCTGCAAACAGGAAGACACAACAGAACCTCAGCTTTCTCTACACCATCATCACCATGTTGTCTCAGCCTTTGGACCGGAGCCTTACTGCAAGAATGCTCATTCCCCCAGTGAGACTAGAGCCCTGTATTGGACTGCAGGCCTCTACTCCTGCTTAACTTTTGTCAGCCCTCTCATTGGAGAGCCTGGATCCTGATTTTGATAGCTTCTTGTGTTTGGTACCCATCAGGTTCTCCCATGAGCAGACAGATCACCCAGCATTATGCTATTCCAAAGCACACAACCTCAATTAATGTCCACAGTCTGGACTCCAGAACCAAACACTACCCCTAGCAGGGACTTGACATATAGTAGATCCTGATGCCTACTCAACTAAGACCAAGTTCACCTCAGCTCTCTGGGCATTCCAGACCTTTGGGTGATAGACTGACAACAGGTAATATCTCCAGGTGCCAGGTCTGCACCCAGACCAATTTCCACAGCATCCTATTTTCCATGGCCCATCCTGCCTCAGGGTTGGGTCTGTCTGCCAGAAGTTGTAACCACTTATTTTCTGTGGCCAGGCAAGGGCAAGATGACATAATGGCACATGCATAATGCCACCAGACAAGATTTAAGCAATGTTACAATTAGCTGAAGTCCAGCAGCTTTCAATATCTAAACATCAAGTTGTTCAGACCAACCTTGCCCTTTGGAGGCACTGGCACTAAAATGCCAGCAAATTGCTCAGTAGAAAATGGGACAGAAAAAAATATTAGTAATGATGCTACTGAAGGCCACAATTTGGGAAGGCATATAAAGAAGACTTGATGATTTGATGATGAATCAATCAATCAAGCCCTTCAGGTCCTCTCACTTCTTTCCAGTCTTATCTTCTACCACAATTTTCTACACCAGATTCCTCAGCATTTTCCAAGGATCCATGCACTTTCTTCCTCTCCAACCCAAGCCTTGCTCTCTGCCTTTCTTTGCTAAACTATAAGCTTCTCAAGGACATAGGTACTTTGTTTTCGTTTTCTTAGAATTGTGTTCATTACATGGTGCTCACTTAGAAAATGTTGATTCAATTAAAGTAGGTAAAACTGAAATAGAATTCAATGTGGGATCTGAGAATCTGGGTTTCAGTTAAATCTCCACAACTGACTAACTCCTGTGGGTCTCAGTTTCTTGTTCTCTAAAATGGTACTTTCTGTAAAGGGAGTACATTGTAGGATTTTCATGGGAATCAAGCACAATGGAGGAGAAAATACTTTGAAAATCATAATTCACAGTTCTAAGTGACTGATGAATGAATGAACGGACTAATGAGTGAACTATTGCAGTTAAGTAAAGCCATCAGGTTATTAAGTAACAGAGTCTGAGGCTTGGATTGTATCTGGAGAACAATGTATTTAAAGTGTCCTGTCTTGACTTTGTAACCATCCTCAAATACAATTATTTCACTTCCCAAAATCTTTTAACCCTTTAAGTATAGGAAGACATATGTTGCTACTAAGGATTCATACTGATCCAAAGAGGATTAAAAAAAAAACCACCAGAAAGCCTTCTTGTTCTTGAAATGCAGAATTGGAAATGAACCATTTCCCAGTAGTGGGAACTGAAATCCAGTATTAGATCCTCCTTTTTGGTACCTTCTTCCTCTTTCTTCCCCCTCTTTTTACCTTAGCTCCTCCCCATCCCTCTCCTCTACCCAAATGGAAAAAAAATCAGTTGTTTTGAGCTCTCTTCAGTCTTAGATAAAGGTATAAGCAAAAGCCAAATTTATTAGGGCTGTTTTATAAGATCAACAAGGTGGTTATTTATAAATTGTTTAAGCAATTGAGTTGATGAGTGAGTTATCAAAACAAAGAGGTAATTTCTTATCAAAAGCCTAAAAGACAGGAAATGCCCTGGTCCTGCTAAGAGAATTCCTAAATCTATCCTTCCAACCTCTGCAACAAATGCAGAGTGGATCCCATGAATGTCAAGGTGAATATAAGAAGGGATTAGGAGCAAGTTGGTTTTGATAGGAATGAAAGAAAATACGAGCACAAGCCAGAAAACGGTGGCTCATGCCTGTAGTTCCAGTGACTCGGGAGGCTGAGATGGGAGGATCTCTTGAGGCCTGAAGTTCAAGGCTGCCGTGAGCTATGATCATGCCACTGCACTTCAGCCTGAATGACAGAATGAAACCCTGTCTTCAAACAATGACAGCAAACCCAAAATGATGAGTATAGGGACTGGAGAGAAGCAGTAAGGACTTTTCATTCCAGTAACGGAATCAGGCAACCAACAGGCAGATGAAGCAACAGACATTTATTAGTGTTTTAAGAAAAAAATAAAGAGAGAAAAACTACTCAAAAACCCATTTCCTACTTTCTGTAGTCTGTAACAGTAGGTAACTAAATGGAATAAGAAGTCCAGTAGACTCAACAGGAATAGGTACATGACAGCTTCCACAGAGACCAGGCATGGAGGTGGTCGTAGCACAGGAAAACTCCTGGAATCAGGAGCTGTCTGCTCATACTTGTTAGTTTTGCCAGCACCAAGCCCATGCTTATTTATTTTTGGATTCCTAGAGGTGGGAGGGAGAGAATGCTGATGTATATGGCATAAAAACTGCAATCTTAAAGATTAAAATAAATTAATGAAAACCTTTTTAAATAAACATAAAAATTCCAAAGTGGATGAGCTGGGACAAAATCAGGAATCCTGGGCAACATTCATGCTGAGTGAGGCTAGGCACCTCCTCCACATAGTTTCTTTCTTTCTTTTCTTTTCTTTTTTTTTTTTTTTTTTCCGTTTTTCCACCCATTCTGTTCCCAACACCTCTCACCCAAACATACCTGTGGAAGCCACATTCCTTCACAAAGCTAAATATAGCTGGGGGGAGCAAAGCACAGGGGACATCATACCAAACTTCTCTACTCAACCCTGAAAACCTGGAAGGTTCAGTAAGAGAATGGAGGAGTGCTACAAGATACTAGGAGTTAAGAACTGAAAAAATTAGAGAAATGGGACATAGTCAACTCTATTTCCTCATTCATTGCCCACTTGATTGCACTTTTTCAGCATGGAATAAACATGTATTCATATCATTAGATCTTACTAATATGCATACACAAAGGTTATAAACTTAACCACCAATCATGAATTGAGCACCTACTCTATGCTAAGCACTGGGATAGACTTTGCAGATGCAAAGAACAATGCAGACCCATTCCTAGGGCAGCTCAGAATATAGTTGAGTAGACAAGCATTACACAAGCAAATCCACAGATGAGTATTTTATTATGAAGTATGATAACTGAGATACAGGAAATCAGGTGCTATAAGATGAGGGAAGGGCCGGGCATAGTGTCTCACACCCATAATCCCAGCACTTTGGGAGGCTGAGGCAGGCGGATCACCTGAGGTCAGGAAATCAAGACCATACTGGCCAACATGGTGAAACCTTGTCTCTACTAAAAATACAAAAATTAGCTGGTTCTGATGGTGCACACCTGTAATCTCAGCTACTCAGGACGCTGAGGTAGGAGAATCGCTTGAACCTGGGAGGCGGAGGTTGCAGTGAGCAGGGATCACGCCACTGCACTCCAGCCTGGGTGATACAGCAAGATTCCGTCTCAAAAAACAAAACAAAACAAAAGACAGGGGAAGGAGATAAGTTACCTACATGTACAGAGCTCTCTAGTAAACTTTAAACTGGGATTTGAAAAAGGAAGATGGGTTAGTCAGGCCAAGAGTGAGGGGAAAGTGTGCCAGGCAGAGGAAACAGAGACCAGACAACACTAAAGTGGGTAAAATTGTGACATGTTCAGAGACCTGAAAGAGGCCAGCATGGTGGAAGATAAAGTTGGAGGGAGAATCAAGATCATTTAGGCCTTCATAGACCATGGTCAGGAATTTATAGTTTAAGTGTATCAAGAAGCCATTTAAGGGTTTTATGCAGGATGGTGACATGATTGACATGATCTGTTTTACATTTTAAGAAAAGGATCAGTCTGGGTGAGGTGGTTCACACCTGTAATCCCAGCACTTTGGGAGGCCGAGGCGGGCAGATCACCTGAGGTCAGGGGTTTGAAACCAGGCTGACCAACGTGGAGAAACCCCCATCTCTAGTAAAAATACAAAATTAGCTGGGCGTGGTAGCACATGCCTATAATACCAGCTACTCGGGAGGCTGAGTTCGGAGAACCGCTTGAACCCGGGAGGCAGAGGTTGTGGTGAGCCGAGATCGCACTATTGCACTCCAGCCTGGGCAACAAGAGAGAAACTCCCTCTCAATAAATAAATAAATAAGAAAGAAAACGATCCCAGCTGTTGTGTAGAAGACGAATTAGAAATGGACAAGAGGCAATTTTCTAAGTGACTATTGTAGGAGTCCTAGTGAAAGATGAAGGTAGCTTGGACTACACACCTTTGACATATAGGTGGTGAGGTGTAGAAATATTTGAGAGTTGCTTTGAAGTTAGAATTGGCAACATTTAACAATGAATCAGATTAAGCCAGAGTGTGTGGTAAAAGAAAGAGAGGTATCAAGAATGAATCCCAAGTTTCTGAATTGGGCAGCTGGGCGAATGTGTTTCCACTTACTGAGTTAAAAAACAAACAAACAAACAAACAAACAAGCAAAAAACACTGTAAAATGAAAATCTTTTGGAGGTGGAGAAATTGTTGAAAACTCTGGTTTGAACAACTGAGGTAGATGGCAAAGTAGGCAAGGTGATATTCAAGACTTGGATTCAAAAGAGATGTCTGGCTTTGAGATATGCATTTGCGATTCATCAAAATAGAGGTAGTATTTGAAGCTAGAAGAAAGAGTTGGCTTTCATATCAGATCAGGTGTTAAAAAATAGAACCAAAAAGCAGTGAAAGTGGAATGGTCCTTAGAAATACTCAAGTTCAAACTCATTTCTCGATTGATAGTGAAATCGGGGCTTTAGGGAGGAAAGTCACTGGTGGAAATGGGGTTGGTAAGAAACTAGGTCTCCCTTCTACTGGACCAGGATAGTTTTTGTTGTTTCACAATATTTTCTCCACATTTGACATCAAAATGGTTGAGACTGAGAAGCACTTTCTATGAGATATGTTCTAGAGACGTGGCTTATGGTCTTACCTCCTCATTTTATATTCTCACCTGCTGTATTGCGAACTACCACACTCTTATAACTGACCTGTTCCCCTCTGCCTTTAGTCAACTTGGAATCTTTTCCCCTGGTTCCTTACTTATTGAAAAAGAAGGTACAATCATCCCAAATGAACATACCTGGGCAATCTGATGTTGAGAAGGTCCAAATCTTAGAGAGATGACTGAGCTGCTGAACACACATCGCTGTGCTATTTCATCCTACTCAGCTTAGCACTTATGACCCCCTGTGACTATTTAGTAATTGCACTGTCTCTCCTCTTGAATGTGAGTGCCTGGAGGTCAGTAGCTATTTGTTTCTTCTCCTTGGTATCTTAATCCTCTCCTGGTGCCTAAGATAAGCAACTTACCCATCTCGCACATGTTTTGAAGGAAGAGGACCCAATAGACTGAGACTTTTACTGGAGTTTATGCACCTTTATTTATCTTCTCATATTTTCAAGTAAATACATTTAGTTAGCACATACTATGTGTCAGGGAGAGTGCAAAAGGTTGTAATTTTGTTCAGTCTGAAAATGTAGTTATTATGTAGAGGGTGTTATTAGCTGTTATACAATAAATTTAGGTTTATTCATGTGTATACATTTGCTTTGCATACCTTCCATCCAATTCAACAAATATTTAATGTACACTGACCATGTGTACGGAGGTAAAAGAGCAAACCTCTGTCACTTAGGGCCCCAAAGCTGGTGGGGGAGGGAGATATAAACAAACACACAAGCAATGACCAGAGCTACAACTGAGCTACAATCAATATACTTTGGTTGACTTCGAGAACATGATTGCTTCAGAGATATAAGAAAGTTTCTTGGAGGGGTGGGGTTTGAACATAATAATAAAATAATGCAAAATGATAAACATATTCTTGAAATAATAGACATCAAAACAATAAGCATAGCCTTGAAATAATTATGGCTAGCATTTTATATAGTATGGAGTATATACTGTTCTAAGTACTTAACACTTGTTAATTTAGTCCTTACAACAATCTTATGAAATGGGTATTTTTTTTTTATCCCCATTTTACAGACTGGAAACTGAAGCACAGCAAGGTGAAGTAGCTTGCCCAAAGTCAAGCAACTAATAAAAAACAGTGCTGGGATTTGAACCCTAGCAATCTGAAGACTTTAATCTTAGCTATTAATGTTTTACTGCCTTATGAATGAAGGATAGAACTTCAACACGCAGGTTAAAGAGAGGAAGTATGGGGAGGGAAGGCTTTTCGTACAAAAAGAAGGGCTGAAACCATGGCACAGGGATTAGACATATACCTAATAATGCTTTATTTTGTTTGAGCCATCTAGTTTTCAAAGGACTTTCTCAGCCATTCTTTGTTTCTCATCATGACTCTGTGAAGTATGTGGCAATTAGTACTCTCATTAGAAGATAAGAGAATCTGGACCCAGAACGGGAAAGGCACTGGGCTAGTGAGCAGCAGAATGAGGTTCAAAACCTGGTCCTTTTACTTCAAACAAGAGTCCCAACAACTAATACATTTGCTCAATGCTCTGAGCAAAGCTCTGTGCTAACCTTTTCCTGTATCTTCTAATTTCATCCTCATGATAGCCCTGAGAAGTAGATGTTATTGCATTTCAAAAGGGGAAACAGTTCAATTCTGCCTCTACTAGGAACCCTGAGAATGGAGTATTACCTGTGCATTAGCACATGCAGCTTCTCTGAGAATGGAAAATCCCAATTAATATCTTTGCCAAAATCTTCCAGTCACTCCTGCATGTGGCCAACTTTCCTGCATGGTGAAAGTCAACATTCAAATATGAAACTCGGCTTCAGTTTCCAAGAACTGATTGCATTATTAAGAATTAGTTTCTGAAAGTGGGCTTTGTGAATCTATGTGGGAAGGGCTACGAATCAGACTGGCTGATAATTTGGTGCAATTGCTAAAATACTTGATGCAATTCTGGACTGCATTGGCGGCAATACCATCTCCAGCTCAGTGAGCACCCATTGTGTAGGGCATAGTTCTAGGCCCCCAAGGGAGAATATAAATCAATGTCTTGAGAGAGTGGCTCTATCATGGATCCAGCAGCAAGCATGTCAAATGCTAAAAAAAGACAGTCAGGTAGGAGCTGGGTAAAAATTCACAGCCAGCCCCACAGCCTCAGGCAACAAGGGCTGAATTCCCAGCCATCGGCTTTGTTTATGCATGTTCAGTCTGGGAACCAGGTACGGAAGGCTCTGCGTTCAGTCCTGTTGTCTTCCAAATTTGATTACGGTTCTTAGGAGACAGAGTCATGACCTCAGCCTGGAATGGCAACATTTAAAAGAGACAACAAAAAAGAAAGATAAGATGACTAAAGCTCTTAGTTTAAGAGGGGGTAGAAGGGACAGAGTGAATTTGGGAAGTTTACACTTGATTTTTAAGGCCAAGGGTATCATGAAGAGCCTTGTGTTTGAATGCTGTTGTCAAGCCTTTAAAAGTCTTCCCTGCATGCTGATTGACAGCCAGAGGTATGGGATTATTTCCTCTATGCCTGTTGCCTTGGCTTGCTCATTTGTAAAAGGTGAAAGCAACTACTGCTCTGCAGGTATTAAGGATTAAATGTGGCAAAGCATAGTAAATGTCTTGTAAACATAAATGTGTACAAAGTAGACTGTTTTATATACTGTCCAGCTATCCCAGCTTTCTGGTAAAAAATGGGACTAGACAGTTAGACTCATTGAATGGAATCTTAGATATTGTCTGATCCAACACCTGAATGTAGCAGATGAGGAGGGGAGGAAGCAGTCTGTGCCTGGCCCAAGGGTACCCAGGACGTTAGAGACAAAGGGAGAATTTGTGGGTATGAGGAAGAATGAAATACTGAGAAACAGTGTGAGGTGGTACTCAGTCTGCTGAGCCCCTTCCAATGTAATCTCATTTCATCCCGACAGGAGACATGCAGTCAGGTATCTTCATTTCATAAGTCAGGAGCCAGAGGTTCAAAACGCAAATAGACTCCCTGAGATGAAGAGCCAGTAACCAGATGAAGGAGGTTCAAACCCAGGTTGAAATAAATCCAAAGCGCACGCAATTGACTTTATACCGTCCTACCAAATTTTCCGCATCTTTGCAAATACCTATTTCTGAGGATATCCATAGCACCTACAGAAAACAGTGGCAGCTAGAGAGGGAGTTTTTTATTTCTATTTTTTTTTTAAACATCTGCCTATGAATCACTGTGTAACTTTCCTTTATGCAGTTCAATCTTCAATCTAAAATGGCTAAATGCACCAGATGACCCAGGCCTCCTGCACCCCTCACATCCTGTGATTGTTGAGTCACACTAAAGGGAAAACAGTCCTCTTTTGCCTCCAAATTCAAGCAATTCTAAACTATACAAATGATTTATTTAAAATTGTATATATGCCTTTTGTGGTTATCTGAGGCAAGTGCAAAGAGATATGCCTTCTATTTCCTTTCATCAGCACCCAGTAGGTACCCTGTAAATTTTCTGGTGCATTCACTTTCAAAGTAAGCATTCTGTCAGCTTCCTATACATGATTACAGGCTATTTTGGGAGACATTTCTCTGACATCTGGGCCCTGTATCCATCCATCTGTACATTCATCATCTATACAAATGAACTTACATACATAATTATCAAAACAATACTGTTACTATACATGCTATATATATACATATAGATGTATGCATATATTCAGTGAACATTTATTTATTTATTTATTTATTTATTTTTTGAGACGGAGTCTCGGTCTGTCGCCCAGGCCGGACTGCGGACTGCAGTGGCGCAATCTCGGCTCACTGCAAGCTCCGCTTCCCGGATTCACGCCATTCTCCTGCCTCAGCCTCCCGAGTAGCTGGGACTACAGGCGCCCGCCACCGCGCCCGGCTAATTTTTTGTATTTTTAGTAGAGACGGGGTTTCACCTTGTTAGCCAGGATGGTCTCGATCTCCTGACCTCATGATCCACCCGCCTCGGCCTCCCAAAGTGCTGGGATTACAGGCGTGAGCCACCGCGCCCGGCCAGTGAACATTTATTAAGCCCCGTTATGTGACAGGCAGCAGGTAACTTGCTGCAAAAGTGTTGCTAGTTAAAATCTAGACTAGGTTTACTAATTATTCAAAATAATCATATTTCTTATACCACTGCTTTTTTTTTTTTTTTTTGACAGATTCTCACTCTGTTGCCCAGGCTGCTGGAGTGCAATGGCGTGATCTCTGCTCACTGCAAGCTCCGCCTCCCATGTTCAAGTGATTCTCTGCCTCAGCCTCCCGAGCAGTTGAGATGACAGGTGCCCGCCACCACCCCCAGCTAATTTTTGTATTTTTGATAGAGATGGAGTTTCACCATGTTGGTCAGACTGGTCTCAAACTCCTGACCTCAAATGATCCACCCGCCTCAGCCTCCCAAAGTGCTGGAATTACAGGTGTGAGCCACCATGCCCGGCCTTTATACCACTGCTTTAAAAAAAAAAAAAAAAAAAAAAGATTCTGATGCTTAGAAAGACCACTGGACATTGATCCAACTTTATTATTCTTACGCTCTTACTAAAACTTTAACTCAAAATCTTGGTTTCTTCTAAATTGTTACCAGGCACTGCTGAAAGGAAGCATTCATAGCACAAGGCAGTGACCTAGACAAGGATTAGGATTCATGGGTTTAGAGGCACACTGACCTTCCTTCTCACTTTCAGAATTGTGTTTAATAGCTCAGTCTGTTATCCGCCTGGGCTCCCCAATGTTAGACTTACGTATTATTCACTTGCCCAAATTTAGGTAACTGGGATAGTGCTGCTGCTGCTGCTTAATTATTTGCACCAAGGTGTCTGAAAAGGTAGCCTACTGAAAGAGCAAGGCTCTTGAGACAAAATGGTTTCTTCTGACTCTGACACCAAATAGTTGTATGACAATGAGCAAGTTACTTAACCTTTCTGAGCATTGGTTTTCCTACCTCTAAAGAATGAGATACTAATATTTAACTCATAAATTTTTTATAAGGGTGAAAGGAGAAGAATGAATCACTAGAACCTGGTACACGAGGGATAAATCGCTCCTCATTTGCACACTGACACATCCCCAGGAAGGTACATCTTCCAATTCCTCCTCCCATGTAGCTCCCATATATGAAAGCTGAATGATGAAGGATTTCTGAACTAGTCACCAATTGGAATCCTCTAGCCCTTTCCATACCACTATGGTGAATAATCTGGACATGACTCTGAGTAATTATTTCAGCCATACACAGATGCGTTTTACTAATCCCCACTATAATCATCCAACTTTCACTGTGAGAAGCATTTTTCCATTTGTTGCCTCATTTGATCTTCACAACAGCCCCAAGAGAAACACAAGCCAGTGTTGTTATCCTTCTTTGACAGATGGGCAAGCAGAGGGTTAGAGAGGTAAAGTGGCTTGTGACACTTCTAGATTCAGGTATATGACTCTGAATTCCATCCATGAGCTTTCTATTATACCAAGAAGCCACAGGATTGTTACCACATCCTAAAAGACACTAGATATTCTGGAAGAAAGAAAACCAGGAAGGTGAAGGCTGATGGAAAACAGATGAGTTAGTCCAGCCCTAGCCATCCCCACTGGGCTCCCACCCAGGCCTTTGCTCAGTGTCCCTCTCTCCCAAGCACTTCTTTCTCAGCCTATTTGTTTGCTCAGATCCTCTCTGTGGCCAGTAACATAGCTCAAACCCAGGCTCCTCCATGAAGCTGTTGACCAACCATCCAACCCAGTTCTTCAATTAATATTTACTGAATGCCCTCCACTGCGCTCCACTGCCCATGTGGAGTTTTGTTCTAGTGGAAGGAAATAATCAATAAATTCAATAGTAAATATGTATGGTTTTGTTTTGTTTTGTTTTGTTTTGTTTCTGAGAATGGGGTCTCACTCTGTCACCCAGACTGGAGTGCAGTGGCACAATCACTGCTCACTGCAGCCTCGCCCTCCCAGGCTCAAGTGATCCTCCCACCACAGCCTCCCAAGTAGCTGGGACTACAGGTGTGTGCCACCATGCCCTGCTAATTTTCTTGATTTTATTTTTTGTAAAATGGAGTCTCCTATGTTGGTTGGTCTTGAACTCCTGAGCTCAAGCATGAGACCAACCTGGACAACATAGGAGACCAAAGTGTTGGGACTACAGTCAGGAGCCACCATGCCTGGCTTGTATATTTTTGATGGTAATAAATGTTGAAAAGGAAAAAAAAAAAAAACAGGGAAAGGGGGATAGGACATATATGAAGGGACAAATGCAATCTGAGATAAGATGGCTAGGAAAGGCTTCACTGAGCATCAGACATTGGATTAAAGACTGAGAAGAGGTGAAGGCAAGAACCATTTGGACATCGAGGTAAGAACATCAGGCAGAGGGAAGTGCAAGGGCACAGGCCCAGGGCCAGATTATACCTGGAGTGTTCAGAAAGGCTGGTTTGGTGGGGGCAGTGAGAAAGGGCAGAGCAGGGGGAGATGAAGATGGAGAGAAAAAAAAAGACACCTCATATGGCTTTGGAAGCCCTATCAATTTGGATGAGGTGGAAGGCCACCGAAGGTTTAGACAGCGTTTAAATTTTACTTTCACAGAATCCCTCTGGGTGCTCTGTTGAGAAGGACAAGGTGGAAGCATAGAGGCTGTTTAGGAAGAAATTATCATAATCCTGGAGAGAGACAATGGTGGCTTGGACTGGGAGGTAGTGAGAAATGTTTGAATTCCTGCACATATTTTCAAGTCAGAGACAATAGTATTACTGATAGATTTGAAGTGGGTTATGGAGAAACAGGAGTCAAAGATGGCTCCAAGTACTTGCACCTGAGCAACTGTAACAAATGGGCTTGTTATTTACTAACATAGGAAAGACTTTAGGTTGAGCAGGTTTGAAGGAGTTAGAAGCATATCAGGAACTCCCATTTGTGTATGTTCAGTTAGAGAGGACTAATAGACATTCAAAGGCAGATAACTCAGCAGGCAGATGGATTTCTGAATCTAGAGTTCTGGAGAGAAATCTAGCTGGAGATAGAAATTTAGGAGTTCTCAGGGTCTAAGATTTTATTAAACCTGTGAAACTGAATAAAATCTCCAAGGAAGTGAGCACAGAACAAGAAGAGGTTCAATGGCTAAGCCCTGGGCCACTCCTTGTTCAGAAGTTTGGGAGAGGAGAAGGCACTAGCACAGGAGAATGAGAAATAGCCAGGGAGATAGGAGAAAATCTTCAGCATCCTTTCTGGAAAATCTGACCAAAATTTGCACCTCCTCTTCAACTGTTGGTTTATATTTCCTTAAAGGAGGCAGATTAGAGAGAGGTATCTTTAGAGGGAGAATCATGCCCCTTCTCTATGCTGTATAGTGCTTAGTGTCCAAGAGCTCTTCAGTTACATTCAATTAATGTGTTAATTTACAGCTGAATCACAAAATAATAGAGTATAAGGGACCCAATAAATCATCTGTATTTGTGATTTCCGAACTGAATTCTTTGGAGCAAGTCAAAGGACTTATTTTCTATCTGCATTGGGAAACCTATAAAGCTGTGACCTTCCTTTCCTAGAAGAGCTAATAAAAGCAACAGCATCCAGGCAGTCAAAGATACAGGCCTCACCCCTTCCTTCTAAGAAACGGTTGTGATTTTCATCAGACCTCAAACCTTTCAGAAAGTTCCAGGGGCTTGGATCTAGTCAAGAATATCTACAGGGCAGAGGGGCCAAGGGAGAAACACACTGTACTCGAGAATTTGGCCTCATTTCAGGCTGATGTGAGAAGGGAAAATACCATCTGCCACATTCCTTCCTCTTAATACCAACTAAAAGCCTAGAATCCTAGGCAGGATGGTAGCCATCATCTAGTTTAATCACCTCCTAAGAAGATGAGGAACTTGAGCCTAGAAAGGCCCTATATCTTATTCAAAATCACATATCAAGTGTGCTCCATCCGAGATTAAAAAACCAGGTCTCAACTTAAAATTTTCTGCTCAGATTCAGAATCAATTAAACTCCACTAGCATTTACTATATGCCTGGAAACATGCCAGGTGCTTTTACATGTTATTCTCTATCCTCACCACAATCTGCACCTGTAAGACTGATATGATTATCTCTCTATTACAGATGAAAGCATTGATGCTGAGACAAGAAAGTGATGGGAAAATCCCATGTCTGTTTGATTTCATGTCTAGTGCTTATTCCAGCACACCTGCTACCTTCCTCACCAGGACTCATTTCACAAGCTCATGCACTCTCACAGTGCAAGCAACTAACAAATACCCTGCCATCCCACCAATAGATTAGGCCTCTCCAGCCTGGTACGTCAGTGAATGACTTACCTTGAAGACAGAGTGTGGACTTCATAAACAAACTGCCTAGGTTTGAATCATGACCTTGCCACTTATTAGCTGTGCAACTTTGGCTCATCCCTGAACCCCAGTTTCTTTATTCGTAACTAGGAATGATATACTTACCCGCAGGGAGTTAGGATTAAGTAATATAATACATGTACTAATAAATCATTTAGCACAGGTCTGACATGTACAGTATATGTTCAATAAATGTTAAATGTAATAGAAAACGGCTGATTCTTTTAAACCCTGTAGCTGTTTTGGAACACACTGTTCAGTGCTTCAAAATCCTTTCTTGGAAAATGTCTAGGTGGAGAACCCAATACCAAAACCCAGATGTGACAAGGCTTAGGAGTTTCAACCACTCTTTGTACCAGCAGGGTTCAATCAGGAAAGCAGAACCAAAAATAATACAGAATAATGGATTTATTATAGGAATTAGATCTTATACAATTGATATGAGGCCAAAGGTATATAGTGAGAGTAAGTCCTAAAAAATCTTTTGAAATCTCAATGAAAAATATTTTTATATATACTTATGGTATAAGAAGAACCAATCAGAGTAAAATTTGGACTGTCTCTGGGAAAGAGGAGTCTCAAACTGGAGAACAAAAAAATTCGGCTCCTTGTGACATGGTTTGAATCCTGGATCAAGTCTTACCTGGTCTGTTTACTTACATAAGACAACAAATTCTCTTTTTTTGATTTAAAAAAAAAGAAAAATATTTTTATATATAAAATAGATACACATAGATATATGTGTATATCTATATATAAAATGTATGTGTATGTGTGTGTATATATGTGTATATATATATGTATATATGTGTATATATATACATATATATATATGTGTATATATATATGTATATATATACAGAGACACTGGAAGAAAACTTACCAAAATCTTTATAGTGGACATCTCTGATTGATGGGATAATGGAGAGGTTTTATTTTCATTTTCATTTACTTGCTTTCTAATTTTGTACACTAAACAAGTATTCAGGCCGGGTGCAATGGCTCATGCCTGTAATCCCAAAACTTTGGGGACCTAGGCGGGTGAATCGCCTTAGGTCAGGAGTTCAAGACCAGCCTGGCCAACATGGTGAAATCCTATCTCTACTAAAAATACAAAAATTAGCCAAGTGTGGTGTCGCACACCTGTAATCCCGGCTACTCAGGAGGCTGAGGCAGGAGAATTGCTTGAACCCAGGAGATGGAGGTTGCAGTGAGCCAAGATAGTGCCACTGCACTCCAGCCTGGGTGACAAGAGTGAAACTCTGTCTCAAATAAATAAATAAATAAATATAAAAGAAGACAAATATTCAAACTAGAAATTATTTGTTAATACTTATTGTTAATTTACTTCTTAATCTGCCTTGCATTTTTTTTTTCTCTGTAGAAAACTCAAAATAATGTATTATAGGCACTTGTAATTATAAAGTTAATTATGGGAGAGAGACAAGGTAGATAGGAATTGGAGAATATCAGGCCTGGAAGTGTCAAAGGCAGTATCGTCCAACTCATCATTTAATAAATGGGAACATTAAAGAGCACAAAGTCAAATTGTTGTCCAAGACCACAAAGAGCCTGGAGAGAACCAGGACTCCACGCCCCTTGGCTGAGTGTTCCTTCTTCGCCGTACTTCCATCTCTCTAGAGTCACACCTATGGTTGATTTTATGATGCTGATAATGATCAAGAGGAGGAAAGAGGAGAGAAATGGTCCCATAATTTTGGCCTTATTTGCAGGAATTGGAAAATTTCTCCCACAGCCAGACACACTCAATTGGTTAGTTTTCTTCAAAACCCTGCCCACAGCAGCATTCTGATCAACATCCATCACTTTCCTTCCCAGGATTCCAGAGGAGATCCAGGTGGTGATCAAAGAGGAGACCCTGTTGGCAAAGCTCCCTTCTGGCACTGATGAACTGGATGTAAGGTCTATCTCTTGTCCCTCTGAATGATAACAAAAATATGCTTACCTAAAGTTGCTCCCTGGATCTCAACAGAAACTTCATAACTGGTCATTGCTTCCAGAAAACCTTCCTACCATTCAGGCTTACACATAGCTGGCCACTCAGCTAAGACAAGTAATGGGCTGAGAAAAATCAAATAAAAGTGTGTGGTTTTGATATATGCATTTTATTACTGGCATTAGTCAAGTAATCATGGGCCAGTGAATTTTCAAAGCAGCCTTTTAATACTCAAGCACAGTGCAGAGTAAGAAGGATGAGAATATGACCTTTTCAAAGCCCCATTTTTCTTAGGCCTTTTAGTAACTCCATGGCCCCAACTCTGGAATCTGAAGACTTAATCTTAAAAGATTATGTGGGAAGAGGCAGCAAGGTGTAGATAAAAACATGCTGAGCCTAAAGTCGAAAAACTGGAGACTATATTTTGATGGTAAATATCAGATGTATGACCCTGGCAAGGCATTTGACTTTCTGGCCCTGGTTTCCTCCATGAAAAACTGGGATAATATTCATATTTGTCATTTGTAACTACTACTGTGTTGTTCAAAGATAAACAGAAAGGGTATAAGATATTCGAATATTATTATTTTCATTAATTATAATTATAGTATTAGTGCTCAATTGCATTAGGCTTCTCCTTAAAACAAAATTGCTTGTATGTCTGAATGGATCAGGAAAAGAAGATGGGAGGGGCAAAAAAAGGAAAGTCACTCTTTTCCTGGAAAGCGTTGTTGTTTAATTCTTTTCTTGGAGTAAAAAATCCCAGCCACGCCGTAGGGAACAGAACATAGGCTTCTCTTTGATGTCACCCCTCACCCAATAGTATCACTTCCCTTTTTTCACCAACCGCTTCAAAGATCTTACGTCTGGGCTTCTGTAGTGACCACGCCAAACATTTAAATCCCCCACTTAAACAAGTACCAGAGACGAAACAACCAAAAGAAAGACAAAGCAAGAGGAGAGAGGGTAGAAAGAGAACAATACAATCGTGTTCTTTGAAAGGATGATGGTTAATAAGACTTACTTTAGTTTAGAGCCAAATAGTTTTCTTCCAACAGAGACGGTCATAGCAAACCCAGACAGGAGCGGGCAGGAGCAGAGACGTGAGCCCTGCTCTCTAACTAGTGGTATTATCACCCATTTGTGGCTCCTGAGAGAGAACAGCGGGGCAAGCCAGGCCTTAGCACTGTGCCTTGCATTAATTAACAAGCACGGACCTGGCCTTTCAGGTACACCAGGGATGGGCCTCTCTCCCTCGTCTTAGGTTCTGCCGGAAGCCAGGGTGAGTCCTGTACAGATTCTGAACCCTTCTTTATGTGCACAGACCCAACTCTCACGCCTACCGATGTTGGTCTGTGCTACTCCTTCATCCAGGCAGCAAATCAGCACGGACCCAGGGTAAGTCATAGAAATCAGGAAAATGAGGTAGTTACAGAGCCTGCTAAGGAGCCCAAGAAGTGAGAGTTAGGGCAGAAAGCCTCTTCAGTCACTCCTTCACCAGGCCATTCTTTTATTCCTGAGTCACCCTCCACACCCCAGCGTTCAAACTGAGACCCATCACTCTTACCAGGTATGGACAGATGCTGCAAATGCTGCCTTTTGTACGACTATGGCAATTTGACACGATGTTCTTCCTGTTGTGTTTGAAATCTCCCCATGCACTTCCTTTCAAGTGGTTATTTCTTAGCTGGATCGAGGAAAGACCAGCCTTGCATAAGACAAAGCCAGTGATCATTAGCCAGCATGGAGCCGTGAGCAGTGCATGCGTAGTTATACTAATTGGTTGATTGATGCAGGTTCTGTTGGAAAATACTGCATTTTAAGGAAGTGCAACCTTTTAACTTCTGACATGGAGTAGGCAGCATGCCAAGAGAAGGACTGGACTAGTCATAGAACAATCCGTTGAGCCGTGGGCACTGAATTGAGCACAAAATAAGCAGGGTTCACAGATTCGCAGAGGACCCAAGGAGAAGAGAGCCAGCAGGTAATTGTCAGGTACCACAGCAAATACCAGTAAGGTGATCTTGGCCCCTCCTGTTTGCCAGGTCCAGGTTTGGGCATGTCAGTTACCTCTATTACACATTTTTTTCCCCAGTGCTGCCATCTATATTTAATTAAATTGCATTATGCAGAACCCCATGGCTCAGAATCCTGGAATATTAGTGTCTTTAGTATTAAAAGACTCAATTAGCCCATGTGCACAGCGGGCTTCTCTCTCTTCCCCAAAAGGGTAGGACAACTTGTTGTTTTTGTTGTTTTTTAATATATCCAAAAATAAAACTCATTACTCACATTCCCAGAGTGGGCCTGGTAAGAGTAAATGGAACCAAAGAATCATAAAATTTTTGGATTACTCCATATCTGAATCTCCAACATATAATGCCCCTACCAAAGTGTCTATCCAGATTTTTCTTAGGTATCTCAGGGCAAGGAACTCTCCACCTTCCAAGGTGGCTCATACCATGGTTGATCACATTTAGAAGTTGAAGAGTTTAAATTTGGACTTATTTATTTGTTCAATTATAGGAAGAAATTTACCACAGCAAATTAGCACTTACCAATGATATCTGGGGGCTATGGGCATGGCTACTGACCTCAATGGATGCAAATAGGATCTATGACCACAGAATATACCCCCACTCTCAACTTATATGTAAGTCTTTGGTCAGCAAAATGGATAGACAAAATTATATGCCGCACACAGTACACATCTATTGACAGGACTAGAGGAATATTTATAAATCATAGATTTAGGTATTGATGATAAAGGCTTATATGGGAATCTTCCCTTGGTCACAGAGAAGGGAGCTAGATCTGGTCTACTTTGATTTTGGCTTCTAGGGGATCATGTGAAAACCAGGTCAATATCACATTCTTGGAAATGAGATGGACAGTTATTATGTCCTAGCTCCTTAGTCATTTTTACAGGTTTTTCCTCTTCTCTTTTGTCTTGAACCCATGCCCTAGGTCAGAAAATCATAGAATTAAATTCCTAATACAGTTTTGGAACTGAAATTTTCCCAGAAGAAATCTTATCTGATTTTCTTATCCCGAAACTAGAAAATTGAGGCCTGGAAAAAGTAGGCAGCTAGCCCAAGTTCACAGAGCTCTTTTGAGATGAAGCCAGAACTAAAATAAGTCTCCCAGCACCTAGTGGAGTGCTTTACTCTTTATTATCAATGATAATATGTTGAGTATGTACAGGGTGTGATGGTTTCTCTAATGTGCTTTGGAGCAGGAACTATAGAAAGTTTTGTGGAACAGAGAAATGAGCCAACCCTGTAGTCTCCCCAGGTGGCAACCTTGTGGAGTGAGGATTGCTAATAGGCCTTTTAAATGATCAAAACACAACAAATAAACAATGCAAACACTGTCTGATTGTATCTGCATGCAAATAAATCAAAATGATCCCCCGATAAGATGCTAGTTATTAAGCATCTACTGTGATCTAGCCACTTTACGTACATTATAGCACTCATCTTCCCAATGACTCTGTAAGATTGGTGTTATTATGCTTGTTTTTCAGGTGAGTAAACTGAGGCTCAGAAGACCGATAGCCAATGTAGCAGAGATAAGATTTAGAGGCCAGTCTTCTGGCCTCAAAATCTGTGCTGTTTTTCACCATGTCTACCATCTTCTCCAGATTTCTCAAACCCATTCTGTGTCCCATCCACCAACAAAGCCCACACATTTTATATGGCTGGTGCTGGTATGGAAAAAACTTGAGACTTTTTAAAAATTCCATGGCTATTAGTTTAATTATCTCATCAGTCAGTTAAGGAAGTATCTCCTTTATTTATTGGTGTGTTTCTCATATTTAATGCATGTTATTAATGTATTAAATTAATAATAGTAATGCAAATTAAAACTGTAGCATCTGGTGTTAAGCGGCAATGCTTGATATACAAACTTAAATAAATAAATAACATTCTGAAATATTTATTTACCAGTCATAATTTTAAAAATTGTTTATACTAAAACATGTTTATAGTAAAGACTATCTGCAAAATTGAAAATCAGAACTTGTGGGATTTTTTTGCAGTAATGCTAAGTCCAGCATTTGGTTATAAATTCTTTGCATACATTTTTTTCTTTAATGTATGCATTTTTAAAATATATATTTTGATGTTTTAAATAGAAAACATGGATTAAATAAATATTTGCCTTAATAAAGAAAGAGCTACTTTCCAGGTTAGAGTAATATTTATATACGAACAATAGATCATGGGTTCTAATAGTTCCAATGGTCCGAAAGTAAAAGAAAATGAAACATAAGATTTTAGCAGAATCCTTCCATTGCTGCTGTTAAAGTCTTGGGTGAAAGTCCATAAACATAAAACATAATGGTCTATGGGGAGTTCTACTGCAGAGGACAATTATGTGGCAGTTTAGAGAAGCCAGTCCTTGGGCTGATGAAAGAAGATCATCTTGTGAATAAAGTTGTTATGAGATGTAAGATGTATGATTTATACTCTTGTTTCATACCCAAGTGATATGTAAGCATCTTCTCTTCCTTCTAAAACTCACTGAGAATTCTTCAGTTCAAATATACAAACAATTAGAGTCAGCAATAGAAGCACAATAAAAATAGCTAACCTCCAGTGAATGCTTAGTACAAGCCAGGCACTGTTCTATACACTTACAGCTATTAACTCTCAGTCTTCATAATAAGTCGGTGCATAAGGAACTGTTATTATATCTACTTTTACAAATGCCCAAGTTTGTACAGCTGCTACATGAGGGAGTCTTTGTTCAGAGCGAGGCAGCGGCTCCAGGGCCTGGGGTCTTTTTAACACAGTGCTTCACTGCCTCTATCAAGTCCTGGTCAGTGGACAGGTCTTCCACTCCAGAGACAGTAGCCCAAGTAGCAAGAGTGAAGTCTGCTATGTGGTAAGTGTTTGAGGAGGATCTTTGTGGTTTCTGCCACCTCAATGCCACCATCTTCCTTACCAGAGAGAACTTCCTATTTTGATGGGTGAGTCATCTAGTTATTCTTCGTGATCTTCAGTTCAATTTCCTCTTTAAGGAGAAGCTTATTCATGCTCAGAATTAGACTTGTCTTACCGGTTACCTCTGAATATTCTGTTGATCATTCTCTGAGGTTGAATAATCTTTTCTCTGCCAACATCTACCCTTCCCTAAACTTGAAAAATACCAGTCAATGCTCATCTTCCTAAAATGTAAGCCCCCAAAAAACAGGACTCACGTCTGTTGAAAAATGACTCACCTCTGCGGCCTTCTTGTCTCAGCAGTCCCCTAGACATCTGCCCTAGTATAGATCCTTTCAGTCATTGAACTCAGCAAACATTCATTGTGCAGTCACTATGGAAAGAGGATGTGAGGTCCTGCACATGGAGTGAGAACATTCATACTAGAAGATTCACACTTTCTTCATTCATGTATTTATTCATTCACTCAATTAAGAAGCATTTATTAAGCACTTCCTGTGCCAAACACCTACAATAAATGGAGGCATGGATGTTAAGAATTAAGGATTTACACTGGAAATCCCTGGTTTCCAATTTGACTTCACCTAATACCTGTGAACTCTGGCAACTTTCTTAACCTCTCTGGGCCCCTGTTACTTCATTTCCAAAATGAAAACTACCAGTATCAACAGCCTTATTTAGCTGTGATGGTTAAAAGAGATCACACATGTTAAGTGTTTGATAAATGTCATCCATTAGGTAACGGGCATAATCCTTGTTCTCAAGGAAACAACAAACTCAGGAGAAGACAAATTATTAGAATGTGAAGTACAAATAAAAATGATAAGGGGCTGGGCACAGTAACTCACACCTGTAATCTCAACTTTGGGAGACTGAGGTGGGAGGATTGCTTGAGACCAAGAGTTCAAAACCAGCCTGAGAAACACAGTGAGACCCTATCTCTAAAATATATATATATATACACATATATATATATACATACATATATATATATATATATATATATATATTAGCCAGGTGTGATGGCACATGTCTATAGTCTCACCTGCTCAGGAGTCTGAGATGGGAGGATCACTTGAGACCAGGAGTTTGAGGCTGCAGTGAACCGTGATCATGCCACTGCACTCCAGCCTGGGTGACAGGGTGAGACCCTGTTTCTGAAATAGATAAATAAATGAATAAATAAATAAATAATTTTTTAGAATGATAAGTGGCGCTCAGATTAAGGTTGAGATGACTTACAACAGAGAAAATCAACGAAGACTTCCTTTTAGAAGGAGGCTGCATTTGAGCAGGTCTGCACACACAGACATGCAGAGGACAGGCATTCCAGGAGGTGGAGATGCCCCAACAAACAAGTGGAGGTATTAAAGAGTAAGTTCATGTTCTGAACTCCTGAGTCACTGGGTGATTAATTTGACAAAAGTATAGGAGACATAAAGGGGATAGGCTGTGCCAATCCTAGAGAAAAGAGTTGGAAATATCTTGGTGAGCACCATGAAAACTAGTTGAGCAATTTGGGTTCCATACAAAATGGGCCAGGCATGTAGCTGTACATTTATGTGCATTATTCACTAGTTTCTTTTTTGTTTTCAACTGTGGATGGGTGTGACATCTGTATTCTCACCTTTAGATTTTAAGTAATCTATTCCTTCATGTTTGGGGAATTTGATCACCTCCCAATGTGTTTAACCATCCATCATGTCACTTGAGCGATTAGTTGCCCTATGAAGAAGGCTCATGGTGGAGATGAGCCCATTTTACCAATGAAGAAACTCACATGGAGAGGTGGGATAACCCGTCTGTTCCAACAGCTGTTACTTGAATGGGTTGGGGTGGGAATTTCATGGCTCCTGATTCTAAGACCCTTTCTGATTTCTGAGGTGGAGGGATGCAAGCCCACTGCGACAGGGAAGCTGAGGCCATGTTTCCTTAGTGCCAAGAAGAGAAATTTTGACAACAGGGCCCTGCAGCTTGGGGTTGCTTCTGCCACCACTGGCTACTCTCTTTTGCTGCACTTTGCAGCAATGAGTGCTATGCAAAATGAAATTAGCTATAGATATTTCCTTCCTCTCCTGGTTGGCCTACTGGGTACTTTTCCTCTGGCCACACCCCAGGTTTCTTAAAGGCCTTTGAAAGAAATTGTTATTGACTAAACTTTGGAGTTACCTATGATGAAAATCCAGTCTCTCATTTCTTTTGTCCTCCATGGATGAGTTGGGCTCTTAACGTGAACCTTGGGAAATCAGAGGTCCAGTTTGCTTTATTTAGATTTCAGGACACTAGACTTTTTTGTGTGTGAAGAGCTCAAAGTTCTACTGAAGGTAAAAGTATCCTATGTCCCAGTGTCTCGACCCATTTAAGTAATTCATCTTCCTCTGCTCCAACTCCTAATTTCATATCCCCTGAGGCTGGACATTCTCCTTATTCCTTTCCTTAAGCAGTTACATAAAAGAGCAGTTCGGATACGAACCAGTTTTTAAGCATACCCCCACAGGCAAGTTGTTCGAGTGTAAATTATTTACATAAAATAATTTAAGTATATAGGTAATTATCTAACAATTTATCTGGAAATTTGTGAGGTCTAAAAAGGAGGCTCTGTGACTATGTGTTCTGTGTTGTCTAAAGTGTGAACAGTAGTCCTTGCACATATTAAGCTACCAATCATTTTTGTTAAATGAATCAGTTAATAATTGTGCATGTGTTTCTCTATATGAAGTGTAGAGCTACAGGCTGTGATCCCTTACAATGGTTTTCTTTAGCTTAAATTTTCTTATGCATTCCTGCCTGTTCCCCTCCAACCTTCTGCCCCCTACACACACACAAACACACAGACACACATATACACACATCCACTCATTAGCTTTCACATTTTGCCTGTGTTGTATTGTGCCGAATACCTTGATTGAAGGCCATTTAAGACCTTTTGAGAGTTTTATTTTTACAGAGGTGCTATAAAATAGCAGGAACATCACACATACTAAAAACTTGTCTTTTTCACTTAACAGTTATGAGATCTTAGTCAAGTTTCTCAGATGCTTTGGGCTTTAGTTTCCTCATCTCTAAAATGGAGATAATAATGAAGAATTAACGTGAGATCATGAGAAATAAAATACTTATCCAGTCTCTGGCAAGTGCTCAGTAAATGTTTGTTAAGATGACAATAGTGATTCTTTTTTGACTAGATGAAAGAAATGATATGATAATATTATAAGCTGTAAATTAACTTCCTCTCTTGTGGTAAGAGATTAGATATAAAAATCCAATAAAATATTTTAATTATTCAGGCATTTATTGTACACATAGATTATTTATTTAACTAAAGTATTTGAGAAGGCTTACAATAAAATAGTATAAACAATATTATAGTCAACATTTGGATTAGTAAAAACATAAGCCAATTATGGAAACTTAATATTTATATAGTCATTTACAGACTACCTGAGGTATTTCCAAACACTATCTATTTTAATTCTTAATTTCCACAACAACTACGTTAGGGAGGTATTATCATTTATCCTATCTGAGAGGGAATGAAGTGACTTGTCCTACTTCTCACTGTTTATATGTGGTTAAGGGATGCAGAAATGTTCAGGAGCCCAGGGTCACAGTGTTATTTCTCTCAAATAAAAGAGCTAAGACTCAATTACCCCTTGGTGTTTACTTAAACCACTGAGTTCTCTTTTCTAAGGTCAAGGCTATGCTGAAGAGGGAATAAGGCAATCACCAGCTCTGGCACTAGATAGGTCTGATTTAAATCCTAGCCCTACTGCTGTCCAGGTGTTATGACCTGAGGCAAGTCACACACAGTTCTCTGAGTTTTAGCTGACTAGTCTATACGATAGAACAATGACACCTTACTGATTATTGTGAAGTTTAAATAAGACAGTGCTTACTATGGGGACAGACATGTAGCGCACTGGGCACTTGTGTATGTTGGGCTATTTACAAGTCCGACTGTGGCTTTGATGGCCCTGGGGCTAAAGAGTCTTGACTGTCAGAAGGTACAATGCAGAAAGAAGGTATGTGTTTGGGAGAGAGGGATGTTTGAAAGGAGGAAAACCAAGGTAAACAGAAAGAAGGAGAGCTTATGGAAGGAATCGGAGTCTGTGGCTTCCCAGCCCATTGGACCTGGAAAGTAGACAGCAGAGTATGGGAGAAGAATAGAATGGGAATCAGGAGATATGAGTTCTAGATATAGTGTTGCTAATTTAATCATGTGACAGCAGATTCCTCTGCTTTCTGAGCCTCAGTTTATTGTCCAAAGAAAAGGTGGGGGCATCAGAGAATCTGACCTCTAAAGTTTCTTTCAGGCTTTATTTTCTATCACAGGTTCCCAGAAACAAAGGTTTGGCTAGGGACATAAAAGCGCTGAACCCAGAAGTTGTGGGTGTGCCTATTTTGGCTCATAAATGCTAACTGATTTGAAATATTAAATACTTTAATTTTGTGTCTAAACAAATTTTCCCTTAGTTACATGCAAACCCTAAGAAAATAAAGGTTATTATTCACCTTGATTCCATTCTATATCTTATGTATAGCAACAAACTGGAAAAAACGTCATCTAAATCAGGCAAGAGTTGGATTTACCAGCAACTCTCAGCCTTCCTGTGCCATAATAAGGGAACAAGTTGGATCAAAAGATTTCCAGCTGTGCTGTCACTTTAATGATCAGACTAGATCAGCTAATTATGATAATGCCTCAGTGATAGACAGCAGGGCTCCTATCAAAACAAAGAGCGAAAAGGAAGAGAAGGAGCAAGAAGGAAAAGAGAGGAGGGGGTGAAGGAAGAAAAAGTAGACAGAAAAAAGGAAGAAGGAATTGACATGGATGGCAATTCATGATTTACAAAGCACCTAAGCGAAATAATATATCCCATCTTAATCCTCGTAAACACCTCATAATTATTACATGATTGCAGAAGAGGAAACAAAAGCCCAGAGAACTGAAGTGATTGCCATAGGCTAAATGAATTGACTCATTTTCTTTTCACATATCACCTTCTGTATTGTAAAAGAGTTCATATGCATGGTCTCTGAGGATAAGACCTGGGTTACATTCAGGCCTCTTCTCTCTGCAGAATCTGAGGTTCAAAATCTTGCACACAGTAGGTGCTCAGTAGATGTGTTTTGGACAAATGAGCATATCTGCAGAAATAGATTTTTTTTTTTAAGATAAAGTTTCACTCTGTCACCCAGGCTGGAGTACAGTGGTGCGATCTCAGCTCACTGCAACCTCCACCTTCTGGGTTCAAGCGATTATTTTGCCTCAGCCTCCCAAGTAGCTGGGATCACACGCATGCGCCACCACGCCTGGCTAATTTTTTGTATTTTTAGTAGAGACGGGGTTTCTCCATGTTGACCAGGCTGGTCTTGAACTCCTGACCTCAGGTGATCCACCTGCCTCGGCCTCCCAAAGTGCTGGGATTACAGGTGTGAGCCACCGTGTCTGGTCCCAGAGTATATCTTAAAGTAAGATGTTGTAGAGCTGGAATTCTTTCTCCCCTGATTTCATTCTTTTGGTGATGGGCAGGATGTAGCTGGGACTGTCTACCCAGACATTAACACTCATCTTTTCAGGAATCAGTCTAAGAAGTCAGATAAAGGCTTTTAGTCATTTACTGAGCAATTTCATGGAGTTGTATACACTTTGAGAAACTCTCAAACCGGTTATCTTATGCCATGAGGTGGTTAAGCAGGAATTGTTTGTGACTCATATTTTGCAGAAGAGAAGACTGTGGTCTGAGGAAATTAAGTGGCTTGCTTGAGCTCACCCAGTGTGGAGTGGTTGAGCCTGGATTTGAAATCTTCCACCGAGGCTCTGGGCCCTGTTCCCAGAGTTCTTACTCTGTGTACATCTCTGGCACCTCCTGATATCTCAGCCAGCTAAATAGAAATGCTGCCTGCCTGAGCCCAAGCCATCTGGTATTGTTAACACTCATAGAATCAGGATAATATAACAGCCTTACAATCTAAAGAAAATGCTTTACATCGGTGTAGTCACTGTTGGATGACATAGTTACTTAGCACCTCTGTCTGTAGAATTGTTTAAGTTTCTCAGGAGAAAAAGAAAGCGTAAGTCATTTGGACTCTATAACTTGGTAGAAATGGCCCCATGAGGGTGTGACAGGATAAGACTCCTCAAGTCTACTGTACTTTTTCCAGTTGACTGCTCTGTCGACCCTTTGGCAGTGCCCAGAAATTTGCCATGTTGACTATGATCTTAAAGGGATAGTTGATTTTTAAGGTCATTATTTTTATATCTGAGAAAACAATAAATGTTTCCTAATTTGAGTTATTCCATCAGAGAACATACACGTTGCCTCTCAAAATAAAATAATTATGTATAAAAATATACAGTATTTGTCTTTAAAAAATAAACGTTAAAGTGGACAAAAGATACATTTCAAAAATAGTCATCGTGAGAAAAGCAGCTCACTCTGAATATTCGTTCAATAAATATTTATTGAATGCCTACGATATGTCACACAAACTTCTAAGCACTAGAGACAAAAAACGGACGAAATCTCTGAACTCATAAAGTTTTATTCTAGTGGGAGGAAACACAAGAAAGACATGAATAGGAAATAGAACAGGATCTGCTAAATGCTGTGCAGAATAGTTTAGGAAAAGGAGATAAAGAGCTAAGGGACACAGGGGGTGATATTTAGTATATGTGATATATGAGTTGGGATCTGAAGGATGGAGCACACCTGTGGCTATCTGGGAATAAGTGTCCCAGACAGAGGGAACATGGTTTGAAAAGGTCTTGTGGCTGGAGCAGGCTTGGGTGTCTTTTTTTTTTTTTTTTTTTTTTTTTTTTTTTGAGACAGAGTCTCGCTCTGTCGCCCAGGCTGGAGTGCAGTGGCGCCATCTCCGCTCACTACAAGCTCCACCTCCCGGGTTCACGCCATTCTCCTGCCTCAGCCTCCCGAGTAGCTGGGACTTCAGGGGCCCGCCACTACGCCCGGCTAATTTTTTTGTATTTTTTAGTAGAGACGGGGTTTCACCATGTTAGCCATTATGGTCTCGATCTCCTGACCTCGTGATCCGCCCGCCTCGGCCTCCCAGAGTGCTGGGATTACAGGTGTGAGCCACCGCGCCCGGCCAGGCTTGGGGTGTCTTTAGAACAGAAAGGAGGCCAGGGTGACTGGAACAGAGAGTGGGAGGTGAGGGGCTGGAGGCAGCAAAAGGGCCTGTCAGGCCTCACGGGTCTAGATGGAACTGTGACTCTGACTGTCAGGGAGGTGGGGAGCACTGGAGGGTTTCGATCTGATCACCCTGGCTGTTCTGTGGAGAACAGACTTGGAGGAGTGATCAGAGGAGGAGGGTGGGATGGGGTGAGGAGAAGGGAGATGGATTAATAGGCCAGTCCAAGGGTTTAAGCTGGAAATGATTGCGGATTGGACCATAATAGTCTATACTGTTGGCGCCAAATAAAGAGAAATCATTGGGTTATGTTTAGGGATAACTTAAAGGCTTGAACCATGAGACAGAGAGTTTATGGAAGTTTAAACTCAATTTAGTTATGTGATTGTTTCTACCTCTCTAGAGTAATGCAAATAAATATTATCTTTGATAAATATATAGGCAATTTTTCCTTCCAGCTGTGGAAAATAATGTTCCATATGACTTCTCTTAGTTTTTTGTTTTGTTTTGTTTGCTTTATTTTTTATTTATTTATTTTTTTTGAGATAGGGTCTCACTCTGTTGCTGAGGTGCAATCACAGTTCACTGCGGTCTTGAACTCCCTAGCTCAAGGATCCTCCCACTTCTGTCAGTGTGCACCACCATACTCAGCTAATTTTTTTTTTCTACTTTTTGTGGAGACAGGGTCTTGCTTTGCTGTCCAGGCTGGTTTTGAATTCCTAGGCTCAAGCAATCCTCCCTCCTTGGTCTTCTAAAGTGCTGGGATTACAGGCATGAGCCACTGAACCCGGCCAGCTTCTCTTAGTTCTTAATGATTTGAATCATAAAGTGAGAGGTAAGCTAAATAATTTAGCTGATTCTTAAGTGTTAAGAGAAGCAAAAGAAAAAATCCTTAGGACTTCACAGAAGTTAATAGTAGAGTACATTACAATCAGAAAAGCTGAAATTCTCTCAGCCACATCAATATTATGATCTTAACCTATGAAAGAAGCAGAGGTTGTTAAACTTGGAAGAGATCCCACTTTGTAGGTGAAGAAACTGAGACACACAAGGGAGATAAACAGTCCAAGTTACATGAAAGTTATTGAGTTTGGACCAGAATCTGATTCTCAGTCTCACATTTGTCTTCTCCATTAGAAGTTTTCTTCATAAATACACAAGTTGAACAGCCCTAATCTGAAAATCTGAAATCTGAACTGCTCCAAAATCCAAAAGTTTTTGAGGACTGACATGATGCCATGAGTGGAAAATCCAACACATAAGTGTTTAACAAAAACTTTGTTTCATGTGCAAAATTATTAAATATATTGTGTAAATTACCTTTAGGCTATGTGTATAAACATAAACGAATTTTGCATTTATACTTGGGTCCCATCCCCAGTATATGCAACTATTTCAAAATCTGAAGAAAAAAAAATTGAAATCCGAAACACTTCTGGTCCCAGGCATTTTGGATAAGAAATACTCAACATGTGCTTTGTTTCTGATGTATTAGAGGGTTTCAAGTATATCATTTAGAGCTGCTGGCGTTAAGAATCACAATCTTCTCCATTTGTTGTATTAGAGGGTTTCAAGTATATCATTTAGAGCTGCTGGCGTTAAGAATCACAGTCTTCTCCATTTGTTGTATTAGAGGGTTTCAAGTATATCATTTAGAGCTGCTGGCGTTAAGAATCACAATCTTCTCCATTTGTTTAGCACCTAACAAAGACTCCTCATGCACCCTAGTCTGGCCTCACCACCCTGTTTCCCTGCACTCCTCTCTCTGTCTCACGCTTTGCCTCACACAACCCCATGGGAATGGAAGCTCTTTTGCTCCGTCTGCTCTTTCTTTTCTCTTCCATTTTTTTTTTTTTTGAGATGGAGTCTCCCTCTGTCACCCAGGCTGGAGTGCAGTGGTGCAATCTCGGCTCACCACAGCCTCCTCCTCCTGGGTTCAAGCAATTCTCCTGCCTCAGCCTCCAGAGTAGCTGGGACTAAAGGCACATGCCACTATGCCCAGCTATTTTTTTGAATTATTATTTTTAGTAGAGATGGGGTTTCACCATGTTGGCCAGGATGGTCTCAGTCTCCTGACCTCATGATCCGCCTGCCTCGGCCTCCCAGAGTGCTGGGATTACAGGTGTGAGCCACCGCGCCCTGCCTCTGTCTGCTCTTTCTTTGGGACTCTGCCTGACAGTTTTATGCCCTCACTTCCCAGAAATGGAGAAGCTAAGCAAATAATTTCTTGATGTTCTGATGGGTCAGGAGGACCCCCAAATTGTAATGTTTTATTTCCTTCACAAAAAAGATTTACATTTTCAAATCTTGGAATTTCCAAACGTGACTTTATTCCTATTACTTTATATTTTCTCATGCATTTATTTACTGAGGCAGGAATACAGTATATATTCAAATGTCAAAAATGCAAAGGATTCTTTCTTTTGTCTATGATAGCACAACTCTGAAATAAAAAGCATGAAAACAAGGATCAGCTGCCTTGAAAAGGCACTAGCAAGCTAGACCCAGCCCTAAAGCTCAGTGGCCTTGTCACCTCCATCAAGGCCATTTTCCTTCAGTCTCCACTTTCTAACCTGTGAAATGAAGGAAACAGGAGATGAGGGCCCTACTGCCAGGATCTGATGGGGAATCTCAAAGGCTCATTCCCATGCCAGATCTTTTTTTCACGACCTCAGGTCCTTTTCTAGTCCCTTCGTCATCCTACAATTCCAACACCCTCCTTGATAGTTTCAAATTCTGCAATTCCCATTCAGATCAATAAATATTTACTAACCAATAAATATTTCTTTTTATTGCTTCTCAGTGCCCAGGACAGCATTGAGAAGTCCTGGGCACAGTGAAGCAATAAAAAAGACACATAAGACATCATTTCTTCCCTTAAGAAAAACTAATTGGAAAGAGAGAACTGTTTGCGTTAGTGAAAATTGGCATTATAGTTTTTTATAAAAATGCAGTTCTAGTGTCTTTGTGCACTTTTAGTAATTCAAAATAAGCCCACAAAGCACTGCTTAGGAAAGCACTTAGAGGAATGCTTTAATTAATCCACTGAAATTCTTTGAAATGAACAAATCAAGGGCTTCTTTGTAAATGGGAGGGATCAGAGACTTGGAAAACAATTGATTCTCTTAAATATTTGAAACATTTTTGTCATAGTTTCACAATATTAATTTGTCCTATTATAGAAGGAAAATGTTTTAAAAAAAAGTCTAGAAACTTTCTGAAGGATCACATTTTCAGAATGATTGGAATCCAAAATCTGAATGAAAAGTAGAATCCCTTCAGTGAAATGCTTTGTTGTTCATTTCTACATGTCAAAATTCTAACCATCTTTCATAGTCGAATTCTAATATTACCTCATTCATAATAATAATAATGAGTCTCTTCTTTAAGTCTGTGTGGTTGACCATCTGGCCTGCCTCAGAGCTCTCATCACCTCTTTCCTTGCAATAACAATGTGTGTATTTGCCATCTTTTGCCCTGGGCTGGGCTCCCTGAGAGCTGGCAGCATGTATCCTTCACCTGCTAGGACTACGCCTTGTAAGTAGCCGGTTTTTGTGTGATGTTAGAGCAGTGGTCAGGTTGCCATTCTGTGATAGATTACTCTATCCATTAGAAAACAGATTCACTTGTTCTAACAGAGGCCCAAAATAAAAATGGCTGAAACAAGTTAGATATTTCTTTCTTGTTTACATTAAAAAATCACCCACCAGGAGACAAGGGCTTATAGAGTAGCTCTGAGGTGTGGGGAAGCAAAGTTCCTCCTAACTTGTTGCTCTATATGATCTACACGATACAAAATGGACTCTCCACCATGTCTGTGTTCCAGTCCATTGGAAGGAGGACAAGCGGAAGTGGAGCCTCCTATTTCTACTTCAGGCACAACTGGGCAGTTGCATGCATTGCTTCCACTCACATCCCATGGAGAACTTTGTCTTACGGTCCTGCCTACCCAGTGGTGTGCTGGAGCCCTGTCCTAGGGTTGTGTGAGAGTGGATTGTGAGTCATGTGATAGCCTGAAATCTGCCATGGGAGAATTAACACCATAGAATTGGCAAGTGCTACATCTTATTTTTCTTCCATGAGAGCTGGTTGTTAAACATCTATCAGCAATCCACTTCACCTAGCTGCAAAATAAGTTGAAACATAGAGTTGTTGTTGTTTTTTTCGGATAGCTACATGTCTAGCTAACAATTCTGTATTTAGGAGCAACAGGTTGTACTTCTATAGAAGAAGCTAAGGATGGATATTTGCAAACAATTAGAAGTCTCTATAAACATGACATTATTTGGAAACAGAGAACTTTGGAAAACCTATGCATTTTACCATGAGAGAACAGATATGTCTATACCTATATATACATGGAGATTAATTGCTGTTGTTATCCAGTTGTGAAGTCTGTGCTAGAGAGAAGTTAAGCTTATTCTATGTGGGCTCAAGGTACTTACCTCTAGATAGAGGTTACATGAGCCAAATTCTGCCCCTTATTGACTATAAGCACTGTCTAGAAATGCAGCTTTGGTTCCCATCACTGCAGGTGTCCACGCAGGAACTGAATCATTTATGGGGTTTCCATAGAGGAGATTCATTCTGACTGAAGGTTACCCTTGCCGTTTCCAAGTCTCTGTTTATCCTTCACATCTCAAGGACGCTGTTCCTGACCTTTGAGATTCTTATGGCTTCCAGGACTTTCCTTTGCTCTACTTACCACAGTCTGTAATTGTTAGGATAATGGTCCAGTTAATGTCAGTCTCCTCAACTAGACTGTAAAACCAGCAACTGTGTTGCTTTCTTACCGTTGTATCTGCTGCACAGAGCAAAGTGTGTGACCACAGTGGGCACTCATTAAATATGCACTGAATGAAGGATGGTTGCTGTGAGACAGCAGTGTGAAAGTCCTTGTTAACTGATCATAATAATTATTACATCTAAATAAGACATTGAGATATAAAACAGAACAGAAAACAGGTGAAGGAAGTGGCAGTAAATTCTACCAGTCATCTAGGGGGAACTGAATTTGATACTAGGCTTCTCGGAAACTAAACACAAAAAGAGAACATGTTGAGTTACTAATTTTTTTTTTTCTAAAGGGATAAAACTTATGGAAATCATCTGAAGAAGTCAATTCCTGGTGATTTATTAAAATTAGATTATTGTTTATTTCTAGTTAATATTTAATATGATTAAATATCTCTTAACTTGAAAGAAAGGGAGGAAGAAGAGAGGAAGGAAGGAAGAGGGGAAGGAGGGAGGGAGGGGGAGGGAGGGGAGGGAGGGGAGGAGGAGGGAGGGAACAGAGAGACGGAAGGAGGAAAGAAGGAAGGGAGGAAGGGAGGGAGGGAAGAAGAAAAGGAAGGAAGGAAGGAAGGAAGATGAAACAAAACCTCCCTCTACCGGCCTCCAGCAATTAACCTACTACCCAAATTCCTTCACAGATTGTCTGCACTTACTCTGTCCACTTCCTTACCTCCTATTCATGTTTGTTTTGCTCCTACCTTCACCATTTTATCAGAGCTGCTGTCAAGAAGGGCAACAGTAAATTTGTCCTGGCTCTATCTCCAGTTCGATCTTTATTACAGTAGACATTTCTTAATTCTTTGAAATTCTTGACCCTAACTAGATCATGTCCCTTGGTTCTGTCACATCAAATTTCACTGGTTCTCTTCTTGTCTTCCTGGATGTTCTTTCTCAGTATCTTTTAAGGGCTGCTTGAGCTCTGTTATTCTATTGAATGCTGTTCCTCCGGTTTTAAAAATATTTTCTTTGACCCTTTCTCACTCTACAAGTTCTCTCTTAAAATGTTATATACTCTTATGGCTTTAATTACTCTCTTGATTCTAATGACTTCCAATTTTAGATTTTTAGACTAGATTGCCCATCTGAGTTTCAAACCTGTGTGTATAAATTCCTCCTGGGTATCTCATAAGCACCTTGAATTCAGCATGCCCCAAGCGCAGCCAATATTCCCCCCTCTCCTTAACCTTTTATTCCTCCTGTGTTTCCATCTAAAGAAAGGGCCCTGCCCTCCCCACTACCTGTCTCTCAAGGCAGAAACATTGCTATCGTCTTTAACCCCCGCTCGCTGTGACTCTCCATCCCTAAGCACTCAGCCGCCAAGTCCTATCAACTCTACTTCCTAAATCTTTCTCAAATTTGTCTACTGAGCCCTATCCCCAGTGTCACTGCCTAACTGCAGTTCCCAGGATTTCTGCCACAGCTCTTAACCCAGCTTCCAGCCCTGGGTTTGCTTTCCTTCTGGTCTCCCACAAAGCACCCCAAGCGGTCTTTCTAAAGCACTCTCTGAACTTATATTTGTCCTGCTTAAAACTTTTTTTACATGGCCTTCAGGATAAAGCCCTAACTCTACAGGAGGCTTAAGCGGCCCTGCCTGATCTTATTCCTGCTCACTTTCCAGCCTTATCTTCTCCTTATCCCAAACCTCACACCTCACTTCACTCTCCCTGCAACTGACAGCATCTGCTTACCAGGACACCTGGACCTCTCTTGCCTCAGATCATTGCATGTGCTGTATCCATCCCTCCACGTTTGTCCTGGATTACTCCAATCATCCCTTCACTCTCATCTTAGAAGTAACATCATTTGTTTATTCATTCAACAAATATTTACTGAGCACCTACTATGTGTCAGGCACTTGTAATACAACAGTGAGCAAGAAACACATGGTCTCTGCCCTAAGAGGCCTTCCTTGACTTTCTAAGACTGAGTTGTCTTCCACAGAACGCTGTCCTTACCCCACATGGCACTGTCTCCAGTGTATTTTAATGACTTTTAAACCAGTGTCAACCAACATTTTATGTAAAGGGACAGATGAGGAACAGTCAACATTTTGGTTTTGCAGGACATAAGGTTTCTCTCAGAACTATTCAATTCTGCAGTTGTGGAGGAACAGTGGCTAAGAGATATATATATAAATGAATTGGCATGGTGTATTCCAATAAAACTTTATTTATAAAACAAACAGTGATCCGGAGATGGCCCATTGGCCATAGTTTGCTGACCCCTGGTCTAAACAGCTAAACTAGGATGTTTTTATTTACCTTTGCATCCACAGTGCAAGCATAGCATTTGACATAGGGGCTTCTCCATACAAGTTTGTGGGATGAATAAGTGAACGGTAAATGAACAAATTAGGATGGACCTGTTTTGCTCTTTTTCCTCTGTGGCCATATCTTCTTGGTCACAATATGCTCCATATTTATTCTGTGTAGTCAGTGACACCCCCTCCCCTCACTTCAGATAGTTTTCATCTCCTGTTCATCTAAACATTCATGTTGAGCAAATACCATATCAGGAATGTGGGTTACTTTGGTGGTCATTAAGATTTAAAGCCTTTGTTACTACCTCTCAAGCATTCCCCACAGCATCGTGTTTGTTTTTCTTTTAGGTATGATGGTTAAATTTTGTACTGTGTAGTTATACTTCATATATTGATTATAGACTTTAGTAATTCTGTGTGCGTATAGATGTATTCATTCCTTTGTTGCATAAATATTTATTTAAATCTACCTTAAAATCTTTCTGGAGCATGTAGGATATTATAAACAAACCGCAATTAAATCAATGTGTAAAGCACTTATTATGTACAGGGCACCAGGAGAAGTTTCAGTGTGCAGTGGGGACAAAGATAATTCAGATAAGGTATTGTCACTAAGGGGCTTATCTGTTAGAAAGGAGGTAAGAATGTAACAGCAAATGATTACAATACAATGTAGAAAGTGCTAACCTCTTTAAGAAAGGAATCAGAAAATCTTAGGAATTAAAATTATCTTGGGCCAAAGAGATCAAAAAAGGCTCAGAGGGAGAAGTATTTGATCTGGAAATGAAAAGGTAGGTATTCAGGATACTGATATGACACTGAAGGGTCTTTGAGACAGAGAAAAGTATAGGCACATCCACAAGTTACTAGAAAGCAAGTTTTAATGAAGCTACAACCAGGGACTGGCTGATAAAAGTGAAGCCAAATCCCTTCAAGAAGGTGCCAAGTCCATTCTGGTCTGGAATGCATTGATAATTGGGACATTATGCTCAGAGACTCCAAATTGACATTCTGTCGTCATCCCTCTTGGAATAGAAACTCTGATCCTTTAAAGTAATTAGCACCAATTTGGAGCATGTGTGCAAAAATAAATCACCAGTGTCCAAAAACAGATACATTAGGTTCAATGGTTATGAAGCAAATGTTCTTATTAGCTCCGCCTACGTAAACAAAATCAGAAGTAATTAGCATTTAAAAATAGAAGAGACAAGAAGAGATCACAGTTCCCACTGGAAAATTATTATTTATATAAAGGTCCACAATGCTGACACACACGACTTGCCCTTCCTGGTCTCAGTCCTGTTTTTCTGTGGCTACAGGATCAGTTTTCTTTCCTGAGGGAAAGGAGAAGAAACTGTGATTGTGTGCATTTCAAACGTCTTGGTTGAAATTGAAAAGTGTGTGTTCTCCACCAAACAAAAATATATCTTTTCTCCATCTCCTCCTCCCTACCTCTTCAGTGTGCCTCATCCCATCCTCTTCTCGGGTGGGGAGAGTTTGCTGTGTCTCGAGATTGTGAGCAGAATCTGCCTCCAGATTGCAGGAAATACTATTGGCCTTTGCACACAAGACACCTACCTGTTGGAGAAAGCGTCAGTAGCCCACATTGAAAGGCAGCAGCTCTCATTAACTCACCTGTGCACACTTCGAAGTGACCCTTGACATCTTCTCCAGAACATGTTACATCTCTTCAAGGACGGAGCCTCACGGCGTTAGGTGTCAGAATGGGGAGGTGAACTGGCCATGGAGCTCCTGAAAAGCTGAGGAGGAGACATGAGCATGTTTGGCATAATAAAAAGAGCACTGACCAATGGCCCAACAAGCCTCTGAGTCCCAGCTGTGCCACTGACATGTTCTGTAACCTTAGCCAAGACATGTGCTTTTTCTGGGTCTCAGTTTCCTTAGGGGCTAAACTGCGTCATCCTCTTCATCCTCTTGCTCTAGGATGCCATACAGATTTCTACCCTTTTAAAGACATAACTTCAGTCTTTTATCTGCCTTTTTCCATCTGCTGTCTTGGAAAGATGTGAATAGCATGATTTGGGGTGGGGAGGGTAGGACTTGCGCATTTCTCTAGTCCTCATTTATAAAATGTGTAAAAATATGCCCCACACTTCCTTCCCCAAAAGACTGTGGCTTTAGGAACACAGGACAAATAAACATGGAAGACACAGAAGGCCTTCTTCTCAGGGTCATGGCAGAACCCAACAAATCACTCTCAGTCCTAGAAACAAACATCACATTTAAAGCTGAGGGGAACTTGGAATATAATTGAGGACTAAAGAGGGAGAACTTTGCTCAAAGTAGCATGTTAAAGACAGAACCATGTTTCAAACCTTTTGGTTCTAAATCATCTTTCTAGCATGTCATTCTTCTGGCTTTTGGATGTCTAACCTTGAATTGGGGCTGAGGAATTGATTGGCATACATCCACTTTAAGTAAAATTATCAGTGGCATTGGAAGGGGAGAGTGAGTGGATTAAATCCTTGACTCTTAGCTCTTAGTTTTTGTTAGGGTTTAATTCATTTTTTGTGCCTTTTCCCCAAATGATTTGTGGTTTTTTCCTTTTAATTAATACCAGTCCCTCTGGCTATCTTGCACACCTGCTAATGGTTGGGTCTTTTTGTTTCTGCCACAATTGAAGACTTGGCTCAAATATCTTCTTCTCTGGGTATTTTACCGTCTTCCACAGCCAGTCTATATTCCATGGCACTTCATCGGTATTTTCCTTAATAATTACCTCAAGCTTTTCTAAGGTCCATCTCCTCTGTTAAGTTGTCTGCTCTTTGAGAACCGGGAACACCTTTGTGTCCTTGTTTCCAATGCTGGAAATGCTATTCAGTTATGCTTATTGAATGAATGAATAGAAGAAATAAGAACTTCGTCCGTAACCTGATTGTGCCCTAGGAGGCCCTCAGAGTGATGGCAAACATAGCAGTGGCCTCCATTTCATTCTTTATGAAGAATCAAGAAAGGTCAAATAATGGGCAGATCTGTCTTGGCTATATCTGATCTCTTATGTTGTTACACCTATGAATTTATAGCACTCATCCGTGACTACTCAAGTGTAGCCTGAGTACACAGAGTGACCCTGCCTAGGCTCAAGAGGTGAAGGAAAAGAACAAAAAGACAACTTGCAAACTTTGGGTTGCCAGTCTCAGCATGAGGGCCTCCCAGAGCTAACCCCCAACTGGCTTTGGCTACAAGCCTGGATCTGTTGTCTGGGCACCGGCACTGGTCAACTTGGTTATTGCGAGTGGAATGTGACAAGGGTCAGACACCAGGGGTGGTACCTGAAACTGTTTCGGAAAGAGTGAAAGAAAATGTGGCCTCTTTGCTCAAACACTTGAAGGAGGAGAGAAGGGGAAGATTACACAAATAGCCATCTGACTTCTATCCAGTATGGCAGGCAGGAAAGCAAAAGAGAAATTTCTGAAATATTGGTGAAAGATTGGAGAAAGAGGGAGAATCTGGAGTGAGGGTACTGGAATAAGGAAGACAGAGACGAAAAAGACAGAACAAATAAACATGGGAAGGAAGAGGGAGGAGGTAAGGAGGAAGGGAGGAAGGAAAGAAGAAAGAAAGGAAGAAGAGAAGGAGGGAGGGAGGAAGGCAGGGAAGGAGTAAGGGAGGGAGGGAGAAAAAGGGAAGGAAGGAAGGGAGGAAGGAAAGAAGGAAGGGAGGGAAGATGGAAAGGAGGGAGGGAGAGAAAAGAGAAGGAAAGAAGGAAAGGAGGAGGAAGGTCAGTCATTTAAAATGAGAAAAGAGAACAAAATCAGCTAGGGAGCGGGTGAGAGAAAAGTTTGGAGAGAAAAAAGAGAAGTGGAGAGCCATGAGGACAAGACTCAGGACAACTTGAAATGTGCCAGACCTGCTCAGCTCCGGAAACTTCCTTTTGTAAGCCTGGCACGGGGAAGATCTGTGCACAGAGGAAAATGTGCCAACTCCTGCCCAGGGCCTGTCAGAGGATAGAAACAGATCAATTAACCTGGGTGGGGCTCTCCTGCCAGTGCTCAGGGCCTGGCCAGGCCAGACCAAGCCAAGGACTCTCACGTGATCATTAGGCTATTAAAGGCCATGAGCTGCAGGCTAGAGTCAGCCTTTTATCCTGAGAAAAATCCTCTTCCTGTACCAACATCATTCTGCTGGCCCGGCCACCACCTCTCTGCCAGGCCCAGCTAGGGACACAGTTAGACCAGGCACTTGGCCTTGGAAAACAGACACGTGGGCCACTCTGTGGCCAGCACAGCCTGATGTAACCAATTGGTGGGATAATCTTGGGGCATATTTGTGGATCGAACAACAGGCATTTGGAGCAGAATGTTTCCATAGTTCTTAGACCTGGAACTCCCTCATCATTCAACAGATGAGGAAATGGCAAAGAGAGAATTAGTTGTCTAATAGCAACCACCTAGGTATTGGCAACATTGGGACCAACACTCCAGATCTGTCGTCACTATGCGATAAGATGTATGTATAGCACATGAAGTATTCAGGACAGTGCCTGCCATGAAGTAATGCTCAGTAAATGTTATGGCCATTATCAGAACATACTAGCAATATTGGGACTCTAAGAAGCTCTTAACAACTGGTTTAGTGTGGAAGACGAATTGGAGAAGAGAGAGAACAAAGGTGAGGAGATTCCTGATGGGTCCTCCGAGGCTGGGTTTCCTGCACCTTTTCCCTTTCCCCACTCAAACTCTGTGCCTGCCTCCTGGCAACAGTGTTGATTCACTGTCCACCGTAATGCTGTCCCTGGAGGACAAGAAAATGAGAAGATGTGTTCTCTGACATCAGAGACTGATGACCTATAGGCCGAGATGCTGTAGTCACCCACAAATACCCCCCAAAAATTTGATGTGATAAGCTTCCCAGGTTGAGATTCACTTAATCCATCTGTTGTTTAATGCCTGAAAGTTACCAAGGAAAAGAAACAATTGTTTCATCATTAATTACTGTGTGATTTTTTTTTCCCATATGAATCTCATCTCCTTACCTAGGATAAGAACTCCTTAAAGGAAGAACTGTATCTTAAACTTTTGTATCATCCTCTCCACTAGGACAACTAGAGAGCCGAGGAGCATGTCGCAGGCACTCGATACACACAAAGTGTGAAAAAGTCAAGGGACTGGTTTTTGATGTGATTTAAGGAAATCAGTCCTTTTGTTTTAGATCCACGTGATTCATCTAAAAGTAAATTTCCACGTGATTTCTCTAAAAGTTAATTTCACCTTTGCAAAATGATGAACTGCCCTTAGAACTACCTCTAGGCTAAAATTATGCCACCCTCTCTGCTGTACAAGTTCTTCAGGCATGCTTCATATTCTGCAAGTTGTGAATCTGGGTAGGCAAGAGAGAAATGTCTTGGAAAATGGGATTATAGAAGGTAACAGCCACTGGAAGAATTTGGCCCCAAAGCCGAGGACTTTTCAATCAATATGCATGACTTTTAGAATTCCTATTTTAATCAGAGAAACGGAAATGAAATTCCCAATGTAGCTTTTAGTTAAAAAAATAAATTACAAGTGGTATATGATATTCATGCATACCATTTCCTCTGAAATTCTTTTTAAGAATTGAAGAAAATAACTATATAACATACTGGAAAGAACACTAGCTTAGGAGTTTCATGCCCTAAATTTATCACCTGGTAGCTATGTGATCAAAAGCAGTCAGTTCTTGTCTTACCTCACTTCACTCATATATAGAATAATAGGGCTGATGATATGTAAGCTCCCCAATAATAAATGAGTCTATAATTCCGTGCTTATGTTGAAGACCCATCCATCTATCAACCCATCCATCCTCTCCGCAAATATATATTGAATTCCTGCTTGGGCAATGTCCTTGTCATTCGAGCCCTTCTGCTCTGAGTTGATAGGTTGATGGCATCATCACGCTTCCAAGCACCCAGACTCAGTATCTCTACTCTCTGCCTCCTCGCTTACCCTCCTCACCTCCAACCAATCCCTGATACCTCCTTTTTTTTTTTTTTTTTTGAGACAGAGTCTTGCTCTGTCGCTCAGTCTGGAGTGCAGTGGTGCCATCTCGGCTCACTGTGACCTCTAACTCCCGGGTTCAAGTGATTCTTCTGCCTCAGCCTCCTGTGTAGCTGGGATTACAAGCATGTACCACTGCACCTAGCTAATATTTTTGTATTTTGAGTAGAGACGAGGTATCACCATGTTGGCCATGCTGGTCTTGAACTCCTGATATCAAGTGATCCGCCTTCCTTGGCCTCCCAAAGTGCTGGGATTACAGGCATGAGCCACTGCGTCCAGCCCGATACCTACTCTATCTCTGTTGATCCTCGCCCTTCCATGCCCACTCCACTGCACTTCTTCCAGACTTAACAGTTCTCACTTGAGCTATTGCAAAAAATTCCTAAGAGGTCTCCTAGCCTTAACACTCTTTGTTTCCTATCCACTATACTTACTATGTCTGAAGTTATCTACAATTTCTTATTTTTATCCACATTTTCTGAAGTTTTGTTGAATGACAGGCACTGTGCTGGGCTCTTAAGGAGCTCAGAGTCAAGAGAGGAAGACAGGCATTAATAGACGAGCACAAGATGGTGGAGGAATGATCAGGGTGTTAGGTTTCCTCTTTTCTTCTCTTAAAGCCTTGCTCCTTAATGGTTTCCTCTTTCAGGCTTTTAGTGTCTCACTCATCACATCCTCTTACAGTTTGTTCTCTACCTTGTTCTTGACCAGATGGAGCAACTTGATAGCAGGAATCTCATCAATTCAAGCCATCCTTGTACTCAGAAACATGAGTGCCTCCCTTTTGCTCTCAGAGGGAAGTCCAAACATTGCACTGGGCATTTCAAACCCTTAAAAATTTGATGCTGTTTTCCAATTAACTCTGCTAATAATCCCATACTGAATTCCACCCGTATCTCAAACCCTCTTCTCTCACACCTATTCTACCTCTAAAATCTCACCCTTCAGCGACACAAAGGCTTAGCCACACCCAGTGCTCTCACATTCACTGCCTTTTGTGGGGTAAGCCATTTCCTCTTCTGGGCATGCCCAATACACTTTTTTCCCCTCCTCCTCTGCCTGAAAGACTTGCCTCAAAGATCCTATCCTCTTTTCGTGCTCTAGCTTAAATTCTATCCTTTCTAAGAACCTTTGCCGATAATCAGCTCCACCATGCAGAACTAATGTTCATCTGCTCCTCAATACTTTTTATAATAAATGTTCTAACATTCTCCCTCCACACCTCCCTGCAAGTTGAGGGAGCCAGCTCTGGCCTTGGCCAGCCCAGAAAGGGTCTCCCACAGTGCAGTGGCGGGCTAAAGGGCTCCTCAAGTGCCGCCAAAGTGGGAGCCCAGGCAGAGGAGGCGCCGAGAGTGAGCGAGGGCTGTGAGGGCTGCCAGCGCGCTGTCACCTCTCAACATGTCGTGGTCTATCTTTTGCAGAGGTTTTGTGAACGTTTCTACTTGCTATATTATGAGCTCTGTGGGAGAAGTGCCCATGTCACTTGAATTTTTGGATCCTCTGCAGCACAGAGAGCTTAGTGCCTGACACTTAGGCTAACTCTGTACTGAGCAATTGCCATATGCCAGGTACTGCACAGGCTGTGCGATACTTCATCCTCACAACGGATGATGAAACTGGGCTCAGAGAGTCTAAGTAAACTACTCAAGGCACCAGCAGGTGATACAATCTAGTTTTAAACAAGGGTGCCTCTTAATGAACAGCCTACACCACTTTCCCACAAGGGGCCACAATGCATGCTGAATGGTTTTGTAACCATTTGGAGAAGAGGTTGAAGATGTACTGAACAAGCATTTTCTGATTACCTAGGGAGATTTCTAAAGGTTTTTTTTTTGAGAGTTGGCGTTTGCTTTTATCCCCAAAAACTGAATAGGAATTTGACCAAGAAAAAAAGGTAAGGATATTCTAGTAAGAGAATAAAATTTGAGCTCAGTCTTCCATAGAGTGTAAGGGATTTTTTTTTAAGGGGTAGATGAGAACTATTTACTGATTAATTTCCCCAGTCAGACTGTCAGCAATAGAGGGAAGAAAGCATCTGGGTCTTGCTCAGGGCTGTTTCTCTGTTGCCTATGGCAGAGCCTAATACAGAGCACATGTTGGATAAATATTTTGTCAAAATTAACCTATTCAATAAATACTATCTAAGCAATTCTTGCATGCATATCTTTTAAATTCACTCTTGGCCTGGAATGCTAAACCCTAATTGTCTTAATGAAGGCTTTAAAAGCCCAAACCAAAACTTTTAGACCCTGAAAGTGAAACCTCCAGTCCCTAGAAAGTTCACTGACCAACCCAGTTTCACTGACTGGCTGAGTGAAAAACAAACATTAAACCAACAGAACAAGCTATGAAAATCAAATAAGAAAAAAAAGAAAAAGATTGAAGTTCCAAGAAACTTAGATATTTTCAGTAATGTGCCTTCTGCAAGGAAACTTGAGGGCTTCAATGACGTCAGTTTCATTTCCAGTAGAGAGCTTTTACCTTTTATCTCTTCAAAAAGAGACTAAAAGCCCCTCTGTCCAGCAGCTAGCTGTGTCGTGGGTGTGGGTCTAAAGACATCAAGGGAACTGAGGCAGAATCAACGAGGTTCTTCTCACATTGCATTGGGTTTTTTCACATGTCTTCGTATTTTTTTTTTTCACATCTCCTCATTTTTGTGTGAGAATAAGCTGTAAGCAAGTCTGTGTCAGTGAGCATATTCAGATCACAACATTTATTGAATCAGTGAGTCAGAAAATGGCTCAAAGCTTAGCATGATGAAGTAGAAAATGCATTCTCCTTAGGGCAGGAGAATGGGCCTGTTCTTTCTCCATCATTTATTAGCTGGGTGACCTTGAACAGTCACCTCTTTTCTCTGGGCCTCAGTTTCCCCTTCCAGCTATGACATATTTAGCAGATCCTCCTTATGATAGGAGAAAAATATGCTTGCAAAACATCTATAGTCGGTTTTAGAAATGAGACATTATGAAAAGCTTTCTAAGTGCATGGTGATCTGGGAATTGGAGGTAGGGTTTTTGTTTTGTTTTGTTTTTTGTTTTTCCTCCAACACAGTTTCCCCACCTTGGCACTCTAGACATTTTGGCCTGAATAATTCTTTGTTATTGGGGGTGGGGGTGGTGGCTGCCTTGTGCATTGTAGGATGTTTTGTAAAATCTCTAACCTTTAGTCACTAAATACTAGGGACACCCACTCCCTTCTGTCCAGTTGTGACAACACAAAATGTCTCCAGACATTGTTAAATGTCCACCAGGGGCAAAATTGCCCCCAGTTGAGAAACAGCACCTCTGTTGCATTTTCAACTAAAATTGATGGATTCCTTAAAAGAATGTAGCTGAGACTGGACTTCAGAAGGTATAGTAACCAAACAAAGAGGCTCCCTCCATTTCTGTTGACCTAAAGATGTGGTGTCCCTGGGCGCTCAAGAAAGTTAGAAGTGCATGAAGTCTGGAGGCAGGAAACCACCATCTGAGTTCCTGCATTATCTTTGACGGCCTGTGTGAACTTCATCATGTTGCTTGACCTCTCTGAGCCTCAGGGACCCCATGAATCCAGAGGAAGTAATTCCTCTCCTCCATGAGCCTTCTTTGTGCCATATCCCCTCTTGCACACACACATCACCACAAGGTTGTTAGGAGACCAAAAGTAATTTACGTGAAAGACACTGTAAGCTAAAAGGCACAGAACAAACATGTGGTATCGCTCTGAAGATTTTTCTTTTTCCTGAGAGACCAAAGAAAAGGAACTTTTATTCCAGGATAATTTTTCTGTCAGTCGTGGTGATGGTGACATCGCAGATGCCACCACAGCAGTATTCAAAACAAACAAGGGAGAACATTCTCAGGGAATACGACCATGACACCAGCTGCAAGACTTGATTCCCCTGGGCTATGAGTTAACTTGCATTTCTCCAGTAAGAATGAGTCTCCTCTAAAGAAGGCATCATGGTGTTAAGCAAAGGCAAGACTGTTTTATTTGGCTTTCCACATACCTGGAAGTATATTGGCCCGCTGCTGCCTCTCTTCAGCAAGGCCATCAACCTGGAAGACATCTAAGTGGCTCATGTCTTCAGCAGCTGAGAACTTTAGAACTAAGAGGGGCTTCTGAATGCTGGTGGTTTCCTCAGAGAGGAAGTCAAGGAGCTCTGGTCACAGTCAGACCTAGGGTGAGTGGCCCTCCCAATGCCTCAAGCCAGGCCAAATCAGGCTGGGTCCTCCAGTTTGAAACCCACTCTTGAGTTCTGAGAGTGTTCACATCTAGAGTAACAGCCTGGAAATCAGACTAGATACCAGGTCAGCAGGCTACTGACTATCCAGGAAGCTCAGAAACAAACTAGAATTTTAGATAAGAAAACTCTAGGGTCCAAGTGTCAGGTTTAAGTTAGAAGGAGTAGTATAATTTACACTTGTAAAAGTGGTTTATGGACGACTTTTTCATCCTTTGAGGGTACTATACTATAGCAATCAACGGCTTTCCTTCTGAGCCCTGGATGTATCTCCTGGCCCTGCTCCTGCTAGCTATGTGACTGTGGGCACCCAGTGGGTGTGAAGTAAATATTAGCTGTGCTATTGGGTGCACCGCTTGATCCTCACAGCAACCTCTGGGGCCAGTGGTGCTATCAACTTCACATTGCAGCTATAGAATCTGAAGTTCAGAAAAGTGCATCACTGCACAGCAACCCACTTCCCTTTGCCCTCCTCTTTCTTTCAGCTCACTCTTCTTTTGCTTTCTGCTATCTAAATGCCATCTGTCCCTCGAAGTCTGTTCAAACGCTACCTCCCCAAAGAATTCTGCCTCCAGAGTGGAGTTAATCTCGGCTTCCTCTAAGCCCCATAGCATTTTGCTGGTATCTCTATCACATTGCATACTCACCTGGGCCGTAGTAGGTAAGAAAGGTCCAAGACAAGGACATAACTTATTGCAGAGTGTGACGAAGGACATGGAGAGAAGCAAGGTGAAGAATGCAGAAAGTGTAAAGGAAGGAAAGTTTCCTCCGTGTTTCTCCCATCAGAGAGTCATTATATCCCATGCTATCTTTTAAAGGTATTCCCTGCTTCTCCCACCTGATAGTCATATTGCATCATGACATCTTTGAAAGCACTCACCACTCTCTGGCTCCAGTCAAAGCTAACTCCATATATGCTGTCTCCTATCCAAGACTCAGCATCTTGGTGGGTGGAACAGTTTGGATTCACTTCCGCATGCCCCATAGCACATGGCTCTATGAGGGGCCCAAGGTTGCAGGTGCTTAAAAAATGCATATGGCACTGAACTGAGAAGAGCTTGCTGACAGTGGGTGATGGTGATGGATGACGGAAGATATGATCATGATAACGATGAGGTTATCTGAACCGAAACCTAGCCGCTGAAACCTAGCCGTCACGAAGGGTGATGTACTCACGATGTTTCACTATGACTGAGTGAACAACAAGAGATCCACGAATTAGACCTAGAAACAGCCCACTCACTGGCAAACTGAAAAGAAACTGGAAAAGGAAAAAGGCATATGGGTGGAGACTTGTTGTATCAGCTCGAGCCCTGATCTATATAGATTAATATAGCAGTGGCGTATGAAAACACTGTTCTCCCTGATTGTTTAAAAAATGCAGTTTATTAACACAGGTACAGAAAACCAAACACCACATGTTCTCACTCATAAGTGGGAGGTGAACAATGAGAACACATGGATACAAGGAAGGGAACATCACACAAGGGCAAGGGGAGGGGGAGCATTAGGACAAATACCTAATGCATGCAAGGCTTAAAAGCTAGATGGCGGGTTGATGGGTGCAGCAAACCACCATGGCACATGTATACTTATGTAACAAAACTGCACGTTCTGCACATGTATTCCAGAACTTAAAGTAAAATTTAAAAAAAATGCAGCTTATAAAATCATTGAAAAAGCCCTATTTATTATTATTATTAATTGAGGAAGATGTAGAAAATATCTAAAAGGAAAGATAAGAGAAACAATCTCATTACAAGGAGTTGGTGCTATTTAAATTTTATTGTAGTTTCCTTCTTGTATATGTCTGATTTTGTGTAGTTGAAATCATGATTCTGTATATTACAAAATACATTTTGTTGATTTTTATATAGCTAACACACACATAAGGTACAAAATTCAAAAGGCACAAAAGGGTACGCAATGAAAAGCCAGTTTCTCTCTCGCCCCCTGCCTCCCACAACCAGACTTTCTCTTAAATGTCTCATAAATCCTTCCAGGGGAGTCCTATGCCTACCATTGTACATTTTGGAGTGAGTTAATAGCCCTTAATCCTTCAAGGTTCTCAGGAACCAAAAATTGTTATGAGAAGGAAATACATCCCTAATGCAATGTATCTGTGCTGATAAAAGATGCAATTATACTACCTCTATGCCAGTTACATAAGCAAATTTATATAGTACAAGTCTTTCTAAGTAATGTTCTCATATTGACAACAGTAGTTGCAGGTACTCAACCGAGACACACTCCCTTAACAGGCATCCATCCCAAAGATTTCCCAAAGATGTCCTCAGTAACCAAAGTGATTCGAAAAGCTCAGAAACATAGATATCAGAGTCTGCAGTTCTCGGCGGTGTAGCGACTAAGACACTAACCCCCATGCCAGGCTCCTAAATGCAGGCTTCACCTTCTTCCAAGATCAGACCTGGCAAGTACTCTTCCTCATCTTGTTCTGCCCTAGGGTGCTGGGGGTGGGCAGGAAGCATGGGAGGGGTGGGTGGGGGAATTCCAGTTCAAATGAAGCAGTTTAAAGAAAGTCATTTCCATAAAATCTTGCTTAAAATAGAGAAAGCCATTCTATGCTTACCGAAACTCTGTCCTCTTCAAACTCACCCCCAACCCACCCCCAACACATAAAGAAGAGGAGGAGCGGGATCCAGGGTTTCCCTCGAGATCTTGGGCCGTGTGCGCTGCCCCACGGGCTTACACTGACACAGATCCTCCCACCTGAGTCTTCACCACCCACAGTCTCATTGTGGATCTTCTCCCCAGTAGGCAGTTTCAGGAGTTTTTCAGGAATCTGCTAGTTTGGAAGTTTATTTACCAGTGAAGTGAATTTCCCTGTCTGCTCTCCTTCCTCTCCTCCCAGTACCCATCTGATAAAGTTACAGAAGGCATCTCGGATTCACAACAACCCTCACCAGCCCCCCACTGAATAGCACATCGTCTGGCAACAGGAGGCGTTTGATTACATTTGGATGGAACGCCTGCATCAACTCCAGTTGTCCCTGAATTGGAACTGATGGGCCTCACGTGCTGCAGCCAACAGTTTGCCTTCACCCACTCCCCTCTCCGAAGGGAACCTTTCTTTGGGAAAACAAGAAACCTACGTGCCATCCTGGGTGAGAGACTAACAGGAGCTGTGTCCCAGCATTGCCTTCCAGGCGAAGCAGACAAGAGTACACTCTCAGAGGTGTGAAACTGCGAGCCGTGCTTCAAGCATCCTAGAAAGAACCTCTAAACCAGGGGACCCAATTGCCCTCTTCAAAGTACCTCTATGCCTCTATGTTCATTTCAACTCACAGGCATTGAGTTCTTACTACATGCAGTATAAGGCATTCTGCTGTTGTCTCCTTAGCAAGCCCTCATAGCCTCCCCTCTCCCATTCTGACTTATTTACTCAGACACTATTCTGTAGGCAGAATATTGGCCCTACAAAAATGTCCATGTCCTGTCCGTGTCCTAATGCCCTGAACTTGTGAATATGTTATATTACATGGCAAGGGAGCATTAAGGTTGCAGATGAAATTAAGCTTGCTGCAGCTGACCATAAAACAGGAAAATTATCTAGGGTTATTCATGTGGCCCCAGTGTAATCACAAAGACCCATAAGTAGGAAAGAGGGAAGCAGAAGTAGAAGAGTCAGAACTAGAGTGGTGGTATCTTGAGAAAGACTCGAACTGCCATTGCTGGCTTGGGGGATGGAGGAAGGGGCCAGGAGCCAAGGAGTACAGGCAGCCTTTACAATCTGGAAAAGGCAGGAAAACAGATTGTTCCCTACGGATTTGTTGATTTTAGTCCAGTGAAATCCATTGTAGATTTCCGACCTCCAGAACTGCAAGAGAATAAATTTGTATTGTTGCAGCCAGCAGCAACACATTCACTGTAGACCTCCTATGTGCCAGGCCTGATACCTGGTGCTGAGAGGGCATTCTCACAGCAAGGGATTTGTACCTTGTATCAGTCATCAGGGTCCCACTAGGGAAACTAAAGCTACTCTAAGTGTCTGAGCAGAACGAGTTTAATGTAGGTCACTGGCGACACAGGTGGTGGAAGAAGTTAAGAAGCTAACCCAGACATTAGCAATAGCAGAAGTTATTACGCTGGTGCTGCTAGACTAGGCCAGAGAGATAAAGAAAGGAGGTCATGTTACTGGAATCCAGAAGCCAGGGTCACCTGGTAGAAACTGGACCACGGTGGGCCTGTCCAGTAGAAGCTGGAGCTATGGGTGGGGATAGAACGAGCCAGAGGTGCTGGCAGAGGCAGAAAGGGAGAGAAATAAACCCAGCTTCTTCCTGCCTCCTGCCCCTCTGTCTCCTGACAATGTCTCCCACTGGCTGTGCCCAGGGGAAGCCAGCTGATGTGGGTACTTGGGATACACAAGGGTCATCCCTCTGTGGTTGAGGGAAGAGCAATGAATGGACTAATGAATCCGAGGATAGATTCATTCATTCCTTTGTAGTTAGGTGTGACTGAGTTCCAGCTAACGGAACATGAGTGGAAATATATGTGCCACTTCCAGGCCTGGCTGTGAAAACCTCCCATGCACACTCCAGCATGGTTCCCCCTCCTGCCAGACTGGTATCTATTCCTTCTCTGTGTTGGTCTCCATGAATCTTGAAATATAACTTATTGTTTAAAATCCAAGTTTTTACCATGATTTCTAAGGCCCTTCATCATGTGGCCCTTCCCTAGCTTCCCACTCTCATTCTGTGTGTCCTGCCCTCATTCACACACCACACTGGCCTTTGCTTTGCTCTCAATATCCCAGGCACGTCCCATCTCAGGGCCCTGCACTTGTAGCTTCTGCTGGACTCCTCTCCTCTTGTCTTTCTCTTAACTGATAACTGTTCACCATTTGGATGTCAGCTCGACTGTTATTTAGTTAGGCGACCACTTACTCCATCTAAGAAAGGCCCCCTTCAGCTTAAATGACAGTCACATTTCCTTATTTTATTTTCCTCATGATACCTGAGATGATTTTGGTTATGTGTTTATTTATGTAGCATAACCTTCCCAAACCTGTAAGCCCCTTGAGGATAGGAGCATGATCTTAATATTTGCTATATCCTTGTATCAGTCAGTTAGATGTTCACCAAAATCTTTCTTTTTCTTGAAAATAGAGCAGGGCTCATTTCAGATTCCTTTGTAGTTAGGTGTGACTGAGTTCCAGCTAATGGAACATGTGTAGAAATATATGTGCCACTTCCAGGCCTGGCTGTGAAAACCTCCCATGCACACTCCAGCATGGTCCCCCCTCCTACCAGATGATGACAAGGCCTCAGGGAGTAGTAGAGGGACGAGATGAAAGAAACCTGGCCTCTTGAATGACTAAGTGAAGGAGAGTTGCCCCAGCAACCTACATTCTCCTCCAAGACTGTTATGTGAGCAAGAAATAAGTTCTGTGTTGACTCATTACATGAGGCTACCCTAACTAAAACAATGCCCAATGCCAAGAGCAGTACCTGGTCCATAATTAGCCCTCAATGAACAGTGATTGAATGACTGACTATTACACACTTAATAATGATGTGTTCAGTGATGAAATGTCTTTTCCCAACACTCGTTCTTCATTTACTAAGCTCCCTGAGGACAAGGATGTTTTATCAATCTCTATACACTCTGTGCTTTCCACTGTACCTAAACCTCAGTAGTCATTCAATGGATGTGTGTTGCATTGAGTTTCCAGGCAATGTAAGGGAGACAATGACTGGCAAAGCATGGTCAAGATGCACGAGCATGAGGAGGTGTTAGACATGCCTGTGACCACCAATGTTGGTGCAGTTCTTGCAAGCTTACCAAGGGCTCTTCACCTGCTTCTTATTTGTAACAACAATTCTGAAATGTAATAACTTTTATAATTCCCATTTTAGACATAATAAATATGAGTTCACAAAGGGATCTTTGCTCAAGATTTTACTTTTTAAAGTGATAAAGCTAGAATTCATTCATTGTTTTGTTTTTTTTGAGAGGGATTATCACTCTGTCACCCAGGCTGGAGTGTGGTGGTGTGATCTCAGCTCACGTCAACCTCCCCCTCCTGGGTTCCAGCCATTCTCCTGCCTCAGCCTCCTGAGTAGCTGGGATTACAGGTGCCCACCACCATGCCCAGCTAATTTTTGTATTTTTAGTAGAGATGGGATTTCACCATGTTGTCCAGGCTGGTCTCAAACTCCTAACTTCAAGTGATCCACCCACCTCGGCCTCCCAAAGTGCTGGGATTACAGGTGTGAGCCACTGCGCCCGGCCCAATTCATTGTTTAAGAATACTTATTGAGTGCCTAAGATGGGCTAGTGCCCTGGCTGAATCTTCTGCACCTACTAGGGGCTTAGGAAATATGAGAACTCAAAGTTCTGAAGAAATTGGAATTACCTCCCAGAAGACAAATGGGAGGCTCCAGGCTCCAGCCGAGGACTGAGAAAATTGCCTGTGTCATGCAGCCGACGTGTTGAGCTGGGATGCCACTGCTGCTGCTGTGTGCCTTATGCAAGTTTCTGGGTGGTCTGCCAGACTCTCCTGGAATCAACAACAGCGCAGGGACCCCCTTTGCAGCTCTTCTACTTGCCCGGGCTAATGGCCCTGGCATTCTAAGTCTGCCCTTTTCCATACATTCTTTCCTCCTTTCTGTGCCAGGATTTCAGTAGATGATTTAGAGTGAGTTCCGGGCCATTTAGCTCAGAGATTTGGGTGAAAGTTTCCTCCCACCCATCCCAGGCCTCAGATAGCCCATCAGGGTATGACCAGGTCCTGTGAAGGAAGGGGAAGAAAAGCTTGTGGAGATTTTCAGGCACAGGGTAGGAGACGTTTCCTCAGCTGCTGCATTTGCCTACTGTAATCTGGCTGTACAAGGCTTGTCAATAATAGATTGGTTGAAAATGTAGGACAAAAAACTCAGGAAGACGTAACTTGCCTACACAGAGACTGCAAAGGCCCCTGGAGGGTTGCTGGCAGGCTGGATGATTTGTCGCTGCAAAGAGGGAAGGCGCTGTTGCCTGAAGGGGCAGGTGGCCGAAAGAAAAGAGGAAGATTAGATGACCAGTTCTTCACAGGGGTTCAGCCTTTACCAGCCTGGAGACACTCCTCTCTGTGCTTGAGCGCCTCTCTCTGTAAATAAATCCAGGCTGCTCTTACAGTGCAGGATGTCCCACATACCGTACATCTGAGGTGGGGTGAAATACAAATATGCCTTTTCATAATAGCTTTACACCTGGTGCAGCAGAGGACTGGTTTATTACCTTGGTAAACAAAAGTTAGAATTCAAGCAAAGTACAAACTTTGCCGAAGGCACTTCTGACAGTGCACCTTGTGTTTGTGAAGTGAACTCGATATATATACGATGTGAAGCAATGGAAGGCTGGGCTTTTTCTTTCTTTCTTTCTTTCTTTCTTTTTTTTTTTCACTTGTCTGATTTGCAAGGTTTAAAAGTTCACGTGTGTGTGTGTGTGTGTGTGAGAGAGAGAGAGAGAGAGAGAGAGAAAGGTTGGGGGAATTTACTTTGGCTCTGGCTTTTTCCAGCATTTTGAAATCATGCTGTTTAGCGTGGAAAAAAATATGTGAGCCAATTTATATTGTTTTCCAGAGAGAATGTACTTCTTGCTGCTCTCAGAGTGACAATGAGAATTTTTGGGTTGGAGACAGGGTAAACCAGTTTGGGGAACACACAAAGGAACCAGGATTTGCATTAAATCTAACTTAAATTAAACAATAAAAAATAAATATTTATTCAGTGCATTTTTTTTTGCACCAAGCACAGAACCAAAAACTTTCATCACCATTATTTCATTTAGTCTTCTCAACCGCATGAAGCAGGGATTCTTGATCAAAATATCCATTTCACAGGTGAGGAAACTGAGGCTATGGTTGCTCAAGTATTCAAGCTTGTGTGTTCTAATTCTAAATTCAGGTTTTTATGCATGTCCCCTAAGCTGTGCACGGGATCACAGACTATATGGTGTCCTGTCACTTTGCTTCTTTTTCCTGAACCCCCGCATTTTTCAGCCTTGTTCTCTGCCTCAATGAATAGTGATTGTGCCACTTCCAGGCCTGGCTGTGAAAACCTCCCATGCACACTCCAGCATGGTCCCTCCTCCTACCAGGTGATGACAAGGCCCCAGGGAATAGCAGTACTTGGGGAAATGACTGATCTTCTCCGTTCTTTGGTGTATTTCTGCCCAGATGATCTCCATACTGCTTACTTATCACCTAGTCATTTGAGCTGCCCTACGACCAGCCAGCACCTTCATGCATTCCAATACCAAGGATCTGAAACATGTGGATTAGATTTCCCCTCAAAACACACATAAGCCGAAAAGCTAAGGCAGAAAGTGCAAAGCAAGAACACATCTTATGTTTGGTTAGCTCCACAAATGCCTCTGCATTCTCCCATCCCCAGCTTGAATAAATCAGATAAGCTTCAGCAAAAGCATCTGAACTTTTTGGATTCTTTTCCCAAACAAGCCTTTGAACCTGAAGAACTTTGCCTATCTCTGCGTGTTCACTCCTCAAATGTTCAGCTGGGGCTTGCCCACTGCACAGCTCAAGCTGGTGAAATTTAACTCTTTCATCCACAGATTACTTTCCAACCCGTCTGAAGTGACAGTAAACTCATTAGGCTCATTTTCAAGAAGACTCTCTATGAATGTGTCAGCTTATGCCTGTCTCCACAGACGAAGGATTCCTTCAGGGAACATATTAAACTGAGACTAGTGAGAGGTGATGCCATTAAAGCGTTGTCAGTTCAGCAGTTTTATGGTACCAGAGCTGTGGCTGCTTGTCCTTAGCAGGATTTCAAGAGAAAGCCTCGTCTCCCTCCTCCAGATCCCCTGCTACCTCCACCCCCTACCATGGATGCATCTTTAATTGCAGTTCCTTGAGGAATGCCTTTGGCTTTATTTATTACAAGCTGTTAGAAAATTATTGGAACACAAATACTTATTACAGTGAACAGATTTCAGTTGCAAATGGATTCAACCCAATTCCTGTGCCCAAGCCCCTGAGGGAACAGGAATGGAGATCTCTGGGCTGTGAAACGAAACTTGGTCAAGGATGCTTCCTTCAGAGACTCTGCTCTGAAAACCCAGGAGAGCCAAAAAGTGGAAGGCTAGCATTTAAATGAACTGTAAAGAGCATCTAACCAACCCCTTTGTCTTACAGAGGAGGAAATGGAGGTTCAGTGGAAATAGCAAGGCCAAGGCTAAAATAGCCAGCCAACAATAGGCCTCTGCAACTCCCCGGCCAGGCATTATAGCTCTCTTCCATGCTGTCTTTTATACCCAGAGAAAGTGAGATTAAATAAAGCCAAAAAAAAATTGGCCCTAAATCCTGGCCTGGATCCACGTATCCGGGCTTTTCATTACAGCTTGTCAATACATGGCCATAGATTGAGTCCATAGAAAGATGCTCACCCCACGACAGAAGAGAGACAGGAAACCTGGAATGCTTCTGAAACATTGACTGGAAATCTTACTCAATGTTAAGAGATCTTAGTGTATCTTTACATGGTAACATTTCTAGACCAGATAGGCAACGCTTAAAGAGAAATCTATACTCCTTTCCTACTTTCAATTTCATTCTCATTAGCTGCTTTGATTTTCTTGCTGGTGACTCTCAGCTGCTATGGATCCTTATTATTGGGAAGTACAGTTAGTCCATGATGGGGTTCTAAATTGAAGTAACTGATAAAGTATGAGAATATTAGGGCTAGAAGAAAACTTAATGATACTCTGGCCATATCTTCAGTTTCCAGTTGAGTACAGTGGGTCTGAGAGAGGTTGAGTGACTTCAGGCAGGGTCACTGGGTACACTATGGACTGCAAAACATTGAATTGCCCCACCACGTGAAAGGAGGTTCCTTCCATCTGACAATGACAAACCACTTCCCTTTGTAATACTTAGGTGTCTTTTATGAATTATTAATGGATTGTGCCCAGTTCTACAGAGCCGAATGTGTATTGCAGCCTAGTCCTAACAAATCCACTGACATCTGCATGAGGTATGGATCATGAGATATCCTCGCCATCTTTTGTTTCATGGAAAGACCAGTAAACAGAAGTCAGGGGAATTTTCCAAGATTACATGGTGAGTCAGCAAAGGCTCTGGGGCAACAAGCTGTTACTGGATGAGGAATCGGAAGATACAAATTCCAGTCTTCACACTGTCTCTAATCATGTGGGAGATCTTGGGCAAGCCACTTCTGTCTCTGAGTCTCAGTTTCTTCACCCATAGAAGGGCTTTTCAGGATGGCCTCTAAGAACCTTTCAGCTTGCTGTGGCCTATGGATCTAGAATACAAGGTTCAGAGCTATTTAATGTCTAAAATATGATTGTGCAAAGCCAGAGATTGCCACAATGATACACCCTCAGAATTCTGGGTTTTGCCTCCAAAATTGGAAGTGTCTTAGCAATTTGTGTGCAAATAATAATAGTAGTAACAATACTTTTTTTTTTCTTAAATTATTTTCAAGCTCTTGGTGATTGCAGTACTTGTCTGCTTGCAAGGACAATCATATAACACAACAAACTAATAACAGACAATGAGAGAACTCAGAAATATGATATCTTTATTATTTTTACTTTTTGAAAAATAATAAGAAAAATAAATGGTATTTATGGAAAACTTACCATATGCCATGCAGTTTATATGTACCATCTGTTTTAAGATCTATGAACAGTGTTATCACGCCCTTTGTATAGATGAAGAAACTGAGATTCAATGATGAAATAATTCATCCGCTACGTACACAACTATTAAGCAATAAAGCCCAGAGTTGAAACCAGCTTTCTTGACTCCAAAGCTGATGTTTCCCACAATTACAGGTTGCATACATAAAATAATACTGCCTTGTTTGTTAGCAAAAGTGTTTTTCCATAAGAAAAGAAAATTAAATGTTCCATAAGAACATTTTATTGGACGTGACAAAGAACACCACCACGGCTTCCCTGGGATGCAACATTTGAACATCTTTGAAAACAGACCAAAAAGTTTGAGGCATTAGTCTGACTTTCCCCCAGTAATTTAGGAGGGATAGATACCTATGTCTAGAATTATTCCATTCAGAAATATTTATTAGTATGTCCATAAGATCTAGGGCCAGGTGGCCATTTCTTGTTTGGAATTTGCATAATTTCACATATGCACTAGACCTTTGTCTTGACCCACTCCCTATTTATTCAATCCTGTAATCCTCCTAGAGATATAGGGCAATATTAGAGCAGACTTGAAGAAACTGTTTCTGATTCAGAGTCTCCCCTAAGAGGGGAAGTGTGTATAAGGTCCCCTCAAAGTCATCCATACAAACAATTTCTAAGCCTATAGACCAATCCAGGACCAGATCCCGTATGTTCATTCATCCAACATTTCTTGACAGCCTTGGATGATTCCAGCACAGTGAAAGACTAATGCTTCCAAGACAAATAAGATTTAGCCTTGAGCTGACCTTGGACACCTAATCTAGGCCAGGCCTAGACTCCAGGAACAACCATGGGCAGCTCCATTTTACCAGCTTCCAAGGTCTAGAAATAAAAGTGAAGTGATATGACAGAAAGTCCTGCATTTTCTGTTTGGGCTTTCACCAGAATGAAAATTACTGTACCCCTTTTGTCATGCTATAATTGCCAAGAACCAGATAATGTTAAAGTTGGAAGTGACACTAGAGATTTAGTTGTCACTTCTGTTCCAATCTCTCCTTTAGAGATGAGGTTACTGAGGTTCAGAGAGTGAAAAAATCATCTAAAGTCACCAACAGAGCATGGGGCAAGGCTGGAATTAAAACCCAGGTCTCCTGGCTCCAGGCTCAATGCTCCTTTCACTGCTATTGTTTAATTGCCTTGGTAATGGGAAAGACATTAGCCGAGAAGAAAAAGAAGCCAGTCTTTGTTAATGAAAAAATGTGATTCAATGGATAGGTGGATCTGTGCTTCCTCTAGCTACCATGGCTCATGGTTATGTTGGGCTAATTCCATCGCCTAGTAGCAAAATGCCTATGCTGCAGCCACTATGAATGTCCTGAATGCAGCAGACTTTTTCATAGCTCTGCACACTACCTTCCCTGAATCCGGAATATCCTCTCATTTGTCCTCATAGCAAACAATTACTCTTTTAGAACCCATTCCATTGCTTCCTTTGTGGAGATGTGGTTAATTTATGCTGGGTCAACTTAGATAAGATGGAGCTACATTTCTCAGACCCCCTTCCCTGCATAGTTCCATATTAGCTTTGGCCACAAGAGATTTTGCATGATATTTGAAATATAGAAGTGAAGCTACTGTTTTAATATTTAGAAGGTTGGTGCAGGACACCACATATTGTGAGAGACAGGAATAGGCTGTAGTGTGCCTGGCAAGGTCCAGACCATCATTGCTCTCTCCTCCTCCACTGCTATTTCTCTTTCTCCACTGCCTACCCTTAAAGTCCAGCACAAACTCAGAAGCAACAGCCTCACATATACTGATTAGCCATTTCCTACAGTTGTACTCAGTAAGGTCCGACAATAAATTTCTGGTCCTATATCATACAAAGTGGTTCTGCTTGTCTGATAGAACACTAACTGGATCAGGAGTCTTCTGTGAATCCCTCAGAATTAATCATTTCCCAGCCACACAACTCTATTAAAGCGTATATCACACCATGCTGTACTTTCATGATTGACAAGTGTTTCTCTCACTGATGGGGATAGCTGACATGTATTGCAGGCTTACTTTGTGTCAGGCACTATTCTCAGCACTATTTAATCCTCACAACAACCTAATGAGGTCAGAGTTGTTATTTTTCTTCCCATTTTATAGATAAGGCAACTCAACTGAGGACCAGACAAGTTAAAAGACTTGCCCATGCTTTCACGACTAGGAAGGAGAGAATCCAGGATTCAGAAACAGACAGCCTGGCCCCAGAGCTAACGCCCTCACCCTCCCTAGGTGAGCTCTTGAAGGAGCATGTCTCATCTGTGAAGGAAAGATCTATCTACTAAGCTTGAAGAGAAAATGACTTTTCTACAAAGTTGAAGAGGGTTGATGGAAATGGAAGCTTTGGTCTAGGGTCCTATCGTACCCTGAATGACATGCTTTCCAGACTGGAAGTTGAGGTTGTAAATGCTCCGTAGTCGATGCCTTGTTAGTGGACAAGAGACCCGCTTACATTTTAGTTATACATCACCTGAAAGCCATCAGTATGCTCTCTGGGAGCTGTAGATACTAACACTGCCTCACACCACTGGATGAGCCTGCTTTTCTCCCTAGCCCAAGCTGATGCCCCACCCTGGGTGGAGCTCTCTCCTGTGGGTCTCCCTGAGTGGAGGGCTGAGATTGTCTGGAGGGAAGAGTTCCCACACAGGTGCCAGGTATGCAATTAGTGTTTAACACCTCATTTTTATGTGAATGATGAAACATGACTTCAAAACAACAGTTCATGTATCGTAATGTGGGCTGGGACTCATAATTTTTAATGTGGCTATCAACTTCTAAATATCAGACTAGAATAAAAAATCAAGTTTGGATTTCAAATCAGAGTATCATGTTGTTCAACATGATATTGGGCTTTCCTTATTCCTCTCTACATACAGGAAAATTTAAAGCCTTCATCTTATGTGTAATACATCAAAAATAAACACACATACACACACAAATAAAAAAGAATAAGCAAAAAACAAAAGATAAAATAAAAAACAAAAGATAAAATATACAACAAAAAGTACATAGAAAAAAATGGTTAGAAATAAAAATCAATGCTACAACGCAACATCAAATGCCTGTCTTGCTCTTCTAGGACACAGAAGGGAGGCTGGTCTGGAAGGTTGAGAGGCTTCGTGCCACTTGAAGTGTTCTACACAAGAGGAGAAAACCAGCCAGGCGCGGTGGCTCACGCCTGTAATCTCAGCACTTTGGGAGGCCGAGGTGGGTGGATCGCGAGGTCAGGAGTTCAAGACAAGCCTGGTCAACATGGTGAAACCTCGTCTCTACTAAAGATACAAAAAATTACCTGGGTGTGGTGGCATGCACCTGTAATCCCCGCTACTCAGGAGGCTGGGGCAGGAGAATTGCTTGAACCTGGGAGAGGTGGAGGTTACAGTGAGCTGAGATCACACCACTGCATTCCAGCCTGGGCGATCGGGCAAGAATCTGTCTCAAAAAAAAAAAAAAAAAAAAAAAGGAGAAAACCCATAAAACATTCACTGCATCATCAATATCTGCTATCAATATTATGTAGATGTTCCATATAAGCCAATGATGAGAAAAGCTTGTAAAAATCGAATTCATGGCTTTTATTCATGACCAGACTTGGATTGGACCTCTGAATTTATCAAGTTCAAGCTTTCGTTTCAAGATGAGGAAACTGAGGGCCTGTGAAGATAGACCCTCCAATTCCAGACTGATACTAGCAGACTAGAGAGGAGGCCCAGAGGAAAGGCTTTCCATCCAGGAAGCAACAGGATCAGGCTGAGGAATTTTTCTGTATCTTATGGGGGCATGGGAAGTGTTAGTGAGGAGAAGAAATGTTTGGCAGGTAGAGTCAAAAGGATTTGGATATGGGGGATGAAATTTCTGTCTTCAACTTAACAAAAAAATAGTCTACCTCAGAACTTTTGGCTGCTACCCATTTTTAATGCTCATTAACTGGAAAATACTATATATTTATTATAGAAAATTTGGAAATTAAAAAAAGAATTAAATTACTCATAATTCTACCACCTAGAAAAAACCTTTGTCAATATTTTGATTTTCACTTTTCTAAAAAGTGTAATTACATGGCATGTTCTATTTGGTAGTCTAATGCTTGTATTTTTTTTGTTGTTTGTTTGTTTGTTTGTTTTGAGACGAAGTCTCACTCTGTCACCCAGGCTGGAGTGCAATGGAGCTATCTCAGTTCACTGCAACCTCTGCCTCACAGGTTCAAGCAATTCTCCTGCCTCAGCTTCCTGGGTAGCTGGGGACTACAGGCACCCGCCACCATGCCCAGCTAATTTTTTTGTATTTTAGTAGAGACAGGGTTTCACTGTGTTGGCCAGGCTGGTCTTGAACTTCTGACCTCAAGTGATCCACCTGCCTCAGCCTCCCAAAGTGGTGAGATTACAGGCGTCATCCACTGCGCCCGGCTGTTTGTATGTTTTAATGAAACTCTTTTTCATAATATTAAATACTCTTCCACTATGAAATGTTCTTAGTGGCTGCCTAGTTATTTCACCCTATGACTATAGTGAGTCAATGTGTTTCTTACTATTGGACACTTTGGTAACTTCTCTTATTTCCCATCACAAATCATAATGAGATAAATGTCTTTGGGTCTCTGGTTATTCCTGAGTGAATTTTTTAAACATAATTTCAACTTTTATTTTAGATTCAGGGGGTAAATGTGCAGGTTTGTTACTTGGATATACTGTGTGATGCTGAGGTTTGGAGTATGACTGATCCTTTCACCCAGGTACTGGGCATAGTGCCCAACAATTTTTTAACCCTTCCCCCCTCCTTTCCCCTCTAGTAGTCCCCAGTGTCTTTTGTTGCCATCTTTGTGTCCATGAGTGTCCCCTGTTTAGCTCCCACTTATGGATGAAAACATGTGGTATTTGATTTTCTGTTTCAGTGTTAATTCACCCAGGATAATGGCCTCCAGCTGCATCCACGTTGCTGCAAAGGATATGATTTCATTCTTTTTATGGCTGTATAGTATTCCATGTCATATGTGTACCACATTTTCTTTATCCAATCCACGACTGATGGGCACCTAGGTTAATTCTTTATCTTTGCTATTGTGAAGAGTGCATGATGAACAGACAGGTACATGTGTCTTTTTGGTAGAACAATTTATTTTCTCTTGGATGTATCCCTAGTAATGGGATTGCTGGGTCAAATGGTAATTCTGTTTTAAGTTCTTTGAGAAATCTCCAATCTGCTTTTCACATTGGCTGAACTACGTACGTTTCCACTAACAGTGTTCTAGCATTCTCTTTTCTCCAGTCTTGAGAGCATCTGTTGTTTTTTGACTTTTTAATAATAACCATTCTGACTGGTGTGAAATGGTATCTCATTGTGGTTTTGATTTGCATTTCTCTGATGATTAGTGAACTTGAGCATTTTTTCATGTTTGTTGGTCATTTGTGTGTCTTCTTTTGAGAAGTTACGGTTCATAGCTTTTGTCTATTTTTTTAAATGAGGTTGTTTTTTGCTTGTGGAATTGTTTGAGTTCCTTATAGATTCTAGATTAGACCTTTGTTGGATGCATAGTTTGCAAATATTTTCTCCCATTCTATAGGTTGTCTGTTTACTCTGTTGATAGCCTCTTTTGCTGTGCAGAAGCTCTTTAGTTTAATTAGGTCCCAGTTGTCTATTTTTGTTTTTGTTGCAATTGTTTTTGGATACTTAGTCATAAATTTTTTCCCAAAGGCAATATCCAGAATGGCGTTTCGTAGGTTTTCTTCTAGGATTCCTATAGTTTGATGCCTTACATTTAAGCCCTTAATTAATCTTGAGTTAATTTTTGTTTATGGTGAAAGCTAGGGGTCCAGTTTCGTTCTCCTGCATATGGCTAGCAAGCTATCGCTGTTCTATTTATTGAATAGGACATCATTTCCCCATTGTTTATTTTTGTCAACTTTGTTGAAGATCAGATGGCTGTATGTGTGGCTTTATTTCTTGGTTTTTCTATGCTGTTCCATTGGTCTATGTTTCTATTTTTGTACCAGTACCATGTTGTTTTGGTTACTCTAGCCTTATAGCATAGTTTGTTCTTCTTCTCCTTCTTTTTTTCTTAATGATCCAAATATTTCACCTGAATAGTATAGTTTGAAGTTGGGTAATGTGATTCCTTTGGCTTTGTTCTTTTTGCTTAGGACTATTTTGGCTATTCATGCTCTTTTTTGGTTCCATAAGAGTTTTAGAATAGTTTTTTCTAGTTCTGTGAGAAATGACATTAGTAGCTTGATAGGAATATCATTGAATCTGTAGGTTGTTTTGGACAGTATGGCCATTGTGACAATATTTATTCTTTCAGTCTATGAGCATGAACTGTTTTTCCATTTGTTTGTGTCATCTAGGATTTCTTCCAGCAGTGTTTTATAGTTCTCCTTGTAGGGATTTTTGTTTTGTTTTGTTTTGTTTTGAGATGGAGTCTCGCTCTGTCACCCAGGCTGGAGTGCAGTGGCGCAACCTTGGCTCACTGCAACCTCCGCCTCCTGGGTTCCAGCAATTCTCCTGCCTCAGCCTCCTGAGTAGCTGGGACTACAGGTGCGTGCGACCATGCCTGGCTAATTTTTGTATTTTTAGTAGAGATGGGGTTTCACTGTGTTAGCCAGGATGGTTTCGATCTCCTGACCTCATGATCTGCCCACCTCGGCCTCCCAAAGCGCTGGGATTACAGGCGTGAGCCACCGCGCCTGGCCGAATGAGATTCTTAACATAGAATTGATGGAACTAAGTGAATGACACTTCTAAAATTTGACATATGTATATCCAAGTCATGCATAGAGAACATAGATCTGTTTACACTCCCAGCAATAGTGTAGTCTATGAATGTTTGCTTCATTATCACCTTCTGCTACAACTGTCTGAAATTTTGAGGAACTCTTGGAAAGTATTTCAATTATTGATGTGCAAGCATTTATATTTTCTACTTGGTTTCAATAAAAATGATAAAACTAAGTGATACTACAAAATAAATAACTTATAAGTAACTTCTATTTTACATTGCTTGAGTTTTTATATTTCTTAATAAACATAAATTTTCACAGAATTATAAGTAGATATATACAGGACACAGCATTATTTTATATGAACATTTCTATAAAATGACATGTGTACACTTGACATTTTAAAACCTAAAAAATATCTTTATACCAATATAGTGATCCAGCATGTAGATATCTTGAGTTTGGTGAGCCAAGTCTCCATATATGAGTTGTTTTCAATGTGATTGGAATTAACAGGTTAGACAGTATGAACTCTTTCAGAGTCCCTACTACATGCTAGTGTCTCACATTTAGTGGTGCTTTGTATGTCATTGGGAGCAAAAACAACCTCCATTATTGCTTCTGATGACAATATTTACAAACACTTTAATTTTTACAGGAATTAACATCTCGTTCTTTCTCAAACTCCCAAATCCCTATTTTTGTAACTTACTGTGAAAGTCCAAAAGGAAATAAAAAGCTAAAGGATGTACTAAAAAATACAGTTGCTCCTTGAATAACACAGGATTGAACTCTATGGGTCCACTTATATGCCAATTTTTTTTCAGTAAAAGTTACACCCAGAGTGCCTGCCTCTCCTGTCTCTCCTGCCACTTCTTCCACCTCTGCCACTACTGAGACAAGACCAATCCCTCCTCTTCCTCCTCCTTCCTAGCCTACTCATGTGAAGATGATGGGGATGAAGATCTTTATGGTGATCCACTTCCACTTAATAAATAGTAAACATGTTTTCTTTTTCTTATGATTTTCTTACTAACATTTTCTTGTATCTAGCTTACTTTATTGTAAGAATATAGTATATAATACATATAACATACAAAATGTGTGTTAATTGACCGTTTATGTCATCAGTAAGGCTTTCTGTCAACAATAGGCTCCTAGTAGTTAAATTTTGTGGGAGTTAAAAGTTATACATGGAATTTTGACCACAGGGCATCAGCACCCTTAATCCTCACATTGTTCAAGGATCAACTGTTTAGTTACATATTTATATGTACATTTTAAACTTTGATTACACAACTAACATATGCTGTATGTAGAAAATTACAGATTAGAAATTAAAAAGAAGAAAACTAATATAACTTTGAATTATATCATGCAGACATAATGATATTTATCAGTTTCCAGTCTTCTTTACAGAAATGTATACACACTGCCCATACTGCTGTTATAACTCACTATGATACATTGTGAACATATTATCATGTCAATATGCTAACAAGTACATAATTTTAAATAGCTTTCTAGTATGTGCCAGGCACAGTAATATGCAATTATGAGGAAGACATGGCCTGGTCTTCAGGGAACAACTGGGGAGAGCAGGAAAGAACAGAAGCTTTCTAAGCTCTGGTGTGGTGCTCTTTCTCCTGGTTTATTTTCATTACTAGGTAAAGCTTTACTCCTTAGCATTTTTGTTTTTACAGTCCCAGCACATTTAAATCCCAGTTTTCTTATCCTTGCCTTTAGGTTACAGTGTCCTATTCATTTACTTTTGATCCATGAACAATTGAGAGTTTTTAGTATTCAGTGAGTCCCTGTAATGGCATGGTAGAGCACAGTTCTCAGAAATTGTGGAAGAAGATCTTTCCAACAGCAGGTGCTGCCAGTGGTGCTACAGGTAGAAATGGATCCTGGCTTTTGGGGACAGTGGTCTTCCTTGTGCTTCAGTGTCCCTGTAGCAAGAAGGGGACTCTCATTTCCCAGAGAGCTTTCTGCTCCTTAACACCTGCTGTGATCTGTGCAGACATCTGTGAGGCAATTTGGGTTCTATAGAATAGGAAGGTTAGACTTAGGGAAACAAAGTATGCGACTGAGGCTCTGCCTAGAAGAGGCACAGCAGAGCCAGGATAAAGCACAGGCTTTGTGATGCCAGTACAGCACTCTTTCTATTCTTCCCCAGCTCCACTGAAGGCATGGCTGACTTGGCTGCAGAAGGTTGGTGGGTCAAAGAGACCAATGTTCTCTGTTCTTCACATGCACACACACATACACACACACCAGAAACATGTGTGAGTACCCTCACATGTAAACAGGCAATCTAACCAAAATGCTCCTAGGTATTCTGTAAGTGCTCCCCACCTGGAAGGATCTCTCTCGTCTTGTAGTTCTTGCACCACTGTTTGGTGTCTTGACCACCCACAGCAACAGGCCACCTCCAGACAAGCCAGGATCCCTTTCACTGGGATTTTCCAACTCTGCATCACATATACCCTGGAGGCATGCTCTCCCCAAGCAGGCAGGGTCAAGAGACTCAGTGTGATGAATCCCAGACAACAAATATACAGTGAGCACCTCTAACAAGCAAGATGCTGAGTTAGGCTGTAAAGAGAATTCTGCCATGATATAACATCTACCTGCTAGAAAGCACTCCATAACAACTAGAATAATATTATAACATTAGATATGTCTTGTAATTTATGATTCATAGGCATTGTCTCACCTGACCCCGACAACAGCCCTGTATGAGAGACATAGTCTTAATCACATTTAACAGATGAAGATGCAGAGGTTTAGAGAGGCTCACTGACTGGGCCTACATTAGATAGTGAATATTACACCTTGGACCTAAACTCCAGTTCTTCTGACTACAAAACCAATGTCCTCACCCTCTCAGACATCAACCTCAATATGTTATGGGATTCTCAGTTCTCAATGTGACCCATGAGGAGAGTTTGGTGAATGTCACTTAACAGGTGAGAAAACTGATCCAAGAGGTGAAGAGAATTAACCATGATCACCAGGGGCCTCTGGTTCCAAAACCTAGTGGTCCTTTCTCATCACTTGGTCCCTGCTGTGGAATAGCACCTCAGAGAGCAGGGGACTGTGAACAAAGAAAGAGTAACAAAGATTCAAAGCAGATTGTGTGTCCCTAAGGGGGCTGCAGAAAAACTCTTTGGGTACCTCTGCTTAGAAGCATCCTGGGGAGCCTCAGCCCCTGCCCAGCATGTAAGTGTAATGTGTGTTTTGAGGTCATGTCAACTTCCTGTTAGGTGTTGCTGTCTATGATCTTCCTTCTGGCCTAGGCCAGGATGCCATTTTTTGTGACCAAGCATAGAGTCCTGCTTTAGAATGCCCAACTGTTGTTCAACAGTGTGGTTTCTTTGAAGGAAATGTGATGAGAATAAGGTGGGGAGGAAGTTGGTAAGAGGGGACAGAAACAAGCACACATACTGGCATTGTCTGTTGCTTGATCTTGAAAAAAGTTATATGGCATTTTAGATGGATCCCAGCCTTGCTCCTTCCGCTATGTACACAGCAGAATCTCCCCTTATACTCCTCATTTTAGAGACTGGTGGGAAATGAAAGACAGGGAGACTAGTTAGGCGACTGTATTGCAGAAACCCAAATGAGATCCAATGGGGACTTGAAAGTGGCCTTAGGGTCAGGATATAGACGTATACTGAAGAACCACCCCAGAGGAAGACTCAACTAGTTGTACAGATTGGATGGTGGAGAGAAAGAAAGTGGAGGAGAGAAGCTTAGGATGGCCTCTGGTTTGCTTACTGAGGCATCCAGGCAGGTGAGCATGTTATGGACAGAGCTAAAGACTACAGACAAAGAGAAAGTTTGGAGAGAACACAATGAGCTTAATTTTTAATATATTGAGAGAGCACATCTGGACCATGTTCTTATGAAGGTGATTACGGGGAAAAGTGCTCAGAAATGAGGTCCTCCAACTCCACCCTAAAAATTCACAGACATTGCTACAACAACCATTAGTCACTGCAGGCCTAATCAGGAGAGATTTGGGAATGGGGAGCGGGAAAGAGTGGGCTGTGCTTATGGAACTCACAGTGAATAAAAGAAGATTTTGAGCAGGAGCAAATAGGCATCCCTGCTTTTCTTATAGTCCATTATTTTCATGGATTGTTTGTTAGGCAGCCCCAATGTCACATTGGAAGTGTCATACTGGAATGACTTGGAGATCTTGAGTTAAAAGACCTAAATTTGGTGCAGCATATTATTAGTTGTACGATCTGGGGAAAAACACTTAACTCCCCTGATCTTCCTTCCTTATCTATAAAATGATTGTCTTGGGAAAATGCTGTGTAAATTATAGCAGGCTATTTATGGGTAAATTGTTGGTTTAATATGTCATACTAATAAGCAACTAATTTTGCAACTAAATTAAATGCGTACCAATTTGAGAAGCTAAAGCTTTAAGAAGGAAGTATTAACAGACTGGAAAAACCCAGTGAATTTTTCAGACCAAATTATAGAAGACCCTTGGAGCTCCAGCATCCTGTAGAGATATCTTTAGGGAAAGGAAGAAGCAAGAATGGAATCAGGGGATATCCCAACAGCCTCTTCACCCCACCCCCAGTCACAAGCTGTGGTGATGTTTGTCTGTGACATGAATCACTACACTCTTGTGGGTGCTGTTTTTGCTGCTCTGGCACAGATATATGCCATATATTCTTGGGTCTTATATAGGGTTTAGTTTGTTACCTTCTTGGGCACCAACTGCTTAGCATTCCTCAACATATAATCTCTTCAGCGTCAACTCTTGATGTTACAAGAAAACATAGGTTACAGACTTCAATTGAACCCAAAACGACTGTTGATCGAGTTCTTTAGACTTTCCAGGCATTATACTAAACAATGGGGATACAATGCTGAAACAAATAGGCAAGGTCTCTGTCCTCACAGAGCTTTTATGCTACCAAAATTCAGAACTGGAAGAGATCTGGAAGAGATTTTCTAGAGCCCAGAATTTTTTGGAGTGACATTTGACTTTGTCACTTGGAGCCTACACAATCTTGTTTTTTGTTTGTTTGTTGTTTTGTTTTTGAGATGGAGTCTTGCTCTGTCACCCAGGCTGGAGTGCAGTGGCGTGATCTCTGCTCACTGCAACCTCCGCCTCCTGGGTTCAAACAATTCTCCTGCCTCAGCCTCCTGAGTAGCTGGGATTAAAGGTGCCCACCACCACACCCGTCTAATTTTTGTATTTTAGTAGAGATGGGGTTTCACCATGTTGACCAGGCTGGTCTTGAACTCCTGTCCTCAGGAGATCCACCCACCTCGGCCTCCCAAGTGCTGAGACTACAGGCATGAGCCACCGTACCCAGCCTAGAACCTACACAACCTTGAACAAATTTATGTCACTGTAAAATGAGAATGATAATAAAAAGAAATAGCCACCCTCCTCATGCATATACTGTGAAGAAACACATGAGGATGTGCATTATGACTGACAAAGCACTAGACAAATACAAGTGATTAACACTGAAATATTATACTTAAAAAAAGAAAAGAAAAGGAAAGAAGGAAAAGTTATACTCAGTGCTTATGCACACATCTGGAAAAAATACTAAGTGCTTATCAAAATATCTCATGATGTTTCTACCTAGTTTTGTCTCTGTTCACACTGGTATTCAATTACTAGACAACTAGACAACAAATCAGTTGAAATGGTAATATTAATTTGTGCAAAATGGGCCAATATTGCTTTAAATAAAGGTGGAATATGCTTTCTGTTGGTGTGTCCATTACAAAAAACCCACACAAAATAAAAACACATATGCATTGGAGGTCATTGCTCTCATTCTTACTTTTATGAGCAATGTACCCTAATGGGTACTAGCGGGTTTCCTATTATGTATATATTTCATAAAGCTTCTGCAATATAGTCTCGAGTTCAGTGGAGAATTCTGATGTGAAAAGCCTGGGATCAAAGATTGAAAGGTGTGTGAAGATAATGAAAGCCTATAAAACAAACAATAACATTTGTATTCAATGAAAATCTGAAGTCAGATGGTAGTAACTACTCTTCCTTTCATGGGCAAGGAAGAGTAGTTGTTTCATGCAAAAAAAAAATACACATGCATAAATATATTTACAATACTTTTCTTTCATGTATCTGAAAAATAAAATGCACGCCTTTCCAATGAATAAATATGCCTTGTTGAGAATATCATAAATAAGCACATGGATTTCAATAATTTTACAGTCATATTACTAATGTATATTTTTCCATTTTATGCTGACATTTCTGGTCTTGGAGATGAGAAATAAAATCTATAGGTATATTGTTAAAAGAAAAGGGCAAGAGGCATTTGCCGAGCATGTTCTAGTGCCAGGCATGATGTGATACATATCTCATTATCTCATTAATCTTCACCACCATACTCTTTGTCATCTAGATCTTTGGGCATGCGAATCCCTATGCCCAGCACATTTCTGTGGACCCCTTCTGCTCCCTTGACAATACTTGCTCCTTCCCACTCCACCCTTCACCTGGATGGCCCTTCCCCTTTAGGATTCAGCCTGTGCCCAAGTTCACCTAGATTATCCTGCTCCTGTTTCCCCAGCAGCCAGTAGTTTTCTATGATGTATTATCACAGAATAGAACAATAGACTGTAGTCTGTTTCTCATATTGAAGGGCAAGAGAAAGGGACTATGTTGCTTTTTCACTGTTATGAGCCCAGCATGCAGAGCAGTTCCCACAATATTGATTGAATGAACAAATGAACGAGTTGTTGAGTAAGCTAAGTATTATTAGCCCCAATTTTCAGATAAGAATACGAGACTCAGAGGGGGTTAGTATGGTATCAAACTGCTGGTATATGATAGATCTAGTAGGTCTGGGAATTGAAACAAATGATCTGACTTGCTGTCTCAATTACTATCAAGAAGAGTGGGTGAACCCTGGAGTTCTAATGCTGGTCTTCTCTATCTCCACTTTGTCAGTCTGTAGTGAAAAAAAAAAAAAAAAAAAAAAGGACTACCAGAAAAAATAAAGGCCTTAAAGCAACCTATGGTGCAGGGACCAGAAAGTAACCTTGAGCCCAGGAGCGCTCAGAACCGCTACTAAGGACAAATCAGTGAGTTTGATGAAATTCAACATGGGATTTTTGAACATCTTCTATATGTTTTACCCATGCTGCCAGCTCGGAGGAGTCTGTAGATGGGCAGACACATCCTGGCCCTCTGGCTGCTTACAGACTCTTCCAGGGTGTTGAGGTGATGCACCAGCTGGTGAAATCGTCCTCCAAATCAGGGGAGACCAAAAGTGGCATAGAGAGGCCCTGGCCTGGGAATCAGAAGGCCTGTCTCCACCTTTCTCGGCCCACTACCTTTGGAGAGCCACTTGCTTCTCTTTGAGAGTTTTAGTTTCCGTACCTATAAAATTTGTGAGTAGACTACATCACGGCAGCTGGTAGGTCGGATCTGACCCTCAGATTTCTTTTCATCCTGCCGTATGTTATGGATTGAATTGTGTCCCTGAAAAATTCATATGTGGAAGGCCAAACCTCTTGTACCTCAGAATATGACCTTATTTGGAGATGGGGAGTATACACAGCTGATCAAGTTAAAATGAGGTCATTAGGGTGGGACCTAATCGAATATGACTGATGTCCTTATAAAAGGGGGAAATTGGAACACGGAAACGGGTAGGCTCACAGGGAGAACACCGTGTGAACATGAAGATCATCATCTACAAGCCTAGGAGAGGGATGTAGAGCAGCTGCGTTCTTCCCAGCCCTCAGAAGGATTCCTGCCAACACCTTGATCTTGGGCTTCTAGTGTCCAGATCTGTAAGACACTAAATTAAGCCACCCAGTCTGTGATACTTTGTTATGGCGGCCCTAGCAAATTAAGAGACAGTCATGCTTCACCACATTCCTCACCATTCTCTATTTTCTTCTACCCAGCTGCTTGGCCCATATACCTTATCAGAGAGATTTTTAGGCATTATAGTCTGTCATTTATGGATGAGACCATTCCAAAGTTCTCCTTGAGTGATTCATCATGACTAGTCCCTGAATCTCTTTAATTAAATTAATTAATTAATTAATTTAAGGCTGTCTTGCTCTGTTGCCCAGGCTAGAGTGCAGTGGCTCACTGCAACCCCCGTCTCCTGGGTTCAAGTGATTCTCGTACCTCAGCCACCCAAGTAGCTGGGACTACAGGTGTATGCCACCACGCCCAGGTAATTTTTGTTTTTTTTAGCAGAGATGGGGTTTCACCATGTTGACCAGGCTGGTCTCGAACTCCTGGGCTCAAATGATCTGCCCACCTCAGCCTCCCAAAGTTCTGGGATTACAGGTGCAAGCCACTGCACCTGGCCCCTGAACATCTCATATTCCACAAGAAGGTCTATTTCAGGACTTGGTAGACAGGACTGCATACCCCTAAGCCACTGGTGTGCTGGAAAATGTTTAATTACCAGCTCTTGAGAGGATGGAGATCTCCCCTCTTGTGGTATTTGCTAATTTCCCACCACAGCCAATGTCAAGCTGCCAACATGACCTCACTGAAAGTGGACCAGAGGAGGGGAATGCCATTGGCTGTGGTGAGCTGGGAGGAGCAATTCTGGTACCATGGCCACCAGCAGTCCCAGTGCTCTACAGCCAAGCCCTGAGATCTTTGCACCTGATAGTCTTACGCCTGATCACGTTACTTATTTATTTTATTTTGTTTTTTCTTTTGTCAGACCTGGTCAACAGGAAGTAATTGCCTGAGCTCTTTAAAGCAACTGAGCTGAATGTCAGGAAACTGGAGTCCTAATCCAGGCCCTTTTTTGACTGACTGAGTTGGGATAAGACTTTCTACCTCGAGGATCATCAGGTGCAAAATGAAAAGGTTTGAAAAAATTAGGAGTTTATGGGGTTGGTATCTTGGCCTCCAAATCTCTGAGAGTGGTTGGAGGACAATTAAAGTAGGACTCCTGACCCGTCTTCCACCAAAGGTGCTTTGCTTGTGTATACTTTATATACAACTCCAGATCAGGTTTACCTGGAAGGTGAAAGAAACAGGTTCCACTGATTATTAAACGAAGGAATGAGTGCTGAGGCCCCGTCAGCTGAAATGTTTTCTATTCCTCCATGATTCCAGAACAAAACTCTCAGCCCCACCCATACACTTTAAGAAGGAAGCACAGAAGGGGTGGTTGTGGGAAGGAGAGCTGGCAGGGTGACCAACCCCAAAGAACAAGGCAAGGGAGCCAGACAGGCCAGGAGCACTGGACGGGCCCCTGGGATGCTGCACAATTCCTAGCATGCTTCTTCTAGAAGACTCCTCCAACAATCTCTGTGAAAAGAGAAATATTTTTACCTGCCCTTGGATGGCATTTAGGTCTGGGGTAGAAGGTGGCAGCTGTTTAACAGCCCATGGTAACACTGCACAGCAATTAGGGCAGGAAGTGAAGAAGGCTGTATCACACAGAAACTGCCAAGGTGGAATTGAGGTCAAGAGATTGCAGTTCCTCCAAAGTGAATTCACCCTTCTTCCCACCTGGATGGCCTCTGCCAGTGACTGGGGGATCTAGGGGAGCAAGAGGTGGTTTTCTAAAGAAGAGGGTCCTTCATAAAGGTGTGATACAGCATAGGTACTCGTGGGCAAGGGCAGGGCTTTTGAGAATGCCAGTGCAGAGACCACTCCACTGCTCTTAGGAATCGTGTGTCTAGTGACAATGTGGAGGGGAGGTTGAAGGGGAATCACTGGGCTGGGGAGACCAAGTGGCAGATAAGAGGTGTTGCCTAAGTGACAGACCATACACCTGTCAATCAAGAACAGTGACAGGATGGACTTTGTTCTCAGGGGCCAGGTGTTTCATTAGGGAGTACAATTTCATGCTCATACTTCTCTTTTTGACATTTCCGGCCTCTCCATAGTCCCTGTGGGTTGGATCTGTGCTTGGCAGTTCCTCTGATTGAGGGAAAGACAACCTTTTCTTGTGTGCTGTATTTATACTCAGGCATGAAATAAGACCGAGCAAACGTCATCCCAGAAACCTCAGGCCACTTGAGAGAATTTCGATCTGTAAGTGTAAAAGTAGCACAATGTCTGCCTCTCTCTTCACACTTGGGCAGAGGGGTTTGAGGAGATGATGATGATATTCTAGAGCAGTCAAAGAATTTTAGGGCTAGAAAGGGCCTTGGAGATGGATTTTAGGTCAAAAAGCTTAAAAGACTTATGTTGGCTCTACTTTTTTATTTTTTTTCTTGAGACAGAGTCTTGCTCTTGTTGCCCAGGTTGGAGTGCAGTGGCACAATCTCGGCTCACTGCAACCTCCATCTCCCGGGTTAAAGCAATTCTCATGACTCAGCCTCCCAAGTAGCTGGGATTACAGGCACGTGCCACCACTCCCAGCTAATTTTTTTATATTTAGTAGAGATGGGGTTTCACCACGTTGGCCAGGCTGGTCTTGAACTCCTGACCTCAGGTGATCCACTCACCTCAGCCTCCCAAAGTGCTGGGATTACAGACGTGAGCCATTGTGGCCAGCTGGCTCTACTTTTAACGTATCCAGAATCCAATCGCTTTTCCCCACCTGCAGCTATCCTTCTGATCCAAACTTCCAGCATTTCTTCCTGGAATATTGTGATCACCTACTACCTGCTTCAACCCTTGCTTCTCTCTGCTTCAATCCTGTGCCCCTTAGTATATTCTCAGCACAGTAGTGAAAATAATCCTCTTAAGATGTGCATTGGATAATGTCACACTTCCACTCAAATCCTTGCCTTGGTACCCCATTACTCTTGAGAAAAAAACTCAAGTCCTCAAAATAGCCTACCAGGCCCTACAAGACTCACCCTGTATTGCCTCTCTGACCTTATCTCCCATTACTCTCCCAGGTACTCCAATAGCTGACCACACTGCTCCAGCCACACTGGCCTCCTTGTTGTTCCTAGGATGTGCTCCTATTTTAGTCCTTTGCCCTCCCCTGGCACACTCTTCCTACAGACATATGCTCAGTTCACAGTCTCCTCTTCTTCAAGCCTGCTCATGTCTCACCTTCTCCCCCAGGCCCCACCTTGACCATGCTATTTACATATCAGCCTGCAAGTTGGTACCTGTTCCCCACTCCAAATCTGGGACTTCTGCTCCCCACCCCTCCATGCTGCTCTACTTTTTTTCCCCATAGGACTTAGCACCTCCGAACACAGCAGACAATTTTCATATTTATTGTGTTGATTAATATTTGCCCTTGCCTGCTAGGATATAAACTCAACAAGGGCAGAGATTGTCCTCTCTTATTGACTGAGGTATGGCTGCTGCCTAGTGAACCTGGTTGCATGGAAGAGAAGGTAATTAAAGAGAATGTAACTTTAAATAAAATTATTTTGAAGTAGTTTCAAACTTACAGAACAGTTGCAAAAACAGTACGGAGTTCAAATGTACCCCTCATGGAGATATGTTAACATTTTATCATCACATTTCCTTTTGGAATGAATGTTTAATGATATTAGTATTCGCATGAATCATGATAATAGTAATGACACGTTTGGAACTCTCTAGGTTTGCAGAAGGCTTTGTTTTTTTCCTTCAAGCTCTAGCCTACAGATCACTCTTCACATCTCCAAGATAGTGAGGGCAAAGATTATTGTACCCGTGAACAGACTAGAAGAGTGAGGCTTATTCAGGTCAGGTGACATCTTACCTAAGGTCACACAGTTGTAAAGGGCAAGAGCAAATCTGTGAGTGGAGCCGAGGTTTCCTCGCTCATAGCTGGGTACTGCTTCTTCTGCACAGTTGGTCCGTTTTACAACCAAACTCTGTCTCCTCTGCTCTTGACGTCAGTTACTGCCTGGGTCAAGAGTGACTCTCTGACAGCAAAGATGGCAACTGCCTCACGTAGGCTGGGATGCCCCATGGACAGCTGTAAGTCACACTGCAAAGGGCATGAGTCACCTGCATTCTTGCCCCTCTGCTACACGTGCTTCCTTCACTCAGCCCCTCTGAACACTGGTGTCCACAGTGCCAGTTGGGAGGTGGTGCTGCCAGCTGGGGCTGACCGCAGGGTCCTCAGGCACCCTCCAGCCTGGTGACTGAGATGCCATCTGGCACTCCCGACAGCTGCAGGGCCTCCAGCCTGACCCAGGAAGCAGGAGAATGGGAACACGACGTTAACAGGTGGGGGAAAGATTTCCCACCTCTGATCCAAGCACCATCACTTCCTAGATACAAGTTACTCATCCTCTCCAGGCCTCTGTTTCATCAGCTTCAGAATGGAGAGAATAAACAGTTCTGAGAGTGATCATGATTCCTCAATCCTGAGTTTCCTTAGCCTGTGATTCCTATACATTCAAAGAAGAGGTCTGAGACCCTGATCCCCAAACAGGAAAACTGCCAATGGGGAGACATTGGTAGAGATGAAGAAGGGGCAAGAGATGTCAAAGGGAAAGCAATCTGATGTAGCAGCCTACTGGGAGAATGACATGAGTTAAGATAGGTCAAGAATGTGGTCAGTGGTCAAAATTATTTACAATAACAGTGGTGAGGAGAGCATCTGTCCTTGAGTCTTGCTCTATTTCTGCCACACTGCCCTAAGTCAGGCCTTTGTTTTGTCACTCCCGTAATCCTGCAGTAAACTTCAGTGTGGTGTCCTGGTCATCAATGTCTTCCCACTCCAACCTAATCTGCCTACTGCTGTTAGAGGAATTTTCCTAAAACACAGCTGTGTCACGTGTACTTTTCCTATTCAAAATCCTTCAGTGGCTTCCTACAATCTCCTGAGTTAGGTACAAATCACTCACCCTGGCAGTCAAGCCTCTCCATAAATTAAGCCCCAACCTATCTTTCTCACTGTATTCCAACTACCCCCTGACACTTGTGGAATGCTTCAGGAAACCTGCTCTTCACTGCCCTCCAAATAGGTGCTAGCTGTCTGTCCCTTGCTGACAGCAATTAAGATAGTACAGTAGTAAGAGATGGTACAGTAGTCGTAGATGGTAGAGTAGTAGTTAAGAGATCAGGTTCTGGGTCCAGAAAGCCTGAGTTTGAGTAGCTGTGTGGCTTTGGACAAGTTGCATGGCTTCTCTGAGCTTCAGTTTCCTCATCTGTAAACAAGAATTTAATAATGGCGCCTCCTATAGGGAAGGTTGTGAAGATAAAAGATGTAAAGCAATTGGTGAACAGTGAATACTCAATAAATATTTCTCATGATTTAATCATTAATTTCTTACACTGACTATGTCCTCTTCATCCGATGCCCATGCCTGTCTCTGTTAACAGCTCCCTGCCAGACTAATGAGCCCCTCCCCATTCCTCATCCTTCACACACCTTTTGAGACACTCCCTTCTTTCCCCTTTACAGTGTAGTAACTTGATTAGGCTTATTTTCCTACCCAACTGCAAAGTTCTTGAAGGCAGGGAGGAGCCTGTCTCCCACAGGTCTCTATATCTTTCTCAGGATCTAGAACAGCACCCAGCACCTAGAAGGTCTCAGTAAGGATGTGTTCGGTGAAAGAATAAAGGAAAGAAATCACAGAAGGCTCAATAAGGAATGAAAGCATGGATAAGTCAAGTTTGAGGGGCATCCTGAAAACCTGGGGGTAGGGTGCCACTTCCCAAAATGGGGGACACGGCTGGGCTGAGCGAGGGCTCTGCTTTAGGGTGCCCCTTTCCTCATGGGACAAAGCCCAGCTTGGAGCAGTTTTCTCTATCCAGGGCCCTGCTGTGCTGGAGCAGGTGTGATAGAAAAGCCCTGGATGAAGTGGGGGTGGGATAGAAAATAGGGGGAGGGGCTGTCAGCGAGTGGGCTCTATTCCAGTTTGCCTCTAAGTTGCTGAGGCACCTTGGAAGAGTCACCTGTCCTGGCATCTAAAAGGGAAGCTGGGCCAGAGTAGTGGTTCTTAATGTTGGTCCCAAGAAAGCAACATTGTAATCCCATGACAGCCTATTAAAAGTATAGAATATTAGGCTGGGTGTGGTAGCTCATGCTTGTAATCCCAGCACTTTAGGAGGCTGAGGTGGGCTTGAGTTTAGGAGTTAGAGACATAGGCAGCATAGCAAGACCTTGTCTCTACAAAAGAGAGAAAAATTAGCCAGGTGTGGTGGCACATACCTGTAGTCCCAGCCTCTTGGGAGGCTCAGGTGTGAGGATTGCTTGAGCCCAGGAGGTCAATGCTGCAGTGAGCAGTGATTGGGTCACTATACTCCAGCCTAGGCAACAGAGTGAGAACCTATCTCAAAAAAACAAAAACATAAAAATGAAATATCAGCAATAATGAATCAGCAAGTCTGGGGAGAGGCGCAGCCATCTGTGTTTTATATCTAGCCCTCCAGAAGATTCTGAGGCACACTCAAGTTCGAGAACCACTGGGCTAGACCCATGGGGGCTTTCCAGGTTGTTTCCATTTTTGTTTGCTCCGATTTTTTCCAGTGAAATCTTAGGAAAGTGCCCAGTATGTAAGGTACATTAAAGTAGAGTCCCTCTGGTTGAGGGAGGGGCAAGGCCCCCCCCACTCTGACTCTTCCTCGCCATGCACACTCTGCTCAGTAAGAATCCCTGGTTGGAAAGTTCTCAAGGCGGCCAAAGAGCATAGATTTGTGGGGCTTGTCAAACCTGGCACTGCTGGTGGGATGAGCCTCCGAGAAAGCACCCCTGCATTGGCATCCTGGTCAGTGCCCCCAGCAGACTCTGCTGTGTATCCAGGGGACCTGGCACTGAAGCCCCAGATAGCCCTGTGTGAAGAAGGTGGCTGGGGCTCCACAGTGCCCTCCACGTAGGCTTCCTGAAACAGGGCAAGGCAGCCCGCTGAACCACATTTGTGGATGTGAGGGAGGAGCTGCCCTGCGTTTTGGGAGGCAGCAGTCACACTTCATTTTCACTCTGGCTGCTTTTGGAGACAATATGGCACCACTCAGATTTTTATATCCTCTTTTTCATGAAGCACAGCAGATCGTGTGAAGCAGTCAAGAGGCCTGCGGAAATATTCATCTGGACCCACAAATTCACTCTCTCAGCCTCTCCCACTCCTGCCTATGTGGACCGATGAGTCACTTGAATTTCTTTTTCATTTCTCTTTCTGAAGTGAAGATGATGGGGAGGAGAAACCTGAGGGCTGGGGGATGGGATGTTGGGGAAACCCATGGGTAGACAGCTTCATAGAAGAGGCCACACTGTTGGAGAAGCAGAGGGAGACTAATTTGAGGTCTGTTGTATACAACAGATGATGGCTATGAGATTCTTTTATTATATTATACTTTAAGTTCTGGGATACACGTGCAGAATGTGCAGGTTTGTTACATAGGTATGCACATGCCATGGTGGTTTGCTGCACCCATCAAACTTTCATCTACATTAGATCTTTCTCCTAATGCTATCCCTCCCCACCACTCCCCACCCCTGACAGGCCCCAGTTTGTGATGTTACCCTCCCTGTGTCCATGTGTTCTCATTCTCCTGTGTCCATGTGTCTCTGTCTCCTTCAGTTCTGCTCTGATCTTAGTCATTTCTTGCCTTCTGCTAGCTTTTGAATTTGTTTGCTCTTGCTTCTCTAGTTCTTTTAATTGTGATATTACGGTGTCGATTTTAGATCTTTCCTGCTTTCTCCTGTGGGCATTTGGTGCTATAAATTTCCCTCTAAACACTGCTTTAGCTGTGTCCCAGAGACTCTAGTACATTGTGTCTTTGTTCTCATTGGTTTCAAAGAACTTATTTATTTCTTCCTTAATTTTGTTATTTACCCAGTAGTCATTCAGGAGCAGGTTGTCAGTTTCCATGTCGTTGTCCGGTTCTGACTGAGTTTCTTAATCCTGAGTTCTAACTTGATTGCACTGTGATCTGAGAGACTGTAATGATTTCCATTCTTTTGCATTTGCTGAGGAGTGTTTTATTTCCAATTATGTGGTCAATTTTAGAATAAGTGCGATGTGGTGCTGAGAAGAATGTACATTCTATTGATTTGGGGTGGAGAGTTCCACAGATGTCTATTAGGTCCTCTTGGTCCAGAGCTTAGTTCACATCCTGAATATCCTGGTTAATTTTCTGTCTTGTTGATCTGCCTAATATTGACAGTGAGGTGTTAAAAGTCTCCCACTATTATTGTGTGGGAGTCTAAGTCTCTTTGTAGGTCTCTAAGAACTTGCTTTATGAATGTGGGTGCTCCTGTATTGGGTGCATATATATTTAGGAGAGTTAGCTCTTCTTGTTGCATTGATCCCTTTACCAGTATGTAATGCCCTTCTTTGTCTTTTTTGATCTTTGTTGGTTTAAAGTCTGTTTTATCAGAGGCTAGGATTGCAACCTCTGCTTTTTTTTGTGTGTGTGTGCTTTCCATTTCCTTGGTAAATATTACTCCATCCCTTTATTTTGGGCCCATGTGTGTCTTTGCACGTGAGATGGGTCTCCTGAATAAAGCACACCGATGGGTCTTGACTCTTTACCCAATTTGGCTGCAAGATTCTTTAAGGGCAGAGAATTGAGGCCAGGTATTACCTCCCTGATCTGAGGTAGCATTTGGATATGCATTCCTTACCCAAGAGCACATATCATCCCAATAGCAGTGGGTGGGAAGTTGGGCTGGGTAGGGAGAAGAGAGGTTGGTGCCAGAGTACATAAGTTGATGTGAAAGTGGCCATCTTCCTAATGCCATCCCAGGATATGTGTGCCTCATGCAGCTGGGCAGAAGGAAATCTCCGTGTTCTGGGGCACCGCCGAAAACCTTTATGTAACAGTATCATTCTCAGAAGGAGAAGAAGTACCATGCTGTGGGAAGGCATTGCCATTTTCTCAACATAGAGAGACCTCTTCTCTTGGTCCAGGTACTATGAAACATGACCCACGTATGTTCACATCCCTGTGCCTTGACTTCTGCATCTGAAAATAGGGAAAAATAATATCAACTCACTTCTTTTGCCTGGGGACACTAAAAAAAGCACGTAAGGCAGAGTTGATCATATTGGCATTTTCCATTTGTCTAATATTACCACTTAAAAGTGCTTCATGTTTGTTATCTCATCTGATCCCCCAATCAACCTGGTCACACACTATTATCCTCGTGAGGAAACTGTGACTCAGAGAGGTTAAAAGTTCTTCCAAGGGTCACACAGCAAGTCAGTGGTGGCCTGTTTCTTGATTCCCCATTCATTACTTTCCCCTAGATTCTGCTAACTTCTCATCTGTGAAATGCAGACCATTCAAGAGAAAGATGACTCCCAGTTGTGTCTTTCTTTTTTTTAAGACAAGGTCTCGCTTTGTCACCCAGGCTGGAGTGCAGTGGCGCAATCTCAGCTCACTGCAGCCATGATCTCCCTGGGCTCAAACGATCCTCCCACTTTAGCCTCCAAAGTAGCTGGGACTACATGCGTGCCACCACACCTGGCTAATTTTTGTATTTTTTGTATAGACAGGGTTTCGCCATGTTGCCCAGGCTAGTCTTGAGCTCCTGGGCTCAAGTGATCCACCTGCCTCGGCCTCCCAGAGTGCTGGGATTACAGCCGTGAGCCACTGTGCCTGACTGTTGTGTCATTTTTGTTCCCTGTTGCTCTAAACACTTGCAACCTCAATGCATTATACATTTTCCCCTCTCCTGGAACTCAGCCCTTTCTCTCCGTAAAGACTGGCTCCATGTTTCCTTGGGATAAGCTTGCAGAAGACTTGGCTGTGGCTTTTGCCCTATTTATTTCTCGGCTCAGAATTCCTTAGGATTCCACTGGGCTCATTCCATTTATGAGTTCTCAGCAGGAGTCAGTGGGAAACATTGCTTTCCTGTGGATTCCAGAGAGTTTGACTCCATGACCTCTAAGACTGTTCAAACACTGCGATTGTGTGACTTTATAATCTAGAAAAAAGATTTCTAAGGCATTCCTAGGGGTAGTGGGCTTCCCAGGGGAATGGGTTCATTTCATATGGCTGGAAGTCACTGAGCTAAGATCCAATTGAGAAGTGTGTGGGCTCAGGCATGAGGCAGCTCTGGAGCTGGGGGCGTCTTCCCACCAGCTCACGTAATGGAAGGCCCCTCACCTGTCTCTGAATTCCCTTTTCACCACACTTCTGAAATAGGGGTGGAAACAGCTGTCCATAAAATGCTTTGTGACCAGGCAGCAGGCGTTGTACTGTGGCCAAGTTTTACGGAACAGATGAGCTTTGCTAAACCCATCTCCCTAGGCATTCAAATGTGGAATATTTGGAGAAATACAAAATGCTATTGCTGGAAGGGGTGTTTTAGCAGTGATGAAGCCAAACCATCTACTCTCTTAATATCTGCCCTATATACTACTCTCAAGGAGGGATCGTCCAGATGAAGTGCTTCCAATGACAGCAGGCTCACTATTCCAGAAAGCAGCCCCTTTCTCTGTTGTGTATCTGTCAGGAAGCTCTGCTCAATAATGAATGGGAAACATATTGCTTTTAGTGTGCACCCTTCTTCTCTAGTTCTGTCCTCTAGGTTCCACTCTCACTTCCACCATTGTTATAGGATGGGACTTGAAGGTAGCTTTAATAACCATTCTTTCAAGGGAGTCTATGGTTGTCATCTGGCCAGGTGCAGATGCCACGTCTAGGGAAGGTGAGAAAAGGGGCAAGGAGGCTTTGGGTTTTGCCTTTCTCTCTTCCAGCTCTAGAGAACTAAGAATAAGACCCTATCTGTATACCCTCACATCCCTGACTCTAGTAGGTACCTGCCAGACAGCCTGTTTTACTGTGCAGCTTATCATCAGAGTGCTTTTTATTGTACCTCTGGATAAGAACACAGTCAAATGTTAATAAGAATTTTTTTTTAAAAAAAAGGAAGGAAGAATTAACTGACCAAGCAGAGGATGGAATGATTTTATGATGGTTTCAGCACTGAGGCGGAAAAGGAGGATGCTTGCTCTGTCGTGCACACCTGTGGCCCTTGGAAGGAATATTTATCACAGATGGACTGGGCTTCTGTTTAGTCATCTAGGGATTAAATGCCTGCTAGTCCCTCCCCTGCTACGAAGAATGCTCCAGGCTGCAGATTTATACAGAATGGCATTTCCAAAATACCAAAACGGGGCTATTCACTCTATGCCCATAGTAAAGAGTTTCTAATAGCTCAAATGTCTGACATTCTAGAACTCATTTTGTGTTTGAGGAGCAGAATGGGGAAATAGCATGGGAATTAAGTCTCAAAGGTTGGGGCTGGGTATGAGCTCTGTGACTTCCGGATGACATGATTATTGGCCAAATCACTTCACATCTGTAAGTCTCAGTTTCTGAGTCAGTAAAATTAAGGAAGAGAAATTCCTAAACTCTAGTGCATGTGTTTGTTAATTTCAATATAAAATCAGCTAAAATTTCTTCTGTAAATGACTTTCATTATCACCAACATTAAAATGGCGTATCCAAAAATCCTTCTCGAGTCATTCAAGGTTTCCAGTGTAAATTCAAAATAGAGAAACAGCTCTTTAATGCACTCAGTGTTTTGTGATGTTAGATTACATAGATACAAGTTTGAGATTTTATCAACTAGCCATTACATATTAAAGAGTAAGGTAACTCACAAGTGCTCTCATAAGTATTGAGAAATGAAATCTTGTCTCCTATTGAGGTTTGAAATCTTTGTAATCTATTGCAGGCGCATACTAGATTGTAGTGTGCTTCTCGGGCCACCAGGAAATTTCAAGTTACATTATACCCAACCTATGACTTTTGTTTTTCCCCATCCATTCATTTATTCTTCCATCTATCCATTAATTAATTCATTCAATGACCATATTTACTTTACTAAGTCTCTGCTATATGCCATGAAGGATCCAGTGTGGTTTCTCATCTAAAGAGCTCACAGTATAGTTGTAGATATGAGACATGTACACAAATAATAGCAGTATATGGCAGAGTGAAATAAATGCTATATGATATTTATCAATAAGCTGATGTGAAAACTTAAAAGGGAAGCAACTAATCCCATCTCCCTAGTAGTAGAAAGAGGGGAAGGGTTTAGTGAAGACTTTATCTATTCTGATATTAAAATTAAATTAAAACACACCTACAGTGATACAGTATGAGCATTAGCAGCTCTCATGGGCTTGTTTTCTGGATTTCTCATTTCCCAGCTGACTGGCTTTGAACTGTTTTCTACTCCTCAGCTTTCTCAGAATAGCACCTACCTTCTAGAATTGTCAACAGTGTCCAGCACGTAGTAAGAAGTCAATAAATGTTAGATGGCATTGTTTTTAGTAAAATTTCTAAAGGCAGCAAAGGAAAGCAAGGGTGTTCCAAGCAGAGGGAACAGCCTGAGCCAGGTCTTGTGGTAAGAAAGTTTCCAGAGAAGATGACTAGCCCTATGTGTTTGTACAGTTGAGTGTGTGGGTCATCACGGAATGGGGCAGGTACGGTGATGATTGGAGGTGTGGCTAAAGAAGTAGGTCACTGATATTGGAAGCCTAAGAAATCCTATCTCGGTAGATCAAAGATTTCCAAAGTGCAGTGTGCGCTCTCAGAAGGGTGTGCAAATCATAATGAATTTTCATTCAGGTTTACTTTTATTTTTTAAAAGGGAAAAGTTTAAAAGTACTATTATTTCATATACAGATTGAATATGGGATCCTTGTTAGATCCCTGTTCACACAGTTTCTTGCCACATGTCCAACTAAGGCTATTCTGAGGGAGGGGTCGAAATTTTATGCCCTAGAGGGTCTGCAAGGTACCCACAACACCATTCTTAATTATCTAGTTTCATGGGTTTATGGATTTTTATACAGATTTAACTGAATAAAAAGTCACATAATAGACCAGTGATTTTTAAAAGATTTCTGTAAAGAACTTGTGGATTGAGAATAGCACTTATAACGAACACAAGCAAACGACAAGAAAATGGCAGAGCTGACTTTTCTCCTATCCTAGCTTTCCTTTAGCCACATTTTGGGGAGGATAAAACTAATGATGACCTGATCATATATATCAAACAGTAAACAAAAAAAATTCAAATTTTCAGGAAGAGTGCTTCAAGTATGGATTTACATTCACTATTATTAATGGTGAGCCCTGTCTAAGGTGTGGATTATGCCCTGAGACAGTAGAAAAGATAGTAAGATGTCATTAAGAATAGCATGCATTTGAAAATAGTCTTCATTTCATGTTCATATCTTCTGTTATACTTCCCAGTTTTAATTTGTTATTATAAAGTGCATAATCTATTGGCATGGCTCTACACACAGGCACACACATGTACCATAAATCTATCGAGGTGCACATGCCAGTCTTCTTCAGCACTAGGGTTACATATTTAGAGAAGTTTGAAGATTGCTGATTTAGGTCCTGGGAAACTGTTATTTGGAGGTTCTTGAGCAGTAGGAGACATGATCGAAGCTGTGTTTGAGGGTAATAAATTTCATCACAACTCCCCCCACCCCGCCCCCAGGGAAAAAAAAAAAAAAGCATTGCACAAAGAATACAGAGAAGTGGAGTCTGGAAGAGAGCTGTTAAACAGCTCGGCTCCTTCTCTTCCAGAAATGTTGTTTTCTCTTCCTTCCTAAGGACCACTGACCTCCTCCAACGACCAGCAAGAACTAGTGAGATATATTCCACCAGCCAGGCCTTCTGTGGCTGCCTGCATAGGAAGAAGACTGCCTAAAAATATTCCTTAACTAATTTCCTCTCCTCTAGGTTTCTTGCTCTATTACAAGCCAAGTCTAAGGATCCTCAGCTTTCACTTGCTATTTGAGATTATGGGGTTTGTCTTGTGATGCAGACATTCCAAGTTTACCTGTTTACAGAAGGCAGACTTCCAGAGTAGCCGGAGGCATGGGCTCTAGAGTCAGACAACCTATCTTCAAATTCCAGCTCTATCAGGCACTACTACGCTCACCATGGGCTACTTTCTTTCTGCCACAGGTTCCTCATCTGTAAAGTGGGAATAATCATCCTATCTGTGTGGCAGTTGGTAAGAAGTAAATAAGATAATGAGTGTATGTAATCCCAGCACTTTGGGAGGCCAAGTCGGGCGGATCTTGAGGTCAGGAGATTGAGACCATCCTGGCTAACACGGTGAAACCCCATCTCTACTAAAAATACAAAAAATTAGCCGGGCGTGGTGGCAGGCACCTCTAGTCCCAGATACTTGGGAGGCTGAGGCAAGAGAATGGCTTGAACCCGGGAGGTGGAGCTTGCAGTGAGCCGAGATGGAGCCACTGCACTCCAGGCTAGGCGACAGAGCGAGACTCTGTCTCAAACAAAACAAAACAAAACAAAACAAAACAAAACAAAACAAAACAAAAAAAGATAATGCGCGTAAAAGACAGAGTTAATTCCTGGCATAGAAAAAATTCCCAAGGAATGTGAATTCATATCATTACAAAGGAATGAACTGAGGCATGGTCTGAAGGGCCTAGGGCAGAAAAAGGGAAGGAGGCTTCCAGGAATGCAGATCCTTTAATCTCTTTAAAGCAATATCCAAACAGAAGTCTAAGTCTCTATGGACGCTGGCATGCTCAAGGATGCCAGTGAAGGGGGCAGAGATGGCTGCCTCTGAGTCACCCTCCCTCCTTGACTCATCTGCCACCTCTGTTATCTCTGGCTATTGCCACAGTTTCTCATGAGAAATTATGAAATAAATGGCCTGCATGGTAATGCCTGGGTGAATAGGTGAACCTCGGGCATGTGGCCAACTCTCCATTCATTTTAAACATCCTTGGGTTTAGTGAACTCTAGATGATTACATCTCTTTTATCAAAAGACAAAATTACAACAAATTTAGTTTAAAGATCTCAGTTGGCTTCATTTGCAATTCTAGAATCCGGCAACACTCCATTCCGTACAATGAAGTAAGTGTCCCAGTGAACGGAGCAGAAGAGGTTTGCTTTATAGACAGAGAAGGGCTGAAGAAAGCAGGAGCAAAGTACAAAGACTATTAGTTCCTTTTAGACAGAACAGGAGAAAAATAACTGATTAATTAACATGAGGTTACTTCAGGCTGCCTTTTTTTTTAAGGTTGTCTTAAAAATTTTTGTTTATTTATATGTGATATTTGTACATATTTATAGGGTACATGTGATGTTTTGTTATGTGCATAGAGTGTGTGATGACCAAGTCAAGGTATTTAAGGGTCTATCATCTTGAGTATTTACCATTTCTATGTGTTGGGAGAAACATACATGTACCCATCAACGAACCTCCCGTCATCACTCTGCCCCACACTACACATACCCTCGTCCCAGCCTCTGGCCTCTATTGTTCTACTCTCTGCCTCCAGAGGATCAAAGTTTTCAGTGCACACACATGAGCGAGAACATTTGATATTTATCCTTCTGCACCTGGTGTGTCTCAATAACATAATGACCTCCTGTTCTATCCATGGTCAGCCTACCTTTTTTGTGTAAGGATTTAAAAAGTGAAACTTCATTATTATGCCAACCGAAGATGTAAACTGGCCTGTTTGGGAAATTGGCTAATTCTTCTGATTCTCCTCCAGTCAGATAACAACTTAGCTTAGGTTTGGTGACGTGGAATTATATCAAGGATGACATCATTTTGATTTTTTACTCTGGTCTGTTGGGACCTAGTGCAGGAGTGTAGTCCAAAACAATGGCCTTATATAATTTTTATTTAACACCTTTAAAAAATGCTAATAATCACTTTCAGGAGGACTTAGAGAAGCAAACCTAACACTCTGAGGCCCCACAGTGTGAGGTTTACCCGAAGATCAAAACTGTGGTGGGTGTCAGAGTAAACCCTGTCTATGCATGGCCATAGTGTTTTGTGTGCAGGTGTAGGCAGAGCCTGGAGGAGGGCAGCTGATCGTGGCAGCAATCAAGCCATCACACCAATTTGAGCAAATTTCTCTATTTTCCAGCTGATCTATAGCAGCTGGAAAATAGTTATATAGTTAATTTGGGGATTACTTATACATGAATCTTGTCTCTGGTAATCATACCAGGTATTTTATTTTCTTCTATTTTATTGGGATATCACTTAAATTGCACATTTGACATTGTACTTTTCTAATTCTGATGAATTAAAAAGCTCTGCTTGTGGATACTGGGCTGAAACCGTAACTACTTCTGCACCAACCATAAATATCCTCTATATTCTTTTCTACCTTTTTTTTTTTTTTTTTTTTTTTTTTTAACAGGCTCTCGCTCTGTCACCCAGGCTGGAGTGCAGTGGTATGATCTCAGGTCACTGCAGCCTTTAACTCCTGAGCTCAAGTGATCCCCCCACCTCAGCCTCCTGAGTAGTTGGGACTTCAGTTGTACGCATGACTTGCCTCTCCTATTTCTATCTGTCCTTCTAGTCCTACCTTAGGGCCCATGAGAGTATCCTTCTCTTCTGAACCTCTATGGAATCATCAACTCTCAACCATATTCTTAGAGCACACATATCTCCTCAGCCTACAGTGTTCTTGAGGGTAAAGATTGTGCCTGACTGCCCAATGTGTTCCTCATGGGACCTAGGTCAGTTCCAGGAAAAGCGGGCATATGGTAAGTACCAGCACCAGTGCCCACGCTCACATGGTTGCCTACCTTTTAGCAAGAGCCAGTGGGACAAGTTGGTGGCGGAGCCCAAGATGCCTTGGCACAGACCTAATTGGTAAGAGACAGAAAGAGCTGATGGCCAGGAGCCCAGCCTCATCTGACCTACCAGTACTCTCCTTTCACAATCACTGACACTGTCCCATCGAGGCTTTTGCAGAGGGGAAATTCCTTGAAGTCAGACAATAGATCTGTGAAGTGATCAGGCTTTGGGGCAAAAAGTTATCACTGCAACTTATTTGTGTAAAGATCTGCAAACCAGAGGCTCATTGTCAGGAAGGAGAAAAGGCAAAGGACCCTGTGAACCAGTTGGATTTGACCAGGAACAAACCAGGAAACTGGAACACTGAGCTAGTTATTTAGTGAATTAGTGAGTTACCAAGTTAGTTTGTTTAAATGAGGGAGAAAGACTGTGATTAAAAGTAAATTAATTAAAGGAGGTAACAGCCAACAATTTCATCAAGTTTTCATCTCTTTTAACTCAACAATCCTGCTCTTAGAAAATGATTGAAGACAAAAAAAATGGCAGAAATGTGGCCAAAGAGATATTGATAATAGAAGTAAAAAGTAAATTGGAAACAACTTAAATGTCCCCCAAAGATTTAATGATTTTTGAATGCTGACATAAATCATAATATATCCACTAAAGTAATATTTTAAAGTCATTCAAATAGGTCATTATAAAGACCACACTGGAATTACTCATGTGTGATGCTAGGAAGGAGATCAGAATGCAAAATTATATTTGTGCTGCACATCCAACACTGTGAAAAAAAAATATGCTTTTTTGGAAAAGACAGGAAAGAATGAAAATAGATGATTTGTAAAGATAGTAAGCTTGTGGGTGGCTTTTTATTTCCATAATCATGGTATTATGTTTTTGTATAATATAAAACCTTTATGTTAACCAGGCACTTAGAAGAATAACACCTTAGCATTAAAGGTATATTGCACCCAGAAATTGTTTCAGAGAATTAGACATTAGACATGGCTCTTTTTAATACTCGCATTTTCAAACAAGGGTCCAGTTTATATTTCTCTCTCTCACTGGTAAGAAGTTTGAAATTGCATACTTGAAAGACAGAAACGCTGGACAGATCCCTATAGATGTAGGGATAGATACGGATGCAGATATAGGTTTAGGTATAATTTCCCTTGATAGACTTCCTGTCATGCGTCAAATGCCTCTTGCAAAATGCAACCTATACCTGAAGGCTAGAAAACGTTATGAATGTGGGGAGTTAAATGCCCTTCAAATGCATGAGAACTTACAAATCAAGGGGGATCATGTTTAAGAGAAAAGACGTCTGGTCTTGTTTCAAATGTTTCCTAGACAACCAGAGCCCGGGTCTCTGTGTCACTTAGTTCTGAGTTCAGATAAACATCTCAAAAATTAGAAAACCCAGATATTTTTGGGCTCACAGAAGATTAGCGGTCTGTATTCTCAGTAAATACCAAAGTCAACAATAAGAAAGAAATCATCACAACAAAAAACAGAAAATGCTCCTTCTCTATCTTTAATGACCCGGATAGCTGTCTGTCAAAAGTCCCATTTTTCTAGTTCTCAGAAGGAAATTCCAAGTGTTTCCTGGAGGGTTCAACACCAGATTATCCCTTGCATCCATTTGCCTGAGAGAATAGCAGCTGGAATTGTTAATAAAATTATTATAACAATACTTAGATTTTAAAATGAACCATAAATCTTATTTTTTATTTTTGAGCATTGTTATGGGTCACATATGATAAAGTATCACTACCACAGAAAATGCTTCTACAGTACATCTCTATTACTTCTATCAGCACCATTTACACAGGCTCTCAAAGTTCTAGTGCCCACAATATTTCTTAACTTTTTTCCATTTTTTAAAAATGCTGGAATATAATAACAAAAACTGAAAACAATATATTGCTCAATTTGCTCAAATTTCTCTTTAATGGAGAGAAATTTGAGCAAATTTCTCTATTTTCCAGCTGATCTATAGCAGCTAGAAAACAGCTATATAGTTAATTTGGGGATTACTTATACATGAATCTTGTCGCTGGTAATCACGCCAGGTATTTTATTTTCTTCTAGTTTTTTTTTCTATTTTATTGGGATATCACTTAAATTGCATATTTGACATTGTAGTTTTCTAATTCTGACGATTTTCTTTCTTTCTTTCTCTTTCATTCTCCCCTCCCTCCTTCCCTCCTTCCCTTCCTTCCTTCCTTCCTCCCTTCCTTCCTCCCTCCCTTCCTTCCTCCCTCTCTCTTTCTTTCTTCTATGTTCCCTTCCCTTCCTTTCCCTTCCCTTCCCATCCCTTCCTTCCTTTCTTTCCTTCTTTCTTTCTCTCCCAGGCTGGAGTACGGTAGCACAAACACAGCTCACAGCATCTTTGAAACCCTGGCCCCAAGAAACACTCTTGCCTCAGCCTCCTGAGCAGTTGGGACGACAGACACTCACCACCATGCCTAGCTAATTTTTATTTTTACTTATTTTTTTTATAGAAGGAGGTTTTGCTATGTTGCCCGTGCTGGTCTTAAACTCCTGGCCTCAAGACGTCCTCCTTCCCTGGCCTCCCAGAGTGCTGGGATCACAGTCATGAGCCAGAGAACCTGACCTGAAAAACCATTTTCTTTGAATTAAAAAAAGAAAAAAATTATTTAAAAGTGAAAAAGCGAAACTTTGATGTGTTTGGTTATAATATTTTGCTAATAATATTAACAGAAAGCAATAATTCATGCCAAATAACAGGGGATAGTGTAAATTCAAAATTAATTTTTTTCCACCAAAGACTATAATTCAATATTTCTTTGAGGATATTCTACTGTTTTGCTTATTTCTTCTAGTGCATATTCTATCTTGTCTCTATTAAATCAAATTGTTTTAATAGCATTCTCCTTCCTGTGTTCAAGAATGCTTGTCAGATCAAATATGATATATTTTTTTCAAGATGCTCTATCTTTGGGCAGGTCCCCAAAATACTGAATATAATCTTTGAATTTTTCCAAATGTAATTTCAGTTAGCACAATTGAGGCTCATCTTCCAGTAACAAATTTAAATTATGATCCATATATAGTACAAAGAATGCTTCTGGATTTTTGCCTAAAATCTAGCTTCTATACCTTTTTCCTTATCATCCATGTTAGTGTCATTATAGGATTGCTTTTGCCAATCTTTTAAATAAATGACTAAAACTAAAAATTGCTTTTTTTTAGTTCACTGAAATCAAAATCTGTACCTTTACAGGCAGTATAAAACCAGTGATATTAATTTTGATATATTTGTTTTCTTTTTCGGTATAGTTCAGTAATATGCATAACTGTTAGTTGTTCAATGTGACTTTTGCCCCTGGAGCAATCTTGATGAATTGAGTAATGAAAATTCATTTTGTTCCTTTTTAATCTGTCTTACATGTGTGGACCTTTCAACACCACGTTCCACGTAATTCCCACTAGATCCAGAAATTTTCTCTTTTTTTCACCTGAAATGATTGATCCATTAGTGCCACAGAATGCATCATTATGCTTAGCTAAATAGTATTATTATTCTAAAAACTTGATGCTAACATTCAAGCATTTGCTTTGTCTTTGTTGTATATTATCCGACTGCTGCTTTTTTTTTCCATTTTTTTTTCCAGTTTACACTGGCTTTTCTTCATGTAAGTCAATTTGCTTACTCTCATTATTTCTATTTTAAATAATTAGGCAGATCACCTCTTTATTTCTGTTTCTCTTCCAGCTTTCTTCTTTTCTGCAGGCCTTTTGTGTTTTTCTATTTCAATTATCCTCTAGACTTGTTCTGTTTCAATGATCTAAAAATGTGCTGTTCAACACAATGGCCACTAGCTACATGTAGATATACAAATTTAATTTTAAATTGACTAAAAGTAAATAAAAGTTAAATGTCCTCAGTTGCACTAGCCACATTTCGCATAGTCAATAGCCACATATGTCTAGTGGTTACCATTTTGGCAGCACAGGTGAAGAACATTTCTGTGATAAGAAAGTTCTACTGGACAATGCTGATCTAAAAAACAGTATGACAAATTCTAACGGTATTCAAAGTGCCTACAATTTGACTATATTTGTATTAAAAATGCAAATGAAAGTAAATGTAAAAAAATTTAAAAAGTACTTTCTGTATACATTTTCAAAATTATTTCTTCTCTCACGCCTGTAATCCCAGCACTTTGGGAGGCTGAGGTGGGCAGATCACGATGTCAGGAGATCGAGACCATCCTGGCTAATATGGTGAAACCCCGTCTCTACTAAAAATACAAAAAAATTAGCCAGGCCTGGTGGGGGGTGCCTGTAGTCCCAGCTACTCGGGAGGCTGAGGCAGGAGAATGGCGTGAACCCAGGAGGCGGAGGTTGCAATGAGCTGAGATCGCAGAACTGCCCTTCAGCCTGGGCAACAGAGCGAGACTCTGTCTCAAAAAAAAAAAAAAAAAACTTTAAATATTAAAAATTATTAGTTAAAATTCAAAAGAAAACTATAATTAAATGATAATATATCTCAACATTTTAAATCAAAATTATTTAGGTAAAGCTAATTCTTTTAATTTTTTGGAATTTTAATTCTGTCTTATTTAATCATTTCTTTAAGAACATTAAACTACTAATAATGCCAGCCTTTAATAGCCAATTAGTTGAAAATATTATGAATCTGTATCATATTTGTCACACAGATTATGTCTCAACCTACAAATACACAAATTTAAGAATAATATGAATTATTTCACTTTGCAAACTATCCCTCAACTGCCATAAGTAACATGGCAAATTCATGCTAACTGGTGACTACCTTCAGAGTCATGGATTACAACATAAAGAGAAGCAAGCAAATGGACACTCAGCACTACTTTGTTATCAAGAATCTATTACATTTATGCTGAGAGGAAGGATTTAACAAGTGAATTAATTGTTTTATTTCTCTTACCTAAGTGCTTTAACCATTCAAATATTTTTTTGTACTTCAAAGCATTATCCATCTCCAAGTCCGTAATTGTACAACTCCCATCTCCAAAGTCCATAATAGCACAACTCTCAAACATTCACAGCGTCTAGACACATTCGCCTTTTGTTTCAACGACACAGGGCAAAATATCTGTAGATCTGGGGGCCTCAACGGTTTTTGTCACAAAAACGGATGTTTGAGATTATGGGTCCAGCTACGCCAGCTATGAGTACTGGATCCTGAACGATAGACATGCCCACACCCTCTTTTTCAGGTTTATTTGCTATTTTGTCTGTGGTACATGGTGGCATTTACCTTCAGAAACAAAGTATGTGGCCCAAGGTAAGGGAGCCTCTTGCCCACATCTTAGTGCCACATTATCAAAAGACACATGATGTGTTAAGCTGGTAACAGGGCTAAAAAACGCCAATTGGAAGGTCTATCACATACGCAATTTACAAAACACTTCCGTGTGCTATGAATCAGGTGTTGTGTAACACGGCAAATTTATGCTAACTGGTGACTTGCATGGTGTTGCCCTTGATTTACCTCCCCAAGAAAACCCAATAAGGAAGGCATGATTACCCTGCAATCTCATTTTACAAAGGCAAACTGAGGCTTTGGAGGAGTTCAGTCACTGGCTCAATATAACATTGCTGATAACAGGCAGAGGCAAGGTTCAAACCAGGGGTGTCTGAAGCCAGTCAAAACCGGGACTCTGAAGCCAAAGCCCTTTGTGTAACCACTCTACAGTTCCACTTCACTTGGATGGCTGAGCTGTGGGTGGGAGAGTCTCTGGGTCCCCGGAGTCAGTCATCTGAGTGTGTGCTCTTCCTGGGAAGAGGCTGATGCTGAAAGCTACCTTATTTAATGGCTGAGAAAAGTAGAACTGATGGTTGAGGAGAGGAGACCTGAGAGTGTGTCCCCAGCAGGAAGACAACTGGAGGAAGTGTTGCTGCCGCCACTGCCTTATAGATTTACTCTCATCTCCTGTGCCCCAGAATCTCCAGTGGTGCCCTGATGCCATCAGGGCAGGCCATATTCCAGGCATCTTGTTAAGGACACCCTTGATTTTGCCCCTATCAACATATTCAGCCATATCTCTTCATTCCCACCTACCCCAGCATAGCCCCAATTTTAGTATCAATGAACTCCACATTCTCAGAAAGCAATATGCTCTTTCATCCTTCCTGCCTTTGAATATGCTCTTCCTCTGCCTAGAATGACCTCTTTGCTCCTCTTGTCTGGAGAAACCTCACTCATCCTTAAAGTTATAATTCAAATGTCACCTCCTTTGTCACTTGTTCCTAGAGTCCTCCAGGGAGTTGGTCACTTCCTTCTCTGAGATCTCTAGAACTTTGTTCGGACCTCAGTTAGAGACTTGTCATCCCAGCAAAACTATGATATTTGCCCATATGGCCACTTTCTCACTAGACAGTAAGCTCCTCCCGGACAGACAGGGGCTATTTCATATTGCTCTCTGCTTCCTCTCAGCCCCATCCTATGTTCCAAGCACAATCCCTAAAACATAGCAGGCTCTTAATAACTGTGGAATGTTGAGCGAATAAACAAATAAAAGCCAAGAGAAGATGACCTTGAGGCTTGGTTTCCTGGGAGGAGACTCCGCCTTTCGTACCCACAGACTCCTTTGAGCAATATCCCATCCATGGCATTGAGCCACCATCTGGGGCCATTGCACCAGTAGAAGCTCAGGGTGGGGCTGGTGTGAAAACAAACAGGCAAGACAACAACAAGGGTGTGTTGAAACCTTTAAACGTTCTATTCCTTGGTGTTCAAACTTGCCAAGCATACTAGGTCAGGTGGGTTCTTATTCCAGTACTCTGAGAGAATTGATCATAGGCACTAAGCTTTCACATTGGGTCAAGGAGCAAGGGAGAAACAAAGGAGATGTGAAATTGGCTTCCTTGTTCTGCTTTTCTCTTTGTGTGTGTATTTGTCTTTCCAAACAGAAGAAACCCTGACCTTCCCCTGCTTTAATTACCTAATTATTTTGACACCTTGGGCTGTTGCATCACCCCCACACAGTGTTTTGTCAAGGACACCACATTGGGTGTATCTAGGCTTAGGGAGAAGCAATTGACAAGAAACAAGTTCTGACAGCCAGGGAAATGTTGGGCAGAGGAAGAGATCTAGGGGAAGGAGGAGAGGGGTGGGGGAAGGAAGAAAGAGGAAACGTTTGGTATGCTGGGAAATGAGTATCTTGGGGAAGGTGGCAGCAAGGTTGGCAAAATTGGGTGTCTCTGCTTGGAAGGTTTCCCAGATTGGGTTTCAGGGAAGATTGTGTCCAAGCCAGAAAACTAGTGTGCTATAGGTCCCTAAAAAGGATGAAATACAGGAACTCAGGCTGTCATTCCAGGGACTACATCTAACTGAGAAAATTTCTTCACCCTGGACCTCGGTTTCCTCTCCTTAGAAACAAGGCAAGGCTTAGTATTTTTCTCCCAAGCACAAAAATGTTTTTACTCAAATAGTTTGGAGATATACACGGAAGAAATAATCAAAACAGTCATAAAGTCCTTCACAAACCATATTCTTCAAACAGTTAACGCTGAGGATTCTGAAAACTAACATGGGCAAGCTGAATATTTGTCAAAATTGTGAAACACGGCCCCAGCAAAGCACAGAAAGCTCTTCAATTCTAACCTCCAAGTATTGTGTATGGAGGAACCAAAAAAGCAGATGATACAGAGAAGCTGAAAGCCCGAAGGTCTGGAAACCTAAGGACAAAGCAGTGTGGTTCAGTGGTATGGTCCTGGGCTGAGACTCAGGAGACCTGGGTTTTAGACCAACTCAGCATTTACAACTTTACATCTGCCAGTCTAGATCTGTCATCTGCACAATAAAAGAATGAATCTCTGTGGGGTTCACACTCTTCAGGGTAGGAGTGAGGGGTTGTGCAGCAAGGTACCGAAGGCCACAGTTAAGTATGATGAATCTTCCTAGAACATCAATTTTACCTGGTGGCAAACACTTTAAGGCATTATTTTTCATTCAAAAATGAATTCACTTCCTCAACCAATAAGTATTGAGCAATGCTCTATGCCAGATGCTCTTTTAATATGAAAGTAAACATGGATATTTTATTATGGTTAATATCAATAATTTATATGAACTAAGGCAGACAAGGGTCTCTCAAATTATTTTTCATATGCAGTGATACTTCTTGTTGTGCCCATTTACTCTCACTTCCAATCAAATCATACTTTGTCCTCTTTTGGCCCTGGATACACTCCAATGGATAGGAGTGCAAGTGGTCTCACTATCCCTTCCAGCAGACAGAGCTTATACTGTCAGGGCCACATGAAATTAAGCAAATCTTTGTTGTGACAACAGGCTGAATTTTTATATCTACCAGACAAAAGTAAGGAAAGGGACCTAACTTTTAATACACATCACAAACTGCATACAGGTAATAAATGTATCAGCCTTTTTAAAGCAATTTTATGTGATCTACACAATCATCAACCTGTAAGTAAGTATCTTTGCATCCATTTGAAAACTCAGAAGACCAAGCAGAGGTACAAAGAGGTTTTGAGATTTGTCCAAAGTCTCACTGTCAATAACTGAGAGAGACAAGATGTCATGCTGCCTTGATCTGGCTCCAAAGCCAATCCCCTTCTCACTCTGACGCCATCCTCAGAAGATGGTGGTGATGGTGTCACTTTTTCCCTTGATATCTCTCTCTGTCTCACAGCACAACATCATAGTGTAAACTCAAGTGCTAAGGACACAGTATTAGAGAGCAAGTGCACCTGCCTCAATTGATCCATAGGGCCACAGAATATCAGGGTTGAACAGGATTGTAGAGATTGCCCACTATCTTTGTTTGCATAGATGAACCTGGGACCTAGGCTATCAAAAGAACATTCGTAAAAAGAGGTTCTGATGTTGGCAAGACCTTATATCAAGGCCCAGCACTGCCAAGTATCTCCGGGACTCCAGAGTCCTTTAACCTCCCCAAGACTCATTTTCCTTCTCTGGAAAATGGGAACAAAATGGGGAAATACTGCTGCATGCAGAGGTTTATTGTGAAGCCTATATAAAACCATGTACAGGAAGGATTTTCTAAACTCTAAAGTGCCACATACACATGTCTATGACTCATATAAGGTCTCCTAGCACAGACCCAGTACTTAGATACTGGCATCCTGACTTCTAGTTAAATATTCTTTCCATTACCGCACAGTGCTAGAGATCCTTTGCTTTGCTTCAGGGAGCTGCAGCCACTGCACTGTCATGCAGGACAGACTCTCAACCACTTCACAAAGGAGTAGATGAGTGTGCACTTTTTCCTTTAAGGCAAGGCTGTCTAATGGTATGCACTTTCATAAACAAAGAAAATGGAGCAAGCAGCTCATGGTCTATTACCACCCCAAGATGCTCCCTGGAGGAGGAAAGCACACCACATTACAAACAGCATTGAGTGCCTGTAGTGAGCCGGGCACTGTACTGAGGCCAGTAAAGTCCAAGGTCCCTGCCCTCCAGGAGCAAGCCCAGGCACAGGGAGTTTCTGAAGAGAAGTGAATCATTCAGGGATGGTCCCTTTGGTATGACATGCACCAGGGCCAAGTTTAAATTACTAAAACTTCAAACCTGTAAACAGTGGGAACGTCTAGTTCCCCCACCCCCACCGCACCCGACCCCACCCCCCACATTTCTCCCCAGGCCTTCCCTTCTGAATCTACAAGGAGAGTGCCATGTGCAGAACACTCTGCACAGACAGGCCAGACATCCCACAAGGCCCCTGGTTTCTCTGGGCTCTCAGTCTCCTAAGTTCCCTCAGTATAAACCTGCCATTACCTCACCAGTCCCCAGAGGAGGAATGTGAAAACCACTCACCCACTTATGGTATAACTGGAGAAACTGAAGCCCAGGAAAGAGACCAATCTGATTCAAAGTCTGCCTGTGAATCAGCATTATAAAACACCAGAACCCAGGAATCTCAGCTCCTGCCTTCCCTGCTCAGCCACCAGGCACCTACAACTGGATATTTAGTGGGTTCCTTGTCAGGAGAGGTCCCATTTTCATAGGTCATCATAGCCACTGGGGCTTCCTAACATCAGACATGGCGTATAATAGGCACCACGCACAATGTTTACCAGTGACTGGGAAACCCACTTAATTCTCTCTGAGCTTCCTGTGTTCTCATCTGTAAAATGCCAGGATTAAATTAGATGATCTCTGAGACACTTTCCATTTCTAACTGGTACTTTTAGGCAAGCTGAGTGCCTTAACTTGGCAAGTGGGAATAGTGGAAATCGGTTTAGGAAAGTAGGTTGAGATTCCTAAGACTGATTGAGGACCTAGCAGTGGGGATGCAGGGTTTCAAAACTAGTGGGAGGCATGAGAGAGGCGCCCCGCCAGCCCTCATGGAGCCCACAGCCTGGGGCAAAAGAACCTCCTGGTCAGAATGGAGACTCACAGGCCGTGCTGCTCAGTGGAACCTCAATAGGCCTGAGGGTTTTATGGGACTTAGGTGCCTATGCAAAGCCTGTCCCTTTTTTTGCTGGGGAACCCTGGGAAAATTGCTCCCTTTCCCTGGACCTCATAGTATTTTAGTTTTAAGTCATAATATCAATTTTTCTACAATGTTCTGAAAGGAAGAGCTTCTTTTCTTTTCCTCGACAGGGGTGGAACAGAAAGACCAACTCTCTCATTGCCTGGGATTCTTTTTTCACATGGTTTATAGTGATCATGTCTACATGAGGATCCTTTGGGCAGGCCTTCATCCTCACTCGGCATATGCAGACATTCGTAAAACAGGATCTATAACATCCTTAGATGTCTACAGATGTCTGCATTTGCATCTTCTAAATCTATGCCTTTACAGGTGTTAGACCCACCTCGATCATTTATAAATTGCACAGTAACCTGTTGCTTATTAATTTGTGTTTGATTTTGATGGGTTTTTCCCTACTCCATTTTCTACAAGGGAGTCTAACTCAGTAGTTAATTCCATAAACTAATTCCACATGACTGAGCAGGTGTAAGGCTTGGCTTGACTCAAGTCTCAGCTCTGGCACACTCAGAAATGGCATTACTTTTGTCAAGTTACTTACCCTGTCTGAGTCTCAGTTTCCCAGTCCCTAAAAATTAATAATACTTGCCTCTTGGGTTGTTGAAATAATTAAATTAAATTAAATAGTGCAAATGAGGTCAAATGAGGTTGTTTATCCTGTAAGTGTTAAATAGTTAAGAAGACTTATTTTCCTCATAGTTTATATAAAGTCCAAATCCATCTCTTTGCAGCAGGGACTATCTTGTCAGTCTTAGTTGTATCCTCTGGGATCATGCAGAATAGGCCTATGCTCCTTTTCCACATGGCAACCTTTCAAATGTGTCCATTTGACCATGATCCCTTTACATGGCAAAGGGATTTGCCAGAGAAACTAACTAAGGTGGGAAAAAGCATATCCAGTACCTCGCCACAATCTGGAAGGAGAACCAAGAAATTCTGACTGCCGCTGCCCTGGAGTGACCACTCCAACATCTGCCTCCAGGAACAGAGGGGTGAGCCAGGGCTCCTGGAAAACTTGACTCTGGCAACACATGATGTTGAAGTGTTGAAACATGCCACTTTGATGTGGCATTAGCTCATGATACTCCTTTATTTCCTTAATTTAGAAGAAAAGCACAGCTGCTAGAATTTTTAATATAATAAGTACAGTGGTGCACTGAATGTTTTCAGGAATTTTTCTACAGAAGCATTGCACCCAATTGTGCAACTTTTACAAAATATATTCATGCAAATCTATTTTTCTCTATTATGCAAAGAGCTTCCCTTCTTTTAAACTGTTTTCTAACCTTTCAACCGCTATTGAATCCAGAAACCAAAGTACCCTGTCTACTTGAAACAATTCTGAAACGAGATAGGGGTTAAATAAATCAGCAAATACGTAAACTAAATTGCTCTATTTGTGAAATGAGGATTCTAAGAAATCTATTTGCTACCTTTCTGCCTGCTTGGCATGGGAGTATTATTTGATCCCTTGTTTTGAACCTACTGAAATGACATCATCAGGTAAGTGCAAAACATTATTATCATCAACTGGTCCATAACATGTTTCATAGGTAAATATCCGGTCTTTGGATGCTTTTCAGGCTTGGGTTGTTAGTGGGTGCCAGTGGCTTATCAGAAAAACTATGGAAAGGATTCTTTCACTGGGAAAAAGAGTGGATTAGAAGCGCCTAAGGTACCTTCAAACCTATTATTCTAATCGATGTCTAAGCTATTGTTGAGACAACTTCTGTTGTAGGTGGAAAAAAGAGTGCTAGTGAAGGCTTTTGCTCTTTGAATGATAATGCAAAACACAACTTATCTGATCACACAAATGATCAAAATTTCAGAGTTGTATTATGTTATTTTCTGTGTAACACTAAAAATTCTCTATCTTATGGTAGACAGCGTGGTGACGGTAGGACCAATCAAGGGCCATAATAATTTTTTTTCTTTACCAGTCTCAATGCCCAATTCATTTATTATATATCACGCTGATTAGGTCTGGAAACTGTTTTTATTAATCATCTTTACCTACCTGCAGAACTTTCCATGTAGTGTTTGCCCAGTGGGTCCTAAGAGTGCCCAGATCTTGATCCTTTCAGCCTCCTGAACCATCAATCAGCAGGAACAGAACAGCCAGGGTTCTGGACTATTCGCATCCAGTAGCAAGTAGCCTTATGTGTCTATTCCAGGGCAACAAATAATACCTCGATTTCTTTGTCTGCCAAGTTATAGAAGGGATTGGAAGGTAATAAACTTCATTGCGAATTATAGGTCTTTCAAAATGGAAAGTTGAAAGACCTATATGGAGTCAGTTGAAACTGGCCCCTTTTTGTTTTCTTCAAGTTTTTTTTTTTTTTAAGCCGCATTATGTGGAAACCTGTCCCTTTCATGTGAACTGTCCCTTTCATGTGACCATGAATTGGTCATCGCTGCCTCACTCCATTTCCCAATCTGGAAAGGAGTGGCTACAATTTAGAAGACAGTTAAAATGTCAAGAGCTCCCTCACATAAGATGGGCAAAAGATTCTCACCAGCTCACTTCCCTCTGCTACCCTAAGATAGGCCCTACCTCACATCCTATTCATTCAGCTCAGATACAATTTCCTCCAATAAGCCTTCTCTGACTCTTCACATTCTGTCACTCAAGCTGGAAATAATCTCCCCATTCTCTGAATCCCATAGCTCTTATTCTGTCCTTTTCTTACAACACTGAGCAATTTTTGAAGGCTGGTCAGTCATATGATAATAACTTTACTGGAATGGAAACTTTTGGGGGGTAATGTCCCTGTCTTTTTTCAATATTCCTTAAAACACTGCTGACAGGACTTGAATTACACATGAGAGTCACTTAATGAGATAAATGAAAGACAAATTAGCTTGACACTTCTGTTTGCTTTGTGGCCACAAAGCACTTATAGCTGATTAATTTGGAAATGTGAACTCCTTAGGAAATATTTTTTGGGATATTTTCTTGGGTGTTTTCAAAAAATTCTGAAAACATATGGCAGAATATTTTTTAATTTTAATAATATGATTTAAAGAAACCCAAAACACATGGAAAGCATTAAACTTTGCTGTTAAACAGTAAAGTACAAAAGAAAACAAATTTGAAACACTTACATATTAAAGTAGAAAAATCTTTGAGCAAACAGTGAATGCTTGAAAGATGTTTTTTTTTTGTTTTTTGAAAATAGAATACAAGAGTCATAAAGATGCCTAGACATAATTTCCCAGCCATGTCACTGTTAGGAATTTTGGAATTTATGCAAAGGTAATAACTCAATAACAGCAAAAAGCAAAATGTACAAAGATGTTCATGACACTACAATAGCAAAAAAGCAAGCAAATAAACAAAAAGTTAAAGACAACTCCAAGGTCTCAAGTAAGGGAATGGCATTATTAATTATAAAACAGCATCAAAAATTATATTAGCTAGTCATGAAAATGCAAACTTTAAAAGGAAAATGCTTATTATGTAATGTTAAGTGAAAAAAATTCAGGCCATAAAATGAAATATACATTATGCATGCATGATGAAAAGACAAGAAATAGATAAGAATGTGCAAAAATACAAATAGTTGGATATGGTGTGGGATTCTGGCTTGTTTTCTGTTTTAAAGACATTACATCATCTTTTCAATGACAAACTACATTTTAAGTAATTGAAAACAAAGTCTCATTAGCCTTGTCCTTGTATAAATTCCCAGAGAACACATTATTCTTATTCATTTCCACCTCTGCTACTTGTCTTTGATTTGGACCAGCTCCATTCTATTTTCCCACTTCTCAGTCATCTAACAAGACTAGAAAAAGACCCCCATCAAACAAAGAAGCAAAATGCACCAAGTTTAGCAGAAGCTGTGAATCCAAATCAGCGAACATTGGCTGACTGGATCTAATACCTTGACCCCAACATTGAAAAGGCAGACCCAGATTCTTCAATGACCACAAGAGGCCTTGGTTTAAGAAGCCTGCCAACGAAGCACAATGTTCCCATCCTCAGAAATAGACCCCGGCGGAGCTTCCAGGGGCCCATAAAAGTCTGCACTCTTGGAAGAATGTGACAACTCTGGCAACAAATACAGATTCGTCATTCTCTATATTAAGGGAATGTTCAGTTGCATCAGGCTTTTTTAACAGGGCCAACACTTAGTGCAATTTTGAGGTTGGCAAAGTGAATTTTCACCTACCCCAAGGCTTCTTTCCCTGCCTCCAGATGATCAATAAAATCACCTCATGTTACAGTTTCAAAGTCCTTTCACATCCAATTTCTCATCTGAATCTTTCATCAGCCCAATGAGGTGGGTGTTATTATTCACTTGACTTTTCAGAAGAGAATATTGAGGCTTAGGGAAGTGAAGCGACTTGTCTAAAGCCACCCAGCAAGTCTGGGACTGAATGAGACACAAGCCCCATCCTAACTTCTGGTCAGTTCTCCTTCCATTTACCCTAGGCACTCATCCCTCTTCCAGTTCATAAGGAGAGCTGACCCAGTGCACCTGCTGACAGCGGCACTCAGCGTGCTGCCATCCCAGGGATACCTATGTTTTAAAGGAAGGCAGATGGGGAAAGACAGCATGTAGCCTGTAAGAAGGAAAAGTCAAGTGGAATTCCAAAGAAGATGCTGAAATAGCTGACTTAGCAGCTCTAGGGAACTATAGAGAAAAACACTGAGAGGTAGAGAGAGCTATGAGGAACCCCTGGGGAGACAGAAACTCTTTTTAACTGTCAAGTATGTGTATCTGGAAAGGTCTTAGCCTAAAGCAAAAGGTATCCAGGCTGCTGTAGAAGGATGAAATAAAAGCTGTTGCTTCTTAGACTTCATTTCTCCTCCCTCTCACTCTCACTGTTTTGGGACAGACACGGCACGAGCTTAGAACTCTTGAACAAGTGCTCCTGGGATGTAAAACTAGGGTAGTGTGGAAGCCCTGTGCCTGGGTGGGAGTGAGAAAAAAAATAGACAATGATGGATGGGCCACAGGTGGTCACTGCCCAACTCTCTCCCTCTAAACCGCCAGGGCTGGTGGATTACCATCGCCTTTCCCGGATGCTAGTTCTTTCTAAAGTAAAGAATACATCTGAGGAGCTGTGTGGTGGATGAGGAGTGATATACTCTGGTTTCCTGATGCCTGAAACCCACCACTCTAGGTGCATGCTTCGCTCTATCCCCATCTCAAACTCATCAAGGCAGGTCAGTGCAGACGGAAGTTTGACCTTCAACCCTTCAGTCATTGGCATTGCTGGACAGAATAATCTATACCCTAAAGAAATGGAAGCTGGATCTAAAGAGAAGCACTAATTTTTTTAAAAAAGAAAGAAAAAGGAAAACCAACAACTTGAATTATAGATTCCATAGAAACCAGAGGTATTAGAATGGACAGATTAAAAATTTATGTATGCATATTTTTAAATAAGGTATAATATTAGCAATATGAAATGAAAACAAGAAATCATAAAAAGAATCAAGTATAGGCCGGGCGTGGTGGCTCACGCCTGTAATCCCAGCACTTTGGGAGGCTGAGGCTGGTGGATCACCTGAGGTAGGAGTTCGAGACCAGCCTGACCCACATGGTGAAACCCTGTGTCTACTAAAAATACAAAAATTAGCTGGGCATGTTGGTGTGCACCTGTAATCCCAGCTACTTGGGAGGCTGAGGCAAGGGAATTGCTTGAACCTGGGAGGCAGAGGTTGCAGTGAGCCGAGATCGTGCCACTGCACTCCAGCCTGGGTCTCAGAGTGAGACTCCATTTCAAAAAAAAAAAAAAAAAGGAATCAAGTATAAATTTAGGTGTGACAAATATAATAGTTAAGATAATGATGATAACTAGTAGAAAAGATTCTGTTGAGAAATGACTTAGTGAATGAGGAGATCACTAAGTCAAAATTTATCTCAATGCAATAAGAGCTATTTATGACACAGCCACAGCCAATATCATACTGAATGGCAAAAGCTGGAAGCATTCCCTTTGAAAACCGGCAGAAGACAAGGATGCCCTCCCTCACCACTCCTATTCAGCATAGTATTGGAAGTTCTGTCCAGGGCAACCAGGCAAGAGAAAGAAATAAAGGGTATTCAAATGGGAAGAGAGGAAGTCAAATGCTCTCTGTTTCCAGATGACATGAATGTCTATTTGAAAACCCCATTGTCTCAGCCCAAAATCTCCTTAAGCTGATAAGCAACTTCAGCAAAGTCTCAGGATACAAAATCAATGTGCAAAAATCACAAGCATTCCTATATACCAATAATAGACAAACAGAGAGCCAAATCATGAGTGAACTCCCATTCACAATTGCTACAAAGGGAATAAAATACCTAAGAATACAGCTTACAAGGGTTGTGAAGGACTCTTCAAGGACAGCTACAAACTACTGCTCAAGGAAATAAGAGAGGACATAAACAAATGGAAAAGCATTCCATGCTCATAGATAGGAAGAATCAATATCATGAAAATGGCCATACTGCCCAAAGTAATTTATAGATTCAATGCTATCCCCATCAAGCTACCATTGACTTTCTTCTCAGAATTAGAAAAAAAAAAACTACTTTAAATTTCATATGGAACCAAAAAAGAGCCCATATAGCCAAGACAATCCTAAGCCAAAAGATCAAAACAGAGGCATCATGCTACCTGACTTCAAACTATACTACAAAGCTACGGTAATGAAAACAGCATGGTACTGGTACCAAAACAGATATATAGGCCAATGGAACAGAACAGAGGCCTCAGAAATAACACCACACATCTACAACCATCTGATCTTTGAAAAACCTGACAAAAACAAGCAATGGGGAAAGGATTCCCTATTTAATAAGTGGTGTTGGGAAAACTGGCTAGCCATATGCAGAAAACTGAAACTGGACCCCTTCCTTACACCTTCTACAAAAATTAACTAAAGATGGATTAAAGACTTAAACATAAGACCTAAAACCATAAAAACCCTAGAAGAAAACCTAGGCAATACCATTCATGACATAGGCATGAGCAAAGACTTCATGACTAAAATACCAAAAGCAAAGGCAACAAAAGCCAAAATAAACAAATGGGATCTAATTAAACTAAAGAGCTTCTGTGCAGCAAAAGAAACTACCATCAGAGTGAACAGGCAACCTACGGAATGGGAGAAAATTTTTGCGATCTATCCATCTGACAAAGGGCTAATATCCAGAATCTACAACTTAAACAAATTTATGAGAAAAAAACAAACAACTCCATCAAAAAATGGGCAAAGGACATGAACAGACACTTCTCAAAAGAAGACATTTATGCAGCCAACAAACATAAGAAAAAAAAAGCTCATCATCACTGGTCACTACAGAAATGCAAATCAAAACCACAGTGAGTTACCATCTCAAGTCAGTTAGAATGGCAATCATTAAAAAGTCAGGAAGCAACAGATGCTGGAGAGGATGTGGAGAAATAGAAATGCTTTTACACTGTTGGTGGGAGTGTAAATTAGTTCAACCATTGTAGAAGATAGTGTGGTGATTCCTCAAGGATCTGGAAACAGAAATACCATTTGACCCAGCAATCCCATTACTGGGTATACACCCAAAGGATTATAAATCATTCTGCTATAAAGACACATGCACACATATGTTTACTGCAGCCCTATTCACAATAGCAAAGACTTGGAACCCACCCAAATGACCATCAATGATATACTGGATAAAGAAAATGTGGCACATATACACCATGGAATACTATGCAGTCACAAAAAAGGATGAGTTCATGCCCTTTACACGAACATGGATGAAGCTGGAAACCATCATTCTCAGCAAACTAACACAGGAACAGAAAACCAAACACTGCATGATCTCACTCATAAATGGGAGTTGAACAATGAGAACACATGGACACAGGAGGGGAACATCACACACTGGGGCCTGTCAGGGGGTGAGGGGCTAGGGGAGGGAAAGCATTAGGAGAAATACCTAATGTAGATGACAGGTTGATGGGTGCAGTAAACCACCATGGTACATGTGTAGATACCTAGGTAACAAACCTGCACATTCTGCACATGTATCCCAGAACTTAAAGTATAATTTAAAAGAAGAAAAAGAAAAAAAAAAGAAAAACCAACAAACTGAATTACAGATTCCATAGAAACCAGAGGTGTTAGAACAGACAGATTAAAAATTTACATATGCATATTTTTAAATAAGGTATAATGTTAGCAATATGAAATGAAAACAATAAACCATAAAAAGAATCAAGCATGGGGGGAGGAGCCAAGATGGCCGAATAGGAACAGCTCCGGTCTACAGCTACCAGCGGGAGCGAGGCAGAAGGCGGGTGATTTCTGCATTTCCATCTGAGGTACCGGGTTCATCTCACTAGGGAGTGCCAGACAGTGGGCGCAGGTCAGTGGTTGCGCACACCGTGCGCGAGCCGAAGCAGGGCGAGGCATTGCCTCACTTGGGAAGCGCAAGGGGTCAGGGAGTTCCCTTTCCGAGTCAAAGAAAGGGGTGACGGACGGCACCTGGAAAATCGGGTCACTCCCACCCGAATACTGCGCTTTTCCGACGGGCTTAAAAAACGGCGCACCACGAGATTATACCCCACACCTGGCTCGGAGGGTCCTACGCCCACGGAGTCTCGCTGGTTGCTAGCACAGCAGTCTGAGATCAAACTGCAAGGTGGCAGCGAGGCTGGGGGAGGGGCGCCCGCCACTGCCCAGGCTTGATTAGGTAAACAAAGCAGCCCTGAAGCTCGAACTGGGTGGAGCCCACCACAGCTCAAGGAGGCCTGCCTGCCTCTGTAGGCTCCACCTCTGGGGGCAGGGCACAGACAAACAAAAAGACAGCAGTAACTTCTGAGGACTTAAATGTCCCTGTCTGACAGCTTTGAAGAGAGCAGTGGTTCTCCCAGCATGCAGCTGCAGATCTGAGAACAGGCAGACTGTCTCCTCAAGTGGGTCCCTGACCCCGACCCCCGAGCAGCCTAACTGGGAGGCACCCCCCTGCAGGGGCACACTGACACCTCACACGGCAGGGTATTCCAACAGACCTGCAGCTGAGGGTCCTGTCTGTTAGAAGGAAAACTAACAAACAGAAAGGACATCCACACCAAAAACCCATCTGTACATCACCATCATCAAAGACCAAAAGTAGATAAAACCACAAAGATGGGGAAAAAACAGAACAGGAAAACTGGAAACTCTAAAAAGGAGAGCGCCTCTCCTCCTCCAAAGGAACGCAGTTCCTCACCAGCAATGGAACAAAGGTGGATGGAGAATGACTTTGACGAGCTGAGAGAAGAAGGCTTCAGACGATCAAATTACTCTGAGCTACGGGAGGACATTCAAACCAAAGGCAAAGAAGTTGAAAACTTTGAAAAAAATTTAGAAGAATGTATAAGTAGAATAACCAATACAGAGAAGTGCTTAAAGGAGCTGATGGAGCTGAAAACCAAGGCTCGAGAACTACGTGAAGAATGCAGAAGCCTCAGGAGCCGATGCGATCAACTGGAAGAAAGGGTATCAGTGATGGAAGATGAAATGAATGAAATGAAGTGAGAAGGGAAGTTTAGAGAAAAAAGAATAAAAAGAAATGAGCAAAGCCTCCAAGAGATATGGGACTATGTGAAAAGACCAAATCTACGTCTGATTGGTGTACCTGAAAGTGATGGGGAGAATGGAACCAAGTTGGAAAACACTCTGCAGGATATTATCCAGGAGAACTTCCCCAATCTAGCAAGGCAGGCCAACGTTCAGATTCAGGAAATACAGAGAACGCCACAAAGATACTCCTCGAGAAGAGCAACTCCAGGACACATAATTGTCAGATTCACCAAAGTTGAAATGAAGGAAAAAATGTTAAGGGCAGCCAGAGAGAAAGGTCGGGTTACCCTAAAAGGGAAGCCCATCAGACTAACAGCAGATCTCTTGGCAGAAACCCTACAAGCCAGAAGAGAGTGGGGGCCAATATTCAACATTCTTAAAGACAAGAATTTTCAACCCAGAATTTCATATCCAGCCAAACTAAGCTTCATAAGTGAAGGAGAAATAAAATACTTTACAGACAAGCAAATGCTGAGAGATTTTGTCACCACCAGGCCTGCCCTAAAAGAGCTCCTGAAGGAAGCGCTAAACATGGAAACGAACAACCGGTACCAGCCACTGCAAAATCATGCCAAAATGTAAAGACCATCGAGACTAGGAAGAAACTGCATCAACTAACAAGCAAGATAACCAGCTAACATCATAATGACAGGATCAAATTCACACATAACAATATTAACTTTCAATGTAAATGGACTAAATGCTTCAATTAAAAGACACAGACTGGCAAATTGGATAAAGAGTCAAGACCCATCAGTGTGCTGTATTCAGGAAACCCATCTCACGTGCAGAGACACACATAGGCTCAAAATCAAAGGATAGAGGAAGATCTACCAAGCAAATGAAAACAAAAAAAGGCAGGGGTTGCAATCCTAGCCTCTGATAAAACAGACTTTAAACCAACAAAGATCAAAAGAGACAAAGAAGGCCATTACATAATGGTAAAGGGATCAATTCAACAAGAAGAGCTAACTATCCTAAATATATATGCACCCAATACAGGAGCATCCAGATTCATAAAGCAAGTCCTGAGTGACCTACAAAGAGACTTAGACTCCCACACATTAATAATGGGAGACTTTAACACCCCACTGTCAACATTAGACAGATCAACAAGACAGAAAGTCAACAAGGATAACCAGGAATTGAACTCAGCTCTGCACCAAGCGGACCTAATAGACATCTACGGAACTCTCCACCCCAAATCAACAGAATATACATTTTTTTCAGCACCACACCACACCTATTCCAAAATTGACCACATTCTTGGAAGTAAAGCTCTCCTCAGCAAATGTAAAAGAACAGAAATTGTAACAAACTATCTCTCAGACCACAGTGCAATCAAACTAGAACTCAGGATTAAGAATCTCACTCAAAACCGCTCAACTACATGGAAACTGACCAACCTGCTCCTGAATGACTACTGGGTACATAATGAAATGAAGGCAGAAATAAAGATGTTCTATGAAACCAATGAGAACAAAGACACAACATACCAGAATCTCTGGGACGCACTCAAAGCAGTGTGTAGAGGGAAATTTATAGCACTAAATGCCCACAAGAGAAAGCAGGAAAGATCCAAAATTGACACCCTAACATCACAATTAAAAGAACTAGAAAAGCAAGAGCAAACACATTCAAAAGCTAGCAGAAGGCAAGAAATAACTAAAATCAGAGCAGAACTAAAGGAAATAGAGACACAAAAAAACCCTTCAAAAAATTAATGAATCCAGGAGCTGGTTTTTTGAAAGGATCAACAAAATTGATAGACCGCTAGCAAGACTAATAAAGAAAAAAAGAGAGAAGAATCTAATAGACGCAATAAAAAATGATAAAGGGGATATCACCACCGATCCCACAGAAATACAAACTACCATCAGAGAATCCTACAAACACCTCTATGCAAATAAACTAGAAAGTCTAGAAGAAATGGATAAATTCTTCAACACATACACTCTCCCAAGACTAAACCAGGAAGAAGTTGAATCTCTGAATAGACCAATAACAGGATCTGAAATTGTGGCAATAATCAATAGCTTACCAACCAAAAAGAGTCCAGGACCAGATGGATTCACAGCCAAATTCTACCAGAGGTACAAGGAGGAACTGGTACCATTCCTTCTGAAACTATTCCAATCAATAGAAAAAGAGGGAATCCTCCCTAACTCATTTTATGAGGGCAGCATCATTCTGATACCAAAGCCAGGAAGAGACACAACAAAAAAGGAGAATTTTAGACCAATATCCTTGATGAACATTGATGCAAAAATCCTCAATAAAATACTGGCAAACCGAATCCAGCAGCACATCAAAAAGCTTATCCACCATGATCAAGTGGGCTTCATCCCTGGGATGCAAGGCTGGTTCAATATACGCAAATCAATAAATGTAATCCAGCATATAAACAGAGCCAAAGACAAAAACCACATGATTATCTCAATAGATGCAGAAAAAGCCTTTGACAAAATTCAACAACCCTTCATGCTAAAAACTCTCAATAAATTAGGTATTGATGGGACGTATTTCAAAATAATAAGAGCTATCTATGACAAACCCACAGCCAATATCATACTGAATGGGCAAAAACTGGAAGCATTCCCTTTGAAAACTGGCACAAGACAGGGATGCCCTCTCTCACCACTCCTATTCAACATAGTGTTGGAAGTTCTGGCCAGGGCAATTAGGCAGGAGAAGGAAATAAAGGGTATTCAATTAGGAAAAGAGGAAGTCAAATTGTCCCTGTTTGCAGACGACATGATTGTATATCTAGAAAACCCCATTGTCTCAGCCCAAAATCTCCTTAAGCTGATAAGCAACTTCAGCAAAGTCTCAGGATACAAAATCAATGTACAAAAATCACAAGCATTCTTATACACCAACAACAGACAAACAGAGAGCCAAATCATGAGTGAACTCCCATTCACAATTGCTTCAAAGAGAATCAAATACCTAGGAATCCAACTTACAAGGGACGTGAAGGACCTCTTCAAGGAGAACTACAAACCACTGCTCAAGGAAATAAAAGAGGATACAAACAAATGGAAGAACATTCCATGCTCATGGGTAGGAAGAATCAATATCGTGAAAATGGCCATACTGCCCAAGGTAATTTACAGATTCAATGCCATCCCCATCAAGCTACCAATGCCTTTCTTCACAGAATTGGAAAAAACTACTTTAAAGTTCATATGGAAGCAAAAAAGAGCCCGCATCGCCAAGTCAATCCTAAGCCAAAAGAACAAAGCTGGAGGCATCACACTACCTGACTCCAAACTATACTACAAGGCTACAGTAACCAAAACAGCATGGTACTGGTACCAAAACAGAGATATAGATCAATGGAACGGAACACAGCCCTCAGAAATAACGCCGCATATCTACAACTATCTGATCTTTGACAAACCTGAGAAAAACAAGCAATGGGGAAAGGATTCCCTATTTAATAAATGGTGCTGGAAAAACTGGCTAGCCATATGTAGAAAGCTGAAACTGGATCCCTTCCTTACACCTTATACAAAAATCAATTCAAGATGGATTAAAGACTTAAACGTTAGACCTAAAACCATAAAAACCCTAGAAGAAAACCTAGGCATTACCATTCAGGACATAGGCATGGGCAAGGACTTCATGTCTAAAACACCAAAAGCAATGGCAACAAAAGCCAAAATTGACAAATGGGATCTAATTAAACTAAAGAGCTTCTGCACAGCAAAAGAAACTACCATCAGAGTGAAGAGGCAACCTACAGAATGGGAGAAAATTTTCACAACCTACTCATCTGACAAAGGGCTAATATCCAGAATCTACAATGAACTCAAACAAATTTACAAGAAAAAAACAAACAACCCCATCAAAAAGTGGCCGAAGGACATGAACAGACACTTCTCAAAAGAAGACATTTATGCAGCCAAAAAACACATGAAAAAATGCTCATCATCACTGGCCATCAGAGAAATAAATGCAAATCAAAACCACAATGAGATACCATCTCACACCAGTTAGAATGGCAATCATTAAAAAGTCAGGAAACAACAGGTGCTGGAGAGGATGTGGAGAAATAGGAACACTTTTACACTGTTGGTGGGACTGTAAACTAGTTCAACCATTGTGGAAGTCAGTGTGGCGATTCCTCAGGGATCTAGAACTGGAAATACCATTTGACCCAGCCATCCCATTACTGGGTATGTACCCAAAGGACTATAAATCATGCTGCTATAAAGACACATGCACACGTATGTTTATTGCGGCATTATTCACAATAGCAAAGACTTGGAACCAACCCAAATGTCCAACAATGATAGACTGGATTAAGAAAATGTGGCACATATACACCATGGAATACTATGCAGCCATAAAAAATGATGAGTTTATGTCCTTTGTAGGGACATGGATGAAATTGGAAATCATCATTCTCAGTAAACTATCGCAAGAACAAAAAACCAGACACCACATATTCTCACTCATAGGTGGGAATTGAACAATGAGATCACATGGACACAGGAAGGGGAATATCACACTCTGGGGACTGTTGTGGGGTGGGGGGAGGGGAGAGGGATAGCACTGGGAGATATACCTAATGCTAGATGACAAGTTAGTGGGTGCAGCGCACCAGCATGGCACATGTATACATATGTAACTAACCTGCACAATGTGCACATGTACCCTAAAACTTAAAGTATAGTAATAAAAAAAAAAATCAAGTAAAAATTTAGGTGTGACAAATATAATAGTTAAGATAATGGTGATAACTAGTAGAAAAGATTTAGCTGAGGAATAAGTTCGTGAACTAAGAGATCAGCTTGAGGAATTTTACTTAGCAGAAAATTATTTTAAAAATAGAAAATGTAAAAGTCAAGATATAAAAGGCAAAAGCAGTCCTAGAAAGAAAAAAAATAGTTGTAAATGGAGAGAAGGAAATATTTGAAGGAATAATGGAGATAATTCCTCCAGAATTAACAAAACATAAAAGACCTCAAGTTGAAAAGACCCACAGAGAGCAAGAACGAGAAGAGATAAGGAGAAACATACTCCCAGATATAAATTTTGCTGAAATTTAACAATATCAGAGACAACGGAAAATTGTAAATGCTTGCAAACAGAGAGAGCAAATCACCTTCAAAGAAAAAAGAATAATGATATCAGATTTTTCAGCAGCAAGCAAGAATGCAAGAAGATAATAGAGAAGTGTTATCAAAATTTTGAAAGTACAGAATTTCATATCCAGCTACACCTTCGTTCAAATGTGAAGGCATGATAAAAAAAAAACACCCAAGATGTACAGTCTCATTTCATGCCCAAAGATGTATGTGTAAAGCATTTTTCAATGACATATATAAAGTAGAAACAAATTGAAGGAACAATACAAGAGATATGTGAAATAAAGGTGACCAAATATCTTTGTGAAGTTTGGGATTGTCTTAAAAAATAGCTGAGACCAAAGAAAAGAGAAAGAGAAAGCATATCTACAAAAACAAAGAATTAAAAGTCTAGATGAACTCAACATGATAGAGCTAGAGGAGGCTGAGGATCATTAGAGTTTATTAAAGTCCTTATATGAGAGAAAACAAAGACAACTTTTAAAAAATAAACAAAGCAATAAAAATCACTGAAAAGTGTGACAGATTGAAATAACAAATGAACAGAGTAAAAGTCCTAAATATGAATAACTACTATTACTGTAAATGAGCTAACTCACCAAATAAAAAATAAAATTCAAATATTACCATTCACTACACATATTCTAAAGCAAAATACATGCAAAGGATGAATGTAAAATGATAGGAAATTATTAATCAGGAAAATAGAATAAAATTAAACTGATATTGATAGAGTATTATCAGATAATATGAAGATCACAAACTTTATACCAAAATCAGCAAAGAGCTATAAAAAAAGTTAATGCAGCTATGCCACTTATTACTATAGATGTAAAAATTTTAAAGAAAGTTTCAGTGAATCAAATCCAATCATGCATGTTAAAGGTCATATATCTCATTGAGCTTACTCAGTGGTAGATGAAGATAATATTAGAAAATCCATAAAAATAATTCACCATTAAACTAAATATTGTCAGTAAAATAAGAAAAGAAAAGAAAAGGGAATTAGAGGCTTAAAGATTGGTGAGGAGGAAATAAAATTGCCATTATTTACAGATGATAGAATTTTTTTCTTAGAAAACTCAAAATAATCCACCAGTAAAGTATTAAAAGTAACAGTAGTTAAGCAAGGTGACTGGATATAAGATTAATTTATGTAAGTCAATTGTATTTGCAATTGTATCCTTCCTATATTAGCAATAAACAACCAGAAGACATCATTTTGAAAGAAGACATCTTTTGCAGAAGTATACAAAAATATCCAACTAAATCTTCAATCAAATGGGAAGGCATGATAAAAAATACTCAGATATATAGTCTTACTCCTCAAGTGTTGTCTTCCCTTCTACATTGTGGTGCTTCTTGGGGTGAAACTGAATGTCTGAGCTGTTTGCCAAGGCCCATCCACTCCAACTTCTGTACCTGAAGCACCTCATGCTGCTGACATCTCAGCTTAGCTCTTTGGTCTCTTAGTTGCTGTTTTTCTGTATCTGATGGGTTCATCTGTGCATATGTACATTAGGAGTCAGGCAGTGACTCAAAGGAAAGTTTCCAGCCAATTTTTGGGTCTCTTGCTGTGCTTCTCTTCTCTTCAGGACTTTCCCCTTGAAGATTCAGCTACCTTGGCAACCCCAAATACTGGCCTCTGGTCCTCAGCCCAGTAAGAACACTTCCTTCTTCTTGGGCCCCAATCCCCTCCACCATGGTTTCAAATGTGTAAGCAAGGAAAAAGCTGCATGGAGATCACCGTGTGTGCCTCCCTTATTCAGTGATAGTAACGCCTTCACTCTTGCCTGATTTGGTTTCTCCCCATGCTTTCAAAGACTTTGACCAATTTTAATAATTGTTTTTGGTGAGAAGGTTAGTCATAGCTGGAACTGGAAGTGCTGTAAAACCACTAAGAAAAAACAGCTTAATTATTATCTCGTGAAATTGAACATTTATGGACTCCATGACCTTGGAATTTTATTTCTCTGACTATGCTTAAAAGAAATATTTGTGTACATATACTAGAAAATATAAATAAGGATGTTCATAGCAGTACTATGCGTATTAATGAACCTAACAAAAATCCCATCAACAGGAGAGGTGACACATAAGTTATGGTACATTCACACAGAGGAGTATAACAGCAGTAAAAATTAAATGAACTACAACAACAAGCAACGCTATGGATGAGTCTTCATAATATAATTTTAGTTAAAAAGTGAAAATATAAAAATTAATTGTGCATGATGCCCTTTTCAGAAATGTTAAGAACAACATTAATAAAATATACTTTTAAAATAATACACATAGATGGGATAAAACTATGCAAAAATTAAAGTAAGGGAATAATGAGTAAAAGATTCATGATTGTGGGTACTTTGGTGGGAGTGATGGGGGTGGAGTAGGAGAAAACCACATGGGAAGATGTGGTCAAGTTATCAAATTGGAAACTTCAGGTGCTGAGGCCTAGAAGGGGAGATTTATCTGGGCATTAGAGCTGAGTCATGCCATTTTAGTGGTCATTTGCCCTATTAACTCTAGAGGCCTACCTAGTTCCTTATTGGTACCAAACCTGTTGTAAAGATCATGGGCAAAGACCCTACATTTCCCTACTCAGACACCTTGACCTTAACCAGAGGCAGGCATTTACTTCTCTACACCAGTATGATCCCAACCAGTCTCCTTCCCTCAAGCCTCACTCTCCTGTACAAATTCTCCTCCATTCTGTCTCCAAAGTATTACTGCTAAAATGCATAGCAGACCAGATTACTTTTCCTACATCATTAACTCTAGAATCAAGTCTTTAGCTGGGTGTTGTAGGACCTCTGTGATCTATCCCCAGCAAATATGACTAGCTCTGCATTGCTCACCAGTCCCTGAATGCATTCTACACTTTCCCATTGCCATGCCTTTGCTTATGCTGTTCAGTGTACCTCAAATGCCCTTATCTCTATCTATTGACATTTTACTCATTTTCAAGTCTCAGTTCACCTACTGCCCATTTCCATGAAGACCTGAGAAGAGACAACAGGGAAGAGGGAGGTGGCTGTCCAAATGCTCATTAATAAATGTAGCTTCAACACAAACAAGGTTTAGACACGTGGAAGCCAAGCCAGTGACAAAGCCTGAAAATCACATCTGAATTGCAAACTCAGGCCTGGTTCCAGTGACTCCCTGCCCACTCCATGTGACAGTGAGACTGACCTAGATGGACCTGAAAGTGATCTCTTTTTCAGCCTTCTAGAGGTGGTTTATAGGCAGCAAGAAGTGTAAAGAGAGATTGGGCTTGGGAGTTAGACCAAGCTTGGTCAAATACTAAATCCACTTTTTGAAATGTATCACACCTATGGGAATTTAAACATTAACACTCTGAAAAGTGAGATAACAATTTAAATAGTGCACAGGATTCTGCCCATCATTTCATTCAGTTAGCAGATGTACCCCAGGGAGCATGGGATGATGCACAAGGACCTGTTGCTTATGCGGAACCACAAGCACTATACCAACAAATGGAAGGATTTCCAAGGTAATTTTGAGTATAAACAATGTTTGCTTTACTCATCGACTTTGAAATCCTAACACCTGGGTGAAATGCTACTCGACTATATTAGTTACATGACTTCAAGAAAGTCTCTCAACCTCTCTCAGCCTCGATTTCTCCATTCTTTTTTTTTTTTGGAAATGGGAGTCTCACTCTGTCACCCAGGCTGGAGTGCAGTGGCGGGATCTCGGCTCACTGCAACCTCCGCCTCCTGGGCTCAAGCAATTCTCCTGCCTCAGCTTCCTGAGTAGCTGGGACTACAGGCGCCCGCCACCACGCCCAGCTAATTTTTTAATAGAGACAGGGTTTCACTGTGTTAGCCGGGATGGTCTCAATCTCCTGACCTCGTGATCCGCCTGCCTCGGCCTTCCATTTAAAGTGTGACAGATTGTATTTTCCAAAGATGGCCACAAAATCTCCTCTACTCCATAAGCTCTCTTCCCATCAAAGCGTGAAATCTATGTCCTTTGCCTAGAATATGGGTGAGCCTGTGATTTGCATATAACCAATATAGTACAGCAAAAGGAATGACATGTGACCTCAGAGATAGGTTGCAAAAGGTGACTCAACTTCCACCTTTTCTGGGGGGTGAGGGACATTTGCTTTTGGAGGGCTGAGATTCTGTGTAAACAATATGATCATCCTGAGGCCACCACGCTATTAAGAAGCCCAGGCAACAGAGAGAGACCACATGTAGGTGCTTCAGTCCAAGCAGACAGACAGCACAAACTGCCAGACATGACTAAAGATGCTTCCAGACAATTCCAGTCCCTAGCTGTTGAGCCCCCAACATTTGCATCTTCCAGCTAAGGCCCTAGACATCATGAAGGTGTCCTTTTTGTGATCTTTTTGAATATCTGACCCACAGAATCCATGCTCATAATGAAATTGTTGTTTTATGCCACAAAGTCTCAGTATAGTTTTTATTTATTTATTTGTTTGTTTTATTTATTTATTCATTTATTGAGACAGAGTCTCACTCTGTCACCCAGGCTGAAGTGCAGTAGTGTGATCTCAGCTCACTGCAAACTCCGCTTCCCGGGTTCAAGCAATTCTCCTGCCTCAGCCTCCCAAGTAGCTGGGATTACAGGTGCCTGCCACCACACTCAACTAATTTTTTTGTATTTTTAGTAGAGACGGGGTTTTGCCATGTTGGCCCAGCTGGTCTTGAACTCCTGACCTCAGGTGATCCACCCACCTCGGCCTCTCAAAGTGCTGGGATTACAGATGTGAGCCACCAAGCCTGGCCTCAGCATAGTTTTTAAAGTGGCAGTAGGAACTGAATCAAGGGTCTTCTGAGGACTGAAGAAAATAATGTACTTTGTGTACCTGGCACAATGCTTGTGCTCAAAAAACGGTGACTGGTACCAGTATTGTGTCCGATGCCTGGCCTGGCAGCCTTGGGTCAGCTGCTTTATTTTTCCAGGCCTAAGGTTTCTCTGTAGTAGTAGCTGCCTGAGTAACTCAAAGGTTTGTTGTGAGGCTCAAATAAGATGATAAATGTGGAAGTGCTTTGGAAACCGTAATGCTCTGTACATATCAAAGAGGTTATTATACTTCTATTATATCAATCCACTATGGGTTCAGATAGGAGAACACTCTAGTAATCCTTTAGTGGCAGTTAGTGTCTGAAATCCTGAGACCAAAGGACTTTGACCTGAGGCTCCACATTTGTTCTCTTTTAGAGATAATTAATTTCAACCATTCATCAAATAAGCCTATATTAAGCACTCACTGCAAGCAGAAAACTGTTAAATGCTGTGTGTTTTCTGAAACAAAAAAAAAAATTAGGGTACTTAGCCCAGTCCTCCAAAAATATCCCATTATAGTTAAGAAGACGCGAAATGGATGTAATCCTAGTAGGGCGGAGGCTTTCTGCAGGAGTGTGTTTCAGGAGCTGCTTAAAAGGAGAAAGGGAGGAGAAAGATAACTAATGTGGTTTGAAAAACTTCAGTGTGCCAAGCACCATGCCAAACTCTTTACATATAATTGTCTCCTTCAGTCCTCACAATGACATTGTGAGATGGCTTATGTGTTAACTGCCTTTGCAAATGATAAAACAGATGGTTGGAAAAATTGTATTACGGCAGCGTTAGCACTGAAATCCCGGTCTGGAGATACTCTACCATCCTGCTACCCCTGAACATATTTTTCTGCCCAAAATAATTATTTCTCCACCTAGACTACCAAAAAAAAAATCTGTTCAAATATTTGCCTGTTAGATAATAACATTCCTGTTCAGTGAGTTTTCTTCTGAAATTTCATGTTAAAATAATTAATAATAATATTGTATTTGCACAGAACTTCAGTGTTTTAAAAGCATAGTATGTCCACATCTTTTCCTTCCTTGGTTCTCCAACAGCCCTATGGGCAAGGCACCATGTTATACCCAACGTGTCACAGATAATAAATGGGCAAAGGATTGTGCTTTAGTTTGCTGCTACATTGTAAAAGGAATAGTGCTTCCTTAATGGTATGTATTTTGTCTCTTATTGAGAATCACATGACTTTAAATATTGCTGAAAATTTTATAAAGGCTTGTCGTCATGTTTAGGATGTCTTACTCATCATCGCGGCCTCCTCTCATCATTCCGTTTCTCATGACAAAATATACATTTACATTGTAAACAACGATGGATACAAATCCGTTTTCAAAATATCTTCTGGACAGGTTATTTTGTCCTTTGTTGACTTCCTGTCAGCTCAGGTTAGATGATAATTGCTTTTATCTTGTCACATGGCTGGCAGAGTTTTTACCAGGAGTAGAAAGGGTTAACTCTGCCATTTCCTTGTTGTCTGGTTGTGTTTGCAACGTAAGTATTATCTTCAATCTACTGTTTGCAGAGGTTTTCTTTTTCTTCTTTTTTTTGAGACAGAGTGTCCCTGTGTCTCCCAGGCTGGAGTGCAGTGGCGCGATCTCAGCTCACTGCAAGCTCCGCCTCCCGGGTTCACACCATTCTCCTGCCTCAGCCTCCCGAGTAGCTAGGACTACAGGTATTCGCCACCACGACTGGCTAATTTTTTTTTTTTTGGATTTTTAGTAGAGACGGAGTTTCACCATGTTAGCCAGGATGGTCTCGATCTCCTGACCTTGTGATCCACCTGCCTCGGCCTCCCAAAGTGCTGGGATTACAGGCGTGAGCCACCGCGCCGGGCCTGCTTGCAGAGGTTTTTTAAGGCAGAAATCATTTTAACTCACTGAAGTCCATTTTGAAAGATTAGGTTAATGGAAACTGGATAACATCATCCATAGATCCGCTTGATGGGGCTCTTGTAAACTGATGAATGTGACGATACACTGAGAGTTCAAGAAAAAATAAATGTAGATTGCCACATGGTTCAACTCCTCTTCTCAGGTGAGAGGTATTTCTCAGGTGTCATAAAGCATGCAATTGTCAAATGCACATACAAACAGCAATATAGGCAGTAGTGCCCGTGCACTTATTAAACATTCATTCAGTTGTCTTTCTTTTCTAAATTTAAAATATAAACAATTCTTGGTGGTTATGTAATTCTACACATGCAAAAAAGTTGCATAGAAGCACACACACACAAATAAGTGCATATAAATACGGGAAATACAAACAGACTCTGGCTTGTACTGATGTCCATTTCCTTGTTTTAACAAGACTGCAGTTATGCAAGATGCTACCACAGAGGAAAAGTAGGTGAAGGGTGCAGTGAGACCTCTCCATTTTCTTTCGGCAGCTTCTTGTGAAGTCTATAATCATTTCAAAAATTACATAAATAGAAGTTCTAACATCCTGGCATCCCAGTAGATTCGCTGCACCTCCAGGAGACTGCACCCTGTTGGAGCCATGGCCTTGGTTCACCGTGAGACCTGGAGGGAGGCATTTCCACTCTTGAGGCTAATTTCCCTCATCTGTAAAATGCACAGTTTGGCCCAAAGCTCCACTCAGCTCTAAAATTCTAGGATTGTATATGCACAGTTTGGTGTAGGGAGGTGTAAATCTCACTCAGATTATGAGCCAGCTCTAGGTGGTGAAGGGAAATGTGCTCAGCTGTTTGATATAAAGTCTGCTTTCCTGGAAAATGAACTTGGAGCCATTTACCTCTTCCCATTGGCTCCTTCAAAGGGTTTTCTGACTAAGGAAACACAGAAAGTTTGAAAATATTTTCATCAAATACCTTGAAAACAGCATCACCAAAACCAAATAAAAGGAAAAGGTAACATTACTTGCTGAAGATGATGACCTCTCTACTGAACCTTCAGAGTTGATTTAGAGCACATGGAAGCTATTCTCTGCTTCCCTGACCTGTTTAGGCTGCTCAAAATGCTAGGTGCAGAGGAAAACACCCTTTTGGCAGCCAAGATGGAAGAGATATAAGTGGATTTGTAGTAAGAGTCTGGGCCTGCAGAAATTTGTGTCACCCTGACACTGAAGAGGGAAAGTTGATTGTTCTCCAATGCACAGCAATTAAAAGCTCATCTCTGGAGAAAGTCGGGAGGCAGGGGTTACATATATATATATATGTATTTTCACATCTGCAGACAATTTTTTAACCCTGGTAACTGATTGATTGGGATAATGTATTTACCTTGGATATGGAAAGCAGGAAGAACAGTTCTTGCGTGACTTTCAAGGTAGTCTATACCTTCAAGTGTTTTCAGCTATGTATCTTCTTTTGATCTTCTCTATTTTCTTGGATTTATCCTACAAAAATAACCACATGTTAATGAAAAGATAAATATATAAGTTTGCTTACTGCCACAGTGTTTGAACTTTAAAAGTCTGGAAACAATTTAAATGTCCAACAATAGAGGACTAGCGAAATTATGCCAGTGGTTTTAAACTTGACTAATGAATCAATAAAATAAGAAGAAATGACATAAGATTGACATCTTTAATTTTGTGTAATAAACATTTAAAAATACTAGTAAATAAAAATACTATTGTCCCATCAAATAAAGGATATTTTGACACCGAAAGTAAAGGGAATCCCATCACAATAAAAGGCCTCACCAGAGAAAAGATCATTGGCAAACCATGCCAACATATGAGAGTAGAGCAAGAGGGTCCTTAATGCAAAAAATGGCAAAATCTGAATAGAGTGTATAGATTAACATTAATATTGTATCAATGTTAACTTCATAATTTTGCTAATTATACTGTGGTCGTGTTAAAAGAATATCCTTGTTTTTAGGAAATACACCCTGAAGTATTTAGGAGTAAAAGGATATCATGTCTACAGCATACTCACAGACAGTTCAGAGAAAAAAAAAAAACCCTTCTATATATTTGTAGAAAAAGAACGATAAAGCAAGTGTGGTAAAAATGTTAACATTAGGGGAATATGGGGGAAGAGTATATGGAATTCATTGTACTATTTTTGCAACTCTTCTGCAAGTTTAAAATTATTTCATTATACAAAGCTAAAAATGTATATATTAAATTTTTATTTAAAATGCAGAAAAATACACTAATAAGTGTGGTGGAATGTTATAATGGTGGCGTTTTTCTTGGTATGAATTTGTTGTGCAACACCATGTCGTGTGCCACATCCAACTACTTCTGGCTCTTTTTTAAATTCACAAACTCAATTCCAAAGAAATATGTTAAAGAAATGGAAGTAACATGTGAGACTATATCACTTGATATGTAGATACTTGGCACTAAAAGTGAAGCAAGGAAGACCCCTGCCTGCTCTGCCTTTTCACCCAAGAACCTGGAGTAGGGATGGCTATGGCAAGCCTGCTGTCTGCCTCACGGTAGCAGGAGGCTTGCGGCTCAGAGTCCAGTCATGCAGAGGGCCAAATCCCCGTCTCCCAACACAGAGCGGGAATTTACCCCAGACAGGGACCACCTGCTATTTGATAGCTCATGAAATAGAGCACACACATACAATGGAACACTATTGTATTTACTTCTGGCATGCGGTCTTGGAAGTTACTTACGACAATACCTCTTTGCCCTCTCCTATCCTGTAGGGCATATCCAGATTAATCTCTCCAAAACATTTTCTGGCCCTTACTTACAAAACTTTTTTTTAAAAAAAAGACTCCTAAGCCTAACATCTAATGTCTTGCAGAATCTGGACCCACTTCTTTTCCCGAATTATTTGTCTCCTCCTATTCCCTGATTGAAGCTCCATTCCAAACATGGTATGTTAGCATACCTGGACAGAGCATGCATGTTTCACCTCAGAAGATTGCTTGTGCTCTGTCCTGTGCCTGGCATGCTCTTCTTGCTATTTTTTTCCAAATAGCAAATTCTTACCAATTTTCATCTTCAGGGCAGTATATGTAGGACACAGATTAGAACCCAAAAGAGACTAGATTCATATTGAAAAACCCATGGTTTGTGGATTTCTCTGCATTTTCGTGGATAATTTACAGACTCCAAAGAATGAAGAGCGATTGATGGAATTGTAAGCAGTCTGATTGGAATATAGATATATTTAGGGGTAGAAATCATCATTCCATACCATCATGCCTGGTAAATTTTATTAACATCAAGGCCACCCCACCCTTCTCTAATCCTACTTGTGGTCAACAATATCATTGGAATGGAATTTAAAGAATCAGCTCTTTCTACGAGATAATCCAAATTGCCCAATACAGAATTTTGAGACCGGTAAATTTAGTTCTCAGTTCTCCTCAACTGTTTCCCTTTCATTTCCTTCTTGGTTCATCCATAATGAAATAACATGTCAAGAGATGTACATTCTGGACACCAGGGCAAATAAAGACATTATTTTGTAGGTGGTGAAGCACCTCTTGGAAAAGGAAAGCAACTGCTCAAAGCCTCATGGTAATAGTGTTTGGTCTGTAAAAGCTCCTGAAGGATTATGTTTATTTTGCTCAATAAATATTGAATGAATAAATAGAGGCTGAGCTGGATCTAGAATAAGTTTCTTTTCCCCTCACCCTTGGTCCTACTCTCTTGCCAAGAGACTGCACTCTCTTTGGCCTTGTATTAGTGTGTATGCATCTGTGTCCTCTATTTTACTCTAACTTCTGGGAGAAGGAATCATGTTTTACTCATTATTGTCTTTCTCCTAATACCTGGTGAATATCTGGCTTTTAGAAGATTTTCAGTAAAGGTATATTCAATAAATATGAAAACAAATACCCATCATGTAAAATTAAAAGAAATTGGTCAGCTTTTTTTTTTTTTTTTTGGTATGGTTGGTTCATTTACATAAACTTTGCTTAACTGCATAATTTTATGAATATTATATCTACACAATGATACTATAGTAGGCTTAAGTGTTATTTCTTGCAATGTCTTTCATGACCACCCCAGATGTCATTAAAAGTTCTCTTTCTCCATTGTGTCATTGTACCTGTAATTATTTGTTGATACAGCTATGTTGGCCCACGGAGGAAACAGGATCTTTTTGAATTTGGAAACTGTCGTATTCGACTTTGTATCCACAGTATCTAATATTGAACTTAACATGCAGTGGTATACTAGGGCTGTTTTGTTTTGTTTTGAGACAGAGTCTTGTTCTGTCACCCTGGCTGGAGTGCAGTGGCACGATCTTGACTCACGGCAACCTCCACCTCCTGGGTTCATGCAATTCTCATGCCTCAGCCTCCCCAGTAACTGAGATTACAGGTGCGCACCACTGCACCCAGCTAATTTTTGTATTTTTGGTAGAGACAGAGTTTTGCCATGTTGGCCAGGCTAATCTCAAACTCCTGATCTCAGGTGATCTGCCCACCTCGGCCTCCCAAAATGCTGGGATTACAGGTGTGAACCACCACACCCAGCCATGCTAGGGTTTTTTGAATGAATGTGAATTGTTTTGAAATAAAATATAATAGTTTAAGAATATCTCAGAATGTATATGAAGGGATTTTTCTAAAGAAGAGGATCCCTGAAATCAGATAGTAATTTGATTTTGTTGTTGTGGAAGTGACTGGCCATTTGCTAATTGTCCAAATTGCTTGGTCGTGTTGTCAGTATGAAGTTAGTTTTTTAATTTGGATATTAAGGACATTTGCCTGCTCCTCACCTTTATTTCAGAAGCCCTCCTTTTCATTGGCCATTCTTTAAACTAGGAGATAAGCTACAGATTCCTATTATAAGCTTTTATGATCTTTAACAGAAACACTGCATGCAACTAAATATCTAATCTACCAGCCTTCTCAAAAGCACATATCATGCCTTTGGGGTAAAAGAAAGTTAAGAAATCATCAGGAAAAATCAGTCAATGAGATCAGTTGAGATGACTCACAACAATCTCTTCCAATTCAAACTCCTCCCACCATATAGCTGCTGCCATTTTTAGCAGTGGATAATGTCGCCTTAATTCTGCAGATAATGTAAATCTTAACTTAGACAAAGTAAAGAAACAGAATTTAGCCAGGAAATGAGAAGAATCAAAGATGTCATGACTGCTATCTTTAAATACCTAGAAGGTCTAGTAAGGTGGTGAATCCCCCAGCATTTATGTGAGAGTCCCAAGATCTAAAATTTAAAAAAAAGACAGTGAGTAGAAATTAATACATGGTTTGACTCATTATAGGGACCAACTTTCTATCAGACAAAATATTTCATTAACAGAATAGGCTGCCTCAGAAGTTAGTGAGTCACTGTCAGTGACAAGTAGGTAACCAATGCAATCAAAATAAATTAAAAATATTTATTGGGTACTTACTTCAAGCTGGACACTGTTTACGGCACTGGAGATGCAGGCAATGAGTATAGCAGAATTATTGATCCTAAGGGGACCCATAGAGCAATGGAGGAAGATAGACAAATGAGCAGATAACAATATATTGTGACAAATGTTCCAGGACAGGTGGAGGTAATATACAATGGGAACACAGAGAAAGGAGTAATTAACTGAAGCCTCAAGAAAGGCTTCAGAGAGAAGGAGATATTTGAGCTCAATCTCAAAAGTGATTAGGTTTTGAAGAATATTGAAAGTACTCAAGTTTTGAGGGAGTGGGTTACGAAGAAACTCGGAAGGGATTCTGTTGAGGAATTGGACTAACTAAATTTCCCCTTTCTTTCATATCAAAGATTCTATCGGTCTATAGGTTGAAGAACATCTATTTTAAAAATGCCATCCTCTCTTCCCCAGGAACATGGAACAATTAGAAGTAGAATGTTTCCTAGTATGTGCCCTTAGAGAAATCTACATAATGATGGGATTATGGTGTTTGTCAATCAGCATAAGGTTTGGCAGTATGGCTTTTTCTCAATGTGGGGAGGGTCCTCAGAATGACTTGTTCTGGTAAGTAGTTCCTCAGCAACTCCCCCACACTTTTCATTTGCCCAGCAAGTCCATTCATGGTGGATGGTACTATGGCAAATTTCAGCCTATTGAAATGATCATACATTCAATATTTGTGGTATTCAAGCCTCTGAAATTTCATGGTGATATCTCTTGCTCTCCATTCCATAGACGGAGCTTTGGCCACGGAGAAGGTAAATGTCCTCCACATGGGGCTTACTACTGGACTACAATTTATTTGAGCCTCATTTAGCAGACTCTCATGTATATGATTAACACATAACCCTTTGAAAATGCAAACAGTTTTTACCTTTAATTTTTTTTTTACATCAACCATAATCTTCCTGGCTGACACTAAGAGGTTGGGTAAAGAAGATTGGAGATTTTCATTTATTTGTTTGTTTTATTTGCCTATGAACTTCTCCAGCTGGTTTCCTGCCTCCTGCAGGAACCTCTTGGACACCTAAACTGGCAAGTTAATTTTAGATATTAGCTTCATGTCTCTCATTAGTAAAATTGGGTTTAAAATAATTAATTCTAGGAATCCTGACGCTACAGTCATTAAACCACCAACATGCAGGATATAAAAAAGGCAAGCACACTGTTGGAGCTGAGATTCTATTCATCTGGTTTTTTTGAACTAAGTTCACCATTTTTACTTGAAATAAAACCACTTTTCAACCTATATTCACATTCACATAAATTCCTATAAATGAATGTATACAACAATTTTATTCATAATTGACCCAAACTAGAAATAACCCAAATGTCTGTTAATTGGTGAGTGGTTAAACAAACTGGAAAATGCATACAACCAGTTTCTTCTCAACAATAAAAGGCAATGATCTACTGATACACATAACAAAACAGATAAATTTTCAATGCATTATGTTAAGTGCAGGAAACTACACTCAAAAAGTTACCTATCCTATGATGCCATTTTTATGGTGTTTTAGGAACGGAAAAAATACTGGCCTTCAATATAGACCATTGGTTGCCAGGAACTGGGGGCGAGGAGAAGCATTGATCACAGAGGGGTAAGAAGCAATATTTTGGGGTAATGCAACTGTTCTAGATCTTGATTATGGTGGTTACATTGACTATACACATTTGTCAAAAATCAGAGAATTCAATGCTAAAAAGGATGAAATTTATTGTATGTAAATTACACTTCAATAAACTTGATTTAAAACAACAACAATAAAAACAAAGGAAAAACCACTTCCTCCCTTTTACCAGGACTTCAGGATATAAAGTTTCCCATATTTCTTTTCTCCACACGTGTTCACCTGCTTTTGACCCATCCAACTTCCCAATGTTGTCCTCCATTTTCTATGCTGTGCTTTAGACTCCATGTTCGTTGCGCACTGGCCTTGTCTACCATGCTTCCACTCTGCTTAATGTCTTCTTCTCATTTCTCAGCAATCTTCCAGTGTCTAAATCCTACCCATTTTTAAAGGCAAATCCAAATGCAACTTTCTGCCTGATGAGAAGTCTTCTCTACTTACGCTGGCTGAGAGAGGTTCAGCCCCAATGCATACCCTTTTCACTGCTGTGTTTTTATCTTATCTCCTGCACAAAGTAACAAACATCAGAATTCTTTTTAAAAAGTATTTATTATTTTACTTAAAATAATAAACACATTACATGTTAAATAAATAACATATTTTTTGAAAAATAACAATTTTTCTAAACCAAAACAGATACAGTGAGAAGAGTGATGCTGTTTTATATTTTTGCAGTTATCTCTTCAATGTCTGGCTTGAGGACTGCTTGATTCTCCCAGCTGCTGCTGTGTTCAGTCTGTTGCAAAATCACATGTCATGTAGCCTCTGGAAAACTCCACTGTACATTCATGATAGAATGAGTTTGAAAGAGGCAAATAATGTGTCAGTGCTATCATGAAATTAGTTAACCTTCTGATAGGATTCCAGAGATTTAGGGAGGTTCCAAGACAAAACTTTGAGAAGTGCTGCTGAAGACCATCTTCTTTTTTTAATTAATAAACTTTATTTTTCTGAGCAGTTTTATGTTCAGAGCAAATGTGGGCAAAAAATAGAGTGCTCCCATGTACTGCCTGTTCTCCCCACTCCCCCAACACACATACCCACACAACCTCCCCAGCTATCAACATCCCGCACCAAAGTGGTACATTTATTATAATCTGTAGACCTATATTGACACATCATTATTATGCAAACTTCACAGTTTGCATTAGATTTCACTCTTGCTGTTGTACATTTTATTCCATGGGTTTTGACAAAGATACGATGACATGCATTCACCATCACAGTATCATACAGAATGGGTTCATTGTCCTAAAAATCCTTTTTGCTCTGCCTATTTATTTCTTCCTTCCCTTTCACTCCTGGAAATCACTGCTTCTTTTACTATCCCCATGGTTTTACCTTTTCCAGAAAGTCATATAACTGGAATCATATAGTAGGTAGCCTTTTTAGATTGGCTTCTTTCTCTTTGTAACATGATTTTAAGTTTCCACCATGTCTTTGCATGGCTTGATAGCTCATTTCTTTTTTTTTTTTTTTTTTTGAGACAAAGTCTCACTCTGTCACCCAGGCTGGAGTGCAGTGGCGTGATCTTGGCTCACTCCAACCTCCACCTCCTGAGTTCAAGTGATTCTCCTGCTTCAACCTCCCAAGTAGCTGGGATTACAGGCACGTGCCACCACGCCCGGCTAATTTTTTGTACTTTTAATAGAGAGGGGGTTTCACTGTGTTAGCCAGGATGGTCTTGACCTCCTGACCTCTTGATCCACCCACCTTGGCCTCCCAAAGTGCTGGGATTACAGACTTGAGCCACTGCACCTGGCCAGCTCATTTCTTTTCAGCACCGAAGAATAGTCCGTTATCTTTATGCACCATATATTTTTTTTTTGTCCATTCGTCTACTGGTTATTTCCAAGTTTTGGCTGTCATGAATAAAGCTTCTGCAAACATTGATGTGCAGGTTTTTGTGTGGACATAAATTTTCGATTCACTTTGGTAAATACCAAGTGCACAATTCTTAGATTATATGGTAAAAGTATGTTTTGTTTCATAAGAAACTACTAAACTGTCTCAAGTGGCTGCATCGTTTTGCATTCCCATCAGCAATAAACAAAAGTTCCTCCGGCTCCACATCCTCACCAGTGATCAGTATTTTCAGTGCTTTGGATTTTGGCCATTCTAATAGGCATGTAGTGGGTATCTCATTATTATTTTAATTAGCAATTCACTAATTGCACATGATGTTGTAAATCTTTTCATAGGCTTACTTGTCATATGTATATCTTCTTTGATGAGGTGTCTGTTTAGGTCTTTTGCCTGTGTTTTTAATAAGGTTGCCCATTTTCTTATTGTTGAATTTCAAGACTCCTCTTTATGTTTTAGATAACAGTCTTTTTCTGAGATGTGTCTTATGCAAATATTTTCTCTCAGTCTGTGGCTTGTCTCATTCTCTTGACATTGTCTTTTGCAGAGCATAAGTTTTTAATTTTAATGAAGTCCACTTTATCAATTATTTCTTTCAAGGACCATGCTTTTGTGGTTATATCTGAAAAGTCATCATGGGACCCAAGATCATTTAGGTTTTCTCCTATGTTATCTTTAAAAAGCTTTATAGTTTTGCATTTTCTGTTTAGACCTATGATCCATTTTGTGGATCATAATTTTTGTGATGGGTATAAAGTTTGTATCTAGATTCTTTTTGTATATGGATGCCCAGTTATTCCAACACCATTTGTTGAAAAGACTATCTTTGCAGCACTGTGTTTCCTTTCCTCCTTTGACATAGATAAGTTAACTATATTTGTGTGGATCTATTTCTGGGCTTCTTTTTCTGTTCCACTGATTTATTTGTCTATTCTTTTGCCAATATCACACTGCCTTGATTAGTGTAGCTTTATAGTAAGTCTTGAAGTCTGGTAGTGTCTGTCTTCTGACTTTCTTCTTCCCCTTCAATATTGAGTTGGTTATACTGGGCCTTTCGCCTCTTTATATAAACTTTAGGATCAGTTTGCCGATATTCTTGCTGATACTTTTATAGGGATCAAGTTGGAAAGAATTGAAATCTTGACACTGTTGTTTTCCTATCCATGAATACAGAATATCTCTTCATTGATGTGTTCTTTGATATCTTTCAACAGAGTTTTGCAGTTTTCCTCTTGCACATACTTGTTAGATTTATACCTAAGTACATCACTTTTGGATTGCTAATGTAAATGGTAATGTGTTTTTAATTTCAAATTCCACTTGTTCATTTCCAGTGTTTAGGAAAGCAATTTACTTTTGTGTATTAACCATGCGTCCTGCAGCAGTGCTATAATTACTTATTAGTTCTAGGAGGGTATTCTTTGTCATTTTTTAAGGATTTTCATGTAGATAATTACGTCATTTGTTTCTGTGAAAAAAGACAGTCGTATTTCTTCCTTCCAAATTTGTATCCCTTTTGTTTCCTTTTCTTGTCTTATTGCATTAGTGAGGACTTCCAGTATGATGTTGAAAACCAGTGATGAAAAGGTACATCCTTGCCTTGTTCCTGTTTTTAGTAGGAAAGCTTTGAGTTTCTCACTGTTAAGTATGATTTTAACTGTAGGTATTTTTGTAGATGCTCTTTATCAAGTGAAGAAGTTTCCCCGGATTCCTATTTTGCTGAGAGTTTTTATCATGGATGAGTGCTGGGTTTTGTCAAAGGCTTTTTCTGCATCTGGTCATATAATCATGCGATTTTTCTTCTTTAGCCTCTTGATGTGATTAATTGCATTAATTGATTTTATTTTTCCTTTTTTTTTTTAGACGGAGTTTCGCTCTTGTTGCCCAGGCTGGAGTGCAATGGCGCGATATCGGCTCACCACAACCTCCGCTTCCCAGGTTCAAGTGATTCTCCTGCCTCAGCCTCCTGAGTAGCTGGGATTATAGGCATGTGCCACCACACCCAGCTAATTTTGTATTTTCAGTAGAGACAGGGTTTCTCCATGTTGCTCAGGCTAGTCTCAAACTCCCAACCTCAGGTGATCCACCTGCCTCAGCCTCCCAAAGTGCTGGGATTACAGGCATGAGCCACCGCACCTGGCCTCCATTAATTGATTTTTAAATGTTTAACCAGCCTTACATACCTGGGATAAATCCCATTTGGTTTTGGTTTATACTTTTTTAATACATTGTTGGATTCAATTTGCTAATATTTTGTTGAGCATTTTTTCATCAATGTTCATGAGAGATATTGGTCTGTAGTTTACTTCTTTATATGTAATGTCTTTTTCTGGTTTTGGTATTAGGATAATGCTGGCCTCATAGAATGAGTTAGGAAGTATTCCCTTTCCTTTTATCTTCTAGAAGAGATTGTGGAAAATTGGTATAATTTCTTTTTTAGAAAAATCACCAGTGAATCCATCTGGGACTTAAAACAAATTTTTGAGATAATTGTGGATTCACATACAGGTGTAAGAAATAATACAGAGAGATTCCATGTACCCTTTATTCAGTTTCTCTCCATGGTAACATCTTGCTTACTGGTTCAATATCACAACTAAGCTATCACATAGATATAATCTATGTATCTTATTCAGATTTCCTTAGTTTTACTTGTACCCATGTGTACACAGATATAAGTAGTTCTGTACAATTTTCTCATGTCAATAGAAATATGGGTTTCTTACCCACCACTATACTCTGGATACAGGAAAGTCCAGATTCCCCCCTAGTCTTTTTTTTTTCTTTTGGCAGCAGTCTGGTTACTACATTGCTAAGTGACAGAATCTCAGTAAATATTTATCAACACATTTTCTTAGGGGATTTCATTTGTTGCAACCCAGTGATGATTACTAAGATTCTCTTTGTTTTGCTGTCCCTAGAACTGGCCCCACAGGCCATCGCAAAGCACTGTAATTGATGGGCTTTTTTCTGCATCAGAGTTGCTAAATTCAGCATCTTGTACAGGTCATGTATATGTCACATTTTAACATTAGGGGCTGGTGAACATGACACAACTCCCTTCCTCAGGTGAGAGATGACCTATCTGCAGTTATAGGGCTGAGGGATGGTACTTCACATCTACAGGATAAGTATTGTATTCAACCTGATTTCAGAGTCTAAGATATGGCTGTGTCTATACTGTACCTTGGTGGTTTGGGAGGAAAAGTGCCATGCAATATAACTGATTTATTCATTAAAAAAGTTTTGAGAGATGGTTATGTGTCATCCTTAGTAGGGAAACAAAGAAGAATTGAACAAAGATTTTGACCTAAAGGTACTTGTGTACTAGCCAAAGAGATATGACATATAAATATAATTAGTCTTCTTTCTCACCACTTCTCTTCACAGCCCTATGCCCTAGCCAGGCAAATGGCCCATTCACTAGCGGCTAAACCTCACATAATTTCCCTGCCTCTGCTTTGATTCATAGATTTCCTCTGATTGGCCCCCTTTTACCTCTCCTTGTCATTTCTTTCCCAAAACCAATCTCACATTCAAACTCCTCCATAAAGACTTTCCTGATACCCCCACAACAGGAGGTGTTTTTTCTCCCCTCTAAAATCCTTCCTATTGGGTCTAAAATGTCATATTTTGTATTTGAGTTAGTTATACCTATGCCTGAGCTTCCCTGAGAAGACATGAGCTTTGAAGGCAGGATCTACGTCTGTGAAGCTGTGGATCCGATCATGTCGCCCCAGTATAATCAAGTGCAATAATATTCTGTTACAGTATAATTCATTTCCATAACAAGCATTATTCCAATCTCCCCATCTACCTCTCTGCATATGAAAATTAAGATGTAATTATGTTATGAACATTTGTTATGGACCCTGGAAAATATGAGCTAAAGTACAGAACACTATATATATTTTTTAAACTTTTATTTTAGGTTCAGAGGCACATGTGCAGGTTTGTTATTTGGGTAAACTTGTGTCACAAGGGTTTGTTGTACAGATTATTTTGTCACCCAGGCACTAAGCCCAGTACTCAATAGTCATTTTTTCTGCTCCTCTCCCTCCTCCTACCCTTCACCCTCAGGTAGGCCCAAGTGTACATTATATTCTTAGGTTTCCTTTCTAATATTGGTTTTATGATCCTCAGGCCTGCAAGCATTCCCAGATTTCCTGGAGCAAAGATTATCCTCCTAGTTTCTAAACAAAATTCCCCAAGGAATGGAGAGATTTGGTAATATTCTGCTATGGAATGTCAGAGCTGGAAGATACTTTAGGGATCATCTAGTTCAAACAATTTGTTTTGAATATGACACTGTCTTGGAAGCTTGTCTGAGGTCACAAGGCGATTCAAGGGCCAAGTCAGACTAGAAAACAGGTCTCCTGGTGGTCACTATAATGTCTCTCTCTATAAACATAAGGCCATGCTGCCCCTGATCTTGCTCAGCATCTGTCTGAAGGTTTTCCCTGAAATGATCCTGGATGAGTGCAAACATCACAAGGACCCACCAGAAGCTTTACTGAGACCATTTGGATGGCCTTCCATGACATTGAAGAACTCTGTAATGATGGAAGTAGCTGGACATAATATGTCCCCAAGAGTCCCAAAAGAAACATATGGTGACTGACACAAGACTACGTCCAAAGACGGCAGCCAGAGCTGATAGGGGGAGATGTCTTTAGAACTGCAGACTCCTGGAGCCGGGGAGAACCTTGGAGAGCATCTAAAATAGAAAGCAGCACTTCAGCATGCAGGAGAGGTCTTGCCTTCTAGAAGTGACCCTGCTACTTACAGCCATGTAACCCTAGGCAAGACACTCCCCATCTCCAGTACTCAGTTACCAAGCATATCAAATAAACAGGTTGGGTTAGATAATACTAAGGTATTATCTAATACTTTCGGATATCTGGTACTATCTGATAGTTTTTTGTTCTGCAAAATACTACATTTCCTACTTTGACAGATGGGGAAATGAAGGCTTAAAGAGGTCTGATACCTTGCCTTAGGTTATAAAGTGAGTTGGTGGCACAGTGGTGACCAGAGGCCTGGCCAGCATTTTATCCACTGCCCCACATGGCCAGAATCATCTCATCCCCTGCCCTGTGGCCTTGTAGTAGATTGTGCAATTGCTCTCACAGGGCTGTTGCAATTGACCTCTTCTCTATCTCTGGGGACTGCTGGCAGCATTCAGAGAGCTACCGGAGAGGGGTCTGAGCTGTCTCTGTCCTGGAAGTGGAGCATGGGTCAGGCAGCTCTTTCTTCTCTCTCTCTGTTGAAATGAAACCGAAACAAAACTTCTTAATTTGGAGGCAGAGGGGCCAGAAAGGAGATGCTCCTCATCCTCTGCAAAGCCCAGCATCTCTTTCCCTTCTTTAGGGGATAGAGAAGTCTCCTGCCTGAGTCTCTGCAGAATGAAGCCAGATGACGAGTTAGAACCTGAGCAAAGTGGCATGACCCGGGAAAAGCAATACCTGGACATGGTGCAGAAAGACTTCAATCAGCATGGTACACAGACTTACTTTCTGTGTGACCTTCAGTCACATCTGATCCCATCCATAAACAGGGAAGAGGCAAACAGAAAAAAAAAAAAAGGAATGGTGTTATTTCAAACTAATATTACATTTAAGACTTACAATCTCGGGGGGAGGAGCCAAGATGGCCGAATAGGAACAGCTCCGGTCTACAGCTCCCAGCGTGAGCGACGCAGAAGACGGGTGATTTCTGCATTTCCATCTGAGGTACCGGGTTCATCTCACTAGGGAGTGCCAGACAGTGGGCGCAGGTCAGTGGGTGCGCGCACCGTGCGCGAGCCGAAGCAGGGCGAGGCATTGCCTCACACGGGAAGCGCAAGGGGTCAGGGAGTTCCCTTTCCGAGTCAAAGAAAGGGGTGACGGACGGCACCTGGAAAATCGGGTCACTCCCACCCGAATACTGCGCTTTATGCACCATGAGATTATATCCCACACCTGGCTTGGAGGGTCCTACCCCATGGAGTCTCGCTGATTGCTAGCACAGCGGTCTGAGATCAAACTGCAAGGCGGCAGCGAGGCTGGGGGAGGGGCGCCCGCCATTGCTGAGGCTTGCTTAGGTAAACAAAGCAGCCCAGAAGCTCCAACTGGGCGGAGCCCACCACAGCTCAAGGAGGCCTGCCTGCCTCTGTAGGCTCCACCTCTGGGGGCGGGGCACAGACAAACAAAAAGACAGCAGTAACCTCTGCAGACTTAAATGTCCCTGTCTGACAGCTTTGAAGAGAGCAGTGGTTCTCCCAGCACTCAGCTGGAGATCTGAGAACGGGCAGACTGCCTCCTCAAGTGGGTCCCTGACCCCTGACCACCGAGCAGCCTAACTGGGAGGCACCCCCCTGCAGGGGCACACTGACACCTCACACGGCAGGGTATTCCAACAGACCTGCAGCTGAGGGTCCTGTCTGTTAGAAGGAAAACTAACAAACAGAAAGGACATCCACACCAAAAACCCATCTGTACATCACCATCATCAAAGACCAAAAGTAGATAAAACCACAAAGATGGGGAAAAAACAGAACAGAAAAACTGGAAACTCTAAAACGCAGAGTGCCTCTCCTCCTCCAAAGGAACGCAGTTCCTCACCAGCAACGGAACAAAGGTGGATGGAGAATGACTTTGACGAGCTGAGAGAAGAAGGCTTCAGACGATCAAATTACTCTGAGCTACGGGAGGACATTCAAACCAAAGGCAAAGAAGTTGAAAACTTTGAAAAAAATTTAGAAGAATGTCTAACTAGAATAACCAATACAGAGAAGTGCTTAAAGGAGCTGATGGAGCTGAAAACCAAGGCTCGAGAACTACATGAAGAATGCAGAAGCCTCAGGAGCCGATGCGATCAACTGGAAGAAAGGGTATCAGCGATGGAAGATGAAATGAATGAAATGAAGCGAGAAGGGAAGTTTAGAGAAAAAAGAATAAAAAGAAATGAGCAAAGCCTCCAAGAGATATGGGACTATGTGATAAGACCAAATCTACGTCTGACTGGTGTACCTGAAAGTGATGGGGAGAATGGAACCAAGTTGGAAAACACTCTGCAGGATATTATCCAGGAGAACTTCCCCAATCTAGCAAGGCAGGCCAACGTTCAGATTCAGGAAATATAGAGAACGCCACAAAGATACTACTCGAGAAGAGCAACTCCAGGACACATAATTGTCAGATTCACCAAAGTTGAAATGAAGGAAAAAATGTTAAGGGCAGCCAGAGAGAAAGGTCGGGTTGCCCTCAAAGGGAAGCCCATCAGACTAACAGCGGATCTCTCGGCAGAAACCCTACAAGCCAGAAGAGAGTGGGGGCCAATATTCAACATTCTTAAAGACAAGAATTTTCAACCCAGAATTTCATATCCAGCCAAACTAAGCTTCATAAGCGAAGGAGAAATAAAATACTTTACAGACAAGCAAATGCTGAGAGATTTTGTCAACACCAGGCCTGCCCTAAAAGAGCTCCTGAAGGAAGCGCTAAACATGGAAACGAACAACCGGTACCAGCCACTGGAAAATCATGCCAAAATGTAAAGACCATCGAGACTAGGAAGAAACTGCATCAACTAACAAGCAAAATAACCAGCTAACATCATAATGACAGGATCAAATTCACACATAACAATATTAACTTTCAATGTTAATGGACTAAATGCTCCAATTAAAAGACACAGACTGGCAAATTGGATAAAGAGTCAAGACCCATCAGTGTGCTGTATTCAGGAAACCCATCTCACGTGCAGAGACACACATAGGCTCAAAATAAAAGGATGGAGGAAGATCTACCAAGCAAATGGAAAACAAAAAAAGGCAGGGGTTGCAATCCTAGTCTCTGATAAAACAGACTTTAAACCAACAAAGATCAAAAGAGACAAAGAAGGCCATTACATAATGGTAAAGGGATCAATTCAACGAGAAGAGCTAACTATCCTAAATACATATGCACCCAATATAGGAGCACCCAGATTAATAAAGCAAGTCCTGAGTGACCTACAAAGAGACTTAGACTCCCACACATTAATAATGGGAGACTTTAACACCCCACTGTCAACATTAGACAGATCAACAAGACAGAAAGTCAACAAGGATAACCAGGAATTGAACTCAGCTCTGCACCAAGAGGACCTAATAGACATCTACGGAACTCTCCACCCCAAATCAACAGAATATACATTTTTTTCAGCACCACACCACACCTATTCCAAAATTGACCACATACTTGGAAGTAAAGCTCTCCTCAGCAAATGTAAAAGAACAGAAATTATAACAAACTATCTCTCAGACCACAGTGCAATCAAACTAGAACTCAGGATTAAGAATCTCACTCAAAACCGCTCAACTACATGGAAACTGAACAACCTGCTCCTGAATGACTACTGGGTACATAACGAAATGAAGGCAGAAATAAAGATGTTCTTTGAAACCAACGAGAACAAAGACACAACATACCAGAATCTCTGGGACACATTCAAAGCAGTGTGTAGAGGGAAATTTATAGCACTAAATGCCCACAAGAGAAAGCAGGAAAGATCCAAAATTGACACCCTAACATCACAATTAAAAGAACTAGAAAAGCAAGAGCAAACACATTCAAAAGCTAGCAGAAGGCAAGAAATAACTAAAATCAGAGCAGAACTGAAGGAAATAGAGACACAAAAAACCCTTCAAAAAATTAATGAATCCAGGAGCTGGTTTTTTGAAAGGATCAACAAAATTGATAGACCGCTAGCAAGACTAATAAAGAAAAAAAGAGAGAAGAATCTAATAGACGCAATAAAAAATGATAAAGGGGATATCACCACCGATCCCACAGAAATACAAACTACCATCAGAGAATCCTACAAACACCTCTACGCAAATAAACTGGAAAATCTAGAAGAAATGGATAAATTCCTTGACACATACACTCTCCCAAGACTAAACCAGGAAGAAGTTGAATCTCTGAATAGACCAATAACAGGATCTGAAATTGTGGCAATAATCAATAGCTTACCAACTAAAAAGAGTCCAGGACCAGATGGATTCACAGCTGAATTCTACCAGAGGTACAAGGAGGAACTGGTACCATTCCTTCTGAAACTATTCCAATCAATAGAAAAAGAGGGAATCCTCCCTAACTCATTTTATGAGGGCAGCATCATTCTGATACCAAAGCCAGGCAGAGACACAACCAAAAAAGAGAATTTTAGACCAATATCCTTGATGAACATTGATGCAAAAATCCTCAATAAAATACTGGCAAAACGAATCCAGTAGCACATCAAAAACTTATCCACCATGATCAAGTGGGCTTCATCCCTGGGATGCAAGGCTGGTTCAATATATGCAAATCAATAAATGTAATCCAGCATATAAACAGAGCCAAAGACAAAAACCACATGATTATCTCAATAGATGCAGAAAAGGCCTTTGACAAAATTCAACAACCTTCATGCTAAAAACTCTCAATAAATTAGGTATTGATGGGATGTATTTCAAAATAATAAGAGCTATCTATGACAAACCCACAGCCAATATCATACTGAATGGGCAAAAACTGGAAGCATTCCCTTTGAAAACTGGCACAAGACAGGGATGCCCTCTCTCACCACTCCTATTCAACATAGTGTTGGAAGTTCTGGCCAGGGAAATTAGGCAGGAGAAGGAAATAAAGGGTATTCAATTAGGAAAAGAGGAAGTCAAATTGTCCCTGTTTGCAGACGACATGATTGTATATCTAGAAAACCCCATTGTCTCAGCCCAAAATCTCCTTCAGCTGATAAGCAACTTCAGCAAAGTCTCAGGATACAAAATCAATGTACAAAAATCACAAGCATTCTTATACACCAACAACAGACAAACAGAGAGCCAAATCATGAGTGAACTCCCATTCACAATTGCTTCAAAGAGAATCAAATACCTAGGAATCCAACTTACAAGGGATGTGAAGGACCTCTTCAAGGAGAACTACAAACCACTGCTCAAGGAAATAAAAGAGGATACAAACAAATGGAAGAACATTCCATGCTCATGGGTAGGAAGAATCAATATCGTGAAAATGGCCATACTGCCCAAGGTAATTTACAGATTCAATGCCATCCCCATCAAGCTACCAATGCCTTTCTTCACAGAATTGGAAAAAACTACTTTAAAGTTCATATGGAAGCAAAAAAGAGCCCGCATCGCCAAGTCAATCCTAAGCCAAAAGAACAAAGCTGGAGGCATCACACTACCTGACTCCAAACTATACTACAAGGCTACAGTAACCAAAACAGCATGGTACTGGTACCAAAACAGAGATATAGATCAATGGAACGGAACACAGCCCTCAGAAATAACGCCACATATCTACAACTATCTGATCTTTGACAAACCTGAGAAAAACAAGCAATGGGGAAAGGATTCCCTATTTAATAAATGGTGCTGGGAAAACTGGCTAGCCATATGTAGAAAGCTGAAACTGGATCCCTTCCTTACACCTTATGCAAAAATCAATTCAAGATGGATTAAAGACTTAAACGTTAGACCTAAAACCATAAAAACCCTAGAAGAAAACCTAGGCATTACCATTCAGGACATAGGCATGGGCAAGGACTTCATGTCTAAAACACCAAAAACAATGGCAACAAAAGCCAAAATTGACAAATGGGATCTAATTAAACTAAAGAGCTTCTGCACAGCACAAGAAACTACCATCAGAGTGAACAGGCAACCTACAAAATGGGAGAAAATTTTCGCAACCTACTCATCTGACAAAGGGCTAATATCCAGAATCTACAATGAACTCAAACAAATTTACAAGAAAAAAACAAACAACCCCATCAAAAAGTGGCCGAAGGACATGAACAGACACTTCTCAAAAGAAGACATTTATGCAGCCAAAAAACACATGAAAAAATGCTCATCATCACTGGCCATCAGAGAAATGCAAATCAAAACCACAATGAGATACCATCTCACACCAGTTAGAATGGCAATCATTAAAAAGTCAGGAAACAACAGGTGCTGGAGAGGATGTGGAGAAATAGGAACACTTTTACACTGTTGGTGGGACTGTAAACTAGTTCAACCATTGTGGAAGTCAGTGTGGCGATTCCTCAGGGATCTAGAACTGGAAATACATTTGACCCAGCCATCCCATTACTGGGTATGTACCCAAAGGACTATAAATCATGCTGCTATAAAGTCACATGCACACGTATGTTTATTGTGGCATTATTCACAATAGCAAAGACTTGGAACCAACCCAAATGTCCAACAATGATAGACTGGATTAAGAAAATGTGGCACATATACACCATGGAATACTATGCAGCCATAAAAAATGATGAGTTCATGTCCTTTGCAGGGACATGGATGAAATTGGAAAACATCATTCTCAGTAAACTATCGCAAGAACAAAAAACCAGACACCGCATATTCTCACTCATAGGTGGGAATTGAACAATGAGATCACATGGACACAGGAAGGGGAATATCACACTCTGGGGACTGTTGTGGGGTGAGGGGAGGGGGGAGGGATAGCATTGGGAGATATACCTAATGCTAGATGACGAGTTAGTGGGTGTAATGCACCAGCATGGCACATGTATACATATGTAACTAACCTGCACAATGTGCACATGTAGAGTATAATAAAAAAAAAAGGCAAAACCATATTAGAAAAACAGAAAAGAAAAAGAAAAAAAAAAAAAAAGACTTAAAATCTCTCTTGGGGCCAGATACAGAAAGCATTTTCCTCACCTGTTTTCTTTTCAAAACAGTAGAAAAACTGTTTTTAAAGAAGGGCAATTAAAGTAGACTAGCCCTGAATGATTTTTCTAATTGTTACAGAAAATCTGATGGTTTTCTTACCTTGAAGTCATGTGTACTAGGTCTTCCAATTCTCTCTGAAGGGGAAGCCACATGGCTTCCTAGATCCTTAAGAAAGGATAACCCTTATTGATAAGCCTCTGTTTATGACATGACTTGCCCAGGGTCACACAGAAAGGCAGCAGTAGAGACAAAAATTACATACAGATTGCCTGTCTCGCAGTTTCCCTTCCCTGTTGTTGGAGGAACGTAATGAGGGTAAGAAAGGAAGGGGTCTCCAGAGAGATGTAATGGCTATTTCTAAGCCATTTTTAAAATAAGCTTCAGATGATCAAAAGTTCGAGGTCAGAGGATAATTTAGGCCATCAGAAGTTGGCCAGATTGGAGTTAGGTCCTCTAGAGAATTCTGTCCTTTGGCAGTCAAAGACAGTGATGGACGCCAAGCCAGGCCTGTGATTTGGGCACAGGTCCAGGCTCTAGCCCCCTCTGGAGCCGGGCTCGGATCTTCACAAGGAGCTCTGCAGCAAGCAGGGTCTGTGCTTGAACATACGCTTTTAATCAGAGTCGCTGGAACCTGGATGGGGCCTCAAACATAATTTAATTCAGTCCTCTCACTTTGCAGATGTAGAAATTGAAGGCCAGATTGAAGGGTGGGCTATGGAATGCTTGCACAAGGTCATCTGTCAATTTAGGGAACAGCATGGTAAGGTGAAAAGGGATCGCTTTGGTGTCATTGCTGGGTTCCAAATCCCCGCTCTGCCGCGTATTAGCTAAGAGACCCCAGGTAAGTCACTTGACCTCCCTGACTATCAATGTCCCAGTGTGTAAAGTCGGGACCATAATTACAATGCCTGAATCACTGGATTGCTATCATTAAATAAGATGAAAAATAAGAAAGTGATTTGTAAACAGGAAGTCACTTTTCATACCACAATGTTAATATTAAATTATAATAAAACCCAACCCAATAAAAGCAGTCCACTTTTCTGAATGCCCACCACATGCCAAGTGCCAAGTACTTCACATACCTTGTTTCTTTTAATTCACACAATGAATGACCCGAGGAGAACGCTCAACTAACAACCATGTACTTGAACCAGGGGTTTAAATCAGTCATACACACAGCAGGATTTAAATACTATCTTCCACATGGTACCTTCAGAAACGTGGGCCTGGGATTTCATTCATGGGATACACATGGCTCCCCCCCCCGTACCCCCTGCCCCCTCTGTATTGAGTGGGTGGCTCTCACCTGTGGAGGGCAGGGTGCTCTCATGTTTGTTTATACCAGAACATAGAATAGAACTTGGTAAAGGTAAATGCTCATTTAAGAAATAAAAATACATCAAATAAAGTAAAAAGCAACCTGGTAGATAGCATTTCCTTTTCATTTTTTTAAAATAGCTTTATCGAAGGATAATTGAATGGAAATGGTCATTAATATATATCCAGAATCTATTAACGTTCGGCTAAGTTGGGGGGAACATAGGGATGTTTTAAGGCAACTAAGCGATTTAGAAAACTTAAGTTCTTTAATGTTTTCAAAGAAAAGGTTGAGTCTGTAAGATATAATCTGGCAATTTGTATAGAACTCTTTCTACTAGCTTCCAGGAATCCCTGCTCTGTGAGCTTTTTGCCAAACTGATTGATCTTCCCAGACATAATCTGGGGACCTTCTCTAATATGCCCCTGTCCCGCTGTCAGCTTAATACACTCTTTTGCTAAGTAATAGGGTATTGCTAGTGTTCTTCCAGGTTCTCTTCATAAAGGCGCTTCTCTGTCAATAAGAGACTGTGTTTATATTCTTGTGCACAAATAACTGGCCCTCTTCTCAGTGTTTGAGATCCCTCATCTTGCTCCGACTGTTGCAGCCTTTTCTCGCCATGACAGACTGCCATACTACATGGCCTTCTCCCATCGAAAGGTGAGGTCAAGTCTCCTTCCTCTGAATCTGGGTGGGGTTGTGACTCACTTTCAATCATTCTAATATAGAGTAAGTGATGTTGTGTGATCTCTGAAGGTATGTCATAAAGAAAATGATGCCATTGCCTCCTTGTTCTCTAGGGTCTAGCATGTGGACCACTGAACTGCCAAGGAAGCAGTCCAACTGCCCTGAGGCTGCCATGCTGTGAGGAAACCCAAAGTGGTCCATAAAGAAGGATTATGTGGAGGGACCCTGAAAGATGCCTGGCCTGCCTCCCACTGCTCCAGTACCCTCCTCCCCAACTCTTCCAGCTTCAGCCACTGTCTGCAACCACATGAGAGCTCCCGAGCCATAAATGCCCAGCCTAGTCTCCCCTAAGTTTCTAACCCACAGTTTAAACTACTAAGCTTGGGTTGCTTTGTTATGCCTCAATAGCAACTGGGACATGCCCCTTTCTCCATTCTGCTGCTGAATCTGGTTACAGCAGCAGAGACACATGCCAGGGGCATCTCTAGTAACAGGGGAAAGCCCTTTGGGAGTAGATTCAAAGTGGGGGGTCAAGACAAATTATTCAGCGAGCCTGACTTTTAGAACTCAAGGGGCACCAAGTAAGTGCATGATCCTGAGGCAATCAATTCCTCTCGTTTTCCTTTTTTTGTAAAGGGATGAACTAGACACAGTGTGGAAAGCCAGCTTTACCACATTCTCCTACGATCTTCTGAAGTTACCTAATCTCTCTAACCCCAGATTCCTCTTCTGTAAAATGGGGATAATAGCCACAAAAATAGAACAGTAGTGTAAAATTAGATAGTATGTGTGGAAAAGTAGAGTCTTGAAACTTGACTTAAGTGGTTGATGAATGTTAGCCCCCTCCACCAATGCCTTCCCCTTGCATTCTAATATTCTCTGCTCCTCTGAGCAAATTTACCAGATGATTGTTGGAGTTTTTTGTAATCCTCATCAAGTCAGAGAAGACTAGTGAGGTTGTGGCAAATAAATGATTCTGAGGGTCCAGGGCGAGCTTTAGGTAAATTGTGGTTTTAGTGTTTGAGAAAGAGCCTGTCACTAGTGGGAGTCTTCATTATTCACTGGCAAGATATAACAAGCAGGGCTTTGCAGTAATGCACAGCTCCTCTGCTCTTGGCAATCTTGTGGCCGAAAGATATTTTTAAAGCCCCTGTTTTCAGATGACCGTGTTTCTGATTAGCATGTGTCTTTTCCATTTTCAGTTCCACGAAGAGAAAGGCAAGTGAAATTTGCCCAGCCTCACCATCTCCAAATGGGTGATATTACTGAACAATTATTTAATGGCCCCACAGCATCTGTTTTTTATATTTTGGGGTCCATACTGGAAGTTCAAGCTTATGAATAATCCAGATATTTAAAAGCCAATGCTCAACTGGATATTCTCCTTAGGATTATTTTAGCCTTGTCTAGAATCAGAGTGTCTGTCAATTGCCACAACATATATATTAAGTTTGAAAGAGATTAAGCTGGAAAATTCGATATTTTAAAAATAATACCAAGAGAGGCTGGGAGCAGAAAGAGAAGAAAAGATAACTATTGGGTACTGGGTGATGAAATAATATTTACAATAAACCCCCATGGCAAGTGTTTACCTATGTAGCAAACCTTCACATGCACCCCCAAACATAAAATAAAAGTTAAAGAAAGAAAAAAACAGAAACTCTTACTTATAACTCATTTCATTTAATAACGTTTTTACTCTTTTAAAAATAAAATAATGCTAATGATGATGATAACAGGGTTCATACCTGTAGAGCATTTTACAAGTGGCAGAGAGCTTTCATTGATATCATTTCTCTTAAGTCTTCACCCTGTGAGGTAGGCATAGAAAGAAATTTTATCCCCAAATGACAGATGAAAAAATAGAGAGCCCATGAGTTTAACTGACTTGCTCAAAGCCACAAAGGCTGCATTTCCTGAGCCTGAGTACCCCTAGGAAGAGCTCCAGCCAATCTAGGGTGCAGAACCAATGAGTTAGTTTATCATTTATCAATCCCAGTGATGCATAAGCTGTGCAGAATTAGAAAGGTCAGCTCCAGGCTGGCCCACCAAAAAAGTAGAGGAAAACTTGGGAATGCCCACTAGCCTATTCAGAAGTTGGATTCAGGTTGGGAGAAAGAAAATAGGAGCCGAATTATTTTGAGGTGGTATACACGAGTTACCTATTGCCATTGTAACAAAGCCAGCACAAACTTGGTGGCTTACAATGACATAAATTTATCCTTTTACAGTTCTGGAAACCAAAAATCCAACATTAATTTCTCTGGGCTTTCAAATCAAGCTGCCAGCAGGGAGAGTTCCTTCTGGAGGCTGTAGGGGAGAATGTATTTCCTTGCCTTTTTCAGCTTCCAGAGATTCTCATATTCTTTGACTTGTGGCCCCTTCCTCCATCTTCAATGCATATAATCTCTGTTTCCATTGTCACACAACTCTCCTCCTACACCTTACAATGGACCCATCTGGATGACATGGGATAATCTCTGCACTTCATGACCCCTAACTTAATCACATCTGCAAAGTCCCTTTAACATGTAGGAGAACATAGTCCCAGGTTCCAGGAATTAGGACATGGGCATCTTTGGGACCATCATTCAGTCTACCATAGGTGACAAGGTGACAGGCGGATGGTGGCCACCGTTTTTTTTTGCATGGTTGTGTTTGCCTGTCTGAAAGCCACACTCCTCACTGCCACCTGACATGTAGAGGCCAAAATAGAAAACACATCTTCAGATCCCAAGTAAAGTGCTCTTTCAGGCACGTCACACCTGCCATCTCAAACTATATTTACATTCATTTTTGCAAATAGCCCATTCTTGTATAGAAGGCAATTAATATTTGCATAATGTTTTAGAGTTTATAATGGCCTTTTTATTTACATGAAGTCACTTAAACCCCTACAATAGCCCTCTGAGACAGTTATTATTAACACATTTTTACATATGAAGAAGCTAAGGCTCAGCGGGGTGAAGTGGTTTGTCTAAGGTCACCCAGCTGGTAAGGGCAAGACCACAATGCAAATCCCAAAAGTTCCACTATATTCCGCTCTAAATAATGAGTCTATACTGAAGTCCACTTACTAGCCATGGTGGCTTATCTTTTGGGGATACTCTGAAGGTGAATGGGGTCTCCATTGCGCTTTTGAGATAAAATGAGTCAATAAATGTGAAAGTCCTTTGTAGCAGTATGACTCACTATGACAGAAAGTTATTGATAGCATTATCATCATCACCACCAACATCCTCTGCCCTGGAGACCAAGAGAATTCAAACAGGTCAGCACCTCTAATTGCTGTATAGAACATTGACCCTACTGTCTCCCAGTTCCTGAGGATGGTGTGATAATAATACATCTCAGAGTTCTGTAGTTTCTTCACCACTGTGCAGGTGTGGTTGGTGGGAGCAATGCCCTGGATGGATAAGCCAAGCTCTTGTGTCCTGGCAGATAAACAAGGTGAACCCTCAATCCGTGTAGCAGGAGTTTCCAGACAAACTCACTTTGCATGGAAGGACACTAACCCTTCCAGGTGCATGGAAATATTTTGTAGTTTTTACTGTCTCCCCCTTCCTCCACTGCCTCATCTTTTTTGTTTTTTCCCCTGTGAGACTATTTGCTCTGCATTTCAGATGTGTCTAATTTTGTGGAAAGGAGAAGGTTGGGAGCTCCGGAGCTAATAGGATGCACAGGAGGAAGATACGGAGCACAGTGGCTGAGACCTGACAGCTCTCTGAAGACTCCACTTCACCGCCGCCACTCCACTTCACCGCCGCCAGCCCTGGCCCACACCTTTCTTAAGAGCAACTTAAGAAATTTGCAACTTCAAAACCAGACCAGAGGGTGAGAAGAACTAGCCAACCCATCCTCCAAGTGTGACTGAGCGGTCAGGCTGCCCCCACCTCATTTGAGTGAGACCGCCAAGAGCCTTCACGTGGGACCTAGACCACAGGAACACAATTAGGAAGTACTCCCTGCCCCTCACAACGGCCATCCTCACCAGGCAGCGGGGACAGAAGGGAGGCAGGTGCATTCAAATCGCGCTGGCCTGAAGAAGGGAAATGAAGCGCTAAACTCAGCTCGGTCCCACAATGAGTCAGAATGGGGGCAGGGAGGAGCGCCCAAAGCCCTCTGGCCCTTCTCCTTGGGAACTAGTCCTGCACATGGCCACCAGCCCTGGGAATCACAGCATTTGGCATGGGTCTCAGTTCTTGTACTCCATTGCTGTGGGACAAGAGACACTAAACTTCCAGGTTTTCTCTCAATAGCTGGCTTCACCTGTAAACACAGTGGCATATTAGACAAGCTCTCTTCATCTGAAATGTGCCCACCCCCCCAACAATCCCACCTTTGCCTGCTCAAACCTGACTCATGCTTCATGTTCATATTCAACTTCTTCCCTTGTGCTTCTAACTAAATCTAGGAATCTCCTTGTTCTTAGAACCACCTTTATCCCTTCTCAGATATTTATGTATATCAGTTTTTAAATGAAAATAATTTCTCACCTATTAAGCTGGGCACCCTGCTAATCACTTTCACACTTGCTGTTTAATTTGCTGTTTTGCTCCCTAATATTAGACAAAAACTCCTTGAAAACAGAGACTGTGTCTGACTCATCGCTCCTTCCCCCACCAGGCACTATCCTCTCAACAGTTACTGGATTAATAATTTTTTAAAAAATTTTAAAAAACTATTTTAAAAAAATATAAATTAGTAAAAACTGTGGCATTAGCATGAAATGACTAATATGTTCAAGTTCCACTTGAGGAAGTTAGGGTGATGTCAGTGAAAACCTGCCCTTAGAGGATCCCTGCCTGCATGAGGGACTCTGGGACTGCAAAGTGCCAAGAGAGCCTTACTCAGGGTGACCACAGGAAGGTGAGCCAGAGGAATCTTCATTTAGGGAGAATCTGGCAAGAAAATTCCAGGCATCTGCTGGAAGCCATAGAATGTAGGTGTAAGAAGCAAGTGAGGATGGTATGGAAAGAACTAGCTGAGAGAAAGCAAGTGAGAGCTGACACCAGAAAAAGATGAGGGTCTTAGAGTTCTTATTTTATGTGGTTATTTGTGAAGAATGCAGGGCCAGGTGCCTCAAAGGAGATTCACAGAGTATTAAGTATATTTGAGCCTATTTGACAAGCCCAGAAGACATTCCGAAGGGTCTTGTCTCTGAGGAGCTTGTGCCTGGTTGTGAGGAGGTACATTTGTTAGATATCATTTGTTAGATAGACTCAAGGTGAAATCTCAAAGCAGTTCACCTCGCTTTTGGCATATTTGTTAGATATCACTGCTCATCCTCCCTTGTTTCAGGATCTTCCCCAGGCCATGAGAGTCTGAGAAGCAGGTGGGGAGTGAAAAGAGCACAGGCATGGGGGTCAGGAGATGCCATTCACAGCCGTGGCTCCCCCATTTACTTGTATCACAAACTGGAACAAATTGCTCCACTTCTCTGAGTCTCCATTTCCCCATCTATGCAATGATGGGATGCAACTAGAATCTCACTGTCAGATTGAGTTCTACAACAAAGTGGTGTAGACTGCATGGCAACAAAAAACAAGAAAAATCTATTTCTCACAGTCTGGAGGCTGGAAGTCCAAGGTCAGAGTGCCAGTATGGTCGGGTGCTGGTGAGGGCCGTCATCTAGGCTGCAGACTGCCAACTTCTTGTTTTACACTCACATGGTAGTAAAGGTGCTAGAGAGCTCCCTGAGATCTTTTTATAAGGGCACCGATGCTATTCATGAGGTCCCACCCTCCTACTCTAATTATCTACAAGACGCCTCACCTCCAAATACCATCACACTTTGGATATGCTTCAACATATACAGTTGGTGGTGGGTGAGAAGCATGAGCGTTCAGTCCATAACAATCACTATATTTCCTCTGAGTTTCTCCTGCTCCTCCTCTTCTAAACACACCACCAGCAAACCTCTCTGTTCCTCTTCCCTGATGGTAAGAAGAGAGGTGGAGGGATCTCTTCTCACCATGGCTGGTCCAACCACCTATGAACTAGTCCCTTTCTCTTCAGCCTTCTTCAAGGACCTGCTTCACCAGTTATCCTCTTTACCTCTTGGATTATCAGTCTCTCCTGTTTCTGGAACTCCTTTCTTTCAGCCTATCAGTGTCCTTGAATCTCTCTAAATTCTTAAAACCATTTTTTTCATCCAGTAATTGATAAAGCTGTCTCCTCTTCACAGCTAAATTTATTGAGTATGTATTGCCATCTTCATGATCTCACTCCTTGCCTACACCCCACCCACTACAACCTGGCTTATAAACAACCACACACATACTCACACCACTGAAAACCCTCTTGATGAGGTCCCTGGTGACCTCCTCATTGTCAAATCAAATGATTTCTTTGCAGTCTTCATCCTCCTCATTCCCAAAGTGGTATTTGCACTAAAAACCAACTCTTCATCAGTCTTGAAATTCTCTCCTGGTTCTCCACAGTCTCTTCTATGCTGCCCACACTTTAATGTTGGGATGCTTCAAGATTTCACCTTGAGCCTATCTATTCCCCCTGACCCCACCACCCAAAGTTCCCTGGGAACACTCATTTGGTTCTAGAGCTTTAAGTACCATTATACCCTGATGACTCTAGTCCCTACTTCTCCCGCAAAAACCATCTCTGTCTTCCCAAAAGCCTATTCACATCTCTAGTGGGGTGTTTTTTACAGAAACTTAAAATACTGTGCTCCAAAGAGCCCTCTCCTATAGATTCACCAAATGTGCTCTGTGTCCTTTGTGTTCAGCCTTGGTTAACAGCATATTTTTCCACTCTACTTCTAAAGCTAGAAATCACAGAGTCTTCCTTAGACACTTCCTTTCCTTTACCCTCCGCATGTCAGTCAACAAACCCTAGGAGTTTAACTTCAGAAATTAATAGGCCTCATCCACCCCTCCCCTCCATCCACAATGCTTTGGCTCAAGCCCTCATTAGTTTTCAGCAGGACCACGGCAACATCTGCTCTCTGTCCTCCATGTCTCCTTGGGTTATCTTCCTAAAAAGCAAATCTAACCAAGACACACTTTTGCTTAGGAATCCCTATTGATGATCTATTGCCCATAAACTTGAGACAAAATTCCTTGGCTGGGGAACATAACACTTAACAATCTGATCTCAAGCTTCATCCTCAGCTTTGCCACCCCACACAGCCACTCTGAACTTCTTAACCAAACGTACCAATTCCTTTCACAATTTGGGGCCTTTGCATGTGCTGTTACCTTTTTCTGGAAAGTACTTCTGGCCTCCTGTGATTGGTAAACTCATATTTCAAGGCCCAAACTCCCATTTCACCATTTCTGTGATGTTGCCCCTTATTTCCTCCAGGCAGAACCCTTCGCTCTGCCCCAATCTCTCACAGCACTTATTTATGTCTCCATAATAACACTTATCACACTGTACTGTAATTTTCCTTTTCATGTGTCAGTCACTACATTATACTTTGAGCTCCAGGAGGTTAAGAACTTACACTTATTAATTTTTTATATCCCCAGGGTCTAGCCCAAGATCTGCTTATAGTCAGCCCTCGGAAAAATGCATATCAAATAAATCAGTGAATATACCAAAGGTTCTCTATGCTAAAGGAAGCATTACACCAAAGTGAAATTGATTCTAGATGCTAGTCCCATATCTGTTTTTAAAGGTTAAAAAAAATGGTCTTTGCAGTCAGACGTAAAGGGGATTCAAATCCCTCCTCTACAGCTATCTTATGTGATCACAGGCAAGAAGCTCCCAACTCTATGCCTGAGTTTCCTTATCCCTAAACAGGACAATGCCTGCCTCACAACACTGTCATGGATTAGATAAGAAGTTGAATATATACACTGTATAGCACGGGGTCTGATAACAAATGAATAGCCATGATTATTACCATTAACTAGCTGTAATATTCTGGGCCAGTCCCTTTCTCTCCCTGGGTCTTCCTGGAACCCACTCCCTCTATATAATGAGGGTTTTCACAAGTATCCCTGAGGTTACCCCAAGCTCCATCACTGTAGAACTTTACAGTAGTCAAAATTTATAGTATCAGCCATTCAGCTCTGAAATTAACCCTGCTTGGGTATAATGAACTCTAATAGTTTCTTGGGCGTAAGCTTTGCTCACTCTAACCAAAGTCAAATTCATCAACCACACTGGACCTCGCTAAGGGCAAGAGCTAGTTCTTTTATTCTCCTATTCATTTCTGGCTCAGGACTGGGCACAGAGAAGGTACGCCCATCAACTTGTCAGTAGAAGAAGCAGTGGAAAGGAGGCCTGTCTCCTAGGAGCCAGCACAGACAACAGGGGCAGGGCATGCAGACTCCCAATCACATCGTGTGCTCCTAATTTAAATGACTTTGTGAACTGATTTTGCAATCCCGTGTTTATTCCCAGCTCATTCTTATTAATATCTTGTTAACATCTTAATTTGAACTGTGGCCACTGCATTTCACACAAAGAGCACACAGGAGTATATTTAAATTACTTTGGATTCTCCCAGAGAGGAGGTGTCTTTCTCCCACATTTGCACATTTAAAATTTATTTTTGACATCTTAATATGATTATTTTTATTCTTGTAAAGTAACGGAGTAAAAAAAGAAAAATGACTGGTTGAGTTTCTTCTCCCAACATTAAAAACAGGGAAAATAGCCAACTCTTTGGAAGCCAGTTGTTTGGAGTAATATTTGAGGTCTTGCTGAGTGAAATAAATAGACACTTCTGAAGAATCGAGCAACAGAGAATTGTGGAGAAACAGTGTATTCGGGCCACTCAGTGCACACAGCCAGCTTTCCTGCTCCAGGGCAATGAAGATCTACAGTAAGTCACCCAGCATAGGGGAGGATCATGAACCCTGAGGTCACCCACAGCTGAATTCAACCTCCTCCCTTCCAGTTGTATGATCCAGACAATTTCTTCACATCTACAAGATTCGTTTTCCCACTTGCAAAATGAAAATAACGATATAGCACACTTCACGGTGATGTCAAGAGAATTTTTAAAAATAATAATATATATACACACATAGAGAATATTCAATAAATATAAATTCTGTCTATGATGAGAGCATGGTACAAGTCAAATGAAGCTACTTACATCTTTTTATCCTATCTTGTTCCACAAAAAATTTAAGATAAATTGTACTGATACTTCTAATATAACAAAGATAAATTAATGCAAAAAAAAAGGAAAGAAAATGAGGCAAGAAAAGGTAAAGGTGAGATAGGAAGAGGGATTGAAGAAATAAGATTGTTTTACAAAATTCACGGAGTCCTGTGGCCATATCATAGGTGTGTGACAAGGTTCAACAGTTGTTAAGTAACCTGTCACTCAAGAAAAGCCCAGCTTTTCCTGACTGAAAATATTTTTTTTCAAAGGTGTTTTATTCCTTGTGGAAAATGAGATCTAGGTGACAAAGAAACTAATTTGCCTTCCCTCTTCAGCATTTATTTTACTATGTGACCTTGCACAAATCATGTCACCACTCTGGACTCTCATGTTCCCATCTATACACACAGAAGATTGGATGAGATGAACCCCAAAGCCCTTTGTAGCCTCTACATTTTATAACTTGATTCTGTTCTGCAAAACGTCTACAGCATCCTCCTCCAAGCATTTGCAATTCATGTGACAATCTTATTGAAATTCTTTGCTATCCTCTAACAAAACTAGTTTTTCATTTGAAAATGTAGTTTTATTTCTTTCAACCCTGTCATGGGCCTCCTGACAGAACTTAAGGAACCAACATTCTCAGTGTAATAGCCACTTATTACTTAAGCCAACCTTACAATAGAACCAATAAAAGCAATCAATTGCTAACTTGAGCAGATCTGCATTTACTCAGAGTGTGGGTATTTTATTCTCAGTATTCTGTTCATTATATTCAATTTTTTAGTTTGTTGACCTTTCATTATATACTTAATAGGCAATTTTTCAATAATTTCCTCTGTTCTCATTGGGACTGCCCAAGGGCCCGAGAAACGCAACTGGAGGAAGCAGCTGATGAAGAGGCTCCTGCGCCCAGCTTGTGAAGATCTGTTGGGAAGAATGTGACTCTGGTCTGGCTCTTTAGCCGTGGTTTCTTGATTTGTATTCTAGATCATAGCAGAAACTCAGCCAAACCGACTTTTTATCTGGGTGAGAGGGCTGGATGGGGAGAAGAGATTTTTCTGGATATTAGGAACAATCTTTCCTCTTCAAGATCTACCTCATCCACCACTTCTTTTCTGTCTCCTCTGAGTATGCTCTCTTGTAAATCTCCACCTTTTCTCAGCAGGAAAAGCTATGTGCCCCCTCCCTGCCCCTTACCCCACATTGCCTTCTCCATATTCTCTGCACTCCTGCAGACCCTGTGTGCTGCTGCTCATGGCTGCTCCTCAGACAGGGCAGGTAACTCACCCAAGAACACACAGCCACTAAGATACAGAGTTGAAGTTCAAATTCCAGTTTATAACTGCAAAGCCAGCAACTTAATCCTCACTATTAAACTGAATCTCCAGTAGAATTCTTTCTCCTCCCGGGTTCAAGCGATTCTCCTGCCTCAGCCTCCTGAGTAGCTGGGACTACAGGCATACGCCACCAAGCCCAGCTAATTTTTGTATTTTTAGTGGAGACGGGGTTTCACTATGTTGGCTAGGATGGTCTTGATTTCCTGACCTGGTGATCTGCCCACCTGGGCCTCCCAAAGTGCTGGGATTACAGGCTTGAGCCATCACACCAGGCCTCAAGTAGAATTCTATACTCTACTCCTCCATGAAAACATTTCAAATTTCTCTATTAAAATATCTTTGTGTGTGTGTGTATGTGTGTGTGTATGTGTGTGTATGTGTGTGTGTATGTGTGTGTGTGTGTGTCTCCCAGTTCGTCTACTAGGCCAGTACAGATTAGAATCATCTGGGGATCTTTTAAAACTTAGAAAGCCCAGCGTACACCTCAAACCAATTAAATCAGAATCTCTGGGAATAGGATACAGCAGTCACGATTTTCTTAAGCTCCTTAGGCAGTTCAATGTGCAGAAAAGTTCTGGAAGCACTAGTTTATATTACTGTTACAACTTTTGGCATAACTCAACCCTGTATTATATTCAGTAATTTACCTCTGTTTATAAATTGTAAGCTACTTAAGCAGAATTTTTTTTTGAGACAGGGTCCCCCATCCTGGAGTATAGTGGCACAATCATAGTTCACTGCAGCCTCTGACTCCTGGGATCAACTGATTCTCCCATCGCAGCCTCCCAAGTAACTAACATTACAAGTGGACACCACCATACTCAGCTATTTTTTTTTTTTTTTTTTGGTAGAGACAGGGTCTCACTAAGCTGCCTAGGCTGCTCTAGAACTCCTGGCCTCAAGTGATCCTCCTGCCTTGGCCTCCAAAAGTGTTGAGAATACAGGCATGAACCACTGCACTTGGCCCAGAAACCTTATTTTCTTCAAATTTGTGTTCCCCACAACACTAGGAAAATAGAGTAGCACAGTGAATATTATTAAATGATCATGTTCGTTCTACAAATTAAGTGAAATAGGCAAATTAATAAGATTTCAAATGACAGAATGAGATATGCCAGATGTTTGGGTGTGGGAGCCCTGAGGTGGAAATTGTGATTGCTTAGGGTAAAAATAGAGCATGCTAATAAGATCCTTAAATTTCTCCAATCACAAGAAAAGTAAACTGAGAATGATGAGTCTTTGTTTTTAATTCTGCTAAGGAAATAGGTCTAGGCTGCCACAGAAGTTGAATGAGTTACACTTTAGGAATAAACTCTTGATGACCCCAGAATGGAAAACAATGACCAAAGAAAGCCACAAAATCATCTTCTCAGCAGAAGTTTGAGAAAGGATGAGACCACAGTTTGTTTTCAGTTCTTAACTTAAAGGTGGGATAAAACTTCCACTAGGAACTATAAATAATTGTTTTTTTTTGTTTTTTTTTGTTTTTTGTTTTTGTTTTTTTGTTTTTGCTGGTAATGTGGTGAGTTTCTGATTCTTTCTGGAGATTACAAAACAATCCATTTATTAAGTCCAGGATATAAATTCAGACGTTCAGATTGGTCATAAGACAGTTCGAGAAAGCAAAAGGCAGATTGTCCAATCTGGCTGCTCCAGGTGCCAGGAGTTATTAATTATGCCTGTTCTAATAGCAAGAGCTGGGAAGCAGCAAACTCAAAACATGTGGGGAAAACAAAAAATTAGATGGTGGTTTGCCTTAATGAGAGGAAGTAAGAGGCAGCAGCCACAGCACCAGGCTCAGTACACTGAGTACAAATCCTGCCAGCAACATATTTTAGCCACAACTGGGCATGATCACCATAGTCGCTACAGGGATCATGGAGTCCTAGCGGGCTCTCCAACATCTGTGCAGTAATCAGTGAGGTCACTTTCTTCTTTGTGCTTTTCTAGGGTGGGTGAGGGAGGATTCAAGAAGTCAAGAGGGACTAATCAGAATTTGGTGTTCGGTAGATCATAGATTATGAGAGCTGGATGGTACATTACAGACTAAATAGTCCAACCCTGCCCATTCCCACATATGAATAAACTAAGTTCTAGAGTAGCTAAGTGACATAACCCATGTCACCCAACAATGGCAGGGCAAAACCAAAGTTTTCTCTATTCTTTTTCTCTCCGGTTAATAGCAGACTCCTTTTCTTCCTACTTAAGAAACTGGCTTTCCTTAGACTTTTGCAAGCTCTTTAAATAGCGAGGAGCCTCACCTTGGCAGAGGCCTAGGTATTTCACTTTCCATCTTTAAACATGGCCCTGGATTAGCTCTGCTTGATGAGTAGCCATCTCCTATCCTGCTTAGAACTCTTCTCCTGGTTTAAGCCTCAGAAATTCAGGCTCTGGGATGCTATGACATTTCTGCCAAATGGTATATGATAGCTTCCACTTGGTAGGACAGTCATCATTTTACCAATGAGCCATAGATAGGCTTGGTTCATCAAAGGAGACCATCAGACTTACCTGTGGGTGTCGTTCCCTGACTTACTCATCAGCCTGCTATCTAGGAGGTCTCTAGAGCCAAAGTCTTGGGGGGTTGTGCTTCCCTCTGACCCACTGGACTCTGAGCATATGGAGGCCAAGATCAAGGTCTTACTCATCTTCATTTCCTGCTTGTTGCTTGGATGATGTCTACTAAATTTTAATAGATGAATGGGCCAAACACTTATAGGAAGAAATTTACAGACTGGAACTCACTCAGTGAGCAGCAACCAGGACTGTGAGAAGATGAACATTTGAGTAGGATAAGGGATGCCTTAAAAAGAAGAGATATTCAACTTGGAGAAGAAAATGTTCACTGGGGAAATGATCATCATCTTCAAATAACAAAAGGGTGTCTTTGGGAAGATGAGAAGTAGGAGAAGGCAACTCTGGAAAGGAGGACTTCAGAGGAACATAAGAATCTGCTTTGGGAACAACCCATATTTACTGAGGATCCTCTCTTGACAGAGATATGGAAAGGAGGGGACAATCAGTGGGGAAACAGCGTGGCCCAAGACTTCTAACTTTAAGGAGCCTCTGCTACCTTAGAATAGAGAAGAACTGGTAGCACTTTAATTGGAGGCAACATTGAAGGTAAGGAGAAACTATTTGCAGTAAATTGAAATGGAGGCAGGAGTAGAAAAGAAAGAGGTTTGAGGATAGAACAAGCATGCTTCATCCTCCTAGGATTCCTCTTTTTATAATAACAATACTGATTATTAAGTGCTTCTATTTACCAAGCTCTGTATCATAATTTTAGCCTCACTGATGATAACCCTGATACAGCAACAATCAGAAAGCCCCACTTCATACAAGTTGAACTTGAAAAAAATAAAGGAAATTGATTTTAAAAAAACATGTTGGCAAGCTTTCTGTGACACTGGCATGCTCGTGTGTGGAACACAAACTGAACGCAAATGGAAACAATCCCTTTGGAGAGCTGTTTGGCAATACCTTTCAAGGTCATAAAACTCAGCTAATAATCTCAGTCCCAGGGATTTACTCTAAGTAAAACGCCTCTTAAAAAAAAAAAAAAAAAAAGAAAAAAAAAACCCTATATGGTCAAGGTGCTTTAAAATAGCAAAACCTGGAAATAATCCAAATTTCCAACAATTTAGGAATGGTTAAATAATTTATGATATATTAACTCCATGAAAAATTATGTAGCCATTAAAATGATAAATGAGAAGACTCTGTGGCAAAATGAAAGACATATAACAAATAATGGGCAAGCATGAGAGTGGAATGCAAAATTGTACACATGCTCTGATTATCACTGTAAAAACACTTATGGCTAGAAATTGAGAGGGACAATAGGGGTATATAAAAAAATTATTGTTTTGTGAGATTTTGTGCATAATCATTGTACACTTTATAAAATGAAAACACAGAAGAACTCTTGCCGTCGCTGGGGAAATTTGAGAATCACAGCATGTAAGTTAGAAAGCATTGTATGGGTCCTTGGCGAGCGCTCTCTTTGTACGGTTAAGGAAACCAAAGCCCTGAGGAAAGTAGCTTGTCTGTCCCACAGCTAGTTAGCAGCAGGGTTGAGGCTAGAACACAGAAGCACAGAGTAGAGGATCCTTGGAAGATTACATTGAACAGCCGGATAATGTGGGAAACACACAGGGTGAAGAGGGCAAGAGAGAAAACAGGATTGCCTGTCATAAAAATTCTCAGATGTGAGCAGCAAATTCAGTCAGTGAAGAACACACCCCATTCTCCGTCTATTGAAAACAGCTACTGTCCACTCACTGAGTGGGCTGTGGGTCTGAAAAGAGAGGATCTGGTTTTCTGCCTTTGAGGGTCATCTTCCCTCACCTTCTCTCTTTCCCCATTACCACCTCCTGAGGTCAAGTTCTTGGCAATTATTCTCCAAACTCTCTGTGGGGCCAGTGATGCCCCAGTTGCTGCGCTAGGACTGGAGACGCAATGTTGACTAAGACACACATAGCCCTTGCTCTAATGGTGCTTTCACTTTAGGATTGAGACAGACAATTAGCTTGCTAACAAATAAATAAAATGATTTAATAAGGCAATGTGTACTACCTTAACAAACAAAACAGGGATTTGTGATGGGGACAGACAGTATGGGGCATGGAGGCTTATAAGCAAGTGGGTAACATGGTCTGACATATGTTTGAAAGCTTACTCTGGCTGACTTTATTTCTAGGATAATTGCAACAGTCTCTGTCTCTTCTTACTATGGCCAAGGAGGTCTTAACAAAATGTAAATTTGACGTGACACTGCTCCATCTGAAAACTTTTTAAGATTCCTTGTCAGCCCCAAGCTAAAGCTCAGACATTCAGCACAGCTATGGAAATTTTCATGCTAGGCTTCTATACCACCTTCACCCCCGCCACAGTGCAGGTCTTGCACTCTGCACCACAGCCCTCTTCAGGAGTCCCAGCCAGCTGCACACTCCCCTCAGGCTGAGCCTTTGAGATGCTGTTCAGAATCTGACCCTTTCCTCCTTCCTTGTTTATAGAACTCTTTCTCTCCCTTTAAGGTTTTGTTTGAATGTTACCTCTCCCCTCACTCTTCCAGGCACAGCAGATTAGTCACCGCTTTCTCTGTGCTCATAACATGCTTTGTTTACACTTGTATCAGGATATACCACATTGAATCATAATTATGTGTTTGTGTATGCATGTAGGTATAATAAACTCTTAGAGAGCAGAAGCCATATCTTATTTATGTTTTTATGTCTAGAACTAAGTGCAAGCTGGGCACCTAGCTTTAGTGAATATTTAATGAATGAGTTGGTAATAGATCATTGGATAAAAGGATGGATAGGTGGATGAATGAATTACTAAGCAAATAAATACAATCTATCCTCATTTTAAAAGCAAGGCAAATATGATCTGTTTCCTTATCTGTGAAAAGAATCACATAAGGTGATTTTTAAGGTTACTTCCAGCTCCAGGGTCTGATAGTCAATAAATCACAACTGGTTATTGCCGTTGGAATCAGAAAGCTTTCTTGGCTTGGCTGCTTGAGATATCTCAAAACGCTCCCAGGTTCATATTAAGGACTGAAAAGTCTGTGGATCCTTAACTTGCAAGCCTGCTGCACTGGGATAAATAAAACCTGGGCCTGGGCTGGGTGTTCTCCTGTCCCAATTGGCAACACTCACCATACCCAACATATCTGGTGAGGGAAGAAGGCTCGAGCAAAACAGGTTTTGAGCCAGCTCAGCAACAGCACAGCTATACATTCCTGTAAATTTCCAGGCCCATGTGAAGGCCGGGACAGGCGTGAATATTCCGCTATGTCACTCAGCTCCCGTGGTTATTTTTGTTCACCCCATCATCTTGTGGATGTGGCTTCAGGACAGACCTGTATAGATTTAGGTCAGAGGTCAGGAGAGAAATAATTCCTAATTCAGCTTTCAGTGGAGGAGAAAAGAGTGAGGACACACCATTCCCTCTTATGAGAATAAAGGTGAGACTGACCTGAGATTCCATTCATGCAAGAAGGCCTGTCTTACACCACTACAGGCCTAGTCCTCTGTTAGGAGAATATGGAGAGAGATAAAGTGGTTCCTGTCTTCAAGGAGTTTATACTCTAGTAAGAGAGATTGCTAATGTGCCTAAGGTAAGTTATTTGGGGCACAGAGAGGACAGTCCATGTGGATGAAGGTTGGAAGGTTGAAGGAAGAGGGAAGGAATACTTTATAAAGGAGGAAGTGTCTTCAACAGAGAGAAATGGAGATTGACTATGACAGTCAGAAAAAAATGCTTGAACGAGGGTAAGGAGAAGTCAAAGTACAGAGCAGTGGGGGAAGGTAAGCAGAGACTTGGGCACAGCAGAGGATGGGTAAGAGAAGGAAGGGAGGTATTTCACAATGTTGAAAGATGAAGGACAGGAGGGGTCAGCCGGGTCTTAGAGACCAGCCTCATCATTATTAAAATAAAATATTATCTAGTGCCAGTTATTGCCAAACAGGAAACCCTGTTCCTTCCTCTGAGTGCCAATCTCCAGGGTTTAGAATGCACCTGGAAAGCAATGGGGGTCTCTGGAGGCTCTTGAGAGCAGGGTGGGGTAGAAAGTGTTGAGACTTGTTCCCTGCCTGCTTCCCTTTCTTACCTGGATGCCAAGTGGTGGAATTGGCTTGGCAGGGACTTGAGCCTCATGGAGGGTTGGACACGTGACCTCTCTGATACTCTCCTAAGAGTGTCTGTGATCAACTCTGTGCTTATAGTCAACACAAGGCATTTGCAGAAAATAGAAAAACGTGAGTATGCATGTGCATGGACATACACACCCAGATGTCTCTGAAAATAAGTCTCCTGGAGTTAATAAAGATGTGATATAGAAGGCCAGATATCAAAAAGCACCCTTCTGGCAGCAGTTATAGGAGTTGGTCCCTCACAGAGATTTCATGCGATAGTCCCCTCTGCACTCTGGAAGGTAATGGAAATCCCAGCCCTCTCTTTTCTCATGTACAAACGGCAGATTTCCAGGCCCATGATCAAAGGCAGAAGGAGAGCTCAGAGAATGGCAAGAGGAAAAGAGAACAATCAGAATCTGAAACTAAGGCAGAGAAAACATTTATTAACCAACAAAGAAGCTCATTTTCGAGAAACTGAGTCCTTTCAAAAATGCAATCAGCATTAAAATCACTAATTTCCTTCTTCCTCTTCCTTCAGAGGGAGGAGTTTACAGTAAATTAATTTGGAAGTTAAGTGAGTACAAGTTTATCTTTAAAAGTATGTAAGAGACAGAACTAGGGATGAATCAAGCTTCAAAACATAAGCAAAGTAAAGGACGAAGCTAGGAATTTAAACCTGTCTTGGTGACTTTTTAAAAAGTTACTCTTGCAGATGTGGGGAGTTGTGTGACTCTTTGCTATTTTTAAAAAGTTTTCATTTTGACTGAATCATGGGGACTTCATTAATCCTTTACCCTGTGAAGTGTTTTGGAGTCATAGCCAGGGCTTTTGTACAGAAGGGGACTTTGATGACCTTCAAACCGTATTGATAGGGTAAGTTCCTAGAGTCCCCGAGCAAACAGGCCATTTCTCCTCCAGCTCTCTGTTTCCTGCTGTGCAGAAACTCTGCATAAAGGTAAGAGTTGGTCTGCTAAAAAGATCCCTGGTCTTAGCCCCAGAATATTTGGGTTCTAGTATCAACTCTAACCCCTCACAGACATGAGGCTATAGTGACATTCCCTCTCTGGGCCTTAATTATCTTTTACAGAAAATGATGAAATTAGGCATATTTTCTTCGTGGTTCCTGTCAGAACTAATGCTCTATGAATTGAATTTGTTCAGACACCAAATTGGCTAGTTAAGAATTCGATTCTTTTCTTCTTTCCCCTGATGTTCTTGAGGAAAAAAATAATAACAAAATAATGACTTACTCTATACCAGGCACTATGATAATATGTTTATGCTTATTATTTCACTTGCCAACAAACTGGTATGAAGGAAGAAATGATTCAACTCAACTGCAGCAGCAGTTCCAGCGATCTGGTTGGGAGTTAATACTGATGCAGCCCAATTGTCCCCACCTCCTGCATTTCTACCTCAAATCCTTGAAAATGACAAGTCGCGATCTTAACAATGGTATTAGGTGCTAATAGATCCTGAAGTACCTTATGGATCATAAAAAAAAAAGCTTAAATCATACCCACTATCATTTTAGTGATTAGCAAAGTGTGTTGTAATTTACTTATTTTGAAACCAAGAATCAGTAAATGATATGGAGGGTAACCCAATGAACCAGAATTTTCCATTGCTCAGAATGCCCCATTTCCTAGCCATTTTGGATAAACAGGAATTTACTATGGCATTAGAATAATAATAGCCTACAAGGACTAGATTCTGGTAGCTGTAGCCTTGCCAACAGTCCAGCAATGTGTCCACTGCAGAGATCACTGTCCACTCCAGCCGGGTATCACCAGGGCCCAATCAGACTCCTTTTCAGAAATCATGGGCGGTGTTTCCATGGAGCTCTGCCCGAAAAGAGGTGATCTAAATCTTGCATGAGAGATGTACATCAACAGGGAGCTTTGCCTAGAACACTGTGACCTAAAAAATCATATTAAGGAACTCAGAATGCAGAGTCAGTTTCACAGACACCAAGTGACCTTGTGCAAGGCACCTCACGTATTGCCTCGCCTTCTTGACACCCCCTAATGAATGGTGACAGCGACACGCCCCAGCCGGCTGGGGCAGGCATTCTGATTTTCACTGCTCTGTTTCTTTTTCTTTCTCTCTCTCTCTCTGTTTTTTTGTTTTCGTTTTTTTTTTTTTTTTTTTTTTTTTTTTTTTTTTTTTTTAAGGCAGCCTGCTCCTTATATTAATCATCTTGCTGTTTGTTTAGTTCTGGGAAGGCAAGCACTGATTCACAAAGGAAAATCTCGCCTAGTGGTCAGATTGAATAGTATCTTTGCTACATTTCGGTTTGAAGATACCACCCAATTTATTTTTGATATTTCTTATATAAGGTTGCACATGATACATTTCTTGTGGAGTTTAGGGCTAGAAAGGGCTGGGTCCCCCTTGATCCATAGCTATTCTTCCTTTACTAGAGGAAGAGGGCTGTGAAATGCAATGCATGTTCCTTTCTTGTCTAAGCTGCTGGGAAGCTCAAAATCACATCATATGCTTGATTAAAATTATTCTTATTCTGTGTTTTTTTCTTCGAGCTGTCCTTTCATGACAAGGTCTTAATCTTTCATCTGTGTTTTAATGATCCTGTAATTTCTGTGACTAACAGTATATGTTACTTCAAATCCTTTTTTAAAGTAAGTGGCATGCAAATAAATCAATAATGCGGACAACTATGTTTTATAAAAACTTTGCAGATAAGAAAATCGGAAAGATTAAACCTTATTCTATGATGAAGTCTGAAATTTCATTTCTAACACAAATTAATCATTAATATTTAAAAGCTTATACATAGTAATAGCTATGAACCTTTGCATATCCCTTACCATTTATAAGGCAAACGCTTTCACATATGTGATCTCATTTTGTAATTAGCATTCACACTTTACAGATGAGGAAAGTGAGGCTTAGTGAGATTAAGTTAGTAAACTCAGATCTTCTGACCCTAGGCCAAGTCTCGAGTTGTTCTCCCCACCCCGCCCCCAACATCACTTTGCCTCTCATTGTCTTCTCATTTAAATCAGCATTCTTCTCACTACCTCTAGACAAACGCTTTGTTTTTTTAATGTGTCCATCAGAATTAAGCAAAAAAGCCATTTCAAGTGTTTATTTCTCTTACTGGGAGGGTATGCAAAAAGTTTGGAAACCACTGATTTAAGGTCTAAAGGGTCAAGCTTGAAGCTTGGAGTGGTCACTTCTAGAAGATCTGAACTCCCTGTCATCCTGGGGTTCCCTGTGTCAGTTTAATGGGGCAGGGGGAGACATCCAGTCTCTAACATACTTTTCTTTTCTAAATAAATGTAATGCCTAAGTGACACACAGATACCTGTAATACCTGTTGACACCAAATCAACAGATTGCTGGGAGAGTCAAGGAGAAGAAAGTTTCGTTACTCCCTAGGGCTTGTTGGTGAGAAAACACATGTGAGTCTTTAAATTGAAAGTGTCAGAGACGTGTTGTTCCACCAAGGGAGGAGTGGGGGGCAGTTGGCCAGCTTACTTTAACACGACTCTGAAGATAAGTGCTTGGTAAGCACTGTATTTGTATTTTTGCTTTTTGCCACTTCAGGCAACCTACCTACTGCCAATTACAAGTTGAAAAGCTTTGGAGATAGTTTGTATAGAAGGTCCTCTGCCTACAGAAACTTCTGGGAGGCTGAGTACCCTAAAAGAGATGTGCATCCGATGAGGTTGTGTCTGATTCTCCTCCAGGTTTGGACAGACCCAATTCTAGTTTCCCATTAGGGCCCAGATCCTGCCCACAGTCTGGGGGCTAGAGAGGCTAATCTCAAAGGGCTAGAAATGAGTCAGTTTCCACGCTCAACATCAGGCGTGTGGCTTCCTGAAGCACAGACGAGGAAGCGTTGAATTTCAAAGAGCAAATTTTTTTTTTCTTTGCATACCATATCCGGAACTGAAACCACCAATTCATTTCACTTAAGATTTTGCACTATACTCAGATCATCAATAACATCCCAGAGATAAGATACCAAGATTTTCTCAATGCAGACATTCTGTCTTCCTCTCTTTCTGTCTTTTGGTGATGACTGTTATTGAATTCTTCTTCTTTTTCTTCTTCTTTTTGAGTCCTAACAACACAAAATTCGGAAGCCTTTGTTTTTTTCATAGGTGTCTGTGAGTACTAGAAGTCAAATGTCCAAAAATCTGCTGAGACTTTCACCTTGCTCATAACTTTCTGCTTTCCCTTGCTAGTCAGGTGTGTGTAAGATCACAGATCCAGCATTCCACTCAAGGGGGTAACTAGATTTGCTGAGGGCTCGCTGAGGTAACCAGTCACCTCACTAAACAGTGAAAGTGGTTGAAAGATGGAGTCTGTGGCAGATTCATGCAAACTACCCTCACAATGAGAAAAGCAATGGAAAATACTCACATCCTCCTGATGCTGCTGTAACATCAATATGTTAGGAGGAAGGAAGATTCCTACATATCACAGTGCAATTTATAAACCACTTTCACATTCGTTCTGTCTTGATTCTTACCGGAACTTTTGAGATCAGCCACACAAGCATTATTCTTCCCATTTTAGAGATGGGGGCACACAACACTAACAAAAGTAGAAAGATGGACCTAAGCAGTGACAGTGACAGAGCCAGAGGCCTCCGATTAGACCCCAGCTTTATTGATTCTAAGTCCAGTATTCTTGTAACTGCTGTCTAACCTTATGTATAATATAATATTACATCATAATCCATGACCTAATGTTACACAGTCATTTGTTGACATTTTAAAATTTCAAGTTCTTGCAGGTCAGAGTTAATGGTTGTTGGTCATTACTTTGGTATAACCCTTGCAGGCCTCTGCTTAGTTTATTCAAAAAGTGGGGGAATGGCATTAAATTCTGTGTTGCTTTCAGTTCTAACATTTTGTGAGTCTATGTGTCATCCTTGGAATTGCCCAAAAGTGTTACCACAGTGTTCACCACGGAGCATCAGTTCCCAGGATGACAGTAGTTTTAGGTAAAAATTGACACCACCATCAAATAAGTTTTTAAAAAGAAGGATTGGCCAGGTGCGGTGGGTCATGCCTGTAATCCCAGCACTTTGGGAGGCAGAGGCAGGTGGATCACGAGGTCAAGAAATCGAGAGCATCCTGGCCAACATGGTGAAACCCCCGTCTCTACTAAAAATACAAAAAAATTAGCTGGGTGTGGTGGGGCACACCTATAGTCCCAGCTACTCGGGAGGCTGAGGCATGAGAATTGCTTGAACCTGGGAAGCGGAGGTTGCAGTTAGCCAAGATCATGCCACTGCACTCCAGCCTGGTGACAGAGCGAGACTCCGTCTCAAAAAAAAAAAAAAAAAAAAAAGCAGGATTATTCCAAATGAAACAGGTTGCTTTGCTACAGCCCTTCTCAGAGCCTTTGAATGTAAATCTACAGGGAGGAAATATGGATACACAACATTCCTCTTTACTTGGCCCTAGAACACGGATCTTATGAGATTAGTACTCCATGGAGTTCATTTTAATAAACAGTGGACATTCTCTAATGATCCCATTGGTCTCTCAAAGCAGCAGCACACATTTCAAGAGAAATTTTGCACCATTCCAGCACCACAAACCCCACGCCACACCGTGCCAATGCCGCACACACCAAGTCATGCGGTGTAGTCCTCCAACCCAGGGCCACCTGAAGTTGAGCAATTCCAGCTGCACAATCTGGATCACATCACTTCAGCCACAGAAGCTTTTGTGTTTAAAAAAAATCCCCACAATCTGTCTGAAAGCAAGGACTTCCACATGTTGCCTGAATACAGGACTAGAGACAGCGCCTTTCATTGCCTTGGAAGTTTATTGCCCTTTCATTTCCCTGAGTGCAGAATCCCATCATTCTCCCGATTATGAGAGGAGAGAAGAGAGGCTGCCCAAGGTTTTTGCATCCTGCCTCTTGTCATTCTGTCTCCCCTGGCTTTTCTAGTATCTTTCCTCTTTAGAGAAAGGAATTCTAGACTCTCAGACTCTTAGGAGTGTGGAAAACCAAAGGGGAGATTTCTCCAATCTGCAGCCACTCTTAACTTGACTCTTCCCCTTTGGCCTCCCTTCCAGAGCCTCTGTTGAACAGCTTCTGTGGGGCGGTGCTCACTCCATCCAGAGGCAGCCTGGCTCCATGTTTTCACACTTCAGATTATTCAAAAGTTCTGAACCACACTCTGTCTTGTGGGAACTTCCTACTATGGGCTCCAAACAAGTTTGATCCTGCTGATCCTGCTTCCACACGTGTAAAATGTGTCTTCCCCAATCTCACAGGCGACTCTACTTGTCTCAAATTCATATCTTAAAGGTCCCATAAGCAGTATGTACTTCCATTTTTGAGCCCAAAATATCTTCTGGCTGAATTAACTTTCAGTCATCTCTTCCAATCTCCATGGTTCTAGGGGGCAAGTCTTTGTGGTGACAAAGATATTATTAACCTCTTTAACTGGGAACCCTCTCCTCAGAGTTTAGACTTCCTACCCTGGGGTTAGATCAACAAATGCCGTAGAGAAAGTTAGTGTTTCTACTTTTGACCTCAGCTACAACTTGTGCTTAGCTGAAGATTGCTAACTATTTAATAGACTAAGACAAATTATCTTTAGTTCTAGAATGATATGAAACTTCCTAGGACTAAATTATGCAAAGGAAATTTCAGCTAAAATAAGGCATATAGGCAAACAGACATTTTAAATGGCCTTGGGAATTCTGTTTTATTTGCAAGAAGAAAATAATTCTTATTTTCCCCTTGACTTGAGTAGATGTTCTGCAGTCTTTGTCAGCCATCTAGTTGGTGCTTTAAAGTATTTTTCTTTGTCTGTTTGGGTTTTTTGAGTTTTAGAGACATAGTCTTACTCTGTCACCCAGGCTGGAGTGCACTGGCACAATCAGAGCTCACTGCAGCTTCGAACTCCTGAGCTCAAGCCATCCTTCCACCTCAGCCTCCCAAATAGTAGCTGCTGGAACTACAGCTATGTGCCACAATGCCTGGCTTTTTTTTTTTTTTTTTTTTTTTTTGGTAGAGATGGAGTCTCACTTTGTTGCCCAGGCTGGTCTCAACCTCTTCATGGCTTCGAGTGGTGCTCCTGCCTCAGCCTTTCAAAGTTCAGGGACTACAGGCATAAGCCACTGTGCCTGGCCAGTGATTTAAGATTTTACATGAATATTTTACTTTCCTTATTATTTATTCCCATAATAATCCTTTCAGATCATATATTATTGTATCATGTCATTACGCTTTGATTATTTTATGAACACATTGGTGCTTCTGAAGAAGTTCTTATAGGTTCAAGTCTTTTTTCCTACTGTTGGAATCCTGAACTGTGATGCAGGAGTTCTGGGTTCTAACACCTGTGTGACCGTAAGCAAGTCCCTTTCTCTTTTGGCCTTCAGTTTCTACATCTATAAAATGAAAGAGTTATGTGGTGAACTAGATGATCTCTGAGAAACCTAATTCTGGCCAGCCTCTAGCAATTGCTTGTCCTTATTCACAAAATAAACAGAAAGATGGAAAACAGGGCTGGATTCAGGAGGGCAAACTTTTCCCTACTAATTGCCATACTCATTGTGTGTGGGAAATAAGATCTCATTATCTTTACATCTAAAAAGACAACATGCCCACAGCCATTAACTACACTCGACACAGTGACAATTATTTTTTACTGTAGCAACTCTGCTTGGTTCAAGTAAAGAAAAATTTGAGAGAAAGTTCAAGTCCTGAAACTGCTAATGCCTTCCTGTGATGGTATGTGGGATGCTGTGGGGGTAGGGAACAATAAGCCAGACAGTTCATCTTAGGGGTAACCTCTTTGGTTTATGTAAAATGTATGACTCAAAGCAAATTCATTCTTGTAGGCTGCCATGCCTGAAAGAGGATGAAGCCTCTCTGAAAAGCTATTGGCCCCTTCATACACTTAATCAGCTACATCTCTATGTTCTATGTTGCGATGTCTAATTTCCAGAGGAAAGATCATTTTCAAACCACATAAATGATGATGCTTTTGGAAAAAAAGAAACCAACAGAAAGGAAAACCCACCTCTCCTAAATGTAAAGATTTCGATATGAACTTGCTTATTGTTTGTATTATACACCCACATTCTTGATGCCTGGTATCTCTGAAATCATTTCAGTTTCCAGAAATCATTTGAGACACTCCTACACCCAGGGTTTTGATAAACAGTCCAGTTTCTACAGAGAGTAATTACTGTGTGTGTGTGTGTGTGTGTGTGTGTGTGTGTGTGTGCGCGCGCTTGAGAGACAGAGAAAGACAAGTTTTGGGGTAGAGAGAGAGAAAACCAGAGCACACTTGTGAACTACACAGCATGGGCACCTGCAAAGGCTGGAGTAGGTTCTACAGTAATGTGCAAAGGAATTCAATGAGCATGGGTCTTCCTGCATGAATTAAGAATTTCTCTTTTGAGAGTGCAAGAAATTTTAGGGTAATTTTACTCAAATGCTAAGAATAAAAGTAATGATCAACATTTTGGAGCACTTACTATGATCCAGGAGCTTTTCTAAGAGATTTAGTACATAATGACACATATATTATTCATAAAAAGTCTGTGAGGTTGATAACATTATTATCCCATTTTGCAGATGAAAACACTGAATCGCAAAGAATGACCTGGATGCAATTAGAGACTATTATTCTAAATGAAGTAACTCAGGAATGGGAAACCAAATATTGTATGTTGTCACTGATATGTGGGAGCTAAGCTATGAGGGTGCAAAGGCATAAGAATGATACAATGGACTTGGGGATTTGGGGGGAAGAGTGGAGGGGGGCAAGAGATAAAAGACAACAAATATGGTTCAGTGTGTACTGCTCAGGTGATGGGTGCACCAGGTTCACACAAATCTCCACTAAAGAATTTACTCATGTAACCAAATACCACCTGTACCCCAATAACTTACGGAAAAATAAAATTAAAAAAGGAGGTCCCCAATCCCTTGATCATTAACACTGAATTAAAATCCTGCTTGACCACTGTGAAGACTCAAGGTACCACTTTCTCTGGGAAGCACTTTTAGTGAGATGGAATCTCAATTTGCTCTGAGCTTTTTCATGGCACTGAAGTCTCTGCCATAACTTACAGTAATCTGTGCACATGCCAAATCATTTCTGCAAGACTCTAAGCTCCTATGATCAAGATGGTTTTAAATTTATTCCTATTATTCCACAGCATAGTGAAGCACCTGGCACTGGGTAGGCACCTAGGAAATATCAGTTGAGTAAATGTATGAAAAGACTCAAGTTTCAGATCCAAGTTCTCTGCTAGCTGAATCTTGAGACAAATGTTTGAAACTTTTAAAATACAATGTTCTGTTGTATTTTGTTTCCCCTGAATTCATCTTTACCACCTGGATGGTTATGGTGTGTGGTCTTTCTATCTGGCCTGGAAAATAGGTTTCAAAAGTGAAATTGGATTCTGAAGTTTGTTGCACACCCCACTCCTGATCCTAAAGTGAACTTCACACAGGTTAAACCAATATAGTTCATCTTTGCTCTCATGGAGTTCCTTATCCTTATAGAAACAGAGCAGAACTCTAGGAGAGGACAGGCCTAACCTCATCCCCAAAGAGTAGCAAACCCTATAGAAAACTTGATTATAGCAAGATGTCTCTCATAAAGATATAATCTTATAAGGAGACCATCAAAATAGACAACTCCTCAAAGGTCATTGACTTTAACCATCTTATTTGGCAGATGGGGATAATGTGGCTCAGAGAGAGGAAATGAGTTGCCAAAGGTGACAGATCAATCTAATAAAATAAATGGGAATAGACCCAGGGAAGGTAACTTCCAAATGAGACTCCTTTCCCTATTACATTTTGCTAGACTTCATGACTGGGTTATAAATCAACGATTCCTAAAATAAAGCCTATTTGTTTACATTTGAGGCAAAACCTTGATTTAAGTTGGAATAAGTCCTCAGGCTTCAACAATACTAATCATAAGTTACTGAATGACAGGGGGTCTCTATTTTTGATCACATACTAAACATTTGTGCCTACAAAGCTATGGCAGGATAAATTAGTTGGTTGGTGTCAGGAGAACATGAGTCACCATTCTCACCAGCAATAAATCCAATTGCTGGCATGGAAAAGATTAAATGAAAAATGACAGCTGAGATTGGAGCATGCTGGCCTCATTCCATCTAGGGTTCTTCAGTCCATGGGGTGGAAAATGTTACATCGTCCTTACAGTGATGGTCAAGGGTTTTTAAGTAGTTATCATCACTTAATGTTGCTGGTGGCTGAAAAGAGGGCAAAAGTGAACAATGACAAGCAGATGAAAGGAGGAGACACATGCTTGAGTCTTAACATTGATCCTGGCTTTTGGTTGACTTTGGACATGACACATGTCTCTGTGAGCTCCATTTTCCCCTTCTGAAAATTGATGGGAGTGGGGTGGGTTATATGTAGGGTCCCTTTCAGAATTTATCAGTCCCTTTTTTCTCTAGTGTGGTTCTGTGAGTCCTCAGGTGAGCAGAAGCTCAGAAACTTCTCATCTCAGCTAACAGTCTTGACATCATCAGGGAAAGGCCATTTTGCAGTACCAATCTTAGAGCCAAAAGAGCAAGCTCAGGCCGCATGCGGTGGCTCATGCCTGTTATCCCAGCACTTTGGGAGCTGAGGTGGGTGGATCACTTGAATCTAAGAGTTTGACACCAGCCTGGGCAACATGGCGAAACCCTGTCTCTATAGAAAATACAAAGACTAACCAGGCGCAGTGGCGTGGGCCTGTAGTCCCAGCTAATCAGGAGGCTGAGGCATGAGAATTGCTTGAACCTGGAAGGCGGAGGTTGCAGCGAGCCAAGATCACTCCACGGCACTCTAGCCTCTGTGACAGAGCAAGACCCTGCCAAAAAAAAAAAAAAATGCAAGCTCAATTCCCTTTTTAAACCTCCAGCTCTTCCTCTAAAAAAATAAGGTAATAATACCTATTTCACAGAGGTATCTTATGGATCAAATGAGACTATGTAGTCCAAAGTGCTTTGTAATCTGAAAATGATAAGGGGTTGAATAGATGATGATGAGTTTGAAGGTGGAGATATAGATGAGGAATTAAGGACGTGTTCTGGTTTTCCATAAAGATACAAATGAGCTGTAGGTTCAGGGTCAATAGGTAAGTAAAAGGTAAGGAGGGAGACGTTCCATCTCTACTCCTGTGCTCTGCCCACCGTGAGAATTACACCAGAGGCTTCTGCATTAACTCTTTCTTTAGTTACAACCATCACTCCTCTGTCCTCCCAATTTAAGAGGAAGTATCACCTGTCTTATGTCTTGTGCTTTCCTTTCCCCCACCCCTATCACTGCAGACCCAGCTGGGGTATCAAATCAAAACTCCTGTACAGATATTTCACCCTCACTTATTTAGTCTTTGTGCTATCTAAAACAGCAGAGGTGCTCCCTCCACCCACACACTTCCCTTTGTTTCGAGGGCTGCAGCACCCTGGCCTGTGGCAGTTAGAGCTCCTGGCTAGAGAAGCTGCTCGACCTCCAGGTCTTCTCCTGGCATGGGAGCCCTGGGTGTGCAGCAGGTTACCTGGCATTTTTCCAGCGGTAAAGCATAATGCTATCTGATAGGAATAACACATTAGGTAGAAAACACAGCTTTTCATATGAATTCACAAGTTTATGGAGCTGAAAAGGACTTTAGGAGCTACCTGGTTCAACCCCCTGTTGTTTAGATACAGAAACTGAGCCCTAAGGAAGAGAAGCAACATGCAGTATCATTTAGAAATAGAACCAGAATGGTCTTCAAAAGATGACATCTAGGCCGAACTCCTCATTGGAAAGATGAGAAAACTGTTAATTAGCAATGGAACGTGCTAGTTGACATGTGGTTAACAATGTTATCTGACCTGCTCTTGAGTTAAAGAACAGCACTGAAATTCACAACCTCTGATTCAAAACTCAGATTTCATTTCATGAGACATAGAAGGTATACGATGTGGAAACTATGTATATGAAATCAAGGGTCTAAGGAGATATAGCTTAAAAACAGTAGGTTATGATATTAATATAAATTTGGGGAAATACATTTATATCCATATTTTGGAATTTCAATGTTACAAGAGCTACATTATATATTCCTGGGTATATGATTATGATCAAGAGCATAACTAAATTTGTGGTAGAGGTTTAGGATATATTTTATAGGCATAAAATAACCACTAAGAATTACTTTCACTCCAACCCCGAGGCTCAAAGGAGCCTTGTGAAAGTCAATTTTCTATTCTGAGAAAGCAACTTATCTGTGATGGTCCAAAGGTAGGCCCTACCAAGTGCAGACTAAGGCTGGAAATGGAGATGTCCATGTGTGCTTGGGCCAAAGCCTGTTTCTTTCTGAAGTACAGTCCAGTTCTGGGGCTGGACTGTGGCATGCTTGTTAATGTTTAATAACTGCCTTTCTGGGAGGAAGCCCTCATTTGTTGTGTTTGCCAATATCCTTGGTGTAAATATTCTCATCATGGTTGAATTCAGGCCACCAATGCAACATCACTGAATGTGGTATTTGGAAGAGATACACAGCAGCACACCATTGTACAATATTTCTAACATACAAATGCAAGAAATACAAATAACCTCAAGAGCATATTTAATGATGAAATGTCCTAAAAAATAGGAAGTGGTGAGTTTTTAGTATTTATTACCATTATTTTTGTATGATTTATGTTTTTATGATTTACTTTTTAATAATGACTGTGCTTTTCCAGCAGTTCCCAAAATTCCTGATAATTTCACAATTAGCTCTTATAAACTGGAACAAGCCAGCTTCCAGCACACCACTAGGCCAGATAGACCTGGGTTTGAATCCTGGTCTGTTGTTCTGCTAGCTATGTGACATTGGTGAGGTTTTGAACTTCTTTGAGCTTTAGTTTTTTCTGCTATTAAAAATGATGACAATAATAATAATTTCATGGATTTATTGGTCATTAAACAAGATAGTGCTTAGCATAGTAGCTCCATATGATAAATATTCTATGTTTGTACTAGTATATTCCAAAGCCAAATTCATTTACTTAATAAACATTTTGCAGGGATGCATTTTATAGGTGTTTTGTATTGTACATTGTCTGCAGTATTACGCACTATGTGGGTACAAAGTGCCTCAGACATGACTCTTGACCTGCCCTTAGAAGGTTCATAGTCTATCAGAATGGGATATAAGACATGGACACCAATAAGTTTATAATACAGAACAAGCTATGGTCAGCTAGTTAAAAACAAACAGCCTGGGAAATGAAGAAAAGAGAGGATTTATGGAGGTGATGGCATTTGATTCATATATTACAGAATAGACTGGATATACAGAGATGTCCAGAAAAAGATTTCCCAAGAACAGAGAGTAAGGGAAGCAAAGACAAAGACAAAGGAACAGGAAGGAACAAACGGTACAAGGTTCAGTGGAACAGAATATGAAAAGTGACCCTGAGGAGACTGATGGACAGGCAGGCAACCTCCAGGTCATGTTCACCTTGAATGCTGAGGAATTTGGTTTATGTTTATGTAGGTAACGATGAGCCTGATAAGTGACACAAATCATGTTTTTCAATTACCTATCGTATTATTTTAAATATTATACTTGTTCGCTGAATAAATTTTGATGGTAACTGTTCTTTTCCCCTTTAAAAGAAATAGTTAAGAGTTAACTACATAGTGAAATACAGTTTTAAACTAAGTAAATTTCCCCTGTGGAAAAAATCTTATGCTCAGGGTTAGTAGGTGGCATTATAATTCCCAGTTGAAAACTATGTCATTGTTTAAAGGTTTTGATAAATATTAGCAAGGCTCAGACCAGAGGCAGTATTTCATGAGTTTTCAATTGTCTGCCACGTCTCTCGTGCATTATGCTTCACACACAAAAAAGTCAGATGACCTACATCTTCCTCTGCTCCAGTCTGAAGCTGCTATATATAGGCTTTGGTTATGAATGTTTTTTCCTACGAAAAGGTCAGACCTTGCACATGTACCATCAATGCATAGCTCTGTGTATTAAAGAGCAGACGGGCAAGTTTGTAAACATCATTGAAATATTACTGATATGGGGAAAGCTTGGCAGTTTGGTGAAAAACTAGTGGCCTCCAAACTCTCTTTGAGAGAAGACAGGGAAACCTCTCTCTTGTGATTACAGAAGCACTTTCCTTCTGGCTAAAGCAACATGTCACTGTCAGCCCACATGTACAGAAGCAGGCTGGGACACTCCCAGCCCCAGATCTCTCGTACATGTGGGTGCACACAGTTGCCCCTATCAGAGAGACACTAGGGTGCGTTAACTCCTCCTTCCCACTTCAAACCCCCATGGAACATCTGGAGGTGGAGCTGGGGAAGGTACCTTGGCCAGATAGATGCAAACACAATTTGGGGTTTCCGTTTGTACACAGGGTGCAGCAGCCACCCCTGGCCAACATCGAAACACAAGAGAAAATGTGGGGAGAGTTGAACTCTTACTTTTAAGCCAAAAGGTCATAGGTTCAAATACCCTTCTGATGTCAGCTGCTCCCTAGGGCTAACCCTTGAGTCTGAATGCTCTGAAAAGATTGGCTCCAGGAAAGAGGCCTGATGATTCAATTTGGATCTTTTCTCAACAAGGCCAAGTTCTTTCCCAGAATGAAATTATTTAATAACTATGTGAAACCGATGTGATATTCACTTGTTTAATAAACAAGAAATTAAAGTCCAAAGAGTTAAAGTGACTTTGCCCAAGTTCACTGGACAGTAGAGGAGATGAGCAGGCTTCATGATCGTGTCATCTTCCCATGAGGTCTGTCTCCTGTGGACTCAACCAGATATTCTTGTCATGTGCCCCAGGAACCAGCACTGAGATGGGCAGTGTTGCCATAGAAAACAATAGCTGGCATTGTGGGTGTCTTCAATTCGTTCATATCTACCTGTTAAGACAAGCCTCATAGAGGGGACATTACAAAATGGGAATCTCCAGGTTATAGTAAGTAAAGTATTATTAGGCTGAAGGTCAGAAAGAATCTGGCTCTGGTTTTAGATCAGATGTTACTTATTCATTTACTCACACATTTATTCATTCAATAAATACTCATTGAGAGTCTGTCAGGCCTCATTCTAAGCACTGAGAATATAGTGTTGTGAATAAAAAGAGATATAGTCCTGACCTCATGGAGCATAGACAGACTGGTGGCCTCCTATGTGTACATTGCAGAGCATATCTCTCTACATATATGTATAATATATAGCAATTATGTGTGTGTGTGTGTGTATATATATGTGTATATATATATATAGCTTACCCCTTTATCTGCCCCCTACCATGTAAGCCCATCACAGCAAGAGCTGTGTTTACTCCATTTGTGAATCTCGTTTCTTGGCACCAAGTGGGTACTGATTGAAAAATGATCTGTAAGGTTTCCTCAGTCATTCATTGAAAAGAACAAAGGATGCTTAATAAGAATTACAAGTGATTTTCATGACTTCACCTATTTCTTTACTAACATGGTTACTACTGAAGTCTTGTTCTTGGGCTCCACTGAGAAGGCCACAGATGCAGTAACTCCTTCATATCTTCCACCTCTAACATCTTGTGCCACCTGCCTGGCTGGGCCTCTTTTTCCTAATCTAGCTAAGTCTGCGCCTTCTGAGGGTGCTTGTCTCATCTCCCAGTCCTGAGCCTCCCTGGTCCATCCCCTGGTGATCCCCACAGAGTTTTCTCGCTGACAGCAAAGAAAGGTTTGGGGCCTTTGGAGATTGCCAATATGGTGACACTGAGGCAGTGAAATTCCTAGATTTGAATAATGTAATGACTGAGCATTTGTAGTTAAATAAGAAAGAAAAGAAAAACCTCATTGTGGTGATAAAAGCTATCCAAGAAAAGCAGGCTGCTTCACTGGGCAAGGAATTCCCCATGGCTGGAGGAGTTTCCCAGAAGCCAGGCCACCACCACAATGAAGCAAAGAAGTCAAGCGTGGGACGGAGGAGGGTCACTCCTGAGGTTCCCGTTAACTTCATCTTCTATGGCCACATCTCCATTCTTCATCGTTTTGAGAATTAATGATGCACCAAATCCCAGAAATTTCTTCCCCTTTTTTCCCAGATGAGTCTAAGTTGAAAAATTAACCTTTATTTATCTTTACCAATCCACAGACTAGAGTAACTGTGCTGATCCCAGATAAACGTCCTTCTCCTATTTCATTAGTTTAAGTCTCTTAAAATTCTCTTTTTGATATACTATTTACCTGATCCAAAATCCTTCACAGTTGCCCACCCTCTCCAGGCTAACACCCTGTCACTTTAGCCTGGCACTCTGGACCCTCCACCATCAGGCTCCAGAACATCACCTTTTCAGCCTCACCTTGAACTGCTCTTTATCCACCCGCTTGGTTCTCTACTCTGTTAAATGCACGGCCACTGGAACACTCCTCCTCTTTTCCATTTCCACATTCTTCTTTACATTATTCCAGTGCCAGTCATATTTGTAGTATCTTATTTCCTTATTCTTTGGAGTATTTTCTTATTTGCTTATGCTTCTGGAGAGCATGGACTGTCTTCATCATTACACAGCCAGTGCCCAGTCTGGCACTCAAGCCATGTATTGATTGGAATCAAATTGAATTACAAACATTTTTTTTTTCAATGAGGGAGGCAGAAGAGCATATTGGTTAAGAGCACAAATTTTGTAGCCAGACTTCCTCGGTGTGAGTCCAAACTTTACTATTTACCAACGAGGTGGCCTTGATCAAGTTACTTAAACTTTTTGGAATTCAGTTTCCTCATCTGTAGAATGGGAATAATAATAGTCCCTGCCTGACGTTATGAGTTGACTTTTATAAAGTGCTTACTTCCTTGACAGGCAGGCACACAGCTCTCCACTTACGTAGCACCTATTCATTCTTCAAGGTGCCCCTCTATTTCTCCCTCCTCCACAGATATTAATTCTATTTTCCATGTATAAAGCACTTTAGAGTTTACGAAGACCTTTCATATGTGTTTTCACATTTAATCATCACGGTGGCATGGGAGGTAGGTGTTGCTGTCCCCGGAGAGTTTTGGTGACACAGGTAAAGCAGGGGGAGGGCAGAGGGACAGGAGCCCAGAGACTGGTTTTCTATCCAGAGTATGACCAGCTTCAACGTTTTTCCTCCATTCTGAACCAGTGGGATGGTACAGCACTGTCCAGCATGTCACCAGGTAAGCCTCATTTCTGCCTTAAGGGTCCCCTATCGTTGCACCAAAACCCAAAGCCAGTGCTGTTGTTCTTGCTGTACTCGAGCATGTTATTTGCATTTCCAGACCAGGCTTAGTCTCATAGCCTTCTCAGGTGAGGAGGGACTTACTGGTTCATGTGCTCTCTGGAGGCTCTGCGGTTTCATTTCACCTGCTGCAGATTGTTCTGTGACCTTTCCTCCATCGCTGGACGCAAACCTTTCTCATTGCGAGATATTAGGTAACTGCAGAACAGAACATCCAAGCTAGAAGGAATTTTGGAGATCATTAAGTCCAATTCCAAAACCATCTTAAGGAGGAATGAACACTGAGTTCTAGGAAAATAAACTACTTGCCCAGAGACTTTGCTAATTTATGTGCTCCTCAGGGCAGGGCCATGTTCAAGCAATGAAGAAATAAGGATCAGGCACTTGCTTTCAAAAAGCACACCGTCCGGTAAACTACACCCTACTCATCTTAACATCTCAAATGTCTAACCCAGGGCCTAACACACATAGTAGATGCTCCATAGATGGTTCCCGATTAAGTAAACAAGTGAATGAATTAATGAATGTCACCTTGATAGTCACCTGCTGAGCCGGTGCCAAACCTTGAACTTAGGATTTCTATGCTGGGCTCCCACTGCTCATACTCTCTGCCTCCCCCATTCAGACTCATAGTAAGGTTCGAGAAACAGCCAATAAACATGACAAAAATGCATGCAAATATTCAATACCCATCATGTTTATTCACGATTCACAAGTGTATTCCTAGTCTTCTTCGATAAGACTCTCTCTCTATCATGATGTGACAGAAGCTAAGCAGAGAAACAGAGCTTCCAGCTGAAGAACAGCACTGACAGAGCCAGGAACTGCCTCTTGGAATGCCAGTACTGCCTCAAGCCGAAAATGTTCCCATGTCCTTGCTCTTCAAATAGGAACCAGCATATGACACATATGGGCTCATGATGGATATTTTAACATGTTTCAAATTTTGCCTGATTTTCACTCATTCCATAGAATGTCTAAGCTAGAAAATGCCTTGGAGATCATCAGGCTTAATAATTCTTTCATGGGACAGATAGAAATCCGAGAGTCAGAGGGGGAACGTGAGTGGTTCATGGTCACACAACCTGTCAGTGGCTCAGATTGACCCCAAACCCAGGATTCCTAGATTCCACCTAAGAGATTCTTTGTGTGCCCCATACTGCTGGATTCAGCATTAAGCCAGCAGACCAGTCAAGTGTAAGCTTCTTGAGAGCACAGGCTGTATCAATGGCTTATCTTTCTATCTCAGATTTCTAGCTCAGTGGCTTGCATGTCACAGAAACTCCTTCTCTACCCAGCACTGTGGAGTTCTCAGAGCTTTCATGTTCACCATGAGCCCCACTTTACATATGAGTGAGCCTCATGTTGCTCAAATGGACAAAGGGCTCACGGCTTCAGAAAAATGGTAGCAGAACTTGAACCCTGATCATTGGACAGCTAATTCATGCCCTTTTTCTGTCCTACGTAACCACCCAATAACTTTGATTACCAAGTGAGTAAATGATTACAGGATGAATGGTTGAAAGACTGACAAACATAGAAATCAATCACTCTCTCTTGAAAAACAGATTTTAAAAAACAAATAACTCGGCCGGGCGCGGTGGCTCACACCTGTAATCCCAGCACTTTGGGATGCCGAGGTGGGCGAATCATGAGGTCAGGAGATCGAGACTATCCTGACTAACATGGTGAAACCCCATCTCTACTAAAAAATACAAAAAAGTTAGCTGGGCGTGGTGTTGGGCGCCTGTAGTCCCAGCTACTGGGGAGGCTGAGGCAGGAGAATGGCATGAACCCAGGAGGCGGAGCTTGCAGTGAGCTGAGATTGCGCCACTGCACTCCAGCCTGGGGGACAGAGCGAGACTCCATCTCAAAAAAAATGAATAAATAAAAATAAAATAAATAAATAATTCTAGACCCTCATTCAGTAAAAAGTCTTTACTTGGACCCCCCGGTGGCCTGCTTTGGCTCTCTCACCTTGAATTTCCCTTCATTTGACACCAACATGTGTGTTTAGGGAAAAGGAAAAGCTAACAGCACTTAACCTCTGTGTTCCTTGAGGGGTCAATTTTTCTGATGTTAATCCTGTCCAATTTGGGTGATTTTAAAAAGTACAAAGAAAGACATTTAAGCCATGCAAATTCCTCCTCCCAGAGATTGCCAGTAGTTAACATTTTGGTGAATATCCATCATCTTTTTAAAATCTTTTTTCTAAAGCTTATAAATAAATTTTTAATGGATTTGCACTGAAAAACTGCTTAGTAATTTGTTTTTGTTGCTTAATAATAAATCACAAATATCTAATTAGGTCGCAAGTTGATCAAGTGGGAGAATGAGCATATTTTAACAATGTTTGATCAGTTGAGTAACACACAGGTGATGAGATTCCCAAACATTGCTTTCCATTGACTGTTTTAAGGACCCAGAGAAGCCATATTACCAGTCCTTGCCCGGGCTCTTCCGCTTCTAACATGACCATGGCTGCAACATGGTTAAGGTATCAGTAATTATAATAGCTCGGAATAACAGCTTACATTTTGCTAACCTCTCTTATAACACACACACACACACACACACACACACACACAGAGTAACATGTCAACCATTGTGATCAATAGGCAGAGAAGGAAACCTCACATATCTCATGTTCCTTGCACAACCCTGGAAGAGAAGCAGGTTCATGTCATTATTTTAAAGATGAAAAACTTGAGGATCAGGGAGATCATGTGACAGGCCTGCCTTTTGGGTTTTTGTTTCTTTGTTTGTTTGTTCTTTTAGTAACATCTTTAGAAAGAAAATAAAGAAAAATGAACCAAAGTTCAAAGAGGAGTTCTTATGATTGGAGATTAGAAAAAGATTTTACTCATTCATACTAGAGAGACTAACACATTCTTGGTCTTTCATTCCAGACCACTCTTTATACCTACCACACTGCTTCCTGACTTAAAACACCTTTGAAAGTTTTGGTGATTTTAGCTAATTTAATAGAACATTTTATGATATATACATATAAACATGCTGCGTTCTTTCCTGCCCCACCTCTAGCAGCAATGAGTGCTGACGGTGCATTCTGCGGCCTCCACGGATGGGCTGACTGCCTGTCACGTCTGTGAACAAGGTTTAATTTGATTAACGTGGGCTACCAGTCAGGACGACCTCCCCTGCTCAGCGACGCAAGGGCTGCTGGGTATGGCTGGCTGGAGGGCCAGAGAGCAGTTGTGATTCATTTCTGCCCCAGGCACCCACCTGGCGGGCCTGGTGCAAGTGCCGTGGGATCAGGGGAAAGTGAGAGGCCTGGCAGGCGCCTTGGCTGTGAGCTGAGCTTCGGGAGTAATAGTGAGAAGAGGGATGAGGGCAGCAGCTGCTGAGGTTGATATTTATATAATGACTCTCTGTGTTTTGAGGCAGGAAGTGAAACTGAGGTTGTGCTGAGACACTTTCCTTCCCCCATACCACTGCCCACGGCGGCTCCGGTGGGTGACCCAGGGAGAGCCACAGCAGATGCAGAGCAGGCTCCAGCCCCTTACTGGGGTGTCGGAGCTAAGGCTCTGTAGGGTCCAAGAGGCTCCCCTCCCTCTCCGTATGATTGTCCCTCCTTTCTCTCCACTTAGTTCTGCCTTATGGTGGAGACAGCATTGCTGCACCCCTGCAGCTTTGTAGGATTGCCATAATGGACTGTGGGACAATATCTACAAAACACAAGGCCAATCACGCATCTCTGGAGAATTAGCATTAAAACTCTTTATTACTTTCCTATGACCACTTCCAACACCACCACCACTGGTTTTTGTGGATTGTTTTTCCCTGACTTCTATACCTGCCTCAAGCCAACTTTCTGCCTGGTTTTTCTTCCTTCCTTCCAAGCATTAATACCTTTTGGAACCACCTCAGACCTCACAGTAAATGTCCCCTTCAGTGCTTTCCTTTCCTCTTGCTTAAGCCCAAGTTTAGGAATTCCATTCTTTCCTGTCTAAAACAAAAAGGCATTTTAATATAGATGATGTTCCATCCAGAGAGGCCTTCCTATTCTGCTTCTCACTCTAGTGTTGGGAGATTATTTGAAACATGGAGTGTTCACAGCTGAAAAGGACTTAAAAACTGTCTAGCCTCTGCTTCTCAATGACTGAAGGAGAAGCAAAGACCGTGTTAGAACTGAGGATCCCAAGGCCCTACTTCAGACCTGCTGAATCAGAATCAGCATTTTAACAAGATCTCCAGATGATTCACATGGACATTACACTTTGAGAGGCACTGTCTTATCCCAAGATGCTTATTAACAGGTGGAAGAAATAAAGGCCCAAAGAGGAAAACAAACAAGCACAAGGTCATCAGCAAGAGAATGCCACTAAAATAGAAGTTAGAAGTCTGTTTAGTTCAAGTCCCTTCCCTCTGCATGAGGCCTTAATAAAGACATAGTTCCAATGCCAGCACTGTGAAACAAGCAAAGCAATCTCTCCTCCCTCTTTATTTTTACTCTAAACTTCATCTATGGGTATGTTTTCAATTTATTTTACAAATAGAAAGTCAATACTAATGATTTCACAGCACTGCTTTCGAGCTCTTGTCCGTCTAGGTTGCCATGCTAGTTGCTGAATTCCATAGTCCACTGTACTTGATCAAGTATACTTTCCCCACAGTTTATTTGAAGTGAAGCTTCTGAGTGCTGGCAAGAAAAGAAAGATGTGCTGGGTGTGGTGGCTCATGCCTGTAATCCCAGCACTTTGGGAGGCCGAGGCCGGCCAATCACCTGAGGTTGGAAGTTCGAGACCAGCCTGACCAACATGGAGAAACCTCGTCTCTACTAAATATACAAACTTGGCCGGGCGTGGTGGTACATTCCTGTAACCGCAGCTACTAGAAAGGCTGAAGCAGGAGAATCGCTTGAACCTGGGAGGCAGAGTTTGCAGTGAGCCGAGATCATGCTGTTGCACTCCAGCCTGGGCAACAAGCACAAAACTCCATCTCAAAAAAAAAAAAAAAAAAAAAAAAAAGAAAGAAAGAAAGAAAAAGAAAAGAAAGATATGTTGTCAGCTGTTACAGCTGGCCCTAGTTTTGCCCACCAGAGACCTTGCCAGGAAGAACTATGAATGACAGCACATTTTAGAATCACAAAATGACAAAACTGGAAGGAACCATAGAGATCATTTTATCCAACCCCTTCGAGTCTCAGATGGCAATGATGAGCTACAGAGGGAAATGACTTACTCAAGTTCATCCAAGTTAGATGCAGATTTGGGGCAAGGATTCAAATTGCTGGCCTATCGGGTCAGGGCTCCATGCTGCGTACTGCCACCCCCCTCCACACACACACTAAATGGAATGAACAAACTAAGTAAACAAATCACCTGGACTGATGACATTCACTCCAGAATTCTGGAATAAGTCATGTATAAAACTGTGGAGCCATCGTCCAGAATGCACAGCCTGTCATTACTACTAAACCAGAGGGAGCATCACATTGCCAATAGGATTTCCACCCTAATATGAAGAGCTACCTGGGAATTACAAGCTAGTAAATATCATTGCCATGTCTGGAATTCATAACAAAGAGTGGGATCATGGAAGTGTAACAAACAACTTGTTATGGAAAAAACAACGGAAGGATTTTAACAAACCAATGTTCTTTAAGAGTCTAGAACTAGGGATAAGTAGGGAACTATTGAAACTCAAATATTTAAATTTTCAGAGATTCAAGACTATTGTGATTAGATTTTTACATCAAGAAACAGCTTGATTGCAGAACTATTTGGTACAGTACATGTCATCTTTGACAAGGATCATGGAAACAATATAGTAATATTTGATTGCAACTCCTTTGAATAGAAGATATTAACATAAAGATCACCAGAAATCAGAAATCCAGAGTCAGTAAGACACTGACTTGGGTCTTACTTCATATTTTAATGAAATACATGGAAGAAGTACAAAGTCGTGAAACATTCACTTTTGCAAATGGCACTGAACACTTCTAGTCACCATAGTGCCTCATTTTCAGATTACATTAAAGGTTTCACCATCAGGATTTTATCAATGTTTAAGGCACCCCTGCAAGGTAAGTAGAAAGAAGTCTGTCATCTTAATTTGAGACAAGAGACCCAAGCCTCAGGAAGCAATGTCTTTTCAAAGTTTATAGCACTTGACTCACAGTTGGACTACTCCAAATCCACTCTCTTTCAACTACACAATGTTGCTTCTGGGTAAAGAAATATTACAACACACAATAACTGCTAATATCTGCACACCTATTTGTATCTTTTTTTTGTACAGATGGTGGGGGGATCTCACTATGTTGCCCAGGCTAGTCTTGAACCCTGGGCTTAAGTGATCCTCCCACCTCAGCCTCCCAAAGGGCTAGGATTACAGGTGTGAGTCACTGCACCCAGTCTGCACACCTCTTTGGAAGTTACAGAACATCTGGACAATCCCATGACATGAGGAGGAACACAACTAATTGTTGTTGAGAACCCACTATATGTAAGCTGGAGCTGTCTATATTCAATGCTATACATAAGTATCTCACTGAATTATGACAAGGACTCTGTGAGGAGGGTGTTATTTTTTTCCTTTTGCATAATAGGAAATTGAGAAAGGTTAAGCAACTTGTCCACGGTCACAAAGCTAGAAATTGATAGAGCTAGGGTTTGAATTCTGAGGCAATTCAGGTTCAAATCCCTTGTTTCCAGGTCAAGTATTTCTATTATCTCAATGCTACAGCTGAGGAAATTGACTTAGAGATGTTAATGAGCCACGATCTTAGAGCTAATAAATCATAGAGAAAGGATTCAAACTGGAGTCCTCCCAGGACATAAAGATCTCAGAAGAATGAGGGAAAAAATGTAACAATTGAGCTTCGGTTTTGGCAAATATAAGGTAGTTCTCTTAGGTAAAATATACCCCAATCTCTATTTATAAAATGATGGACTCTAACATATCATAGCTCAGGAAACACATTTAAGTCTATTTCATTTCACTTTCGCAAACATGTATTAAGTACAACTTCTGTACCAGGTATCACACAGGACACTTGAATGGATCATCTTTTTTTTTTTTTCCTTTGAGTCTCCTAAGTTTTTATAGTATTGCTTTCCTCATTATTAGTGACTTGTACAGGAAAATTAGTGACTTGTACAGTGTTACAAGCTAATAACGACAGAGTAGGAATTGTGATTAGCTCTGAGAAAATTGAGCTCCAGTGGCTGCATAAGCTGAGATGCTCAGAGGAATGCTGGGTTTCATCAGAAAGTGTATGGAAGCCAGATAGAAAAGGCATTATCCCATATTCACATGAAAGCAGTGTGTGGGCTCGGAAAAAATGTGGCAGTTCTATTCATGGACCTTCAAGAAAAATTTAGTAGAGCTGGGGAGGTGGGAGAAGGACAGAGAAGAACTATTCAAATCACCAATATGACGGAGGCTTGTTGGTATAAATATAGATTTAACAAAATTAGATTTTTCTCAATCAAAAAATGAGCAGACTGAGAAGGGATATAACAATACATGATAGAATGGAACTATGCACTTAATCAGCAAATCTCAGAAAAACAGAACTATCCCAACCTCCCCTTACCCCAAAGTTTGCAAGAGTTAATTTTAGAGCAAATAAAAGAAAGTACTACTTTACATAGTAGATAGTAAATTTAATAAGCAAGAGAGGTAGGGACTAGCTGGTAGTACAGATGCATAAATGGGTTCAAAAAGGGATTATTTAAATACCAGGGCCTCATAAAATCCACATGGGTATATTAAAGATATGGGGGACCTTAAACATCACCCAGCCCAACCTACTACCTCATGAATATCTGGCATCTACTTGGTCACCTCCAGTGGCCAAGAGCTCACTGTTTTCCAAGGCAGAACATTCCAGCCTTGACAGCTCTGCATGTCAAAAAGTTCTTTCTAAGCTGGGTGCTGTGGCACACACCTGTAGTCCCAGCTACTTGAGTGGCTGAGGCAAGAGGATCCTTGGAACCCAGGGGATTCTAGGCTGTAGCGCTATCATTGTGCCTGGGAATAACAACTGCACTCCTGCCTGGACATCATAGAAAGTCCCTGTCTAAAAAAAAGTTATTTTAGGTTTAAACAAAACCTACCTCCATTTATTATATTCGTTTTGACTTTATTTCTGTATTTGAGATTCCGCTTAATAAATCCCAATGCTTCATTTTTACATCCCTGCAGGTATTTAAATTCAGCTGTTAATTGTGGTTGTTGAAGTCAATGTCATGAACAGAAATCAAATTTACTCAGAAATTGTTTAGGGGGATATTCAAATTCTAAAAGAAGAGTATTATGTGGCACTTCCAACTTGGAAAGGACCAAAGGAATAAGCATTGGAGGGGGAATCAGGAGACTTACCTTCTAATTGGGTCCTGTGACTATTTCTATGAAAATTCATGTCACTGTATCTGCCACTAATTAGCAGATGGCTCTTCCAGGGCAGGGACCTCACATTTCTGGACCACAATTCCCTTAACTGTAAGATAAAAGGGTTGAGCAAAATAGTGTTTATTCTCCCTCAGTCACTGACTTGGACTCAGTTAACCAGTGGTGGTTCTGAGATCCAAACCCACTTCATTTTGAAATCCCCTTTAATATACCATCATTGGAAAAGAGTTGTACCAATCCCTTAAGATGGACCAACCCAGTTGGGTGTCAGTTTTAGTGACCATGATTACTGGTCACTAACTGTCCCACCTCCATTTCCTGTGAAAGCAAGTTCATCTAGGGATAGAGCAGATTTCATCAGATTTTCATTTGTTTTGAGCTAAGCTGCTTACTAGTAGCCAGAGAAGGGTTGATAAGGAGAAAGCAAGCAATAAACAAACAGACTGAAATTTCGTTCCAGATCTTAAAATTGACCCATGCGTGGGACAGGACCCTTCCATAGACATGTTTAGGGCCAGTGACTCTGGTCTTCTCCCTACATAAATGGGACTCACCTGAGCAAAGTAGTTCTCTGTCTGTGGAAACCCTATATGAATAATGATCCCCAGCATTTATGTGGAAGAAGGCCACACTAGCCCAGGGGAAGTACTGGAAAGTATTTATGTGTCTAGAGATTCCAGCTAGTCAATGTCACAGCTAAGACTGAAACAGCTGTCTCGGGACTCAGTGTTCCAAGAGTTCCCCTGTTAGAATGTATTAAGCAGCTACTCCATGCTAGGTACCGTGCTAAACTCTTCAATACATCTTATCCCCTTTAATCTCTATTAAAAGCTCTGGGAAAGCAGGGATTTCAGCTGTCTTGTTTATAATTTTATCTCAGTCTCAAGAACATCACCTGACACTTAATAGAAGCTCATTAACTATCTGTTAAATAAATTTAAATAAGCAAATTAATGAGGGAGAGGTTAATACCCCCATTTTAAAGATTAGGAAATTAACGCTCAGAGAGATCAATGGACTTGACCAAAGTAAAACAAACAAACAATAATAGCAGAGCTAGCATTTGAGCACAGGTTTTCTGAGGTCAAGGTCAGTGCTCTTCCCAACAGAGCATAGCTGCCTCTCAGCTTAACCACCTTAAAAACCGAAAATAAAATCCAGTTTAATCCTTTCAAAAATGTAAAGTAAAATTTGTGGAGCAAGCATACATTTCTTAATGCTCATCAGTTTTTTAGCCATCCAAAGCCTTCAGAAATCATAAGTGACCGTGAATGATTTTCCCACATAAGCAATATTAAAGAGATTTAAAAGGATTCCATTCAACTGGAAAACAAAAATAAACAACAATAACTACAAAGAAAGCTTGCAAATTTCATGGATATCAGGAATGTCTTTCTGATGGAAAACATATTTCCCCCAAAGGTCCTGTGGCCCTGGAGAACACTGATTTGAAACGTAAGTAAGTAAGAGACAGAAGCTGACCGTCAGGGAACAGCGGGTTAGGAGGGCGTGCCAGCATATCTTGTGGAGGACCCATGGACTCTTCACTTTTAGTTGTCTACCTTTCCCATCCCTCTCCTCCACCACAGTTGTGCAAAGGGATAGGACGTACACTAATTCTTGAGGACCCTGTAACTGTGGACAAGGACCTCTTGACTTCAGCTTTCCCAAGTGTAAAATAGAGGGATTGTCCTAAATGACACCTAGGAGCCCTTTCCTCTCTGCCACAGCCTCTCTTTCCCTTTCCTCTGTCCTTCCCGCTTCTCTTCCACCTAGCTCTAGACGGCGCAGGCACTGGGTCCCAAAAGCGGCTTTGGGGACTCCCCGCCCTGCCGCTGCTGGAGCCTCCTCATGCAGCTGCACAGCTAACCGCTGCCTCACCCTGCACTGCTGACCACTCTGATTTACCTATGCAGATGAGGCAATAAATATACAAGATCTGCTGAAAGTGAAAAGTCCCTCATTCCTCACATTACTTTTAGCCTTCACTTTCCCTAAGCCAAGGGACAATGAATGACCAAGATAAGCCTCCCTTTCCAACACTGGCCTGCCTTAGGGACTCACCGTCTGCACTCCGCCTGCACAGGTGGAACTGAGTTCAGATGAGGGAGAATTGCTTTCCATTGTTCAGTAGGCTTTTTGTAATTTCTAGTTTTGCTTACCTTTCCTACTCACCACACACACAAAACAGTGTGAGCTTTCTCATTCTAGTGCATAAACACAGGTCGGTCAATACCCACAAGTGTTCCAAAAGGTGAGCTGGCATTGCTGCCCAACTGGGCATTATAGTCCCTTCTGTCCCTGCCCATCAGGCTTGCCTTCCTCGGCAACCTTTCTAGCTTGAATTGTACTGTGACTCCTTCTCACGGACCACTCCCGGAGACTGGTGAAAGTTGGGCCCATTCTTGAAGCCTCTGCTTCTAAATCATGTTTTCCATAAAGTCTCCCTCATCGTGCTTGCTTCCACCTTCTCCTATTTGGAATTACTGGTGGGCTCTTCCACTGTCCCATAGCAAGTGTTCTATACATTCTGAAGGCACATTTGAATATATACTTTGTCATGGTTGCTTGGAACCATGTCGTCTTTTCCAAGTAGGCTGTGAACATTCAGTGGCATGGATCATACCGTGCCCATGTTAAAATTATTCACTGGCCTGACTAAAGGTAATCATAACTCTTGATGCCGACTAATACTGCAGACACTTTTCTTTCCTACGGCTTCTACACTGGGGAAGACATATGGGGCTATATAAGGGTTAAATAGAAGCTCTGTGATTCATTCAGTCCCACCCTAAAATGCTTCTTCCAGCTTCTGTTGACTTCTCCTGTTACCAAGCATAAAACAAACATTACTGTCTCCCTCTCCCTCATACCTATTTTCTTGGTCCCCTGGGTTGCACTCCCTTGCCAGGCTCTTTTCTTTCTGATCCAGCTTTCTTTGAACATATTTATTTGCGTTTCACTCAACACGTGTCTCAAATTGCATCACCAGTTTAATTTGAGTTTTAAGCTAAGATGCTAGAGCTTTTCTCTTTCCTGTCCCAACAAGTACTCTTCATTCATGTCTTTATTAATTCTTCAGATAACTAAACAGCAGCCAAGACTTTGAGGGATGCAAATTCGAAAGTGATCCCTTTCCTGACTGCAAGGTGATCCCCGTCTGGTAGGGGAGATAGGACATGCACAGAAATAGTTAAAATACCAGGTAGATGGCAATAGGAACCCTTAAAGGGCAGGCCAAGTAATCGAGTGTTCTATACACTCCTGAGGGGGGAGGGGTCATTCCTCTGGGAAGGAAAGAAGAGGGTAGGATTAGGAAAGACTTCACAGGGGAGGTGGCATTTGAAGTGGGCCTGAAAGAGTGAGGTTGGATTTCTACTTGCAGGGTAGGAGAATTAAGCAGAGGGAGAAACACACTAGCAAAGGCTGGAGATGGAAAAGTACAGGACGAGAAGAGTGAGTCGTTTGCCTGGGTTGCAGCACTGCATGCTCAGACGGGAGCACTGAGGAATACAGCTGAACAGGTAGGTTGAGATCCATGTTGCGGGGTGGAAAGGAGCCGGAAAGGACTGGCACAGGGAGACCAGTTGGGAGGCTTTTGCAACCTCCTGAATGAGAAGTGAGAGGGCGGTGGTAGTTAAGAAAAGTAGGATGGGTGTGAAAAATGTTTCAACAGAGATGCCTAAATTCTTCCAACTCACCTTGACTAATTCTGCTTAATAATGCATACACCTGTTTTCATTGCAAGCATTGTGCTACCTCTCCCTGCCCCCACTTTAGAAGCTTATCATTTTATCTTCCAGGTGCATGACTTTCTGCCCAATTACTTGTTTTCAACCCATCAGAGCAAGTCAAGCATGCATCTCAGAAGTCTCACTGTCACACTTGGCCTAGGTTGCCCCCGTGCACTGTCTCTGTTCTCAGTATTCTGCCTCTGCATACCCACAGAACAATAGCTCTAAGTTTCCCAGACCCTCGTGTGGAGGCTTGGTCAAAAGGCGAAACCTGAAGAAATACTTTAGCACAGGATGAAGGAGGAAGTGGCAGAAGGGTAAAACCAACCCCTGTCAAACTTCACCAAGTGGCTCTGCCCCGGACTCAGCTCCACCACATCCTACTCTTATTGGGAGGCCAAGCAAGAAGGACTAAGGTGACTGGGACCTGGGCAGTGGGAGAATGGGCAGTGGGAGAAAGATCATGAGGAAGCAGAAGGGGCTTTGTTTTGGTCCAGGGAACCAAATCCAGCACTATAACCGCCACCAGTCCTGGGAGTCACTGGCAGAAAAAATCAGAACAGGGAATGCAAAGGTGCTGCTCTGCCTCTACTGAGCACCCCTCCCCATCTCTAAGACTCATTCTTATATTCTATAAAATGGGGATTATGACATCCACCTGTGTGTCCTGTTGACCTGTTTGTAAAGGTAGAATAAGGTAAGTGAGTATGAAAGCACTTTAAACATGTAAAGCACTATATTACAGGCTTTTTCTCACTCAACTGACCCTAGTCATTAGGATGGGTAGACATGACAAGAAGGAAGAAGAATGCAGATGCCGGGGAGCAGAGACTGTGAACATCTCAATTTTGCATAACAGAACTATGGTGATTGGTCTTATGGAGCAGCTAGTCCAGGTTCTCATTTGACAAGGAAGCTAAAGCCCAAAGAGGGGAAATGAATGTTCCATGGTCAAGAGATGATTCAGAGGACAAACCCTGGTCCCACGGATGCCAGGCCAGTCCTTTCTCCACCCCACACCTCTGGTTGCCCAGTGTGAAGGTCTCTAGGATGGAGACCGCAGGCCCAGAGTCCAGGCGTGCTCAATTCCTGAATTACTGGTGAGTAAGTCACACAACTGAAACTAAGGAAGAGCTTAGCATGGGGCTGGATATCAGACACCATTTCTTTAAATCATTAGGTTTAGAATCCTGGATAACCATTTCCTAAGATCCAGAGCATTCATGTCCTGAAAAGGAAGACTCAGTTTCAAGTTTCCTATTGCCCTTTTCTCCTCTATCCCCATGAATTATTTGGGCTCTGTGATAGGAGAAAAACGGATGATTCCTCTGACTAGCTAGTAGCTGTTAAGTATCAAAGGCATAGCGAGTGGCAATCCTGCAACAAACATGTATAAGTACCTTACCTTGTTTCATCTTCATGACAACCCTGGTAGTAAATCATCTCAGTACTCTCAGTTAAACACACACACACACACATACACACACCCTGAGACTCATAGAACTCAAGTGTCTTCAGTCACAGGCCAGTGCCAGGTGGTGTCTCTCAAGACCTCCCCAAAGTACAGCAAGCGTTTTTATTTTAATAGGAAACAACAGCCTCTACTTCAAATGCTTTTAGAATGAGCTCTTCCATAGTATCAGAACTGTTGAACGACATGACTGTTTTACCCATGAGATTCTATAAATACAGACTCCCTCTGTTTCATCCACTAGTTTGTATGTTTCTGTCTTCTGATGAATTCATCATTGCACAAGCATTTTTGGAGGACAGCATTGTGCTGTGAGCTGAAGGGCTGAACCATACCCCTGCCTGCAGGGTTTTGAAGTCTGGTAGTTGTCCAGGGAGCATGTTGTCAGACAGCTCCAATCAGGAGAGGACAATTGTGTCACAAGAGAGGTGAAAACGTGTATGTGAGATATAGAGATAGGAGAGGGGAGAAGGGAATGTGTCTGCGTAACTAGAGGGTCTAGTGAGTTTAGGGAGGCAGGCAGGGCTGAGTTGTCTGGGCAGAGGGTAGGTTGAAGGAGGAAGAGAAGCTGGAGTTCAGGCCAGAAATAGTCTGGGGCTGATGTCTTGGGGGCTCTGAGGCTGTGCTAAGGTGCTTGCTTCTTCCCAGAGTTTGCCAGTCCTAGATGTGCGCAGACATAGGTGGTACCTTTGCATGACTTCTTAGAGCCTCAGTTTCCCCTTCTGTAAAATGGAAGACATGAATGTTGCCTCTAAGGGACCTGTGTGAGGGTGGGCCAGGGGAAATTGGTAGCACAATGCTTTGAACTCCTCCAGAATACGATGTGAAGGGAATGCAAATCACAGTTATTTATAATGGCAGCAAACTGAGATGCTGAGAAGACGTTGCTGCAGGCCGCCAAGCACTCCCTCTGGAAATCCTGAAAGCCTGCTACTGCAGGGCTGTGCCCAGATGCCAGCTGGAAGCAGGCTTATCTCTTCTCAGTTCCCGGTGCTTCTTCCGATCCTGCCAGGATGTTCCTCACAAAACAAACACTAATCTCCCTGCATAGTTCCACCTACAGAGGAGGAAGCTCTGCACCCTTCTGCCCTCCCCCTTTAGAAAACCAAGCTGAGTTCTAAACTCCCAGGTCGTGACAAGTTCCCATTTTGTGTCATCATTGCCTCACCAGGTAGCACTCTCAAGGCTAGACCTTTGGAGGCGGGAATGGCATGGCCTAGGAAACAATCTAATGTCTCGTTAGTCTCCTAAGACAGCCCTTCACTTCTGGAGCCGCCTCATCCTTGTGCCAAGCTTGTGTTGGGCACAAAGCACTCAGGCATCCAAGGAGGTAATGTGCAAGGCAGGGCAGTCAGGGGCGTGGCCCAGAAGGAGACACCGGGAGCAGGGTCCTAACATCCACACAATTTCGTTTTTTAACAAAGGAAGGAAAGGACCACATTGGTTTCAACTTTTTAATCTTTGAAAAAAAAAATGCGAACAGCACTCCCTTCACAAATATTGTCTCTTATGGGACCCTACCATATACAACTTGAGTTCACCCACTGGTGACTCTCTCAGGTACCCCAAAGGGATTCTAAAACAGTGTTTCTCAAACTTTGATGTGTACACAAATCCATAGTGGGTATGGTTAAAACGCAGGTTCCGATTTAGAGGTCAATGGTGGGACCTGAAATTCTGCATTTCTAATAACTTTCCAGTTTATGTCAATGCCACTGATCCATGGACCAAACTTTAAGAAGCAAGGGTCTAGAGCTCTAAGAATTACAGTTTGGAAACCACTGATCTTTAGGTTATACAGACAATGAGCCTTCTCGCTCCCCATCCCTGGGGATATTAAGCCAAGTTTCCTGGATTAGATTCTGCCTAGACTGAAGTCAGCTTCTATAATCAACTGTAAATCAAGATCCTAGGATTGCCTCCTTCTGGCTCTAGGTGTCTATCATCTCCAATGGCAGTCTGGGAAAATTCCTAAGAGGCTTGGCCGTGAGAAAGAGCTTTAAGGTGTGGGCTTTACCCTAACGGAAAAGTACAAAATGTTCAGATCAATCTTTATCTCCATCCCCAACTACCACTGCAACACACAGGAAAAGAGAGAGAGAGAGAGAGATCAACCCAGTGTTCCCCTTGGCACTTAAAAAGAAGGGTGACAACCACCCTCGCCCTGCCCTCTCCTAACCCCAGCTAATGGAGGTCATTTCCCTCTCACACCCTCTATCCCTCAGGTCCACCCCCTTTTGGGGACTGAGATGCTCCCACTGAGGTCAAAAGTATTTTTAGCTATGCCATGTGGGCCCATGCTTGGCCAACTCTCCCTGGACGTTAATCTTGGATTCCACAAATGCCAGGTCTCCTGATCCAGGAGGCATGGAGGTGACAGGGAAATCTGAGTGTCTTGGAAATTACAGTGCATGGCCTTTTGAGGATTTTGTCTCAATGCCATGTATGATAAAAACAAAAACAGTAACACCTAATGCTCAGAAAATGCTTCAGCATTTACCGAGTGCTTTCTCCCACATTGCCTCATTTGATCTTCCAGAGGGTCATGGGGAAGACAAGGCAAAAATTGTTCTTATTTCTATTTAATAGCAGGACCAGGTGAGCTGGCAAGATAACACGGCTAGTAAGTGGTAAACTTGGGCCTTCAGCCCCTCCATCCAAGCTCAGTGCTCTTACCATACCCTATACAATCCTACCTTTTTGCTTCTCCCCTAGCTTGGTTTTACTTTGTTTTGTTAAATATTACAAGATTCAATATCTGCATAAATGCCTTTAAGAAATGGGAGATTCGAAACAAGGAAGAATGAGGCAGCTTGTGTCAGTCACAGGTCCTGGAAGGAAGCAGAGGACTTGCTTAAAGAAGGTGGGCAAAAAGAGATTCATGATAATTTGCAAAGATACAGGCAGGGTTAAGGAAAACCAAGAGATAGCAATGTGCCCTAAGGCTCACAACAACTGGGGGCTGTTACCTGCTCTTGGCCTGAAAGAGCAAAGAAAGAGGCAGTTACCAGAGTCTGGAAAGTCCTGGTAAGCTGCAGGAGAGGGCTGTGGCCTTTGGCATTGCCAACCTGCCACTGTCAGTGAGGGTGCTGGGGACAAAGTAGGCTCACCTCTCCCCTCTCCCGCCTTCCAACCACCTGATCAGTGCTGGGCTGATTCCAACCAGAAGTCAAAGGAATAGGGAACCTAAAGATATCCATAAAGGCCAGCCTCCTGGAGTGGCTGCAAGACAAGGATGAAAAATAGATTTGTAGGGTCAAACAGGAAACACTCAGTGTGTAGCTGTGCTCACTGTGATAGCCTAGGACTCAGGAGGGAGGAGACGGCACAGAGTCAGAGGGGCTGGGATTTGCAAGGTGGGGATTCGCCTTGTTCTCTCAAAGTGGAATTATTTCAAAGCCCACCTGCAGTTAGCTCTCTGGGAGCCAATCTGGCCATGGGCCCCAGGGGAGTCCAAGAAAAACCAGATCACGGCTCCCAAGAGACTCTACTAACCCCACAAGCAGGATTGGCCATCCTGTGGCCTGGGTTTAGATGTCAGTTCCACCATTCTGCCCAATTCCAGGTTGTGACTCTGGATAATTCATTTAATCTCTCTGAATCTCTGAGTCCTTATCTGTGAAATGAGTATAATAACAATCCCTGGGCCACCCATCTCACGACAGGCTGGAACTTCACACACTGGAAATGCCACATAAGAATTCCACAGAGGGAGGCCACATAAGAATAGCATGGATCCCAAACAGCCAGGACCACCTAAGTCTCATTTGCTCTTCATAAGAATAATACCTAGATTTGAAAAAGGTTAAATCCAGAAAAGCCCTAGAATCATCAGACCAACTACTCTCATATAAAAAGAAGAATGTGAGAGAAAGGTTCACAGATGGGGACAGAGCTGGGGCACCAGTCTCCCCGCTTTCACAGTCCCATGCTGCCCCTCCTTCCTGCCCATGAAAGTGACAAGACCTACCCATGTAAGGATCAAATGACATAAAGGATGAAGCAGTGTTTTGTCAATTGTAATGGTGGTTGCTATCATTGTCATTAACAATAACAATCCTTCCCCTACAAACCTATCCCAGGGACGAAAATTATCGTCATTAGCTATGTCTTCAAGGACATGGTAAAATATGACTATTTTACCAGAGCAAAGGACATGAAAACCTGAGAGCACACAGCAGGTGAGGTCATCAGAATAGCTAGTGATAAATATTACTTGGCTGAGAATGAGATTCTGGGAATATGGGACATGAGGCAGGTGAGTTTTGATTGTCAGCAGGTGGCAGGAAAGACAGGACTTGTAAGATCTGCATGTACGAATGAAATTTCAGATGGAGACATAACAGGTTGGGGGCTTGGTCCAAACCCCAGTTGGATAGAGGAGGAAACCCCAGGCCAGAAAGGCTAATGGGCTTCCTGGAGCCTCCCTGAAAGTTAGTGGTATTGGGCTTTCAAAGCTCATCTTTAACAGCCAGATTCTATGGTTCAGCCTTTGGCACCTACTTCCATATGTGGACTCCTCAATGAAGAGACTAGAATGTGTCTCATTTGTTACAAGAAGATCATATGCCACATTGCAGCTTTTAAATCAAAAGTCAGAATCTTGACTCTTGGTGAAGATCTCCAGCTTTCAAACTGTCTAGATCAGGGCACTGGTCACACTCCACTGATCTCATTCTGTTCTGCTTCTCTTGTATCTCTCATCACTTCAGTGGCTCCTCTACTCCACCGGCTTCCATCTATCGTCCATACATTCACTCAACAAATATTCACTGAGGACCTGTAGTGCCTTTAACTAGGAATACCATGAGAATTTTGTCTGAATGCCGCGTATGATAAAAACAACAACAGTAACACCTAATCCTTCAGCATTTACCAAGTGCTTTCTCCCGCATTGCCTTGTTTGATCTTCCCAAGAGGGTCATAGGGAAGATAAGGCAGCCCTACCCTCACAGAGCTGACTATGCAGAGGAGGTTGATGGAACCTGCCAAATTTCACTGCAACAATCACATGAGCAAAGCATTGGCTCAATCCAAAGCCCAGTGCTGAGCAAAGCCACTTGCTCTTCCTGGAAGGGCGCAAATATCCTAAATAGAAGAGAAGTACAGAATGTTGGGACTGAAAAAACCCATTGTGCATAGTACATCCAGTGTCCAACCTTCTCTCTATGAAGACAAGGGCAGTTCAGTACTGTATTTATGAGCATGGGAGGTAGGTAGACTTCCTAGGAAAAATTCCCAGCTCCATTGCTTACTGTGTTACCTTGGGTAGTGACTGAACTTCTCTTTCATACTGTCTGAGCTCTATTTTCTTCATCTGGGTCACAACAGTAATCATAGTGCCTACAGAACTGCTATGAGCATTAGATAAGGCAATATATGTCAAGTTTGAGGGCAAAGACTGGACTGGCAATTACTCAATGAAAGGTCACTGTCATTGTAGCTAAACTGAATCCAAAAAGAGATATGGCTCATCCAATGCCACTCACCTAGTTAGAAGCAGATCCAAAGTTTGAACTCAGATGCCCCAGTACTAGTCCAGTGTTCTTTCCACTATACCTGCTACCTTCCTACCAGGAAAACTACAATGTGAACAGCCTTATCCCACTGAATGTTTAAACTAACAAGGAAATTGGAGATTGTATTACCATACAGAACCTTTCTCATTTGGACTACTAGAAAGGTTATATTTCTTCCACTCAAGTAACCCCATTTCTACTGACTAATTATCTGCCTCACCCTCCTTGCTAAGGAAACTGAAGTTTTTGGTCCACCACGTGGTCAACACTTGGGGCCAAGTGTTTCCTCTCATCCTTATCTTGCTGAATCACTCTACCTCTGCAGCCCAAATCTTTATAGTTACTTCCCCATCTCAGTTTTCTTTGCTTAGATTAAGCACTATTTTTACAACCCAGTTGGCTAGAGGGTTGCAAACTAATGTAGAATCTATAGTAAAGGCCTGGGGCCCTGTAATGGGTCAGAAGACTCACCCAAATCACCATCAGGGTGGTGGCAAGCCAATGCTAGGAATTAACAGATACCGGTATTTGTGTCCACCAAAGCATATTTAACAGCCCTTGATAATTGCACAGCCTAAGTCCTAACACTTACTGATTCCAATGAATGACAATGTGTTACAGATTCTAAAATGGTTCACCTTTAGAAATGAATTGATCTAGTCTCCCTTTTTTGTAGGGATGCCAGTCTTAGAGTAGAAATGAGAACAAAGAGTAACAGAGCGTAAGTGTTGAGGGTTTGGATTTTGTAACCAAACTGCTTGGATTCACATCTTGGTAGGCCTCACAACCTAGTACTGTAAGGCCTAGGCCAAGTTACTTTATGTCTATGTGCCTCAATTTCCCCATCTGTAAATAGGGCAAAGGCACTTGCCTTATAGGATTATTATGAGAATTAAACGAATTCATAACTTATAAAGTGCATAGAACATGCCTGGCACATAACGAGCACTATATGTTTGTAAAATCAATAAAATAAGAAGGCGGGAGACTGAGTCTCAGTTACATGCCTACTCTAGGTATTCACATATTGGATTAAATAGTCCTTAGGACCCCTTTCTTTCACTGTCCTGGTGATGGCAGGCCTGGAAATGCCACTCTGTACTGCTCTCTGAGATGTCAAAGCAGCCCTTTGGAAGCACCAAGGAAGAGTACAACTACACGTGACTAAACTCTCCTGGCTGAGTCAAAAACCACTGCAATTTTTAGTGTTTCCTTGGCCTTAGCCACATTCATTGCAGGAGGAACCTCAGGAGCTTGGAAGCAGAGCATCTGCCCACTAGCGGTCTACATGGGGCCTCTGAAATTCACAAGTGCGCCAGGAGCTCATTACTTCTTGCCCTTCTCCCTGTCTCTCTGATTCACCTCTTGTTTGATGCCCTGAAGGTGACTAATGATTCAGAGCATCCCATCTTTGGTTCCGCCCAGGTATTCTCCTTCAGACCTTGATTCCACTTGAAAAACAAAAAGAAAACAACTCTGATTCATTTGATTCCACTTCTTTGGGGTTTTGGGAGTGGGGAGACAAGAGTGATGGAGAAAACATACAAATTGGACTGGTAAAGTGGTCTAATTCAGAGGGTGCATTGCCCTGCACCTGAAGGTGAGGAAAGACTGGCAGCCACCTTACCAGCACCTGACATCAGACATGAGTGACAGGCAAGCTCCCGAGAAACCTGTGGAACCTCACCAGCATGCAGACTGTCTTTATTTACTTTCTTTTCTACTTGCTGTGCCTTTGGTGCTGGAAGCAAGGGCATGGACGGACAACTGCTCAGACTAAGGTTGCTTCTCTAACTCTCCTTCCTGCCTGGCACCATTAGCTCAACCCCTCATCACCTCTCAGAAGATTGGACTCCAGTTCTGAGTCCATCCCCTCGCCGTCAGTCCTCCCTGGAGTCCATTTGCACTCCAGGCTAAATTAGCATCTCAAAAGCCATCTTCTCATTATGTCACTGTCCTCCTCAAAAGCTGCCAGGCTCCTTGCAGTCTGCAGACAAAGTTGAACTTCTCACTGGTCTTCAAGTCCCACTGGCTTTAACTCCCACAGATTCCCTACCCAATCAAAATTATGATGTACCCACTCTAATCAGTCATTCTTACCCTCCACTAAGAATATCTCACATCCATACCTCTATGGAAATCACAGGCTCTAATCATTTACTCTCTGGGTGGCCTTGGAAAAGCAATTTATCACCTCTGAGCCTCAATTTCCTCATCTACAAAATGATGCTATCTAACAGGGGAGGATTTCCATGAAGAGGAACTGAGATAATATACAAGGGCATAGCACAGTACCTCAAACATAGTGAGAGAACAACAAAAGTTAGCTTTAATCATAATCATCAAAATAATAATGACATTGATAATTGTCATTGATAATTGGTCTAGCTCATGTCATCTCTTCCATGAAGCCTTCTCTGATCTTCAATCTGAGTGTGATTCCTCCTTCTTTTGAAGTCACCCTATACTTGTAGGGCCATCCCCATATGCTACAGGGTATCACAGTGACTTCTCCACTTATCCTGTCTCCTTCTTTATCTGCCTGTGGGTCATTTGCCTCATCTAAAACTGAATCCTGGCACTTGGTAAAGCTTTATTTCATGTGGATGTTTCTCTGGATTCTGCAGGCAGGGCCAGAAAATGTCAATGGTGATTGTGAACTGTTCTGGAAGAATAGGGTTTCCCTTCAGAAATAAAAGAGTACCTCACTGTGGTACCTCTCTGCCTGTGTGGACACACAACACAACCCAGCCCAGTCTGGGCCACCAGAGGAACCAGCTGGTCGAGCTTTGTGAACTTTGTCTTCATGCCCCGACACCCTACTTCCCAAAGCCTGGACCGGTAAAGTTCTTTTCACCAGAAAGGACAAGGGCAAGTGAGTGCAAGAGAGAAAGTGGCACATTTATCACTGAGAACCTGCTTGGGAAATGGGGGAAAGGGGAAGGGAAGAGATCTTATTTTCTAAGACTTGAGAAGGGAAAATGGAAGTGGGAGGGAAATCATCTGTGGCTTATGTTCTCTAAAGTTCAAAGGGAACTTGCTGCCCCATACATGATGTTGATTAGGGAAAGTATCATCTAGTTACACTGAACCCCACAGATTGGTAAGCATGAACTCAGAAGGGTCCCAGCTTTCTGATTCATCTGATCCACAAGCCTTGGTCAGCAAGCACGCAGTTGCTTTTGCTTTAAGATGACCTTATTTGAAATTCCTTATGTAGCTGTCACTGCCAGCACTAAAGCCTGGTCATTTACAGTAGCTGTCCTTTCTGAATTTAAATCTGATAAAACAGGCTGCGCCTGCCCCACACCTCCTAGGGGTCTAGATCTGAAAGGAGCCCCAGGGATCATCCCATCTAGTCTAACCCTGGCCCAGAGAGGAAGGGTCACACCACCAGGCAGTGCTGAAGCCAGGCCTGCAACACACTTTCCACTACCCCAAGATGCCCCCACTGGCTGTTCAATTTAAGGACATAACCCGTGAAGAAAGGAGATTGTGAAATGCTTCCACTAGAAGCCCAAGGGTGGCTGAAAGCCCAGATGCTTCTCTCTTAACCCTCCTAACCTAGTCCCAGTTCAGCAGTTTGCTTCCCACTGTTTCATGTTAACCCTTTTTCTCCATGAGGCCAAGGCTTGTCTTCCAATGAGCAGCTCCTTACAATAACTAAGCCGGCTTCTGCTTGTACCTTCCCAGACACCTCCACTGGCAAAACCTTTCCATTGAGCAATCTTCTTGTGAAAACTGACTCTTCTTTGCCCTTTACAATTACTCAGCAACTCTGCAAAACAGTAACCCAACTGTTTATTTTGATTTCAAGCTTGGGGTTAAAGGGCTAGCTTTGTCATTTTTTTTTTTTTATTCCCCTTGAGGAAGTTACTAGAGACCTCAGGGATTTCTTGTCTTTGACTCTTGACTACCAGCTTGACATGCCTCCATCTTCCACTAGCCCCCAGTCTGTGCCAGGTGACACAGAAGTTTCCAGGAAGGAAAGGGGATACTCCTCCAGAGGAAAGATACTTCCTAAATGGAGAGCTGGCATTCACTCAACCTTCCCTCCAACCACCCATCCCCAAGGCACCAACCTGCCCATGTTTTCAATGCATCTGCCAGGCTGCATCACTATCTCCCATGTTTGTTCTGTAGTTTCAGAGTTTACAAAGCACTCTAACCTCCCTCAATTCAGGGGATGTTCAGGACCTCCTGAAGGGTAGGCCACACAGGTTTGCATATTAGAGAGGAGATAATCATATATGTTTATGCTTATATCTGGGACTAACCTAATCAAGGTTAGAAATTATAGTCAGCCTCTTGACTCCACGTTCAGTGTTCCTTATAATCTTTCTTCTGCCAGCTACTCCCGTTATTTTCCATCTTGCATACCCAGCTAAAAAGAGTTTTCTAGAATACCATTCTTCTTCGCCTGCTCTCCCATTCACAAACTTTCAGCAACTCCTAAATGCCCATAGGATAAAATTCCAATGACTCTGCTTGTCTTTTAAGGCCCTCCACAGTATGACTCCATAATATCTCCCTAACATTATTTCCACCATGTCAGCATGGTGAAGCTATGTGAATTTCCCACAATGTCTAATGCACTTTTTAAACCTCTGGACCTTAACTTTTTTGTTTGTTTGTTTTTTGCTTTTTGTTTTTTGAGATGGAGTCTCGCTCTGTCACTCAGGTTGGAGTGCAGTGGCATGATCTCGGCTCACTGCAACCTCCACCTCCCGGGTTCAAGCGATTCTTCTGCCTCAGCCTCCCAAGTAGCTGGGACTGAGGCACGCACCACCACGCCCAGCTAATTTTTGTATTTTTAGTAGAGATGGGGTTTCACCATATTGGCCAGGCTGGTCTCAAACTCTTGACCTCGTGATCCACCTGCCTCGGCCTCTCAAAGTGCTGGGATTACAGGCATGAGCCACTACACTTGGCCTGGACCTTATCATGTTGCTTCCCCACACCACCCCACAGATCCATCTTCAAGGTGCTTCTTCAATAATGGCACCCATTGCTAGAATATCTCTGGATGCTCCCAGCACACAGTGAGCTCTCTCTTCTTAAATTCCATAGCTTGTGTAAACCATAATACTCTCTAGGCCTAGAGAGCAAATGTGCATCAGGCAGAAGTTAAGGCTAGCCTTTACCTGTCATCTCCCACCTCAGCTCAGAAAAGGGTCTCCCACCTCAACTCACATGCATCTGCTGGTGGTTATTTACTAAATATCAGGTTCAAAAATAGTTTAGGGTAGGGCTTGCCTTCTCATGGTTAGACAAATAAGAGAAACAGAAGAAAAAAATATTGGATCAAAGGTATAAAATTTCTATTTCATCATCAAAATACTAATTGTACCCTACTTTATCATAGAAGGAGGAGGAAGGGTGGGAAGAAAAAGGAAGACATCTAGAGGGATGGCTCAAGTTTAGAGCAAAGGTAACTGATTCCCATCTGTGGTTCTTCAAGGCCCCGGAAAGAACACACCCAGTGCTTTGGGTTTAACAGCGATGACCTTGAGCCATTTCACTTGGAGTCTCAGATTTCTGGAAAATGTGGGTAATTTTCTCTGCCCAGCCCATCTCACTGGATAATAGCTGTGAAAGTGCTTTGTAAGTGTAAATGCAAGAACTATGTGAGTGGTGACTAATTTCCAAAGGCCAGGCCGCCCCCAACCCCACCTTCAGAGCATTTCATCTGTTAAAATACATGAGACCATTGGGATCTGTAGAAGAGCAAACGCTCCCTTTTGCACCTATGCTGTTGACTGATGACCTTCTGGTGCTGGAAATGTCTTGTGATTCTTGGACTATTATTAGGGATGGTTAAACTGGTGGAGGGAGGCTAAAAACGGCCAGCACAGCCATCACTAACCTTTTGGTTTCCCATTTCAGGAACCAGTTTCAAAATAAAATCTTTTTTTTTCTTTTTTTTTTTAATGAGAACACATTTCTGTAGTTCTTCACAACACACTGAAAGAAAAGAGAATTTCACTTTGCAAGACTGGGGAGATTGTCTTTCCTGAGTTTGCTCAGCCCCAGCCATTAACCCTAGAACATTTGTTCCAAACTGGAACTTGAGCCTTGAAGTTCAGCCAAGTTGGGTGGACTTCCTGGTGCCTCCACTGCTGGCCTGTCTGAGCCCTGCCCTGGGACAAATGTACAGGACTCTAAATGGAGCAGAATCTCAGGGAACAGTAAAAGGGCTGGGGAGGGCAGAGTTTGGGGTTGAGGGACTCTGGGCTTCTTGCTCTCAAGTCCATATCTGCCTCTGAGTTACCCATGGGAATTTATTCCTCTCATATTTTCTTTCTTTATTTGTTATTTAATTCACCAAAATTATATATATGTATGGTGTACAAGATGATGTTTTGATATATATCTATACTATGGAATGGCTAAATCAAGCTAATTAGCATATGTAGCGCCTTATTTTTTTGTGGCAAGAACACTTAAAATCTACTCTGTTAGCAGTTTTCAAAGAGTTAATACATGCTGGGCTTCATACCTACATGAGGAGTTGATAGGTGCAGCAAACCACCATGGCACACATTTACTTATGTAACAAACCTGCGCATCCTGCACATGTGCCCTGGAACTTAAACAAAAAGCCCAACAAAATAATTAAATATATATATATATATTTATATCAATATAAAATGTATTGATGTTAACTATAGTCACCGTGATGGGCAATGAATCTCTTGAATTTATTAAAATGTGTCCTTTGACCAACATCTCCCCAGTCCCACCACCTGGCAGCCTCTGAGAATAACCATTTTATTCTCTGCTTCTATGAGTTCAACTTTCTTTTACATTCCACATATAAGTGCCACATTTTCATCTGAAATACCCTTGGGCTCCCAGGCTCCCATGTCCTGGCAGGCTTCAGTGAACCATCCACCTAACCGCCCCACTCCCCTAACACGCATTTGCAACCTCGCTTTAATTACCACCCCCATCTCCTCTAAAGCAGCCAAGATATTTTAAAACCCTTGTTTTGATCTTCTTTGCATATCAGTTACACTATTTCTGAGCGTGTTTATTTTTATTTTTTTTTTCCGGTGGTGAGCCCGTCGCTTTGAGCCCTCTGCTCGCACGTTTCCACTTCCTCTCACTTTCCTGTGCGTGGCTGTGGCCTCCGAGTGTGCTGCTCAGAGCAGGCCGGGTGATTCTCATGGGCCTGTGGCCTTTGATGGAGCCAGGGGAGGCAGGTTCTTCTACCACTGGTGCTCCCTTGCTCCTGACATCTGCAGAGGCAAGATGAAATTTCAGTTATGTTTCATTTGTTCCATCTCCCAAGGAAGTAAACCTGACTACTAGTCAGAAAAGGGAAAAAGGGCCCTTTCTTGGGCATGAAAGAGACCGGGGATTTAGTCCAAACTCTGACATTGACCTTAAGAAAATCCTCTTCCCTCTTGGGATTGAACTCAAAATTGCTGAAGCTCCCATGGATTCTAACCAACTGTTTTAACAATTAGCTATTCTAACAATGTGCTTTTCTAACAATTAGCAAAATCATTTACAATTGAAGATGAGCTTAGGATCAGCTTCTGAAATCAACAAGTTGGAGACACAGGAATGATTGAGGTGCTCCATGTTCAAGAAGTGATGCCTGAGATTTGTGGGATAAACCTTCTCTTTGTGATAGGATCTTGTGAAATGTGTATGATATGACTTGTGAAAAGTCCAAGCTAAACCCTTGTCATGACATACATCTAAATTCACATGCTTCCCAATGTTTTTTTATATACAGCATACCTAGAACATGGTATTATTTGTACAGCAAACTGGGTGAAAGAACAAGGCCACTCTTGCCCGGTAGCAACCAACTCATTAATTGTGGCTGTGCTGAGCTCTTCCTGGCCACTCCAAAGACTGAAGAGACACTATTTGGGCCCATTTGAAACCCAGATTTGGGAAAGTTCAGTTTAAAGGATTAAGTCAACTCTTTGTCTAATCAGAATAACAAGAGTGTTCTGGCCTATAAAAATCACAAAATTCTAGAGAAGACAAAGCAGGTAAGAAAGTGGGTCCCGAATCCAGACCACGGGGGTTCAGATAAAGACTCTACCATTTACCAACTCTATGTCTTTGGGAAACACTAAAGCTCAGTTTCTTCTATCTTTAAAATGGGAATAATAATATTCTCAGTGGCCATAGGACAAAATAAGGTAATGCATTTCAGTACATTCCAACTACTTAATAAATATTAGCTATGGTTATGGCTAATGCTAAACAGGAAATTAAAGATCATTTGGTCCAATCTTCTCATTTAAACAAAGAAGAAACTTTGACTTGATCAAAGTCACACAGATAGTTAGTAGCTGAACTGGGACTAGAACCTAAGTCTTCTGATTTCAGTCCTGTGCCTTTATATACTAAGGGGTATGATACTTCATTCTGTATTAAAAACATCCAAATTACTAAGTATGTAGGATGAATTATTTTCCACCAGAAGACATTTGGAAGGTAAGACTCTTCCTATTTGTTTTAAATTAGTTTACCGGTGACTCTGTCTTGAAGCATGGGCTTGAATGAGATGATTTCTCAAAGTATTGCCTCCTATTTTAGGTAGGTAGCCAAGGGCTGGCCTGCTTGGCTTTGGAAGGCACAGAAATGGGTACAGCGGTTGTACATCAGCATCTCAGATGCCAAAGGCTTCAGGTCACCAATACAGAAGTCCCATTTCACATATGAACATACTAAACCTCTGGTTGACTCAGAGCCACACATGTCCAACAGTAAAACAAGAACTAGAACTTGAATCTCCAACTTGATGCTGGTGCCCATTCCATAGATCTCACAAGGAGAAATAGGATTTAAGATCCACTGTTGCTGTATACTTGCCACTTCCTTCAACCCTATGAACGTGCTGACATGCCCTGCAAAGTCAATTGTTCATTTAATTGTGCTTTGTTCCTTTCTTTTTTTTTTCTACCTCCAGCCACAAAGGTTTGAGGTAATTTATAGGAAATACAATAATGAATAATGAAGAGTACATAAAAATAAACTACAATATCTTATCAATAAACCATAGGATATATAGGATTGTGCTTTCCAATGTGGCAGCCACAAGGCACATGTATCTATTTATATTTAAATTAATTAAAATTAAATATAGTTAAAATGTAGCTCCTCAGGTTCACAAGCCACATTTTAAGTGCTTAGTCACCACATGTGTCCAGTGGCTACTTATTGGACATTTCAGATACAGAATATTGCCGTGATTGCAGAAAGATCTATTAGACACTGCTGTCTAGACAGACAACCAAGTCATATATTCTTACACATTTGCAATAAAGCAGCCAAAATTTTGGCTCTGAGCTTCGTGTTGGCAAAGCCAAATAAAACAAAGCAAAATCAGTTGTGTCATCATCAATTCCTCAAGGGAAGCAAAGCTTTTCTAGCACTTAGACCTAAAAGAATTCCTCATATGGGGTTTTATAGAAAAGGCCACCAAGTGACAGAGCAAATAATGTCTTCAGAAACCACAAGAGACAATTTCAATTTATAATTCACTAAAATTCAACATAATGAAAACACTTCTCTGGTGAGAGGTTAGGATACTTACCTGGTTCTAAAGAGAGATACCTTAGTTACATCAGTCAAGTGAACTTGCTCTACAGAAATGACATTAGAACTGAGGCCTGAATGACAAGATGATGCAGCCATTGTAGATCCAGAAGAAGAACATCCAAACAGAAGGAAAAGTAAGTGAACGTTCTTCATATCTGAAAGTATTGAGCAAGTTTGAGGGAGAAAAAGGCCAGTGAACTTCATGGATGAGGCTGAGAGTGGAGGGAGATGATGCTGAACAGGCAGTTGGGACCAGATCATGTAGGGTTTTATAGCTCATGGTAAGAGGGTTTAGCAAAGAGATAAACTTATAATTTATGGCTTTAGAAAGATCAGTCTGGCTACTGCATGAAGAGCTGACTGTAGAGGGAAAAAGTGTGGGCAGGAAAAACATGATAATAGCTTGGAATAAGATAGTCAGCAGTGCAGATGGTGAGAAATAGTCTAATTTGACATATATTTTAGACGTAAAGTCAATAGGACTTGCTGAGAGATTACACATAGGGTTTCAGGGAAATAAAGAATATTAGAATGACTCAATTATTTGCGTTGAACGAATAGCTAGGAGGCCAGGTAGCACTTACTGTGATAGGGAAGACTTGAGGGGAAGGAATTCGGGGTAGAGAAAGACTAAATCAATAGTTTGGTTTGGGTCACAGTTTGTGTGAAGTGCTTTTTACATATACAAGTAGAGTTATGGAGTCTGAAGCTCAAGGGAGAAGTCAGTTAGAGATAGAGATTTGAAGTTTTCTGCGTATAAATGGTATTTTAAAGCCAGGGGACTCAATGAGTTCATCCAAGAAGAGTACAGACAGAATAGAGATAAGAACCCCAGAGCACGCCAAAATCTGATGTCGAGGAGAAACAGCCAGACAAGGAGACAGAAAGGTAAGGACAAACCAGGTGAGTGTGGGATCACAAAGCCTAGAGAAGAAAGTGTTTAAAGAAGTATGAAGGATTGACCATGTCCAATTCAGCTCAATAGTTCAGTTAGCTGAATACACTTCGACCTTGGAAATATGTAGGTCATTGGTGACTCTGATAAAGGCTGTTTAAGTGGAGTGATATAGAGTCTGAAGAAAATTAGAGCAGAGTTGAGGAGAGAAAGGGAGCTAAAGAAGTGGAGACAGGAAATGTAGATCTTACTTTTAAAGGTCTTTTTGTGAAGGCATTAAAGAAAGGGGGTGGTAGTTAAAGGGACATGTAGGGCCAAGGGAGAGCTGGGTTTTTTTTTATTTTTAGTAGTTGTTATAAAGGCATATTTGTATGCTGATGGGTTAGATGTAAAGGAACATCAGAATTTGATGTTGCAAGAGAGAAGCATAGGAAAGGAGATGGGATACAGAGGACAAATGGAAGGGTTGGCCTTAGAAACTATGCCACTTCCTCCACTATAATAAGAGGGAGGTAGTGTATGTGGGCACAGATGCAGGTGGGTTAAGGAAAAATGCAATAACTCTCCTCTGATAGCAAAAAGGAAGGTCATAATCCCAGGGCATGGGATGTGTAGAGCATAGTGGATATTCAAGTAGGGAGCTAAAGGTTTGAAAGAGTTGACCCAGAAACCAAAAAGTGAATTTGCTAAATGTATCATAGGATCCTCTGGCACGGTCCGTTTCAGGTTTGTGATCACAAATTTAAAGTGAACTGATCAGCATGGTTTACAATGTTCTTAACAACATTCCACTGTTTGGATGCAAGCAAAGGAGGAATTAGAGGATATACATTTCACCAGGATTGCAGTTTTGCCAGGTACGATAAAGGGGAAGGCAGCAGAGGAATGGGGGGTATTGGAAGGAGAGAGTTTATGGCACAGAGTAGAAGGAGTCAAGGTTGGAATAAGGTTTAAGGCTACCCAGTAACACAACATCACTGGGCTCCACACATATCCAAAGTGTCTGCCTGGACCCATCGGTATGCCAAGAATTTTCCTTCCCTCCAAAAAGGAAGCTCACTACTGACTTCACCTGGTGCCCGCCACATCTAGAATCCCCCTTCAGGGTTTTGCAGCCAATTAGGAACTGAGTGCTGGGCACCAAACTGGGTAGAAGAGTCACTCCTGAGCGCACACACACTTGCAGTGGAGTCTCAACACTTTATTTAGACCTAAAAGGCTGTGTGGCTGGCAGGAAAATACCCTACACATGCAGAGAGAAGACCTGGGTTTCATCAGTTTCTGTGGCTTTTACCAAATGAGAAAGTTTTTTTCATATCCTGAGCCTCTGTTCCCTCTCATCATAACTCTGGCCTGGCTTAAATTATAGCTGCTTATACAGATCTGATGAGATGGTGAATGTACAACCATTTTCAAGTGTAAAGAATTATGGAGATGTGAGAAATTACATTGTTATTATGACTCGGCAAGGGGGTACCAAATGCAAATCTAAGGCATTTACTGGTGTGAGATTGATTTCAAATGTCAGCTAATATAGGTCACCATGGCTTATAAGCAATTTGCCTTAAAATTAGAAACTTATGAAATGCTCAAGATGAAAGGCAGTACATTTCAAAACAGAGGCAATGGGAAGCAAATTTCTCTCTTTTTTGTGCAACATCCTATGAACCCACGGTTCTCACAGGCCCAGGATATTGCTGCAGTTGGCAGCCTGGTGTATTTTGAACAGCACAGTGCTGATCCCTGGGTAACTCTGTAATCCTGAGTGAGTCACTTTACCTTTGGAGGCCTCAATCGCCTTCTCTGTAAGGTGGGAAGAATTGTACTCCCTCCTGTTCCACTTACAGGGTATCAAGAAGATCATATTATTTTTAAAGGAAAAAAAGAACTGAGAAATACTCTTGGTTACTCTGCAAAGAGGTTGGTGTAAATGTGAAGTGTCACTATTATTAAGTGTGAGGCAATCTTTCCCACCCGCATCATGTCCCAGCATTACAATGTGAGCTGTGTGACAGGCTATTTTTAAATTCCCATCTCTGGAAGCATATGGTCCTGCACAGTGCCAAAAAGAGAAAAATGACCTGCTTCAGTTTGTTTGCTTGTTTGTTTTGATCTGATGGAACATTTTCTATGATCCTGTTAAAGGTTGTTCTTTCTACTTTAAACTTTTAAGGTGAGTGCTAAAGATTTTCTATAGCATAGTCTGAAACACACCGTGGCACTACAACTTGCTTAGACAATGATAAGAGGTCATCCCAGGGCGATGGTGTATTTATACAAATCTGCATTTTTTGTGTATCATCTAAGACTTTTCAAAAATATAGTTTTTTTATTTGTTAACAATTTTTATGCTTTTGTTCTCTAATTTTGGGTAGTTTTGTTTGTTCAGTAGCAGCATTTTTAGGTAAATTTTTTTTTGCAAATAGTAGTGCATTTATTTTATAAAATAAAGCGATTCCTTTTCTTTAATTTTCTTTAATGTTACCTACATAAAAAGAAGTTGTTTCAAAGTTATCCTGATTGTTTATTGTCATTTCTTTTATGTTTTATTAATATCAATTGCTATTGACTGAAGCCCTTTCCCATGACAAATATACAGTATATCTGTTATAAACTTCATTTTTGCTGCCCCCTTGACCTGACCTAACTTTACCTCCTCTCTTGTGCTATTTGGCAAGACTATCCTGAATCTTGTCAAACTTCCCACTCATTGAATTTGATTTCTGACACCAAATTCCTGGAAAGATATCTATCTGATCAGTTGGAAAAGAAAAGAGATAAAAACACCTATTTCACAAGTTTCACGGGACCTGACCTTTGCGCAAGAGCAAAAAATTTCCCCAGTTGAGGTAAATAAGGTTCCCACAAGCTTTTTTTCCTTTTTTCTTTTTCTTTAAGGTCCAGGATTCAACTCTCTTGTCTTTGGGTCAAGTGATAGCTAAAACTAGAATTGATGAAGTTTCATGGCATTTAACCAATGAAAAAGGTAATTTAAAAGGAGGGTGCTAAGGAAAACTCAGAAAGAAAGACAGGGCCTGCATCTTCAGCTAAATGATGAAATCAAGAACACGTAAGAGGAGTTTGAAGTGTTCTGTGTGATCCTGGGGGCCAATAAGAAAGCCAATTGAGGAAATTCACAAAAGCGCAAAATTAAAAAAAAATTATGAAGTTACAGACATATCCAACATTGGGAAGCTCTTCCTTAAGCAGCGGTGACAAAACTCTCCAGCAGTCATGCCGTACCCATAAAGACCTTCTTCAGGCCAGGGCACAGTGGCTCACATCTGTAATCCCGGAACTTTGGGAGGCTGAGGTGGGTGGATTGCTTGAGGTCAGGAGTTCGAGACCAGCATGGCCCACATGGTGAAACCCTGTCTCTACTAAAAATACAAAAATTAGCCGGGTGTGGCGGTGTGCGCCTGTAGTCCCAGCTATGTCAGGAAGTCGAGGCACGAGAATTGCTTGAACCTAGGAGGTGGAGGTTGCAGTGGGCCGATCATGCCACTGCACTCCAGCCTGGGCAACAGGGTGAGACCCTGTCTCAAAAAAAAGACCTTCATCTTCTCTGTCTACTTTATCACCTGGCATCGTCTCACCTCCTCCAACTTCTCCACACCATTAATGATCTCCCCCTCCTCTGTACTTCTAGGGGATTCAGAGGCTCTGGGCATCATTTAAATAGTAAGTACTTCACAGACTTGAGGTGTTACATATCTGTTTTTAGGGGATGTGTCTTGGTCTCCCAACAATGAGTTGTAAGTTCCTGGAGGGTAGGGACCATGTCTCACATTTCTTTTGAACTCCCTTGGTGCTAGCACATTGTTGGGCACAGAAGAGTAGCAACACTCCTTCACATTCATGGCAGGCTTTAGCGTTTACAAAGCACCTCCACCTGCCATTCATGCAATGTTCCCAACAACTAGGTGTTGTCCGCAAGGCAGATAATGAATAGTATCTGATGGGTGAGGAAACTGAGGTTCAAAGAGCTCATTACACCTGCAAGTGCAACAGAATTTATAGTCCAGTGCTCTCCCAGTAATAACCATTAGATGAGTAGATAAAGAACAGATCTTGCAGTTCAAAAATGTGTGGGTAGCCAAAGGGAAGTGGCCACGTATTCGGCTACATGCCCTGTCATGCTGATGTAGATTGACTTCCAATACAGGCTAGAGAATTCTCTTTGTATGGATGGACTCAGTCTGAGTGACACATGGTCCATGTCTCTTTGACTCTGGCCATGTTCTGCAAATGAGATGAGATTCCAATAAGAACCAAGAACGTTTTGGGATGTGTTTCTATGGAAGCCTAGATAGAGATCAGTAATCTCAGACATCACTCTGGGCAACCTCTGGGCCTGTCCATCTTCAGGCATCTAGAAATCTGTGCCCAAGGCAGACAGAAAAGACTGGGTCCTGGAAGAAGCCTCAGGCACCAATTGGACCTCAGTGTTCTTCACTTCTTTAACTGCTAAATTCACCCAATCACATTTAAATAAATTTTATAAGACTTTGAAAATGTGTTTCTGTTCCTCTAGAAATTACCTCTAAATTTTCTAGTATAAACGTCTGCCAGCTTTGTTCAGCCAAGTTCCTTTCCCCCTCTTTTCTTTGACAATGAAAGCAGCTTTGGTGCCAACGCTCAGAACTGGCAGGTGTTTGATGACACATGTTCTGTGATAAATGTTTATTACATAAGTTCATTCAAGCTAGCTACCAGAGCTTTTGAGGCATCATTGCTACTTATCATAAAATTGTCCTTGAAAACCAGAAGCCCAATATATTCCCAAAAGCTCTATTTTTTTTTCTTTCTTCTTTTAGGTTCTCTGTGTTCTATCGACGTCTGGTGCAATGGAGAAGTCAGGAGATGGTACTTGAATCCTGACTCTGTCACAAGCTGGCTGTGTGACCCTGGGAAAGCCACTTCTGTACTCTGAGCCTAGTTGCTCATTTGTAAAATGAGGAGGTGGAAGCTGTGATTGCCAGGGTCTCTCTAATTTCTGACGTATCCCGATAAGAGGACAAACTGGTGGGGAAAAAAAAAAACCAATTTCAGTCAAGCAGAAACACATGCTTGCCTTTCCTTACCCAGAATGTGCTTTACATAACCGAATTTGCTTCCTTTTTTACTGGCTTGCACTCCAGTAAGGAGGCAGGGGAGCAGCACGGCTGGCAGCAGCTTGGAGAGGGTGCAGTGTGCAGGGATGGATGTGGGGAGGGGATGCTGAGGGAGGCTTCGCTGACGAGTGAATGAGGCACAGGCACCATGAACTACTAGAGCTTTGTCACACTTCTTATTACTGTGATTATGTTATATTAGAATGAAAAGACCTGCAGGGTATTTAAAGTGCAAAAACCTAGAGAAGAACTATTAAGAAACTTCCAGTCCCATGATTATTCTAGATAAAGCATTCAGAAACTTTAGTTATGCAAATTAGATTCATTTTTGAAGAAAATACTTACATATTAAGAATTTTACGGCTGGGCGAGGTGGCTCACACCTGTAATCCCAGCACTTTGGGAGGCCGAGGAGGGGGTGAATCACCTAAGGTTAGGAGTTCGAGACCAGCCTGGCCAAAATGGTGAAACCCCATCTCTACTAAAAATGCAAAAATTAGCCGGGCATGGTAGCACGCACCTGTAGTCCCAGCTACTGGGAAGGCTGAGGCATGAGATTCACTTGAACCCAGCAGGCGGGGGTTGCAGTGAGCCAAGATCGTGGAACTGTCCTCCAGCCTGGGTGACAGAGCAAGACTCTGCCTCAAAACAAAAAAAAAAATTTAAAAATTATCAGCTTGATATTTTTTCCTCCAAAACTTTCAACTAGCCCATGCGGAAACATGTTGTAGGTCTTTTCATGCATTAACGTTTGTACCAAAAAAAGCTCACACACTGTTATTGTCTCCATTTTACAGGTGAGAAAACTGAGATGCTAGCAGGCCCAGCACCCTGTCAGAAGATTCAAATCACAGTTGGCAACGTTGAGAGTTAACCCAGATCCCCTTGCCTCCGGGTCTGGAACTCTCTGCTACTGTGCTCTAAGGCATTCTTCCACACTGCTCCACAGAGGGCTTTTCTTGGCCTCAGGCAGAGAGATGAGTAATTATCTGTAAACCGGAATCAGGGTTTATCTCTCTGCTGTCTAAAGTACTAATGTACAATCACAGACTGTCAGAGCAGTAAAGTTCCCTAGATATCATTTAAGTGTTTTTCCTCAGCTGAGTACCTCAGTGGTACTCTCTGGTGCTTTTGAACAAGTTAGTGGCAAAATCAGCACTGAAATCCCTTAACTCCCACTTTATACTATTTATGAGACTTGGTATTAAAAAACAAAGTGAAGCCAGGCATGGTGGCTCACGCCTATAATCCCAGCACTTTGGGAGGCTGAGGCAGGTGGATTGCTTGAGGCCAGTTCAAGACCAGCCTGGCCAACATGGCAAAACTCCATCTCTACTAAAAATACAAAATTTTCTGGGTATGGTGGCACACACCTGTAGTCCCAGCTACTTGGGGGGCTGAGGCAGGAGAAACACTTGAACCGGGAGGCAGAGGTTGCGGTGAGCTGAGATCATGCCACTGCACTCCAGCCTGGGTGACAAAGCAAGACTGTCTCAAAAAAATCAATCAATCAAACAACAACAACAAAACAAACTGATTTAGAAGATCAATCACTAAATAAATAGAGTATCAGGAATTATTTTTTTCAAGTTACTTAATAATCCTGCTGGCCAGGATTGGACAGAGTTAACTTTTGCCTCAATTTCTTCAATGACTTTCATTACCAACCTCACCAATATCATGTAGAGGGACTGAGGCAGAAGGAACTGTTACTGCCTATGAGTCATCCATTCTTGACCTTCAGCATGTTTTGAAAATGTGTTGTGAAATGCTTAACAATCAATAATTCCATCACCAGGCAGTATGAGGCTGGGAGTTATGCAACAGGCGGAACAGGGCATTACTGCTACATCATTCAGGAGACTCCAAATATCTGTTGTGCTCAGAACCCTCAGCAGGACCTAAAGACACAAAGTACCCATAAAAGTTATTTTTTTTTTAAAAAAAAAAACAAAGAGAAGATGGAAGACAGAGGAGAAGTGAAAGTAGACTTCTTTCCTTGCATTGGATCAGTAAAGTGGGACTAGCAGTTAAGTGTGGATACTCTCAAGCTAGCATGTCTGTTCTTTTCTGTCAATGGCTAAGTCACACTCCAATGTTACACTGCTGCTAGGCAACTCTTCTCTGCGCCCTAGACAGTGGCTTCATCTCCAGACATTGCAAGTGTCCTAGGTGAAGGTAGCTAGTACAAAGGAAAGGAGCACAGAACAAGGAGGTGAAGACCCAGTTCAAGTCCCTGGCTGCCACTTACAGGCCTATGACACTGAGAGTGGTCACATTACCTGTCAGATCTCCAGGCCCTTCTGTCCTACCAAGGGTAGATGACATCTGCCCAATAGATTATACCCAGTTCAGAAGTGATGAGGGATGTGAAAACACGTTACAAACTACACAAATGCAAGGGACTATTAGTAGAAACCCATGAATCTGATTTTGCAAGCTCAGATAAAAGGAGTCTCCCATTTAAAGATGGGCACTGGGGTATGACTTGTGGTTAGAGGCAAAATCAACGCCTGTGCCACGCAGGTGACAGAGGAGAATTTTCAGACTCTAATTTGTGCAGTCACCATGAGCTATAAGCTGGAAAATGTTTAACTGGTTCTACAGTGGTGAGAAAGCCCTGAATTATAGGTTTTGCTGATTTCTGTGGTATAAATACTTGCACCATGGCACATTCAAGCTCTCAATGTGACATCAATAACCATGGAGTGAGGAAAAGATGCCCACCACTGTCTCTCCCTTTTATGCAAGTCAACATACTACTGGAAACTTCTCTGGAGGCTTAGGACCCTATAATGAACTTTGCAAGCCTTCTTGACATATGGGACTCAAGTTGTAACATTCAGCCACAAGTGTCTGCTCTAATAATTCAGAGATGGAAATTCTTATTTTTATGGACATCCCTGAGCCCTAAAATGTAGTTCTAACATCCTTAGTAATGTTCTTTTCAAATCTGATGACTTGAGAGATCAGCAAGCACAGTGGAATCCAGCACAGCATGAAAATGGAGTCAGAATCTTAGATCAGGCAGTTGCAGTCCCATCTGTGTGACCTTGCACAAGTCACCTGCCATTTCTGAATCTCAGTTTCTTTGTCTACAATATGGGAAGAGCCCTGGTTTTGCCTGCTTCCAGGGCTATTGTGAGATCAAAGGAAAGAATGCAAGTGCAAGAGTTTTGAGGACAGCAAAATCCTATTTGGCTTTGAATTATTAATATGACTTGCTTAAAAGTTTATTACTAGACTAATCCATGCTGTGCTAGGCAAGCCTTGCACAGGAACTTGAGTCCTCTATCTAGAGCACAAGCCCATACCATGGCTCTGCTAAGTTCAGTCAGGCTCAGGTGGGGCTTGCGAGACATAAAGTGAATGGCCCCTAAGGCCTGTGGAGTAGCTCTATTACATTGGGCCTAGGAGCATCCAAAACTGCTTTTGCCCACAAACTTTCACAACAAGTAACTTGTGGAGGTTAAAAACATGATCCAGCCCAGACACCATCATTCTAGGGCTTTACCATTATCCCTGAAGAGCTGGGCAATGGACTATGCTCAAAAATTTTCCCCAACCAACTTTGAGGCCATATTTAAGGCTAGGGTCTGTTGGCGGGGGTGCCTGGGTGGGGGTCTGCATTTTAAACAAGCACCCCAGTTAATTCAGTTACAAGCAGGACTTGGTCAAAAAAAATTTTATATGGTGTGAAACTTGATGGAGCAGAACAAGGAAAAGATTCTCCATTGATTCTCTGCCAGGTACTTGATAGAAAGCAATACTTTTTGAGGGAAATCCTGGCTGTGCAGGGAGATACCTTTATAATCCACTTCCTGGTCAGGCTTCTTTCTTTCCTTCATGCAATATCACTGCCCTTAGCTACCCAAACACACATAAGATGAATAAAATATACAGCTGTGCCTAGGTTGGGCACACAGAATGCCAGCCACTGAGGCTTCTGCTAACAGCATAGCCACTCACTGTCTGCCATCCAGCACCCACCCAAAGCCAGCACAAAGAGATGATTTCAGAGAGGTTTGTCTAAAGCACTGTCTATCCACTCAGTCCTTTATATATCCTAAAGGAAAAGTTCTGTTGATCAACACAACACCTATTGATTCTGTATCACCAGTTAACATATCCTAAAGACAACCTTATTGCTCCATGTACAGCATTATTCTATCTTTCATCTGCCCATTTAGTCAACAAATACTTATCAGGCTCCAACTGTGTCAAGCACATATATAGAGCTGGAAATCTAGGATGACTGAGGTTCCGTTCCTGTCTTTGAAAAGTTAGTCTTGGAGAATTCAGAAACTAAGCAAACAGTTGCAGCACCATGTGGTAAGTATAACTGAGATTTACACAGGTATTGGGGCATACAAAGGAGGGAAAACCACACTATGGTGGCTGTTGGAAGGGGATCAGGAAAGCTTCCTAGAATAGGAGGGGACCAGGTTTGCAAAGGTGGCAGGAGTTCTGGACAGAAGTAGTAGCCTGTGCAAAACATGGCCACAGGGGCAGCGATGTGCACCGGGGGAGCAAGTAGCCCGTGTTACTGGAACAGAGAATCTGTCAGGGGTGTGGCAGCAGATCAGACTGAAAACCAAGCAGGTGAAAGTCTTCATCTGCCAGGCCATGAGTTTAGATTTCACCTTGAAAGCAACGGGCAGCCTATTCAGAAAGACTAGGTTTGCATTTTTTATAGATGAGTTTGTAGAGAGGTAGTGTAGAGAACAAGCTGAAACAATAAGAAAGCAAGTTAAGAAGTCATCGAAATAGGCTAGATGAGAGACGATAGGGACCAGAACTGAAGCAGGGGTGTTGGAGGTGAAGAGGAGAGGAAGGATTTTGAATAAATCAACGAGACAGTGTCTCCAGGATTCACTGGGTGTGGGCTGGAGGTTGGGGTGAAGTCATCTAAACAACCTGAGATTTTCTGACAGGGAGAGCTTATGTGTGTGATGCTTTAACCAAGATAATAAACACAGGGAGAGGAACCAATTTCAGAAAGAAGTTAATGAATGCAGTTTGGAATATGTTCAGTTTAGGATGACTCTGAAATATCCAAGTGAAAAAATTTAGTCACTAGTTAATATGCGCTTGCAGTTCAAAACAAGGAATGAGATGGAAATATAAGAACTTTTTTTCATTAGATGTAAAACTCTTGCTAAAGACATATTCATTACTCTTCTAATGAATATACTCAGATAATGTACTCAGTGATACATTCCTTTTCAAAATTAATATTAGGAAAAATGTCTCTCAAATAATCAGGACACATACTTCAATCAGAAAAAGAATATTATGTACGTCATCATGTTTACTTTTTTGTCCTGCCTGCCAGGAAGCTCAGTTTATATTTCATGCTCAGTTGCAGTAACTACACCAAGCCTTAGAACATAACACATTGGCTTTCTCGCTATTGTTCTAGTTTTATCTTCTTATTTGCAGTGTAACATCCCATTGCATGTCCCGTATATTGAAAGCTGCCTCTACTTCTCTCTGGTAATAAAAAGTATGTATGTTTTCACTTGATATTATTAAGTTAAGGTTGAGCCCTATTTATTTCAAATATTTTTAAGGCTCCCAAAAAGCAGCTTTTTTTTTTTTTTTTTTTTTTTTACAGTCTATGACAGTGGCTATTTTTTCCCCAGATAAAAGAGAGAAAATTAAACAACAGCAACAACAACAAAAAAACCCACCCTCTTTGGAAAGGGAATTGATCCTCAGGGACTAGTTAGAGCCAAAGGAGCCAGAAGCTTATAGATCATTACAAAAAGCTAGAGCCATTGACTCAAAAAGAGCATCCGAATGGTATGAGGAAGAAAACCTGAGCAGATGAGTTCCGACCCAGCCCCTCTCCTACTTCTCAGCCAAGTGGAACGCTTTACTCCCAAGATGAGGTAGGGCCATGACGAAAATAGCATCAGAGAGGGTTTGAGTACATTTCTTTCAAGTTATTAAGAGATATCCTTAACCTTAGAGAAAAAAAAAAGTCATCATCATGATAATTTTTATCATTTAACAATGCCCTTGAATCCATTATCTACCTGAGTCTTCTCCAGTGTTCTGATGGGTAGGTTAGGGCAAAAACTGCCATCGTTCATACTTCATAGATCCATATATTCCCACATAATGTCACCTCGGGCCACTTTTAGGAAACACCTATCAAGCTGGGCTTACTTCCCTTCATTAAGATCATTCACAGTTATGAAAGTAGAATAACAAGGCTGGGCGCCGTGGCTCACACCTGTAAAACCAGCAGTTTGGGAGGCCGAGGTGGGTGGATCACCTGAGGTCACGAGTTCAACACCAGCCTGGCTGGTGAAACACCCTCTCTACCAAAAATACAAAAATTAGCTAGGTGTGGTGGTGGGTGCCTGTAATCCCACCTACTTGAGAGGATGAGGCAGGAGATTTCCTCGAACCCGGGAGGTGGAGGTTGCAGTGAGCTGAGATTGTGCCATTGCACTCCAGCCTGGGCAACAGAGTGAATCTCAGTCCCAAAAAAAAAAAAGTATAATAACAAGAGCAAATGATATTACCTGATTTTTGCCCTGCACTTTCAGATTCTAGAGCACTGCCACCTCCATCATAATATGTGACCCTCACAGCCATCCTCTGAGGTAAGCTAGGGAGGATTTATTATCCCCATTTCACAGATAGAAAAACTGACACTCAGAGATGTGCAGTAACAAGTTGCGCTCCCTCTTAGCTGCCTTTGTAGAGTTAAAAAAGGGAACATGGAGACCATGTGCTCCTGGATGTTCCTCCACGGAGCCCAGCAGCTTTGGAATCCTCTCGAGCTTTCAGGAGGAGCCCCTACTTCAGGCTTCAACAGCTCATTTACTGGCATAGTGAGATGCTAATGATAGAAACCACCAAATGGACAGTTTTAACTAATCTGACTTCCCCCTTCACTAATGAATGCAGCCACTTTGTCCCACAAAATCAGTAGTGGGTTAGAACCCCTTCTTTCCTTCTGGTAGAATTCACCTGCCTCTGGTTTCATCAGCCAAGAGGCCTGAGAGCAGCCAATCAAGAAAGCAGCAATCAAAGTAATTTTTAAAGGAGTTGATGAAATTAAGAACATTGGGTTTTATTAAGCCAGGTCCAGAAGACCTTCCTAGCTGTGAGACCTCATGCAAGTCATTTCACCTCCCTGTGTCTTACTTCCATCTGAAAAATGGGTCGAAAATAAGCCCCGTCTGACTCACCATGTAGACTAGTTCTAAGATCATAGTTAGGTGTTATTAGCACCTTGTAAATATGTTCTCAGAAGGCGAGGGGTACTCAGTTCTATCCATGCAGGAATTTCCAAACATGTAACTCAAGGGGCAGAGAGGTAGCCTAGGAAAAGCATGGGCCTCATGGGACACAGACTACTAGGTGTGGCACGTGCAGTGACGCCTGCATTGTGGTGAGAAGAGAGACACAGGGATGCCACAAGCAGCTACACAAGACCCCTTTCCACATGTACCCAGGCTGACAAAATCACCAGAAAATACAAGCCTTTAAAAGAATCAATTAGTCCCACAATTTTATTCCCCAGGGAAGATAAAATTTACACGCTTCCTGTAATCAATCAATCCCACAAACCTCTTGAAACTTCAGTCAGAAAATTTGCAAACTGCTAAGCAATACACAACTTTTTTTATAGGTGGCAGACTAGAGGTGGGAAGGGAACATCAGGCTCTTTGATACATGTAAACGAAAACATGTTGGTCTTTAAAGAGTTATGATGAACTCTCGGTTTTTCAATAGGAGACTAGAATTTTAAAATCATAGACAGTAGAGCCAGAAAACCTCTTAGAGGCCATTTTCTAATGTATCCTCCCCCCACCCATTTTACAGAAAAGGAAACTAAAACTCAGACAGACGTGACCTGCTTCCAGTTATACCACAAGGTAAAATCAGATAAAATCATGAGCTGTGTCCCTTTCTGCATTTAACTCAGCACACATTTACTAAGCACCAACCAAATTCTTGCTGAAGAAACAAAGATGGATAAGTCGCAGAATGCATCTTCAAGGAATTCAGAGTCCATTAGGGAGACAGACATATAAGCAGATGATTCCAGCACAGATTGGCATGTGCTATATTAATGATACAGAGTGCTATGAGAATACACAGAATTGGGAGTGGCTAATTCTGCCTGGGGTTGCCAGGAAAGTCTCCATCCAGGAGTGGGCATTTGAGTGCATTGACAGATAGAGTGGAAGAGCATTCCAAGCAAAAGGAAAAGAGTGAACTAAAGCAAGGGGACGGGAGAGAACACAGCTTGTGTGGAAAGCCCCACACAAATAGTTTGAAACAGCTGGAGGGTTTATAGAAGGTGCTGCAAAACCACCTCAGGGGATGTCACTAGGTCACAGCTGCCACCCTCCACCTCATTTGGCATGCTCCCTGGGGCTACGGCCTGTGTCCACCTAATGGGCCAGTATAACACCTGGCCAAGTGCCGATGGCATGGTGGGGCTTAATGAATTCCCTTTGAAGATGAGAGGATTGTGAGGGAGAAAAGAATTTGCCACTCAAGTGAGTCAACTGGAACGGAAGGTGTGTCCTGGCTTCTGAGACCTAGCACTCTGGCTGGTTGACCAGACAGCCGAGGTCACCTCCCCTGGGGCCACAGGGTTCTACTTGGGAACATCAAGTCTTTTTTCAGCAAGTTGTTCCTAAGCCACAACACTCTGGCTCACCCCCTGCCTTTGTAGTTTTACCAGTATAATTGATCCCAGAGCTCGGTTTCTGCCATACCCCTTGGTTTCCTAGGGAGTGATGATATATGCAGGCCTCCTTGGAGCTGCAGCACAGCCCAGGCCTCCTGGGGGAGAACACGGAGGGATATGTAAGAGGCAGACATAAATAGTCTTGCACTGCAGTAGTCATCCTTTTGGGTGCTCTGAGCTTCCTGTCCTGAGCTAAGATTTTCCTCTGGGGTTAGCTGAGGCACAGAAAGATAAACAAAGCTTTAAAGTGACTCCCCTCATTGGAAAGCTACAAGCACTTCCAAGACACCATTTTTTCCTACCTTCTGATAAGCGTGTCTAGGCTTCCCATCATCACACCCTGTGAAGAATCCGTAAGGTGTGTATGGGAAGAGGAGAGACCACTTGAGTATGAGACGTCTTTCAAGTGCCCTCCCACATATGCTAGGTCTACAAAATGTCAAAACAGCCAGGCAAATCATGCCAGGATTCATCATGGCAGGGGGAAACCAGTCACCCCTGATACTCACCATTGAGCAGCCCAAACAACTCTTAATGACTAAGGTTTTTTCCACTTACACCTGGTTCTTTTGCTTTCACCACACAATCGTGTTAGCAAATGAGATCCTTGAGTAAGCAAAACAGGTCCTTCACCGATTATCTTGTAAAAACACATTCCATATCCTACTACAGATATTTAGAGCAAGCAACATTTATTCACCTAGGTTTTTCAAAACACGCCTCCAAGCCATTTTTACCATGTAGTTGCTATGATCTGAAAAATCAAGTGTGTGCACAAGCAGGCAGCCAATGGCTTGCGAGAGAAGGATAACTGGGCAAAGAACAAAATTAAAAGCAAGTCACAGATGCAGAAAATGCACTTACAATTTATGTAACTGGATTAGTACCCAGAACACAGGAGGAAGAAAATTCTACACATCCATAAGGAGAAAAAAACATAGAAATAAATGATCAGTCTATATCAACAAGGAAAACTCTGAAAAGGAAATAATCCTAAAAGAAATGGAAAGATGCTTAACTTCACTGATACTCAAAGAAATGCAAAATAAAAAATTAGGAGATGCCATTTCAGACCCATCAGATTGGCTAAAATTTTAAAAGTCGGACAACATGAAATGTTTGACATGATAAAGCAATGACAAAACATGTAGACACTGATGATAGGACTGTAAATGAAAAAAAGCCATTTTGGATAGAAATTTGGCAATATCTATCAAATTTGAGGTTTAGTAGACCTTATATCTTAGCAATTCCACTCTTGGTATACAACCAAGAGAAGCTCTTGCATACAACCAAGAGAAGCTCTTGCATACCTACATAAAAAGCCTTGTATTTAAGAGAATTGTTTTTAAAAGAAAAAAGTAATTTAAAAGTTCATTAGTAGGAAAAGGCTTTATAAATTGTGATACATTCATATGAAGGGATATTATATCAAATTTAAAGTGAGTGAACTGAAACTAACGTATCAATATTGATACATCTAAAATAATAATGTTGAATACAAAAGCAATTTTTAGAATAATCAATATTATTCATGCAAATTTTAGTAACATGAAGTAATACTATATATTGTGTTGTACACATACTTACGGAGTAAATCTACCAAACATGGACAGGACAGACGCATACATCTTTGAGACGGTAGCTATTCTGGGGAGGAAGGAAAAGGGCTGGAAGGAGGCAAGCGACAAAGGATACAGTTATTTTTGGATTTCGCTTCTTTAAAAAGCTGAACCAGGTATAAGGAAATGTTAACATTCTCAAAAAATCATGGTGGTGGGAATGTGAATGTAAGGGTCAGTATAAGTTAGGTTTTGCTGCAATAACAGAAACCCCAAATCTCAATGGCTTAAAAGAGCAAAGATTTCTTTTTTTATTTCATACATTGTAGGTTGGCAGAAGGTGCTGCTTGTTGTTGCCACTCAGGGACCAAGGCTGACAGAGCAGTCACCACCTCCTTGCTGGCAGCTGCACCAGAAGGAAAGAGAGAGCAATTACATGCTCCAGATTGGAAGTGACACACGCTGTCTCCTTTCACAGCTAAGTGGCCCAGACTAGCACCTGGATTTACCTTGCTCAAGGGCCAGGAGTGCAATTCTACCATGTTCCCAGAAATGGAAAGAACTGGAAATATTTAGCTAACAGCGTGAAACTTCACTACGATGGATGTTTGTTACAGTACTTGTCATCCTTTTTTACATGTTTGGATTATGCTTCATATTTTACACAATGGGAAGAAAAGCCCTGGTTTTTAAATCAGGAAGGGTGAGTTTTAGTCTGAGAAACAGAAGGTGAAAGAGTCAGTGGGTGGTGGACAGCAGTGGACAGAGGCTGTCAGTCCCATATATCTGCCTATTCCCAGGCCTGTCTCCATGACTGTAATATCCACAATGATGCTGCAATTATCCCTTCTCCAGAAATGCATGTCCATGTAAATGACCCCAAGCAGGTTGACCTTCTTTGCTTTTGTTTCTATCCACTGAGGCTGAGTAGGCAATAGGAACCCTGATACAAAGAGATGTGGTATGCAGGTCACGGATTATAAGGTCCAAAGACTTCACTAAGTCAGTCCCAGCTCTGCCACTCACACTTCCTGTCACCTTGGGCAAATTGCCATAGTGCCCATGTCTATTTTCCTCCTCTGTAAAATGGGCATAACAATAACACTAAGTCTCTGAATAGTTGTGATAAACAAATGAAGTATGTAAAGTGTTTTGTAACTGTAACGTGCTGTACAGAAGGTCACTGTTACTAAAGACCCAAATTTCACTGCAAGGGAAGCCTCAGTCCAGATTTACATTTCTGGCCGACAATGACTCACACAACTTCCTTCACCAGAGCCACCTGGTTGACAAAATAGACCCAGGCATCATTCTGTGGTCCAACTACTTGAAGAATCTATTGATTTCCCCTTGCGAAAGTGAGTCTGGGAGCGGGGATTAAGCATTACTGCAGATTCCCCAGGGGAGAATAAAGGGAGAGGCTATGATTCCTGTGAACACGGCCTGAATGGGGAGATGCTCTAGGCCTGGACTGAAGCCTGGGTCTCTGGGACCCATGGAATATTGGAGCTGGAAGAGCACACAAGGGAAACAGTGATCTTTCCCATCATTTTTGAAATGAAGAAACTTAGGCCAGGAGGGCCAAAAAGGATGGCCCTTCTCAAACAGCAAGAGAAAGATAATCAAGAGATCTGAGATTTATCCCGGGATCTTCTATTAACTCAGGGCAAGCCCCTTTTTACCAAATGCCTGTTTCCTCACAGGCAATTCAGGGATTGAACCTGACCTCCATGGTGATTTCTAATGCCTGTTACCTTAAGTGACACTCAGTTCTATTACATGTAAAATGCAGTAGAGTTCTCCTGAAAAGTGAGCTTTCTGGTCCAGGTATTGACTTTGTAGGTTTGGCTCTCAGGAGTTATCTTCTTGTCCCCCTATTCACTCTCTGAATGCCACCTATTTTCCTGCTAAAAAAATGCTTCTTGGTGTCTTGCTAATTTTTTTCTTAGACCTTGGAGCCTTCATGCTCTGGACTTTCCTCTTACCTAACAAATATTCTTACCTGCCACTGTTACCTGCTCTGGGGGCTTGGCCAGAATAGCCTTCAGTGGGTAGCAGAGAACATGAGACATAAGTCTTGCCCCCAAAGTCACTCCCAGGGGATGCCCTGTATGGCAATATTGCTGCTGATAACATTTCCCCAGAGATCACAGGAAGCTGCGCAACCAGATGCAAGTGTATGTCTGATCTACAGGCAGCAGGTGCATCCTGCTTTGACAGGAGACGCAAACTCTACAGGAGGATCTCTCATGCCATATTACCTGGGGCCTTGCCCCTGAGGCTGACACAGTTTCTCCTCAGAGTTTGCACTAACTCATTCTGCCAGCAAGTCCCAGGAACAGAGAAAAGACTAATGCCTCCATCCATAATAACAAAAGGTAGCCATCACACCTGCAAGGCACTTCTTAGTCTGCAAAGCACTTTCATACCCATTAGCTTATTTGATTTTTATGAAGAACTGAGAGGTAGCTGGGGAAGGGATTTTTCTCCTGTGTTATAGATGAGAAAGTTTATCTGAGGCCCAGAGAGGTTAAAGAATGTAAGGTCAGATCTTTTGATTCTAATTCCTGTTCTTTCCCCATGGTACTACTGAAGTATTATCATCTTATTATAAAATTATATTAACAATCAAGCTAGAGGGTCTAAATCACTCTCAAATATATAGATACTCATCAGCTCTCTTTTGCCCTTCAATTAACAATTTAGGAGGAGAAACCATTTCTGAAACCAAAACAGCATTTACATTGTGGTTTGTGTATTATCTGGTGTCTAGAATCCAGGTCTTTAGTTAACCTTTTCACCCCTTGTCCATTTTCACCCCTAACTGGGTTTTTATTTTGATCAGTACAACTGGAGAAGGAAAAGCAAATGCTGTTGTACTCGTCATCATGTGGGTGTCCGCAACCTCAAAATGTCTCCTTAAAGGGATTTCCAAGGTTGAAGGTCATAACAGGAACTCTGTACTGTCTAAGACCTGTAATGATTCCCTATTGCTTAGAGGGGGCTGAGAACCAGCAGCATCAGCATCATCTGAGAGTTTATTAGAAATGCAAATTTTCAGGTTCCACTCCAGACCAACTGCATCAGAATCTATATTTTAACAAGATCCCTCAGGTCACTGGTAGAGTCCTTTATTTACCCCAACTGCCTGTGAAGGCAACACTGTCCAGTTATACATTCTCACTTCACATCTCGCCTTTGCTCCTGCAATTATTCCTTCCCCTTGTTTGTCCTTGGACCAAATCCTTCCCATGCTTTAAAGTCTGTATCCTCCAAAAAGCCAAGCCAGAGCTTCCCAGGAGGGAGTAAACTTTCCTTCCTCTAAATCCCAGTGCCACAGGCCCTGCACTTTCTATCTTAGATTATGATTTTTATGATCATGATTTATCTCCCTCTTTAAATTATGAGCTCTTCAAAGTCAAGATCGAGGTCTGATTCATTCCTATATTTCCGAAAGCAACGCAATACTTTGCACAGTTCCTACTGCAAATTAGTTCCCCAATGCATTTGTCCATAATATTTCTTTCTGTTTCTAATTGAGGTATCTAGAGAGATTAAGAAATTCAGGTTATTTTTCTTATTACTTTAGTCAACAATTATCATATATGATTATAATCTAGACTTGGAAATATTTACCTAAAATATTCAGTCACTATATTCAAGCATACATACACACACTCCCCACCACAAATACACACAAACACTTTGCTCATTTCATTTGTTTTTCATTGTTAGGAGAGCAGTTGGTCAGAATTTATTGAAAGTACGGGTGAAATGACTGCTACACACATTTTATGATCTTACCAAGAAAAAATTAAGAACTTGATCCTGTTATAGAATGGAACATAGTATCCAGATCTCAGAGTCTCTATCACGATCTGCGTTTGGGACAAGTAAAGGTCCCCTGGCCCTTGTTCAATTGCTTAATGGAAAAGACTCCAAAGACAGAATGCCACTGGTGTTCTTCCAATTATAGAATCATCTGATTAGAATTACAGTAAATGCATAGCTCAGTTTGCATTGTCCTGAGGTGAACCGCAAACCAAGCTGCTCTGGTTGGAGCATCGGAGGGTACTGAATGCTGAAAGCCCACTACCTCATCTCAGCGGGGCACTCATACAAGGGCTAACTTGGAAAGGGACAGATACCAGTTAGGATATTCCACTTCTGGGGACCCTGGAGCTCTGGGGGCCAGAGCTAGATGGATTATTTAATTAATGTTTAGTAGAAATAGTCAAATAGCACACACTCTAGACATTAAGCCAATCCAGACCTTTGGACTGAATTGGAGGGAAGATTTGTCTTCGTGACTATTTTAGAATTAATTATTCTAGTTTATTTCCAGCCTGTCAGCATTGAGTCTTGAGAGGTGGTCTGTAAAACACAAGTTTTTCCAATCATGGGGTTGTGTTGTGGTCCCATGGGTTTTCTTGCTCTGTCTGGCCATAGAAGAACAGATCAGGAATCCTACAGAAGAATCCCAAATCCATTCCTCCCCTTCTACTTATTTCAGTTACAGCTAGAGGGTTGGGACTCATTCGTGTGTTAGAACCAAACCTGACTATTGTGTTATTATTGCTTCTAATTTAACTACCAGACTGTTAAACATTACTGCCCCAAGCTCAGCCAGGGGTGGGCACTGCACTTTGAAGCCACCAAGTCAATAGTGCTATTGGATGAAACTCTGCTCTACTGGACCATGAAATGGGTTTTCAAAGGGACAGAGAATGACAGATGTGTGAGCCGTGAGTAAAACTGTCTCACCAGAGTGGTAACGTTCATAATGGAACAGAAAGAAGCACCACAGTGTGATGGGAATCTGTCCAATCAACAGCACAGCCAGGCCAAAGCACAAACCAGGGAACACTTTGGAGATTTGTTTCCTCATCTACAAAATTCTATTAATACTGCGCATGCTCTCCTGAGACTTACACAACTACATATTTTTTTTTAAGGTAGCAGTTGGAGTCTACTGCTGCAACCTGCTAGCTGGGTGACTTTCAGAGTCTCTGTTTCCTCATCCAGGCCTACCGACCTCACAGAGTTATCATGAGCATCCAAGGAAGTGACATGAATTGGGGTTGCCTTGATTTAAGTTGGGAGGATGATGTCTACTTTCTTATTTTCTAAAAGTCTTCAGTAGAGGAGAGATCAGAAAAGCCCTCTATAAAAGGCTTTCTTAAGTATTAAGGTTTTTGTCACTTTCCTTCCCTGCTCTGGACCAATTGCAGGAATCATAGATGTAATCAAAATCAGGTGATGTTAAAAAAAATCAAATAATTAGCCAGGTGTGATGGCACACACCTGTAATCCCAGCTACTCAGGAGGCTGTGGCAGGAGAATTGCTTGAACCCAGGGGATGGAGGTTGCAGTAAGCTGAGATCATGCTACTGCACTGCAGCCTGGGCAACAGAGTGAGACTCCATCTAAAAAAAAAAAAAAGTATTGAATATAAGCTATATGCACACATACATTTGCACACATCATTGTGAATATCTTGAAAAGAAAAACATTAATCTTCACAAGCAAACTTATCTGTCAGGCAAGTTTGTTCTTAGCTAGAAACTTGGAAGGAGAGTATTGGATAGTAGAGATAAAAGAGAAAGCTCTAATGATTGGCTGTTTGGACCAAATCAATCCATCTGCCCATCTCCACCCCAGCTACTCTTGATCATGCTGTTCATCACCTTTCCCTTAGCCTGTACTGATTGAACACTACACTGCCTGTATTATGCATCAAATATAATTTGACATCAGTTTAGAGCCACTGGGCCTTTCTCAACAGAAAATCTTGAAACTATCTAGAAATTATCTATGAAATGCTGGTACTGAAAGTGTTGTGGAGAAAACTTGTTTGTAGTTTGGTTTTAGGTGACAGAACACCAGCAAGAAAGAGAGAAGGCTCTTCCAGACAATAAACATAGGCGACTGGTAGGTCAAGGCCAGGTTAAATGCCACCCAGTGTCCTTCTGGGAGAGCTTCATGTCCTAGGAGCATAGCATGTCAAGGCTACCAAGACTCAAAAATCACGTACCACCCACCTTGCTTTAGATATGGGGAAACAGGGCCTCAGATTGTGGACATGACCACGTCCAAGGTCACACAGCCTATGGCAGAACCAAAGCTAGAAATCAAAATGCTATGCTCCAACTTCAGGACACTTGTTCCTACAGCACAGTGACATTCTGTCAGGCTGTCAAGCTCTCAGGGATGGGAACTTATCAAATAACATGGAAATGTTTTCTCATTTGTCTCTGAAGGTTACAGAGTCTGAGCATTCTTAGGCTCTTGTACAACAAACAGGAAGACTGCCAGGGCTTTGGCTCCCAGAAAGTGGCAGTCCAGTGCTGTGGAAATCTGGACTCTAGTCTCAGTTCACACACTAATGCTTGTGTCTGATGCACTTTGGCTCCAAACTGAAACCCCTTTGTAGCCCCAGGAAGAAAAAGGGTGCTACAAATCAAGAAAAAATGGGCCGGGCATGGTGGCTCACGCCTGTAATCCCAGCAATTAGGGAGGCTGAGGCTGATGGATCACGAGGTCAGGAGTTCGAGACCAGCCTGGTCAAGATGGTGAAACCCTGTCTCTACTAAAAATACAAAAATTAGCCAGGCATGGTGGCAGGTGCCTGTAATCCCAGCTATTCAGGAGGCTGAGGCAGGAGAATCGCTGGTACCGGGGAGGCAGAGGTTGTGGTGAGCCAAGATCGTGCTACTGCACTCTAGCCCGGGAGTTACAGAGCAAGACTCCGTCTCAAAAAAAAAAAAAAAAAAAAAAAAAAAAAAACAGAGAGAGAGAGAGAAAATGAAGACAGTTTTCTCTTTTCAGGAGCATGCCGAGGAGCACAGTGATGGTGTCAGTGCCCTGCAGCTCTTCAGAGCCCACCTCTTTATTTAGAGATATGTGAGTATGGAAATGAATACCCACATCTGTCTACTAGAGGCTGACAATATTAAGTCCTGGCCTCTGTGTGTGTGTGTGTGTGTGTGTGTTTGTGTGTGTGTGTGTGTGTGTGTGTGTTTGTGTGTGTGTGTAATTAAAGCTCCAAAGCTCCTCTCTCACTCTAAACATCAACTCCAACTTGTTGAATGAATGTCTATAGACAACTTGTATCTTGTCACTTTTTATTAGATTCTGTATTCTGAAAGTCACGTAAGTGTGTTCTATTCCACTCTACAGATGAAGACTCTGAGGAACAAACATCCTAGTCACACAGCAAAATCCAGGAGTGGAAGTCAGTGAAAGCTCTGAGACCAGGGCTTAGCAGCTGTTTCCCAGGATGAACACAAAGGCATGGCCTGGATAATTGAATTCAGGGACCCCGGCAAGGTGCCACCAGTTTCCCGGCCACCCTATGCTGTTATTTTACTAGAATGTTTGTTATATCAATTGTCTTCTCTTTGTTAATAGCATCCTTCTGAAGCAGTATTATTCCCTGTCCCTATCCCCTACCCCAGCCACTCTCTCAACACACAAACGCGTACACACACACACTCACACACACACACACTCACACTCACACTTGATGTAATTACTCCTATTCAGTGTTCAGATTCAGCTTAAACCCAGTTTCTTCAAATAACCCCTTTCTTATCATCAACACTCCCCTAAAACAATTCCTCCTGTTCTGTGGTCTCTCACACCATCTGTCTTTCCTTCTCAACACTATCCCAGTTTGCAAGCATCCATTGAACTGTGGCCGTCTGATGAGTCTTTGACCACCTTGATGTTGGGGACTATCCATATATATATATATATATATATATTTTTTTTTTTTTTTTTTTTTGAGACAGTTTTACTTTTGTTGTTCAGGCCAGAGTACAATGGTGTGATCTTGGCTCACCATAACCTCCGCCTCCCGGGTTCAAGCGATTCTCCTGCCTCAGCCTCCTGAGTTGCTGGGATTACAGGCATGCACCACCACACCTGGCTAATTTTTTTTTTTTGTATTTTTAGTAGAGGCAGGATTTCTTCATGTTGGTCAGGCTGGTCTCAAACTCCCAACCTCAGGTGATCCACCTGCCTCGGCCTGCCAAAGTGCTGAAATTACAGGTGTGAGCCATTGCACCTGGCCCTATTCGTACTTTTTAGCCTCCACTGTACCTCAACACTTTGCCCAGCACCTAGTGTAGAGGAAACATGCAATGAAGAGCTGATGGGTCAACAGAAGAATGAGCAACTATTCAAGACTTCAGGAATTCCTCTCTTGTGAGTGGGGCTTTCAAAGCTTCTTTCAACTGCTCAACAACTACCCATCATCTGCCAGCCACTCCCACTCTCTATTTATACCTGATGTTTCTTGTACTTCCCTTCAGTGTGCTTGTAGTTTCTACAGCGCTGGTTTTCCTGTCCCAGATTCTTTGTCTATCAAAACACTCACTCTTCAATGTCAGTCTAAAAGTAGCTCTGCAATGTCTTCCTTGAATTCTTCATAGACTATTAAATATCCTTTCCTCTGTTTTCCCACAGCATCCTGTGCTCAGTGCTATTGTGTGCCAGGGCTGAGATCCTGGGTTATTTATCTCCATATCCCCCAAGAGGGCTCTGCCTGTAGGTAGTACTCAAATAATATTGAGTGAATAAATCTAAGGATCAAAGGTTTCCATCATGAGATGCTGAGCTCCTTGACAGCAGGAACCCTCTATTAACCCCTCTGGCACAGTGTGTTGCACATAGTAGGTACTAAACTGTGAGTTGAATCAAATGCCATCCTTTCCCAGAGATGATGTAAAGAGGCAAAGTAATATATTGGAAATAGTGTAAACTTTGAAATCCTTCAGGTCTGTGTGGCCTTGGGAAAATGACTGAACCTCACTGAGCCTCATGTTCCCCATCTGAGGATAACACCACTGCCTAAGACAATTGTGACAAGACATAAATGTTGATGAGTCTGGCATTGGCGTGGCACACAGGAGGTACCCAGGCTACATCAGCTCCTTTTCTCTCTTCTTTCCTGAAGTCACAGAGATTGTCCAGCAGATGGGAATGTCCATGCCCAGTGGCTCATGCTCAAACCCTTTCACCCTGACACAGTGCGGGGAGACAGGAATAGGCTCGAAGGATGACTCAGCTCCAGTGACTAAAGCAAGGAGGTGGTGGTGGTAGGAACGGGGTAGGGGCTAAAAAGGAAGTGAGTTAACACTATATCTGATGAAGGATGACTCCAAAATAAAAAGGGGTTGGCCCTAGCTGGTTCCTGGCTCTGAAACGGTGCAAGTGAACAGGGGCCTGAGTGCTTCTCCATGACTCCCTCCACCTCATCTCGTGGGGAACTCCCTGCCTACCCAGGGATGTCTTCCAGAACAAATGCTGAGCATTCTCTCTCCTCTGGAGGCTTTCAGACCAGGCACTAGAGCACACTTGAATGCCACTTTTGATGGAGTGTTTTTTTAAGAAGTATCCCGTATGACTGAGATCAGCGTGCATGGATTCTAATCCTGACAGCCACCTGGGCCTCTCTCCTCGACTCCAGACAATCTTTTCCACCCACACCACCACTTTGAAATCCCCAAATATTGCACATGCAGCAAGGTTAGACCAGTCTTCCTGCCTGCAGGGTCACCCCAGTCCATTTTCTAGACTGTGCACAGAATGATATGTTCAAAACTAATTTATAATTCTGCTATCCCTCTGCTTAACATCCTTCAAGGTTTTCCCAGTTTCTACGGAACAGTCTAGACTCCTTCATCTGGTGTATAAAGCCTTTCATGATCCAGCACCTCCTCATCTTCTGGCTTTGCTTGCTGACCCCACCCCATAAACTCATACATACAGAGACACACCCTACATTTCAGCCAGCTTTCAAGAGTCCTTTTATCAGATCTCACACTTCCCACCCCTGGGTCTCTGAACATGCCACTCCTTCTCACAGCGACACACTTCTCCACCTTGGGCAAGACTGCATATCTTTCCAGATTGGGTTCAAATGCTGTCTCTGCTGTGTGGGCCTCTCAGATGTCCACTTGGCTCACCGATTGGCATTGTGACTTGTTTATGCATGCTTCTCTCCACTAGACTGACAGATCCTTGAAGGCAGGTCCTTCCACAGAATACCTACTCAACAAATGTTTGTGGAATACATGAAATATCAAAAACAGGCACAAAGTAATAAATCAAGCAATTTTTTCTCTGGTCTCCAGTGTTTTCATCTATAAAATATGTATCTGATCTAGGTGCCTTAAAACCTAGCAGCCTCAGATTTTATACTGTATCATTCTTCAAATACACATGTCACACTCCTGGCCCTCTAAGTAGTAGGAGATATTGCTGGGTTATTTTTTCCCAAGGAGAGAGTGGAACTCTGGATCCACTGACACTGCAGAAAGGCTGATCTCAGAAGCTCAGGTTGACATCACAAAACTACTGAAAGCCAGTGCACTACATAAGGACCCAAAAAAACCCAGGACTCTGGCCATATCACCAGCACAGTCATGGGTATCATTCACCCATATGGGTGATCATTTGCAGGCATTCGTATGAGCATTGTCATAGTCCTCAGGCAGGCACACAGGGTGACACATTTGTGCAAAGAAAGCCACCCACAGAGCCTCACCTCACCAAGATCACAATCTCCGTGATCCCCGCACCTCCCAGCATCACCCACACACTCACACACCCACAGGGTGTCAGGTTGTCTGTCTGCAAATCTGGAGTTCTACACATTGGACCACAGCATCCTTCAGCAGGGAAATAAGTGCACTTGTGTTCTCATGGCTCTCTCCCTCTGATCTCTATCGTCAGCATGGTCCTCACTGAACAGCTTCTGCCAATATGCTGGCATGAGACAACCTGAGTTCACCATCAGCCTTGTGTGGGAAAATTGATTAGTTTCCATGAGCCTCAGTTTTCTCATCTATAAGATGGGACTAGTGGCCCTGCTTACTCTTTTCTTACATAGGTACTGCCAACTAATTACTTAATTAATTCAATAAGTATTGAATTAATGCATGCAAATGCACCTCATAAACACAGGCACAATGCAAATGTGTGGAAGTCACAGAAATAATAATGTTGGTGGACAGTAGTTTCTGGCTCTAATGAAATGCTCCTTTTCCAATAAAAAGGAACAATTCAAAATCGAATAGTTATTGAATACATATTACATGAAAGGGATTATCACCAACCATAAGTAACTATTTCAAAGCTGTATTAGACAGTGCTGTAGTATGTTTGTGTCTGAAGGAAAATGTTTCATATTTCATGGTTTTAATATATATACATTTTAGTACATTTTACACAAATGGAAAGAGAAATAATATTTTCATATGTACAATATGAAACTATGGACATATATGCAATAATATTTTCGTGTGTGTGTGTGTGTGTGTGTTTGTGTTTGAGAAGAAAACACTACCTATGAGTCAGGAATGAAGTGTAATGAAAAAAAAGCATGAATTTTGGAATAAAACATACACACCTAGATTCACATCCTGATTATTACTTATTAGCTTTTTGACTTGGGACAAATTGTATTATTTTTTGTTATTTTTATTTTATTTATGTTTTTATTATTTTATTATTTTATTTTTATAAGGTTTCAAAAACTGATATGTAATAGTTGTACATATTTTGAGCATACCTGTGATATTTTGATACATGCGTACAATGTGTAATGACCAAGTTAGGGTAACTGGAATAGTCATCACCGACATCATTTATCTTTTCTTTGTGTTAGGAACATTATAACTCTTCTTTCCTAGCTATTTTGAAATATACAAAAAATATTGCTAACTGTAATTATCCTACTGTACTATTGAATACTAGAACTTATTCCTTCTATCTAACAGTATTTCAGGGAACAAGTTTTAAATTTACTAAAGCCTCAATTTCCCCATACTAAAAAATGGAAATAAAAAACTTAGCTCATAAGTCTGCTGGGTAAATCACTTTGAAAAATTATAATATTGAATAGTCACTAGGACAGAGAGGGCTCAATAAGTGTCACTGTTGCCCATTTTGTGTTCTCTGTCTCACTAACCCTCTGTGTGACCTGGGACAAATCGCTCCGCCCCTTGGAGCATGTTTTCTCACCATAGAATGGGAGAGAAGAGTTTGATGATTCCATGGATTCCTTCCAGCCCCAGGAGTCACAGTATCCTATATCCAGTATCTGTTTTATGCATGCACGTGGGTTTAAGTAATCAGGGCAGCCAAGGGGTGGCCCCTTCAGCCTAGCGTTTGCTCAATTTCCAAAGCGTTTCCTTTCTCTGAACGTGCCAGTTGCTCACTTTCATATTTTCAATACAGGGCCCATTGATGACCACAAAAAGGAATGTCCAGTGCAGCTGCGGGTCCACTTGAGCCCTCCAAGCAAGCACTCTCAAGCCCGCTCTGTCTGGGAGCTCTGTGTTTTCAGAGCCTGTTGTTGCAGCGATGCCTGGAATCCTTAACACCTGCACACCAGCTTCCTGGGCATTTCCACACCCTCCCCCTCCCCACCTCCTGCATCTCCCATTTGCATCTGAAATGCAGCTGCTCTGGGCCCTATAGAGGAAAGCCAAATGGACAGGACATCTCCTTGTTTGTTCTCCCTCCCCTGAGTCAAACCGAATCTGAAGCTCCTCTGTGCGACGCCTTTGTTGCCTCCTCATTATGTTTAAATGAGCCTCATCTGCAGGAGGATTTTTTTTTAATAAAATAAAATAAAACCACCACAAAAGACCAAAGCATATGACATCTGCTCTTTCGATGAAAGCTTTTTTTGTCCCGAATTAGACTAAAAAAAGAAGAAGAAAACATGAAAGAAAAAAGAACGGGGCTGGGCCTCATTTTTACCATTCCTCCCAAGAAACAAAACAAACAGAATTAGTGTATGCTGGAGGCAAAGGGTGTGGAATGGATAACAAGAAAAAAAAAGGGGGAGAAAAGATGAAATAAAAGGAGAACTTCCTACTTCTCCAGCAGTGTTTTGCCATCACTCTACGTCAGGAATATTCAGACACCATTACTTAGGTGGCCATTACTTTGAGAGAATGTTCAAATTTATATTTCCTATGCTCATTTCACAGGTAAAACTTTTAACAACTCTTTAGCCATTATCCCATCCTCCCCAAGTAATATCCATGTTTATTGAGTACTGCAGGTGGGTCTGGTATAGGTTGTACCTGAAGAATAATTTGAAAAACTATTATCTGTATGCTGATAACACCCAAATCTTTATCTCCACCTTATCTCTCTACTACTAAACTACTAACTACTACTACTACTATAACTACTACTACTATTACTAGAATACTAACTATTACTACTACTACTAGTCTACTAACTAGACCTCCCAACCTGGCTCACACACTAAACACACCACCTGTCTGCCAACACCTGCTTCTTGCCCGGTGTTCCCTTCTCCCTGAATGGTACTCAGTACCCCCACAAAACTCTTGAGTTATCATCCTCAACAGCTTCCTCCTCCTCAAGCATGCCCTATCCAACCCATTGCCAAGTCCCATTAATGTTCCATCTAAAACTCTCCTGATCTCTTTTCCTTTCTCCTTCTCCATCGCCACAGCCTGAGTCCAGGTCACCTTCCTCTCTTTCATCTAGACATGTCACACCCAGCACTCAGCATTGCTGATTGTGATCGCTTCTTGATCAAAACACTTTTTAGTTCCAAGGTGGAGCCTAATCCTTTTATGTAGCTTCCCAGATGTTCATGTGCTGGCTCCTGCCACCCTCTCTGACTAATCCCCGTCTACCATCCTCTAATCCATCCCAACCTAAATTCCTTCAGTCCTCTACCCAGCTTCATGCTCTTTCACCTGAGGCCTTTGCACATGCTGGCTTCTCTACCTGAAATACTCTTCCAACTCTGTATCTAAGGTGTTACCAGCCTAGCTATGTTTCCCAGGCAAACATCATAGTGTCCAAGGCGGATCCTTGATCTTCTATGCGTATCTTTCTATATCTTTCATCCACTTAGCTTCTTGAGGGTCAGGGACCCTCTGTTTTGAGGGGGAAAAAAAAAGAAAAAAAAAACTTCCTGAATGAGAACCCAACCATTTTTTTAGACCCAACATAGCAAGCTTAAAGTTTTATTTTGATGATGGGATTTGCCAGTAGTTGGGTGACATCTTTGTTTCTCTTCTGTTAATCTCACATTCTTTCCAGGGTTTTCTTTCCTTGGGAAGTAGAGATGGAACATGTATGCCAAACAAGACAGTGGGATGGTTCCAACCAAAGACTCTTTGTCTACTAGATTTCTAGTTATGAATGAGCGGGGGAGGTTGAATTTGCTTATTATTAAAACCTCTCCACATACTGGAATTTTAAAATCTAGCATACATACAGAGCTGAGATCGAAAATCTGGTGTGAGATCAATGCTTCTAACCAATTGAGGACCTGAACTCAATCCATTTCTTTAACAACCAGGTGGTTCAACTATAAGTGATACTCTTCTCCCATCTTGAGCTGAATCACATGCGTTCTGGAGTGGCCAAAGAAGAGCAGGAAGAATTGAAAGTGATAGAAATAACCAGTTGATGTTTATTGAACATTGAGTGTCACCCTGTAAAAAATACTATGACATTTGTAATTCAGTTTAGTTTTAAATGCCCTGATATGGTCAATATACTAAACTTTGATTTTACAGATAAATCAAAGTTCAGAGATACTCACTGGCTTCCTAAAGACTTGTAGCTTCTTTTGCTCCTTTGACTCTTTTTATTCTTACCTCCCTGCAGGTTTCTGTGTCCACCCTGGAAAAAATTCTTGAGCTAGAAAGAAATCAGAGCTAGGGTTCTAAGAGAACATATCTGGAGAAATTCTGGGCTCTGATATCTCAAGGCTTGGAGGGAATAAGCAAAGAGAAGGCCACCCAGGAAGCAGAGGGACTGGGCCTTGAGTTTTCTGATAAAGGATTGGGAGAACAGTGGAATTCCGCACTTAGTATCTTCTCTAACAACTTTTGAGCATCTTTTTAAATCTCTCCAAGGTTATTTAGACAATAAGAAATTTCTAAAGAAAAGGTAGATGGTGAGGAATAAGGCTTCAACTGTTGACTTAAAAGTGTTAAGTGTTCCTTCATAATTTACCTGGCTTGTTAATGGCAGAGACAGTAACTAACAGGGTTACAGAAAGGGAGATGTCACAATGGTGTGGTTACCCTTCATGTTCTTCATGGGTTAAAGAACAGGGGTTGTCTCTACTCCCTACTGCATGAGCTACTGAACTTTGAATGGAGTGGAGAAAGAAAAAACAAAAAACTATCTGTCTCATGTTTCTTCCATAGTCAATTGATATCCTAACATCTCAAAGTTCAGTGTGAAACAAATACCAGAATGAATTCCATAGCTAGCTGTAGAATAATGATGACAAGACTATTTCCATATTATGGCTGAGGAATTTTAAGTATTATGAAAGTCAATGGGTTGCCCATTCTTTCTTTCAATAAATATTCATTAAGCTCCTCCTATATACCCAGAACTGGATACCAAGGCAAACAAAGCAGGCATAAAGCTTATTGGCTACTGAGCGAACAGTCATAAAATAAAAAATAAGCACAGAAATATATCTAAAATCACAAATTATGATTTGTGATGAGAGAAAAAGTATACGATAGTGTAAAGAAACATAACAGAAGGGATGGCATAACCTACATGGTGGGTCCGATCCGTCCTTTCTGAAGGAGTGATCCTTATGCTGTGAGCCAGAAAAAAAAAGCGAGAGGCAAGCAGGCATCAAGACCAGCCTGAAGGCCCCAAGACTGGAAAGTGGGTGGCCAGTATAGAAGAGGAAGGACAAAAGAGGGGGTCAAGGGGAAAGGCAAGGGCAGACTATGTGACCTTCTAAGCCATGGCAAGAACTTTGAACTTGATTCTAAGTACAGTGAGAAGCCATGGAAGAGTTTTTGTTTGTTTGTTTGTTTGTTTTGTTTTTTTGAGAAGGAGTTTCGCTCTTGTCACCAGGCTGGAGTGCAGTGGTGCTATCTCGGCTCACTGCAACCTCCGCCTCCCAGGTTCAAGTGATTCTTCTGCCTCAGCCTCCCAAGTAGCTGGGACTACAGGCGCCAGCCACCACACCTGGCTAATTTTTTATTTATTTTTTATTTTTTTGTATTTTTAGTAGAGACGGGGTTTCACCATGTTGGCCAGGATGGTCTCGATCTCTTGATCTTGTGATCCACCCACCTCGGCCTCCCAAAGTGCTGGGATTATACACATGAGCCACTGAGCCCGGCCCATCAAAGAGTTTTAAACAGGGAAGAGTTGTGATCTAATTAACATTTTAAAAAATGTATCCCACTAATTGTGGAAATGGATTGGACAAGGGTGAGAGACTATTTACTGAAGTTACTGTAAAAGATGATTGAATAGAGTCTAGGGAGGTTTAAATCCCAGTTACCATAACTCAAACCACAAAGGCCTGTTTCTAAAAAAAATCATTACTTGTGATTTATAATCTAAAAAAACAGTATGCCATTTTATTAAGCAGAGTCATATTTTTTCAAATGTCTTATCAACTAAGATGACCCAAAGTCATGGGGGTTGGTTCAGGGCAATGCAATTTCTAGCTGGCATTCCTGGCCATCGTTTTCTACTTTCCAGGTTTTCCAAGAATAGTGGTTGAGAGGGGTAGTCAAAATTGGGGAATAAATATATAGGTCATTTGTATCTGATTCTCCCACCCAGCCTCAACCTCACTACACAGCAACAGCAACAAATGTCAGTGGCAGGAAGTACACAACAAGAAGAATTAACCACAATTTTTTTAATCCAAACTTACAAACATAGTCAGTCACACATACACATACAGTTGGTTTGAAGTGGAGTGAGGGGCGGTAGCCAGCCTTCTTACTTTTTAACCAATAGGATCTCATGTTAGCCATCAAAGCAACAGACTTTCAGTCAGTTGACCTTTCATGATAGAGGGTTTTGTGGGGAGAAGAGAGAGAAAGGAGAGAAAAAAAATTGAGGTTTTTGCATCATTTGTCATTCTAATAGTTGAAGACTGAATCAGTCTTATGTTGCAGACACATTAATTTGATTAAGATACAATCCATGGGTCATTCAGGCATGTAAAGTACTCTTGCTTAATTGCAAAATTAACAATAGAATAGGATAAATCATTACCAAACTGGAGGTTGTTCTGGGACTCATGGACTTTTTCCCTCACTCAATTCATTTTCTCCATCTAAAGTTCTTTTTGACACTTTGTTAAAGGAAAAATCGGGGCTAAGGCAACAGTAAGTGGCAAACCAACATTCAATTCTCAAGGCATTAGTTGAGGGACCTCATGCTCTCTCAGAACAGGAAATGCCGGTAGACCCATCTTACAAAAAGGATCGAAGAGTCCCTTCAGCTCCAAAGAGTTCATAACCATCTCATGATTCACAGAACTGTAGGAAGTTATCCAATGCCTCAAGACATCCACTCTGAAACCTGAAGCCTAAGATCCTAGTTTCCATTTTTATTATATAACTCCTTGTCTGCCATCTCATTTCTTTTCAGGAGCAGCCTAATTTTCAGGCCCTGAGCAACTTTTAGTCAAAAAATATCTACTATATTCCAGGCACTGTGGTAAGTGATAAAAATATAAAAACAAAGACTGTTCCTGGATCTCAACAAGCATTTCCTCTAGCTTGTCACTGAATTCCCTCCCTTCTGTGACTTCATGAGAGACACCTGGCTACAGCTTGGTGCCCACTGATGTGCTGTAACAGAAGCATGCACAGCACTATGGCAACACACAAAAGAAAATTAATCAAAGAGTAGGTGTGATTTCAGTTGGCCTAAAATTGAATTAGGAGGAGTTGACCATTCAGAGGAGAGAAGAGAGAATTCCCAGCAGAGGGAACAGCATGAATCAAGGTGGGGAAGTGCAGGGATGCAGGGGTTATGTGGTCATTACCCCTGCAAGAAGCAACCAGGTGCTTTCACTTATGTTGACAGGAAGTATCAGTGACCAAACATACAATCCAAATCTGGGAGAGTTAAGCACGAATCCCAGCAATATAGAGAAAGGAATTCTAGACTGGAATTCAGGAGACCCATTGTTCTTCTATCTAGAATATCATGTGACCCTGAGCTGGTGGCCATTTCATCTGAGCCTCAGTATCTTCATCTGCAAGATGGAAGTAAACATTTCTTCCCTATCTATTTTATAAGTCCCTTTGAGGGATAAGTGAGATCATGAACATGATAGGTTTAACTCAATTCAGGAAATGCCCAGCTTAGAATTCTTTATGGTAAGAGTGTAAAGCACTGATATCAAACTGAAGAAGTTATTAGCAGTATTTTAAGTGGGAATTAACATGCTTTATTCAGGAGTCAGCAAGGCATCCAGTGGCTGAAGTGTAGGGAGCATGACTAAGGGTAGCTTGGAGACACCCTTAAATATGCATAGATCTTATTTTTCATTCAACTTAGAAACATGGCTTTAATCCTTTATTTTATTATTTTAATACATAAACAAAACTGGCTCAGAATGAACATTCAAAGTGAAAAATATACCTAAGCATCTAAACCACTTATTCTATGCTTTGCAAATGACTTTGACTGTCACTATACCAAAAGGTTTGCTATCTGAAAATTTATCAGGACGGGTCAGAAGAAAAACAGGTAAAAATTGATTCAGAAAACAAGAGTTTGAAGGAGTCTTCAACCCCTTTCGGCCCTAATGCTTGGTAAGCACCCTGCACACAGTGCTGCAGTCATACCCCAGAACATATAGCCATTTCTCATTTCCGATATGCCAGAGCTGGGCAATGCTGCATGTGGTTCAGAAAGACTGGTGTTTATGTCATGGCTGGGATTGTAGACTATACACTTCCTGCAGGCCTTGTGAGATAAGACAGGGACATTTCTAGAAGAGCTGTCCTCTGGAACCCCAAGCAGTTTGGAGAAAAATCAAAGAGGGAGAGAAACAAGTGTCACTATTTTGAAAGGATGATTTAGCAGTGTCAGACAACTTAGATCACAAGATGATGGAAATAAGAAAATGCCAAAACAATTTGCTCTCTTCCTTCACCTTTCTTCTAAAGAGCTTAACATATTTTATAGACATAGATGCACATTTTTATCATTGTACATTGGCAAGTCACTTTATCTTCCATAACTTCAAAGGTTCCCCTTTCCTCGTTTTTAAGGAATGGTGAGCAGATTAAGTGAGAAGCCCTTTGAAAACCGCCATGTCTGTGGTAATCATTGCTTAGAGAGAGAGCCAGGGCAGGCCTTGACATTTGTTCCATCCACCCCAGATGGCATTTTAATCTCTTTGCTCTCCTGCTGTTACATGGAGAAGAAAAGACTGGTCCACATGCAGGACCAGAGGCCTGAGTGGATGTGTCAGCTCTGCTCTGTGTCCCTGGGCAAATTAATTTACATTTCTGGCTTTGGATCTCTTTTCACCATTATCCTCAAAAGGTAGACATGAGCTCTAATATCCCTTTCAGTTCTAACACCTTGCAAAACCAAGATTCCTCAGGCTGTACTCTACTAACTGAGCAAGGGCCAAAAGCCATGAAGATGAGGGTTGTAGCTGGTGTTCCTGTTTCCTTACCTGTAAATTGAAAAGAACACTTACTTTGTGGAGTCTTTGGAAGGATTAGATATGATATACTCAAATCTGCTAGCACAGTGTTTGGTACCCAGTGGGTGCTCCATAAATGGTTTCCTAAATCAAAACTACAAGATATCCAGTATAAGACTCTGCCAACCTGATCTCTTGTCTTCTCAATTCCAGGCATCTTCATGGCTTGAGCACACGGCCTCTGAGTTACAGCTGACTCCTGTGAACTTGAAGTCCAAACATTAGAACAATCTTTGAGGCTTTCTGTTTTTTTCCAGAGGACATATGGAAAGCCTGTGAACTTTTCTGTTTCTTTTAGCTGGAACCTTGTGCCCCTGAGCACCAGTTTGCTCCAGGTGTCTGTGAAAGACTCCAAGGGAAATTGTTCCTAAGAACAACTATTTGCTTCACTGCGTTCATGCCTGCAAATGTTTTGTGCACCCCCTGCAATTGCAGGAGGAAGGAATACAGGAGACTGAGAGTCTGAAGCCACGAGTCAGCAGCATGATGTCCTTCTGTGTCTGCTTTGCCCAGTTGCCATCCTCCCAGTGTGATAAGCACTTGAGAACAGTAAGTCTTCATCAGCAACAGCGATGTCATTGCAGGCACTGGGCAGGCTAGAAGCTGTAGAAACGTGTCTCACTTACTCAGCATCCCCATCCCCTGCAGAACCTAGAAAAAAATCAGAAAATTCTACATGCTTTTTCCTATTTAATGAGGTCGAACATTCTTAAGGAATGAAAAGCACAGCTCCAGACTAGCTTTTAATTAGCTTCAGGAGCCCTTGTTTCAAACTAGCCTGGTTCCCAAAGCTATTCTCTCTCTCTGCTCTGAATGAGATGAAAATTCAATGGCATTTCTCTTTGTCAACTCATACTAAAGTGCTCCTTCTGCCCCACAGGGTTACATAGGGAAGGACACTCAGTAGCCAGGCACTGCACATTTTGACCCCAGTAGGACACCAGAACCCTCAAAGGGCGGTTAAAAGACCAGATTTGGTGTTGTTTTTGATAACCTGCTGTGTAAACTTGGGCCGGTTTCTCCACGTGTACAACGGAAAAAAAAATATGAACTTTAGAACCAAATAGACCTGGGATAAAACCCTGCCTTCTCATCTGAGTGCCTAGCAAGTTAACTAAGACAGTTTCTGTCTCTTCATTTGCGCTAACGGTATTGATGTCTACCTTGTGGGATGTCTGAGGGGCCAAAGGAGATATTGTAAGGAAAGCATAATGTCCTGGACATTGATAGACACTCAGAAAACGCTGTTCCTCTACTTTCATCCTCATTCCTCCCCTCTGCCTATTTCACTGGGTTGAAGTAATGACCCAAAGGGATAACATGATTCAGAGGTTAGGAGCCTCAGTTTTGTAGCCAGAGGCCAGGGTTCAAATCCCATTCCTGCCCCATCCTGGCTGTGTGAACATGTGCAAGTTCCACGCCCTCACCGTTTCTTTGCATTGAAAATGCAGACAATGTCAGTAGCTCCCCCATAGGATTACTGTGAGGACTAAATGAGATAGTGTACAAGACGCCCTTGCCTAGTGCCTGGCACATGGTAAGTACACTATAAATTATTAGTTAACAACAACAGCTATAGCATCTGAGAGTGCATTGTAAAATGGAAAAATCCTCCAAGACGCTCATCTCAAATCCTTTTTGGAAAGAATGTGCCAGTGTTACCGATGCTTATGTAAATGTAAGTGGTTATTATTTATGTAGGAGAACATTACTGACTATTATGCAGGAAGAGGGAGAGAACAATGTAGAGGAAGAAAAAAATTTACAATGGGCTTCAAAGGGGAAAGAGGAGAAAGTAACATCTCACCCAGCAATATAAAAGCAGCCCCATATAACTCAGCTCTGCTCTGACTGTAAAACATTATATCAATAGTCTTCCCTGAAAAAAGACAAGAAAGAGAAACACATGGAAAAGAAAGGAGAAGGACAACCTCATTTTATTTCCCCTAAAATTAATCCTAAGGTTGTATTTATCCAACAGAATCTTACTAAACACCCACCCCATGGGAGATGCAGAGACATAGCAGGCCTGGCTCTGTCCTCAGGGAATTTGCAGTCTAATGAGGGCCTTCCAACAAGTACATAAATAACTAATTAAAGGTAGAAAGTGAAGTGTCATGAATTATCCTCATCATTGTTATTAGATGTCATTTTTATTGAATTCTCTTTTTTATTATATCATCTCTTTTTCCAAAAAGAATTTTGGACAATTTATAACATAAAAGAAGTTATACCCTGGGTTTTTTTAAAAAAAGGAACTAGATATTTAGATTAAAGCAAAAAGATGTGGCAAAGACTAATGTAATTATCGAATTGAGAATCAAATTCAAGTGAGCATTCTGGACATCAGGGCAAAATCAAAATAGGAAACATATTATTATAATTTAATATTTCTTACATGTTGATGATCTCTTAAGTAATATTCAGAAGCGTAGACAAGGCCAAATTCAGTAATCTTGCATTTTCAATTCAACTGAAAAATGCCAAAATCATGCATGTCTGTGGAATTCAGGTAGGCACTGTTGATTATCAACATTTAAGGCCATTATTTTGGAAAAATCATCATCTTTAGTATGAATCACTAAAATATTGTTGCTTTTCATTGTTGGGAGGATTGTTTCTTAGGTAGCAGCTATGAAGAATGCAAGCTGTTTCACTTCTTATGTTTAATATATATACTCTAAAACCCGAACAATATTTGTATCATTAGGCTAGACTCGATAATTTTATTTTCAATGAGATTTCAGTGCTCCAGAGAGCTTTGATCTGTCACAGGGCTCTCTTGGGTTAATTGCTGCTGTTCTCAAGTCATCCTCGCTCAGACAGGTAGGTGGGAGTGAGTAGAATTAGCCAATTGTACAGAGAATCAAAGCCATTTGCTTGCAAGACTACCTACTTCTGAGAATTACCATGAATTTTGCATGCCACTAAGAAAGGAAGGAAGGAAGTGACATCTTAAAGATCCTGGGCTTGGGCGAGCTGCGGTGAAGAAGACCAGCTGCTATTATTCTTCTGGCTGGTTCTGGCCTATTGTGATGTCTTTTATAAATCTAAGAGAACTTGAATTTTAAAGCTTGTTTTAAAGACCCTGTTTTGCCTTTTTAAACTGTAATTCTTTAAATGTTCAGGAGCTTGATTAATGAGGAAGAGTTAAAAATAAGTAAATAAAAAAGACAAGTAAACAAGTCAGGGGAAGAGGTGCTGAACTGAAAGAAATAAAAAGAATTGCAAGGTGAGGAGAAGGGAGACTAAGATGTCCAGAAGGCAATAGCATCTCGCCATTTCTCTGTTCCAGGCCCTGCAGTGCCCCTGAGAGGGGGTTTCTGGTGTCGGCCAGTTGAGAGAGAGCCCTGATCAGGCACGGGGCTGGACAGGGAGCCTGGTAACACGTGCTGGTCAATACCACACACATCTGTTTGATTTGGCACTGCTTACCAGCCAGCTGCTGGCACAGAGCCAGAAGGGGCAGGTGGGGGTGTTTGGGGAGGGGGAAGGCAGGGGAGAGGGGATTATGTACAGTTGTTCCAAAATGGGGAACGGGGAGGAGGCCAGAAGAAATGAGGTGATGGAGGCCCCAAGGGCAGGCTGGAGCAGGAAGCCCACAGCTGTGGTGGTAGACCTTGCTGCTAATCACCCTCTGCAGCAGGTGAAGGTACTGAGTCAAAGTGCAGAGGCAGTAGGGAGGTGGCTTCCATAGACATTCAGGCATGGGGCCAGGTTTGCGTGAAGTGTCAGAAGTGCTTTCTCACTCTCCCTTTTGACCCACGTACTGTCTATCTCCCTAATGGTGAGCCTTTCAGAAATTCCAGACTAGCCACCATGTTGCTTCCCTATTTTTCCGACAAGATTAAACATTTTATACCCCACCTCAAATAATGTTTTTGGTTTTGTGGGGTTTTGTTTTGTTTTTTTGTTTTTTGCTTTTTTTTGCTCACAAAGACTTTCTCTAAGCTGTTAACAGCCTCCCAACCATCTAGAGAGAACTTTGGAAAGAATAAGCCTGCTCACTTAACAGAAGACTTAGGAAGTATGAACAATGTTCCTGAAGCCACCTGGCTTGGACAGTGCAAGAACAATCTGAGCAAACGCTGACTTTTCCACCCCAACACCATTTGCTCTGCCAAAATTTGCTCTGGTCCAAACTTTCAACCTTGTGCCAAGATGTTGAGTTGGTGAGTAGTGAATGTACACACCAGGGGAGAGCCATATTACTATGTCATCTCAGTGTGAAATCTGACACAGGCATACACGTTCAGTGTTCACTGTTTATTAACCAACACTGTCTGCCAGAAACCATGCTGGCTCTTCAAGTAGCTCACCGTCTGGGTGGTCTCTTCCTGGATCTCTATCCAGGTGTCCATTGCCTAAAGGGAATCCATTCAAGTCACTTCCACATGCTTGAAAATCTCACAAGTTTATCCTCTCTGCTCCTTAAAAAGTTCTATTCCCACCACTAGCATCACAAGTGACAAAAGACAAGACACTGTGTTGCAGCTGAAACTGACTATTCTGCTTCTTGAAACAGCAAAATCTGTTTACTTCTATGGTATTCTCAGTACACTGAGGGTCAAAATAATGTGATTGGGAATTACCGACATCCAATATAAAATACTAAAAAACCCAGAAAATTTTATATGGTTTGCCCTAATAATATAGGTTCAGGTTCTAAAGGGTATATGAGGTTCAAATCCTAATTCTGCCATTTCTTAGCAGGGTAAACTTTCCTTCTCTGTAATTTAAAATGGGAAGAATAGGAGACCTTATCTCATAAGGTTGTTGTAGTAAAGGGCTCACTCATGTAATGGCACAGATTTTGGCTACTGCACTCCAGAATGAAAAGGGAGATTTGTCCTTCATAGACAGGGCATCTACAACCACAACATCCCACTTCAATCTGGTTTTTCTTTGAATAATAAATTCCCCACCTTGTGTCACTGTAATTCTATCTTTCAACTCTCAATGCTCACACAGAATACTGACAGTTAAGAGACACCATTAAACTCTGCTACTCAGGAAAGGAACTTCAGGAACATAAGCTATCTACAGATAGCAAATACCAGCAAAGTTTAATCTGATTTATCAGCCACTTATTATTACTCCATTTCCCTTTTGCACCAGTGTCACATTCCCTGGAGACCTTTCAGGCTCTTCTTAGTCCTGGGCCTTCTTGACCCTCTACCTGAAAGGTGGTTTTCCTCTAGTTTTCTTTAATATAATTCCCAGGCTTCCTTCACTCCTTCTTCATCTCATCCTGAGGCTTTCGGTTCTGCACGCTTTGTCACATCCCTCTTCCATTACCTAACTCACCTGGATCCTCGTCCAACCTTCATGCCTTACACTGTGCACGGCTATACCATAGTCTCAACTCTGCTTTGGAATGATGTTGGGTCATAAGCAGTTTATTCAGCATAGTTTTCCATTTTCAAACTCGTTTCCGTAGGCTGTATTACAGCTCTGTAGGACTGTAGACCCCTATTGATATAAAACATAGATATCCATAGTTATCCTATATAGGGTATTTCCTCAGAAGTCCCAACTGCATCCACAAGGACTTGGTCACTGATACCTTGCGTGGTTGACACTGCAAGAGTTCTCAACTTAATTCTCTGCTCCACTCCAGGATTGAGGGCTTTTATTGTCTTCAGTGAGAGGACATTTAGCAGTCAGGTGACCCAGCATCAAGTTTGTCCCTTTCTGACCTTGCACCCTGGGTCCAGTGACTCATCTTATCTCTGATTTCATAATCCACCCAGGGTCCTCATTCCTACAAAACTGTTGGAATTAAAGTCTACCACCAACAGCTCCATAGCCTGCCTGTCTAGGAACAGGACTTATTCCCAGCCTCCCCCTAGCTTGATGGTAGAGTGGAAACAAACAGCAGGTTTGCACTCTTACCTAACCACTTCTTACATGACTAGTTGCTTTATCTCTCTAGGCCTCAATTTCCTCATTTGTTAAATAGGAATAAAATTACCCTTGCAGAGATACTGTGAGAATACATCACAAAGCAGACTGAATTCTTGACACATAGCATTGCTCAGTGAATAGTAGCTGTCTTTCTTAGGATGACCATTTATTATGGCTGGCTTGATGCTGGCTGCCGCTCAGCCTGTCCACCTCTTGCTTATCTTCGTGTGCTGCTGACACTCCCACATTCACCATCACACCTACCTAACCTCCTCATCTGAGTTCCAACTCCTCCTCTCCTCCAAGTGTGTTCTCGTTGTGTCTGTTCTGACTGCTGGCTAGCGGTGTACGGGAGCCAACAGGTACCAGCTCACAAGAGCTGACCCTGGCATCTCTTCCTAGCTCCACATTCAGTGAGCATCGTATTGGTAGCTTGAAATCAGGCACAGTGGGAGTATTTACACAGCAGAAATCAGCAAATACTACAAACAGGGCTTCCCCTTCACCCCACAGAGCCATTTGTTAAACATTTACAGGCACATAAGTGCAGACTCTTCATTTCTTCTGTACCTTCTCTGGGCCTTATTATCTGACCTGAACACTCAAATATAGCCCTTTTAAAGGAAGATCTTAGGGCTTTTTTTTGTACACTGACTGGCACTGCATTTCAGTGAGAATGCAGCTAAATCCATGCCGAAGTTTACAGAGTAACTCAGCTTAGGGATGGAAATATTTCACCAGGAAACAAACAAAAAAAATCTAACGAATATACATTAACCTCAGGATTAACCCTAGCACTAATGAGATCAGCTCAGTACAACCCAACTGTTTTTTTCCTGCCGGGCTCCCTCCTGGTGAGACAGGCTCCAGGGGCCAAGGCCTTTACCTGAATGCTGATGGAAATCTTCCAGGCCCTGAATGACATGTTCTCTGGGCCACTCCTTGAATGCCTCTAGCTTGGAAGCATTACTGTCCTGTAACAAAGAGGGTATAGAAGAAGATGAATCCTTTGTAGGTGAAAAGGGAGGCCTTGCCTTTCCTGCTTTGTTGTGAAGGCTCTGAGCCACATGAGTTTGCTAAGCTATAGACATGTTGAGGGCTCAAGTTCTGTTCCAATTTGTGTCCCCTAGAGGCCTGAACAAGTATCCTGTCCCTTTATGGTGTTTAATTAAGGTTTATTGTACTGAAGACCACATTTGGGATGAGTAATGGTTACTTAGTGCTAGGACGCACTTACCTATCTAATCTCCTTGAAGAAATACTTTATTAAGGAAATAAATAGATGTGTATGCCTGTGCCAGGTGCGGTGGGAGGAAGGATACTTTTCCCTAGGAGGAAATGTGTCCTTACGGATTTTAGAGAGCAAACTGTCATCTACTATCCTATCTGACTGTAGTGAATGTCATAAATCTCCTTTTAGCAGTATTTTATTCCTTCCTGTACATGAAAGGACTCCCCACCAGCCCAATTCAGGGGCACATTCCATCCTTCTGCCCTGTACTCCTAAAATCCTCTTTTTCCCCCACAAAGTTTAAAATTCTACCCATTTTTCTCTCTTCATAATTGCAGGCTGCCTACAGAATGCAAAACACTTCTCACCACCCCATGTCCTCGCAAGTACCCACCCTTCAACTTGCTGCCCCTAAAACTGGCACCTAGGGCAAGTTTTATTTTGATACATTTTATGATCATCTGCACAGGGATACCAACAGAAAGTGATGAGTGTAGGGAAGGGACAAAAGTTCCAGGAATGTCCCCAGTGCTCTCCTTACCCGGGTCTCTGGCCCACACTAAAATGGGAAATGCAACCCCTAGTTCTAAGAACTCCTCTTTGTATCCTCTCTCGCCTTCAGGGCAATGTCTCTGATGTTGGCAGGTACCACTAGCTATCCCTAATAAGAACAGCAGATATGAAGCTGTCAGGACCTTAACGAGGCACTTCGCAGGTTACAAATCATTCTCTCATCCTTTACTTTGGTGAACCTCAGAACCACCCTGTGACCTAGGCATTGAGGTGACCACCACCATCCTTCAGATGAGCTCATGGGACAGAGCTGTCAGAATGCCTGGTGGATGCCTGGGTGCGACACCTGCCAAGGCATACAGTGATTACGCGCTGCTTCTGCATAACCTGCAGAAAGACTCTGATTCAGGCCATCTTTTTTGGGCCGATCACGAGGTCAGGAGATTGAGAACAGCCTGGCTAACACGGTGAAACCCCTTCTCTACTAAAAATACAAAAAATTAGCCGGGCATGGTGGCGGGCACCTGTAGTCCCAGCTACTGGGGAGGCTGAGGCAGAAGAATGGCGTGAACCCAAGAGGCGGAGCTTGCAATGAGCTGAGATTGCGCCACTGCACTCCAGCCTGGGCGACAGAGCGAGACTCTGTCTCAAAAAAAAAAAAAAAAAAAAAAAAAGAATCTCAAATTGTGTCTTAACTCACTTTTATGAAGAAAAGTCACACACATTTTCTATCCACCACCCTGTCCCACTGGCAACAGCTTTGGTGCTTGCCTGATGACCGGATCTGTGTTCCCATGGCTACAGAGTAAAGTCAGGGCACCTCAGGCTGGACATCCAAATGACCCCTTGCCGTACTTCTAAGATCCAGGTTTGAGATAGGTCTGGATCAAGATGAAAAATTGCCATTATCCCAGGACTGGCTTTTTATGTCTTGCTTTATCTTGCCATACTTTTTATGTCTTTTTCCCAAGTCATCAAATGTACAAGTGCTTCAAGCCACAGAACTTCAGACTCCCTTAATTTATATTCTTACCTTTCCAGTAAGAATTAACTCTGAGTATTTAGGTTCTTCAGATACAAAATGCCTACTCTCTACTCCATGTAGTAAGAAAACAAAATTTATTTTTGAATATTTACCAGTTTAAACTTCTCACTAACTCATACTGGCCATTATAATTGTATAGGATTTTTCTCCACAGAAGTCAGGAATCTCCTTCAGCATGTTGATGTCAGATGATAGAATGGAGAGGACCAGTGGACTACTCAGTGCCAAGCTTAAGAGGTCATCTCATTAATCAATTGAATGGAAGTTTAATTTATTCATTCAACACACACTTACTAATAACTTGAGCCCCTGTAGTACTTGAGATCTGCTAACATATACATGTTATAAGTATGTTATCCATGCTTTCTAATTAGATTGTGAGGCCCTTCAAAAGAATCTGATCTCAATTTGCCACCACCTGTCTTATAACATCGGGCAACTCACTTCACTTCTCTGGGCCTCAGTTTCCTTATTGTGGGGGGTGGCTAAAAGGAGCGCCCTAAATCCACAGAGTCACCTTCTTCCCACTCAATTCAGCAATTATGGGTTATGCACAGAACATGAGAGCTGCTGAGGAAGCTCAAAGAAGGAAAGAACAAGTGCTGTTCAAGAAGAATCAGAATTGTTGAAGCTGGGCGAGGGTACATGGAAGTTCATCAGATAATTCTGTCTATTTATGTGTATATTTGAAAATCCCCTACAAAAAAAAAAAGCAAGAAAGGAAGAAAGGAAAAAATACAAGGAAATCTAGCAGGCTTCACATAGCGAGAAGCAATTTAGCAGAGTTGAAGCATGGGTAGGATTTCAATGAGCCGACACTTGGTCAGGGGCCATTCCAGGCAGGGAACACCATGAGCCAGGGCATAGAGACTGGAAAATACAAGGTGTTCACAAAGAACTGGGAGTAGCCATGTATGACAGCAGCATGGGGAGCCAGAGGGAGCAGCTGGAGATGGGCTGGAAAGGTATCGTGAGATCAGAGCTGAAGAGCCTCCAGAGGCCCTAGAGGAGTCTCAGCTTAGTTCAGTTCACCAGGGAAAGTGACCTCATTGGTCGCGCTTGAGTTGGCCTTACTGCTTCACAGCCCGCCTGGGTGCAGGCCCAGAAGCAGGGCCATGTGGCAGAAACTGGCAGAGGAGGATGCTGGCAGCACCACCGGGCTTGTTTCTCCACCAGGAAACAAGGTTTCCTATAACTCAGACCCATGAATCAGCATTTCCTCTGTCAATAATACGCAGCCAGAAATGCAACAGCACAGAGCTCGGGGAATGGAAGAAAGGAAGGAATATTCCATGACATCGCCAGGCTCTGCTGCTCTGCTCTCCTTTCCCCTCAAGAAGCACTGCTGATAAGCTCCCGAATGACACTCAGGTTTCATAGGATAAGTTTCTCAGAGAACCGCACGGTACCTCATGACAATTAAGTCCCACAGAGTAGTCGGCGCTCTTGTCATACTGTGTGTCGCTATCACCACGAGGATAAGTAAGAGCACTTTCTGAATTCCTTCATTACATGATAACTAACCATTAATACCACCGTTCTATCATGGCAGAGATTTGAGGATACGTGTGATTTACCTTTGCATTTTTACACTTCCACATTCAATATGTTATTTGATTCTCATGATAATCCCGTGAGGTACACAGAGAGTATCATACTCATTTCACAAGTGTAGATACCGAGGCAGGGAAATTAAATGCTTCTTCCCTGTTGAATCTGTTTTGAAGATTCCGGAACTGACCCCAACTCTTTAAATTTCAGTCCAGTATTCTTTTCAAAGTCATATACTTTTAAGAAATGTTTAAATATTACTATTAAATATATTTAATAATATTACATTAATTGACAGAATATTTAATATACTTAATTTACACTATTAGAGATGTATCGTATGTAAACTATATCTTGTCTAGCACCAGTAAGAATTTTATCCATTCCCTTATTCCATTCATTTATTTATCAGGTATTTCCCGACTGCTTACTATACGCCAGGGTCTGTTATAGACACATTTGGTAGTGAACAAAACAGACAAAAAGCCCCGCCCCTGTAGCGGTCACACTCTAATTGAAGAACTCAGACAATGAGTAAGATAAAAGAGTAAAATTCAGAGTATGTCAGAGAGTTACACGTGCTTTGGAGAATAAAGCAGACCAAGAAGAGGGTAAGGAGCGTTGAAGGGGTGATGCAATTTCACATAGGATGCTCAGGGACTACCTCACTGAAAACATGACATTTAAGGCAAGACCTGGAACGGGAACTAGCCAGCCATGTGGCAATTTGCAGGGTGGTGCGTGGGGCAGGCAGTCAGCAAATGAAACAGCAAATGCAAGGCCCTGAGGTGGTTCCTCCTAGCATGTCCAAGGAACAGTAAGCAGTCAAGTGTGGCTGGACTGGAGGGAGAGACAGGGAGAGGCTAAAGATGCAGGGAGTGGAGACTGGGGATTAGAGCACGTAGCCCACTGTAAAGACCCGGGGTTGACTTAGAGAATTTTCTGTCATTTACTAAAAACCAATACAAGCACTAAAAGACAAAGCTAAAATAAAAACAAGACAAGGCCAAAATGCAAACAACCAAATCATGTAAGGGGAGGTTAAGATGGTGAGGAAGACAGGATAAAAACGTAAGGGGTATATGGAAAGAAAGGAAGAAAGAAATGAAGTGGTTATATTCTGTTCATTTGCTCTTTGTCTCTCTGTATCTTTATTTTTTTCTTTTATTTTTTGAGACAGAGTCTCGGTCTGCCACTTGGGCTGGAGTGCAGACACATGATCTCAGCTCACTGTAGCCTCAACCTTTTGGACTCAAGCGATCCTGCCACCCCAGCCTCCCAAGTAGCAGGGCCTACAGGCACATGCCACCACACCTGGCTTAATTCTTTTTTTTTTTTTTTTAATTTTTAGTAGAGACAGGGTTTCACTATATTGCTCAAGCTGGTTTCAAACTCCTGAGCTCAAGTGATTCACCCGCCTCAGCCTCCCAAAGGGCTGGGATTACAGGCATAAGCCAAGGCACATAGTCTGTCTCTCTCTCTCCACCACACTTCCCTTGCTTGCTCTTTCTTGTTCTCATGCTTTCTCTCTCAGTTTTGGAAATTCCAGATCCAGGATACAAGCCCTCAAGCCAGCTGCCATGGGTGCTTCTCCAGGAGCCATGCAGGGCAGGAGCAGGCAGAGGAGCACCTCATCACCACAAGCTTGGGCCCACACCCTAGACCTCAGTCAGGCTCCTGTCTAGCTGGGCCACAAGAACTCATCAAGTCTTCTCTTGCCTGGGCTACAGGAGGAAACAGAACAAAACCCTCCTGATGCCCCAGCCCCCAGGCCTTCCCAGGGACAGCCACCTTCCAAGCACAGTCCGCTTCCAAGCAACAGGGAGAGAAGCCCCAGGAGAAGGAGGGAGAAGGGTGAACATTCAAGCTGTTAGCTCAGCCCTGTGAAAACTCACCCCCCAAATCAGGAGTCCATAATACTCTTGCCTTTGACAGCCCTGACTCATCTTTGAAGGGGAGTGTGGCTGTGGCAAGGACATGGGTGTGAAGGAGGGAAAAGCATGATCTTGCCTTCCCTCTGGAAGCCAGTGTTCCCCTACTTTTTCTTCTTCTTTTTATTCTATGGGCTCAATGGGCAAGCTCATATTCATTCAGTACATCCCCACTACCCTTCCACCACCACCTCCTCACTATCTTGGAGAATTTTAGAAAATTTCTTTATGTAACGTCTCCAAACTTTGATACTAGGACCAGTGAGAGGGCAGTTTAGCCCCTCAAAGCCTTCTATCAATGGCTCTTTGATTTGCCTCCAAAAGTTACTAATAGATCAGAACAGGACAGTGCTCCAAGGCAACAAGGGACGCAAGGTGGAGAAGTCCCTCGCCATCCTTTGTACCAAGTAACTGAGCAAACAAGAATTGCCCTTATCCAGAGGCATACACACAATCTCAGTCAACCCAAGATACCATGATTATGGTGGGGGAGTAAGGACCACTAAAGTAGCTCTTCAAATTATTTCTCTCATTTGTGTTTTTCTCCAACACCACCCTCCTCTGAAGCTCCACCACTCCTGGAATCACCATCCTAGTTTGATCTCCTCTGAACTTTTATTAATTAAACTTTTTATTTTGAGGTAATTGTAGATTCATATGTACTTGTAAGAAATAATACAGAGAAATCCTTTGTACATTTACTCAGTTTCTCCCTATGTTAACATCTTGCAAATCTATAGTGTAATATTATAATCAATATGTTGATGTTCATATAGTCAAGATACTGAATCTTTCCATCCCCTAAGGATCCTTTACATTGTCTTTTTACAGGCCCACCTACTTCTCTTCTGCCCCAACCCTTTCCTTAACTGTGGCAACCACTATTCTGTTCTGTTTGTATAATGTTGTCAATTCAAGAATGTAATATAAGTGGAATCATACCATATGTAACCCTTTGAAATTGGCTGTGTCAAAACCGGATAATTCCTATCAGAAGATTCATCCAGGGTGTGTGTGTATCAATAGTTGGTACCTTCTCATTGTTGAGTAGTATTCGATGAATAAATGTGCCACTGTATTGGGGGAACCCACTCCTGACATTTCAACGTAGGTTCTTTCTATTTTCCGTAAGTGTCAGCCAGTCTGAGAAATAAAGAGAAAGAGTACAAAGAGAGGAATTTTACAGCTGGGCCACGGGGGGTGACATCACATATCGGTAGGACCTTGATGCCCACCTGAGCCACAAAACCAGCAAGTTTTATTAAGGATTTCAAAACGGGAGGGGGTGTACAAACAGGGAGTAGCTCACAAAGATCACATGCTTCAAAGGGCAAAAAGGAGAGCAAAGATCACAAGGCAAAGGACAAAAGCAAAGATCACAAGGCAAAGGGCAAAAGCAGAATTACTGATAAGGGTCTATGGTCAGCGGTGCACGTATTGTCTTGATAAACATCTTAACAACAGAAAACAGGGTTCGAGAACAGAGAACCGGTCTGACTTCAAATTTACTGGGATGGGGTTTTCCCCACCCTAGTAAGCCTGAGGGTACTGCAGGAGACCAGGGCATATCTCAGTCCTTATCTCAGCTGCGTAGGACAGACATTCCCAGAGCGGCCGTTTATAGATCTCCACCCCATCAGGAACACAATTCTTTTCACAGAGTATTAATATCAATATTCCTTGCTAGGAAAAGAATTTAGCGATATCTTCCCTACTTGCACATCCATTTATAGGCTCTCTGCAAGAAGAAAAATATGGCTTTTTTTGCCCGACCCTGCAGATAGTCAGACCTTATGGTTGTCTTCCCTTGTTCCCTAAAAATCGCCGTTATTCTGTTCTTTTTCAAGGTGCACTGATTTCACAGTGTTCAAACACACATGTTTTACAATCAATTTGTACAGTTAACACAATCATCATAGCGATCCTGAGGTGATGTACATCCTCAGCTTACGAAGATAACAGGGTTAAGAGATTAAAGTAAGACAGGCATAAGAAATTACGAAAGTATTATTTGGGAACTAGTAAATGTCCATGAAGTCTTCACAATTTATGTTCTTCTGCCATGGCTCCAGCCAGTCCCTCCGTTTGGGGTCCCTGACTTCCCACAATACCACTGTTTTTTTGTTTGTTTGTTTGTTTTGCTTTGTTTTTGAGACAGAGTCTCCCTCTCTCACCCAGGCTGGAGTGCAGTGGCATGATCTCGGCTCACTGCGACCTCCACCTCTCAGGTTCAAGCAACTCTCCTGCCTCAGCCTCCCTAGTAGCTGGGACTACAAGCGTGTGCCACCACACCCGGCTAATTTTTGTATTTTTAGTAGAGATGGGGTTTCACCACGTTGGCCAGGCTGGTCTTGAACTCCTGACCTCAGGTCATCTGCCCACCTTGGCCTCCCAAAGTGCTGGGATTACAGGCATGAGCCACCATGCCTGGCCAATGTACCACTGTTTATTCACCCATGGAAGAACATCTTCTGGGTTGTTTCCAGTTTGGGGCTAGTATGAATGGAGCTGTTGTATGCTTTCACATACAGGATTTTGCATGAGCACAAATCTTTATTTCTTTGAGATAAATAATCAAAAGTGCAATTGTTGGGATGTATGGTAGTTGCATGTATCCTTTTTAAAAAAGGTATTTTCAACCTATTTTCCAAAGAGATTGTACCATTTTACATTCCCTCTAGGAATTTTAAGTGATAGAGTTCTCTCTATGCATATTCCAGATATTAATCCCTCATCATATATGTGATTTGCAAGTATTTTCTTCCCAGTCTGTAACTTGTCTTTTCATTCTGTTAACAGGGCCTTTTCACAAGGCAAAAATTTTTAATTGTGATAGTGTACTATTTATCACTTTTTACTTTTATGGATTGTGTTTTGGTGTCAAGTTTAAGAGCTCTTTGCTCAGCCATTGATCTTGGAGATTTTCTCCCTATAGGTTTTTCTCTTTTTCTGGTTTTTTGTTTCATGCTTTATATTTAATTCCATGATCTGTGTTTAGTTAATTTCTACATAAGGGTGAAACTTAGGTTGAAGTTTTTGTGTTTGTTTGTTTGTTTGTTGCTTGCCAACAGACGTCAAATTACTGCAGCACCATATGTTGAAAGGCTATCTTTATTGAATTGTTTCTGTACCTTTTAAAAAATTGATGAGAGATACGTGTGAGCCTATGTATGTGATTTCTATTCTATTCCATTGATCCATGTGTCTATCTCTCTACAAACACTATACAGTATAGATTATTGTAGCTATAAGTCTTAAAATCCAGTGGACATATTCCTCCTACTTAATTCTTGTTTTTCAAAGTTGTTTTAGCTATTTAAATTCCTTTGTCTTTCCATATAACTTTTAGCATAATCTCATTGACACGTACTGAAAATCTTGCTGTGATTTGGAGAGAAACTGTGACATATCTGCATATCAATTTGGGAAGAATTGATTATTCATTTTTACTATGGTGGTAGGCAGAATATGACTGTTGAAAGAGCTCTGCATTCTAATCCCTGGAACATGTGAATATGTTACTTTCTATGGGAAAGGAGACTTTGCAGATATGGGACTTTGATCTCCCCTCAGAGCCTTCATAAAGAACATGCCTTGCCAACACTTTGATTTTAGCCCTGTAAGATCCAGTATCAAACTTCAAAAATCCAAAACTGTAAGAAAATAAGTATTTTTTAAGGCACTAAGTTTGTGGTCATTTGTTAGAGCAGCAATAGGAAACTAATACAATTATGTTGAATTTTCAAATCAATGAACAAAAATGGTGTCTCTCCATTTATTTAGACCGTCTTTGATTTTTTTCTCAGCATTTTATAGCCTTCAGCATACAAGTCTTGTAAGTATTTTGTTAAGTTTATACATAGTGTTTCAGTTTTTGAGCAATGATAAGTGGTATTGTATTTTTAATTTCAATGTCCATGTGTTCATCGATAGTATATAGTAATGTAATTCATTTGTTTATGTTTATCTGCATTCTGTAACCTTGCTAAATTCACTTCTTCTTGGAGCCTTTTTTTCGTAGACTCCTTGTAATTTGCTATAAAAGTCTATCATCTACAAATCAAGGCAATTTTATTTTGTTTTTCTAATCTTTATTCTTTTTGTTGCCTTTTCTTACCTAATTGCACTGGCTAGAACTAGAACCAAAACTATGTTGAATAAAAGTGGTGAAAGTGAAAATTCTCGCCTCATTCCTGATCTTAGGGGGAAAGGATTCAGTCTTTTATCATTATGTATAATATAAGCTAAAGGGATTTGTAGACATATTCTTTGGTTTCTGAGAGTTTTTTTAAATCACAAATTACTGTTGAATTTTGTCAAACGCTTTTTCTGCATTGACTAATATAATCATATATTATATTTTTCTTTCTACTTAGCTATTCTAGCAGCCTTTCATCCTCAAAATAAACCTTTAGTAGCCTTGAATTCATAAAATAAACCCCACTTGGTTATGGTGCATAATTCCTTTTATAATTGCTGATTTTATTTGAGATTTTTTTCTATTTTGTCCCTTTCTATTTTTGAAATTTTTTTTGCTTCTATATTTTTGGGAGATGTTAGTCTGTCGTTTTCTTTATTTGTACTGTCTTTGTCTGGTTTTAAAATCAAAGCAATGCTACCTTTATAAAGTGAATTAAGGATTATTCCTTCCTTTTCTATTTTCTAGGACATATGTAGAACTGGTGTTAACTCTTCTTTAGTTTGGAAGAACTCTTTAGTGAAATCATTTGTAACTAGAAATTTCCTTTTTGGGAGTTTTTAAAATTCTGAATTCAATTTCCTTAATAATTATAGGGTTATTCAAATGATCTATTTCATACTAGATAAGTTGTGGTAGTTTATGGTTTTAAGGAATTGATCCATTTTATTTGTCAAATTTTTGTGTGGAGAGTTGTTCATAGTATTCCCTTATTATTCTTTTAGTGATTCAGTCTGTGATGATATCCTCTGTTTTTTTTCCTGCTATTAATAAGTTGTTTTCCTTCTCTTTCTCTCCATCTCTCCATTTCTATCTCACTCTCTTGCACTTTGATAGAGGTTTATCAATTTTATTGATCTTTCCAAAGAACAAGCTCTTTGTTTCATTGATTTTTCTATTGTGTTGTAGTTTTCTATGTCATTGGTTTCTGTTATCTTTATTATTTCTTTCCTTCTGCTTACTTTGAGTTTATTTTGCTTTACTTTTCTTTTTTTTTTTTTTTGTTGAGGCAGGAACTTGCATGATTGACCTGAGACTTTTTACTAATATAAGCATTTAGTACTATAAATCAATCTCTCTCTCTCTCTCTCCCCCAGGACTTCTTTAGTTGTATCCCACATATTTGCAGTGTATTCTTATTTTCATTTAGTTCAATGTATCTCACTTTGTTCTGTGTTTTGTTTTGTTTTTTTTCACTCAGTGCAGTGTAATTTTCCTTGAGACTTTTTCTTTGACCCATAGATTATGTAAACTGTTGGTTAGTTTCCCAGTGTTTTGAGATTTTCCTATTATCTTTCTGTTATTAATTTCTAATTTGATTTTATTGTGGTCAGAGAACACATTCCACATGATTTTAATTACTTGTTTATCTTATGGTCCAGAACATGCTCTACATTGGTATATATTCTGTGGTGCCTGAAAACAATGTGTATACAGCTGTGTTTTAGTGCAGTGTTATGTAAACGTGGATTAGATCCTGTTGGTTGATAGTGGTGTTGAATTCTATATCCTTGATGATTTTCTGTCTAGTTGTTCCATTAATTATTGAAAGTTGGTTATTAAAATGTCCAACTATAGTTATAGATTTGTCTATTTCTTCTTTCAGTTTTATCAGTTCTTATTTCACATATTTTACAACATTATTGTATGGTGCATACACATTTAGGATTGCTATATCTTCTTGATTGAGTGACCCCTTTATCATTATATAATGTTCCTCATTGTCTCTGGTAATTTTCTCTGCTCTGGAGTCCACCTTATCTGATATTAATATAGACAGCCACTTTTGCTTTCTTTTGATCCATATTTTCCAGATATATCTTTTAATATTCTTTTACTTTCAAATTACTTTTACTTTTATATTTGAGGTGAATTTCTTACAGACAACAAATATCAGGTCATGTCTTTTAATCCACTCTATCAATTTCCATCTTTTAATTGGTATATTTAGACCATTAACATTTAATATAATTATTGATTTGCTAGAATTTGTCTGCCATTTTCTTTATGTTTTCTACTTGTTCTGTTTTTTGTTGCTCTCCTTTTTTCCTACCTTTCTATAGGCTGCTTGAACATTTTTTAATTCCATTTTAATTTATTTATAATGTTTTTGAGTGTTTCATTTTGTAAAGCTTTTTGAATGGTTGTTTTAGGTAGTATATTACATATACATATCATAATCTACTAATGTCATAATTTTTTCTGTTTGAGCGAAGTATAGAAACCTTACTCATCTTTACTTCCCTTTATCCTTCCCTATTTTAATCCAAATGTCTTAAATATTTTCTGTACATACATTTGAGACCATGTCAGACAACGTTATGCTTTGCGTAATGTTAAAACAAAGTGTAATGTTGATATGGTTTGCTATATTTTGCTTCAACAATCAAGCATAATTTGGAAAACTCAAAAGAAGAAAAAAGGTCTTTCGCATTTGCCCATACTTTTCCTTACTATATTCTTTCTTCCTTCCTTATATAGTAAGGTTTCTTCTTTTACCCTTTCTTTCTGTTCAAAGTACATCCATTCATTATCCTTTTAGGGACATTCTGCTGGTGACAAATCCTCTTAGTTTTTCTTCATTTTAGAATGTCTTGATTTCCCCTTCACTCCTAAAGGATATTTTTGCTGGATATAGGATTCTGGATTGACAGTTGTTTTCTTTCAAAACTTGAAAAATATTAGTGCTACTTCCTTCTAGCCTATGTGGTGTCTGATGAGAAATCTACATCTTTTAAATTGCTTTTCTCCTATAGGGAAGGTATCATTTTTCTCTTGCTGCTTTCAAATGATTTTCTTTGTCTTTAGTTTTCAGAAGTTTGACTATGGTATGTCTTGGTATGAATTTATTGTGAGTCTATTTCCTTTGAGGCTTAGCCAATTTTGTGAATCTGTCTTTTGCCAAATCTGAGAAGTTTTCAGCTGGCTTTTTTTTTTTTTTTTTTTTTGACACTATTTTTTCAGACAAAGGGGTGTCACTTCATTACTTCCAGGTGGAAGTAAAAATCCAAGTTCTACACTCAGCCTCAGTTTACATATGAGGGTGGTGGCTTGTCATTACCGCTGGGCAAGAGGAGAAATTCTAGCTCTCAATAGGCCTGCACTGATACCTCCTGGCTAGTAGGAGCAGGAATGCCTCATTGCTGTTTCCCATATTGTCTCCATTGACACCAAAAAGAAGGTGGTAAATCTCTGACTCTCCACCAGGCTAACTTTCCCACCATCTCTGTGGGGAGGGGACAGGTGCCTCGTTACTGCTGGGTCGAACTGGGAGTCTGGGCTATCCATGTGGTCTCCACTTACACAATGATGGTGAGGGAGGGTGTTTGATTACCAGTCCGCAGGGAGGAACATTCTAGCCCCTTACTCGGCTTTTTCTAATATCACCCCAGTGCAGGGAAGAGTTTGAGGACAGCCCAGTGAGGGCAGAAGTCTAGGTTTTCCATTTGGCTTTTGCTGGCATGAGTGAGAGATCATGCCATGAGTGAGAGTGGTTATTAAAATGTCCAACTATAGTTATAGATTTGTCTATTTCTTCTTTCAGTTTTATCAGTTCTTATTTCACATATTTTACAACATTACTCTATGGTGCATACACATTTAGGATTGCTATATCTTCTTGATTGAGTGACCCCTTTATCACTTTGGTTGAGATAGAATGGCTATCATCTAAAAGATTTCGGTCTTGCCATGCTTTCCCTTTCCTGATCCTTTGGCTAAAGACAGCAGGCTTTTGCTGAGGCTTTTCTGTCCGTACTCATAGGTGCTTCTAGTTACTGGCTTCAGCTCCAAGTCTGGAATATAAGAGACACAAGAAAGCTGGGGGAACTCACCGTTATGTTGTTCCTTGGCTTTTGAACCCCTAGTTAGCCTGCCTTCTCTTTTCTACCTATCAGAATATTCTTACATTTGTTTTGTGTAGAACAGCCAAGGATTTTAGTTGCACTCAGCAGGAGGAAGAGAGAAAAGTGTGTCTACTCAATCTTTCCAGAAGTGAAAGTCTCCACTGAACTTTTGAAATGGTGTTAAAACTGGATTTCTTACCCCAGTGTCTCATCCTTGCAGATAAAGTGTCATACCCTCTTTAAAATACTGAGAGACCATGCCATTTTCCTTTTTGCAAAACTGTCATGAATCTTCATTATTGCCTCTGGAATAATATGTAACATATCTGACTGCTGTTTAAAGTCTTCGTTATGTAACTTTTACCTACCTCTTTAATCTCTTGCTCTTCCCTTCCACAGGACCTAGAATCTCAGTGAATTGGACTTCTGTCGGGATTCCCTGAAAACTCTTCATGGTTTCTTGCTGCCTCAACTTGCTAGTTATTCTGTATACTTAGGACACCCCCCAAAAGTGCAAATTTTTTCTTTCCCATTTAAGGGTCATTTAGAAACTACAACCTATCTTTTCTATTTCCCTTAGAATTATGACCTACGTTATCTGTGGCACTTCTGTGGTGTGGACTGCCTATTGCCTGTGTAGAAGTTACATGTGAATATAAACTTATCTCCACTACTAGATTATAAGATCCTTGAGGGATGAAGCCCTGTATGATTCCTCTTGGCCTTCTCCAAAGGCCTTGGCACAAGGCATGACACAAAATACATGCACAAAGAACATCTGAAGAATTAAAAACTCAGTAACTCACATGGTTCCCTACATGATAGTCCATCCAAAAAGTCTAATTGACTTTGCATCTTTAAGTATTTAGGGAGCTGTTTTCTAGGACTGGCTCTTGAGGCAAGGATTGACTTAGCATCTAAAGAGAGCTGGTTTCTTGTGTAATTGGAGGGAAAGCACTACTCTCTGTACCAAGCCAGATCTCTAGGGAAAGACTTTTTGTGGCTTTCAAAACCATAAAGACTGTCTTGTAAGACTACAGGTTGATTATGAAAAGATGGGACGTAGACAGAGATCCAGAAATCTGCTGATTTATAGAAATAACACCTCCTATCATCCAAATTAGTAGTTCAAATTCTTCTTAGCAGTGCCAAACTAAAAGGGCATATATTTTAAAATCAGGGTGGAAAAGTGATCTTCTTCATCTATTCTTAGCTCAGAACATATCTATATCCAACAATATACTTGAGATTGGCTTTGCATTGAGAGATCTATCCTGGGAATGAATATTTTCCAAGGAGCTCTCCCACTATCACAAAATAGGAGAAGGTAAAGTGGCTAGGAAGGGAGGAAGAGCTAGGGATGAGAACAAGAGGAGAGAAGAGGGAAAGTTTTCCATTCTTGTAATTGTCAAGAGCCACTCCTTGATGATTCCGCCTCCTCTCCTTGTCTGAGCTTCTTTTCTCCCCATCATGTTTGCTGCAGTATCTTTCTACATGGTCTCCCAGTCTGCATGTTTCTCTGCATCACTCCATGCTAAACACAAACACCAAAATCATCTCCCTAAAACTGGACTCTGCACCATCTACATTTTCAAAGAAACCTTATCTCTTCCTTATGGCACAGTAATCATGTCCAGATACCTTCACCAGGCACTCATGGTATATAGCTTTACCTCTCACTATCCCAGTTACACCTAAGCAGGTAAAAGAAGGATGGGAAAAATACAGTCTCTAAGTCAGACCTGAGCTCAACTCCAGCTCAGTCTCGTAATAGTTTAATGATCTTAGGTAACATATTTTACCTTGAGGAGTCTCCGTTTCATTAAAAACTTGATTTAAAATAATAACTCAAAGGGCTGTCATGAGGAATAAGCAACGTGGTGAATAAATTATATAGCATGTAATAGGTGCTCAATAAATGGTAGCTACTTGTACTATGCTCAACCACATTGAACAATTTCCCTTTTGCCAAAATACCCCTGAGTCTTTTCTCAGGCCAATGGCCCTGGCAAGATTGCCAAATGTGCCTACAGAAAGAATACATTATGCCAGGAGGAAAGGAGACTGGCTGAGGATGAAAGGTGGGTGGGGATGAGACAGCATCCACATAAGGTAAGCTGCCCCTTGTTAGAAAGAAATGATGAATGGAGCTCTGAGAGAGGCGCAGGTGAAGGGGCAGGTCCACAAATTCAGAGTGGCCAGGCAGGGTCAGGCAGTTTCAGCATCTGATTCTCTTCCCTGACCATTAGAGCAATCCTCGGCCTGTCTTTCCACAACTAAGGAGGACACATCTCTTATCTCTTCATGCAGATGAATTGTCTGTGTTTCTTTAACAGAGAAGACATTCAGATGCTATATCCAGCACAGAAGAGAGGTTAGCAGAGGGCAACTCGGCTTGGGGTTTTAAATCTGAAGTATATTCACTATGGCTTGTACAGTTATAGTACCCATTATGTATGTATGTTATTATAAGGGGCTCTAGGAAATAGTGTCAGGAGACTCACTTCATAAGTATGTTTATTATTATCTCCGCTGTTCAAGCCACACAAAATAAATGTCTGGCATTTCCAGAAATTGCTATCGATTCAGCAGCAGATTTTACAAGGCCAATCAATAACAGTTTCCTCCTTTCCCCCTCCCACAGTGTGTATTTATTTGTGATGAAGCTGTCTGTTCCTCCTGCGCTTTCTAGTGCTTATAATTGGTCCAGAATAAACGGATGATTTCATCTTTTTCCAGGAAAAAAAGAGAGAATAAAAAACCTGCTATTAAAAATATCTTCCTCCCCCAGCCAAAAACAAAACTGTGTGTGTGAGGGAGAGAGATAGAGATTGAGATAGATACATCAATATAGATACAGATATAGATAGTGACTGAATTCAAGCATGTCTGCCAGAGTGAGACCTTCAGCACATAAGCCACAGTCTGTGATCCTCTTTTCCCTGTACCGAAGTCATGCTAGATTAGGAGATTAGGGGCCCAGAAAGGCATATAGACCCTTTCAGTCATGAGTTCTTGTATTATGATGCCTTAGTATTTTTCAGTGTCACCAACTATCTAACAGAGGCTGAAAGCAGGCAAGAACTTCAGAGTTTACCAACCCCAGCCTTTCTTTTTTATTATTATTATTATTATTATACTTTAAGTTTTAGGGTACATGTGCACAATGTGCAGGTTAGTTACATATGTATACATGTGCCATGTTGGTGAGCTGCACCCATTAACTCATCGTTTAGCATTAGGTATATCTCCTAATGCTATCCCTCCCCGCTCCCCCCACCCCACATCAGTCCCCAGAGTGTGATGTTCCCCTTCCTGTGTCCACGTGTTCTCATTGTTCAATACCCATCTGTGAGTGAGAACATGCGGTGTTTGGTTTTTTGTCCTTGAGATATACTGAGAATCATGATTTCCAATTTCATCCATGTCCCTACAAAGGACATGAACTCACCATTTTTTATGGCTGCATAGTATTCCATGGTCTTTCTATAGATTAAAGCATGGAAGCTCAAAAAGGAAATACAGGAGGTATAAACTCAGGTCTCTTACCTCCTTGTCCGATAATTTTCCCTGCTGCCCTACCATACCTGCCACAGTACCTGACTCTATGTCTGTCACCAGAGAAAAGGGATCCTCGTACACATTTGTCAAGGAACTTCACTGTGGCAGACAGTGGTGATTAGGATTCTCTTCCCCACTGTAACTCACTAGCTCGCTATGGTCAAACAGCTAGTCATTCATTCCCTGGCCTTTGGTGTCAGAACAGTGTCCAGCCTTCCTTGCCTCTTAAAGTCTATGGACAGTCTGCTTCACCAGCACCACCCCCATGTCCTGGACTAGCCATGGCTCTGAGCAGAGCCAGAGCAAAACACCACTGGCCGGCAAAGGGGTGTGGGAGCATGTGGGAGTCATGCCCAGCCTGGGCTGCTGGTCAGAAGTCTGTGCTTAGAAGAATAGTTTTCTCCTTGTTATGGGCTGAATTGTGTCATCACTACCTTTTCCGCCCCCAAGAAAAAGATGCTGAAGTTCTAACCCCCAGGACCTCAGAATGTAACCTTTCTTGGAGACTGGATCTTTATAGAGGTAATCAAGTTAAAATGAGATGGTTAGGGTGAACTCTCTTCTAATACAGCTGGTGTCCTTGTAAAAAGGAGAAATGTCGACACTGAGAGAAACACCCACACAGGGAGAATGCCATGTGAAGATGAAGGCGGAGATCAGAGCAATGCTTCTTCAAGCCAAGAAACACCAAAGCGTTATCAGCAAACCACCATGAGCTGGAAGAAAAGCCTGGAGCAGGTTCTCCTTCCCAGCCCTTAGAAGGAAGCAACCCTGCTGACGCCTTGGTTTCAGACTTCTGGCCTCCAGAACTGTGAGATGATACATTTCCTTTGTTTACAATGGCCCCAGCAAACTAATAACACCTCTCTTTCTCAACAGCTAGTGTTCAGAGGGTGCAGCACTGAGGAATCCAGAACTTAAAGTCAGAAAAATGTTTTAACTAGACTGGAGGCTCAGAAGCCATCTTTGATTGCTCCTCCCCAGATAAACACAGCGGCAGGAGAGAAGGCATGAATACACAGGTAGAGTACATAGCCCCAACTTCCCACACAAAACACACTTTTGGCCGGCCGCGGTGGCTCATGCCTGTAATCCCAGCCTTGTGGGAGGCAGAGGCAGGCAGATAACCTGAAGTCAAGAATTCCAGACCAGCCTGGCCGACAAGGCGAAACCCTGTCTCTACTAAAAATACAAAAAATTAGCTGAGCATGGTGGCACATGCCTGTAATTCCAGCTACTCGGGAGGCTGAGGCAGGAGAATCACTTGAACCCGGGAGGCAGAGGTTGCAGTGAGCTGAGATCGTCCCACTGCACTCCAGCCTGGGTGACAGAGTGAGACTCTGTCTCAAAAACAAACAAACAAAAACAAAACAAAACATTTTTTACAAATGTGGAATAAGTAAAATACTGCCCAAACTACATAAAATCAGTTGTCTGTGATGCTATATGGTAAGCATAAGTCATGTACAATTTCTGCTACAATACAGTAAAGTACACATGTTTTTCACCAGGGTAAAATGTAAACATAAAGAAAACCCCTGAGCACCTTGGCAAAAATAACACTTCATAAGACCTATTTTACCTCTTTTTTTCCTGGGTACACAGGATGGCTGTACTCCCCGCTCTCCTTTGCTGCTAGAATGGGCCACATAACTGATTCTGGCCAATAGACTCTAAGTAGAACTGACCTAAGTGGAAGCAAAGAAGAGGGATGTGAGTCCTCCATCCTGCCTTTTCCCCTGTCACAGAGAAGTCATATGTCTAGATAGTGGAGATGCAAAATTAACCTAGACTGGACCCTTAAGTCACTGATTGAAAGGGACCTGCCCTGGAGAACCACCTGTCTGTCAGTGAAGGTTCTGATAGATAGAACTAGGTGTCTCTGAGATTAGGTGAGAATGATCTACCCTAACACTAAGCCTAACCCAACTGATGATGGCCCCTTGTGATCTGTCTTTGACCAGTATACTATTCAAAAACAAGCCATTTGGCTGGGCACAGTGGCTCATGCCTGTAATCCCAGCACTTTGGGAGGCCAAGGTGGGCAGATCACTTGAGGTCAGGAGTTTGAGACCACCCTGGCCGGTATGGTGAAACCCCATCTCTACTAAAAATAAAAATATTAGCCGGGCGTGGTGGCTCATGCCTGTAGTCCTAGCTACTTGGGAGGCTGAGGCAGGAGAATCACTTGAACCCGGGAGGTGGAGGTTGCAGTGAGCCATGATTGTGTCACTACACTCCAGCCTGGGCAACAGAGAAAGACTCCATCTCCAAAAAAAAAAAAAAAAGCCACTTGAAAATTATTAACTGGGCATTTCTCATGTTTCTTGTTTGCTGAGCTCACAGCCATTTTGGTGGAGCAACCCACCAAACCATGTTCATGTGATTCCTGCCTGAAATCACAGACTCCAGTCCCCATGATAAAGGAACTGTATTCCTAACTAGTCCTCCCTTAAGGAAAAAGGATGCTTCCTACCTCACAAAGCAGACATTCTCAGACCAGCCCTGATTGTTAGAAATGTATTTCTTCAGACCACCTAAAGCCAGACCCTCTGTCACTTTCACACACTCGCCTTCTCAGTTCTACCCTCTAGAGCTCGGGAATAACAAGAAACTAGTCCATACTTCTCCCAAACTTCTTTCCCCTAGGCTGATGTTTTAATCAATGGAGATTTCTTTCCAGAAGCCTTGTTAATCAAGCTATCACTAATCAGTCAAATCCCAATAGAATGCAGGCCAAAACATTGTCCCAATTATTTTGTTGTGTTAGGATTTTATAATATAAAAAATATATATTTTAAAGAAATGGAATTCCACCTGGGGCCTAACATTATTTCTGTTTTAGAAAGAGTTGCATCATAGTAATATTTGTTTTATTTTGCTTTATTGGGATTGAACCTGCCATTATGCTGCTGAGTGTCTCAGTATGAATGTTGGAAATAGCTTTCTCTCACCATTAGCTCAGAAAAAATCTGTCAGCGAAACACAGGTAAATAGATTATGATTGTGTTGACAGCCCTTTTCATAAGCTAATGGGCTCTCTAACCCATTCGTGACTGCTGTCCCCCACAAGGTCTTATAAGCAGATTGCTCCAGAGTTTGCTGAATTTGGCAAATTGATACACTGGGCTCATTTGATTTCCAATTTCTGTGAATGATTGTTAAGTAATTTAACAATACATGAGTGTGCTTAGAACGCCTTATGCAGCATTAGTTAGGGTAAATAAGCAATTCAGTTGAGAACAGCAATGTTAACACGGGCAAAATCTACTATCTTCCTTTTTAGTAGTGGATTCCCTTCATGTTTTAAGTGGAAATTTTAAAATATGTGCATACATGTGAGACTTCTGAGTCCTATCATTCATATTTGATCATTAGGGCTACTGCAGGAGAGGGAACATACAATTTTACTTGAAAGACGAAAGAAATCCAGTCAACACAAGGGCTAAAACAAACCAAAAAAAAAAAAAGTGAAACATTTCAACCATACTATAACAATATTTTTTTTTAACTTAAGTTCAAGTATCTGGTATTGCCGTGGCTGGGGAAATACTTTTATATACTCCTTGTGGGAGTATAAACTGAGGTAATATTTCGGAAACACAATTTGGCAAATATTATCAAAAGCCTTTCAAGTGTGCATACGCTTTGACGCAGACCCACTGATTTCACTTGTAGGAATTTATTCTAAGGAGATAATACTGGGTATGTGCAAAGATTTATTTACGAAGATGTTTATTGCAACAGTATTTATAATAGAAGCAATTAGAAAACAACAAATAGCCAATAAAAGAAAATTGGCTTTTAAAAAACAGGTACATGCATTTATACAATGTTATATTGTACAGTCCTTAAAAATTATGTTATAGAAAAATTATTAATATGAAAAAATATCCATAATACACTATTAAGCTGAAGAAGCAAGTTTTGAAACAGCATTTTCAGGATACCAATTTGGCAAACTCTCATATAAGCGTAGATTAAAGACATATCAAAATTCAGCAGTACCTACCTCTGAAGGTTGGGATTATGGGTGGTTTTTATTTCCTTCTTTATCTCTTCTGAATTTCTCTGAATGTTTTATAGTGAACACAATATATTTGCTCTACAAATATATTATGATGAGATTTAATCTTATATGTAAAAGATTCTAATTTCTAAAGATGCTATTGTTATGACGAAATCAGGCGCATTTTCCTACTGGCTTAATTCACAACGCTAAGTGAACGAAACCTTTTTTTGGCACTTCTGACTACTACAGCGCCAAACATACTCCATCTTTTAAAGCAAGTTTGAAAACCAGTGGACAATTCTACAATTAGCCAAGATACTCAGTTCAGTTTCCTTGAAATAAAAAGATGTGTGGAGTCTTTCAGGACAGGAAGAGAATATTAGTATTACCACCCAAGAGCATTAGATGTGGAGTCAAAACAACCACAGTCAAGTTCAAATTCTAATACTAACTACCAGGTGACTTGAGCAAGTCTCTTAGTCCTTCCATAGGGCTCCCAGACTGGAACTATATAGATATACTGATTTTTCTTTAAAAACATAAGGGATATGAAAGATCAATGTGCATTTACCTAAAATACCACCAAAGCAGTCATATGTTATATAGCACATAGCTTTAAGTCATCTCTAGACAAGAATCACAATAACTAATAACCAGTCTTGGTTAGAATGACATTGATGAAACTGATTTTCTTTTTCTTTTTGTCTTTATGTCTGCTGTTTGTTGTTTTATTTGATATATGTGAAATAAAACATACACTGACGCACAAAGTGCGTAAGTCATAAATGTACAGTTTAACATATTATTGCAATGTAAGCCCCAGTGTAAGCCCCACCCAAGTGAAGAACTGGAAAAGAGCCAGCACCTCGAAGGACCGATGTGCCGCTTCCCAATCACACTGCCTTTCTTGCCCTGGAGTCACCACTCTCCTGATGTTACTGTGATCATTTCCTTGATTTGCTGTATAGTTTTACCACCTAAGTTTGCATTAACAATACCGTTTACTTGTGTTTAGTTTTGAACTTATATAAATGGAATCATACAGGAAAAATTGTCATGTTATGATGGTTGTAAAAAACATTTTGTAAAGTGTAAAATATGCATGAGTAAATGACATTATTATCAGCAATCCTATTATGTGGGAACATAGACATTGAGTTGCAACCATCTAAAGCAGGTGGCTGATCTCATAATTTTGATGTTAAGTCATTTGCAGTCAGGTCTAGACATCCTCACCTCTCCAGATAGTCAGCCTAAGCTCACGGACAAGGATCCACTGAAGCTCTGTATTTGTGACTTCTTGTGCCACCTGGATGGAAAAATACTCACCCAAGGCTGAAGGGGTCCATAAACACCTGCTTTGTTCATAAACAAGCAGGCTTCCCTCTGTTGAGTGAGTTCCCCAGTTATTATCAAGGCTCTAAGGTCATAACTGGTTAATTGTTGGCTAGAAATCAATACACACAGAGTGATGATTTTTGATAAGAGCTTATAATAAGCAAGTTCAAGTTCAAAAGACTTGCTGTCTTTTTGCTCTTACATGCTGAAGAAAAGGTGCTGATCTCTTTTGTTGGAAAAAACCATAGCCCCACTCATGCTGCTAGCTAAATTAAGAACTACTTAATATTTTTAATAGGGCTTTGGCCAATTCATTTTGTCCTTATGCCCAGGTATTCAAACACTACCTAGAATTTTTTTTTAATTGCAAGCAAATTCATCAACCTATTCTCTGGCATCATGAGGCCTCAGGGTTATAGCTACCCTTTGTCCCAGTTTTGAAACAATCTTGCCATTCTTTGATGTTAGCGGCTACCTTGTGAACTGATCCATGGGGCTCCCAGTGCCTGAGGCTGAGGCTCAGTATCACCATGGGTTTCCCAGCTGGCATTTGGCCAAAGCTTGCCATTCCTCCTGTGCAGCCACCCATGCATGTGTACATGAGTACACGCATGTGTGAATGGGTGGGTGTGTTCAAGCGTGTGTAGGCATACTGTCTGCTCATTCCACAAGTAGCATTACTGTGGATGGTAGCAATAACAGTAAGAATGCTTTTCATATAGTAAATGTTGGGTAAATGAGTGAACAAATGAGTAACGCTTCAACAGGCTTTCTACCCGAACATTCCTCTTCTCACAACTGAGCCCGTCTGAATTCCACCTTCGGGCTCAAAACTGCCATTCCAAGGACTAATTCAAGACTTAGTCAAGTAGAATTTCAGGGGCTTTAGTCCAGATTCTCAAAAGATTCAGAATTCATTGTACCTGGCCAATCCTCCCATGATGATGTTCAGTCCAAATTTGGATCACTGCTTTGTTTCTCTCCATAGAAGCCAGGTGCACTCCTCCTTGAGTATCTGGAGCACTTGCTACTCAGCCTGGAGACCTTGTTAACTATTTCCATTCCCATAGACAGTGGACATCATCTTCCTAAATTCAAGTAACTAGGACTGACTTCTTATGCTACTCAGACTCTGCCCAAATTAACATGTGGCTTTGTCTCATTATTGGAAGATTCTTTGCCAAAACCTTTACCTTTCTCTGGTCCTCCCTGATCCTGACCAAAGCCACTTCTTATCATACTCTCCACATGCCGCATCTATTCACTGGAATTTCTCACCTCACTAGCATCTTGGTCTGTCCTCAGAACATCATGATGGGCATCTCTAATTTCCAGTTCCACTACTGTCCTGATCTGCCCTTTCCATTGCCTACTGAAAGGCCTTCAAATTTTAAATTAAATATAACCAAAAATTTAATTTTTTTTCTTTTTTCCCCAAAGTGCCTTGGAAATTTATAAATAATAAATTTTAAAAATAAACTTTCAAAGTAAGTAAATAAGCAAAAAGAAAACAATCATAAACTTTGTGAAAGTATGGGTACAAATGGAAAGACATACCATGTTTTTGGATTGGAAGACTGGGTACAGTCAAGAAGTCAATTCTTTACAAATTGATAAATAGAGTTAATAAAATTCCAATCAAAATCCCTAGAAAGATTTTTTTTAATGTGTAAAGAAACTGATTCTAAAGGTTATATGGAAATACAAGGAACTAGAATAATCAAAACGAGTCTGAAAAAGAAGAATAAAGTTGGAGGATTGGCCCTGCCTCCCTGCCTGATTTCACAGCCTATTATACAGTAATCAGAAAGTGTGGTATTAGCAAACAAATAGACACATAGATCACTGAGAAAGAATAAAGACTCCAGAAATACGCTTATATGCGTATGGCCAATTAATTTCTTACAGACACAAAGACAATTTAGTTTATTTTCAGAAACTTATGCTGGAACATATATATCTGTATGTGCTAATATGTGAACCACTTCAACCTAAACATCACACCTTATAAAAAATTAAATTAACTCAAAACAGATCACAGATTTAAGTATAACATGTAAAGCTATAAAATGTTTAGAAGAAGAAATAGGAGAAATCTTTATGACCTAGGGCTAGGCAGAGATCCCTTTGATATGACATTAAAAATACAATATATAAGATTTTAAAAATGAGTTGATTGAGCTTTATCAAAATTAAAAAATCTTTTCTCTAGGAAAGATAGATACTATTAAGACAATGAAAAAATAAGGTAAAGACTGGAAGAAAATAGCTCCAAATCACATATCTAACAAAGGACCTATATCTAGAATATATAAAGAACTCTCAAAACTCAATAGTAAAACAATCCAATTTTTCAAAATATGCAAGAGAATGAAGAGACACTACAACATAGATGATATACAGATGGCAAATAAGCACATAAGGAAATACACAACATCATTAGCCATTAGGAAATAAAAATTAAAATCACAATTGGATATCGCTACGTATCTATTGTTTTTGTTTTCATTTTATTTGAGACAGAGTCTTGCTTTGTCACCCAGGCTGGAGTGCAGTGGCGCGATCTTGGCTCACTGCAACCTCTGCCTCCTGGGTTCAAGCGTTTCTCATGCCTCAGCCTCCTGAGTAGCTGGGATTACAGGTGTGCACCACGACGCCCGGCTAATTTTTTGTATTTTTAATAGAGATGGGGTTTCACTGTGTTGGCCAGGCTGGTCTTGAACTCCTGTCCTCAAGTGATCTGCCTGCCTCAGCCTCCCAAAGTGCTAGGATTACGGGCATGAGCCACCGTGCCCAGCCACACTATATAGCTATTGGAAGGGCTAAAATAAAAATTTTTAAAAACTGACAGTACCAAGTACTAACAAGAATGAAGAGCATTGATATTGTTATGCATTCCTGGTGGGTAAGGAAAAAAAGTAAAATACTCTGTAAAACAGTTTGGTAGGTTCTTATAAAGTAAATATACACTTACCCTAGGACCCGGCAAAACATGTTTACACAAAAACCTTTACACAAATGTTTATAGCACCTCTATTCATAATACCTACAAAGTGGAAACAGCTCAAATGCTTTTGAACAGATGAATGAATAAGCAACGATGGTACAGTCATATAATGGAATATTTTTCAGCAAAAATAAGAACTATTACTACACATATCTCAAAGGCATTACACTGACTGAAAGAAGTCAGGTTTTAAAAGTTACGTACTGTATGAACCCATTTATATGACACTCTGGACAAGGCAAAATTATTGCAACAGAGAACATATCAGTGGTTGCTGGGGCTTACAAGTAAAGGGAGGGTATGATTCCAAAGGACAGCACAAGGTTTTGTTGAGGTGACGGAACTGTCTGTCCTAATTGTTTTGGTGGTGATATAAATCTATACATAGCTTATACCCATAAAACTGTACTTTACAGCATGTCAATTTTAAAACCAAAACTAAAAAAAAAGTCTCAGCACACTTCATTTGAATCTTTTTCCATATGGATAAATATTAATAGAATCATTTTGTATTATATAATAATGTATAACCAATTTTAGTTTTAAAATGCTGTAAATAACTTTCAGTGTGATGAAATATGCATCTCCATACCAAGTTTTAATGGTTGGGTTGCGTTCCATTGAATGCATAGAACACATATTACATAAGGAATACCATGTTGAGCATTTGGGTTGTTTCTGATTTTTCAATTTTCGAAATGATATGATAATCACTCTTGTAGATAAATATCTGCATAAATTCTTAATTATGCTTTAGAAAATGTTTGGAAGTAAAATTACTGGGTCAAAGGTGTGAACTTTTAAAAAGTCTTCAGTATGTTTGTCAAAATGTCCTCCAGAAAAGTTATGCCAAAATCCCAGCCCCCTATCCCCAGGAGGCAATATGAGTGCCCATTTCACTATATGCTCCTTACTCACATTCTGCTATTATATTATGTGGGGTTAAAACTTCTTCAAAGCCCTCCCACATGTCAATATCAGAGGTGTCATCTTTAAACAAACAACCCTCAGAGCCCAGCACAATGCCTGGCACATAGAAGACACTGTTTAACTGGGCACGGTGGCTCACACTTGTAATCCCAGCACTTTGGGAGGCCGGGGCGGGTGGATCACCTGAGGTCGGGAGTTGGAGACCAGCCTGATCAACATGGAGAAACCCCGTCTCTACTAAAAATACAAAATTAGCCAGGCGTGGTGGCGCATGCCTGTAGTTCCAGCTACTCGGAAGGCTGAGGCAGGAGAATCGCTTGAACCCGGGAGGCGGAGGTTGCAGTGAGCCGAGATGGCGCCACTGCACTCCAGCCTGGGAAACAAGAGAGAAACTCCGTCTCCAAAAAAAAAAAAAAGAGGACACTGTTTTTAATATTTGTGTTTGTTGGCAAGAATAAATGAATGACCTACATTTGTCTTTGGCAATAACTTTTCCTATTTAAAGCTAAACTCTTTAGAGTTACTAAATATTTCAAGCAGCAATTATTAATTCAGCACTAGAGCAATGATCTCAAAACATTTTTTTAAATCAAACTCCACCAAGAAGAAAATGTGTGCATTCACCTCAATACATTTATTTATATTTTTATATTTATATGTATACACTTCCGTAAATCTATACATTAAAGAATAATAAGGGTTAATTTGTTTCTTATTTGGAGTTAAAAATAGGTATAAATAAAACTTTGAATATTTTCTTCACACTCTTCAAAATATTGTTCTTTATATTTCCCCAGGCTGGGCACATTCTGCAGATTACTGCTCAAAGGAGCCTGGACACCAGATTCTCTTCTGGACACCATGAAGAATACAGCAAAGGACAACACAGGCCCTGTCCTCAGGATTTCACCAGCAGCCTGGGAACAAATGCCACACGAATTTTATAGCTATCAGAGTCATGTGAAAGCAGGGAATGGAGAGATTGCTTCCTACTGGGGAAGAGAAGAGTCTTCAGGGAAGAGGGGGCCCTGGAGCAGAACATAAAGTATGTAAAGAAGAATTTTGTGTTCTGTATGCTGAGAAAACCCCTCTTTACCCACGCCCTGGCAACATTACAGGATGTCATGCTAGGGAGTGCTGTTGAGTGGGGAAGAGTCTGTACACCTGCCATGTAATAACTGTTGGTGGGTTTTTCTTCATGTGTTTCTTCCTGTTTGTTTAATGTATATATTTTCATTCTGCCTCCAGGACACAGTGACACATATTTCAGTTTTGGCAAAGGACAATGCCGTAGGGGTGTGGGAGGAAGATGCCTCTGGCAAAGATGGCTGAACTTTGACAAGTTAATATCCAATGCTGCTTCATTGTCTTCTTATTTTCAAATATAAGAATCACAGCCTCCAAAACAGAAACAATGACAGTGCTCTCCCAAGACCTTTTCCCCTTCACTACTCTGAGGTGCCTAGGAATAACTTAAAAATAATGCATGCAAACATTAAATGAATAGTACTCCTTGAATGTTCCTAAAATGTGACTCTGACCCTGTCACTACCATGATTAACAGCTTCAATTAGTTATTCCTGTCTACAGAATGCATCTCAAATTTCCCTTGGTGGCATTCAAGATGCTTCAAATTCTGGCCTTTACCTTGACACCTGCTATGTTCCTCCTATCTCCTACCAGACACATCAAACCATATGCTCCTCCTTGCACACTGGCTTTATCCCCCATAACAGCTCAGCCAATTCACCACCACCCTGCCCCATCTGTCTAAGTCCCACTCACCTTCCTGTCCCAGTTCAGAAGTCACCATCTCTATGAAGCCTCTACATTCCCATCTTCCACCTGCCCTGGAAGAATCGAACTCATCCACCTTTGAGTTTCTATTATAATTCTTTTTTTTTTTTTTTTTTTGCTATTGCCTTGGAATATAGTCATCTGTGTCTATTTCTGTCTCTTGCTTAAGACTAAAAGCTTTCTGAGGATAGGAAATGTTAAATTATCTCTTTCTACAACACAGCATTTCACACCAATGAAAAGGCGACTTGTATCAGTAAGCTATGGCAATTCTCACCTCATTTAGGGAGCTGTTTAAATTTACCTAAATTTCAAATGTTCGCATCTGAAGAACAGGCTGGGCAGTATAAGGAAGCTACAAAGTTTTGTTTTGAGTTCTTGAATTTGATAAGCCTGTAGGACTTTCAAGGGGAGATGTCTAGAATGTGATTGGATATACCTTGCTGAATATAAGAAAAGATAACAATTTAGTATTCATCAGTATGCAGATAATAGTAAAAACTATGAGAGTCTATGAGATTTTCCTATAAAATGAGAAGAAATGTGCCCAAAGACAAAACCTTAAGGGGCAGCAGTATTTGATAATCAGGGGAAGAAGTGATCCCAAAGAAGAACAAGAAGCCGTGATAAAAAAGATACAAAAGAACTCCAGGTATTTGAATATTTCAAAAGAGAAGGAAATGATAAACTGTAGAATGCTACTAAAGTTCGATAAAGTAGGGGCTGAAAAGTGTTCATGGACTTTGGCAGTTAGAATGTCCTTCAAATCTCAATGCAAGCAACTTTCATTATGGTTAAGAGATGAATTAGTGTTTATCTAAAAAGAGGGTAATCCTTTCCAAAGTTAGAATAAAATGGAAGAAAAGAAAAAAGTTGCTTGGGCCCAAGAGTAAGTTTGTTTCTCTATTGTTTTGAAAAAAATTTAAGCATGCTTATTAGCTAAAGGAAAGGAATCAGTCCAGAAAAACATTAAAGATGTAAGAGAGAGACTCTAGCAACATATAAAAAGGATTATGTATCATGACCAAATGGGATTAATCCCAGGAATGCAAGGTTGGGTCAACACATGAAAGTTGTATTGGCCGGGTGCGGTGGCTCACACTTGTAATCCCAGCACTTTGGGAGACTGAGGCAGGTAGAACACTTGAGGTCAAGAGTTCGAGACCAGCCTGCCCAACATGGCCAAATCCCATCTCTACTAAAAATACAAAAAATTAGCCAGGCGTGGTGGTGGGCACCTGCAATCCAGCTACTCAGGAGGCTGAGGCAGGAGAATCGCTTGAACCTGGGAGGCGGAGGTTGCAGTGAGCCGAGATTGTGCTACTGCACTCCAGCCTAGGCAACAAGAGTGAAACTCCATCCCAACGCCCCCTGCCAAAAAAAAAGTTGTATTAATAGAATAAAGAAACAAATTACCATTTCAATATACACAGAAAAATCTTTGCCAAAATCTAACACCATTTCATGATAAAGACACTCAATGCACCAGGAATAAAAGATTACTTCCTCAATCTGATAAAGGGCATCTATAAATACCTCAGCTAACATCATACTTAATGATCAAGGCTGAACATTTCCTTTCTAAAATGATAAACAAGTCAAGGATGCCCATTCTTCATTTCTATTTGTACTGTACTAGAGATTTTAGCTAGAACAATTAGGTAAGAAAAATAAATGAAACATATTCATATTGAAAAGGAAAAGGTAAAACTATCTATTCACAAATGACGTATATACAAAATCCTAAGTAACCCACAAAAACTTATTAGAACTAATACCAAGTTCAGCAAGGCAGCAGGATACAAAATCTTACAAAAATCAATTCTATTTCTATATATAATTGATGAAAAATTAAAAATGAAATTAAGAAAATAATTTTATTTACATCAAAAGTAATAAAATTATTAAGAATAAATTTAACAAAACTAAGACAAGACTTGCGCAATGAACATTATAAAACATCATTAAAAGAAATTAAAGAAGATCTAAACAAATGAAAAGACATTCTATGTTCATGGATCAAAAGACAAAATATTTAAAACTGTAGTTCACTCCCCAAACTGAACTACAGATCCAATGCAATCCCCTTCAGAATTTCCGCTAGCTTTTTGCAGAAATTGGCAGTTGATCCTGAAATTCGTAAGGCATGCAAATCACCCAGAATAAGTAAAACAATCTTTAAAAAAATTAGAGGACTCACATGTCTTGACTTCAAAACTTACTACAAAGGCACTGTAATAAGACAGGATGTACTAAAGTAAACTAGATTTATATATCAATAGAATAAAATTGAGAATCTAGAAATAAGCCCTCATCTTCAGGTTTAATTGATTTTTGACAAAGATATTGGGACCATTTAATGAGAGGAAAAAAATCTTTACAACAACTGGCACTGTGACAACTAGATAGCCACATGCAAAAAAAATTAATAAATTTGAACCACTAATTTATACTGTATACAGAAACTAACTCAAAATGGATCACAGACCTAAATGGAAGAGCAAAACTATAAAAGATCTTAGAGGAAAACCTGAGTAAATCTTTGTGCTCTTGGATTGGGCAATGGTTTCTCAGATAGGATACCAAAAGCATAAGCAACAACAATCAGAATAAAAAAAAATTAGACTTTATCAAGATTAAAAATTTCTGCGCTTTTAAAAGTACAATAAAGTAAAAGCAAAAAATGTGAAAGTGGAAAGACAACCAAGAAAGTGCAAAACATAATCCTCACAATGAGAGAAAATATTTGAAAATCATGTATCTGGTAAATGACTAGAATCCAGAATATAGATATAAAACACAACTCAATAATAAAAATAAAACACAATATTTAAGTGAAAAAGCATCTGAACAGATGTTTTTCTAAAGATATACAAATAGCCAATAAACACATAAAAACATGTTCAATATCTGCTATGGTTTGAATGTGTCCCCCAAAGTTGATGTGTTGAAAACTTAATCCCCAATGCAATAATCTTGAGGGGTGGGATCTTTAAGAGGTAATTAGATCATGAGAGAATGCCCTTATGAATGGATTAATGCCATTATCATAGAAGTGGTTCATTATTTCAAGAGTGCGGGTCATTATAAATGATGGTTTGGCCCTCTCTGTTGTTTTCTCTTGCCCATGTGGTGACTTTTTTCACGTTATGACACAGCAAGAAGGCCCTCACTGGATGCCATCACCTCAATCTTGGACTTTCCAGGCTCCAGAACTGTGAGAAACTTTTCTTTACAAATTACCCAGTCTCTGGTAGTCTATTACAGCGGCACAAAATGACTAAGAAAACATCATTAGTCATTGGGAAAATGAAAATCAATAACCCAATAGGATACCATTTCACAACACTAGCATATGTGTGATCAAAAAGGTAATAATAGATGTTGGTAAGGATGATGAAAAATTAGAGCCCCTATGCATTGTTGGTGGGAATGTAAAATGGTGTAGACATTTTGGAAAAGTTTGATCACTCCTAAAAATGTTAAATATATGGTTAACATATGACCTGGCAGTTCCATTCCTAGATATATGCCAAAGAGAAGAGAAAACATGCCCACACAAAAACTTGTATATGAATCATTATTCATAATAGCCAAAACATGGAAAGAATTCAAATATTAATGAACTGATAAATAAACAAAATGTGGTGAAATATTATTTATACATCAAAAGTAATGATATACTGATGTGTGATACAACATGGATAAACCTTGAAACTATTTTGTTAAGTGAAAGAAGCCACTTAGGAAAGATGGCTTATTGTATGAGTTCGCTGATATGAAATGTTCAGAATAGGAAAAACTATAGAGACAGAAAGTAGCTAAGTGTTTACCCAAAGCTGGGGGCTGGGGGTGGGAAGGGAGTGGAAATGGAGAGAGATTTGCCAGTGGGTGCTGAGTTTCTTTCTCCGATGCTGAAAATATTCTAGAATTGGGTAGTGATTATTAAATCAAAAGTTCATTAATGTACTACAAATATTATTTTACACTTTAAAGGGGTGACTTTTATGGTACATTAATTACATTTTAATGGAGCCACTCTGGAAAAGAGAGAGCAAGGAACTAACTGATGGAATGAAGACCTAGAGGACATAAGAATGGCTAACCCTCCATGCCAGTATAAGACGTGGCTTTAAATAGTTCTAAGACTGAAAGAAGGGAGAACGGATGAGCACGAAGGTACCTTTGCAGGTGACAGAGTAAAGGTGAGGGAGGCCCCAATTAAGGGAATTTACTCCAGTGCCTCAATTTTCTAGAAATTAAAAGTAATATTAACTGCTGGAACTAAAGGGTTGGGAGTTGGGTAGAGAACTTGAGGAAAAAATACGCTAATTAATATAATCAAATGTAGCCCCTGAAGAAAATGAAGAGGAAGCAGCCTAAGAATAAATAAAAGAAGGAAGTTGGCATTTGCTAAGACTCTCTTTGCATGGCATCTGGCCCTCAGGCACAGTTTGTTCTCTTTTTTATTCAGCACCTCAGTAATCTCCACAAGAGCCCTAAGAAGACAGTACTGCCAGGAAACTGTTCAAACAGACATATCTGTAGGGGACCTCCGGGCTGCACATGACCCATTTTTCAACATCACTGGCCAAAGTGCAACAAGGTCACGTACTGCAAATATTTGTGATTAGAAAGATTCTTTCCTCTAAAAGTTGCCATGAGATAGTTCTGTGAAATATAAATATTGGCTCAGGGTGATTGACAGCAACTGAAAATTCAAACAAAGGCAATACAGCCCAGGGATCCTCTGTGGTCCCAGCAGTAGGGGAATCATGCACCATCAAGACAACATCACAGACCTCCCTACCTAGGGCTCAGAGGGTTGGGCAGGGTAAATTCTGCTCAGTGCCCCTGTTAGCTCACTACTGGAAAAGCAGAAAGCTTGGCTTCAGCCACCTCTACAGCCCAGAGGACTCCTCCCCTGCACCAGCCGGTAAGACAACTAATGTAATGTTGAGGAACACTCAGAACTGTTTCTAAGCCTGTTTAAGGACACACTGATGTCTCCAGGCAAATTAGCCTATTATCAAGCATAGCAAGTTGAATAATGGCCACCCAAATATATCAAGTTCTAATCCCTGGAATTTGTCAATATTACCTTTTTGGAATGAAAGGGTCACTGCTGATGTAATTAAATTAATTATTTTGAGATGTGCTTTCTGTGGGTTAAATGTGAGGATCCTCAATGCCATTCCAAGTGTTCTTATCAGATAAAGGCAAAGCAAGATAATGAGAGCACACATAGGAGGAAAGCGAAGGGAAGACTGTTGGCAAGTCAGATTGCTGACAACCCCCACAAGCAGGAAGAGGCAGAGAATAAATTTTCCTCTGGAGCCTCCAGAGGGAGCATGGTCCTGCCGACACCTTGATTTAGGACCTGTAGCCTCCAGAACTTTGAGAGAATAGTCTCTTCCTTTTAAACCACCCTAGGAAACTCATACGCATGGCAACAGTATTTTCTTTACTCTCATGAGCCTAAAAATGCACATTTGATGTTGAACCTGCGGAAAGTGAAAGTTTGGGATAGAAAGACAGGAAGTGGAGCCCATGGGACTATCATCTCAATTCATCCACCTCCTGCGGGAGATTTTTCTATGTCCTTTCTAGTGATTCCTGCACACCCTCACACCCACCCCACCCCACCCCTAAATACTGCCTTTACAGGAGCAGATATAGTTCCTTGGTTGTATAACTCTTGATGGAAACTTAAATTCAAGTGTAAGGAAAACAGCAAATTTGGAGCCAGAACGCAGACTGAGCCCTGATCTACCACCTCCTGTGCAGCTTTGGCCTCAGGCAGTTTATTTTACCCCTAGTCTACTCAACTGAAAAATACCAGCAATAATTCTAACCCCCCAGAGGATGACTTTTTGTGAAAACCAATCAAATAAGTTAATGCCCATGCCTTCACCTGGATTATCTGGGGAAAATTTGAAGCAAAGCTGACATGCTGCTGCTTTCTGAGACAGCATAATTCCAGGCAGCAAGAATAAGGGTGAAGGGAGGGAGGCAGAAAGGAGGGGGGAAAAATGCAAGAAGGTGAGGACCACACTGGCCACAGCACCACCAGGGAATGTGGCCAATGACTCATTCTTGTGAGATATTGTCCTTGAGGGAACCACTGCAATACAGAATATTGCTGGAGCAGGGAGGAGCTGGAAGAAAGGTGAGGGTGTGATAGTCACCTCCCTTCTGCCTCCCTTCTCACATGGGGCAAACTTCATCTCATGGAGAGTTAACTCTCCTGGATCTCCGTGGTATCACCCTACTCCTCTGAGCAGCCCTGGGGAAGCAAGATGTGAGTCATCATCTGGTGGAAGGAGGAAAGCAACATGGTCCCATCTGGTTGGTTCTAGCACTGGAGCTGTGATAGCACGGCTCCCATCCAGCAGGTGTGGCAGAGGCCATGCCACAGCCCAGCCCTTTCCTGAGTGGGGTGGGGATGACTGAGGAAGCTGGCAGTAGTAGGAGATGCCAGAAAGGTATCAGCCTCCGAGACATTCCCCTAAGTGAGCCGCAGGCGTGGAGGCAGTGGGGACGCAGAAATGGACTGGCACATAAATGGGGTCCAAAGCTTTGTGTGAAACAGATTGGGAAATGTCAACTGTTTTACATATATTACTTCACTTGGCTATTTTTGTTATCTTCCTGTAGTTTTAACTTTTATTATCTCAAGTAATTTTAAGGGAATAACCCACCATTCTTTCAGGTGCACCAACACTTATTTGGATATGGTTTGTCTCATCTTCACGTACAAGAAACAAACTTAGTAAAAAACTGGTGAGAACTTGGTTCTCACTTAAACAATATGGCAACTGATTGTGGAGGACACAGTCAACTAGGGACAACACAAGTTGCCCTAGGGTTCCCTGGGAAACAGACTCTGAGATGAAGCTTCGTGAGCAGGGAGTTTATTGGGAATGCAAAGGAGTGAGGGAAGCAGGATTGGGTGGCAGGAGAGGTTGAATGCACTGTGGTTGGTCAGGAGCTGGTGTGGCTTTTCAGAATTGTCTGGGATTGAAGCCACGGGGTCAGGTCTCTGCATCCCTACATCAACTAGTCATTGGATGGGATCTGTGCCTAGGATGGAGGTTTCACCTTGGGTAAGGCAGCTCCCTTCAGGCTACGGCAATTCCTAGGAAGAGATTCAGCTGTGATCCCAGCAGTACTGAGTAGCAGAAATGAGTCCCTCAGTTCCAAAGGGCATTCAGGGGGGCCGCATCACAGCATTCATGACAACTGTGTTTCTGCAGAAAGAGGGAGTGGGTTCTATTGGCTGTTGCCCTCATCTTACATGTCTTTTGTGGACTGATCATTCTGCAAGGAAAAGCATGTTCACCTTCTTCATAGTTCCATAAGTAAAGTGACTTTTAATCCCCTTTCTATTTCCCATGCCAACATATGGATTGGACACTTCTGGGTTTTTTCAGCATCCTTTGGTTTATCCCACCTCTCACGAAGGAGGAGCAGGAGCCAATCTAATCAGTGGAGGCTGACAGCCTCGGGACACATGTTTGCTCCCTGGGCCACTGAGGCTGCTTGTGGCCCCACGCATGGATGACTGGATCCTTGGCCCCTCCTCTCCCAGCCTCCTGCAACCTTTGCACAAGTGAACCCAGGGTCTGTCTTCCAGAGGCAAGTCTGGCTTACCAATCTATCTTGTCCAGCTTTTCTCTTTCTGGCTGGCAAGTAAGTCAGATGGCCTGCATACTGCAGGCCCAAATGCCTGCAGTTCATGGGTGAAATGGGAGGCCTCGTATGACCTCATCTCCAAGGTGCTTTCTACAAACGTTTACCAAATGCATATCAAGGATAACCAAGCTGCTAAAAAAAATTTATTTCACATCATAGTACACAAGCATCATTTATAGTTTGGCTTTGAGAACTTTTCTGGTATTACATTTATGGAAAATGTATAAAAGAAATAAGTTTTGGTTATATTTTTATATTTAGAAAGTAAAAATTTGCTTAAATTGATCACTGTTCTTTTTTTATTTGATTGTCATTTCAATAAAAAATATTTGAAAGAAAAAACTTTATTTTAATTCTCATTTGATTAGTGAACTAGGTGTCTATGTTCATTTTTCTCATTTTTATTCACTTAGCAAATATTTATGGAGTAAGTATTATGTGCCAGGCCCTGTGCTAAGTGCCGGGAAAGTGGAGGTAAACAAGATAGGTAAGATCCCTGCTTTTAAGGAATTTATATTTTACTAGGGTTACAGAGACAATAAATAAATCAACAAATAAGCACACCATGCCAGATCTTGAAAAGTGCTTAAAGGGACTGAAACAAAGAGTGATTGTGCAGGGTGGAATGAAGTGAGGTGTGAGGCAGCTGGTAAAGACTGGGTGGTTCGTTGAGCAGGGGACATCTGAGCTAAGTCTTGAATGTCTAGAAAGAACCAGACATGGGAAGATGTACAGAAAGTATTTCCCATGGAGGTACCAGCTGGTGCAAAGGCCCTGGAGTAGGAACGAGCTTGCAGGCTTGAAGAACAAATAAGTCCATGTATTTGGAGGATCATGGGCAAGAGGGAAGAGGCAGGATGTAAGGTCAGAAAGAAAGCCAAGGACCAGATTATGAGGGATTTATACAGGCTCAATCACAGTATTTCTTAAAATGTGCAATGTACCCACCAGTGGTATCTTGTTTGTTTGAGGTGGTATATCTGCAAATATTTATATTAAAATAATTACATATCCATTTTAGAACATATTGGGAAAAGTATAATTATCATATCAAAACTATGATTTCCCAGATATTACCCTTCAGGTGAAACTAAATTAAAAAGTGAATCAGTGTAAAGAGAATATTAAGTCAATTATAGTACAGGTGTTATGCAGATATAGCAAAGATCTCAAAAGTAATGTTTGCAGAACTGAAGTTCAAGAAAATACTGCTTACCAATTAGACACAAGAGGGGAGAAATACACACCTGCCCTCCCCTCCACACCCCCAACGCACCCATCCACCCTGGTCCACCCAGCATCTAGCAGGTCGTCCATGCTGGCTGCTCAGAAGTGGGAGGTGGAAGAGGTGCCTAGTGTGGCAAAGATGGCCTGCTTTCCTTCAAATGTCCCCCACTCTCACTGTGTAGAGTTGTCTCCAATGGGGGAGCAGGCTAGCCAGGGACTGTATTTCCCAATCCATGTTTCTGGAAGGAGATACCATAGGACTGGTCTCACCAGTGGAATCAGAGTGGAAGATCAAATGTCACTTTTTGTGCCTCCTCCACTCTCTGTCCCTCCATCTGCCAGCAGGATCATTGAGAGGGCTACAGGGCAGTGCCTAGGGGATAGCAGAGATTTAAGATAACAGGTCCCTGAGGCCTGGAATCACTACATGGAAGAAAACCACCCACTGACCAGGAACTGTCACATAAGAGAGAAACCGCTTTTGTGTTAAGCCACTGGCATTTGTGGTTTTCTTGCTACAGAAGTTAGTTAAACCATACCTAGAATCATTGCCCTTTGGGAGATACCACATCCTAAGAATATGGCAACTATACCACATATGAATTGGTTGAGTTTAATTGGCAGAAAAGTAGTTGAATGGGAGTTAGATACATGATCTGTTTTTATATACTCAAAAGACTGTCTTGCAAGACAGGGATTTGGTACGTTCTGAGAGGAGCAATCATTGGAAGTTACAAAAAGGCAACTTTCATCATTGTGTGGAAGACAAGTTTAAAATAGGACAAGACAGCTGCCCTGCACAGTCATACAGGAGGTGTATAAACTGTTCAAATGAAGGGCGCAGGAATACAGGAGAGGAAAGCCAGGGTTTTCGGGGGTTGGGGGGGGCAGTTTGGTGGTGAAGATATTCTGCATTGGCTGAAAGGGTGGCTCCAGGGCCTCTGAGAACTCCCCATTTCTCCTTCCCCAATTCTGAGTCTCTCTCGTCTCTTGACACTTGAGAAGGTTGGGGCAGGAAGGTGAGAGAGAGCTTGATGAGAAAGCTCACCTTAACAGCTTTCTATTTTTGAGATCTACCCCTAAGGCACCTGACCCTATAGGCTGGTGTGCCCCAAGAGCACAGGCAAAGAAAGCTCAAGCACCCTGAGGAATCTGACTCACACTGGGACTTAGGTCCCAGGTCCTGAAGCCATTTCCTTGCGAAAGAGCATGACCAGAGCACACCTGAGCTCAGCAGACATGGTATCCAAATCCGCAATGCGTAGCATTCAGTTCCTTTGCTCTCCAATACACAGTCCAGGCAGAGCACCTGCAGAGAAAGACGTAATTTTTCTGAGAGAGAGGATGGTGGCCCAGCCCAGGAATGTGCAGCTCGGAAAGACAATCCCCTCTGCTGTGGATGGCCTGACTGCTCAGAGACAAGCAGGACAGGCTAGTAGTGAGTGCCAGGGCCTCCAGAAGGGATCTAGGTCAGAGCTCAGAGCTCAGATCCAGACAGAAATGAGTGAAGTGGGCCTAATGTAAGGCAAGAAGAAATGGTAGGGACTATGGCAAAATTAAGAAAGAAAATCAGAAGCAAGAGGAATTAAAAATGGAAAAGTTCCTCTTTGACAAGCCTTTCACTTACAAATAAGAAGACAGAAGCTCAAAGAAGGCAGGGTCTTCCTTCAAGTCACTGTTTCGGGGCAGTGTTAAGAACGAGAACTCAAGGCTTCTCTATCCAGTCACTGTTCTGCTGACGAGCAGGGGTGGGATCAAGGGAAGGTCACCAGCACATGGAGAGCAGCCACAGTGGAAGAGACAGCCCTGGCTGGGAACTTGGAAAACAGATCCCATCCTGACTCTGCCTTCAACTCCTGAGCTTGGGCAGTACCTTGTATTTCTCTGGGCTACAAAGACGGTTGAGCAGGTGGTCCCAAACATCCCTTCCAACTCCGACATTCGCAGGACATTTGCAAGGAGAAATAGAAATTATTATTTAGACATTTCTTTGCTCACCCCCAGCTCTGATCAGACTCTTAGTCCCTTGGAGTTTAACCCCTACATATCTCTTGAGCTCAGCCCCCTTTTCCCATCCTCTGACACAGCTTTGGCATAACCCTCATCATCTCCCTCCCAAATGGCTGAAAGGGCCTCCTGGCCAGCCTCCTTCCTTCATTCTCGACCCATCTTATCCATTCACAGCTGCCAAAGTGCTACATCAACAAGAAAGTTGATTATATCATGCTTTTGCTGACCACCCTCTGTGGCTCCCCAGTGCCTTCTGGAATAAAACTCAAATTTAACACCGTATCTTGGGCCCTCAAAAAATGAACCCAGCTTCATTTTCAGCTCTTACTCAGCTCACTTTTTCCAAATATTTTATGTCCCGCTATATCAAACTCCTTGCCACTTCATGAACACACTCTAAAGTTTCATCCTTCAAAACTTTTGACACATGTTGATCCTTGTGTTTTGAATGCCCTTCCACATCCTCTGTACTTGGTAGCAGTGGGAGGAGTAATCTATCCTAGTTTAGGCAATAAGAAGATGCATTATTTCTAGGAATTTAAAAATCAATAAGACAGCCTAAAATTTAGACATCTTTTTATTGTCATCTTGCACTGGCAATTGTAAACGTCAACAGTGATTAAAAAAATGCTTCTCCCTACTGGAGTAGACTACTGTAACCATCATCCTCCCTGGAGCACCACTAGAACATGGAAGTCCCCTATTATTCTTGAAAACTCAGCATATTACTTCATCTGTAAAGACCTCTCTTGACCCTTTAATCTATTCCTTCATTCTCCACTGAACTGCTAATTTTCCTGATTTATACTTTTATTTCACTACCTTTGTAAATGCTACATTTTACTTTGGTTTATGAGTCCGTCTCTCTCAAAGGGCAGTGAATTCCTTGAAGACAGTGGCTATACCTGTGTCTTCCTAAAGCTTGGCACAGCACCTGGGATGTAACAGGGGCACAGAAGATGGGTAATAAATGAATGAATGAGCATACTTTGAGCTCTTCTGAACACTGATTTAGGCATGATGGATTTCCAAGTCACAATGCAATTAAAAGCTCCAATTTATGCTTCAAAAGTTTTTGCAGATCAAGTCATAATGATCTGGCTGGAGGTCCTCTCCTTGCTGGGACACCACAGGAAGGTGTTCAGGTGGTACTGAAATGACTCACTACCCCAGTGGCTTAACAGGATTACCTAGGGGCTTACGTTGCTCAGTGAAGCATAGTGGGAGCCCCAGCAGTGCCAGCCAAGCCAAGAGCCGAAGCTGCTATCTGTGTGACTGGGGACTGGAAACTAAAAATTACTATAGTCCACTAGCTGAGAAGAGAAAGTTGCAGAAGAAACAGAGTGCCTCCCCTGCCCCTCCCCAATTGGTTTGCATCCTTCCTTTTACTCCCAATATCTCAGAATGCCTACCTAGAAGGAACTTGGGTTAAAATCTGGGTGACATCCTCAACTTGCAGGTTAGAAAGCTGAGGTCCAGAGAAAGGCATAAACTCTCAAGGCCGCATAGCTGGTAAGTGACAGAATTGAGAACTGAGTCTGCATATGTTCATTCCCTGTCCAGTGAGGGAGCATCAGGACCTGGAACCATGCAAGGAGGTGAAAGCTGAAGGTGGGGGGGTGAAGTCACACTGGTTTGTTGGTTTGTTGAGTTTTTTTTTACTTTGAATTGAAGTGAAATTCACATAATATAAAATTAACATTTTAAGTGTAGAATTTAGTAACATTTAGTACATCCACAATATTGTGCAACCACCACCTCTATCTGGTTACAAGACATTTTTTATCACCCCAAAAGGAAACCTTACACCATTAAGCACTCACTCTATTTCCCCCTCTTCCAAGACTGGCAATCACTAGTCTGCTTTCTGTCTCTATGGATTTGCCTATTCTAAACATTTCGTACAAATGAAACCATAGAATCTGTGGCTGTTTGCGTCTGGCTTCTCTCACCTAGCATGTTTTCAAGGTCAATCATGTTGTAACATGTATCAGTATTTCTTTCATTCCTTTTCGTGGCTGACTAATATTCCTTTGTGTGGGTATAACATATTTTGTCTATCACATCTGGTTTTAACTAAGTGTTGGGTGCTGGGGTAACAAGAAGCCTCTTAATTTATTCATGCTTTCTTCACTCTACACTCTTGAAAACAGGCACAGAGTGAGGACTTGGTAATGTCTACTGGGTGGGCGTTTATTGAATGCTTGCCACTGTTAGAGCTTAGTGAGGCTCCTAGAACTGACCTGGCAAGATGATGTGGAGAAGGATCATGCACTGAACCCAGTAGAGATCTGGGCTCTGGTTCCGGCTCTTCAATAATCAGCTGAGTGGCCCCAATCAGGTTCTTCCCCTTCTCTGGGCCACAGTCTCCTCAACTCTAAGCCAGGATAATAATGCCAGTTGCTTTCGTCTGTTCAGGTTCCTATAATACACTATCACAGACTGGGTGGCTTATTGACAACATACATTCATTTCTCACAGATATGGAGGCTGGAAGTCCAGGACCAGGTGCCAGCATGGGCAGCTTCTGGTGAGGGTGATCTTCCAAGTTGTAGACTACCAACTGCTCCTTGTGTCCTCATGTGGTGGGAAGGGGTGAGAGAGCTCTCTGGGGCCTCTTTTGTAAGGCCAATAATTCCACTCATGAGGACCTGGTTCTCATGACCAAATCACCTCACTAAGGCCCCATCTCCTAACACCATCCCGCTGGGGCTTAGGTTTCAACACATGACTTTGGGGAGGACACAAACATTCAGATAATAGCACCTGTCTAACTAATCACCTGCCAGGGCTACTGGGAGTCCTGAATGGAATAATATCTGTAAAAGTTCCCTGTAAACAACTCCTCTTATGTAAAGCTTATCTCATTTAAAACAAAACCAAAAACTCCTCACTAACCATCTACCTGTAAAGATATGGTTATTGACAGCAAATGGTGAGATAGAGGAAGATTCTCTACCAGGATTTCCTTCAGGGGGCCATATCTATTTGCTTGGGATAAAATACCTGGATGGGCACAGAAGGGACCTGAGTATGGGGAACTTTACTAAAGAAGACCAGGGATCAGGTGCCTGTTGCTCAGAAGAATGAGGTTGAGGACCAGAGAAGGCAGGAGGTGAAAAGACAGCAAGGGCTGCCGAGTCTATGAAGACTCCCCTCATGACCCTCGATCTTCAGTAAAGTTACCAAACTCACAAACGTCTGAATGCAAGTGGGTTTTTGTGAAGACCAAGTGAAGGAAATGGGCTTTGTTCCTGGAATGGGTGGTGCAGGACAGAACCAGACAGCACTCTTAGATAAGAGGGCATGAAAGCTGAATGAGGCATGATGATATATGGTGTGGGTACGGAGAGCAACTGCTCTGTGGATTCAAGGCTCTCATAAGGCTTGGCATTGGGGTTCGGGTCAAGTTTAATAGGATCTCCAAGGGCCTCCGCTGACATCTGGGCTGCACACAATTAGACATCCGCCACAAGGGCTGTGCCCATGGGCAAAACCACTGATGAGACCCATGGTGTCCCCACGCTGATATTACAGTGACTTATACCTTTCGACCCTATGCAGCCCTCAACCCTACAGCCACAGTACGAGAACTTGGATCTTGGCACTCGTTTGCTTTTGCTCCCAAACAATTGTTGGTTCAGAGGCCTTTATATGGCAACCACAAATGAATCAACTCTGCAAACAAGGCAGACCCTTGGAATGGCCCCTAAGTACTTTCTGCTGTCACCAGCAAAGAACTTGTGCAGTAACAGCCTCCCTCAGGACCTAGTAAACCTCTGTTCTTCTGCTCAGTTGCCAGGTGACATGCTAGTTACTGGCTTAGAGCAACATGCCAGTAAGATCAGTATGAGGCTTAGAGCTATGTCCAGTAAGATTAGTATGAGGCTTAGAGCTGTGCCCAACACAGTTAGCTTTGTACCAGAGGGAATGTTGTTCCTCATACCCCTTTACAAATCAGTTCCCTCCTGGATTTTGATCCTAAGAAAATCAACAAAAGCACAAAGCTGAATATCCTAAGATAATCTTTACAAAATTATCCATAATGCTAAGCAGCTGGAGACATAAAATTCCAACAATAGGTAAAAGGCAAGAAACTTGGTGTGAATCACCACAATGGCATTTCTGCAGCCATAAAAGAAAGATTGGAGCAATACGGCAAATTCATGTAATATTAAGCGAAAACACAGAACCCTAAATAGTATTTGTGACATGACTGCAACTATGTAAAAATGTGCATTGTATATGGACAAGAAGACAGATGGGACTATGGAAAATAAAAAAATATTGCAAAAGGTAGAATACCTACAGGCAGCTTTTTCTTTAATATTATCTTTTATATCATCCTCTTTGTATTTCACTAGGTTCAAACCTGCATTCTTATCCAGCTGTTTATCTGCATCTGTTTTCCCCACCCAATTAGATTTCATATATCTGTCACTATAAAGATATTTATAATTCTGTTTGTGCTGACTTGTTTCTACCTCCCTTACCTTGTAGAACCTTCTATAAGTGAAACCCACATGATATCGGGCAGGAGGTGGCTAAACAATAATGTGCCAGGCTGCTGTTGCTTGGGAGGTATTTACTAATGCTGCACTGGAAGTGTCGTGGTGCTTGCAAATAGAGGATCCATTTTCAGTTTGGACTCTAATCAGGAAGAAGGGACTCTTTCCATGTAAGAGGTTTTAAAACCCTTCCCAGCAACCAGGATGTGGGAACTAGAGCAGCCAGGGATGATGAATTCTGATCCTCACTGAGAAAATGGAGCTTCAGTATGATTAGGGAGCAACAGAGTGCTCCAGTATCATCAATGAGCAAGAGAGTGCTCCAGGATGATGGGTGAGCAACATAGAGCTCCAGCATGATCAGTGAGCAACAAAGTGCTCCAGCATCATCAGCAAGAAAGAGTGCTCTGGTGTGTCTGGTGAGCAGCTGCAGCACTAGTGGAGATGCCAGTTTCAGAGTAAACAAGCACAGATTAAAGATTCTCTGTGATCAGTAAGTCGGGGTCTAGAATAACTGATGGGCATTTCAGTCCAGATCACACCATGAAAAACCAGAGAAATGGGACCCAGAGGGGAGGATGCTAAAAACTCCAGGACTCTTCCTCTAGCCACCTGGATGCCAGATCCCTGCCCCAGATCCTTTATAATTGGCACCAGAACTCACAGTGCAGTCTCTGTTTCATTCATTTTCTATAAGATTATGCAGGAGATGGTATTTAGGTCTCATTCCAGAGAGTGAGCTCAGGCGTCCTCAGCTAATTTTCATTGAGGGTCAGGCTAAAGAATATCAGGGCTTGTGCTATAGAAACCTGGGCCAGGTGAGTTCTATCTGGCATCTAGAATCAGGGTTCTGCTCCCTGTATAGGCAAACCTGGGAGACAAACTGTCCCTGGAGAATTCTGTTTGAACAGGCTTGCTTCTTTTTGCATGAGCTGTCTACTGGATGAGGAAAGTCCTGATCATTACTTGTATAAAAACATCGCAGAGGAGAAGGATACATAAGAAAATGGTATAGTGGTCGGCTTTGAAAAGGAGGACATCTAGATAGTTGGGGAAAGGTTGAGAGGAACATTTTTATTGTATTCCCTTTATACCTTGTGATTATTTTAAACTGCTTATTACCAAATCAAATAAATGGGGTGAATAATGAATGGTTAGGTAAAATTAAAATGAAAAACTGAGGAGATTTGCCAGTGACATTTCTCTGAGTTGGAGACTGAGCTAGCTAGCAGACAATTTGGGTGGTAAATCAAAGGGTCCTGAGAAGAATTTTGCTTCACATAACAGAATGCCAGCCATCATATAAGTCAGTTATTCTGAAATGCAGTCTTAAGAGTTAAGATAATATTTCACTTGGCTGGGCATGGTGGCTCATGCCTGTAATCCCAACACTTTGGGAGGCCGAGGCAGGTGGATCACTTGAAGTCAGAAGTGTGAGACCAGCCCGACAAACATGATGAAACCCCATCTCTACTAAAAATACAAAAATTAGCTGAGTGTGGTGGCGCATGACTGTAATCCCAGTTACTTGGGAAGCTGAGGCAGGAGAATCCCTTGAACCTGGAAGGTGAGGTTGCAGTGAGCCGAGATCACGCCATTGCATTCCTGCCTGGGTGGCAGAGTGAGACTCTGTCTCAAAAAAACAAAAAACAAACAAACAAAAAAAGATAATATCTCATCATAAAATGCTCATATATTCCCTTAAAAGGGAAGAAGTAAATTTATTGTTATCTAATACAAATTCAAAATTAGCCATAACCACAACCTATTGGAAGGACAGGGGAACAACCAGTTTCTCCAGGACTAGAACTGTATCTCTGTGGTCCCAGGGGTCACTGTCTGCATTGTCAAGGAAGAAAAGTTTGGTAGGAAGCAGGATTTGCTACCAAGACGCACATGATCAGCTCCTCAGCTGCAGCGCCCTGTGGCTAGGAGGCAGGGGCCAGGTGTGAAGATCAAGTTCAGGTCCCTCAGAATTCTATTGCTGAACTGGCCATGCTGGGCAGTGGGACAGCAAGACTGGCCAGAACCCAGATCCAGAACACAGACAGGAACTCACTGCTATCCTCCAGAGCACCTTGGATTTGTCTCTGGGACAAAAAGCTATGCCTGCTCTCTTTGCAACAGGAGCCCAAAGCACTCTGCAAAAGCCTCATACTCCCTAGGAATAGTGATGCCTTGATGGAGGCAGGCATCCAAAAGGAAGGGAAAGAAGCCATGGAGGGAAAAGCTGGGGAGGAAGTTACTGCTCTATTATCATCAGGTGTGAGACAAGCACAGGTGTCTAAATAGTGAATGCCTTACAAAGGACAGACTCTTTGAGATAAGATGGCATCCGAGAGCTTTTGCCTTTCAACCCTGGGTGCTTTTTGGAAACCTGCCAGGTCTCCAAGTCCTGAAAAGGGATTGAAGTTTAGGTTTCTTAACCATATCTGAACACAATGACTTGTGCAAGCCTCAAAGTAAAAAGAGAACTGAGCTAACGTGGCCAGTCCTAGTCCTTTCTGGGGAAGGGTCACTCGTTCAAAAAGCAGCCAGCCTCTAAGATGCAGCAGTGCTTGAAATCCTGAGATCTAGGTGGCTGTCTGGAGAGCCAGGCCTCCAGTGCTCAGGAAAGGGCCACAACACCGCCAAAGCTCTGCTGCAGGAAGTGGTACTTTCCTGGCTTCACCAAAGCAGGGCGAAGGATGCCTCTCCCTTCTGCGCCTGATACCAGATCACAGTTGCTGAACCACTGTACCGGTCACATCTCTTTCACGCTTAAAAGCTTTCGGTGGCTCCTGGCTGCCAATCACTTCAATTTCCTCCTCCCTCTGGGATTCAGTGCCCCCAAATGTGGTGCTCAGCCATTCTCCAACCACAGCCCCTCCTCTCCCTGTTGCACTAATCCACTTGTCCATCTCCCCACAGACACCAAGTGAGCCCCAAGATTTCCTGCCACCACGTCCTGCTCAGGCTAGTTCCTCCCCCTGGAAGCCATTTCCCTACAATCTCTCAAAATGTCACTTTTTGGACTTTTAACTTTTCTTCACCCCAAATTCCATCTCTTCTATAAGAGCTTTCCTCATCTACTGCTGTGGACACCTAGTCAAGAGCAATTTCTTTCACCTCAGACATCTCTGTTTTTCTTAGAGCTCATAACTTTCTTTTTTATTTCCTTTCTTTTCTTTCTTTCTTTCCTTCCTTTCTTCCTTCCTTCCTTTTTTCTTTCCTTTTTTTTTCTTTCTTTCCTTTTTTTTGACAAAGTCTCACTCTCTCCCCCAGGCTGGAGCACAGTGGCACAATCTCAGCTCACTACAACCTCTGCCTCCCAGGTTCAGGCAATTCTCCTGCCTCAGCCTCCTGAGTAGCTGGGAGTACAGGTGCCCGCCACCACGCCTGGCTAATTTTTGTATTTTTAGTAGAGACAGGTTTTCACCATGTTGGCTAGGCTGGTCTCAAACTCCTGACCTCAGGTGATCCACCCACCTCAGCCCCCCAAAGTGCTGGGATTACAGTCGTGAGCCACCACACCTGGCCATAACTTTCTTCTTTGTGTTTGGATTATTGTGTGCTCCTTGTAGCTTTGCTCTGGATGGTAAACTCCTTGGAAACGGAAGTTTCCTCTTGCTTTCCATGACTTACTTCTCCTTGTTGGGTTGAGCTGTATGTTTGGGACAGACTAACTTGAGGAACTAAGTCCATGATGACTAGAGGAGCACTGGTTAGCTGAAGGTCTGCCAAGCTTGCTGTAAAAATATTTCAGCTTTAGGTGAGGAGCTGCACTGGCCAACCTGCTTCCTTGTAGCTCCAGGGTTTCATGCACGGGGTCTATGAATAGCCAAAGCAAAAGGCCACACTAAGCATCTTTTCTGCTCCTATCCCCAATCTTGAGTTCAGAAAGATCTGCTAGGGATCAGTGCTTTAAATCATCTCTCCTCACTCCCTGTAGAAAAGCCCTCCTTCCAGGAGCTGACTAATGCTTACTGTCCTTTCCCAAGGAGCACTTTTTTTTTTTTTTTTTAGACAGATTGTTGCTCTGTCACCCAGGCTGGAGTGCAGTGGCGCGATCTGGGCTCACTGCAACCTCTGCCTCCCGAGTTCAAGCAATTCTCCTGCCTCAGCCTCCTGAGTAGCTGGGATTACAGGCACACACTACTACGCCCAACTAATTTTTGTATTTTTAGTAGAGACGGGGTTTCACCATGTTGGTCAGACTGGTCTCCAACTCCTGACCTCGTGATCCACCCTCCTTGGACTCCCAAAGTGCTGGGATTACAGGCGTGAGCCACCGCGCCCACCCCAAGGAGCACTTTCTGTTGCTTTCTGGGCAGGCTGTGTTTTTACCCTGTGCCCATCTCTCTCTCCCTGGCCCTCTGGTCTGCCCGGCACAGGTAAGGAGTCCGAGAGTCACCCTTCTCCTATGAGTATTCCGGTGGCTGCTGCTCTACCCTTGGGAGGTGGAAAAGGCACCAGCACAAGGCTTCCCCCGCCCACTCATCTCAGCTTCTTGCTTTCTGCACTGGGCCGTGTGGGGTGCTGGGAGTTTCGTGATCACAAGGAAAAGAGATGCGGGCGCCAGGCAGGGAAGGAGGACAAAGAGCAATCCCCTTATTCATGCATTCTTCAGGAAAAAGAGAGAATTTGACCTGAGCCTATTTTCCGAATAATTCGGCATCAAACAGCAATGAGGCCTGGGACTTTGCCAAGTCTTTGTTTTGTTTTGTTTTTTTCCTTTCCTCCAATCAGCCCAAGGCAATGGGGAGTGGGAGGGGGTGGAGGGGTGGGGGCTACACGCACACTGGGGCTGAGAGGGAATGCTGAGCCTGCAGAAGTGGCCCATTGACAGCTCCTGCTCACAGCAGAGGGGCGGGTGGCACCCCCAGCCTACCACCACAAGGGCAGCTCTGTCCTGTGGGCACAGGGCTCCATCCCAGCCCCACCGGCTGGGAGAGAACAACATTTCCTTATAAGGCCCCGACCGCTTTGCCAAGGCTGGATGGCTCCAACAGACTGTAGCTTTCCATTCTCCTCGTCAGCTCCAGTGCAGGCCTTGAATGTAGCCCTTGTTGTCAGGCTCCTCCTCTCCTCCACAGCCCCCACCTCACCTACTTCCACTCCCTGCCAGAGCTAGCCCCACTGGCGCAGGATAAACAGCCCAGAGGCCTCTCCCACGCAGGGCCTGCCTCGGTTCAGGCCTGCTGGAGGCAGCACAGGGTAGCAAAAGGAACGTGGGAGTCACAGTTTCGGCTGTCCCTGTGCGAAGGGAAGGCCCTTTTCCTCATCTGGAAGATGGGGCTCTAATGGCCATGGGGTCCAAATTCTTTGCATTGTATTCAAAGTCCTTCCCAGTTAAGCTGCAGGTTAACTTCACTGTTTAACTGCCTTTCCATACCTTGAAGGCCAGATTTCCCCTAGCTCTTCCTGTTTCCCCCAAACGCACCTTGCTCACACAGGCCTCCACTGCTTCGTGCACGTGTTTTTCTCTACCTAGGTATTTATCTGCCTAGGTCACTCATCCTGCAGGCCCCACGGTAGGTATGCCTTCCTCCCCTCCCCAGGAAAAAGGAATCATTGCTTTCACTTCGCTGCTCAACATTTGTTTGCACCTCTCTTACAGCTTTTCTGTTTTGCAATTGCAATGATTTCTTTACCTGCCTGTTTCCTCTATAAGATGATGAGCTCCTCCAGGCTCACATGCTCTCCTCTTTCTTTATGTCCATGAGCTCAACCCACAGTACCAGGCACATAATCCAGCTTCACAAAAGATTGCTGCACAAATGCCTGAGCACACAGTGTTGCGTAAGTTCAAAAGAGACAACTATAGTGCAAATACTTGTAAACTATAAAGTGCTGTTAACCCATGAAATGTAAAACTTTATCTTGCTACCCTCCACTCTAATTCTACTGTTTGTCACACTGTTACAGCCCTTTTCCCTGTCTGACCAGTTCTGTATCCAGAATTCCAGGCTCACTGCAACCCCTCAGGAGGTTAACATCTATCACTAAGCCATTACTCATCTTTAGAATCCCAGTGTTGGGGGCTAAAAGGTATGTATCCGAATGTTGCCATACTAGAGTCCACAGAGGCCCTACAGACATACAGTGGCTAAATGGAGAAGCTGTGAGTCCCACTTTTACTATTTATTCATGCTAGGTTCCCACAGCATTCTGGGGGGAAAAATCTGGTGGCTTTAAAAGTTTGAAGCCCACTGATTAATGCTGTCTCAACATATGACAGTTGAAACAACTGAGCCCCCTAAAAGAAAAGCAGCTTTCCCCACATCTCATGTGTTAGCCACAAACTCAAGACCATACCCGGGATCCCCTACTCTTGCTCACCACAGCCATTGCCCTGCTTAGGGCAGAGTGATGACGGATGCAACTGCGTATCTGTCAAGCCGAATGCTTATGGGTCAGGGATACCTCAAGTTCCAAATAAAGAATTTCAGTCTCTGCCAAAACAAATCTTTCTGAATTGGAGATTCTGCAAAAATATCAGGTTAGGGATTTGCAAGCTCAGCACGGTTAAGTACTATAGTAAGACTGTCCCTCTATTCTCCAGGATCCCAGCAACTGTTTCAAAGAGAAATCTCCTATCCCAAGATAAATTAGCCTGTTCTCCGTCCACATAGGGAAGTTTTTCAGAGATATGTTTGTAAAGCGAAACCCATAGTTGATCATGAACCATGTTCTAACACTATTTGCCACAGAGCCAAATTCAGGATATAAGATGGTTCTGCCTTGGGCTCCATCCAAAAGGCTTAAGTTACATGAATACTAAAAATACTTTATTATAATGAGATTTCTGTGTTAGATGCCTAAGGGCAGACTGTTCAGGAAGCAAAATGAAGCCTAAGTAATACTGGGCAAGGACATAGGAGATGAAGCTCTAGTACCAACTCTGATACTTACTGTGAAACTTAAAGCAAGTCTTTATCGGCCTCGATTTTCTCCACTACAAAATGGGAACGATGATACCTTCACATTCTTTTCCAAAGACAGTAAGAATTAGATCAACTGAGACCATGAAAGTGAAGGTACGTTATGACATCAACCAAAAAAATACTGTGCCTAAATAAGAGCTAGTTAATCATAGGCAGTGTTCCTCCCTTTGGGCTGTTCTTCTGGGTACAGAAGAGAAAAAGCTTCCCTCTCCAGCTTCCTGTAATGTTTGCTCCAAACCCTAGCTCCCTCATGGCCACTGGCAACCATACTATTGCTGATCACTTTCCAGGAAATCGAGAGGAGTTAGGGCACTCCTATTAGATTTGCTTCAAGACGCTGGAGAGCAGACAAAGGGAACCATTCTGTCACCCTGTATTCTCTTCCCCTTCCTTCCTAGGTACAAAGAGAAGGGATTTTCCACTTGCAGGCTCTGGGCAGGCTGAGTGAATTTGGGAAGTTGTTTCTCTTCACTGAGCCTCTATTCCCCATTATGTATAATGAAAAGGTGAAACAGAATGGTATTTAAGTTTAGGGGTGGCCACGAAATTTACTGTCAAAACAGGGACACTTTTAAGAATGAAAATATGAGGCCAGGAGCGGTGGCTCACACCTGTAATCCCAGCACTTTGGGAGGCCGAGGCAGGTGGATCACGAAATCAAGAGATCGAGACCATCCTGGCCAACATGGTGAAACCGCATCTCTACCAAAAATACAAAAATTAGCTGGGCGTGGAGGCACACGCCTGTAATCCCAGCTACTTGGGAGGCTGACACAGGAGAATCACTTGAAACCTGGAGGCAGAGGTTGCAGTGAGCCCAGATTGTGCCACTGCATTCCAGCCTGAAGACAGAAGTGAGACTCCATCTCAAAAAAAAAAAAAAAAAAAAAAAAAATTATAATTAAAAAGTATACCAGGATGACTACTGCAAATAGGACTGTCCCAGCCAAGCCAGGACATATGAACACCTTAGTAAGCCCCAAAGCCCCATTTCAAGCTGGGCTATTACTAGGAAAGCAAAACGACCTTGAGAAAAAGAAAGTTTAGTTTCTTCAGTATCACTTTAGCCACACTGAACTTGTGACTGGTTCTACATGTTGTTTTTACGTTTTTCTTAGTCGTTAAGGACACACGCAAAACTAAGTTACACATAACTTCATATGTCTGCGTATTACAAAGTATTTCTATATCCTTTGTCTTCTGCAACAGTCCTGGGAGGCAAACATGGGCAGGTGTTAATCTCACTTTAGAGATTAAAAAGAAAAAGGTTTAAAGGAAGTCAAGGACTTGCCCAGGGTCATGGATCAAAGAGAAACAGCCCTGTCTGGACTCGTGGGCCCATGCTTGTTCCATTGGACCATGTTAATAAGGGAAGCACTTAATTTGCAAATATAGCCCGGCTTTATGAAGGCCAACTTCCATCCAGAAAGTTACTTCTTCTTCCATGGCAATGATACTCAAAGTACAGGTGTTTTCTAGACATGCTGTGAATGTTGTCAGAATCAAAATGGAATCACTTGTGTTAAGAACCCTGAAAATAGAATTAAGAAAGGCCATGAAGAAACGGTTCTCATGCATGAATGCCTGATAACAAGAACTATCACAAAAGACTGCAAAAACTACAATCTTGCATAAATGTAATCTTACACACACACACACACACACACACACACATACACACACACACACAATATTTTTGCAAGGAATCTGCCCAGTAACTGCCTGTCTATCTTTAAACTGGCACCACCCTTTTTACTGATCTGTGTAGCCAAGAATACTACGGCATGCGTATTCCCATTGAAATACCCTATTTCTGAATAAACATTTTTTTTTCTTTTAGAGAGCCTCTCTCTGTTATCTAGGCGGACATCTTGAAACTTAAAGCTGGCCAAGGTCTTAAGAATCAACGAAATTTGCAAATGAGAAAACTAAAACCCAGAAAGAATATCTTGCCCAAGGTTATTCATCAAGACCAAGATTCAAGTGGGATTTAGATTCCCAAACCCCTCCTTTAGCAATCTTTCAATATTAGCTAACATAAATATACCTAGGAAAGTAAGCGTAATCTATATCCCTATACACCTTTTCAAAGACAGATTACTTTTTGATTTTCTAATGTTGAGAAACCTCAGGCTATTTCTTCCTTCCCTTAGCTTGGAGAAATGAGAGTGAAAGGTATTTAAATCTAAGGCATTGCAACAGCCACAACTTATTTCTCCTCCCTGAACTTCCAGAGAAGACTAAAATGAAGTTTCCTAATGGTCAAACTCCCATAATTCAAATGTTTACCAGAGTCCTGAGGGCAAAACCAAAAAGGGCTTGCTATGCAGGAATGGTCACTCAAAAAGTGAGCAACGACCTTTTGGTTTGAGTTCTGGTTCAACTACTCCTTTGCAGCACAATCGTGACCAAGATGTTTTCCCTGTCTGGCCTCAGTTTCCTTATCTATTAAATAAAAGAATTGTATTAGGCAATGTTTTAAAATGCTTCCAGCTCTAGCAATCTATGAGTATCCAAACTGCACATGTAGATTTGAGTAGGGGTTTGATCAAGTCCTTTTCTGTCCCTTAATGTCATAGGAGTCAGAGCCCAGGAGAAGCACCATCATTACCTCTTGCTGGAGGATATTTTGTGCCTCTTATTTGCCTTCTGCTCCTTTTCCTGCTAATTAGCACAAGTAACTACCTATGCCAGCTAAAAGAGTCAAAAAGGCTGGTCACCCTTTCCAGTACAAACCAGGAGTGTTTAGCTAAATCAAAGGCATTAACCAAGATGCCTAATTTGTTGGCTCCTCATAAATTAATACAACTCTGGGAAAATTTGCTCAAAGCCTGATAATTTATTTCTTAATTTATTAACTGTGCAAAGATTACTGCTGTATATATTTGTCTTTGTCAAAGTAGCTGAAACTACAAGGCAAAATAATGACTCCATGACATTCATTGATGTCACTGAGTCCAAAGGCCCCTGCAAGTGTAGGAAACTTTCCAAGACATACAGTAATAAATTGATTTTTTGTTTGTTTATTTGTTTTGTTTGTTTGTTTTGGGACGGAGTCTCTGTCTGTCATCCAGGCTAGAATGCAATGGTGCAATCTCGGCTCACTGCAACCTCCGCCTCCTGGGTTCAAGCAATTCTCCTGCCTCAGCCTCCTGAGTAGCTGGGATTACAGGCATGTGCCACCACGCCCAGCTAATTTTTTTTCTTTCTGTCTTTCTTTCTTTTTTAAAAAATATTTTCAGTAGAGACAGGGTTCCACCATGTTGGCCAGGCTGGTCTCTAACTCCTGATCTCAGGTGATCCGCCCGCCTCAGCCTCCCAAAGTGCTGGGATTACAGGCGTGAGCCAACACGCCTGACCTAGAGCATCACTCTTTTCAAAAGCCATAGAAACACCACATTCGTGACACTCCCAAAACTGTTCTGATCACAGATTTATGTCATCTTTTTATTTCTCTATAGCACTTTCATTCTTATTATGATTCCAGAGCAGAATGCCTGCATTCAAATCCACTGTTATATGAAGTTGAACAATTTAATTACGTTATTGTGCATCAATTTCTTTATGTATGGCACAGCAGTATAAAAACAGGCTGGCCAAGCAGCCTGGCCAGCATGGTAAAACCCCTTGTCCACTAAAAATACAAAAATTAGCCAGGCATGGTGGTGCATGCCTGTAATCCAAGCTACTCGGGAGGCTGAGGCAGGAGAATCACTTGAACCTGGAAGGTGGAGGTTGCAGTGAGCTGAGATTGCACCACTGTACTCCAGCCTGGGCAATAGAGCAAGACTCTGTCTCAGAAAATAAATAAATAATAAAATAAAAACAGTGTTCAGCTCATAGAACCATTGTAAGCCTTAATGACAAAATCCACGTAAATCATGTAGAATTTCATAATTTTGACTATAGCTATTACTTTGTGATTTTTAGAACACCAGCAGAGACAAAGTGTTTACAGATAAGAAAGTAAAAGACCTGTAAGGATAAGGGACATACTTATAGCAATATGACAGTTAGTGGAAGAACCAGAATCAGTTCCCAATTCACATAATTCTTACTAAAAAATGTATTCCATAAACCAAATGGTCATTGCAGGTTGTATTCACTCGTTCGTACATTCATTGATTTTGCTGTAATTCTTCCTTGGACTCATTAATTCAGCAAATATTTCCTGAAAAACACAGGTCCCTTCTATCCCTAGGAGCAATCATTTAGAGATATGGGTTCTAGTGCCAGCTCTGCACTAATTCACTATTGAGGCCAACAGCAAGTGACTTCTCTTTGAGTGTCTAGTTCTTCAAGAGATTTGAAAAGATGTGTTTACATCTCCTTCCATACCAAGCTCCTATTTGCTGTCTTTCATATTACATACTAGTGGGACACCAAGATTCAGTAATGGCCCTTGCCCTAGAGGAGCCTGCAGTCAAATGGGAAAAATAAACACAGCTGTTGTGTACTTGCCCCGTTGTGCTAGAGTATAGCATAAGTCACCTAACACGTATTTTTTAATAAAATGATTTCATGTGGCTCCCACACGCCAAAGTTGGCAGGGAAGTCCATTTCTGGCATATTCTGGGGGGCCTTCTCCCCCACCTTAGATGGATAACCACGCACAAGAACTTCAAATAGACTTGCAAACTGGTGACCCTTGGGCCCAGTGAAGCCTACACAGGTGTTTTGTTTGGCTTATGGTGCTTTTTAAAATTTTAAGTCAACATTTAACAGCTGGGAAGTTTCTCATTAAAACCCAGATTTCTGGCTTTTCTTGAAAATGCATAAGATCTAGCAACGCTGAGTTGGAATCTTGACAATGACAACTAACATCTTAGAACTTTAGTCTTTTAGAGGGAATATACCTTTCCTATTTAGACATGAATGTTTGATTTTATCTTGAGGTGCACTATTTGAATTCAGGGGAAACAATCATACAAATTTAAAATTTTCTGTTAGGGATGTTAAGGGGGGAATTGAATGTTTTGTAATTGTATGTGTGTGTGTGTGTGTGTGTGTACTTGATTGAGAAATTTAAGTTTCTGAACTTAATGCAATGTAGGTATTTAATTTAGCCTAGCTAGGGCCCAGTATGCTTTGGTATTTCAATGGGAGAAATGTCCTAGATGAATCACTAATAAATGTTATCTTCCTTTCTCCTAAGGGCATTTGAGTTGGTGGCTCTGTGCATTACTCTGATACGCTGGTAACCAGGCTCACTAAGAAAAAAAAAATCCCCAATTTATAGTTTGCCAAATTTTGTGTGTAAGTACTCCACCATGACCGAATTCAAGGATGCTTTTACAACTGGCTTGTAGCATTTCTGGAATCTTAGCAATTAGCTCTTGCAAGCCGATACAGCAGACTCAGCACACCAAGCCTATTTAATCCAGAATATGGGAGTATAAAAATTGTGTTACTTTCCTCTCACCCTGAAGTCAATGAAGAAGAAGACATATAAAACATAAGCTTTGCCTATCTTCAGGAGAATTTTGGTCTAGATCAGGAGACAAAGCTAAAACCTTTGCAATAATCAGAAGGCCTTTTGAGAAGAATCAGTGATCTATCCAACATCTCTACTCGAGGGCCCAATAAGAATATGAAACTTACTACATCCAAAACAGGTTTCTTGGATTTTCTCTCAAAGCTGTACTGTATTTCCCCAATCTTTTTATCTTAATAAACAACCCTTCCCCCAGTTCTCAAGCTTAAAGATAAAGAATTATCTTTCATTCCTTCCTATTTCTTAACCCCCTATCCAGTTACCCCCTATCACCAGAAACAAGTCTTGTGAGTCCACCCCCAAAATTAATTGTGCACATCTCTGCACCCCACTGCAACAACCCTAGTCTAAAATAGTCCCATTAAAGCTCCTCTAGAACATTTTTTCTGCTTTCTTTCTCATTTCCTTACAATCACTTTTCCAAAAAGCAGCCAAAAGGATCTTTCAAGAATATAAATCAGATTTTACTCCCCTGCTCTTTGCCATCCAATGGCTTCCCACTAAACTCAGCAGAAAATACCAATTCCACACCATGGCCTCAAAGCCCTCTCTGATATGATCCCTGCCCTCCTTTCTGCCTTTGTCTGCACCTGCACCTCGCTACCCCTTTTCTACCCCTCTCAAGTTCTCTAGGCTCTCCCAGTTCTTCCCCGTCACTCAGTCTCCACCAGTTACTCTTTCTCTCCACCCTAAGCAGTTGCCCTGGCTGGCTCCTTCTCATTCTTCAGATGCCAGCTTAAATGTCACCTCCTCACAGAAACCTCCTCTGCCCACCAATCTAAAGTAGCTCTCCATTCCCAACCAGTAATTCCCCATTCCATCAGCCAACCAACATATACACTGTTTACCTTTACACACAGAGAGAAAATGTAAATTCCATGAGGGTAGGAGATTTCTATGCCTTGATTTTGCTGTATGTGTTATGCCTAGCCCAATGTTTAACACACAGTAGGCATTAACTAAATATTTGTTAAATAAATAAATTAATGAATACACAAATGAGTGGGTGATAAAGGTAGGGTAAAGAGATTGATGTTTCAAAGTTCCCTTCTGGCCTTAACATTTTAGGACCCTGTGGTTTCAAGAGCATAATTTTGTACTTACTGATGTGGGCTCAGCTCTTAAAGTAGAGTGGAATTTAGAGGGGAAGGAGATGAATGAAGTTGCCAGGATCCAGCAGCAGGCTGGGGAGACTCCCTGGAAGAAGTGGTAGATACACTGGGCTTTTCAGCCTTCAATATTACTTAACAAAAGGCATTTGTCATCTTACAAAAAGGTTTACCCTAATCTCCATTTCAGTTGCCAACTACTCTTCTACATTTAAAATGTGATCATGTTTATAAAAACTTGATGGGCACACTTTTCAGGAACATCTAGTTTCTAAGCTGCACTGTCCTTACATGCCCTTGGGCATAGGTGTATGCTGATTAGCAGGTTTAATTTGACACAGATAAAGAACACGAAGAATTTGCCCAGAGGCCCATTGACCCCCCCTGCTGGCTCCATATCTGAAGGAAGGATCTGTTCCATACCTCAGAGAAGACCCACTTAGGACAGGAAGTGAGTCATCTATGTTCCACAGAGGACCTATCACAGGTTGGACTATACTAAATGTGAAACAGATTAAACTGGAACAAAATCATGACATATTTGTTCCCTCCCACAGTGTGAGACGTTTCATAACCTCTTGATACTTTACCCTGATAACTTTGAGAGCTGGAGAGGTCTTCAAAAATCACTTGTATGTCTCTCTCTTGTTCTGTAGATGGGGAAACTGAGGCCAGAAAGGCTGGTGCCTTATCCAAGTTCACACAGCAGGGGTAGCAGGAGATCCCTGTCCTGAAGCCCAGACAAATATTCCATAGAAGCATACATATACAAGCTGATTTTTAAGAGAAAACCTATTGTGTCCTTTTGTTTAATCGTCATAAATAACTTGATGATCTATTTGTTTAATTTTTTTTTTTTAAAAGACAGAGTTTTTCTCTTTTTACCCCAGGCTGGAGTGCAATGGCACAATCTCAGCTCACTGCAACCTCTGACTCTTGGGTTCAAGCAATTATCCTGCCACAGCCTCCTGTGTTGCCAGGATTACAGGCGCGTGCCACCACGCAGGGCTAATTTTTGTATTTTTAGTAGACACGGGGTTTCACCATCTTGGCCAGGCTGGTCTTGAACTCCTGACCTCGTGATCCACCCGCCTTGGCGTCCCAAAGTGCTAGGACTACAGGTGTGAGTCACTGCACCTGGTCTATTTGTTTACTTTTTAATCATTGAAAAATAAAGTTTTAGCAAGTAATCTCTAGTGATACTGAGGTTTTAGGACAACTTGAAGGAATCGGCTTAAAATGTTAGAAGCTGTCACATAATAAAATAGTAAGACAACCCAGACCAACTTATAAGAAGAGGTAAATGTTATTTTAACTATCAGGAAAGAGTTATATCATTTTCAAAACAACCAGAAGAACTATTTTTTCTCATTTTAATGTCTATAGTTAGGATTCAGAGACGATCACTTGTGATTTTCAGCAACTTAAAGTTTGTATGAGATGGGAAAGCCATAGAGGGAAGCATGCCAATCTTTTAAACTGTTACACATGAAGCGTTAGAGACTGGAGTGCAGCTATTAACTTAAAAAAGGAAAGAAAGTGGTTTATGCTAGCTTTTTCAACTGTCAAATGATCAGTTGGAATTTAGAGAGTAACAGTGTTTCAAGACAGAGATACATTTAAACATCATGGTGCTTGACAGGCAAACAGGAATCATTTGCCCAATTCCTTTAGAACTAGTCTTAAAAAAAAAATGCAACAAGGCCTCTCAAATTGCAGGAGAACTAAAAAACGAACCTCACTCCCTGATTTACCCTTCCGGATCTGTATTCTCCAGAGTCACCAGCTCCTGCAGGTCTCTGGGGCCAGAGAGAGCGAGCGCTGAGCCTGGAGTGAAAGCCCTTCTGCAGGGTCAACTATGAAGCACCTTTGGAAACTTAGGCCAGTTGTCCTCAAACTTGGGGTGTCTGGGAATCACCTCAGGGGGTACTTACTACAATATAGATTTCTGGGCCCATTTCCAGAGCATCTAATTTCATAGGTTTGGAATAGCTTCCAAGAATCAACACTTTAACAAGTACTCTCGGCTCATCCTGACACAACTAGATGGTGGAACAACCATACCAAAACCTTGGCCAGCCTACGTAAATCTTCCTCTTTTCTCTGGATCTCAATTTCTACACGTGTGAAATGAGGAATATGAACCAGGATCATCTCTAAGGTCTCTTCCTGATTCGGGCAATGGAGATGATATGACTTGGGAACTGGCAGGATTCCAATCTTGCCTCTGGGTTGCCTTGGTAGCCCAAACAAGTCACGTACTTACAGAAGCATGTAACTCATGTAAACCCCGAAAATTTGAGACAGGTCTCAGTTAATTTACTTTATTTTATTTATGTTTTAAGACGGAGTCTCACTCTGTTGCCCAGGCTGGAGTGCAGTGCCACGATCTTGGCTCACTGCAGGCTCTGCCTCCTCGGTTCAAATGATTATCCTGCCTTAGCCTCCTGAGTAGCTGGGATTACAGGCACCCACCACCATGCCTGGCTAATTTTGTGTTTTTAGTAGAGACGGGGTTTCACCATGTTGGCCAGGCTAGCCTGATCTCAAGTGATCCACCTGTCTCAGCCTCCCACATTGCTGGGATTACAGGTATGAGCCACCACAACCAGCGAGGTCTCAGTTAATTTAGAAAGTTTATTTTGCCAGCGTTGAGGATGAGCACTCATGACACAGCCTCAGAAGGTCCTGACCACATGTGCCTAAGGTGGTCGGAGCACAGTTTGGTTTTATACATTTTAGGGAGACATGAGATTTCAATCAACATATGTAATATGAACATTGGCTCGGTCAGATAGATGGGAAAACTCAGAAGCAAAAGCAGGACATTTTGAAGCAGGTAGGCGGCTTCCAGGTCACAAATAGGTGAGAGACAAAAGGTTGCATTCTTTTGAATTTCTGATTAGTCTTTCCAAAGAGGCAATCAGATATGCATTTATCACAGTGAACAGAGGAATGCCTTTGAATAGAATGGGAGGCAGGTTTGCCTAATTTCCTAGCTCGAATTTTCTCTTTAGCTTAGCGATTTTGGTGACCCACAATATTTTCCTTTCACACTGAAATACAGGGACTCTTTCATACAGAGCTCAGTGTGAAGTGTGGAAGGGCTCCGGAACTTACTGCCAGCTCCTCCTCACTGTACACTACCCACTGGGTGCTGTCCATAACATGCGCTCCTCTTCTCCCAGCCCTGTTCAAAACTACAGAGCCTCAGATGGTGCTTCCCCAACCCATCATCTGTTCCCAGCAGGGATGTCTAGCGAGAGCCGGTTCCTTTGAACCTTGTGTGTTCCTCATATCTAGAATCCATCACATCCCCTCCCTCAAGCCCACTACAGGATGATGTTTCAGATTAATCGAATTGAACTACCCAGAACAAAACAAAACAAAACAAAACATAAAAAGAGAGTGAGCGCCTTAAAATTTAGAACTCAAGGCAGAGGAAATGTTTTTGGTTTTGGTTTTTTGTTGTTTTTTTTTTCTCCCTTGCCTAAGATATTCTGATGATTACATAAAGCAATTATAGAATTTCTCGTTAACATTTGTAAATGTTAAAATTGGAGACCCAACTGTTACAGCTTGGCTGGTGAAGGAGCCCCTTCCTAGCCTCTGGCTCCTCTAGACAGTGGATCTTCTGATTCTTTCCAATCCCCTAAAACTATGACCTGCCCTGGCCAAGGCTTCTCCTACATATAATTATCCAACCTTCCTTTTGGATAAATTTTGGAATTTATCCAAAAATTCCTTACTGGGCTCCAGTGTGCTCACCAGGCCCTCGCTAAGGTCAAAGACTTTCACAAATGCCTCATTGCTTCTGTATCTCAACTCTGGACCTTTGCTTTGAAGGCCCCTGGAGCCTTGCATTTTCAGGTCCATCAAGTTACTCAACTGTATTTCTTCATCTTCCTTCAAAACTTATACTTCCATACACTTTGTCAGGTGTAGAGGGTAAAGCTACTGACCAGAACACAAAATATATGGCAGAAAGGGAGGGTCCACAAGGGGAAAAACACATATTGCCAAAGACTTGCAATTCTTGAAGTACAATGGAATGCTTCTTGGCCGAAAGCCGCCTACCATGTAGGGAAGTGTCAATAATCTTTGGCTGAGAAAGCACAGTCAAGTTTATTCAGCTGTCATTGGCTGAGAATATACACTAGCCCTCCAATCTCAGATGAAACTATTTACCATATGATATTATGATATGATATATGTTTCAAAGAAAAAAGTGTCATAGAAGTTAAGATTATAATGATTCAATGCTGTTAAATGGAGCATGCAAGAAATTAATTTCTCTTTCTGTTCTTTATGAGGCAAAGAGTTTCTGGTCAACAAAAGATATCCAGTGTTTGCTAACTGAGCTGACATAATTTCAGACAAAGGCAAAGAAACTTGACATGTTCATTAACTTGTACAGCTTTAACATTAGTAAGTAGACTATTTCTGTTAGGCTTTTTGAAACTCTATAAGATATTTTTAAGGTCCGCCCTGTTGGTTTTGCCACAAGCATTGATTCTCTTTCTTCTGGTGACAGCGTCCTCTTTGTTTTTAGATAACACCTCCTCTCCCAGTCCCTTGACCTCAGCCAGCTTCAGAGATGGACATATGGCCAGAGCCAATGAGAGAATTCTCCTTTGGCTGTAAGGACTGTTAATTAATAATGACCTTGGAGAGACAAGCCTAGCACTCCTAAAAAAGTTAGAGATGAAATGATATATTCTTTTCCCTGGGGTTGTTGCCAGCCATATTGCGAGCAGGAGAGATGGGCCTGAGTATAGAGCTGACACAGAATGAGGCAAAGATGATGGTTGGAGAGCAAAAGCTGACAGTAGCTCCTAGGTTGTCTAACCAGAAGCCAGCTTTGCCTTTAATAATACTCCTCCCATCCTCTGTTTTTTTTTTTTTTTTTTCTGAAGCCAATTTCACTTGGTCTTTCACAACTTACAACCAAAATAATTCTATCAAATCCCCCCTTCACCCCATTACTACCTAAACAGATCCTTGAGCTTAGGATCACTAGCCAAGCACCAAGGAGATCATAGGAATGTATTTGTTAGATCTGGACAATCTACATCCATATCCAGTTCAAGTCTCAAACTTGAATTCCTCAGGTCACGGATTCATATTTCTTGGGCCCCTAACATGTACAAAACCCTGCGCAGGATCTACGGGAAAACAGAATACTCTGCCTGCCCCTACAATCCTCACGATCCTCTTCCTATGTGGCCTTAGGATTAACCATGTCCTCCTTCTAGGAAACTAAGGTCAAAGACTTTCACAAATGCCTAATTGCTTCATTATCTCAACTGGATCCTTGCTTTGAAGGCCTCCCGAGACTTGCATTTTAAGGTCCAGCGAGTTACTCAACTAAGTTTCTTCATCTTCTGTCAAAACTAGGAAACTAAAAGGAGGACATGGTTTTAATTATAAAGCCACATAGGAAGAGCTAAGGGCCTTTAGAGGACTACAGGGAATGTGCCACGAGAGTCCAGAGGAGAGAGAATCTTCTGGATGAGAACTGGGGAAGGCTTCATAAAAGAGCGTTCACTGAAGTTGGGCCTTGACAGCTTAAGTCAGTTGTAGCTGAGCTACACTACAACCGCACTCTGCCTCCTGGTCCAGTGTATGGCAGCTTAAAACCAACAGGGATCAATGCCAAAACAGGACCAGGCCCTGGAGGAGTCAGACAGCTGCTATTGGGTCCCCAGGCCCTACAAATGGATGTGTAGGGCCTCATGTGGAGGGAGACAGGGTGCAGGCGATCCAGAGATATATTAGGGGATCACAGGACAAGGGCTACCTGCCTGTAGATTCACTCAGAGCATCCAGCCATCATAAAGCATTCATGCGATATCACAGAGTCACAAAGTCAAAGTAGCAGGGACTTTGGGAATTAATCAGCCTGCCCATTTGACAGAGAAGGGCCTGGAAACCTGAGGACATCAATGACTTGTCCAAGATCACTCCTGCAGAGTCATTCTCAGGATCCTAGGCTCCAGGGCCCTGACCCTGGAGCTGAAATGAGATACCATGCTTATTTCAATTCTATCCAGCAGGAGTGAGAGGATTCTGGAATTCTATTTTGATTGATTCAGTCTTTTATCTGGATAGCTTCCTGAGACTCACCTTGCTTCTACATATCCCTTGATTTTAAGATGAGGATGAGCCTCCCCCAAGGCTGAGTCATGCAGGACTAAAGGACTTCTGCTGGCTCTTGAGTGAAGCCCTCACTGGGGATGCACTCTTCCCTGAGCTGCTCATGGGCCCCTGGTGAAATGTGGATGCTGTCATGTGAAGGCAGTTTGGGGATCTGGTCCCACTGCTTACCAAGCCTCTCCTCCAGAGTGTCTGTAATGAAAAAAGTAGAGAAATAATTATTTGACATACCAAGAGGAAGGCAGGGCACACATGAGTTGGAATCCTTTACCAAAGGCACATGAAGAACCCTTGGGCAAGGTGAAGAGGGAGCCACTTCTATTATTATTACTTCCTAATAATCTTCTCTTTCTCTTGTGCAGTTTTTACCATTCACATCCATTTTCATGTGACTTTCTTAACAACCTTCCTTGTGAAGCAGTTAAGACAGGATTTTTTTAAATCCCCTTTCCCAGATGAAGTAACTGAGGCTCAGTGATGGGATCTGAGAAGGAACAGAAGTCAGGACAGTCGAGACCCCACCTGTCTCACTGGGTGGCCAGCACTTGCTTCACATCATCCGAGGGGTGTCTCTTGCCCCACAGCCAGTCCTGAACTGCCACTTTGGCTGACAAACAATGAGAAACCAGGGGCCTTTGTGTTAGTAATGTGGGAACGGAGGCAGGAGTTTCCTTCGTCCTGGCACTCACAGCAAACCTCTGATACTAGTAACAGGCCTGATTAGAAGTAGAGTTATCGTGGAAGTAAATAAGCAACAGACTGACAAGCAAACCAATGAATTTGCTCCCACATTAATTTAGTGCACAGACATTGACAGTGTTTTAACTGTGGTGCTGAAGATGGACATGAGACCACATCTAACACATGGTCTTTGCTTCAGGGGAGCATTCATTCTATTAGGAGAAAAAATACTTGTGCAGACAAATAAATGACCACATACCATGACAAGAGCCACAACATGGATAGATATAATGTGTCCTGGAAGTCCAGAGGAGGAGAAGGATATGACTAAGCCTCCTTCCCATGTGATCAAGCTTTGAGCTTCTCAAGGGCAGCAGGGACTGGCATAACTCATCTTTCCCACTCTATCAAACATAACAGTAGGAACATCAGAGATCACAGTTAGTGCTTGCTGAGTAAATTCTCCTGGGGAGTCATGAAAGGTTCTGCAGTGCAGGCAACCTGAGCTATGTGATTGAATTTGCAAAGTCCCTGAGCTACTTGTCCTGGGACAAGGACCCCAACCATCAAAGCCTTCCCTTGGATCTATGCTCAGGATCTATGCTAAGAATCAGCTGGCCCTGGAGGCCTCTCTTACCTGCTACAGTTATCTTAAAAGGCAGAGTTAGATCAAGGCTCAGAGAACATCATAGTCACGGTAGCCCTGCTCATCCATCAGGGCTTGAACACCTCACCTTGAACAAGGGAGATAAGAGAATAAAATAACACCTGACACGGCCTTATCACCTGATAATACAACTTCAGTTTTTCCATTAAAATAACTGAGAGCCATAGTCCTGTGCTTTGGCTGATAAAGAGATCACAGGAAACAAAGCTATTAATTTTTATCGCTGCAGTGCAATAGCACATTTGAGTGAATACAATATATCCAAGGGGAAAAATACTTTCTCTAACAGTGGAAGTTAGAAAATTTTTTTCTCCTCCTAACTTCCATTTCTCACACCTTGTTCATCACTAACCTCGAGGAATTTTTAAGCCCATATATATTAAACCTAGTGGATCTAACCATGCTTTCACCATTGCAGCATGTTATAAATATGTCTTTCTCTCCTTACCCTAAACCCATTCTTTGAGGATTTGGTACAGATATTTAGAATACACCTTAAGAGACAAGTTAATTGCCTCTCTAGTCCTCAATATTCCTATCTTTATTTATTTATATTTATTTATTTGAGACAGAGTCTCACTGTCCCCCAGGCTGGAGCGCAGTGACAAAATTTTGGCTCACTGCAACCTCTGCCTCTGGGATTCAAGCAATTCTCCTGCCTCAGTCTCCTGAATAGCTGAGACTACAGGTGCATGCCACCATGCCTAGCTAATTTTTGTACTTTTAGTAGAGACAGGGTTTCGCCATGTTGTCAGGCTGGTCTCGAACTCCTGACCTCAAGCGATCTACCCGCCTCAGTTCCGAAAGTGCTGGGATTACAGGTGTGAGCCACCACACCTGGCTGATATTTCTGTCTTTAAAATGAAGAGTCAGACAGTTGCTCTCCATGATCGCTTCCAGCTTTAATACTCCAGGATCCCATGACTGAAGAAGACACAGATTGGGTCAGTTTTGATGACACAGGCAGTCTCTCTAAGCATGAGAGTTGTCAGATAACAGTAGAATCTGGCAACCACCATCCCTGCTCTAGGCTCCATGCCTCAGGGGCCCCAGCTCTGGCCTTCCCCATTGGGTAGGAGTCTATGGGGCCACATGAATGTGTGCTCCTGGAACCCATCTCCCCCTTTCCTACCAAAACCTGGGTGTTTGGGCCCCTGAAATTGCCTATGCAAATGGCCCAAAGCCTGCTTCCGGGTGCTTGTTCACCTCTCCCCTGGTTCCTCATCCCCAGAGCAGATCACAGACCCAGGGGCCACAGCCCTAGGACAAGAGGGTGGTCCAGGGGTAGGAAATGTGATTGATGTTCTGCTTCCAAATCTTGCCCTTCCCTGCCATCAGAACACTTGGGTGGAAATGTCTGAGAAGGATTTGTCTTTAGGGGGTGCCTACACCCATCAATGCTAGGCCGCCAATGGTATATAGCATAACCAGGAATGGGCAAGGGTATGTCCAGTAGCCTACATTTGTACTTGTACCTGGCCTGCAAATGCTGGAGTAGGGGCTGACAGATATAAGACAAGAGGCTAGGAAAGATCCTCACTAACGGTGGTAGAGGGTGGAACAGGAAGCAGGTAACTGGCTATGGGCTTCCTAAGAAGGAACTGTCTAACTGGGAAGTTTGCTTGATGGCCCCACAGGCAAACCCAGGCTCTTTCACAAGCTGGCCTCAGGTCTCATCTCTGAAGGAATTTAATTTTACATTTAAATTTGAGTCTTAGTACCTCTTAGGCTTGCTTCAGAACGAATGGTTTCCTTGTAATTGATACCTTAACTATTTCTTAAAATAAACAAAAAACCTAGCAAAGACGTAGAATAAAAGCACCAGATGGTTAAACATATAGATCTGGCAGTGTATGCAAGAAAGGAAGTGATCATGTCAGGAACCTCAGATATGTTTGTTACTAAATGTAAGAATAAAATAGCACCAACCCCCCTGACTGCCATGGCAAAAACAGAAAAGTGATGAATTGCCCGGCTTTGATTATGTGATCAAAAGTGTCATTATCCATTCTTCAGAGGAGACAACCTTCTTCTACTGGGCAGAAGATCTGAGGAAGAGTTTTATCACCTGAATCCTTATATGAGGGATACAAAGTCACATAAAGGACCAGATCTTCAACACTGATCTTTCAGGCAATGGGGAAACATTCTACATATAACAAATTATTATACTGACACTTAAATAAAAGCTGAGAACACGATATTTTTTTAAAAGTTGGCCAGGTGTGGTGGCTCACGCGTGTAATCCCAGCACTTTGGGAGGCCAAGAGGAGTGGATCACCTGAAGTCAGGAGTTCGAGACCAGCCTGGCCAACATGGTGAAACCCTGTCTCTACTAAAAATACAAAAATTAGCTGGGCAAGGTGGTGGGTGCCTATAATCCCAGCTACAGGAGGCTGAGGCAGGAGAATCGCTTGAATCTGGGAGGCAGAGGTTGCAGTGAGCCAAGATCATACCACTGTTCTCAAGCCTGGGTGACAGAGCGAGACTCTGTCTCAAAAAAAAAAAAAGTTGTGCAGTCATTGCCACAAGAACCTGAGCTAATATCATCTAAATAACCAAAATTGATGCCAGAACATAATTTAGAAGCATCAAAGGAATGGACGATTTAGTCAAACACTTCTCACACGTCTCTACCCAGTCATCTTAATGGTACCCCATGGAAGAGGGAAGTGAAATTGTATCCTGTAGAATCTGGAGGCAGAAAATCCATCACTCTTCCTCTACCCTTCAAGCAAGGTGAAACTGAAAAGTTTTCTTTTTAAAAGGTATTCACTTTTAGCATACTACTTTATAAAAATATATGTTTATCTTATGATAAAGTTGATTTCCTTAAAATCTTTCCTGAAGTTGATATCCCAGAAATGCTATAGCTTTGGGTGTGCCTGGTACTATCAAGTAACCCAAATATTTGTAAAAATATGGCTTAGATAGTCTCTTACTTATTCTTTAAAACAAACTGATGGGACAGGTGTTAGCCATTTTTATGAATAGAGAATTTGAAGAATAGACAGATCAAGTAATTTTCCTAACAGCACGTGAGACTAAAGTATGTAATGCTTGAATGAAGCCCAGATTTCCTAACTGCAAGGCCAGTCCTTCTTTTTTTTGTTTGTTTGTTTTTTGTTTTTGTTTTTGTTTTTTTTGCTTCTATAGTATTAATTTTATCATTTATCAAAGAATGAAGGAGTGAGTTGGGTGGTCCAATGAAAGTCTCTGGAGTAGCATTACTGAGGCGCAATACCTACTGAGCCTATGATGCACCAGGTTAATTAAAACCACTGCACCAGGCTTCCAATATCCCCACATTCTTGACCCTGACATCCATAAATGTCGAATGTATTGGCAGATTCCTCCATAGGATGAGCCACACATACTTAACATTTTTCTCTATAATCAGTTTATATACATCATCAACTGCACATGCCTGGAGAAGGAAAGAGGATTCTCCTTTCCCAGGGCTCCCCAGCAAATGTCTCAAATTGTTGTAACAGTGATGGTGAACTTCCCTTCTCCTTGAGGCAAATAATGGGTCCTGAAAGCTGCATGAGGCAATGAGCAGGCTGGAAAGCTAAGTCTGGTGACAGGGGTCCTGGTCCTGACTCTCACTGGAAGGTTGTGGGAAAACCATTTAACCCACTGGTGCAGGGTGTGCCGGGGTATGATAACAAGAGCTGCCTTCAGCCACTTTCCGAAGAAGATGGTGAGAAATAGTGAGATAATGTCTGGGAAGCACTTGAACTGCTGAGAAGCAGGAGGCTGCATAAGCACAAGGTGTTGTTACTTCCAAGCCCGCATCAGCCAGGGACATCACAGTTAAGGTTCCTACAGAAACTCCCTCACTCCCTCCACATGAAAGAACTGGCCAATCCTTCACCTTCTCATCCAGTTGAATTTCCCAAGCTTTGGAGGATTTGTAGGAAGTCAATCATCTGGTTAGAGATAATGAGTGCTGTTGAAGTGAAAACTTAGATCTTAAAATCACAGACCCTCAGAGCTAAAAAGGATATCAGCAATCTAGCTTATATTTCTTGTTTAGAGAAGAGAAAGCTGAGTCCAGAAGGTTTCATATATAACACACGTTCCCTGAAGGCCTTCTAGGCACTAGATAGGTGCTAGGATAAGAAGATGACTAGTGTCTGGCCTCTGACTTCACAGAACTCTGCTTAGTGGGGGAAACAGGCACATTCACAATTTGTGCACAATGTGATACGGGTGTTATTGCAAAGTGCCACCAGGACTACCACAAAAACAGAGCTTAAGCTGTCCTGTAGCTGCGTGTCCCTGTGCAAATCACTTCAACACTTTGAAGCTCAGACAAATGGAAGCAGGAGAAATTACATCAACTTCTATCATTTTTATCATGTTTGACAGCTCCCCAGCAATTTCATAATCACTGGCTGACTTGATTCTTAAAAGAAAACAAGGAAGGAAACACTAAGACTCTCTCCACACTACAGAGGCAAAACCTAAGGCTTTGAGAGATGGAGTCCCAGGCGCATGGCCCTGATCTCACTCTCGAATGTGACATCTGGAAAAAAATCAGGAAGGTAAGTGGACTCTGGTCCTCAATAGCCTGTCTCTCTATAGGTGAACATCAGTGATACCTAATTTACTGCTAGCATTCATGTTCTACCAATCTGTAAATCCCTCAAAGGGTTGAAGGCTACCTAGTATTGGGTCAGTTCTTGATAAGTATTTGTTATAATCAGAAAACTCTGAAAGAAGCCAGCATTTTTTCCTCCAAACTCAGATACTAATAAGACATTCATTAATTGAAATGACTTAATATGTTTTAGTAAGATCTTGTGTTACATTTTAATACTTTAAATTATACAAATAGAATATGAATATATTCTTACTGTAAAAACTGTAAATACCTAAAAGCAAGCATCCTCTTGTCTGCTCCAATCTTGACCTCAATCTCTGCCCTATTCCCCACTAACTCCAAACCCTCTCATCCTTCTTCCCCTCCCCACCTCCACTGTTATTAGTTTGGCATATCATTTTAGACCATTACTCTATGCAATTAATTTATGTGCATATAGAAATATTGCAGTTTGTTTTTTATGTAAATGGCCTATTGCTGTATATATTGTTCTACAATTTAAAAATTTAACAAGCAGTAGAGACCTAACAGTGTTGGTGTCCCTGAGTGGGGCCTCCTGTTCCACGGTGTCACTAGATCACAGTTAAGCCACTCACCTATGAAGGGAAATTTAGGTGGTCTCCATTTTTTTTGTTTATTATAAACAAAGCTGCAATGAACACTTTTTATGCCCTTCCTTAGAAACAACCCCTAAAATGCCATTTTTTTTTTTTTTTTTTGAGACAGAGTTTCACTCTTGTCGCCCAGGCTAGAGTGCAGTGGCACGATCTCAGCTCACTGCAACCTCCGCCTCCTGGGTGCAAGCAATTCTCCTGCCTCAGCCTTCCAAGTAGCTGGGGCTGCAGAGGCCCACCACTACGCCCAGCTAATTTTGTATTTTTAGTAGAGATGGGGTTTCACCATGTTGGTCAGGTTTGTCTCGAACTCCTGACCTCAGGTGATCTGCACACCTCGGCCTCCCAAAGTGCTGGGATTAGAGGCGTGAGCCACCATGACCTGCCAAAATGCCATTATTTTTTATTCTAAAAGATAATTGCCAAATTTGACTCCAAATATATTGTATCAATTTTCAGACCCACCAACAACATATGAGAGGATCTTTTCTTATGACCTAGTTAAAATTTGATTTCATTGATCCTTTTAAATCTTTTACCAGTCTGATAGTAAAAAGAATTTGGATTGTTAATGTTAATTTGCCTTTTGAATATGATGTTTCCTTTTAAGGAAAATAATAGAAAGTATTGACACGTCTCCAGGGAGACCACAATATGCTGGAAAGATTAAGGTCTCTGGGGTCGAAGGGCCTGGGATGATTTTTCAGATCTACTACTGACAACATGGCCTCTGGCAAGTTGCTCACCTCTCCCAGCCTCACTCTCCTGTCTGTAGAATGGAGACAGGCGGCACTCTGCCTTCATACAGATTGTGCAGTAGTTGTCATGAAAATGCTTCTTAAATGGTGCAAGTAGCTCTTACCTGACTTTTAGAAGATGATATACTGAGGCCGGGTGTGGTGGCTGACACCTGAAATTCCAGAACTTTGGGAGGCCAAGGCAGATAGATCACTTCAAGTCAGGAGTTCGAGACTAGCCTGGCCAACATGGCAAAACCTCATCCCTATTAAAAATACAAGAATTATCCTGGTGTGGTGGTGTGCACCTGTAATCCCAGCTACTCTGGAGGCTGAGGCAGGAGAATCGCTTGAACCGGGGAGGCAGACGTTGTAGTGAGCTGAGATTGCACCACCACACTCCATCCAGCCTGGGCAACGGCGGGGTGGGGGGTGGGGTCTGATGGGGGATGGGGGAGACTCTGTCTCAAAAAAAATTATACAAATAAAAATAAGAAGATGTTAAATTGGTGCTCATTGAGGGCTTACATATTCTCAAGCACCAAGCAACGTCCTTACGTAGCTACAATGGCCTATGTCTTATGTTGGAATATGTTTAATCAGAATTTCTTAGCAATCTGAAAGATTAGGCCTTTGAGTTTTTTTTAGTTTGCTTGATTTTGTCTTTGTTTATTTACATGTCTCATTTTTTATTTAATAGAAGCAAATGCAGAACAAGGCCTGGATTAGCTGATCAACAGTGGGATGGTGTGTTTCCTAAAGCCCAGGATCTCCACCTCACCCAGGGAAATGTTGCAGTCTTTTCTGAGTTTATTTCTACTATAAGAATTGCACTATCATATTTGCTAGAGGTCAAAGCATTTCCTACTTTGGGAAGATGGAAAATTTGATAAACCTAATACACAATGAAACTAATTATCAGACACAGAAGCCCAGAGGGGTGCAGAGAACATTTTTCACGCTTTGGCCCTAGAGCCCCATTTCCCCTTTCTAGAAGCATCTCACTCTCAGTCCACGAGGTCTGAGTGGGACCTGTCCCCAGCCCTGGGGTGGAATGCATGGCTCAGGCCTACATCAGTTAGTGCACTGCAGTCACCAGCCCCCGTGATTGGCTCACAAGAGGGCATGTGATAGAAGAAGCCTCATCAGAGCGAACCTTAGGGTTTTTGCAGAGAAGGCTGGGACAGAGAACTTTCCTACTTCCCCCACTGCACATTATCCTAAAGGACTTCACCCTGGAAACTTATGGAGGTCTTCTTGAGAGAAAAGAGAATGTTAGAATGGAGGTAACATAAAGGAAGAAGAGCTAAAAGATGGAGAGAGCAAAACCAGATCCCAAGAACACAGCCAAAGCCAGATGTCCTCCTGGCATCTCAGTTGTACAAGCTAATCTGTTGTCTCCCACATTCCCAACCATGTGAACTTTTTTTTTTTTTTTGGCTGAGTCTGATCTATCACTTGCGACAACTGGCACTAGTGGGGCCCCATGCACACGCACACAACCACACTCAATATTTCTTTCCACATGCGGAAAGCAGGATGGTGTCACAGCAGAAGCCCAGGCCTGGAAGGCAAGAGATCTAGGTCTGTCTGTGGCTTTGTCTCTTTGACATTCAACTTCTTCAGCTATAAGGTGGCTGGGGAAGGGGGAGGTTGGACAAATAAGCTCAAGATGCCTTCCTGCTCTGACACTCTCTGAATCTGTCAACCTGAACGTCTTGGTGCTCCTGGGGCCATTGAGATTGCTGGATCCTGATTCTTTGAAGCATTTCATTCATTATGGTAAAGAAGGGTTTAAGTGGCCACCAACAGAGAGACGTGAAGTACATGAAACAATTAGGTTCTCTGTATCTCCAGCAGAATTGGCCCCAGAAGAGGGTCAGGCTTTGCAAAGACACAGAACATTTTTCCCGCTGGGCTCCTTGGGAAAAGGTCTCAGCATTATGGAGGGTGTCTCTGGCTATTCACAGCTTGCCAGTGGGAACAGCCAAGAAGGAGAAGAGGTCACATGGCCAGGCCTGCTGCCGGCACAGAGTGTTCTGTGCAGCTGATGGCTGGGCAGGGATGAGGTTTGCCCGATCCCCTGCTGAGGCTTCCTATGAAAGGTAGGCCTGAGAGTTGCCAAAACATATTCTGCAACAGGGTCTATGAAGGTCACCATAAAGCAGGATTCAGACTCCATATTAGTTGGTTATCTCTTCTATACAGAATGTTATGCCAAGCATTTCTATATATATTCCTTTTGTTTGTTTGTTTTTGTTTTTGTTTTGAGAGGGAGTCTTGCTCTGTCGCCCAGGCTGGAGTGCAGTGGCGTGATCTCAGCTGACTGCAAGCTCCACCTCCCGGGTTCATGCCATTCTCCCACCTTAGCCTCCGGAGTAGCTGGGACTACAGGCACCCGCCACCATGCCCTGCTAATTTTGTTTTTGTATTTTTAGTAGAGACGGGGTTTCACCATGTTAGCCAGGATGGACTCGATCTCCTGACCTCGTAATCCACCGGCCTCGGCCTCCCAAAGTGCTGGGATTACAGGCATGAGCCACCATACCGGGCCTGCATTGTGTATTTAAACCTCACAACAACCTGGTTGTCCCCTAATATCACTTCCAGCTTATAGGTGTAGAAACCATAGCTCAATGAGCTGAAGTTGCAGTAATTTACCCATGGTCACACAGTAACAGAACCACAGTTAATTTCCCTAAAAGAAGACAAGATAAGGGCTTGCATGGTGATCTTGCCATGCCATGAACAGGAGCTGCAAACACAGGGATCAAAACATGTGCTCCAGTCGCTTCTCACAGCTGCTTTGGTAAACACTCTGAGACAGTGTGTGTCACTTTCTTGACTGGACTGTGAGTTCTTGGACATCAGGGCCCTGCATGATCCAATTATATGTGTCTCCCACAGTTCCTTGCACAAAACAGGAATGTGAAAAGCAGTTTCTCTCTGGCCAACCACTGACCCCAGAGAAGGATTGGCCCCAACCAAAGGTCAGCAACTGGATGTACTTCGGGGCCAAGCAGGCAGTGGAAACACAAGAAATACCCAGCAAAGTATGAGACAGAAGTGCGTGGTGGAAGACTAAAGGAACAAAATGTACGGGACTGGCCTAAGTCATTCAGGTCAAAAAGTTTCAGAAGGAGTGTACAGCCAAAGAAACGAAAACAAAAACAAAACCAGGAAGACCGAATGGGGCCCCAGAGCATCAGCTTACAGCCCTCACTATGACTCCACCCCGACCATTTAGTTTGATGTGGAATTGACAGGTATCCCTCCCACACTGTAACTCCAGTCTTCCAAGATGGAGACCATGGCTGAGACACTTTATGTCTGGTTCTCATTTAACGCAGCATGTGGCACAGAGTAGATATTTAGTAAATGTTTGCCAAATAAGCTCTTAAAATTAAATTTTTCCAAACTGGTATAAGCCTCGCGACGACAAAGATGTGTGAGGAAAGCTACTGACTTAGTTTCCACTGACTTAGTTTTTCTAGTTTCACTGGAAACCAGAATGTTGATTGTGTTGTTTGGATGGAGAACCACCCATAGCAAGTGTCTGTATGTATCATAATACCTAGAGGATCTTTTGGATAACTGGTTGGCCTCCATACTCTAAAATAAGAAATATATACAGCTCTTAATTCTGTAAGATATCTAATCAATCACTGATTCACTCAACAGGGATGACACTGAGATGATAATGGTGAGAAAAAAACAGATGTAACTGCCTTTCCTTGTGGAACTTATGGTCTAGTAATCAGCTAATCACATAAATAAATGCAAAATCATAGTACAACAAGTGCTCAGAAGCATATAGCACTTTAAGAGGCCTGGTTTGGGAGGATCAAGGAAGTAATGCATGTGTTGGCTAAAGAGGAGAAAAACCAGCAGATTCAAGTCCCCTGTGGAAAAAGTAGACTTTTCCCTGTGGAAAAGCAAAGAAGAGGATGTGTAAGGCCGACGTGGCCAAGCCCTGGAGGAAGTGAGCATATGGTTTAAGAGGCTGATAGAGGTCAGACCATTCCCAGTTTGTAGGCTTTGGAAAGAATCCTTGTCTTTGTCCTAAGAGCAATGCGGTGTATCTACTCTGCTAGAGAAAAAGAATAGTCGAATAATGCTATAGTTCTCCCTTCCTCTAACCTGCACTCTTTACACAGGCTTTTATGTTGCTGCCCACCTTCTCTCTATGTGGGATGTGGCAAGGGAAACATGTTTTAAACTCTTGAAGATGTAAAAGTTATTTCCTTCTTAGAGTCTGAGCTGCAAATGGCATTTCTCTCTTAGTGTACCACGACATTGCCACAGAAACACCATTAGATACCCCTCTGGGAGCAGAAGCTCAGAGCCCTACCATTAGTTACTTTATGTCCAGTATCACATCAGCCAGCAGTTTCTCATCTTTTGGATTAAGCAGACCACATTTTAACCTAAAAAATATAGGTGTCCCAATTAATACTACTTATCCTTTAGAAATTCTGATACAAAACCTTTCACATAGCACTAAAATAAGAGGAATACTTAGGTATAAACCTAACAAAATATGTACATGATCTATATGTGGAAAACTGTAAAACCCTGATGAAAGAAATCAAAGAGCTAAATAAATGTACATGGCTAGAAAAACTCAATATTGTCAACATGTCAGTTCTTCTCAAATTAATCTATAAATTCAACCCAATCCCAGTTAAAATCGTAGCAAGTTACTTTGTGGATATCAACAAACCGATTTTAAAGTTTATGTGGAAAGGCCAAAGGCTTCAGAGCAGCCAATACAAGCTTAAAGAAGAACAAATTTGGAGGATTGACACTATCTTAACTGAAAGACTTACTATAAGGTTACAGTAATCAAGACAGTAGGACTGGCAAAAGAATAGGAAAAAAAATCAACAGAACAGAATATAGAGCCCAGAAATAGACCCACACATGAAAAATCAACTGATCTTTGACAAAAGAGCAAAGGCAATTCAATGCAGAAACAATAGTCATATCAACAAATGGTGCCAGAACAACTGGACATCTACATGCAAGAAAGTGAATCTAGACATAGAACTTACACCTTTCACAAAATATCAATTCAAAATGGGTCATAGACCTAAGTGCAAAACACAAAACTATAAAACTCTTAGAAGATAACATAAGAGAAAATCTTGATGACGTTGAGGTTGATGATGATTTCCTAGAAACAATGCCAAAAACACAGCCTATAAAAGAAAGAATTGTTAAGTTACACTTTATTAAAACTAAAAACTTCTACTCTGTGAAAGGCACTATTAAAAGAATAAAGAAACAAATCACAGACTGGGAGAAAATATTTGCAAAACACATATCTGGTAAAGGACGGTTATTCAAAATATACAAAGAACAGTTAGAACTCCAGAATAAGGAAACAAACAATGCAATTTAAAAATGGGCAAAATATCTGAACATTCACCTCACCAAAGAAGATATACTGATGGAAAATATGTATTTATAAGATGTTGCACATCATACATCATTGGGGAATTACAAATTAAAATAACAAAGACATATTAGCACCTACCTATTAGAATAAAGATAACTCAAGAAACTGACAACCAAACGCTGATGAGGATGTGGAGCAATAGTAACTCTTATTCTCTGTTAGTGGGAATGCAAAATGAAATAGACACTTTGAAAGACAGCTTGGCAGTTTCTTACAAAATTAAATATACTCTTACCATACAATCCACCAATCACATTCCTTGGTATTTAATCAAATGAGTTGAAAACTTATGTCCATACGAAAACCTGCATATGGATGTTTACAGCAGTCTTATTCATAATTACTAAAACTTGGAAGCAACCAAGATGTCCTTCTATAGGAGAATGGATAAACAAATTGTGGTATATCTATACAGTGGAATATTATTTAGCAATAAAAAATGAGCTAGCAATCCATGAAAAAATATGGAGGAAACGTACATGCATACCACTAATTTTTTTAAAGCCAATCTGAAAATGCTACATTCTGCATGATACTGTCTATATTACATTCTGGAAAAGGCAAAACTATGAAAGCACTAAAAATATCAGGTGTTCAGGGGAGAGAGGAAGGGATAAATTGGTGGAGTACAGGGGACTTTTAAGGCAGTGAAACTATTCTGTGTCTATAATAGTGGATGCTATAATGGTGGGTACATGTCATTACACATTTATCAAAACCTGTAGAATATTCAACACAAAGAGTAAACCATAATGTAAACTATAGACTTGAATTAATAACACTGCAACAATATTGACTCATCAACTGTAACAAATATACCACATTAATCCAAAAAGTTAATAATAGGGGAGGCTGGGGAGAGAGGTAGGACAAGGAAGTGTATGAGAAATCTATACTTTCTGCTCAATTTTTCTGTAAAACTAAAATTGCTCAAAAAATAAAGTATGTTAATTAAAAATTCTAATGATTGATAAAATATATGGTGACAAAAACTGTGGTTTTAGTGACATAGTTTTAAAAATTGTATTTGATTTATCACAACAGTATCCGCAATACACTTGAGAAAACAAGTATATATGAGTAAAATATGTCTATTTTTTGCAGTCTCTAGACAACCTTGAGCGCATATATGGAGCTCTTACAAACTCCACAGACCTGAAAGAATACAGTTTAGGAATCATTGCTGAAGGCTTCATAGACTTCTCTTGATTTAATGAATGAAACATCTCCTTAGAAGATCGGGAGTATACTAGCAGCAGGTCAGTGTTGCTGGTGTCAAATCTCTCTTTCTTGACGCCAGGGGACTCTAATACCTTTCTCACTGCAGAGAAGGGAGGACAAAATGAGAGGTTTTATGTAAAAGCATCTTACAGAGTGCCTAGTACACTGTAGCTGCTCAGTAAATATTAACCAAATCTGAATCCGGTGTTGTAAAGGAGATCAATTATCAGGTGCCGGATTGGACTGACTGACATCCAATGTCTCCCCCTGGGATCTGTGACTCATGCCCCACCCCCTTTTAATGCTTTGGAAACTCATTTTTGTTATGAGCTCAAAGCTTTGTCAACATAAGACTGAGTATGGGAAATAGCTGCAAATAGCAGGAGAAATTTTAGGTGACACCCTATCTCACCCACTTTCCTGTTCTCCCTCATATCTCATTTTCTCATGTGCACCTAAAATCTGAGACTCAAAGGAAAAACTTCAGTGGAATTCAATACATCTCAGTGTTTAAGAAGAAAGTAAAATTTGTCCTCCATAGTGATATAGTAGCAGAAAAATTATAGAAAGACACTCCAAAATTACAGTGTTCTGGAGGAATAAAATAGATGCCTCTTATAGATAACAAAGCTCTCATTGCATTTATTCACTGGCAGTATTTATTCATTTAGCTCCAACTGTGTGTGAGGCACTGACAATGCTGGGTATGGGGCTGGCTGGCACTATTTGATAAAAATGTCCTTTCCATCCTGATCCTTGTAACCTTGAGTACATAGGGATCCAACCATTCCCATCTGCTCTACTGTGGTCCGGGAGCCTCTGCCTCCCCCATTTGTTGGGCAAATCACCAATCCTACCTTTGTAATGGTGAAAGGCCGAGAAACAAAGCTCCATGAGAAAATATTTTAAAACTGGGGAGTTTTAATCAGTCATAAGAAAACCCAGCAAAGACATAATCCTTTATTTTGCAAATCTGAAGGACTATTATAGGGAAGGGGGTTTTCATAACTTTTTGGTGTAGAATCAAGAACAAGAATTACAAATCAGTTCTGGAAGCTGCTGGGAAACTGATGTCATCTCAGCCAAAGGGAGGATTTTTTAACAGTGAGATGTTTCCAGATATGAAACAGACTCTGTCAGTAGCTGGTGAGTTCCCCATTATTGCAGATGTTCAGAGGTCAGATGGTCAACAGACAAGAGTTTGTAGATGAGAATATTTCAGCAAACTTGGAAACAGGGACACTGATCTTTATGACTTTACTTTCACTACAAATCTGTGTCTATGAGCATTGGCTGTATCCATTGACGTCTGCATTACGGATCAGACCTCACAGCTGTGTCTATACATCATTTAGAGTTTGCAAAGTGATTTTCTTTACATGTTCTCATTAACTCCTCAGGACAACCTTTTGAGAAAAATAGTTCAATGATCATTATCCTATTTTATAGTTGAAAAATCTAAGAATAGAAAAGAAGGAAAATCAATGATAAAGCCAAAGGAAATGACCAATCTATGACGGGGCTTCACTCTTCCCACCAGGGAGTCAGAGACCAAGAATATTCATCATATTTTTAGAATGAAGAGATAAAAAATATCATATTCCAGAAAGGGGAGATAAGTTTTTCAAGGGAGTAAAAAGCTGTCACTAACATCCAAGATGAGCATGATGTTTTCTTTGTAGCTCAAAGAGCAGGAATTTGTGAGTCTTTGAAATCAACAAACTTACTACTAATGGGTCAGTGTCTTCTCACTCACAGAAGTCTCCTGAGTGAGATCAGGGTGAGCATTGACCAGGTGTGAGGAAGACAAGCCATTGCTTGCAAAATGGGAAAAAAAATCCAGGAGAGAGAGTGTGTCAGTCTAGGGATAATGTTGAACAGAGAACATCCCAGAGGGTGACCAGAAAATCAAGGACCACTTGTCTCTTTCCATAAGAATTTTTTGCATCTGGAAATGAGGTACAGTGATCCCTCAAAGAAGGTACAGATTGAGCAAACAGAGAACTTCTAAAGGCTGATGAAGGGATTAAGTCTTCTTTAATGATCATGTTGTGTTTGTCTCCAAGGTCTTTCATCTGTAGATCTCAGAAGGTTTTGCAAACATCAATTAAATGTTACTACATTCCTTTGGAGTAAATATTATTACATGCATTTGGCAGATAAGAAAACAGAATCTAAGAGGCTTGCCTAGGGGCTACCCTGCAAGATTCTAGGAGGCCAATCATCTCAAACATGAGCTGCGCAGAGCTCTGGGCCTCACAAGGAAGAAAAGACTGAGAATCTGAGAGTGTTATTTCCAGGCTCTGAGAAAGAAAGATTGCTGAAGGAATGTTCTCTACACTGGTCCACAAGTTTCTGGAGAATTGGGGAGGGCTTTTGCCTTATCAAAAAGATTGAGTCCCAAAATCACAGGACCCAGAGATTAGACTTCATGAATCACTCCTCAGTCCCCTAGTTAGATGTCATCTCTCCTCTTCCAAGCTGTCAAAAGCCATTGTTGTAATTTCTCTTATATTCTACCTTGGGTTATAATTATTTGTGTTGGTGTCTGGTTTTTTTCATGAGCCTTCAAACAAGATTTACACTGTCCATTATGTTTGGAATAGAATAAAACATCATAAAAATGTGTTTTGAATTTGAAGTAGAGTTTGTGGGGGGAAAAGCAGTAGACAACTTCTGTAAGGTGCAAGGACCAAAGTTGATAATTTTGTCCTACCCAGAGACAACAATAAGGCCATCCTAGAACTCATATTTGAAGGTCAATAAAGGCACTTCTGGGTTTTCCTAACTGCCAAAATCTCAATTTTTACACTAAATAGTAAAGTTCAGTTGGGATATCCAAGCCTGGTTAAAATTTAGTAAAGGAGTCTCATAGAAAGCCACATGGGTAAGTATATTTTGTAATAACAGATCTTTATATGAGCATCATATCTTATAACTTTACAAAGCATTTTTACAAGCACTTTCAAATTTGATCCTATTAAGACACCATGAGGTGGGCAATAGAGACGTTATTATCTCATTTTATTGATGAGTTTCATCAAGGTTAAGTGACCTGCCCTGGGTCACATAGCTATCAAATAAGAGAAATGAAGCAGAAATCAAGAAATGTGGAGGAAGAGAAGAATGACCATTCTCTATATTCCATAACCTCCTTTCCGTTTCCAGCCTTCCAGAACTGGACTGTTCCTTGTGCTTTCTTCTTTGTCCGGTTCTGTTGCTTGCAACTGATGCACCAGTGGCGAACCCAGCAGAGTTCACACTAAACCTCTTTTGGTCTTGCTGAGTCCTCATCACCCTGTGGCAGTACCTGTTCAGCTAGAAATGCAGAGCTCACCTGAACCCAATTTGACTTTCAAGGAAGAATTTAGTGGCAGGTGCAATTTTGCTAGTTTACAAACCCACTTCGAGTGAGACAGAAAAGAAGAAGATCCCCATAAAAGCTGTCATTTGAAAACCCATTTTCAAATGCAGTTGTCCAAGCCCAAGGTGGAGAGATGGGAGACTTTTTGATTCCAGCTCCAGTGCCACCAACCAATTACGGACCTCTGTTGTCATTCCCCAGATATTTAATGAGCACGTAGTACATGTTGAATATTGTGCTAGGTGCCAAGGACACAGAAATGAATAAAATTTGTTTCCTGTTCTGAAATAAACAAGATAGACAAGCAAGCAGATAAAAACATTACAATGTAATTTGTGCTTTATGGAGTTGAAACACTGCAGTAGGAACCAGCAGAGGAGGTATCTAGTCTGAGAAGTCTTCCTGGAGCCAAAGAGTATTTCAAGAGCGGGGCCTTCTGAGCGCAGGGCTCTGATCAGTTGCATGATCTGCTCACTCATGAAACTGCTCTTGCCTACAAACTTCCTCTGTGTTGCCCTGTTTCTCTCTTGAGGGGAGCACCAACACAAGTGGGTACAACAGGGTGGTGCAGAAATTGAGACATTCTGAGACTTAGCAGTGACCTGCAGCTGCCAGCCAGGAAAACCCATGAGGCAGGATAACAGCTGAGTGAGGCGGCGACCAGCCACTGCTGGAAGAGGTACTAGGGGCAGGGACAAGCTGAAGCTCCGGACTGCCAGTGACTGCAAGAGCTGCAGTGGGCCTCCACGTGGTGGGAGGGAGTGATTGTTTTCAGAACAGCAGCAAACTTTTCCCAAAGGCCCAAGGCCCAGCTTCAGTAAAGCTGTAAAGAGGCTTTACTCACTTCTAATTTCTCCATTACGTTCAATTCCCATAACCAGAGGTAAACAGCATTTCTTGCAAAGTGGGTACTACTAATCCAAATATATAAAGATGCTTTCCATACTTCTAAAACATCACGCTTTATGCAAGGGAAACTTTTAGCTGAAAGACTCCACTGGCAGCAAAAACAAAGACAAAATTAGTCCTGCAGGTGGGTGAGGATGTGGGCATGGGCTACACTCTCAACAGTGCCATCTGCAGCTTTCAGTGACTCCCCCAAAATCACCATCATTGCACCCTCAAGCCTCTACCTGCTTCTCGGACACTGCCTCTACTAAAACAGGAAGCATTGGCTACTTGACATTTGCATGGCAATAATTCGGAGGCTGGCCAATTCACTCTCTGTTATTCCACAGTGAGCTTTCCAAGCCAAGCCTTTGGACCAATCAGCTTTATATTTTTCAATTCGTTAGCATGCCATGAAGAACTACAGATTAAACATCAACAATCTTTCCCCCCTCCTTAATAACCCTAATATTCTAGCTATCTATGAAGATAATTAACCTTCTTAAAGAAAAGTGCCCTAGGAAGCTTACCTTGACACAACAGACAATTATCTTTGTTTAATCGCTTTCTTTAAAAAAATTCTAATATTAGTGTTTAGCTTAGTCCTCCTGTACAGGACAGTGATGGCTGCTCCCTACGACACTCTCCCCAACCTCAAATCTCATATGACGGTCATTATCGTCCCCAGCATGCTTTCAGGAAGTTGCTTTATTCTTGCTACTTGGCAATCAGACTTGAGCCAGAGACCTGCCAGGCAGCAAACTGCTAACAAGCCTCCAAGGCAGATCAGATTTTCCTGTCCAGTATCGTGATGAGGGAAGAAGACAAATGACCTGGCCAAGGTCTTGGAGCAAGGTGAACACCCTCTGTTTACTCCAGTATCTGACCCATCCAGCCGCACTCCCAAATATATTGCATTGCTCATGAATTGCCTCCACGTTATTTGCTGAGTGTCCACTATGTGTTGCCCCTCTCTGCTAAACCCCAGATGTTCAGACATTAAGATGAGGGAAGAAGACTGCAGCCAGTTCACTGATCAGGGTCTGATTCAACTAACCATGATGCTGAAAGTGATTCTTTTGCTTATTGCATCAGGACATACCTAGCATATATTTGTGTCAGGTCCTTTAGAGACTTGCTTGAATCTCACCTTTCCTAAGAGCACCCACAAACTCACCCCATGGGAATTAAGCTCTCTTCAACAGAGAGCCCATGTCATCCGATTAGACTTCTGCCTTTGTTTTTATTTTTATTTATTTATTTAGAGACAGAGTCTGTCACCCAGGCTGGAGAGCAGTGACACGATCTCAGCTCACTGCAACCTCCGCCTCCCTGGTTCAAGCAATTCTTATGCCTCAGCCTCCCAAGTAGCTGCAATTACAGGTGTACATCAGCAAGCCCAGTTAATTATTGTATTTTTAGTAGAGACAGGGTTTCACCATGTTGGTCAGGCTGGTCTCAAACTCTGGCCTCAAGTGATCTGCCTGCCTCGGCCTCCCAAAGTGTTGGGATTACAGGCATGAGCCATAACGCCCAGCCCAACCTCTGCCTTTCATTAGATCTACTTGTATACTATGAGAACATTTCTTTGACTCTGTACATGGTACTTGGTACATGGAACAAAGTAGGTGCTTAATCAGTGCTTGTCAAATTACATATATACAAGATGATGAGGCACCTAATACAGGAGGAATGAGATGACTGTTAACTATGGCTGTGGCTGTTATAAAGATGAGAATTACTGAAACGACAGTGAAGAAAGTCATTTTTCCTTTTTCCTAAGAGCTCATTATATCTGGACAAAGGTAATGTGTCCCTGTTCTCCTGGGCTCTTCTAAACGGAGTCATGTTCATTCTTTCATGTTTGGATAATCTCACAATGAGCTACTACATCTATTCTGTTATCTAAATTCCTCAGTAAGCCAGTAAGACAGGTATGAAAAGGATGCTCATCCCAATTTTACCAAGGCCAACAGGGGAGGTGACTGCTCCACATTCAAGAGTTAATAAGTGGTAGCTGGGGTGTGGTGGCTCATGCCTGTAATCCCAGCACTTTGGGAGGCTGAGGTGAGCAGATCACTCGAGCCCAGGGGTTTGAGAGCAGCCTGGGCAATATGACGAAACCCCGTCTCTACCAAAATTACAAAAACTTAGCCAGGCATAGTGGAGCGCACCTGTAATCCCAGCTACTAGGTAGGGGAGCTGAAGTGGGATGATCACTTGAGCCCAGGATGTGGAGGTTGCAGTGAGCTGAGATCATGCCACTGCACTCCAACATGGGTGACACAGCGAGACCCTGTCTCAAAAAATAATCATAATAATAAAATAAGAGGTAGAGCCTGAACTCAAACTTTCCATTCTTAGTTTGAAGTTCTTAGCATCGAACATCCCAACAATTATAATAATTACAGAAAACTAAAATCAACAGAGCTTCAATTAAAGAAGGTTTTGTTTCTACCTTCAATTTTTTTTTTTTTGGCAACTCCCCTAATGTAGTTGATTTGTATAATTCTAAACTGGGCTATGTATTTGTTAATAGTCCTTAATAAACAGACTCAGTTGTACCAGCATGCAAAGAACACAGGTGAGAAAGGGTTCCCTGAAGCTCATTTGCATTCAGTTATCAAAATAAAATATGAAAAGTACCTCACAGGAGAAATCAGAAATTTTGAAACACTGATATTTCACAGTCCAGTGATTCTTAATAATTCTAGAGAAACGAGTGCCTGTCCATGTCTGTAACTGTTCTTTGCCCACACTTATATTTAGTTGAAGGGGATGCTGATGAATAAATAAAAGCAAATTGCTACCGACACACAATATTGGTTCAGGTTTATGCTCTAACTGCTTGAGGACACTTTGTGGCTAAGTTTCTCTTATTGATCATATCATGGCTGCAATCTACTTCTGTTTAGAGGAACTTTGTTGCTCAGTTTTATACATGCAGAAAAAAAAAACTGGCCATGCAAACAGAGATAATCTATTACCTTTTAAATGAAATTAGTAAATAACATTTATGTCTTTTTAGAACAACCGGAAACTGGGCATATACTGGAGCAAAATTTAATCAGCAGTTAGTTATTTCTTTGCCATTAGAACATGCTGAGGGCTGGGCGCAGTGGTTCATACCTGTAATCCCAGAACTTTGGAAGGCCAAGGTGAGCAGATCACTTGAGGCTAAGAGTTCGAGACCAGCCTGGCCAACATGGTGAAACCCCATCTCTACTAAACAATACAAAAATTAGCCAGGTGCGGTCGTGTGTGCCTGTAATCCTAGCTACTCAGGAGGCTGAGGTAGGAGAATCACTTGAACCTAGGAGGCGGAGGTGGCAGTGAACAGAGATTGCGCCACTGTACTCCAGCCTGGGCAACAGAGAGAGACTCTGTCTTGGAAAAAAAAACAAAAGAACATGCTGAGATTGAGGTGCCCGTATCACTGTATACGTGTTTTGTTTCCATTTCCCCTCTTATTTCCTATCCAGTTTAGAGAAATATTATCCCAGTATGAAAATTGATAAAGCAATTATAGAATAGAAAAAATTTCCCTACTGTATGTATATCTGTTACTTGGGGAATTTTTTCTCTACCTAAAATGTCTCTATTCTGATGATGCTTTCAGTGTAAGCAGCTAAAAAGGTGGTATTTTCCTACTTCTCTGCACCCCTCCCTGGGTGCAGGGAACTGGGGTGGCTTTGCCAGTGGACCTCTTAGAAGTAGGGCCATGACTCGTGAACCTTCCTGCTTCCCTCTTCTTGCCTGAGCCAGGCTGTCCCAGAGAATATGTGTTCTCCATTGTCCTTGACACAGTGTAAACTAAGCAAACTAAAGTCCTGGATGTGTGGGAGGCCTTTACTGGACCAGCCCTGCTGGTGACAGTGTAGGGAAGTCCATAGAATCCTGGGGTCAGTATTAGGAAGCTCATTTACCTGGAGACACAGACCACCCTCTCCAGAGGGGGTAAGTGATGCAAGCACAGGACACAGCAGGTGGGGGAAGCTGTTTCCTCATCAGACTGAAGGATTCACCAGATACATTGAGTGAATTAAAGCAAAAGTAAAGTCAGGACAAGACCTGGGGATGTCTTCATTTCTGGCTGCTTACACCATGCTGTGGCTATGGCTAGCAAGAGCCTGTGGAGTACAAATACCGTGCACAGACCTTCAGCACGCTCCCACACAAAAGGCTTCCCCAGTGAAAGCCAGCATGGCTGGCGCTGGAGCTGGTTTCCACATGAGGTTTTCTTTCCCCATCAGGGGATCTTGCAGTTATCATAACCCTCCCTTTCCACTTTCTTACACTGCATACCACTGAGGTAACACCCCTCAAGCAATTTCTCTTTTACATGTACAAACACATCCTCTCCAGTCCTCTTCATCCTTGCCTGTTCTCCAGATCTTCTCCATTTACCACAGGAAAATCTCTCTTCTTCCTTCTTTCCCACTCATGAATTCTGACATAAGCCCCAAACCACTCTTAGACTGACAACCGTAAGAGGTGTGCACATGACACCGCAAGTGAAAGGCAAAGGAAGACTTACACTTTGTAGTAAAATTAGACACTACAAGTAACCAGTGTCATCAGCCTCTTAAAGTCCTTGAAAATGCCCAGAAGTTACTTTAAGCCATTCTGCAAAAGTCTCATTCAATGTTTTTCTCAACTACTAATATGCCAACTAGAAACTCAAACAAAAATATCACCCTACATATTAAATTACTAGAGCATGTTTGACTATTTTTAATACAAACATACCATGCTTCAGTTGTGGTATGGGGATAAGAGACATGAGAGAGCTGGGCTGGGTCTTCGGTTGCCATTGAAGCATTATCCAGCAAGCATGCCCTGAAATCCAAAGAACCAACTGAAAAACACCTGCAAACAATTCACTGCCAAGTTGTACATGTTTTGGGATCCTTTGAGAATTCCTCAAGATGTTCAATGGCTGGAGTTGAAAAGTGGAGATGTGCAAATTGATCATTTGGAAGAATGTTGAATCTCTTCTCAAAAAATGCTGATTTATTGAATTCTGTCAAATAATTTCGTTAAGGTTGAGTACCCATCCTGGAGGAGTCCTCCTTTTTTTTTTTTTTTTTTTGAGACAGAGTCTTGCTCTGTCCCCCAGGCTGGAGTGCAGTGGCGCGATCTCAGCTCACTGCAAGCTCTGCCTCCCAGGTTCAATCGATTCTCCTGCCTCAGCCTCCCAAGTAGCTGGGACTACAGGTGCGTGCCACCATGCCCGGCTAATTTTTTTGTATTTTTAGTAGAGACAGAGTTTTGCCATGTTGGCCAGGCTGGTCTCAAACTCCTGACCTCAGGTGATCCACCCACCTTGGCCTCCCAGAGTGCTGGGATTACAGGCATGAACCACTGCACACAGCCCTCGGCTTTCCTTTTTGAGTCGGGGGCCAGGCCACATCCATCAGGCCCTCTGCAGGCCTGTTCTTCCATATCCATAGTCAGAGGAGTGGAACTGTAATTCCGCAGCCATGGTTACTGCACACAACGAGTCCTTTTGTTGTCACACCTGTCAGGCAACATGCAACAGGGCTCGAGACACAGCACGGAGTACAAAACAGAATTTTAAAGGAAAACTTACAACGTAAAAGTCGGTAGTAGAAAGCCAAAAGGCCAGTCTCATGCTTTTCCTAGGAGAGACATATGAAAGCCAGGATATCCTGCAAAATTTGTCATGGGGTGCATGTTTCGTTTTTAAAGGTCACATATTGAAGCATACTTGCGTAGGGGAACAGTGGATTGTATGGGTGCCAGGCTGTCTGGCTTTCATATGCCAGTGGGTTTAGATGTTTACAGGAGTTATGTGAAAGAGCCAAGTATCTGACACCTGCAAACCTTGGAATCACAGAAGGCTGAGTTCAGAAAGAGACCCCCTTATGTAGAAAAGGCCTCCTGCCAGGTCCCATCAGAAGCTGAATTTGGGTGCAGCCCCTCCTGCTGGGAAAAGCAGAGGTCTTTGATCCCAAAGAGGCAACTGTCCAGGCCACCAAGAATGAGTTCCCAGGGACATTTCTAGGTAATCATGCCTTTTGCACCAGAGTGGGACTCTGAAAGTTGTCAACAATGTGTCTTCATATCAATCTAATTGTTTGCCAGGCTCCGTGACTCTTCGTTTTTCAAAGTTACCTTTGAAAACCTGCTTTTTGAAAACCACTGTACCTGTCCTCCATCTTCCTGGCCACTGCCTTCCCTCATGTGCCCATTATCTCTTGCTTGGTCTACTGCACCCTCTGCTAACCATTCTTCCTGCCTCTATTCTCTCCTAAGGAAGCCTATTTTGCACACCACAGTAAGCATAACACTCCTGAAGTACAAGCCTGGCCTTGCTCCTGGTATCACTCAGAATAGGTTAGGCTATGCTGCAGGAACAGGCAAATCCAACATTACAGTGGCTTAAAACAACAGAGGTTAATTTCTCACTCTCACAACTTGTCCATTGTCTGGCAGCTGGGGATTCAGCTCCACATCATTATTGTCCTTACTCTAAGACCCAGGCTGATGGACTAACCACTCTCTGAAATATTGCCGAAGATGTAGAAGAGAGAAAAGACAGCCCTGGAGGGTCTCACACTGATAAGTAATGTTTGCCTGGAAGTGGAAGATGTCACTGCTGCTCACAGTTCATTGGTCAGAACTTGTTCATGGCCCCACTCACAGGTGTCCAGGAAACAGAATCTTATCATGTATCCAGAAGATATGGACCCAGAAATATTCAGCAAACAGCATTTATGACTATTGTATTACTTCTTTGCTTAAAAAAGCAAGCAAGCAAACCAACTGATAGCTTCCCGTGTTTTCCAAAATAAAGTCAAAATTCAAATGCCATCCCTTCCATGAAGCCACCTATAATTTCCCATTGGAACCAACCTCTTCTTAACTCCATACTTTTATAATGGCCCAATCTGTGCTGTTTATGGTACTTAACACAATTTATCTTCCTTTAAAATGAATAATGTTTATAATTTAGTCACAAGGCTAAACAGGACTTAAAAGATCATCCAGGTCTTAAATCTTCCATATCTTGCCAAGTCTTCCACAATCTCTTCAGAAATCCACAATTTGTGAGGAACGCCCTGCCCCTCAGGTAGTTCATTCTACTCTTCCAAACCTGAACAGTACTGATGATTTAAAAAGCAAAAATGATAACACATTTTAAATCCTTCATCATATGAAGCTAGCACCTACATGCCCCATTTCCAAACAAGGAAACTGAGACACTATCAGCAGAATAAGAAATTTTATCTTAAGTAGCAAATAAATTAGCAAAGAAAAGTTCCATTTTAGTTTATCTCACTGTGTTGCTCAGAAGCTTCTCTGCTTCTGGACTGTGATGTAGATAATCACCAAAGAGACTGCGAGGGATGGAAAGACACCAAGGCAACCACCCTGCCTTGTTTACCAAAAAATGCAAGGGCACCTTTTGCACAGCTGTGCTGAGTGGAAATGTTTAGACAGAAGGCTGTGTGGTCCTGAACAGATGTGATGGTGCCGTGACTCACGGTTGGACTGTCAACCCGAACTGCTGGGAACACCATACGTCATGATCTGGGTGGCCCCTGAGCAGAGCAGTAGAGGCAACCTGCAAAGGACTCTTCCTCATTATCAACCAAACCCAAGAACAAAAGCCTACCAAGCATGCTATGTGGCATTACTGACTTCTGACGGCAAATAACACCACCTCTGTCCAGAAGTGTCCTTAGCATTTTCTGATGCCTTCTTTAGTCATCCTGTGAACTGCTCTTAAAAGGAACACAGAATTTGTTTTGTTTTGTTTTGTTTTTTTTGAGGCAGAGTCTTGCTCTGTTGCCCAGGCTGGAGTGCAGTGGTGCCATCTGGACTCACTGCAACCTCTACCTCCTGGGTTCAAGAGATTCTCCCACCTCAGCTTCCCAAGTAGCTGGGACTATAGGTGTGCGCCACCACACCCAGCTAAGTTTTTGTATTTTTGGTAGAGACGAGGTTTCTCCATGTTTGCCCAGGCTGGTCTTGAACTTCCTAAGTTCAAGTGATCCTCCTACCTCCGCCTCTCAAAGTTCTGGGATTACAGGCATGAGCCACCACACCCGGCCAGAACACAGACTTTAGAATTATTGACACTCACTCACTATGTGACCCTGGAGAATTCACCTCAATGTCATGACAAGTGTAAAATGGAGCAAATGACACTTTCTCAGATGGAATAAGAATCAAGTAGTAGACAAAAAGTGTCCTGCCATGGCCTGGCTCAATAAATCATAGTTCCTTCTAGTCTTTCTTTTAGCCTAGAGCAACCCTTGACCTGGAACTTGCACATTAAAAGTCCCAGACCATCTCTCCCCGAGGTGTCCTCTTCTCTACTGGGTGAGGAGTCCACAGGCCCCAGGGAACATATTCACCCAAAGTCATGTTCAGCTTCTAGACCATCCTTTACAAACCCAGGATTCCAGAATTCCCTGACCACATTACCCCGAATCCACTCTTAGGGCCTTGCTTCTCCAGTCTGTCTTGCAGAGGGCAAAACATGATTTTAGTGTGTGCACACTTAGGTCAAGGGGCAGCTGTGTGCAGGGTGTAGGGATGGGCAAGGGTGGGGACTGGGTTGTGTATGGATCTTGGGAGTGAGGCTGGAGCTCACATGCATGTCTGTGAGGTCATTACAAAGCAGAAGCAATTAGGAGTGGGGAAAGAAAGGGGCAAGCTATAGGCCAGGGTCTCATTTTATATACTTGCCTTGGGCTTCACAATCATTAGGGGAAGAACTTACTCCCTCTCTCGTATTTGTAATCTTAGTCTAATCTAATACATGATTCTGAAGATACAGTACTCCTTTCCCTCTTTTAACTAAATAGTATTCCATTGTAGATGTATATCAGAATTTATTTATTCATTTGTTGATGGACTTTTGGTTTTCTCCATCTTTTGACTATTGTGAATAATCCTGCCATCATTAACATTGATGACGAATTAACTGTCGGAGTCCCTATTTTCAGCTTTTTGGGATATACACCTAGGAGTGGAATTGCTGGGTCATATGGTTATCCTGTTTAACTGTTTTTAAGGAGCCACCTAACTGTTTTCTGCGTGGCTGAAAAATTTTACATTCCCACCAGCAATATATATATATATATATTTTTTTTTTTTTTTGAGACGGAGTCTCTGTCTGTCACTCAGGTTGGAGTGCAATGGTGCAATCTCAGCTCACTGAAACCTGTGTTTCCTGGGTTCAAGTGATTATCATGCCTCAGCCTCCCAAGTAGCTGGGATTATAGGCATGCACCACCATGCCCAGCTAATTTTTGTATTTTTTAGTAGAGATGGGGTTTCACCATGTTGGCCTGGCTGGTCTCGAACTCTTGACCTCAGGTGATCCACCAGCCTCAGCCTCCCAAAGTGCTGGGATTACAGGCATGAGCCAAGGTGCCTGGCCTCCACCAGAAATATATGAGGTTTTATTTTCTCCATATCCTTGCCAACACTTGCTATTTTCTGGGTTGTTTGTTTTATTTTGTTTTTTATTACAGTCATTCTAGTGAGTGGGAAGTGGTACCACATTACGGTTTTGATTTGCATTTCTCTAGTGACTAGTGAAGTTGAGCATCTTTTCATGTGTGTGTTGCCCATTTGTGTATTGTCCATGGAGTAATTTCAGGGATAACTTTTAATGAGGTAACGGACATTCTAGTGAAAATGAGAAAGAAGTAAGGCCACTAATAGCTTAAAGCCACTGCTGGTTCCCAGAGTGCTACGTGTGTCCCTAACGGACCACCCATCTTGCTTCTAGCCTGTCTTCTTGAGACCCAGGAGGCAAGCTCCACACCGGGAGAATCACTCCTGGCATCTCCACGACTTACAGCTTGGACCCACAATATACCATTCGCTACCCACAAGCTCCTGCACACTCCTCCCTCCCCATGCACCCACACCGACATAAACACACCCCATCCACATTTTCAGTCCCAGGATTACATAGCAGCTGGGACTTGGATTCCCTTTATGGAGCTGTCCCAACTCTTGGCCTGCAGTATGGCCCAGGACCCCAACAAAACTATTACATGGGGGTATACATTGCACACTCCCCAGAGTTTGGAATATTCTGGGTTAAGGAAGTGAGGGGCAGACACACCTCATTCAGGTGGGCTGCTCCAGGCTCAGCTCTGTTCCTTTCAATCCTCCAAACGTCACTTCCAGGACAGAGAAAGGAGCCATAGAGAAAAAATGATCAATGCCACTCCTCTATTCATTTACCATATGGGGAAACTGAAACTCAGGGAATGAAACACCTGCTCACGGGTGCAGCCTGACACAGGGCTAGAGCTCAGGTCCTCAACTTCCCAGACTTTGCTCCTGGAGCAGAGCAGAACATGATACAACAAGTGCTTAGCTTAGACACCCCTACACCAACACCACCAATTCAGCCCATGATTTGAGTCAAGATCAATTTATTCTCTGCCTTGATAGTCTCATACAAAATGAGGCAGACAATAACTGCTCTTCCTTTCCCCCAGAAGAACTAATGACATATATGTGTGTGTGTGTGTGTGTGTGTGTGTGTGTGTGTGTGTATGCTTTGAGCTCACTGGAAGGCAATAGCTATATAAATATATGTGTATGTTTGTACTTACACTTTTTTTCTTCATGACCTAGTTGAGGTGGAGAACCATTTTGGGACTAGGTGAAAATGGCACATACTAATTCTACTCGTTTCTTTCTGCATGGTCTAGTCAAATGTTCCCAGGTAAAATGAGTGCCTTTAACTCTAAAAAGGGAGGAAAAGTCTGTGGGCAGGTGCATTTAAAGCCCCCAAGGCATGAGTCCATGGTTACTAGTCTACATTTCGGACTTTTGTTGTGAAAGTGACTTCTGGGGACAAGCAACCTAGAGGCCTGCCAAGACCCCCCGGGACTGGCACCCAGGGATCAGTGTTCAAGGACAGGCAGTTCTCTCAGGAGCTGGGATGAGACCTTGAACAGGTGACTCCCTTGTTCTGGGCCTCAGTTTTCCTATCAGTAAAATGAGGGAGCTGGACTGAATGACCAGATTGCAATTTTTTAAACATCAAAATCCTTCTTAAAAATAAAATCTTATGCTGATCCCCAATGTATAAAAGCAGATAAAAATGAAACTGCTCTAACTGAAGGGCCGCTCCCCCTTCCCACCTCGAGCCAGTTGTTCAGCCTCCAGCTCACTGGTGTGAAACTCTCCGAATTAAAATAATCTATGGTTCTATATAATGAGATTAACTTGTTAGATCTAGAAAAAAATAAGAGGCTAAGTAGGGTAGCTGGATTGCAGGGCAGGGGCCTTGGAGATGGGAGAGGGCTAGGTGGGGAGAAGGTGGAAAAGGTGTTTGTACTGACAGAGCTCTTAGCAACCTGGTCTTCCACCTCAAATTCCCAAAGAAGAAACTGAGGCCAGACTGTTAAGATATAAACTTTGTAACTTTTTGACCCAGGAAGTTTTGAGAATCATAATAAGGAAATGATTATAGAGTGATTTGAGCTCTTCAAAGACAAGCAGTATTTAAAATACAAGGTATTATTACCTCCACAGAGCTCTCTTTTGATTACCACTGTGCTTGAAAATGTGGGCAGGCCACTTTTATTTTCCAAAACTCAGGTGTTTAAAAAAATATTCACACGTACAATCCCTATACTCAACTCTTATAAGCTAATTGTCAGCTTCCTTGTCACTGGATAATTGTAATGTTCAAAGAGATATTATACTCACTTTATCAGCTAAATTGGCCGTGCCCCTGATAAAGACATTGATCCCTCCAGCTCACACTCTCTTGCCATAATTTGAAGGATGGTTAAATTTGAAATATTATATTTGAAATTTTAAATGAAAGTACCAAATATCATTCGACAGAGGTGCTAGGCAGGAACTGATCTCTAAAAGACCCTAAATAAATCAGGGCAGCCCTGGGTTAGTTGGTTTCTTGATACAGGGTTGGGTGTTGAAACTCAGAAGTCAACCAAAAACAGTTTCAAACAATTTCAGGGTGTTTTTTCAAAACTGAACTGCTCCAGCACTCAGCCTGCCATGGCAGAGCAAAGTCAGGACTCAGAGTTAGAAGATGGGATTCAAGTCCCAGTTCTATTGCACATGGACTGGTCAACCTTAAAGAATTCTTTCACTTCTCTGGTCCTAGGTTTTCTCCTAGTAAATTGGGATCATTTCCTTGCCCTGCCTATTTCACAGGTCTCCTCTAAGGATGAAAATTGAGTGACACAGAAAGCCATGTGTGACTTTGAATGAATGGAGGCTAAGACTACAGGCTCTGAATGGAATCAGACAGACCTGGGTTCAAATTTTGATACTGCTACTTAATAGCAGTGTACATTGCTTATTTGCTCTGAATCATAGGTTCCTCATCAGGGATATGAGGTTATTAATAGCATTTTTCTCACCTGGTTGTTTTGAGGATTTAAAGCACTGGCCCCTCGTAAAGGCTGAGTGGGTGTTGCCATTTATTAAAAAGCTGTAACAGTCCATGTGCCCAATAAGTTACTGTTGTTTTTTCATAGTTCTGCTTTCTGTGCACAACAGAACTAAAGATAACCATGTATCTATTGTCTCTGAACTGCCTGAGTACTCTTACTAGAACGAAAGAAAAAAGGAAATACACTGTGGCCCAGAATGGGGCTCCAGAGAAATCCAAAATGAGCTGTGGTCTAAAAGCGACTTCTCTCCAAGCCTATTTTTAACTGGCTGTGAACTTCTCTAATACGCAAAGAGTGATGCTGGGCTCTCTGAATAGCTCTGCTGACGAGCTGCTGCCCGCTTCTGCTACTATGTGAATTTATGGAGTCCTGGTCTCGCACTTCATTAAGGAAATATACGATGGTGCTGAGACAGGGGGCCAGACACCAATAACTCCCATCCCAATCTCCCAGTTATAAATCTTAGTGCCTCACTCACTAAGGGAAGAGGAGTAACTGAAGAGATATTATCACCTGCTCCTTTGTCATGGGCTGTCCTTTTTAAGTTGTTTGCAACAGACAACTTTATTAAGAGACCACCAAACAAAAGTCCTGGCCAAAAGCAGACTCCCAAATTTGTTAGGAATATTTTCAGTTGCAGGTAACAGAAAAAGTGAACCACAGCATCTTGAACAAACGGAAGTTTATTTTTTTCACATAAGATATTCAGAGACAGATGATTGCTGGTGCTAGTTCAGAGGCACAATACACTTGCTCCAACTCTATTCAGTGGAAACCCTCTGCACTTTTTCCTCATGATTGTATTCTGGCTGCAGAAGCTCCAGTCATCATACATACAATCCAGTGAACAGAAAAAAAGAAAGAAAAACGGTGGTATCCATGTCAGGGAATTAAAATGTTACTCAGGATTCATCCTTGCAGCGGTTTTTACCTTATTGGCTAGAATTGGGTCAAATGGTCACCCTTGTTTTGAAGGTGATTAGGAATAAGAAGGTTGGAAATGAGCATGAGATCAACCAAGAGTGTCTGCTACAGCTTCCAATAAAGGCCAGCTGAAGGAAGGAACAAAAGTGAATGATTATGTAATGACTAAAGAAACAGATGAGGCCGGGCGCGGTGGCTCACGCCTGTAATCCCAGCACTTTGGGAGGCCGAGGCGGGCGGATCCTGAGGTCAGGAGATCGAGACCACGGTGAAACCCCGTCTCTACTAAAAATACAAAAAATTAGCTGGGCGTAGTGGCGGGCGCCTGTAGTCCCAGCTACTGGGGAGGCTGAGGCAGGAGAATTGCGTGAACCCGGAAGGCGGAGCTTGCAGTGAGCCGAGATCATTCCACTGCACTCCAGCCTGGGTGACAGAGCGAGACTCGGTCTCCAAAAAAAAAAAAAGAAACAGATGAATGAATGCTTGACACAGAGATCTACTCTTTGACTCAGCTCACATGCCATTTTTTTCTAATCCCCTATCCATCATACCTCCCTATCCCCTTGCTAGCCCACTAATACAGTCCCATAGTGCCATTAATCCTCCTATAATTGACTTCCTACTCACTTGTCTATCTTCTTGATTCGTGTTTAAGTCCCTTGGTGGCAAAGCACGTGTCTCATTCATAACTGCATTCTCTGCACCTAGCACAGTGCCTACAATATACTTATTATAACACAGTGCCTGTTAACCTAGAAATAACTGTTGCTATATTTGTTTAATAAGCTCTCATGAAAAATTCTAAAAAATGTGACTTATTGCCCAGCACACATATGTAAAGCTTTTCAAGTCCCTCTTTTGAGTTGGTCCATCTAAAAGACTAGAGCTAAAGTTGTCTCGGTGACATACCCAATTAACTATGAAAGCATGTTATTGTGATTTCCCTAATGTAACCAAAAGAATTCACAAAAATCATTCTTATTTTGTTCAGTCTAACACATTACAGATTAATTTTCAATAAGTTAAATCTGTTACTGATTCTGAAGTCTTTGACCTAAAACAATAATAGTAAAACAAGGATTGTTGTTAAATAAAACAATCATAGGAAGAACATTATGGGTTGGGTATTGGAGAAAACGGGGTACTCAGAGATAGGATAAGCAGGGGTCTTTAAACTGGCTATTGACTCACCTCCCTGTTTACCTTGCCATGGTTCTCATTGCCTGTCTGCAATTTCCTACCGACTCCATCCCTAAGCCCCAGGTTAGTGCCTTCTTTATGTCGGCTTTGGAAGATAAGTAGGGTTTGGATATGCATGCATATGATAGAAAGGGTGTCGGAAAAGTCATGACAACAGGAAGGCCTAGAACCAGAGTGGTTATCTGGCATTAGAGTACATGAGATTAGAGGGAGTGTGAAAGATGAGCTAGTGCTGGGAAATCGGTTAAATAATGAACAAGGGCCTTAAACTTGGGGCTATTGCTCATAGCATGAGCAATAGGAGGCCATTTTTTTGTGGAGTATCACACGAACCAAGCTGTCATTTTATAAATTTCCATCTGGTGAAACTCATAAGTATGGAATAGAGAGATGAAAATAACGAAAGATGAGGATCTTTTAAAAGGCTATTGCAATTGACTGGGCTCACGCCTACAGTCTCAGCACTCTGGGAGGAAGAGGCAAGTGGATCACATGCCACCAGGAGTCGGAGACCAGCCTGGGAAATATGATGAAACCCCGTCTCTATTAAAAATACAAAAACTAGCTAGGCATGGTGGCATGTGCCTGCAATCCCAGCTACTCTGGAGGCTGAGGCAAGAGAATCTCTTGAAGCCAGGAGGCAGAGGTTGCAGTGAGCCGAGATCACACCACTGCACTCCAACATGGACAACAAAGCTAGACTCAGTCAAAAACAAACAAACAAACAAAAAAGCCAGTCAAGAAATGAAGCAGACCTGAACTAATGAACTAAGGTCGCGGTAGCATGAATGTGGCTAGGGAGTCTAATGAAGGGCACACTGTGATGTTAAAATCAGATACACAGATGGTCACTCCACCAAGTAAGCAACCCAGAACAGCTGAAGTGCTGGCCTAGGGAGGAACGTCTAGAAAAAGTGGTTAAGAGCGTAATTAATCTCAATCGTGGCCTCAAGATCATCTTGAAGCAGACTCTAACTGAACTTTTATTTCCCCTCATAAAAAGGAAGCGAGGCCATCTTGTTCTCACAGAGATGATTCCCTGTTGTAGTAATAGAACCAGTTATAATAAGAAGAATGAACTGATCTGCAGGGATGAATGACAGATGTTTGATACAGTCCACCCCTTGTACCAGAGCAGTTCCCCTTGACGTCATGCAACTCTGTGGATTCTGATGAGCTTTATAGGTACAAACTGGGAGTCTCTTGTTCATACTGCACACCACTCACCTCCGACCACAGGCCTTCCTTATTAACATTGATGCAAGGCTGGGTCAGCATTCCTGAACACGAATGCACAAACTAGAAGGGATTTAACACCCTGTGGAGTAGACCTCTAATGATTGGGAGACAGAAGTCAGGAGATAAGCTCCTTCTCTTTTCTCTCCCCTATCTCTATTAATGGGTGATCATTAGATGTGGTTTTAAGGCTGCTTAGAGATATAGTTCCATTGATTGAGTTATCAGTATTATTTAACAATGATCAGCTCGATAACCATTTTCATATTGACTCTCCCTCCAGTCCTGTTTTGCTCACTCCTGTTGCCTGGGATGGGATTCCCTAATAATATACAATGACATAATTCCTCTACCTTAGCTTTGACTTCTGGGAAACCCAGGCTTAAATAAAGGACAACAGAAAAGGTATCATTCACAAAGTACACTAGAGGGATGGTGAAGGATATTCACTGCAGGATTGACTGTAGTGTGGGGGGAAAAAAAGAGAGGAGAAGATCGGCTAAGCATCAAACAATTCAATGACTGCAAATGCATACTATGAAATACCATTCAACTGTTAAAAACAATAAGTATGGCTGTGTGTGCAAGGTAGTTTGAGCAAGAATGCAGAGAGTATAGCAAGGTGATCCCACATGTTTAAATAAAATAAAGATATGTACTTTATTTATGTATTATTTATTTATTTGAGACAGAGTTTCACTCTTATTGCCCAGGCTGGAGTGCAAAAGCGTGGTCATGGCTCACCGCAACCTCTGCCTCCCCAGTTCAAGTGATTCTCCTGCCTCAGCCTCCCAAGTAGCTGGGATTACAGGCATGCACCATGACAGCCAGCTAATTTTTGTATTTTTAGTAGAGACAGGGTTTCACTATGTTGGTCAGGCTGGTCTTGAACTCCTGACCTCAGGTGATCCTCCTGCCTCTCCTTCCCAAAGTGCTGGGATTACAGGCATGAGCCACCGCACCCAGCCAGGATATGTACTTTAAACAAATACCACACCTGTATGTATCTCTTCCAACTATGTGTGACCATGTGATAAAATTTGACCACTAGAATGTAAACAAAAGGTTGTGTAGCATCTCCTGATAACATTGCTTAAAAGATAATGTGTGTACTCCTTTGTCAGTTTTGTTATCCTGATATCTGGAATGCTACACATTGGCACTGGAACTATAGTCACCATCTTGGATAATGAGTGTAAGATCCACACTTCAGGGAAGACAGAGAGACAAGACTGACAGGAGACTGGTTTTGTTTGTTTGTTTGTTTGTTGAGACAGAGTTTCGCTCTTGTTGCCCAGGCTGGAGTGCAATGGCGCAATCTTGGCTCACTGCAACCTCCGCCTTCCAGGTTCAAGCGATTCTCCTGCCTCAGCCTCCTGAGTAGCTGGGATTACAGGTATGCGTCATCACTCCCGACTAATTTTGTGTTTTTAGTAGAGACTAAAATGTTGGCCAGGCTGGTCTCGAACTCCCGATCTCAGGTGATCCACCCACCTCAGCCTCCCAAGGTGCTGGGATTACAGGCGTGAGCCACTGCGCTCGGCCAGGAGACTGGTTCTTGAGCAATTTGTAAGATAGGACAGCACATCAACTTTGGATTACTTTTCCCTGGATATTTTTAAGTAGAAAAATGTTTCTATCCTGTTCAAGCATCTTTTATTTGCAGTCTCTGTGATTTGTAGCCAATTTCATACTAACTGTGACAAATGGACCTTTGAGAAAAAGAACTAGGGGAAAAGAGAAACTCTTTTCTCTTTTCTCCATCAGTTTTATACTATTTTTTAAATATTTAAATATTAAATCACGATTGTTATTTTATTTATTTATTTTTCAATTAATAGGGCTTTGAACTTGATTGAAAATTGAATACAGACTGGGAAGGCTGAGGGAATGAATTTGAAGATGACGCTAAGGTCTCTGGTATGAGTGACTAAGACTATACAGTGACCATCCCAGAAGCTGTGTTCTGAGGATGAACAGGCTTGGAAGAAAATACATGGTCACCTTTATGATTACAGTTTCCAAAGCTTCACTTTCTGTGACAGGCAGAATAATAGTGCCCATAGAGTCCCATGTTCTCATCCCCCCACCTTGTGGGTACATTACCTTAAATAGCAAAGAGGCTTTGCAGATGTGACTCAGTAGAGGATCTTGAGGTGGGGAGACTCTTCTTGATTGGGCCCAGTGTAATCACAACGGTTCTTATAAGAGGAAGGGAGGCAGAAGGTCAGCATCGGAAACAAAGATGTGACAGTAGAAGCCGAGGTCTGAGTGATATGGGGCCAGAAGCCAAGAAATGGGGGCAGTCCCTAGAAGCTCAAGGCAAGTAGATTCTACGCTAGAGCCTCCAGAAAAAACACAGTCCTGTCTACCCAATTTAGACTTCTGGCCTCCTGGACTATATGATAATATGTGTTTGTTTGTTTGTTTGTTTGAGACGGAGTTTTGCTTTTTTTGCCCAGGCTAAAGTGCAATGGCACAATCTCAGCTCACTGCAACCTTCACCTCCTGGGTTCAAGCGATTCTCCTGCCTCAGCCTCCCAAGTAGCTGGGATTACAGATGCGTGCCACCACGCCTGGCTAATTTTGGATTTTGGATTTTTAGTAGAGACGGGGGTTTCCCCGTGTTGACCAGGCTGGTCTCAAACTCCTAAACTTGGGTGATCTACCTGCCTCGGCCTCCCAAAGTGCAGGGATTACAGGCGTGAGCCACCGCGCCCAGCTGCATTTGTTGTTTTAAGCCACAAAATTTGTGGTAGTTTGTCACAGCAGCAATAGGACACAAATATACCTTGAAACAAGGATTTCAAATAATCCTAAAACAAGGATTTCCCTTCAGCTTGGTAGGTTCTGTCAAAAAGAACTTCCTGTAAGGACTTCTTAGTTCTTTCTTGCAGCAGGATCTGAATATTCCATGTCTTTTTTTCCTAAATTCTGGGCCCTTTCTTGGGGCTCAAACTGGGTTATGAGTATACACATTCCATGGATCCTTCTGCAGACTCCAGAATGACACCTCCAGGGCTCCCCATCCGGCATCAGCAGTCCACACAAATACATCTTAAGAACAATTCCACTTGCTTCACATTACCAAGCCACTGCTCTGGCAATCAAAAAACAACAAAAAAAGGCCGGCTCTGTTGACTCATGCCTGTAATCCCAGCACTTTGGGAGGCTGAGGAGGGTGGATCACTTGAGGTCAGGAGTTCAAGACTGGCCTGGCCAACATGGTTAAATTCTGTCTCTGCTAAAAAATACAAAAATTAGCCAGGCGTGGTCACGGCTGCCTGTGGCCCCAGCTACTCGGGAGGTTGAGGCACGAGAATCGCTTAAACCTGGGAGAGGGAGGTTGTGGTGAGCTGAGATCACACCACTGCACTCCAGCCTGGGCAACAGAGTGAGACTCTGTCTCAAAAACAAAACAAAACAAAACAAAATAACTCCAGGTTATTATAGATTTGTATTTTTAAATCAAGATAAGGATTAATAGGGGAAAAAATCATGCCATTCTTGACAATAAAATTACACGTTTTGATAACACAGGCTTCCCTTAAAGCGACAACCAAATGAAAGATGGAGTGTGTACATTGTTTATTTATGATATGAGTGTGCGTATATCTCCCTCCCAAGGGTTTTAGAAAGACTAAATGAGGTCGTGGATGTGAAACTCATATAACGTAAAATTAACTGTATTAATGCAAACAACTTTAGTTGCATTTAGTACCTTCACAGTATTGGGCAACCAACACCTCTGTCTAGTTCCAAACACTTTTAAGACCCCAAAAGAAAACCCCAGGCCCATTAAAACTTATACCCCGTCTCTCCTCCCCACAATCCCTTGTAACTACCAATCTGCTTTCTATTTCTGTGGGTTTACTTGTCTAGTCTAGGTATATCATTTAAATGGAACCACACAATGCATGACCTTTTATGTCGGGCTTATTTTATTTAGCATAATCTGTTCATGGTTAATCCATGTTATATTGTGTATCAACACTCTATTGCTTTTTACGGCTGAAGAGTACTCAGTTGCATGTACATGCCACAGTTTGTTTATTCATTCATCCATCGATAGACATTTCGGTTGTTCCTACGTTTTTGGTTGTTTTTTTTTTTTGTTTTTTTTTTTTTTTTGAGATGGAGTTTCACTTTTGCTGCCCAGACTGGAGTGCAGTGGCGTGGTCTTGGCTCACTACCACCTCTGCCTCCCAGGTTCAAGTGATTCTCCTGCCTCAGTCCCCTAACTAGCTGCGATTACAGGCACCCGCCACCACGCCCAGCTAATTTTTGTATTTTTAGTGGAGACAGGGTTTCACCGTATTGGCCAGGCTGGTCTCGAACTCCTGAGCTCAGATGATCAGCCCGCCTCGGTCTCCCAAAGTGCTGGGATTACAGGAATGAGCCACTGCGCCCAGCCTGCTTCTACTTTTTTACTATTGTGAATAGTGTGAGTGCTAGCATATTCTTAAGGTGTGTTAGAGAAGAAAAAAACAGTAGATCAGTGATTCCCATATCAGACTAATGATCAGGAATATCTAGAAACCTTTAAAGGTAAATAGGTTCTGGAACCCAACCGCAGATAAACTGACTAAAACCCAGACAGTGAGACCCTAGCATTCAAGCTCCCTGGGAGGTGGTGATACACACCAAAGTCTGAGGACAATAATTATTAAAATGCAAGAACAAAAAGGATCATTATTTTATGTGATATTATCTATGCAGGCAACTACCTCATATCGTGTAATTTCCAAGTTAACACAAGTAGCCCTGGTTCTTAATGATGAATGCCCAGAATCCCTTTAATAGGAGCCTTTCACCCCAAAAGAATGACAAGTCTTAGAGGGTAAATCCTTTGGGAGAGGGTCAATAATAAAAATTAATGTAGAGGTATAAATAACTAATATCAAATGAAAGCAGGCTTAGAGAGGAGGCTTAGACAAGATGAGATGAGGTGAGAAGGACATTTGGTTTCTGACAAACACTGAGAAGAGATAATTGGTGAGTTTGATAATGCTCACTTCCTCAGGCCTGGCGTTTCCCAGGAATATGTACATATTGCACCAGGTGAAGGGCACAAGTGTTCAGAGAGCAAGGGTCTTGTCTAGAGAAAGCAGCCTGCATTCCAAATCATGAATTCATTTGCCTCTCTCCAGGCACTGGCTCCAGGGTTCACATATATGTGAAAGATGACTGGACACCAGGAATGACTACTGTAGGCTCACCAGTTAGTCTTTTCCAAATATGTGTCTTCTCTAGGTATCTTGAATGGGATAGTCTTTTACATGACCAACTTTTTTTTTTTTTTTTAAAGAGCTCCTGTTGGAGCTTTTACTCTTTGCTCATCTGCAGATGGGGAGACGTCATTCCAGACTTGGTATACGTCCACAGATGGGATAAAGAATCCTCCTAGGTTCTTCTGATAGTCCCTTGTTTCTGTTAGAGCTCTTCTGTGATGTCTTTGCTAGAGCGGTGGTATGTCTGTGTGCTATGTATCTGTGGAGTGCATAGATACACATTGGACCTTTCCCTGGTCCAATGTCCAAGATACACATTGGACCTTTCCCTGGTCCAATATCTGCTGGTAGGAGTCATTTCTCTAGGGTGGGCACTGTGGTATGTTGAGGTAGAAACTCCTGCTCCCATCCCCTTGTCATCTCTTCATGAAGAAGGGGAAATATTTGTTGTTCATCTAACATGATCTACACTTTTTCACGGACCAGCGTTTAAGTCCCAGTTTTAAACTAGATGTCTTTTCTTTTTGTCAATGTCTTAACAGAGAAAGGTCAAGAGTGGCCAATAATTCATAGTGTGACCAGGGCCCCTGGATCAGATAATCACAATCCCTCTTGGCAGGACTTGAATTGCCTTTTAATTCAGTGTTATTCTCTGAGAGAGAGAGAGAAAAAATGAGGTTGAGATCAATGCGCCAATAGCCAAGCAGCTCTGAACTCAGTGTTCTTTCAACAAAAGGAAGCACAAAGATTACAGCTATGCTTTGTCCAAGTGAATGGATAAATTCTCACTCATCCTCTTAGAGGAAAACTGGTAACAAATGCTCCTTTCCAAGCCAGTTTTTTAAGACCCCAAGCCAGCTTTGGACCACGGCTTCAGTAGATGTTTGTGTGTGGATTTAGGATGATCCACTCTTAACTGTTACTTGCTACAGTGTTGCTCTCCTCCCTGTCTTCGCTCAGCGTGTAGAACGGTAAGTTAACTACGATACTACTTCCACCTCTGTCCTGCATCCCCACAGCCTCAGCTTTAGACTACCGCTGCTCACCAGACTGATGCCAGAATCTGGTGGGAAGGAAAGCCTGGGAACCCTCTCTGTGATGCTAATTTGGGCAAAGCACTCCCCCACTCCTGCTGTAAGGTAGGTCACCTGCCCATCACCTACTCCACTTTCTGCTCCTCCTCAGAGCGGCAGGAAAGAAAGAGGTCGTGGCCCTCCTCAGCTAGTTCTAGCTAAAGAGATCAGAAACGCCTTTGGAAGCTGAGGGGCGGTGAAAAAAAAAAGGGCAAGCTCTTTTCTTTGGAAGGATCCTCAGAGGAAATGCAGCTTGACGTTTGACACGGGAGTGTGGAGCAGTAATAAAGAGATGAAAGGTGAAATGATCAGTCCGGTCTTCAACTACATGCTTCATCTCTAGATCCAGTTCCCTCCAGTGGCAACCCAACGCTGTCTTTTTCTCTCCCCCTCATTTCTCTTTTTTTCCCTGAAACACATCTTAGAAAGAGAAAGACTTTCTAATGAGGCAAGACAAGCAGGACATTAGCCCCTAGCACCAATTTTAGCACAGGCAGTTGAAAGCATCCTAGTTAGTCAGTGAATGCTACCTGCAGGGCCCATCTGCTTGCCTTTTGAAATGTTTGGCCCTTGCTTTGAAACTTTTTAAAAATATAACCAAGTATTCTCTTTATCAAAAGGACTCTCTCTGGCAGAGGTAAGGGATTGAACTGTCTAAATATTCCAAAGCCAAGCTTGCTCTAGGCAAAGGAAGGCAACATTTCTTTCTTTCTTTCTTTTAATTATACTTTAAGTTCTAAAGTACATATGCACAACGTGCTGGTTTGTTACATAGGTGTACATGTGCCATGTTGGTTTGCTGCACCCATTAACTTGTCATTTACATTCGGTATTTCTCTTAATGCTATCCCTCCCCCTGCCCCCTACCCCACGACAGGCCCCCGTGTGTTTCCTGCCCTGTGTCCCAGTGTTCTCATTTTTCAGTTCCCACCTATGAGTGAGAACATGTGGTGTTTGGTTTTCTGTCCTTGTGATAGTTTGCTCAGAATGATGGTTTCCATCTTCATCCATGTCCCTGCAAAGGACATGAACTCATCCTTTTTTATGGCTGCACAGTATTCCATGGTGTATATGTGCCACATTTTCTTAATCTAGTCTATCATTGGTGGACATTTGGTTTGGTTACAAGTTTTTGCTATTGTGAATAGTGCCACAGTGAACATACGTGTGCATGTGTCTTTATAGTAGCACGATTTATAATCCTTTGGGTATATACCCAGGAATGGGATCACTGGGTCAAATGGTATTTCTAGTTCTAGATCCTTGAGGAATTGCCACACTGTCTTCCACTATGGTTGAACTAGTTTATACTCCCACCAAGAGTGTAAAAGCATTCCTATTTCTCCACATCCTCCTCAGCATCTGTTGTTTCCTGACTTTTTAATGATCACCATGCTAACTGGTGTGAGATGGTGTCTCATTGTGGTTTGATTTGCATTTCTCTGCACCACTGATGATGAGCATTTTTTCATGTGTCTGTCGGCTGCATAAATGTCTTCTTTTGAGAAGTGTCTGTCACATCCTTTGCCCACTTTTTGATGAGGTTGTTTGTTTTTTTCTTGTAAATTTGTTTAAGTTCTTTGTAGATTCTGGATATTAGCCCACTGTCAGATGGGTAGATTGCAAAAATTTTCTCCCATTCTGTAGGTTGCTTGTTCATTCAGGACATAGGCGCAGGCAAGGACTTCATGACTAAAACACCAAAAGGAAGGCAACATTTTTTACATTTACAAGATGTCATCCTGCATAGCATTGACTTCATTCATTGTTTACTTCCTGAATTCATGATGTGGTCAAAGTTAGCGGGGCATGAGTAGTGTGGCAGGATGGGTAGAGAAACAGATAAATTAGGTAAGGTCCAGTCCTTTAAGAGTTTAGTCTAGATGGCAGAGAGGCACCCACATTCAAATAACTTTAATGAAAGATAGAAAGTGAATACCGTAGCCCTCATCAGGGGTCAGGCTGAAGAGGTGGGGGTAAAAAAGCATTACTATTGGAATCATTTTAGCAGGTTTTCAAGATATTCTGAATTCCCCTTATGAGCTTTGTTTGGACACAAAACTCATGATTATACTGGTCACAGACACTATGTCCTAGTCATACAACTGTGACCAAAAAAGACATGGTCAATGTCATTATGGAACTTACACAGGACTTGATGGAAGTAGACCATAGCCAAACAATTAGGCAACTAAATATACAGTTACAAGTAGAAAAATAAAATTTTGGGCCGGGAGTGTTGGCTCATGCCTGTAATCCCAGCACTTTGGGAGGCCAAGGCGGGCGGATCACCTGAGGTCAGGAGCTCAAGACAGGCCTGGCCAACATGGTGAAACTCTGTCTCCACTAAAAATACAAAAATTAGCCGGGCATGATGGCATACACCTGTAGTCTCAGCTACTGGGGAGGCTGAGGCAGGAGAATTGCTCGAACCTAGGAAGCGGAGGTTGCAGTGAGCTGAGATGGCACCACTGCACTCCAGACTGGGTGAAAGAGCAAGACTCTTTCTCAAAAAAAAAAATAAAAAGATTTTGGAGAGTCTAAGAGGAAGAGGAAGAATTGTTTCCAGCTTAGGTGTGGTGGGAAGGTATCAAAGAAGATTTTATGGATAAAGAACCATTCATGCTCAATGTTGAAAGTTGCATATGATTTGGATATTGAGTGGCAGTAGGGGAAGGGGATTCCCTTTGAAGGGCACAGCGTGAACAAGGGCAACAAAGCAGGAAAGGGCAGGAGACACACTCTGCTGTGAAGTCATGGCAGAGCCACTGAACTTTTCTGGGCAGTGGAATTATTAGCTACATATTTTAAAAAGATTTGTTTAGCAGCATTACAGGAAGGAAGGAGGGAGGAACAGAGATAAGGAAGGTGGACCTTTGGGCAGCTACCAAAATATAAAATGGAAGAAGAGCAGTCAGTGGCAGAGGGGATGGCAAGAAGGAAGTGGACAGAAGAGGCATTGCTGGTTTATAATCCTGAGAATTTGGCAATAACTAGATGGCAGGGGGCAGAGTAAAGGGATGGGTGAGAGAGGGGAGAATAAAAGATAATTCCAATGTGTCTACCCTGGGAATATAGAAATAGAGATCTTCATGATAGTGGGGATGGGACAGGGGCTGGATTTATAGAGAAATTTCATTTGGAAATCCCAGCGTATTTACCCAGATACTAAGAATGAGGGCGTTCACCTTATAGTCACCCCTTCTCGTTTTCTATCTCTTCTTCTCCCATCCCTACCCTCTATGCTTAGCACTCTGTAGTAGTAGATTATAAATTACCACAATTTGGCCAGGCGCGGTGGCTCATGCCTGTAATCCCAGCACTTTGGGAGGCCGAGGCTGGTGGATCATGAGGTCAGGAGATTCAGACTATCCTGGTCAACATGGTGAAACCCCATCTCTGCTAAAATATATAAAAAATTAGCTGGATGTGGTGGCGGGCACCTGTAATCCCAGGCTACTCTGGAGGTTGAGGCAGGGGAATCACTTGAACCTGGCAGGCAGAGGTTGCAGTGAGTCGAGATCATGCCACTGCACTCCAGCCTGCCAACAGACCAAGATTCTGTCTCAAATAATAATAATAATAATAATAATAATTACCACAATTTTTGAGAAGTTAGAAAACTTCTCCCAAACTATCATCAGCAAATTCATTTCCCATCAAGAGGTCTGGTTAGCAGTGGAAAGGGACTTTGGTAACATTAGACAGCCAATACACAGCCAAGCACCTTTCAACATTGCTACCCTACCATTTACCAGCTATGACCTTGGGCAAGTCATTCTGCCTCCCTAAGCTTCACATTCTTCATTTGGAAGAAATTAGGAATAGTGAAACCTACTCCATCTACCTCAACAGAGTGCCAAATGCTTCAGAAAGAATCCAGATGAGAGGTCATGAGCTTCTGCCAGAACAAAGACAGTGGTGATCAAGGGAGAGAGTGATAAGCTCTCAAAGGCAGCCAAGTGGAGAGGAATGCCGACAATGTGGATTAGGCCAAGGAAAAAGTGTTGGAAGATAAGTAAATGACACACAAATGAGTAAACGAGCATCTACATGCTTTCTCATTGTGCATCAAAAGCAGATTTTGAGATTAGAACTTAGATCTTTAAAAACCTCTGTTTGGGCTTTACAGGTGTGGTGTAATCCCCTCTGTTTGGGATTACAGGTGTGGTGGCTCACGCCTGTAATCCCAGCACTTTGGGAGGCCAAGGCAGGTGGATCATCTGAGGTCAGGAGTTTGAGACCAGCCTGGCCAACATGGTGAAATCCCGTCTCTACTAAAAATACAAAATTTAGCTGGGTGTGGTGGCAGATGCCTGTAATCCCAGCTACTCCAAAGGTTGAGGCAGGAGAATCGATTGAATCCGGGAGGCAGAGGTTGCAGTTAGCTGAGATTGTGCCATTGCACTCCAGCCTGGGAGATAAGAGCGAAACTCTGTCTCAAAAACAGACAGACAAACAAACAAACAACAACAAAAACAAAACAAAACAAAGAAACAAACAAACAAAAAACTCTTGTTTGAGAGGGAGAAAGGGAGGGAGAAAGACGGTCATTACTTGCCAGAGTTGGCTCTCTGCCTCCCAACATCCACTCTCTGCTTCAGTTAACCATACTGGATTTTGGCTGGGCACAAACCGTGTCAGCTAAAAGACTGGATTTCCTAGCTTCTTTTGCAGTTTGGCAGGTGTATGTGACCAAGGCATGTTCAGTGAGAAATCAGCAGATACATGTGTGACTTTCAGAAACTGTTCTTAGGGAGAGACCTCTTCCCTTCATCCTTTCATCTACTCAGACTGAAGACTGAATGGTTGAAGCTCCAGGAGCTATTTTTGTCCTCGAGGTGGCCTTGCAAATAGAAATCACACAGTAGAACAATAAGAAAGAAGGAACATGGGTCTACAGTTGATGGAACTGCAGCTACCTTCCTCAGGTTGCTTATCTCAGATGTCTTTTTGGCCATTGTATTACATGTTTATTATTGCTCTGAGAAATTACCACAAACTTAGTGGCTTAAAACAATAAAATTTTCTTTTTGTCTTGTAGTTCTATAGTACAGAAGCCTGACAGGGATCTTACTGGGCTAAGATTAATGTATCCGCAGGATGCATTCCTTTCTGGAGGCTATAGGGGAAAATATGTTTCCTTATTTTTTCCAGCTCCGAAAAACTGCCCACATTCTCAAATGATGGCCTTCTTCTTCTGTCTTCAAAGCTAACAACATAGACCCGATCTTTCTCATGCTACCATCACGGTCTCTCTTCTGATTCTCTCTTTCACTTTTAAGGACATTTGAGTTTACACTGGTCCCACCTAGAAAATTCAGGATAATCTCCTTAGGTTAAAGTCAGTTTATTAACAACCTTAATTCGATCTTCGTCTTTATTTCCCCTTTGCCATGTAACATAACATTTTCACAGGTTCTGGGGATTAGGGCTTATCTGTGAGGTCACAGTGGTGGAGAACTCTACCTCTATCTTGTCCAAGCCGTTATTTTTCAGGTCTTTGTTGCTCACAGCTGAACCTAATTCTAGCTAGTTCAATAAGGCATTCCTATAGCAGGCATTTGCTGCATATCTGCTGTTCTATCATGGTGATGCTGGTTATGATCTGATAACACTGGACTGTTCTGACACCCACAATTCTCCCTAGGCTGTGAGACACCACTTTGCACAGCACCTGCCACATGTCCAGTGTCTACAGTGAACTGATCCATTCACTGCCATAGGAGCAGAAAGAGACTGTCTACCCATAAACTAACCACATCTCCTGCTCCCCAATCCCCTCCAGACTTGCCTCAGCACAGAGAAGGCCCAGAGCTGGAAAGGACTTAACCAAATCCTATAGCAAGTTCACGGCATTGCCAGGACGGGAACCCAGGCCTCTGAATACCACTCCTGCATATCTTTCTTCCTTAAGCCATTATGGGCTTTTCAAGGAAGAATGTATTAAACATACTCTCACAGCTGCACGGCCCCAGGAACCCCAGTCACAAACTTTGGTATAGGCTAAAAACCATGTTTACCTTTGTCACAATGATTCTAATAATACCAAATGTTTAAAGCATCAGCTGGATTTTCTATATTCTCTTTCCAGCTCTGAAATCTGCATAGTAAAGTTATCTGGTGTGTGGACTACTGGTTTTCCTGCATCTTTCAGGCTCATACTCTATTTCTCATATTTCTTAAATGAGGATCTTTTAAGGCTTCGTAGTACTTACAGTAACATAGATATAAGGGGACCAAATTAAGGCCTCAGGGTGGGGAGTTTATGCATTCTAGTGCCATCTCTGACTTTGCCCTCATCTCGCTCAGTGTTAGCATTTCCATCTTAAAAATGGGGCAACAGCAAGTGTACCTCAAAATAATTGCAAGGAACAGCTAATAAAACACATTACCACTATGCAAATTGTCATCTAACTACTAGTAATAAAACATTGAGCAACCAGGAATTTCACTTGTCCCAGTCTTGCTTTGGCTGTAAGTCAGAGTGAAAGTAGGGGAACTAGAACCAGCCCAGGCCACAAAGCCAGGAGGAAGATGCCTGATGGGGCAGCCAACCTACTACAGAAGTGTGTTGGAGAGTTAATGGGCTGGGAAGACCTTGGCAAACTCCTCTGCTGAAACCTCTTGCTCTGATTTTTCTTCAAGATCTGATTTCCCAAGCTCTCTTTGACAACTGTTTCTGAGTTACACTCCTCAGATAGTTGGAAAGGCCTCCTTAAGCAATTTTTTTTTTTTTTGAGACAGAGTTTCATTTTTGTTGCCCAGGCTGGAGTGCAATGGCTCGATCTCAGCTCACTGCAACCTTTGCCTCCTGGGTTCAAATGATTCTCCTGCCTCAGCCCCCCGAGTAGCTAAGGTTACAGGTATGCACCACCATGTCCAGCTAATTTTTTTGTATTTTTAGCAGAGATGGGGTTTCACCATGTTGGTCAGGCTGGTCTTGAACTCCCGACCTCAGGTGATCCACCTGCCTCGGCCTCCCAAAGTGCTGGGATTACAGGCGTGAGCCACCACGCCTGGCCTCAATTTAAGTCAGTTTGCTTTGGCTCTGTCTTCAGTGGAAATGGAAATATTCTATTCATACACATGCCAGCCTACGCCAACACCTCCACACTCCCACCCATACAGCAATCACCTTTCTTATGTCTGATTTCCAGTATTAGATGTTCCATAGCATTTCCCAATGCTCAATGCCTTTCTTCATAAATGTAGTGTTTGTCATTGCTGTTGTTTCATCTAAGAGTTTTATAGTAAGTTAAAATGCAGAATTTTAAAGCTGAATAAAATCTTTGAGATCATTCTCCAAACATCTAGATCTTGTACCTGAGAAGACTGAGGCTCCAATATATCTGGTCTTGTTAGGTGACAGAGCTATCGTGTTAAGACAAAGAACAGTAAACAAGACCTAAGGAATTTTGATAATAAGATATTATTATCTTATCAGTATCAGAATAATACTGAACTTATGCTAATTTCTAATTTTTCATTCTCCACATAATATCGCCTGATATTTGTATGGTACACTGATATTTATTTTGAGCATAAGCAGTCATCCTGCTTCTTGTATAATAGCTGTTTACTGTTCTTCTGTCAGATACATCATTTTTCCTCAATTAAGCATAATCCTTCACATTCACATCAACTTCCCTAACTGAAGGGGTCATACTGAATTCTAATTCTACCTCATTTCATCTAACATTTATGAAGCAGCTCCTCCAAACCAGGCATCATCACATAAATACCTCATTTGAACCTCAAAACAGCTTTATGTTGAGGATATTATTATCTTTATCTTAGAGATGAAATAAAATGAGGCACAGGGCAGCCAAGCAGCCAACCCAAGATTGTTCACCTGCTGAGATCTAAGTCTTCTGTGCTCAAGACAGCGTATCACCTCTCATGTAGTATCAGCTATCCACTAATTTTCTTACAGCAGTAAGTCAAGGAATGATACTCCTTTTCCAATATCCCCACCATGGATGTAAATACTAAGGGGACTAATTAGCCCCACCATGGATGTAAATACTAAGTAGAATAATTAGCCCCATCGTGGGTGTAAATACTAAGTATAATAATTAGCCCCACCGTGCATGTAAATATTATGTAGAAAAATTAGCCCTAACATGAATGTAAATATTAGACTCTGGGCTCTGTTGCCCAGACTGGAGTGCAGTGGTGCAATCTCGGCTCACTGCAACCTCTGCTTCCCGGGTTCAAGCAATTCTCCCTGCCTCAGCTTCCTAAGTAGCTGAGATTACAGGCACCTGCCACCACGCCCAGCTAATTTTTGTATTTTTTTAGTAGAGACAGGATTTTGCCATGTTGGCCAGGCTGGTCTTAAACTCCTGACCTCAGGTGATCTTCCCGCCTTGGCCTCCCAAAGTGCTGGGATTACAGGCGTGAGCCACCGTGCTTGGCCAGAATGTAATATACTCTTCAAGTTGAAAGTGAATGATAACTTCAGTGCTCCCTAAAATGTAGGTTAATGAGAAGAAAGTATGAAATTTCCTTTCAATATATGGCCACAGATAGGTAAGCAAAGCAGAAAATGATGAGGGTAAATGGTAGAGCATGCCCAGAGTCTGAATAAAGAGGCTGTCACTTCTAATGGGGATCAGGAAGGGTGTCTTGGAAAAGTGACATGCCACCCAGGTTTCTATGGTTGGTAGAATTCAAAAAGGAAGATGTTGGGGGAGAGGCATTTGAGCCAGAGGTTAAAAGCAGAGACCCAGAAGGAGGAAGAGTTTGGGGAAAGGGGTAAAATGAGAAATACCTGCAGGAACTGGGAACAATTAACTGGAAAAAAAGATAATCCTGGGTTTCCATGTGTCTGAAGGGTGGTCAAATTAAAGGTAGATAAGTCTTGCTCTGTGAAGTTAAGATTCCAAAAGGTCAGTTCATTGGACATAAAGCCATAGAGTCAATTAGTGGCAAAGAACCAGGACCATGGCAAAGAACTAGGCACATCTTTTCTAGCAACTAGACCTGCTCAGTAATAGCAAAGGCTTTCCCTTGGGGAGCTGAGGAACTCATCAGGGAAAATATCAAGGTAGAGGCCAGGAGACCCTGAGCCCCATGAGCTGGGTTATAAAAGGTATTTCTGCACTCTGTGGGGTGGGCTTAGATAAACTTTAAGGGCTCTACCATTTCTGAATTTTTTATTTTATTTTATTTTATTTATTTATTTGATACAGGGTCTTGCGCTGTCACCCAGACTGGAGTGCAGTGGTGTGATCTCTGCTCACTGCAACCTCCACCTACTAGGCTCAAGTGATCAATCCTCCTGCCACAGCCTCCTGAGTGGCTGGAACTACAGGCGCAAGCCACCATGGCCAGCTAATTTTTGTATTTTTTTGTAGAGTCAGGGTTTAACCATGTTGCCCAGGCTGGTCTTGAACTCCTGAGTTCACGTAATCTGCCTGCCTTGACCTCCCAAAGTGCTGGGATTACAGGTTTGATTCACCACACCTGGCCCCATTTCTGAATTTCTCTTTTTTTTTTTTTTTTATTTGACACAGAGTCCCACTCTGTCGCCAGGCAGGAGTACAGTGGCGTGATCTCGGCTCACTGCAACCTCCGCCTCCCGGGTTCAAGCGATTCTCCTGCCTCAGCCTCCCAAGTAGCTGGTACTACAGGTGCATGCCACCATGCCCAGTTAATTTTTTGTATTTTTAGTAGAGACAGGGTTTCACCATGTTGGCTAGGATGGTCTTGATCTCCTGACCTTCTGATCCACCCGCCTCAGCCTCCCAAAGTGCTGGGATTACAGGCGTGAGCCACCGTGCCTGGCCCCATTTCTGAATTTCTAAGATTCCAAAAGTTGAAGGAGGCAGATTGTGGCTCCACCCAAGAAGGAACCTTTCAAACCTGTGAGGGAGACTGGAGCTCTTGGAGGACTGGGGCTCTACGCCAAGGATGCTCAGCCTCTGCGTGGAGAGGACAATTTTCAAGGCATCTTCCAACCCTGAGATTTCAGTGATTTGTGTTAAACTAGACCTGGGAAGGGTGTTTTTGTAACTTATATTTTTTTATTCCCTAAAACGTTCTTCAGAAAAAGCCTTATCTTCCTTCCAATATTTCATTAGCGTTCACTTTCCTGTGTTTCTCTGATTGTTGCCCTCCAGGTAAATTTTGTGCTAAATATATGTGACCTGGCTAGTGACTTGGTTGTATTTTTTTTATTTGTTTGTTTGTTTTGAGACAAAGTCTCCCAGACTGGAGTGCAGTGGCGTGATCTTGGCTCACTGCAACTTCCGCCTCCCAGGTTCAAGCGATTCTCCTGCCTCAGCCTCTGGAATAGATGGGATTACGGGTGCATATCACCACGCCCAGCTAATTTTGTATTTTTAGTAAAGACGGGGTTTTGCCATGTTGGCCAGGCTGGTCTCGACCTCCTGACCTCAGGTGATCCGCCCGCCTTGGCCTCCCAAAGCGCTGGGATCACAGGCATGAGCCACCTCACCCAGCTGCCTTGGTTGTATTTGGATTGAATGTACTCTGCGCGTATGTCTATTCAGTGCTCCAAACAGGGCTAAGTGTTTAAATAATCATACATAGTCACTCACATTCTTGGAGTTTTATTATAGCCTTATTACGTATCCATGTTTAATAGTTTAATAGTTTAGTAATTATTTAATAATTGTGTAAGCCTATGATATAGATAGTAGCATCACTACTTGGAGAATGAGGAGGGCAGGGATACAGTGAGCCCAAGGCTGGCTCCAGTGTGCCTCACACCCCACCGTCAGCCTCCCAGGGTGACTCGGCACTGCAGCATTGCCACAGTTTTCTGAGGAAGAAGCTAAGACACCCAACAGGCAGAGGATTGGGGCTAAGGTTATAGAGTCTAGGTGTAACAAGGCCATATCAGCTTTGAATATGTGTCTACAAAATCTTTATTTTTAAAAACCACCTTCAGCCACCCCCAGTCACTCATCTAGAAAGGCCTGGAAGACACAAAATGACTTGCCTATGTTCCTCATGATGCTGACCGAGTCCCCAATATGTCACTCTGAGAACTACAATAGATTTCTTACTATTAATAAAAAGTCAAAATATGAAAACCAAAATTCATTTCTCAAGAATATTATTACTTCTATATGGCTGTATGCTCCCCACCTGCAGATCACACTTTGCTGGATTATTAAATATTGGCATCATCTTCCCAAGCACCTACTTTATAATCCTTTGTCCTTCAAATGAATACTGGGTAAGATTCTCCAGTAAAAATTATAAGGGAGTTCCATTACCATTAAAGTAACTAAAAATCAAAACAAACTAATTCTACCCTTCTAGTTGCTTCTCTGAGATTTCCCAGGCTTCTGTGTTTCTGTGAAATGGCTTACCTCCATGCCCTAAAAATAACCCAAATTTCCCACTTACAAGCCTTTATTCACATCACTCTCTCAGCCTGGAATGCCCCCTCTCCCCATTCCCTGTTCGTCAAAGCCTTACTCATATTTTAAGGACCAGTTCACATGTCGCCCTGTATGAAGCCTTTCCTAATCCTCGCAGTTGGGATTAATCTCTTCTTTCTCCAGCCCTCATTTCATTATGTCTTGTTAAATGGATTTTTTTAAATTACTTGCCTTTCTCCTACACTAGACTGTGACTTCTTGAAGACCCAAATCAGGTGGAATTCACATGGACCAGGTGCAGAGGCTCACAGTATGCACTTGACATATGTTTATTGAATGAATAAAATTAACGTCAAATGTCATGCCCTATTTTTCCTTGTCTTATCAGACATTCAAAGATATTCAACTTCTCAAGTGTCTTCCTGCTTACAATCTGTACCTTCTTTCCTACAAATATTCCATAAAGGGTGAACAAGCTGCTACTGTTATGAAACATTTGCAACGGATTTCTAGAAATGGTGCACAGTTCACCTGTTCAATTAAATCATAAGGATTTCCTTTCTTTCTTTTAATTATAATCCAGAATATTCTTTCTTCTTTTTGTTAAGCACTGAAACAAATGTTCACAAATCAGAAATCACTGAATATCAGAGCCAGAAGAAAAAATCTAGCAATCCAACCCCTCTCCTTTTATTAAGCAACAGGGAAACTGAGTCTTAGAAAGAGGAGGTTACCTGTTCACAGTCAAATAGCAAGTTCCTAGCATGCTGAGACAAGGTTGTGATCTCCTATCTTTCAGGCCGAAGCTCTTTCCAATCCTGGTAATTCGTTAGAGGGTTTAACTTCCAAAGCAATGTTTGACCCAACACTCCACTTCCCACTGTGAATTCTGCTTCTTCATTTGAGAACTGCAAATCTCAGCTTTCTGATGCATCCTCAGTCACCTGTTGTTCCCAGCCCTCCGTGAGCAGGTCTGGCCAGTCCCAACATCCTGCTGCCCCTTGCTCTTTGCAAGTGCCTGATGTGGACATGGCCCGCTTCCAGCCTCCAGAACCATGTTTCTGCTCTTCTGTTACTAGGGAAGATCCAGTAAATTTCAGCTCTTCTTTCACCATTATTTATTCATTAAAACAAACTTATGAGGTACGTAGCTGTATTGTCCCCATGTCCCAGAGGTACAAACAGGCTAAGTCACTTGCTCGAAGCCACATGGCTTAAAAGTGGCCGACCTGGCAAAATATGTCAGAAGGACAGGAAATGGGAGATGAGCCCAGGTCTTCTGTCCCCAGGTGGCCCCTGCTCTTTACATTCATTTCAATCTCTCAGCAGGTGACATCACTAGTTTCCAAACTTTTTTTTTTTCTCAAGTACATTTGGGGAAATTAGTTTTTATCCCAGAGAGACACTTCCTGGGGGCAATTAAATATTAGTGGATTGGGTCTTCTTGTTTGATAAAATTTTGCCTTCTAAAAATGGCAAACAGAGTCATGATTTTTTTTTTCAAGATCACATTTCCTCACTAGAAAAATTCACCTTGGGGTAGAGTACTCGGTGGAGAATTCCAGTGAGAAAGGAAAATTTCTCAAAGAGCGGTGAGCAATCACAAAGAAGAACTTTGAAGTAGACAGGAAAAGTATTTGGTACCCTCTAGTATTTGTTACTACAAATGCTGGGCCTTGCAGAGATAAGAATTTCCTAACAAATGAGGGTGTTAGTCAGACTTAAGAGGGATTTTGCACTGTCTTTGGGTATAGACTTTCACAAAGAAAGTTGTGTTCTGAGACGGGCAAAAAAGCTGAAAGAGAGTAAGTCATCCTCGCATTGCGGCTATATGCACAAGCTCTTAGAGGGTGGACATTCGTTCTTCAGTTGATGAATACTTGCAGCCCTGAGTTGGAGAATTCAGGAGGAAAGGAAGGAAGATGAGAAAAAAGGAAAGGAGAGAGCAAAAGTGGAAGGGAGGAAAGAAGGAGAAGAAAATTGCTAAACACTGTTTATCCCCTCACCTCATTAAAAAATTCACTACTATAAAGTTACATTCTATTTTCCACCCATAATACTAACTCTGGGCTCAAGCGCACAAATACACACATGAAAATAATTCAGGGAGGAATTAGCATGTAGAATTACCTGGAATAATGTTTAGTGTGTTCGTTTAGCGGTGTGAGTTGCAGCTTATAAAACACCTCTGTTATGCTGCGTGCTTGGAGGATTCTTTGCATCCACAGTCACAGCAGTGCTGCACACTCTCTTGAGGCCAGGCTCACAGAGAAGGTGGCACTGTGGCATAGAGGGACAGATTTGGCCCCCTGTGAGCTCAGCTCCAGCCTCCCTGCATCCCAAAGCAGAGGGTATTTTCCCTAGTGGAAGAGACAGAAGGAACAGGTCCTCAGTGGAAAAGAGGAGATGAAACGTGTCAGCAGTAGGAACATCACACTGAGAGACAAGGGACGGGGCTACAGTCTTGGCCATGCCATCTCTCATTTAGTGATCTTAGTTAATCACTCCTTTTCTCAGGAAAATGAAGGGGTGTGGCCAGATGGGGCATGGCCTGAGGTTCTCTTGTAACTCTATTTGTTTTTTGTTTGTTTGTTTTTTTGAGACAGTCTTGCTCTATTGCCCAGGCTGGAGTGCAGTGGCACGATCTCAGCTCACTGCAACCTCCGCCTCCTGGGTTCAAGCAATTCTCATGCCTCAGCCTCCCACAAGTAGCTGGGATTACAGGCATGTTCCACCACATCTGACTATGTTTTTTATTTTTAGTAGAGATGGGGTTTCACCATGTTGGCCAGGCTGGTCAAGAACTCCTGGCCTCAAGTTATCCTCCCACCTTGGCATCCCAAAGTTCTGGGATTACAGGTGCGAGCCACTGTGCCTGGCCTCTAACTCTAATTTTTAATGGTGTTTATAATTTAAGTCACAGATTTAACTGTCTGTTTCCCTGTCTATAATGTGGCCAGGTTGGGCCAAATGACCTCTAAGTGGTCTTTGAGTTGGCTCTAAGCTCTAGAAATCTGTAATTCTACGACTAAATCAAGGCTCACTAAACACATGTAAAAGGAGAAAGGCTGCGGTTCCCCAAAGCATACAGGATATCAGGTTGCTCCCAATGTGCTAGCTAAGGCTAAAGTATGAGGTTCTCCAGTGCAGGTCACAGGGCAAACAGGTGAAGCTCTCAGTCACTTGGGTGCAGAGTGGCAGCTTCCCACACCTGAGGCCATTCTATCCCACTACTCCTGCCTTCAGCCCTGCTGTTTCAGCAGCCCTAATCATCAGAAGGTTGCATGGGCCCAGGTTGCACAACTCAGGGTCCCTTCTAAGACCTCTGAAGTCACCCACCCCAAATTCTTCCCCATCCATTCCTAGTACATAGTTTTCCAAAATCTCCCTATAGGTAGCCTGTTTCATCTTTCGGGGACTTTGATGATTAAGAAATATTTTGGGTCAAGGTGTGGGCCAAGGTATGTCTCCCTGTAACTTTTACCATTGGTCAAGTTCTGTCCTCTGAGGCCTCCTGTGACAAGTCTGCCCTCTCTTCCCTGTGGAAACCCACCAGGCCTTCGGTGACAACAGGCAAGGCCTTATGAAGTCTTCTTCTGGGTAAGGAACTCTGTTTTTTCTGATGGCATGGTTTTCGGCTATCTTACTCTCCTGGCCTGTAAATTCTCCACATTGCCAAACACGACATGAGACTTGGGGGATAAAAGATGTAGGTTTGAGTAGTGTGTCCACCAATGGGCTCTATTGCATAACACAGCTAAATTGAAGTTTTTATTTAGGGCGGATAAAATGTTGAATATAAACTTATAAATAATGAAGTGCTGCATAAAGGATTGTTATTACTACTACAGCTACTCTATATTGCTACTAAAAATAACAATTACCCCTACTAAATCAAGAACACAATGCAGCTGTCTTCTGAAACTACAGAATAGGAAAGAGAGCTGTCTTTTGCTTCGTCATTATATTCCTATGCCTTCAGCCTAACACCACTGTCGCTGTTTTGGTAAGCTGTATCTCAGAGTTGGCTCAGCCAGAGCTTACAGGCAACCAAATATTGAAGCTGCAGTTGTATTACACATGCTGCTGTCGGCCTAGGTTTTCCCAGTTCTTGTTATTGTAAAGTTAAGGGATTTACATTTGTCTCTGACATTTCATCATGTTTGTTTCACCCTGTTCAGATACTTTTGGACTATGATTCAGCCATGAAAAACAGTGCTTTCCAATTTTGGCTTCATGTCAGAATCATCTTGGAAAATTTTCTTAGCATAAATATTCCTCCTGAACCCTAGTCTCAAGATTTTAATTAATTTATTGTAGGGTGGGACTCAGGAAGCCATACCTAAAACAAGCATTTTAGGTGGTTCTTATCAGTGAAAGCATGAGGTTCCATCAGCCTGCATTTGGAAATCCAGCGTATACCACAGCCTACTCTGCTCAGTGTCACCTGAGCACTGGATAAACATGGCTTTTCTTTTAGGAAATCTTCTAAAGGGTAAGAAAATATCTACATCAAAGGTCAGGTGAAGACTGTCACAATGTTTGCATTCTGTTAATGTTGTACTTTCACAAGTCATTTCCTTCCTCATTCTCTAAAACAACGTAGATACAGCAACCTACAGATGAGCAGGACATAGACACAATGCTCCCATATGCCACTTTCTTTCCCACCAGGCAAGGTCGTGCCTTCTCATATCAGAAGTGTGCAATCCGGCCAAAAAGAGCATCCAGACTTAGAGTCCAGAGAAATTGACTGAGTAGGCATGTAAGTTGAAACCAATTTACCATTCCCTATTTTACCAACATTTCATCATTTCATTTTACTGGGAAGCCCCAGAGAGGTGCATTTACTTGCCAAGTTCACACAGTTTCGTCTAAAGTGATACGGGAAGATTCTTTCTGGACTTGAAGGAGCCCTATGTCTTCTTTACTGACTTTGATGATTCATTCATTCAGCACACACATACAGAGAATTCTCTGTGTACTAGGGAAGCATTATGTGTGGGATGGAGTAGAAAGAAATGAGACATAGTCCTTTTTCCTTTATCTCATTCTTGAAGTCCAGTAAGACAAGACCTATACAAAAATAACTGCCCAAGGTGGGCAAGAATGAATGCCATAAAAGGTCAAGAAAAGGAAGAATCACATTTTCTTCCTTCTAAGGAAAAGAGTTCTTTTGATCTTTCAGTTAAAAAAAAACAAAACACTAATTTCTCATTAAAAAATATGCTGCATTAAATCCATAATTATGTCCATGTGATCCCTTCAATGTCATCTCCTACATGGTACAGACCCTGCCATTTTTTAAATTATTTCAATAACACTTAGCATAATACAATGCACACCAAGGACTCACCTCTACCTTCAGTCTAAATCTTTTTATTCTTAAGTCCTGGGCATTAGCACAATTTTGTTACTAAAGACCTTTGAAAATGTCTTAGCTCTGTGACTACTGAATTTCTTCATATGGATCTACTTTAAAAGGCTTTCCCCACATTACTAAGGCTGTGGTCTAGTTCTTATATACCACTTGAACAAGAGCCTTCTTGTTACATAAATCCAGAGATCATTCCTCTAAGCCCCTGACTCATTGTTCTCACAGCTAGGCATTTCTGAAAACAAGATGCCATTTTGTTTCTAGGGTCAGAGCTCAAATCTTTATTGCCTCTGGTGAGATGATATTCTGTTCGCTTTCCTCCATTTAAGTATATAACATACCCTAAAGTATGTGCTAATTAATACATCTGTTTGTCTTACAAAGCAGTCGAAAAGCATGTATTTAAACTGTGATTCACATTTTCCCTTTCAGCCCGTCTGCAGATTTTTGTGCATGAGGAGCCTGATTACATTACTATTTTAAAAAGCCAATTAAAAAGTTCACTAAGTGACACTGGTGTGTTTTAGTGCAGGTAATAGAAGCATAAAGCTCTATGTGGCATTAACAAGCTGAAAGATACAACTGGATTTGATGGCAGAATTCATTTCTTCATCTTTCCAAAACAGTCTTCTGGAAAACAACTATGTATCTGTCCCAGAGGCAGGCCATGGGCACGTAGTCTGCACAGGCACTTTTAGGTTACAAAACAGTGAGCCATCTGTGGATGCACTCAGAGGGTTCACTGGCAAAGTCTTTATGGCTACTCCTTTAGAAAAAGAAGGGCTGGGTTGGGCGTGGTGGCTCATGCCTGTAATCCCAGCATGTTGGGAGGCTGAGGTGGACAGATCACAAGGTCAGGAGATCGAGACCATCCTGGCCAACATGGTGAAATCCCGTCTCTACTAAAATACAAAAAATTATCCAGGTGTGGCGGTGTGCGCCTGTAGTCCCAGCTCCTCAGGAGCTGAGGCAGGGGAATCACTTGAACCCAGGAGGCAGAAATTGCAGTGAGCTGAGATTGTGCCACTGCACTCCAGCCTGGTGACAGAGCAAGACTCCTGACCTGTACATTTGCCCAGTCTGAAACACATGACCTGAGGTTGGCCAATCCTGTACTTCCTCCTAGGACTTTGATTCTTTAGAAAATGAGGTGCAGATGGAGGAAACATTTGCAGTTAAAGCAGATCAGAGCACTAACACATGGGCCAGATTGTTCCTGATACATGACATTGACTATAGATCCTGTCTCCTACCCCAGCTCATGCTTTTAGTCTCCTAAGTCCGTTCTAAGATCATCACTTCACTATACAGATGCTCCTTGACTTACAATGGGTTTACATCCTGATAAACCCATCATAAGTTGAAAATGTCCTATGTCAAAAATGCATTTAATACATCAAACCCACCGAACATCTCAGGATAGTCTAGCCTACCTTAAGCACACTGATTACACTGACATCAGCATACAGTTTGGCAAAATCATCTGGCAACACTGCACACCATAAAGTATGAGTTTTTTTAGCTTCGTGATTGGGTGGCTGACTGGGAGCTGGGGCTGGTTGCCTCTGCTCAGCATCGCAAGTGTATCCTAACACTTTCTACTGAATGTATATCACTTTTGTATCATTTTAAGTCAAAAAATTGTAAGTCAAGCCATAATTAAGTCCCTTTTCACATGAGATAACCACAGTCTGTTCCTGTTGCTTGTGGCCAACAATCCTGATTGGTTCTAAAAAAAAGATGATTCCTCTATTAGAAAGCTTGGCTCATGCCTGTAATCCCAGCACTTTGGGAGGCAGAGGTGGGCAGATCACATGAGGTCAGGAGTTTGAGACCAGCCTGGCCAACATGGTAAAACCCTGTCTGTACTCAAAATACAAAAAATAGCCAGGCATGGTGGCGCAGGCCTGTAGTCCCAGCTACTAGGAAGGCTGAGGCAGTAGAATAGCTTGAACCTGGGAGGTGGAGGTTGCAGTCAGCCGAGATCACACCTCTGCACTCCAGCCTGGGTGACAGAATGAGACTCCGTCTCGGAAAGAAAAAAAAAAAAAAGAAAAACATCCTTTACTCACTTATGGAGAGACAACTATCTTGATATAACTTTCTAACTACTTGCTGTCTGAAAATGAAACAGGTTGCTGCACACAAGCAATAAATTCCTGGTTGCTTGAAAAGTTTAAATAAAGAAGGAACAACCATTTGAGAGGAATGCTCTGGAAGGGATTCCTGGACTTGGCAGGAGAATAGACCAGAATCTAATCAAAAGGTTTAGTAAAAATGCTTTCCAAGTGCTAGATACCAATGGTCTTTGTCCAGCTACCCTCTCAGATGGCTGTGAATCACTGAAGACTCAGACTAAGCACCAGTTGGACGGGCTGAGATCAGCCTCTGTCTTTGGTCTTCTTGAGACTCAGTTCTTAAATCTAAACCAATTATCTGATTGTGAGAGACAGCAAGCCCCATTCTCAGTGGTGGGTGACCCATCTCCCCGTAGCCATTTTTGTCCAATTTTAGATGTTTTCCAATTGGTTCTTTGCACATTGTCAAGCAATACCTTTCTGCATAAAGAGCAAGATATATTTCATTCCTGGGGTTGGAATCTTGAATCAGTTAATCCACAAAGTAGCTAATTTACAGACACGTAGTCCCCAAGATAGACTAGACTAGTCCAACATGATGTATGAGGTAGAAAGAGAGTCCAAAAGACACATTTTCTTATCCAGCTCTAAAGGACTGAAGTCTGTTAATCAACGAATAAAGTTATATGGCCATGCAAGGGGCACCTTATTAGTTTCTTTAGCCTTCTGTAAGCCCAACTGCTTCCTTTTAGAGCTGAGAAACCAGAGGCCTGGAAAGACTGTGTGTTGACCGACCTCACACTCTGAGTTGGGGTGTGCACAAGAATGAAATCTTGTGACGCTGAGCTCTTTCCAGCTGTCTCCTATCACATTCCCTGTCACCTCCAGCCCCACCTGGCAGGCTGCTATCTTTTCAGCAAAGGCTGAGCGAGGCTCTGCTCGCACCCCCTGTGAGAGGTGTCTGTGATGCTCATGTGTGGGGGAAGCTCTTACAGCAGTTTCTGCTTATGCCAAAAACACCCTGGGAATAAATAAACGTCCCCGTTCCAACACCTTCTTCTCGTACCAAGTATGCACGTGAAAAAAAGAAAAGAAAAAGATTAAAAATAAAACTCACAGAGACAGGAATTCTCTGCTATTGAGAGAAATTCCTTAACACACATTACTCAGGTAATGATTTCTTTGACTCCATGGAAAATTTTTAGAGCTAGAAATAGGGCCTAAGAAAGCAAGTGATCCAAATCCTTTTATTTACAAGTGGGCAAACTGGACATCAGAGTGAAGTGAGTTTGGTCAACCCAGTGAATTTTTTGCTGAATCAGAACACTGTTTCTTTTACAGGGGCTTTCTTGAGGTGGTGAGGGTTTGCATGAATGACATAGATTAAGTGACTAAAGAATACTAATGCATCATTCTTTTGAATTCCAGTAAAGAAAATGAGCTGCTTTCATTAAAGCCTTTCTTTGAGGTCGCTGGGTGAAAGGTGGGGGCTTAGGCCAGGTGTGGTAGCTCACGCCTGTAATCCCAGCACTTTGGGAGGCCGAGGCAGGTGGATCACTTGGGGTCAGGAGTTCAAGACCAGCCTGGCCAACATGGCAAAAACCCGTCTCTACCAAAAATACAAAAATTAGCCAGGCATGGTGGACTACAAGCTGGTAGTAGTCCCAGCTACTAGGGAGGCTGAGGCAGGAGAATCACTTGAACCTGGGAGGCAGAGGTTGCAGTGAGCTGAGATTGCACCACTGCACTCCAGGCTGGGCAACAGAGTGAGACTCCAACTCAAAAATAAAGCAAAACAAAAAGAAAGATGGGGGCCTTAGGATCAGCTAACTCTTTTTAGCAATGTGACTTCAGACAAGTTAACCTGTCAGAGCTTCGGTTTACTTGTCTGCAAAAATAGAGAGAATAAAACTAACTGTCTCTCTAGTGGTTCTGAGGGTTAAAGAAATAATTTCACAAAGTACCTAGTCCAGTGTCTAGTATACCCTTAAGGATAAGTAAAAGTACATTTCCTTTTCTTTCTCCTCGCCACCTCGGTTCTCTCTACCTTGGTATGTGTGAAAGAGCTCAAACAGGCAAATAAAATAAGAGAATTTTATTCCTCTTATTAAGCCTGTTTCCACAATATGAAAGGCACTTGGCCAAGGATATTCAAGACTTCTGAAGACCATAAATATTTTTTGTAAAATATTTTCACATATGAAGGACTATGAATTTCAAGGACCAGGCTAACTGAGCAGATCAAATGTTTTTTAAAGTTCTACAAGAGTCTTGAATAAAGGGTTCTTCAATGTTAGGGGAAACAATTGCAACAGACCTCCTTTATTTTGAGAATCAATAAAAGCAGTAACACTCACTTGAGAACAAGGATGTGAGCTTTTATGGACTTCCTTACAAGACTCTTACATTTCAGATTATCCAGTCTCTTAATCAGCCCAGAAGTTCCATTTTTACCATTCTGTCTGGATGCTTTTAGGGACAGGAGTTTCCAGGTTTGTTTTTTGTTTTTGTTTTGTTTTTAAAAAACTAGGTTTTTAAAAAAGGTATTTTTAAACTTCAGCTACAATATATCTCCTGCTACTTCCAACTTTTGATTCTACCTCTATACCTCTTGGGTCACAAGGATAAATTTGTTTCTTTTTTCGTGGGTTGCTGATGGAAGAAGGCCATTACTTTTCTAATATTAGGGCATTAAGTGTTTTTACAAGAATATCAAAACACAGGTCATTTCACTCTTTAAAAATTAACCATGAATCTTGGTTTATGGTGATTACAGCAACAAGTAGGCAATTATGTATATAGTATATAATTTACCTGTGGTTGAGTTTTGACTCAACAGAGTTACAAGTTCCCAAACATCATTGGCAAGGGTGAAAGGTCTGAGTTTAGAATCAGTAGGCCTGTGTTAGAGCTTCGCCCAGGCTGAGTGATCTGAAGCAAGTATCTGAGCCTAGGTTTCTCATATGTGGAAAATGGAGATTCAATGGAGCTGCAGAGATGGTGGTAAAGAAATTTTTTCTCTTTTTCTTTTTCTTTTCTTTTTTTTTTTCTTTTTTTTTTTCTTTTTTTTTTTTTGAGACAGTCTTGCTCTGTCACCCAGGCTGGAGTACAACGGCGCAATCTTGGTTCACTGCAACCTCCACCTCCTGGATTCAAGTGATTCTCCTGCCTCATCTTCCTGAGTAGCTGGGATTACAGGCACCTGCCACCATGCCTGGCTAATTTTTTGTGTTTTTTTTAGTAGGGACAGAGTTTCATCATGTTGGCCAGGCTAGTCTTGAACTCCTGACCTCAGGCGATCCGTCCGCCTCGGCCTCCCACAGTGCTGGGATTACAGGCGTGAGCACCATGCCCAGCCAATAAATTTTTTCTTACCACCATTCTTCCCATCATGAAATCTGGGAACTTGAATTCATGTGTGTGTGTAGTGGAGAGAATGGGCTCATTAACTGATTTTAGTTTATGTTTGTGAATGAATAGTTTGAGCCATGTATGTGTCATTTCCCACTGAATGATTTATTCAACTGGAATCTTAATTGGATCTTCAATATTTAAAAATAGATAACATGGAAGGTTGTGTTGACAGCTCCAAGATCATTTCTAATTCTGTGATGCCAAGTTTGAAAAACCTCTGAATTTATGCCCTTGGGTGGCTCTAACAACTTTTTATTCCAAATCATATGAAGCATTGTACAGTTGACCCTTGAACAATGCAGGGGTTAGGGGAATCAACCCACCAGGTGGTCAAAAATCCATGCATAGCTTTTTTTTTTTTTTTTTTGAGATGGAGTCTCACTCTGTCGCCCAGGCTGGAGGGCAGTGGTGCGATCTCGGCTCACTGCAAGCTCTGCCTCCCGGGTTCACGCCATTCTCCTGCCTCAGCCTCCCAAGCAGCTGGGACTACAGGCATCTGCCACCACGCCTGGCTAATTTTTTGTATTTTTAGTAGAGACGGGGTTTCACCGTGTTAGCCAGGAGGGTCTCGATCTCCTGACCTCGTAATCCCCCTGCCTTGGCCTCCCAAAGTGCTGGGATTACAGGTATGAGCCACCGCACCTGGCTTTATTATTATTATTATTATTATTATTATTATTAAGAGATGAAAGTCCTGCTATGTTGCCCAGGCTGGTCTCGAACTCGTGGCCTCAAGTGATCCTCCACCTCAGCCTCCCGAGAGCTGGGATTAGAGGCATGAGCCACCATGCATGGCTCACATATAACTTTTGACACTCCCAAAAATTAAGTACTAATAGCCTACTATTGACTAGAACCCTTACCAATAACACAATCAACACATATTTTACGTGTTACATATATTATACTATATTCTTACAAAAAGGTAAGCTAAAAAAACAAAATATTATTAAGAAAATCATAAGGAAGAGAAAATATATTTACTATGTATTAAGCGGAAGTGGATCTTAAGGTCTTTTTCCTTGTCGACTTCATTTTAGAGTAGACCAAGAAGGAGGAGAAGGAGAAGGGTCAGTCTTCCTGTCTCGGGGTGACAGAGGTAGCAGAGGTGAAAGAGGTGGAAGGGGAAGTAGTAGAGGCAGGCACACTTGGTACAATTTTTATTTTTAAAAATCCATGTATGAGGCTGGGCATGGTGGCTCACGCCTGTAATCCCAGCACTTTGGCAGGCCGAGGTGAGTGGATCACCTGAGGTTGGGAGTTCGAGAACAGACTGACCAATATGGAGAAACCACTTGTCTACTAAAAATACAAAATTAGCCGGGCATGGTGGTGCATGCCTGTAATCCCAGCTACTGGAGAGGCTGAGGCAGGAGAATAGCTTGAACCCCGGAGGCAGAGGTTGCAGTGAGCTGAGATCACGCCACTGCACTCCAGCCTGGGCAACAAGAGTGAAACTTCTTCTCAAAAAAAAAAAAAAAAAAAAATCCATGTATGAGTTGACTCATGAAGTCCAAATCTGTTGTTCTAGAGTCAATTGTGGTTGAAAGTATTTGGTAAACTATAAACTGGACTTAATATGTAATGACTATTATGAATAATTTTACAAACTAGATTCATTACTGTCTTTGTTTATTTTGTACTGCTTTAAGAGAATACCTGAAACTGGGTAATTTAGAAAGAAAAGATGTTTATTTAGCTCACAGTTCTGCAGCCTGGAAAGTTTAAAAAGCATTGTATTGGGCCAAGTGTGGTCGTTCATGCCTATAATCTCAACACTTTGGGAAGCCAAGGCAGGAGGATTGCCCAGGAGTTCAAGCAACATAGGAAGACCCCCATCTTGACAAAAAAAAAATTAAAAATTAGTCTGGCATGGTGGCACGTGCATGTAGTCCCAGCTACTTCAGTGGCTGAGGTAGGAAGATTGCTTGAGCCTGGGAAGTCAAGGCTGCAGTGAGCTGTGATCACACCACTGCACTCCATTCTGGGTGACACAGCAAGACCTTGTCTCAAAAAAAAAAAAGCATTGTGCTGGCATTTGCTTGGCTCCTGGTGAGGGCTTTTGTGCTGGGCCCAAATATGATGAATGATCAAAGAGGAGGCAGACACATGCAAAGAGGGAAGGCCCAAGACGCTCCTGGCTGCGTAACAACCCACTCTCATGGGAACTAATCCATTCTTGCAAGAATTAACTCAGTGTTACCAGAGTAAGAACTCACTCACTACCACACAAGAACGGCACCAAGCCATTTGTGAGGGATTGTTCTCCCATAACCCAAACACCTCCTGCTAAGCCCCACCTCCCAAGACCACCACACTGGGGATCAAATTTCAACACGAGTTTTGGTGGAAGCAAACCAACAGTATCTAAACCACAGCAATTACAAATTCTGAGTATGTAGTTACCTCATCTCGACAAAAAGCCTGTATTTCTGCCATGACAACTCTGTCTCTTGGAACCACCCATTAAGTATTTTTTCTCTATGGTGAGCTTGTGCCTACACTCTCATAATGGCCACTTTTATTTCAGACCGCTTTGTAAAGGCCAGGAGGCTTGTTAACTGCCCAAATACCTTCACTAAATTAAAGGGAAGCTTTTTCTTTCCACAGCATGCACTGTGTATTAGTCAGTCTTTGCTATGTAACAAACCAATCCCAAATTTGGGGGTCTAAAATAGTCATTTATAGTGCACAATTCTCTAGGTCAATAATTTGGATTGGATTCAGCTGAGTAGTCATTCTGACAAACTCACCTTGGGACACCCGTGCAGGTATAGTCAATTGGCAGGCTAGCTTGAAGCCAATTGCTATTGACTGTCAACAATGCCATGTGTCTCCAGCATCTACCAGGCTAGCCTAGGCTTTTTCACATGGAAGTTGAGATGTATACACAGCAAGAGGAGTTAAGAGCAGTAGCTGCAAGGCTTCTTAAGCCCTCTGCTCAGAAGTTGCAAAACATCATTTCTGCCATAGTCTTCCATTGGTGAAAGCAAGTCACAAGGCTGGCCCAAATTCAAAGGGTAGGTGAGTAGACTCCACCTTTTTACGAGAGGAATAGCAAAGTTACATTGCAAAGGTGTGTGCATGAGAATCGGAGAGATTATTGTGGCCATAGTTGAAAATATGCTACTGCCCTGACCAATGACAGTTTTGGCTTAAAGATATTACATTTGATTCTCTTATTCTTTGATATTTAAGGAAGATATAGCATTTGAAAAATATAGTTTGGGTCACGCGTGGTGGCTCACGCCTGTAATCCCAGCACTTTGGGAGGCCAAGGTGGGTGGATCACCTGTGGTCAGGAGTTCGAGACCAGCCGGGCCAACATGGTGAAACCCTGTCTCTACGAAAAATACAAAAATTAGCCAGGCGTGGTGGTGGGTGCCTGTGATCCCAGCTACTTGGGAGGCTGAGACAGGAGAATCACTTGAACCCAGGAGGTAGAAGTTGCAGTGAGCTGAGATCATGCCACTTCAGCCTGGGCAACAGAGTGAAATTCTGTCTCAAAAAAAAAAAAAAGAAAACAAAAAAAAAAAGAAAGAAAAAGTTTGGGAATCAAAATATCAAAATATATACAAGTTGTAGAGAAAGGGAAAATAAATCTGAGTTATTCATTGATCTTTGCTAGTGTAAAGCTTAATCTCCTGCCCACAGCTTACTCATATGTACCCTATGCACTGACTTGGCCTTACTCAACTGAGACTTCTTTTAGGATTCCAGTCTCTCATGTGTCACTGGGAAATGACCCATGAAAGTTCTTTCGCTAGGGGATTCTTAAGTCAGGCCATTACACGGTCAGGCCAGTGAAGTCATCAGAGATGCATGGGTCTTGCTGCTTCCTGGCAATTACACGCTGCCTGAATGAAGTTTGCCGTAGAGAGAAAGTGGCCAGTTTTTATAAAAACGTAAAAAAATGAGACAGTGCATATACTAATATGGATGCTTTGTAAAGACCGTAGATAGCTCTGATTTCTTAACCTAAATCAATTTGTTTCCTTAAATCCTCTGAGCAGTTTGTAACACAAGTATATTATCCATGTAGTTGTGCTTCACAGCAGTAGAAGTATGTGTGTATCATTTTCTATACTCAACCAAGCAGCTTCTGGATGCAGCTCTCCACAGGGGACAATAACAGCTGACATACAGCACACACTTAGTGCCAGGCACTCCTAGCGCTTATACATGTTGACTCATTTAAGCCCACGATAAGCCTATGAGGCAGGCACTATTATCCCATGTACACATTTGAAGTTCTCAGTGGTTAAGTGACTCGCCGAAAGCCTAAATTGTAAGTGGCAGAGCTGGGACATGAACCCAGGCCGTCAGTTATGTCAGTGCCTGGGTTCTTAACCACTAGATTCCACAATCTCTCGAGGGACATGGGACTTATGTATGTGGTGCCTTCCCTGTCTGTGGAGCACAGATGTTCCTGGCTTCACATATGAACAGTGAGGCTTTTTATAATGACAAATAATCCTTGGAGTCTGATTCAGTCGGTCTAGGACAGACATTCATAGACTAATGAAGGACACAGAACATGGAATCAGCCTAAATGCTTATCAATGGCAGACTGGATAAAGAAAATGTGGTGTATATGTACCATGGAATACTATGCAGCCATAAAAAAGAAGGAGATCATGTCCTTTGCAGAAACATGCATGGAGTTGGAGGCCATTATCTTTAGAAAACTAAGACAGAAACAGAAAGTCACATACCACATGTTCTCACTTATAAGTAGGGGCTAAATAATAAAAACACATGAACACATAGAGGGAAACAGCAGACACTGAGGCCTACTGGAGAGTGGAGGGTGGGAGGAGGGAGAGGATCAGGAAAAATAATGGGTACTAGGCTTAGTACCTGGGTGATGAAATAATCTGTCCAACAAACTCCTATTACATGAATTGACCTAAATAACAAACCTACACATGTACCCCTGAACTTAAAGTAAAAGTTAGAAAAAAAAAAAAACAGAAGAAAAAAAGTGTAATAAAAAAATTGTTTTTTTTTTTTTTTTGAGATGGAGTTTCACTTTCGTTGCCTAGGCTGGAGAGTAATGGCGCCATCTCGGCTCACTGCAACCTCCGCCTCAGCCTCCCAAAGTGCTGGAATTACAGGCATGACCCACCATGCCCAGCTAAAAATTTTAAAAACATAAAAATGAAAAAATCTAATAAACGAGTTATAGGAAAAGTGCTATAGGCATTCAGAGGATAAAAGATATTTCTGTCTGGAGAGGTGGGGATCTACAAAGGCTTCATAGAGAAAGAAAAACCTGACTTGTACTTGGGCCGTTGAGACAACATATAAATATACAGAGTGATCACCTGTGGTTGAATGAACAACATAGAATGGCCTCTACCCATATCTGTGTAGCAGGATTCACTACTGGACTCTGCACTGTGTTGACCACAGCAAAGCTGTAAAGAGCAAGCCTCTGTTGATGCTTCCTAACTATAACACATTGGAAACTCAACAATCATTGATATGAATTCCACAGGTATGTGGAAATTATTCATAAACAGTAAAATTGAAAACAAATGCTAGTGGTTTGTATTATGGCTCATTATATGTTCTATAACATCCACAGTTTACAAGGTATAACTATGTACCTAATAGATTATCAATAAAATTTCCCCTGAATGTATTAAAAGTTGGTCATTTAATTGGAGCTGGGGATATACACTGAGAATAAAGTGGCACTTGCCTAGCTTAGAACTAGCGTGCAAGAAAATTTAATTGTTGACTGTTTGTTGTGACAATGGGCTCCTTCAGAAACTGGGATTGCTGAGTCTTATGGGCCCATGCACTGGTGGCTAGGAGAAAGGTTAACTGGGGCCAGCTGTGGCTGCAGAATGCATGCGTTCACTTTAGAAGGCAAACGGCTCAGAGAGAACGCTCTTGGCTTCAAGTTGTTCTAGAAAGAAAAACTTATACTCTAAGAGATTGGATGATGTAAGAACCAAGAAAGAATCAGAATTAGCACTCGGTAAATCAGCATTATTAATTGTTATGGTACTTTGACATTATAATATCTGAAACACAACAACTGAAATCCCTGAAAGCCAAATTTGGTTTTATCATCATTTAAGAATTATAGAAGGCTAGATTTGGAAAGGGCCTTAGAGAGCTCTTAATCTAAACTCATTTTTTTCTAATATTACAGCAAACAGTTCCTCTGGATCTGAGGAGGCAAGCTGCCCAATGTAGGATAGTAAGTTGGTTTAAATAGAGATACAACATGTTCTTTTGGTATTTTATGTTTTTAAAAAACCACTTAAGTATTTTCTACTGATATTGAAACTTGCTTGCTATATTAACCAAATGCAAAGGAATGCTACACAGCTGGTAAAAGAAGAGAGAAGAAATAGCATGATGTTTCCATTCTCTTGCTCTTTTGGACCTGCCTCAAACCTTAGGACAAATTATTAGTTATTCACTTAGCAATTGCCTGTTGATGCTTACTATAACCAAGGTGATTTCAAAACACTAAATGGCCTTGAAGAACTCACAATACAGCAAACACATTACAGCATTACTGCCACTACTTTATGATTACTACTACTACTGCTAATATGAGATATGAAGTATTAGATACCTGAAGAGATATATAGGAAACTGGAGGAGGGTTACAATAACAATGGTTCAGCAGGGCGCGATGGCTCACGCCTCTAATCCCATCCCTTTGGGAGGCCAAGGTGGGTGGATCACCTGAGGTCAGGATTTCGAGACCAGCCTGGCCAACATGGTGAAACCCCATCTCTACTAAAAATACAAAAATTAGCTGGGCTTGGTGGTGGTGCTTGTAATCCCAGCTGCTTGGGAGGCTGAGGCAGGAGGATTGCTTGAACTCGGGAGGCGGAGGTTGCAGTGAGCCAAGGTCGCACCACTGCACTCCAGCCTGGGCGAACTAGCTCTCAGAAAAAAAAAAAAAAAACATAAACAAAAACAAAGGTTCCACTATCAGGGGAGCCTTCAGGGAGAAGGTGTTGCCTGAACTAGTTTTGAAGGACAGTAGGATTTGTATCACAGACATTTTAGGTAGGCCAGGAGTGGTGGATTTCCTAGCAATCAAAGATGTGGAGGTGGAAAAGCGTGAGGTAGGTCTGCCAGAACACAGAGGGCAGGAAGGGGAACAGGGAGAGAGAATGCTGGAAAGGATGACTTAGGGATTATATGCCATAGAGGTATTTATGATTTGTTTTCTTGCTTATGTATTCTCTTCATGATAGAAAACATTTTTAAAATATAAGTTTATCTTTATAATCCATAATAGGTGACTCATTCAATAAAACTTGAAAAAAATAGAGATTTCAAAACATAATACTTTTTATTACTTAATAACTTGCTCTACTTCTTTCCAGTATTTTTTTCACAGACGTGGATATCTAGATTAAAAAAAAAAAAACTGTTCTAATCATACTTGAGTTTCTCAAACCCATGTTAAATTTTCCATGAGAGATAGGTCCTTTAAGAGAAATTTATGTCCAATTACAGGATTAGTCTCCTAAGAGATAAAAAGGGTCAGTGAAAGAGATAAAAAGGAAGCTTTTTGCCAGAAGCTAGTGTGGGAGGGCACTAATCTCTTCCTGTTCTTGCAGAGACAGATTTGTTCAATCATGGGTGATCTTAATCGGTGAGCATGTTCCTTCAGTACTTCCTGATGAGGTGGTGGCTCTCTATTGACCATCAGAGTGGTTTGCCAATCATACACACCATCACTCACTTCCCCATTCTTTTTTTTTTTTAATTTTATTTATTTATTTTTTTGAGATGGAGTCTTGCTCTGTCTCCCAGGCTGGAGTACAGTGGTGCGATCTCAGCTCACTGCAACTTCTGCCTCCTGGGTTCAAGCAATTCTCCTGCCTCAGCCTCCCTAGTAGCTGGGACTACAGGCACACACCACCATCCCCAGCTGATATTTTGTATTTTTAGTAGAGACTTCCCAGGCTCAAGCAATATTCCTACCTCTTTGTATTTTTAGTCTCAACTCCTGACCTTGTGATCCACCTGCCTAGGTCTCCCAAAGTGCTGGGATTACAGGCGTGAGCCACCACGCCTGGCCCCCCATTCTTAAGTTCTTAATTTTGGTTCCATTCTTGGTCCATAGAATATGTCTTAACCCAGTGTTTCTCAGACTTTAGTATGTGTAGGAATTACCAGGAAATCTGGTTAAAGTGCAGATCCTGATTCAGCAGGTCTAGGGTAGGATGGAGATTTTGTCTTTTGTCTTCCTTCTTTTCTTTTCTTTCTTTTCTTTCCTTTCCTTTTCTTGCTTTCTTCCGACGGAGTTTCACTCTTGTTCTCCAGGCTGGAGTGCAGTGGTATGATCTCAGCTCACTGCTCAAGCAATTCTCCTGCCTCAGCCTCCCGAGTAGGTAGGATTACAGTTGCCTGCCACCATGCCTGGCTAATTTTTTTGTATTTTTAGTAGAGATGGGGTTTCACCATGTTGACCAGGCTGGTCTCGAACTCCTGGCCTCAGGTGATCCGCCCACCTCAGCCTCCCAAAGTGCTGGGATTACAGGCATGAGCCACTGCGCCCAGACTGATATTTTGTATTTCTAACAAGCTTCCGGGGGATGCTCTTGCTACTGGTCCAGGGACCACACTTTGAGAAGCAAGGCCTTAGGGTACTTTATTTTTCAAACCTAATCTGTCTTTTTGTTGCTTTCACACAAGCAAAACAAATTAACTTGTTCACAGCCTTTCTTCTGCAAATCTATATAGATATCCCTTTAATTACTTTTGGCAATTTATCATTGCCAAAAAAGCTAAAACCACAGGAATTTTTATTCCTTTCTAGGTAAACGGTTTCTACCATCTGGATGCTTGGATGCTTAAAGGACTTGTTGCTGTTTTTCTTTACTCCTGATGGGTATATGTATGAATAGCTTTTCTTTGATTGTGTTTTGAATACAGTGGACCTTTGCACTTGCGTACTTATGTAAAACTGCCGCTCAGGAGAGTCTCTTTAATTATGCCCTCAACCATTGTTTCCAAACAATTATCCTGCTTTCTTCCTAAGGGGCTTCAATCATTCTCAGGTTGGATCTCTGACCCCTGTCTTACATAGATCATTCTCTCTTTCTATTTAATCTCTTTGTGCTATCCTCTGTAAGCTAGAAGACATTCTCAAGTTTACCCTCTATATTGCAGACTAAATTTTCTCAGGTCATTTCTGCTTTTGGTTCTTTTCCCCAAAGTGAAAGTTAATTCTACTATTGCACTTTTATTTTCCTAAAGTACTTTTTTTCATTTTATTCATTTCCCATTTTAGTCTGAAATGTTGCCTGCTGTCTTTTCATGTCAAGCTTTCTTTTTATAATTCATGTTTTTGTTTCAAAAGGCAATGCCTTTAAGCTTTTAGAGAAAGAATGCCAAAACATTCTTTATTATTTTTCTTCTGGTTCCTCCAACAAATCTTTTCTAGAAGGTTGTTCTCCCTTTGTAGCTCCAGGATGATGTTCTCTTTTCCCTTGTTCTGTAAGTGTAATGGACATTTGTCATTATTTGCTCATCTCAGCATCTGTATCCCCTCCGCACACACCTTTCTATGTTTGGAGAATATTCCATTTTATGAAGCAAAGCTTGCCTTCCATATAGAAACTGAAAATACGAAAAACTCACTTTGTTTTTTTTTTTTTGTTTTCTGTTTTTTTTGAGACGGAATCTCGCTCTTTCACCCAGGCCGGACTGCAGTGGCACGATCTCGGCTCACTGCAAGCTCCACCTCCTGGGTTCACGCCATTCTCCTGCCTCAGCCCCCTGGAAAAACTCACTTTCTAAGTCTTCCTTGCAATTAGGATGCACAGAGTAGGCACTGCGAGCCAGATGTGTATGTTCCAGCCAATGACTAACACAAGTGGTTCAAGGAAACAGAGCAGAACTGGCCACATGCAGTTTCCAGACGCAACATGACAGCTGTTTTACAGGCAGCACCCTGTGTTAGGGATGCTTGTGGTGCAAGTAATGTCCATAACCAGTAGTTGCTTTAAGAGTGTCACCACTGGACTAAATAGTTTCATTTCTGGTATAGAGATTCTGAACCTGTTCTTTCATGTCAAAGTAGACTCTAGAAACTACTCAATATCTTTTTAGTAAATTATTTCCCACTTACGTTGTCAGAGTCCAATTCACTACTTAAAACTGAGAATCCTGCCTGACACAGTCAATGCATTTTAAATAGACCCCACCGTGGTCTTATTTTCTGCTTACTTTTCTTCAAGTGAGCTATAATCTGCTACTTTGATACAGTAGACCCTTGATTCCACTCTATCTACTTAGACCCTTGCCAAATCCATCCCCAGAGGAGAGCTGGATGTCATACTCTGTTTTTGGCTCAATTCTTGGTGTCCTCAGGCTTTTTTCCTGTGCGTGTCTGTTGGTTGGGGCCGAGATTTTCTAGCTCTGAAAAAGTAGAAATAAATGTCTAATGGTGAACGGGATAGCTAACCAGTACTCTGCTGGATACAGAGCTTGCCCAAAGGCCCAGAGTTTCTTCACTTACAAAATTAGAAGCCACATACATGTGCATACATGAAGGTTGACCCCAAGGTGATAAGGCAGGCTAGGAGAGACCAGAGGCAAGAACTGAGCTCACACAAGGCCAGTCCCACTGTTTAGAACAACCATCCTGAGCACAGCTCTGGGCAGCCCATTGCTTGCTCAAGAATCCTCCGAGGACTTAAGTCCATATCCAGGATAGATTGCCTGCTGCTCTGCCATACCCCAGTGCTTTCTCTGTTCCTTTCTTTGAATAATCTCCTCCCTTCTTTGATCCAAATTTTGCCAGTTCTGTTGCCTCCTTCCTCATAAGCTCATCTTTTCTTATTCTCCCCATGCTATGCTCAAACCATAATGAACTATTTTTAATTCTCTTAGTTTACAACAATCTTGAAATATAATTCTGTCTTTGCATGTGCTGTATACTTTGGCTAGAGCACTCCTCATTACCCTACATTTCTTCACCTAGCTAACACTTAATCTTCTTTCAGGTCTCATTTTACCTGTTGTTTCTTTCTGCAAATCTTCTCTGCCCTCCTGCTCCTCAAGACCTATGTGCACTTCCAATGGGCTCCCATAACACTCCGACTCATCCTTACCTTAACATAGATCACTCTACAGTAACTGAATATATACATACTTGTTTATATTTGTTTTTACTTGTTTATAACCTGAACTAGTGTGTTACACCTTCTTGGCCATAACGTATTATATGTTGTTCGTGGTATTCAGTTATCTACCTGTTTTATAGTAGGTACTTAAAAATAATTGTGAAAGAATAAAAGAACAAAAAGAATTCTACTCCTCTCTGCACACCCATCACATTTTAAAATACAGTAAGTATACACTTTATGTAAAGTATGTATATACAGCTTATTAGCCTTTTTTTTTCGTAGAGTAGGATCCATGACTGCTTCAAGTCAAGTAAGTATCATGTTCAGGAGCTTCTGCATTAATAGGTACTCAAGAAAGTTTATTTGAAGAAGTTCTATGCTGTAGGGTGACCAAAATGTCAATCACCCAAATTGGGCGACTTTTGAGAGTAAAAGGCAATGCTATTAATGCTATTAGCCTAAGAAGGCCATGTGCAGTGGCTCACACCTGTAATCCCAGCACTTTGGGAGGCTGAGGTGGGTGGATCACCGGAGGTTGGGAGTTCAAGACCAGCCTGACCAACATGGAGAAACCCCATCTGTACTAAAAATACAAAATTAGCCGGGCGTGGTGGCGCATGCCTGTAATCCCAGCTACTCAGGAGGCTGAGGCAGGAGAATCGCTTGAACCTAGGAGGCAGAGGTTGTGATGAGCCGAGATTGTGTCACTGCATTCCAGCCTGGGCAACAAGAGCAAAACTCCATCTCAAAATAAATAAATAAATAAATAAATAAATAAATAAATAAATAAATAAAATTAGCCCGAGAAGATAGTCATGATTTAGGATTGTCCAGGGCAACATGGATATACAGTACCCTATTTAGATAGCAACACACCATTGCCAGATCATTAATAGTTGCTTTTTTGATTGTAAGACGGAAGGTGCTGGGCCAGGGGGAGTTTCTTGCATTACATTCACTAAAAGGTCAAACCGAGCATGAAAGATGATCATCTCATAGTCAAATATGAAGCAGTGAGTTAGTGACAGGCATAGATAAACTGCCCAGGATTCTTAATTCTCTTATTCTTCATCCCAATGAATGCTATTTGTCTTTTGATTAAGTGGGATGCATGCAATGGGAGACACTGAAATTTAGATTTTTTTTGAACTGTAATAATTAGTCATTATAACATAGAAACAAAATCAAATCTGTTTCCTCTTCTTACATCTGCCACAGCAATCAGACATAATCCTTTAATGTAATCAGAGGTAGGAATAAAATGTCAATGCCTTGTGCTTTAAAGAATTTAATTGGAGATTCAGCCATCGTCCCAAAGCAGCAACCACTTTTCTTCCTTAAAGAAAAGCTCTCAGAGCATTTAGACATTAGTTCAGTAATCCTCAATTTCAGAGCTTGGTGCTGGAAAGTTATCTATATTCTACTTGGGGAAATTAAGGCTCAATATATATTGAATTTAGGTCAGTTTGTGGTTTAGTAGATCATTCTTAATAGGTTGACAAATTAAGGGTCAAATAGACCACAAAAGAACACTGGGGGTTCACTTTGAAAGCAGCGGGTGAAAACATTGAGTGGGGATAGGAAAAGCAGTGTCAGGAATCATGAACTTCAACCAGAAATTCCATACATTGCATGGTGTTTACAGTTTGTAATGTACTTTTACATTCATTGTTTTATCTGGTCCATGCCATAAAGATACAGAAGGTGGGACAGGAATGAGGATCTTCATCCTGTAGAAGAAAGAAAGAAAGAAAGAAAGAAAGAAAGAAAGAAAGAAAGAAAGAAAGAAAGAAAGAAAGAAAGAAAGAAAGAAAGAGAGAAAGAAAGAGAGAAAGAAAGAGAGAAAGAAAGAGAGAAAGAAAGAGAGAAAGAAAGAGAAAGAAAGAAAGAAAGAAAGAAAGAAAGAAAGAAAGAAAGAAAGAAAAAGAAAGGAAGGAAGGAAGGAAGGAAGGAAAGAGAGAGGGAAAGAAAGGAAGGAAAAGAAAGGAACGAACGAAAGAAAGAAAGAAAGAAAGAAAGAAAGAGAAATAAAAATGAATAAGGCTCAGGGAGAGGAAATTACTTATTCGGGATCATATATTTATCACAGAGCTGGGACTAGAGCCCAGGTCTCTTGCTTCCCAATCTGAGCATCCTCCCTTGGCTCAGTGATGTGGTTGAGGGCTTCATCTCAACCACATCTCCATGGGAAACCTAAAGAAATGTGACCAGTCCTACTTGGAACTTATAAATGCCACCCAAACCATTCAAGCTTCTTGTATTTCTGCTCAGGAAATCTTAAAGGGCTTCACTTCTTTCCTGCCTATTATGCCATGTGTCACAGGGAAAGAGAAAGTTTATAATAAACTCGTGTGCTGAAAGGAAACTAGATCTTTTAGCCAGAGCCTTTTCAGTGCCTCAGCTTACAAGTGGTAGCCACCTGGGTGATCTGGAGCTAGAGCGAATCGGATTGAGAGGTGAGATATTAAGGTAGTATGGTGTTCTGTGAGTTAGCCTGATAAATGAGGGAATACCAAGTGCCTTAGTGGGACTTTGTAAGGTTCAAATGGAAGGTGAAAATACTGGAAGCTTTTTGGTTTAAAAAATCATGTACACCTGGCGCGGTGGCTCACGCCTGTAATCCCAGCACTTTGGGAGGCTGAGGCAGGCAGATCACCTGAGGTCAGGAGTTCAAGACCAGCCTGGCCAACACATAGTGAAACCCCACCTCTGCTAAAAAAAAATACAAAAATTAGCTGGGCGTGGTGGTGCACATCTGTAATCCCAGCTACTTGGGAAGCTGAGGAAGGAGAATCACTTGAACCCAGGAGGTGGAGGTTGCAGTGAGCAACCGGGAGGTGGAGTTTGAGATTGCACCACTGCACTCCAGCCTGTGCGACAGAGAAAAAAAAATCATGTTAGGGCCACAGATATGAATTACTGCCCTACTATTCTCTATAGGTATCTATTTTTATTCCAGTTTGTTTATTTTAGCATTGTGCTAACGTTGTATATTCAAACTACATTTGAATTTTCCTTGTGAACATACGGTGGAGTCCACCCTACTGTAAGTGTTGATGATTGAAATAAAATCATGTGGACATTTTTGCTTAAAATTATCCTTGAAAAATACGTAGGATACAATCCCCTTTCCTCTAGCTTTGGGACTAATCACAATTTATTGGTTGAGCACCAGAAGCAGCAACTGGCTTTTAACTGGGGCCATGCTGAATAAAATATAGGTATCTTTATTTATTTTATTATTATCTTTTGAGACACAGTCTCTCTCTGTCACCCAGGCTGGAGTGCAGTGGCACGATCTCACTGTAACCTCTGCCTCCCGGGTTCAAGCGATTCTCCTATCTCAGCCTCCTGAGTAGCTGGGATTACAGGCACCTGCTACCAAGCCCAGCTAATTTTTGTATTGTTAGTAGAGACTGGGTTTCACCAGGTTGGCCTGGCTGGGCTCGAACTCTTGACCTCAAGTGATCCGCCTGCCTCAGCCTCCCAAAGTGCTGGGATTACAGGTGTGAGCCACCACCCACCGGCCAAATATGGGTATCTTTAAACAGTAAAATCAACAAGGTAAGAGCACTCCATGAAAAGCAGGTAAAGATGTGAGAACTAGTGTGGGCCAGGAGGTTCAGGTCTTGCATCTCCACTCACAAGAATCCTGGTGGAGAGGATCACCATTTAAATTTAAATTGTTGCCTCTTGGGCCGGGAGCGGTGGCTCACTCCTCTTATCCCAGCTCTTTGGGAGGCTGAGGAGGTTGAATCACTTGTGGTAAGGAGTTTGAGACTAGTGTGGCCAGCGTGGTGAAACCCTGTCTGTATTAAAAATACAAAAAAAATTTTCAAGCGTGGCACACACTTGTAATCCTAGCTACTCGGCAGGTTGATGTGGGAGGATCACTTGAACCCGGGAGGCAGAGGTTGCAGTGAGCTGAGATTGTGCCACTGCACTCCAGCCTCCATGACAGAGCAAGACTCTGTTTCATAAATAAAGAAATAAAATCGCTGCCTCTCTTCTCTCCCTACCCATACATTGAATTTGTGGGTAGAATCAGCCAGACTTGACCAGTGGTTGGAATGAGGAGTTAGGGAGAGGGAAGTCAAGAATGACCACAGGTTGTGAGCATCCTCCTCACAAGAAGGCTGGGGTACCATGAAAGGAGACAGGGAAGTGGGAAGAAGGCAGAGCCCGGGAGAATTCAATTTTGAGCGATGTTGAGTTTGATGATTCTCAAATAAAGACTGGTTAACCTGTAAAAGTCTGCTAATTTTAGTCCACAAACTCAAAAGCAAAAATGTGAAAATTTTCTATAATTGGGAGTATGCAATTAAAATTAAGTTTATTCTGAAAGTAAAAGAAACCTAGCCTCCTTCAATTTGAGGTCTATTCCATCCCTGGGAATGCACTAACACAGACTGTCTTAGCTAGTTGGGTGAATAAAGAGCCAAGGTCTAGAAATACGGGTAAAGATCTAATTAAATATTTCAAAATAATATTCCACCACAAACCTTCTGGCATAGATTGCTGAGAAGATTCAAGGTCAAACAAAAGGGATCACATCTTCCCAAATATGTGTTTGCTTTTTTGTCTTAAAAAAGCTGTATTGTCTGTCTTATTACAGACACATAGGAAAATTTAAAAGTGACACATTTATTGTAAGAAAATTAGAAAATTTAGGTAAGCAAAAAGAATAAATAATTCTACCACTTTAAAACAATCACTTTTATAACATTAAGCATACCCTTTCAAATCCTTTAAAAAATTACATCTATGCTTTTTCTCCCACTTTAAAATATCATGTAACCAAAAGAAATGAAAATATATGTCCACATAGAAATATGTACCTGAATGGTCACAGCAGCTTCATTCATTGTAGCCCCCAAACGGAAATAAGCCAAATGTTCAGCAACTGATGAATGAGTAAAGAGAATATGGTATATCCATATAATTGAATATTATTTGGCCATAAAAAGGAAAAAAGTATTAATACATTATGCTCCAACATTAATGAACCTTGAAAACATGGTAAGTGGAATAAATCAGATGCAAAAGTTCACACGTTCTATGATTCCATTTACATGAAATGTCCAGAAAAAGCAAATCTTATAGAGACACAAAGTAGATTAGTAGATATTTGGGTCTGAAGATAAGAATAGGCAATGACTATAAATGGGTGCAAGGTTTCGTTTTGGGGTGATGGAACTGCTCTAATATTAGAATGCAGTGATGGTTATGCAATTCCATAAATTTACTAAATTTACTAAAAACCACTTCTGCCTAAAGTGAATGAATTTTATGGTATGCAGATTATACCTCAATTAAACTGTGTATATATACATGTATATATAGAAGACATATATAATATATATAACATATGTATATATATAATATATGTATATATATACATATATATAATATATGTATATATATACATATATATAATATATTATATATACATATATATAATATATGTATATATATACATATATATAATATATGTATATATAAAGAGATTTATATAGATATATATCATGGACTTCTTTCTATTTATCTAAAACTGACCTAATATCTGCTGTGATGCTCAGGGAGTCAGTGAGACTGTGGATTGCAGCCATGAATGAGGCAAGGCACATCCTAAAGCCTATTCCAGGTACTGAGCTCATCAAGAACTGGCAGACCTTCTTCAGCTCCATGCAACTCAAACCTTTGGACATTATCCTTTACCTCCTGCTTCTGTTGTTGTGTGAAGACAAAAATGTTCATGACATGTTTGTGTTTCCCCAGTGGGTCCTCGGTTGTGTCTCCAGGATCATCGTTGCCTGCCCCATCACCATCAAAGGAGCCTCTCAGCTGCAGTGGTGGATCCAGCCCATCCAGTGGTCCACCTGGGAGGTCTCAGCCAAGCTATCTCAACACACTCCTCTGCTTGGAATTGGTACTATGTATTATCTTTGTTTTAGGATGTAGGGTAGGAACTGAGTCTATTAATGTTTTTCTCAACACTGTATTCCCAGGCCTAATAAGGCTAGTAGGTGCAGTAATAACCTGTTGTTAGAGCAAAAAAGATGGCATAAGTTGTCTCCCTTGTTGTTTGAGCCTCTTTGAAACTTTTCATTGGTAGTGAACACAAAAAGGATTAAAGCTCTGCCTACCAACATCTCTGCCACAAGAGACTGGCCCCCACTGTGAGAATGCTCTGCCTGATCTCTGAAGATTCACAGGCTTCCAGGCACGATCATATCTCTTCTAAGTCCTGCACTTACCTGAGGTCAAAAGCCTTTAAATTGGTACAGGTGGCCGAGTTGGGATACAACAAAATGCATTCAGACAATCCGATCCTGTGATCTGGCAAAATGCAAAACATTATAGCCACTTACTAAAAACTGGGTAACATTGTGCAGAAACTCAGGGGACAGATACAAATGATTGTTTGTCCATATTGATTTGATTCCTGTAAGCTAATGAAGAAATTACCTTGTGACATCAAAGACCTAGTACTCAATAAAAAGAGAAAACATTCATTTAGGAAGTCTGATGATACATTCTTTTCATTTTACATTCACTTTCTTCCTCCATTCTACAATGAGATGTGAAGAAGAGAGAGTAAGCAAACCTTTTATAATCTGTTTTATTTTATTTTATTTATTTTTTTGAGAGGGAGTCTCACTCTGTCCCCCAGGCTGGCATGCAGTGGCACGATCTTGGCTCACTGCAACATCCACCCACTGGGTTCAAGCGATTCTCCTGCCTTAGCCTCCCAAAGTGCTGGGATTACAGGTGTGAGCCACCATGCCCGGTCTATAAACTGTTTTATTATCTTTAGTGTTGCATTCATTACAAGCCTGCACTACTATTTACCATGTTAAGTTTTTAACCTCTTTTCAAAAGACTGATGCTCATTGGGCCGAGCTGGAGTCACTGTCACCCAAAGGCCTGGTTTGTATATGACACTGGTACTATAATCTTGGAAAAGACCTATGTTCAACTATAGAAGAGGATACATAAAATATTAAAACTGTCACTTATGCTTAGTTATTTCTGAAAAAAGATGCCCTTAGGTATCTTTTTAAATTTTGTTTATATAAAGTTGCAAAATAACCACGGCTTTAATTTCATGTCTATTCTAGTAGCAGAATGATGTTATCGGAAAATTTATACAATTTATGTATGGTAATCGTTAGAAGGCCTAGAAAGTGCACACACAGCACATTGTAACAAATGACCAATATTAGTCCTGTCTCTTCCCCTTGCCCCTCCTGATGCCTGCTCAGAGTCATGGTCTAAAGAAACATGACCAAACTTCCAGAGAGACAGCATCAATTGTGTTGCTTTTCTATCCACATTGAGTGAAGGAGTGATTCACTCATTCACTCACTTACTGGTTGACATTTGGTTATAAGTGCCAGGTACTGCCTTGGCTGCTGGGGAAGAGAAATGAACAAGACATGAAGACTACTATAAAGAATCCTATATTTGCATGGAGGAGATCAAACACACTGATGAAAAGTTGTAATGCATTGGGATAATGAGATGGGTATCTTTTTGAGAAAATAGAGAAGTTATTTTCATATTAATGGAGGGAGTTTGGAAGGAATGGGCAATGGGAGGGGGTTGGCTGGACATGTAGAATCTGCAGATTCAGAGATGGCCCTGGAAAGTCTTTTAGGTTCAAGAGGAGAAAACTAAACGTGCAAAAGCCCAGAGGCAGGAAGTAAAGGAAGTGGTGTGTGTGTGTGTGTGTGTGTGTGTGTATGTGTGTGGTGGAGGAGGGGGTGTTGGAGGTACAACTTATAGTTGGAAAAGGCCATCAGGATTTGATCATGAAATGAGGAAGGGGAAGCTGCAGGGTATGAACTTAATTTGGTTGATATTATTGAACCCTATCAGTCCATTATCACACAGCTAATAAAGACATACTCAAGACTGGGAAATTTATAAAGGAAAAAAGTTTAATTGACTCTCAGTTCAGCATAGCTGGGAGGCCTCAGGAAACTTACAATCATGGCAGAAGGGGAAGCAAACATGTCCTTCCTCATGTGGCAACAGGAGGCAGAAGAATGAGTGCCCAGTGAAGGGGAAAGACCCTTATAAAACCATCAGATCTCATGAGAACTAACTCACTATCACAAGAACAGGTGGGGGGAGATCGCCCCCATGGTTCAATTAGCTCCACCTGGTCCCTCCTGTTACATGTGTGGATTATGGGAACTGCAATTCAAGATGAGATTTGGGTGGGGACACAGCCAAACCATATCAGGAACGTTTACAAGATTTGCGGTATGACATAGCATACTATGCTTCTGGAATATGAATTTGGTCACTGGGTAGAATGTAACATCAAATTGAAAAACTGGGAGAGTGTTAGAGACCACCAAATCTAAGAACCCAATTGAATAGATAAAGAAACTCAGAATAGAGAGGAAGTGACTTGCCAAAAGGTTGCACAGTAATTTAGGGTAAGGCAAGGACCATAAACATTTCTCTCTTGTGTCCCTCTCCATGCTAGTTTGTTTGTTTGTTTGTTTGTTTGAGACAGAGTCTTGCTCTGTCAACCAGGCTAGAGTGCATTTGGTTGCAAGTGCCAGGTACTGCCTTGGCTGCTGGGGAAGAGAAATGAACAAGACATGAAGACGACTATAAAGAATCCTATATTTGCATGGAGGAGATCAAACACACTTATGAAAAATCAGTGATCTTCGCTCACCGGAACCACCACCTCCCAGGTTCAAGTGATACTTGTGCTCCAACCTTCCGAGTAGGTGGGATTATAGACGTGTACTACCATGCCCTGCTAATTTTTGTATTTTTAGTAGAGACGAGGTTTCACATGTTGGCCAGGCTGGTCTCAAACTCCCAACCACAGGTGATCCGCCTGGCTCGGCCTCCCAAAGTGTTGGGATTACGGGCGTGAGCCACCGCACCTGGCCCCCATGCTAGTCTTGATTGCTACTTCCAAATGCCTGGGCAACTCTCATTGGTCTGCTTGCATTCAGGCCCCGTCACTTGAAGTTATCTGAAAGAGAAGGCTGAGGACTCCCGAGGGAAAAGGGAAGATATGCAAACAGAGATAAGCAGGGAGAGGTAAGATGTGCTTGGAAAACTACTAGAAGGAGGGTGGAGGGTGGGGGCACATAAAGGCCTGGAAGAAATGAGGCTGAAGGGACAAGTAGGTGCCAAATTATGAAGGTCCGTGCAAACCATACTAGAGGCATTTGGCCTGATAGGTTTTAGGCTCTCAGAGGCAACAGCAGATGGGTATTTACCTTCTATCACCCATGGCCCTCTTATTCTTATTATTTTTCTAATAGCCTCTTCAGAACTTTTCCTCTTGCTCAGCTGTAGGAGATCATAAGTTCCCTACGCTTGAGTGTTCAAACTGAGAGCAGATGGTCACTCAACAGTGGGTGAGCAAGGTGCCAGGTTGCCAGGGATCAGTGTGGAATCTTAGCTTACCTACCCTCAGCTGAGTAAGAGCTTACTCAGCTTGGGGCCGGGTGCAGTGGCTCATGCCTGTAATCCCAGCACTTTGGGAGGCCGAGGAGGGCAGATCACGTGGTCAGGAGATCGAACCATCCTGGCTAACCTGGTGAAACCCCCGTCTCTACTAAAAATACAAAAAAAAAAAAAAAAAAAATTAGCCGGGCGTGGTGGCGAATGCCTGTAGTCCCAGCTACTCAGGAGGCTGAGGCAGGAGAATGGTGTGAACCCAGGAGGTGGAGCTTGAAGTGAGCAGAGATCACGTCACTGCACTCCAGCCTGGGCGACAGAGCAAGACTCCACCTCAAAAAAAGAAAAAAAAAAAAAAAAATGAGCTTACTCAGCTCTTAACACAGAGCTAGTACTTAAACTCCCTGGGCTTTAGGGCTTTAGTTTCTTCATGGATAAAATAAAAAAATAATAATGCCAACCTCAGAAGGGGTCTTGTGAGAGTTAAGTGAAATGTATATGAAAACTCCAAATAAGGACTGGCATGAGCTACACAAAGGCCACGTGTACAGGACTGTAATGGATGCAAACGAAAGGCAGGACCCAAGCCCAGCTTGCCTAAAAGTCTTTTATGCCATTACTGAACCCATGAAAATGCTGCTGGTAGCCTTTAGGCCACCAGTGTGCTATCCTTGGCCCAAACGACCCCACACTACACCTGAAATTCTGTGTTTTAGCCTCTGAATTGGTAAACCAGTATTTTTCTACCACTGAGTGCAAATTCATACAACCTTTCCATTTCACGCAAGCGCCTGCACGTAGAAAGTTGTAACAGGAGGTTGAGAAAAGTAAGAGTACGAAAGAAACCAGAACAGTAAATGGGAATGAGGCTTTTGGTAGGGTTAGCACTGACGACAACACTGTATGCAGTTCACTAAGCATCCAGATTATGACTTGGGTGGTTGTACTCTTGGGAAGTTCCTCATGAGTCAGAATTATCTTTTGTAGTTAACTTTATATGATGTTCATGCTAACACCATGCTCACCATGCTCACCTGAGCAATTCATAAACATTTCAGGAGGAGAAACACAGTGACTTCCCCAACACACCCATACAACAGTTTCAACATAATTAGTAGCATTTCTGGATCCGGCACAGTACTCTTATAATGTATATGATGGAAGAAATGAACAACTCTAATTACACCTTATTAAATCTTAATCCTCATTAGGACCCTATTATTCCTTATAAGTGAGTTACTGAAGGAAAAAAAAAAAGGAAATGCTGGTCAAGTCCCGTTATATTCCATGAGGATTGAGATAATCCATTTTTACTTCATGTAACACTGGAATTCTTTTCATACTAAACAGTAGTACTCAGAATGTGAGTACGCTGAAATGTTTGAGTGAGTGGATTGTGTTTTGATAGGATCTGACCTTTTCAGAACCCCAGAAAAAACTCTCTCCAAGAGCCCGTATCTCCCATTTCAAACTATGTTAGTTGCAAAGAGATAAATTCTTTATTAGTCTGTGGAATGGGTGGTTATTCTCGACCTTATCTCTCTGTTACTGCCTTCATATATATATATGTATGTGTGTATATATATATGTGTGTGTGTATATATATATGTATATATATGTGTATATATATGTATATATATGTGTATATATGTATATATATGTGTATATATATGTGTTTGTATATATATATATTTTTTTTTTTTGACAACAGTCTTGCTCTGTCCCCCAGGCTGGAGTGCAGTGGCGCAATCTCGGCTCACTAAAACCTTTGCCTCCCGGGTTCAGGCAATTCTCCTGCCTCAGCTTCCGGAATACCTGGGATTACAGGCGCTCGCCGCCACGCCCAGCTAGTTTTTTGTATTTTTGGTAGAGATGGGGTTTTGCCATGTTGGCCAGGCTGGCTCGAGCTCCTGACCTCAGGTGATTTGCCCGCCTCGGCGTCCCAAAGTGCTGGAATTACAGGTGTAAGCCACCGCGCCCAGCCATGTTCATATTTTTGTATGTGTACATTAGATAGTTGAGAGGAACACAGAGGTTAAGTAGTCTTACCCCTGAAATGTCTGAATTCAAACACTTATTAAGCACAAGGAAGGTGCTTAATAAATCCAATAACATGTGTTTTTACATTATTTCCTTAATTCCTGGTCAAAAGAATCCCACTAAAGTCCATCCTCAGAAGAACCACTTTTTGGAGTTTTTATGAATCAGTAGCTCATGGTGTACTCTCAACAGTTATGAATGGAATTAGGTCCTGCTAGAGGTCAGGGCCAGGTATGGAAAGATGAAGGGATTAGTCAGGAGACCTGGATGGGAGGAGGGGAAGACAGGTGCTTGGTCAGTCAGTTGTTTTGTGTTGGGCGAGTAACGTTTCTTAAGTTTTTGTCTGAGGTGTAAAGGGGGGACTACGCTCTGTCCTATCTAACTCACCTGAAGATGCAATAGCCGGGTGAGAGACTGCTTTCATTATGTGCTAACGTGAGGGATTACTTTAGATATTAATAGGAGAGAAGTGCAAGGAAAGGAAGTCTCAGGGTATGGAATGCTTTCCTGGCCATGGCTGCTGCGCGTCATAATCCCCTAACACAGTTAAGTGGTGGTTCTCATCGTCGTTCACCCTTACAGATGTCAGAGGGGAAAGAAAAATCCAACTCAAAACTTCCAATGACAGGCTTGTCTGTATTCAAACCAGTTCATCTCGTTCGCAGACTTTTTTGAAGCTATAAGCACAGAGCAAGCTTTCTGGGCGGGGCTCAGAAGTAAACGTTAAACTCCAGGGATTCATTTATTTGAGCACAGGACAGAGGAAGTTGCCCTGAAGCAACTGATTGTCATTGATATTCAGGGCTCGCTGTCAACCAGGACCTTCCAGGAACTGGCTCTGGGCCAAGAGCAGTAGAAATCACTGGGTGGTCCGCACAGCTCGCGGGCATCTAACCTGCTTCAAGGCTCAGGGCTAAAAGGGAGCCAGGGCCCTTCCTGGAGGCGGGAACCCAAGTGGGAGGCAGAGCGCCTGGGCCCGCTCCTCGATCTGCTGAGTGACGACCCTGTACAAGTCATTTCTCTTCCGAGAGCTTCAGTTTCCTCACGTGCCAAGCGGACGGGTTGGAAGTTGGTCTTTGCCAGCTCTGACACCTTGTAAGTTTTGAGTCTTGCTGGGAATCCAGGGCGGGGCTCACGAGGAAAATCTTGGAAGGGGATTTCATGGCTGGATCTCTTCCACTCAAGCTCAGTGCCCTAATTTGACGCCTTAATAGTAGACGCAGGCTTTTCCATTTTCCAGGAGCCCCCTGACGCGGCCGCTTCCTCCTACGTCTCCTTCCTCTTCCTCTAGCAGGGGCAAAGTCTCCACATCTCCCTCTTTCTCTTCCTCCTTTGCAAGCTCCCTGCATTCCCGCGTCTCCTCCTCTTCCTCCCAGGAAATGCAATGCCCTCAGTGCGCCCACCTTTTGGCAAAGCCACTGCCGGCTGCGGGTTTCCCCTCCCCCGCCAGGCGAGCTCTGCGCGGCGGCTTCGCGGGCACACGCCTTCCCATACCTTACATGGACAAATGCGTGCAGGCAAAGTCAGGAATTCAGGCCCCTGACGTCAGCCTCCAGCGCTCAGGGCACCGCACGGGAGACCAAGGGGAGGGGGTGGGGACGGTGGGGAGGAAGGAGGGGGAAAGGCACCAACCAGCAGCCGCTCCAGCCCTGCCGAAGTTTCACTTTTTGTCTGTGGGTTCGTTCCCGGGTCCCGCGCGAGCTTTCCCGGGATAAGTAGCTTTAGCGATCGGGAGACAGCCGGGCGCTGCAAGGTAAGGGCTGGCTGCACGGCCCGGGGCGCGGGGCGTGGGGCGCTGGGCGCGGGCGGCGCGCTCGAGGAGGCCAGTGTGGGGCGCGGGGCCGGGCCTGTCCGGGGCTGGGGACAATGGGAGGGGGAGTGCCCGGGCACCTCCTCCTCTGCCTCTGCCTCCGCCTCCAGCCGCCGCCGCCGCCGCCGCCGCCGCCACCACCACCGCCGCTGCCCCGGCTGCCTCCTCCCTGAGGTATTGTTGCAAATCCTTCCTTCCCCTCACCCTCCACCCGCGGGCGCCTCGGGAACCCCCAGCCCTCCCCCGGCGCGAGCGCCTCCGGGGTGGCAAGAGCGCAGGGCGCGCGCCCTGCTCTGGCCTGGCCCGCTGTGCGGAAGTGCCGGCCGCGGCCCAATCACGGGGTGCACGCCATGGGGGAGGGGGACCCAGAGTTTTTCCAAAAGCGTCGACCCCAGGCTAGGCGGGGTTGGAGCCTTGCGCGCCCCCTGCCCGGACTTTTCTGGGCGCCCAGGGGGCGGGGCCACGCCCATCCGCTTAGAGCTTTCGCGGAATCACAGTTGTCACAGCGGAAAGGGCCTAGACCCAGTCCTCCAAGTCCTCCCATTTTACAGTTGGGGCAGCTGAGGCCCAGAGAGAAGGAGGGTCGCCCGGAAGTTATTTACTAGAGGCCAGACCATAATTCAAATAGTTGGCTCCGGACTTAAGTTCCCTTTCTCTAAGCATTTCTCTAGCACCCTGTGTGTGGCAGACCCTGTGCTGGGTGTATTGGACGTTGCCCTCAAGGAACTCAGTTGAACCTGGGAGTCAAACCTGGCCTAGGGTAGAAAATGCTAAGTGCTGGAGCAAAGGCGTGGACAAAGTTAAAGGAAGTTCCAGGGAGGGGGTTTGATTTTCTGGTCCCTGGGACGGCCTTTTGGAGAGTCCTGCACTGAATGGGGTTTTTGGAGGTTGAGGAGTTTCCTGAAGCCAGCTAGCGGCTTGGAGGAAGACATCTCTTCGAGGGAACCGTGGGCCAGAGAAGACTAAGTAGTGTGGGAAATGGAGATGAAAGTATAAATATTCTTTAGTTGGAGGCAAGGGGTTGGGGATGGGGGAGGTTGTGATATGAGATGAGCTAATCAGTGGAATTGTGCCTGGGTGCTTGGACAGGGCAGAGTCTTTGGAACCTCGGAGTCGTAGGAGAACTGAAAAATCTCTCTGGCTTCCCTTCCCTTAGAAGGGATCCACTGCTTTCCCTCCCCCAACACAAAACAACTAGCGAGAACTCAGGGTCTTCTCTGGGGCTTTTGCTAGTACCAAACTCACTTAACTGTGTTTCCAGTCCCCTTTCTCTTTCCATTCCTTCCCCTTTTACTAAATCTCTTGCCTTTCCTGTAAAATTCACTCTCACTAAGGTGTTGATGACTTAATGGCTTACCTTTCCCTGCACATGTGCATTTTAAGAAAGCCTAAAGTGAAGAAGGGGAAAGTGTGGCTAGGCACCTTTACAAAGCATCTAGCTCCCTCTCCCATCCTCCCCCTTCCTCAACTCTTATAGATAGAAGAATAGGTAAAGGTCCACGAAGGTGGGTGCTAGACCTAGAGCCTATGGTCAATAATGGTGGACAGTGGGGGGTTAGGACATCCAATATGGTTTTCTCCACTTCGTCACCAGTTTTTCTGCTTGCACAGTTCCTGCCAGCACCAGGGGGCAGTTAAAGGAAAAAGTGTGTGGGCCAGGCACGGTGGCTCACGCCTGTAATCCCAGCACTTTGGGAGGCCAAGGCGGGCGGATTGCCTGAGCTCAGGAGTTAGAAACCAGCCTGGGCAACATGGCAAAACCCTGTCTCTACTAAAAATACAAAAAATTAGCTGGGTGTGGTGGCGGGGAACTGTAGTCCCAGCTACTCGGGAGGCTGAGGCAGGAGAATCGCTTGAACCCGGGAGGCAGAGGTTGCAGTGAGTTGAGATCACACCACTGCACTCTAGCCTGGGCGACAGAGGGAGACTGCCTCTCAAAAAAAACAAAAAACAACAACAACAAACAAAGGAGAGTGTGCATTTTTGCATTTAATTTCTACAATGCAGGCCCCAACCCCAACACCCAAAACTTTATAGTCTAGAATGTAGGCTCCAGAGGGGATTACCTATTCTGAATGGTAGGGGTAAAAGCCTGGGGCCTTAGGGTCTGGCAGTCCCCCCAGAGGCAGGCTCTCTGTAAGCAGCATGGGTCTAGAGTTGGTTTTGAGTGTACGCAGAGGGAGGAGAAGCTGAGCTGATGAGCTGATTGCTGTGGCTGGGACTTGAGTAGGATCTTTCTTAGAGTGACACATTCTGGTGAAGACAGTTCCAGGAAATGATGGACGGGAGAGGAAACTTGGTTATAAAGGGGCTTAAAAATGCCAGGCTAAGGAGTTTGGATATATCTTAAATTCATCATTTGAGGGTTTTGAGCAGGCTGAGACATGATTTAGAGGGGAGGTACTGGCATCGAGAAGCCCCCTGCTGCCCAATTCCAATGAGAGAGGTAATAATTTGGCCTAAGAATATTATTGGCTTGGCACGATGGCTCAAGCCTGTAATGCCAGCACTTTGGGAGGCTCGAGGCAGGTGGATCACCTGAGGTCAGGAGTTTAAGACAGCCTGGCCAACATCGTGAAACCCCGTCTCTACTAAAAATACAAAAATTAGCCGGGTGTGGTGGCATGTGCCTGTAGTAGTACCAGCTGCTTGGGAGGCTGCGGCAGGAGAATCACTTGAACCTGGGAAGAGGAGGTTGCAGTGAGCCGAGATTGCACCATTGCACTCTAGCCTGGGTGACAGAGTGAGACTCCATTTCCTCTGCTGCGCCCCACCCCCCCAAGAAAAATAATATTATCAATTGGTTCTTGTTCATTTACTCGACATAGGTTACTGAATACCTATTACGTACCATTGGCAAATATGAAAATTTTATAGCAGATTCCTGTATTTTATTGAGACAAATACGTTGTATCGAATCAATTGTAAAACACACTTTTTTCACATTTTAATATCACTGAAATGTGGTTGTCTTATTACAATGTACCATAGTTGTGCAGTTGTTTTTCATCCTAAGTTGGTAATGGCACATCTTATAGTTGATGGCTTAAATCTGATAAAATTGTTCATCATGTCGTTTATGAATGTACAGTGCTTTGCACTTTATAAAACACTTTCCAATCAGATACTCCATTTGAATCTCAAAGGTCCCCTGAGAATGAGGCCTGCTGCTGCTGTCACCTTTATTTTAACCCTTGCCCAAGGTCATATAGCTAATTAGGGATGTGTTCAAAATTACAACCCAGAACTTTTGCTTCTTGGTGGTGACGTGTGACTTTACCCTGCTGTTGAGCCAGTCTGGGTTAATTGGGAATGGGGCAAGAGTTAGATCGGATTTGATTTCAGAACTATGCTGAAGATGCTGGATGATGGGGATTTTGTACACGGGTAGAGTGTAACTCATAAGAACTGTGTAGCCCCCTTAGCACAGATATTTGCTGCATTAAGCAGAAAAAAGACAGGGAGATAGAAAATGGCAGGTAGCAGGTAAAACCCGGGGTTGGAGCCTGCTTACGGTGAACCAGAAACTGGCTTGGCCCTGAGCGTACAAAGATGAGGTGTACATGGTCCCTGCCTTTGAGGAGCACACAAGTGTGTGGTGTGTGTGAGGGGGAGGGAAAAAGGTGGAGTGGGGCATGTCCGTGTATTAAGTGCTTTTACAGGGTAAGTTTTGGCTGCTCTTCACTGAGAAGGCTCACCCTCAGGGAAACCACTATAGAGAGGGGGGTGTCTGAGCTGAACCTCTAGGAATGAGTAGGAGTTGTCCAGGTGGAAGAAGGACAGGTGAGAGAAGGACCTATTAGCAAGATAGTAGCAGATGCAGAAGCAGGGAGAAGCTGCTTTATTCTCCAGGCTGTGTTTTGAAAGGCCAGCCATGAAGAGGACCATGGAAAATGGAGAAAGAAGAGGGCCTTTACTTTTTAATAAGTAAGGTTTAAATTAATCTCGATAGGGGCCGTTAAGTGGTTCTGTAGAGATTCACAGGAGAATAAGGCTGGGTAGGGTCTCTAGCGTCATCTCTGTGGGAGTAGTTATTTGGATGGTAATGCAGGAGGCATAGTACCACTTTTAGTCTGAGTGAACCTGGGACTTTGACCCTGGGCCGCGATTAGAGGATCCAAGCTGAGTATGTTCATTGGTGGGTGGGACTTTTCCTGGAATCTGGCTTTGGAGGGCTGTGCTTTGCTAGAAGAAACTTAGTAGAGTGAGGAAGGGGAAGATATAATCATGTTGATGCATGCAGGAAGCTAGTATCTGGGTGAAAATCTGTTGGCTTGAGGGAACATATGAGGCGGAGAACCTGAGGGCAAGGGGAAGGGTGGAAGGATTTCAAGTGTGTTGTGGAAGTCTGCTGTAGGCTGCCTGGAGGCTTGGAGAAAAAGGCTGGTGCATTCTAAATGTTGGTCACATCAGTGAGATTGGTAGGTGGATAGGTAGCTGTAGGTAGTGTAGGGATTAATGTTTGGAAGCAGGTAAACCACAGAGTTGAGGCTGGAAAATGTTTCCTTTCCTATCATTCTTTTTTAATAGTAATATAATTTTGAAATATTTTCAAATGCTTACCACCTGTTATGTAATTATCATATTGATTCATTAAAGTAGGTTTTTTGATTACCAGTCTCATTTTGCAGATGAGAAAATGAATTTGGTGAAATAAGGTTACACAACTACCAGGAGGCATTCAAACTTCTGCCTCATTCTTATAGCCTCTTCACCACTCTTTTCTATGCCCACATGCATGAAAAGCTCAAATCGACATTGCTTGTCTGTGTTCTTCCCTGGAATTTAATTCAGCCCACATTCGTGGGGCCCTAGTGGGGTCACAATTGAGGATTCACATGGACAAACGGGCTTCTCAGTCCCACACTGGTGCTGTTCTAGCCCCTTTTTCTCTCTTAAGATGCTACCTTGGGTGTCGTCTCTCCCCAAACCTAACTGGAAAGGACTAAGCCTCTCTAGCAAATCATCTGCCTCTTTCAACAGAGCTCGCTTCCCCAGTCCCTTGTTGTGTTAAGAATGTGATTTATTCTTGTAGAGAGGCAGTTAGGGTCATAAAGTAACAGAGTGGGGAAGTGACAGTCTTGAACTCAGTCATTACCTTTGATCTCACGGCTCCGGTAACGGTGCTATATGTTCTCTGGTGCTGAACCATATAGCTTCTGCGTCCTCTAGGAAAGCTTTCTGGCTCAGGGCTCTGAGGGAACACCTACAATCCTTCCTATCACCTACCTGAGTCAGATGGGTCATCTACATTTTGGCCACTCACAGATAAAAGCATTAATAATCTGTTTATTGTGTTGTGAGAGGAGACAGACCCCAGGATGTTCAGTAGCTGTTTGGTGAATGAACAATGTTTATGGACACAAATAAGCATGCATCACCACTTCATCTTACATATTTGTGTGTCTGCCTCCTCTCCACTTTAAAATAAGCTGCTTGAGGATTGCAGTGATGTCTGCTTGTTGATGGCTGTATTCCCAATGCCCAGAAGAATGCCTGACACATGGTAGGCACTCCAGAAATACTTGCTTGATGAAGAGAGGGAGTAAAATAGTTCACTGCAGCCACAGGATAGCAATCATGGGGGAGCGGGACTGTTTTTACTGCCCCAGAACCTTGAGCCAGTTGTTGCTGGCACAGGTGGCATTGGGCAGTCCTGCCAGCAGAGTGAAGATTGAGGGACTGGGAGTGTAGAGCTGAGGGTTGTGAGATTAACTATGCCAAGGTTAATTGCAGTTGCAACTGCTCTTTCACTTTTCCCTCACACAGACAGGTGGTCTGGAACAGTCCTCTGTTTTCTTCTCTTTTGAGACAGAGTATTTTTTTGTTTGTTTGTTTGGTTTGTTTGTTTTGAGACACAGTCACACTTTGTCACACAAGCTGGAGTGCAGTGGCGCAATCTTGGCTCACTGCAACCTCCACCCCCTGGGTTCAAGTGATTCTCCTGCCTCAGCCTCCCAAGTAGCTGGGATTACAGGTGCCCGCCACCACTCCCGGCTAATTTTTGTATTTTTAATAGAGACGGAGTTTCACCATGTTGGCCAGGCGGTCTTGAACTCCTGACCTCGTGATCCACCTGCCTTGGTCTCCCAAAGTGCTGGGATTACAGGCGTGAGCCACCACGCTCAGCCTTGAGATGGAGTTTTACTCTTGTTGCCCAGGCTGTAGTGCAATGGCCCGATCTCGGCTCACTGCAACCTCCGCCTCCCAGGTTCCAGCGATTCTCCTACCTCAGCCTCCCAAGTAGCTGGGATTACAGGTGCCTGCTGGCACGCCTGGCTAATTTTTGTATTTTTGTGGAGATGGGGTTTCACCATGTTGGCCAGGCTGGTCTTGAACTCCTGACCTCAGGTGATCCGCTGGCCTTGGCCTCCCAAAGTGCTGGGATTACAGGAGTGAACCACTGTGCCCAGCCCTCTGTTTTCTTAATCCATGCCTTTTCTTATGCTGTTTTCTCTACCTGGAGTTTCCAGCCTTTCTGTCTCTGCCTGTTGTAAACCTGTGATTCTAGGATCAATATCAAAATCTACCTTGTGCCATGAAGCAATTTCCAGACTCCTTAACCCTTCCAACCCACACGTATCTGTGATCAGATACAACTCAATTTCATGTATTGAGTTCGGTACTTGTGTACAAAGTGATTACTGTATGCCAGGCAGAAATGCTAGATACTGGTTACAAAGAAAACTGAGATAGGCTCTGCCTTCCAGAGTCTTCCTTCTATCATAGGAAAGAAACTGAAAGAGAAGATGCTAAGGCTCTAATAAAGTAATGAGCAAAGGGCTAATGGGAACATGGAGAAAGGAGTGACCAATCATCTAGAAGAACTGGTGAATGCCTATGGAAAAGAAGACATTTGGTTGGGTTTTGAGAAGTGAATAGGAGTTTACATGGTGGATAGGAGTGGAAGAGCTTTCTAGCCATAGGGACCTTGGTGTATGTGCACAGGCCTGAGGCCTAAAAGTATTTGAGGAATATAAATGTGTGTTTGGAGATCACTGTGGGAGATGGGGCTGGCTAGGGAGGGTTAGTTGATAAAGAGCTGATGGGCCAAGCTAAGGATGATGGCAGAGGTGGGAGGGAGCAGGAAGGCTTTTATTATTATTATATTTTGAGCAAAGGAGGGCCTTGTTGGATCTGTATTTCAAAGAGCTCTGGTGGCAGACTGAGGGCAGGTTAAGACCAGAGGCAGAGTCCCAGCTTAGAAGGCTGCTGAAGTATTCCAGGACAGGAGAAATGGGCCTGTATCGGGTCAGCAGCGTACGGAGGGAAAAATGGATTCCAGAAACTGTTTGCTGCTAGAATAATATCAGGTAGCTTAATTCCTACTTTTGTCCTTCTAATTGTTTGACAGCTTATCCATCTTGGCTGGGGAAAAGAATTTTTTTAATGTACACCAAAGTTTGTAGTCAACAGGAGAAGCAGCAAGCTGCCAGCCAAGCATGGACTGGGGCCTTCTTGGCCAGAGTGAGCTGATCCCTTGTTATACAGATGAGGAAACTGAGGCCCCAGAAAAGGGACAGAGCTGCTCAATCACACCCTTGTCAGCTGAAGTGGAGTTGGGTCACAGCCTTTACTCCTAGGCCAGCCCTGTTTCCAGGTATTTTTCATTCTCAATTTCTGCTGTACCTCACACCTTCCTTCCCCACTCCACCCTCCACTAGGGGTTTCTCTGCTTTGGAGAATTTTAGGAGAGGATGTAACTTGGAAATTATGGTATCTTAGGCTTGAAACTTGCGCTTCATACTTAGAAAGCAATCAGATTAAGATGGTTCAGTTTGAGTGTGTGTGGTCTGGCGATTTATTTATGTAACTGCCATGGATGGCTGCCATTGATGCTTGTTTGTGAGAACCAAGCTATGCTTCCATGCTAATATCAAGGTTCCTTGCTTTTGACAGCTCCCTGCCCCTGCTCTCTACCATTCTCCATTAATATTTACTTATTTTTGCTTGCCTAGAAGTTTTTAGGCAATAGTTTTAGATCCATTACAAGGTAGATCCTCCTGTGTTTGTCTTCCCTATTGAACCTGCCCATCACAATGTATCTCACAGAAACCATGAGTATTTCATAGCCTTCATAGCACTTTTAATGTAGCAAATACATTTTATAATCATTTGTATTACTTTGTTCCCAAATATAATGCAAGAGACAAGTTGGCTAGATCAGTCTTATCTTGCAGATATTGGTCGGGAGTTCAAGGGTCATAAAACTTTCCTAACTGGGGTGCAGGGCCTTAAGTGGCAGAGTGAGAATCAAACCCCCCTCTCCAAAACTCCTGTCTTGTTCCTTAACTTTTGCAAATGAGCATAGTTGATGTGAACATCCCTGCAAGCCCTTTACACAGGTGAGAAGTAGTTATTATTATTTCACTAGTACTAATTAGTAGCATTAGGTGACTATATTCAAGGCTTTGGAAGGCAAGACTAAAAATCAGATTTGGGACAGGGAGTTCAAAGATCTGGGCTTCACCATACCGGATCATTTTGGCAATAGTGGTGATTTTTGGTGTAGGGAAAACAAAGACCTATGTTTGGGCTAACCACAAGCCCTGTGATCTTGAACAAGTTCTGGAACATCCCTGAGCCTAAATTACCTTTCAATGGAGATCCTGTGATCTATCACAATGCATTTGTGAGAATCAGGGGCATTTCTGTGATGGCGCTTTGTCAGTGGTAATGCAGTCTGTACATGTGTCCGATTCTGGGTGCCCAGCGGGGCATCTGGCACACAGTGATGACACCTTACTGTGCTTGTGGGGCTGAAAGGATTTAGACCTAGACAACTCCTAGTTCAAGTCCTCGTTGTGCTGTTTAATACAGGGTGCTCCCTTGGTGGTCACAGGCACTATTTGTTTTCTCCACGTATTCATTTTTAGATCTCTTATTAATGAGGTCACCACAGTTGAGTATAGTGTGCCCGCAAAAGTGGGATGAGTGCCACAGACATTCACGGGCATTTCCAGGTTGTGCGCTGATTTGTCACCAGTGGATGGCTGTGCAGTGTCCCTTCTTCCACTGCCACCATCCCACCTTCTCTTGGGTTTTGTTTGCACTGTTTGTATCTGTTACCCGTGGAGGGTCTGCTTCTACTGTTGTAATTGCTTGTGTTGTGACTTTGCATCATAGCTGGAGATCCCTCTGTAGTTCAAATGGAAAGCTGGTGTTGAAGGTGAAACCAGGTCTTCTTCAGAAACTTGTGTGGGAACCTTTCATGGGCTGGATAAGCATGAGGATCAGGACAGGGCAGGGTCACTGACCTTAAAGGAGGATGCTTTGACCTGCCTCCAGCATGCACCCTTCCTGCTGAAGCCATTGTTAGTGTCCCTTAATTACTCAGGCCACCACCCAGCAGCGCAACTGTCAACTTGCAGAGGACTTCAGTGGTATCAGTAGTGTTCCTTTTTACTCTCATAGGTGTCCTGATTCGGAGGATACGTTATATGGTCACCCTACTTATAGGTGAATATTGAGTGAGGTAGTGTAAATAATGTGCATAAGGCCAGGCATAAGGCAAGGACTCAACAAACATCCACTGTTTTTGTTAGAGGGGGTGCTAGGTGCTCAAGAAATGTCTGCTGAGTGGCCAGGCATGGTGGCTCACGCCTGTAGTCCCAGCACTTTGGGAGACTGAGTTGGGTGGATCACGTGAGGTCAGGAGTTTGAGACCAGCCTGGTCAACATGATTTAACCTCGTCTCTACTAAATATACAAAAAAAAAAAAAATTAGCCAGGTGTGGTAGTGGGCGCCTGTAATCCCAGCTACTCGGGAGGCTGAGGCAGGAGAATCGCTTGAACCCAGGAGGCTGAGGTTGCAGTGAGCCAGGATGGCACCACTGCACTCCAGCCTGGGCAATAGAGCAAGACTCTGTCTCCAAAAAAAAAAAAAAAAGTCTGCTGAATAAACTACATTTATAGAAGTGGAATTTAAGTTTGTTTGAAGGGTATGTCAAGATCGTAAGCACTTACTATTTATGAGGGTTGATAAAATCATGTTAATGTATATCTATAATATAAGAGAGTGCCGTGGGAGAGGCGCATGTGAAGGACTGATGGACTTGTGAATTGCTGGAGCCTTTTGGAAGTGCTGAGCCTTCAGTTAGACATTGAAGGATGGGAAGGCTTAGACCAGGATTCAGCAGGCAGCTGAATTGCTCTGGCTACTGAGAGTTAAGGAATAAGATTGGTTCTCTGTTCATGTGTGTACTTTAGCTGGGTCCCTGAATCTATTATTTTCCATCCAGTGGCCCATCTTGATAATGATCTCTAGCTGTAACCGTGGAAGCCTAATGCTCTACTAAACTCTGTGCCAAGAGGTCACAGTGGAAATTCATTTCCATTATGCAGAGTCATCTGCACTTGTACTTCCTAGTGAATTTCCACTGAAGATGGTTCTTGTTTAGTTCAAGGAAGAAAATAACTTGGTTGGCACCTGGAGCTTCTGTCTTGTTTGGTATGAAAACGAATCATTTTCAGGAAGTGCAATAAAGAGTTGCCACCCACAGGGCTGGGTGTGCCCTGACTCATGGGAAAGGCAAACTCTGCCCTGGCCAGGCAGGTAAGTGACACCTTTTCTTAGAATGAGGTGAAAGATAGGTCAGTGTTCCAGTAGGTGGTCATTGTCACCCTGGAAGTCTCTCTTCTTGGTCATAGTTTAATAGCTTTACCTGGAGAATATCTAGGGTTCCAGTAGTGACAGCTGGACAGGACCCTAAAGATAACATTCTTTCCATAAATTTGATACATTTGTGTATTCATTTGACATCGTGTATCAGGTGCATCTGTGAAAGAATTAGTGATATGTTACTCTGGGTTTCGACGATGGAAACGTGAATGCAGTGTGGTCTCTGCTTGCAAGAGGTCACATAAATCATCAAGACAGTATGTAGAAGTATATGCAAAAAATACCTGAAGGGGCTAGGTGCAGTAGCTCACATTGTAATCCCGGTACTTTGGGAGGCCGAGGCAGGAGGATCACTTGAGGCCCGGAGTTCAAGACCATCCTGGGTAATATAGCAAGATCCCATCTCTAAAAAAATAAAAATAAAAAAATTAGCCAGTGTGGTAGTGCATGCCTATAGTCCTAGCTGCTCAAGAGGCTGAGGCGGGAGGATCCCTTGAGCTCCAGAATTTGAGGCTGCAGTGAGCTATGATCATACCACTGCACTCCAGCTGGGGTTACAGAATAGACTCTGTCTGTCAGGAAAAAAAAAAAAGTCTGATGGCTCTAATTGGATGGTAACTCCCTAGGGACCTGGGGAAACTCAGATAAAGAGATTGTCATTTGATTGGGCATTGAAGGGTAAGTGGGAATTTGTTTGGTGGGATAGAGGATATTTAAGTGGGAGACATAACATGGATAGAGACATGGAGGTGAGAAAGTGCATGGTGCCTTGAAAAATTAGAGTCATGAAGGTGGACTGCATAGTAGAGAGGCTGTGGAGATGGGTTAGGGTCTACATTGAGAGAAACCTTTATTGCTGTACTGAGAAGTTGAGACTGCATTCTGAAAGGAGCATTGAGTAGATCAATGAGATGACTGGATCTGTGCCTTAAGAAAATAATCAGCTATAGTGTGCTAGACGGATTGAAGGCAAGGGTGCTAGAGACAGCAGGAGCTGTCTGAGCTGCTACAATAGCCCAGGCAAATGATAAAGCAAAACCGAATTAGGGTTGAGGCAGTCGATATGAGAGATGACTCACAGATAGAATAGAAGTCACAGAGTCTTCTCATTTTGCATAAGGGGAGACTCAGCACCTAAGAAAATTACACGTGCAAAGTTCACAGCCCTGGTCCCAGCGTAACACTGAGGTGATCTCGTCTGCCCAGTGTCTTAGACGGGTGACGGAACATACGGCTTTTGAGAGAACTGCTTGTCAAGGAAGATCTCCACCCTTTTTTATCTTGTAAGGATTCTGTGACATCTCTTAATTCTGAATGAGATGAGATGGCTCTTTCTGGAGTTACTGAATCTCTAATTGCTGGAGATATTCAAGCAGTGACTGACTGAACTGTTACCGTGAAAGTTCAGGCATTGGTTGAAAACTCCTCTGCGAGGTCTTTAAGACCTATCAACCCTGATTTTTTTTTTTCTTCTTTCTTCTTCTTCTTTCTTTTTGTTTTTTAAATTTAATTCCTGGGAAAAGAGACTTATAACAGTCTTATCTGGGAATGCTTTATCCATTTGGCTCCTCAGGATTATTTTAGACAAAAGGCAGAGAGAGTTAAAAATGGATGATTGAGCTCTAAGAATGGTGGCCTGTAGTTCATTCAGAGTAGTGATGGAACAACCATTTCGTTGCCAATAAATTAATGCTCACTCATGTGGGAGATATTGGTAGCTGGCTCAGCTTGCAGGATCCTGGTCAAAATGGACCATCCACATAGCATAATACTTATCTTGCTGTTGCCATTTCTTATAGGGCTTTATGGAAACATGTGTTTTCCTACAAATTACAGGTAAATCATACCAGTAGTCCTGCGGATGGTTATTATTATTGTCCAAGTTTAATCAGAAGCTTGAACCTGGGAAAGGTTAAATGATTTGCCCAGAACCCAAGCAAGTTAAACATTGAACCAGGACTTAAGTTTTCTATTATCGCAATGCCAGATTCTTCCTGTTCCCTGCCTGTGCAGATCTCTGAGTCCGGCTCTAGCTTTTGTTCATATTCATATCCACAGCATCTGCTGCAAATCCTGGGATGTTATAAATAATTTAATAAATGTTTATTGAATGAACATATGAATGAATGAATGAATGAATAATATATATGAAGTAATAAATGATGACTTGAGTTTTAAGAATAGCTTAAGAAATTAAAAAAACCACCACCACCTAATTGAGTACCTTCTTGGCACTTTGACTTTTCCTTATAGAGGTTACAGTTTTTGTGTCTTGCATTACGTGGTTATCGCTGAGGGATGTAGTAGAAACTACATGGATGGTTTGGAGAGTTAGAAGGTTTGGATTTAAATTATAGCTCTGCTAATTGTTAGCCATATAATCGTGTACTGGTTACTTAGCCTCTCTGAACTTCCAATTCCTCATCTCTAAAAGAGTGTAATAGTATCTTTCACATAACATGATTGTGGAAGGTATTCTATGGTCAGTGTAGTAAAGCCTCAAAGCCTGCCATGTTGGCCGGGCACGGTGGCTCAGGCCTGTAATCCTAGCACTTTGGGAGGCCGAGGCGGGCAGGTCACCTGAGGTCAGGAGCTCGAGACCAACCTAGCCAACAAAGCAAAATGCTGTCTCTACTAAAAATACAAAAATTAGCTGGGCATGGTGGCATGTGCCTTTAGTCCCAGCTACTTGGGAAGCTGAGGCAGTAGAATTGCTTGAACCCAGGAGGCAGAGGTTGCAGTGAGCTGAGATTGTGCCACCACTGTACTCTAGCCTGGGCAACGGAGCAAGACTCCACCACCACAAAACAAAACAAAACAAAACAAAACAAAACAAAACAAAGGCCTGCCATGCAGTGCCACTGAAAAATGTTATCTTTGTGTGTGTGTTGTTTTTTTTTTTTTTTAGGATTCTCTGTCAACCCATTAGCTAATAATGCACTCACTGTATTTTTCCTTTTATTTCTCCAAATTATGACCTATGGTAGACCCAGTGTTTGCTGACTGGCTAAATATGTTTTAAGTTCTTTCAGAGAAGAATTATAGCACAAAAGTCCCAACTATTTCTATGACTTTTCAGATCAGTTGCCAGTCAGCCTCCAGAAAGACTATTGACTTGCACAGTCATTAGCAGTATGTGAATCTACTTGTTTCTCTGTGCACTTACCAGGATTTAATTTTATAACTTGCATTTGTCTTTGCTAAATTAATATGTAAGAAATATCTTATTATTGTTTTAATTTGAATTTCTTTGATTACTAAAAAAATTTCCCAAGTAGTGGTTTATTGTTTGTGTTTCTCTTTATATGGATTGTCATATGACAATATTTAGAAATAGTCTGGGCTGAAGACGCTTGATATAAAAGGGCTAAAAATGTTTAATGTTTTGAGCTGCTTAAATTTATTTATTTGTGCATTCATTCATTCTCTCAGTCTTTATTGAGCTACCTACTCCGTGCCAGGCACGTGCTGCACATACTATGAAGAAAAAAATAAATGAATGAAAACAGTGACTTCCAACCTCTTCATTTAACATGTGTGATAGTTGAAGTCTAGAAAAGTGAGGTTAATTACCCAGGGCCGTACAGCTTGTTCAGTAGCAGAGCCAACCATTTATTTGAACAGTAATGATTTTAAATGTTTTGTGTCCATAGCCTTTTAAACCATGGCGACATCCTGGAAATTTCAGTATTGTGATGTTAAAGAACATCTCTAAACTGTGTCTACGTTGAAAAATCAGAGTCCTGATTTTTGGTTTAGAAAACATGGTCACCTGGTTCTTCAGTTGTAAATATAATTCCTTCCTAGACCTCTCTAATGCTTAAGTCTAAATTCATTCTTAAATGAATAAACTTAATATTAAAATAAGATCAGGAAGTAAATCCCAAGCCAAGCATTTCAGACCAGTTGTGAACCTCTTTTGACATGTTTTTGGTAAATGAGAAGAACTGATGACATATTTCCCTATCAAATAAAATAGACAATTTAGATTTAATAAGGCAGTTATCTTCAGGTAATAAAAATTCAACTAACTTGCCATAACTATCTTGTTTAAAGTCAATTAAGAGCCTCATATTTCTCACTTGCTGGGTAAAATTTAATAGAACTTCAGTTAAGCATTTATTGCTTATTTAATTCAAAATTAAGTTAATCACCACAGTTGGTAACAACCACTGAGTATTTAATTAACATTCAGCAAACTATCTTATTAAGTCTAAATTAGATACAGACAAGTCTTGTTTATCCCCATCAGTTTGCAAACACCACCTCCCCCACCTCCCATCCCAAGGGGCCTTTGGTTTTCCTACAGTTTTCCTTTTTTGATTCATCATTTTTATTTTCTTCTACTTAAGACTTCACTTGGGTGAAAGAGGAGAAGAGGCAGCAGTCCATCATGTTATAGAAACTTTGGGCTCGTAGTATAACTGAGAAACTTTTTCAATCTTTTCTTTTTTCTTCAATCCTATTCTATTAACATTTCGTTTTTCAAAAGGTATTGAGCACATTCTCTGTGAGAGGCTTCTTTTAAACCCTAAGGAAGCTATAAAAGAGGTCATTCTGACATATTTGGTTTTATTTTCTCATCCTAGAAATGAGAGGATTGGGTTTAGTTTATCCGTGTAACACGTATTATTGGCTTGCAGTGTGTAAGGCACTTAGCTGAGTGTTTGGATACACCTTGATTCAGACAAGGCCCCTGCTCTTAAAGAGGACACAGACCAGTGTGAAAGCTGCAAAGTTCAGCTGTAGGAACATGAAGGTCCTTTAGAATGCTGTGATTCTGTAAGACAGTATTTCCCAAAGTGTTAAGGCTGTTTTATTAAGAAAAGGGTCCTGTAGCCAAGTAAGTTTGGAAAAGTCCAAGTTAAACAAAATTAAGGAAATTTCAGTATTGTGTATCTTTACCATGGGATTTTGAGACTTTAATAAACGAATGCGCATTCTGACCTCCCGGAAGGTTTGTTTCCCAAAGTTATTTGATCATAGAACCCCTGCACCCCACTACTACCCTTTGTACCAGAGCATTTCCTGGGTTCAGTGATGTAATATGCTTTGGGGAAAGCTGCTGTGGGCCGTGGACCCTGGCCACGAACCTCCCACAGCCCAGAAGGGGTACTCAGACATTCACCCTAGTAACTATGATACAGGGTCAGAATTCTACTTTGTCTGAAAGTTGTGCACATAGAGTGGGTGATTTTAGACATAGAGTCTTTTAACTGGAGTGGAGGGTATGTAACCAGGACAGCCTTTCCTCATGGAGGAGCGCTGGGTCTAGCGGGAGATAGACTGTGTAGGCAGAGAGGCCTGGAGGGTTGCCAGAGCATCATCGGGAACAGAATAACAGTGAAATTCTGACATGGCTGATTTGGTGGAGACTCCCTAACACATTGATATAATGTAGACCAATTTTTATTATAGCCTGAATATGGAGAGGTAAGAGGCAATGAATTTTTTGGCGCAGAACTTTCTGCCTTCGGCTTTGTTCCAACTGCGTGACTGCCCATCTGCAGAAGTGATTGTTGATTCACGTCTGTAAGACATTTTCATTCTCATGCTTTGTTTGGGGCAGAGCCTCTGCCTTGTGAATCACTCTTATGAGAGGGAGTCTCAGTTTCTTTTCTTTTCTTTTCTTTTTTTTTTTTTTTTTTTGAGAGGGAGTCTCGCTCTATTGCCCAGGCTGGAGTGCAGTGGTATGATTTCGGCTGACTGCAACCTCCGCCTCCCAGGCTCAAGCAATTCCACTGCCTCAGCCTCCTGAGTAGCTGGGATTACAGGTGTGTCCCACCATGCCCAGCTAATTTTTTTGTATTTTTAGTAGAGATGGGGTTTCACCACGTTGGCCAGGCTGGTCTCAAACTTCCAACCTTGTGATCTGCCCGCCTCGATCTCACAAAGTGCTGAGATTACAGGTGTGAGCCACCATGCCCAGCCGAGGGAGTCTCAGCTTCTTCATCAACAGCATCATTCTAGTCAGTCTAGTTTCCGTTTACCTTGTCATCTACCACTTCCTCCAACTTACCTTCCCCCCAGCTTCTCTTATTCTGGTGAATCACCTGTGTCTTCATTTTTCATTCTTATTCATCTGAATCATCTTCTTCATCTAAGGCAAGGTACCCTTTTATATCTTCCTGGAAAGACATCTACTTCATTTAAAATAATGCTACCAATTTCCTCCCCTCTGGTAGCAACCAGCAGATGGAACATGCTAGATGAGGTAGAGGATAATCTACAAATCTGGTCTGCCATATCATGGGAGATTTCACGTAACAGTGAATTCTTTCAGAGCCTCTCAGCAATACCTTCCTTGTTTTTCATATCTGTATCAAAAGGAACACTGGCAAACCTGGGTTGTATTTCTCATTCCATTTTGGGCTTGAATTTTTCTGAGTCTGAGTCTCAGTTTATCTGTGTATGAAACGTTAGGGTTACGCTATGTGTACTCTCAGGGCCTTTTAACTAGAAAATGTTGAATTTGAATGTTTACTAAGTCAACACAAGCTGCAGTCACCCTGGATTGCTTGATCCTCCATGTACTTTTGAGCCTGGCAGTATGAGGAAACTCCTGCAGTGAGCATAGTTCATGCCTACACAAAGTAGGCATTCCATGAATATTGGTTCTCTTCCATCCTGACTGCTTCTGGATTCATTTTCTTTTTATTGCCATTGCTTTTTAGTCACCCAAGCTTATCTCTTTCTTGTCTACACCCTCAATGCTGTAAATCTTCCTTTCTCATTCTCCATCTGGATAGCTTCCTCTCTCCTCACCTTTTTCCCTTCAGGCTATGCCTATGGATGCTGTCCACTCTGAAACCTCCCAAAGACAAATGATTGCAATGGAGGCACAGATTGCCGGGTGGTGGTCCTGGCCAGCTACAAATCTTTCCAAGAGATTAGCACCATTTCTTTATGGAATCATATTGTTGTTCCATGAGTGAGACCAAGTCTTATCCTCAAGGATCCCATAATGGAGGTGAGATGCTTTCTTTTTGACACTTAGTGGAAACAACAGTCCATGAGGTATATTATCAATTGGAAAGGTGGGGTTTTTGCTTTCTAGGATTGGGCAATGCACTACTAGGTTCTCAGCGTGGATTCTTGAGTATCTAGGAAAACTGGTCATGTGGAAAGCTTAAGCTTATTTTGCAGGCCTTGAAAAGACAGCCTGCATGTTTCATTTCACTCTCTACCCGAACTGACACTTCAGGGATGAAAATGTCAGCAGACAGCCAGCAAGTAGCCGACTAGAGGGCATGATGTGGGCTGGTGGTGCAACTCTTCAAGGATGATATGCCAGAGAGGGCAGAACACAGTTAGGACAAGGCCAAGGATGTCATTCCCATGTGGAGAGGCCATTGGTAACCTCGGCGAGGTTTGGTTCTTCTCCAGTAGAGATTTTCAGAAGCTAAGAATTCACCTTGAGAGTCCTTTTTGCTTCCTCTTCTTTTGTATTAAACAAACTACTCACCTCTCAGTCTTTGCCTTTAGTCCTTTGGCTATTCCTGGTTAGATAGGCCCAATTCCAGAAGCATCTGGAAAACTCTGCTCTAAGTATGTAGTGCTTAAGGGCCAGAGCTCTGGAGCTACACTGCCTGGATTTGCATTCTGGCCTGCCAAAAATACCTCAACTTGTTGCTCAGTATTTTTAGGCCTCTGTTGCCTCATCCATAAAATAATAATAAGAAAATTACTTATCTTGTTGTGAGGATTAAATGAGTTAATACATATAAAGCCCTTAGAACAGAGCCTGACATGTGATAAGTGCCCATTAAATATTAGCCACTGTTATTATGTGTTACCCTTATTAAGTCACAAAATGGCGATTTGGAAAAGATAATAGAGATTATCTAAATGATTGTGTTTTTTTTGTTATTGTTGTCTTTTTAAATAAACTTTTAATTTTGGAGTAATTTTAGGTTGATAGAAAAGTAAAAATTGTACAGGGAATTTTCATATACTACTCACCCACTTGTCCTCATTTTTGATGTCTTACATTACTATGGAACGTTTGTCAAAACTAAGAAACTGATGTTGGTACATTACTGTGAACTAAACTCCAAACTATTTAGATTTCACCAGCTTTTCCACTAAGTTCCTCTTTCTGTTCCAAGATCTAGTCCAGGATACCCAGTTTAGGATCATTTTAAAACTTTCATCTTCTTTAATATTTATTTACTTATTTTTTTGAGACAAGGTCTTGCTCTGTCCCCTAGGCTGGGGTCCCCCACTTGTGTGATCATAGCTCACTGCAGCTTTGACCTTCTGGGTTCAAGCAATCCTCCCACCTCAGCCTCTGGGGTAGCTGGGACAACAGGTGCATGCCACCACACCCAGATAAATTTTTGTATTTTTTGTAGCGACAGGGTCTCACTGTGTTGCCCAGGCTGGTTTCAAACCCTTGGGCTCTAGCCATCCTCCTGCCTCAGCCTTTTAAACTGCTGGGATTACAGGTGTAAGCCACCACGCCTGGCCCATATTCCTTAATATTTAGAGAAGGATTCCTTATAGAAAAGCCTATTACAGGTCAGGCGCGGTGGCTCATGCCTGTAATCCCAGCACTTTGGGAGGCTGAGGCAGGCAGATCACCTGAGGTCAGGAGTTCGAGGCCAGCGTGGCTAACATGGAGAAAGCCCATCTCTATTTAAAAAAATACAAAAATTAGCCGGGTGTGGTGGCTCACGCCTGTAGTACCAGCTACTCAGGAGGCTGAGGAAGGAAAATCACTTGAACCTGAGAGGCAGAGGTTGCAGTGAGCTGAGATTGTGCCATTGTACTCCAGCCTGGGCAACAGAGTGACTCCGTCTCAAAAAAAACAAAAACAAAAAAAACAAACAAAAAAAACCAACCTGGGCAGCAGAGTGACTCCATCTCAAAAAAAAAGTAAGAAAGAAAAGCCTACTATGACGTATAATGTTGTAATCATGTAATCTGGAGCAGCTGCGGATGAAGTCGAGCAGGATGGGACCCACCTTTTTTTCTTCCCCTGATTTATCTCCCTGAAGGGCTCCAGCAAAGCAGGGCTTAAAAGTCACTGCATTGAGTCTCCTTGTTCTTAGGGGAAGAGACTGAGGCCCCCAAAAGTGAAGTGACAATGCTGGGAGAAGCTGGAAGCCCAGAGAAGATCAGAAAAGGATCTTCAAGATACCTTGATCCTGTCCTTGTTGAATAAATGAGTGAGCAACTATCGGGGACTCCCAAAAATTAGGGTTTGGATCCAGGCTCCTCCACCTTTCCCCTCATTTTTCCTTATCTGTAAAGTGGGTTCACTGATCAGTAATGTCTCATAGGACTTAACCCTCACAAAATGCCACAGTTTTACCCTGTGAAAGTTAAGCAAACCGTTGTGCCCACTTTTAGCACAGCCTGGAACGTAGTAGGTTCTCAATCAATGTTTGAAAAAGAAGCCTTGAAAATCAGGAAATTCTCCCCTTAGAACTTATTTCAAGAAGATTGGGACAAGCTGGTGCAAAACAAAGAAGAGTTATTCATGAGGAAATCTGTGACACTCAGGAATGGAACCAGTGTTTGAGTATCTGATAAGCAGGATATACTGTCTGTTTTTATTCTTGGAGGCTTTTATCATACAATACTACATTATGTTACAGTCTGACTTTCACACAAATTGGATCCCAAAACTTCTTACAGGAATTAAAAATACAAACTCGTGGGCAGTATGTGTTTTATAAATTACAGAAAACAGTAGTGTAAAGACATGGCATAGCAAGTGCAGCGAAGCGTGCGCAGGCATTGATACCCGAGGAACGCACGCATGAGGCAGCAGGGAAGGCACAGCATGCTGGGTGAGGCAGCAGGTGCACAGTTCTGTCCCTGGAGCCTGGAGAGATGGGGGAGGAGGGACATCTCTAGCTGGGAGGCTGGGTGAAGGAGCTGAACCCTGGAGACATAAATACCCTGTATATCTTCCTTATCCTGCCATTTATGGTCTTATTGAAGGGGGCCAGCTGACTTCTGAAACCTCATCTCCATTGCTTTCCCTCACTCTTGTCTTTGTTGCAGCACTTTCTGCATTTGGATTACCCTGCCCTGCCATCATTACCTGTTTGAATCCAATTGATCTTCAAGGTCCAGCATATTAATACCACCTCTTCCATGAAGCATGCCTTGATTTCTGCCCATCCCCCCTAAGCAGGAAATCATCACTTCCTCTTATGGTTCCATGGCCCTTTGTCTGTACTGCTTGCATGGCACTGATCACTTCTTACCTTCTCTTGTAGTTATCAATATGCTCGTCTTATTTTGGGCTTTTACTTCTTTAGGACCTTCTCGTCTGCCTGGAACTTGGCAAACAGTGAACATTTGTTGGATGGATGGACAGGTTTGACACTGCTGACACTAGACTCAAATTTAGTTTCTTTAGAGTAGAATTTTATTTTATTTTATATTTTTTGAGTCAGAGTCTCGCTCTGTCGCTCAGCCTGGAGTGCAGTCGTGGGTTCTTGGCTCACTGCAACTCCACCTCCTGGGTTCAGGCGATTCTCCTACCTCAGCCTCCCAAGTAGCTGGGATTACAGGTGCCTCCCACCATGCCTGGCTAGTTTTCTTTGTATTTTTAGTAGAGATGACATTTTGCCATGTTGCCCAGGCTGGTGTGAAACCCCTGACCTCAAGTGAGCCGCCTGCTTGGCCTCCCAAAGTGCTGGGATTACAGGCGTGAGCCACCACGCCCCACCTAGAGTAGAATTTTAACTTGCTTATCTTTACATCTCCCATGCTGGCACTGAGAAGGTGCACATTCATTCATTTCACAATAAAGTTTCAGGCACTATTTCAGCAGTAAACAGTCCATTTGTTGATAGTTAACACAGAGAAAATAGTACTCATTGGGATGTGTTTTTATACTTGTAAGGTCGATCTGGATTTGTTTGTTTGTTTTGATATGTAAGGACCAAGAAAGAAAAGGTTTGCTAATCTACGAGTATTTCTGGTGTAGAATGCAAATGCTCTCTTATTCCTTCAACTGGCTTTATACTAAAAAGAGATCACTGGGCTCAGAAAGGTCCTATTTTTCAGATAATACAGCAGTTCCTTACTGACTTGCCTCAGGAGTAAACTCCTTTTCCAATTTTTAAAAGGATAGTACCAGGATGCCACTGTGCTCATAGTTGGGCTTTTTTGTACATGTTAATTTTTTTTTTTTTAAATATAGTGACAGAATGCATACCACTGAGGTGGTAAATGGAAAAAATAAGTGCAGTGGAGTATACTGTCTGTTTCTTGGGGCCTTTTCTATTAATCACAGGAGGAAGCATCAGACATGACCAGATGAGAGAGCCAGATGACCCAAGTTCATGCCAGATCAAAATCAGAATGGCAAAATTGGGAGGAGTTGATGCTGTTGAATTGAGAAAGCATAAGGTTCTCAGAGTGATAGAGCTGGAAGGATCATAAAGGTCATCTAGTCTAATGGTTCTCAAACTCGAAGGAACATTAGGGTCATCCTGGAGAGTTTACTGGGCCCCGTCTCAGAGGTTCTGATGCTGTAAATCAGGCGGGACCCCTGAATTTTCATTTCTAAGAAGCTCACAGGTGCTACTAATGTTGAAGAGAACCTATGATCTAGTTCAACTTCTGGGATTTCTTGCTTTCTTTCTTTTGTAAAAAAAATAAATAAATAAATTTAAAAAAGAGTTTTTGAAGATGGGGAAATGAGGCCTGGAAATAGAAAAGATTTGCCTAGAGTCACACACACTGTCAGGTCAGGTAGAGTCAAAATCAGGCACCCCGACTCACAGACTGCTTCACATTGCCATCAGAGATTGTCCTGCAACAATATTATGTTTAGTTCTACTGCAGAATGATAACTGGATCTTACCCCCTTTGCCTGATCTGGCCACAAACTTGTTTTTCAGGTCTTTCCATTAGGCTCTCTTCAGCTAATTAAAAAAAAAAAAATCAGTTAACCCACATTTATTGACCAGTGCTGTGTGTTCACAACTGTATTTAGACTAGTGGTATAGCAGTGCAGTAGTCTGAAAACATTTTCTCATCTGTAAACAAAGACAGTCATACCTCCTAGGACTGCAAGAAGTCACTGAACATATACCTGGCCCTTAGTGTACACATTACTAAAGAGAATAAGATGTGGTCTGCACCCTCTCATGCACCAGTGGCTTCTTGAGCAGTATGATAGAGAGAGACAGCTGAGATTTAGTGGAAAAACACAAGGCTTAGAATTGGGAGAGCTGGGTTCAAGCCCCAGCTTTGCCACTAAATGGCTGTGTAGTCTTGAACAAGTCACCTGCCCTCTCTGAGCTATAATTTGAAATAGACTTAGCTTAAGCAACAGGAAAGCAGTAATGAGCTAGAGGAAGGATAGAAATTGGGAAGAAGTATAAATCTGCTTAGGAGATGGCAAGTTTGGGGCTGAGGTGGAATTGATCTGAGGGAGAGACCTGGTAGAAAGAGCTAGGCAGTATGAGGCTGAGTGTCTGAAGGGGTAGCAGGCCTGGGGGTGGTCCAGTGATGGTTGAATGGGTGGGCCAGCCCAGCGAGGGGATCGCCTGCAATCCAGTAGAGATGCCCTCATTTTCATGGCAGGGTCCCCCTGTGCCAGTAGACAGACCCAGGCCTGGGAAGGAGGGCTGGTTGAAGTGAGATGGATACCAGTCTTGGAGCATGGTTGGAGAATCTGTCCAGGGTGATGGCATCTGTTTTGGATTGGGGCCTTGAGGCACATTTTCAGTTCTGCTCCCTGGACCAGCATAGGAGGGTGGCAGACAGTACAGTGATTTGAATACAGGATTGATCCTGCCACCTTGATTTCTGCCTTTATTTAGCGGCAAAGACACTAGATCAGAAAAGTACTGGATGTGATTGCTGTAGTCTTTCATGATTGATTTAGGAGCTGGGAGAGGCCTGGCTAGGAGTTGGAGGATCCCTGGGAAGATGAAGATTAGGTCTTACGTGAGCCTCAGCCCTCTCCTCTGTAAAATGGGAGTAATGATGGTAATTATGCTGATGTTACCTATTCTGACTGGAGTAAGGATTAAAGTACTTGTCTGGAGGAAGGCACTTCATGGTTAAAACATGAAAAGAGAAGTGCACAGTGTTTTTATTACAGGGAAACACCAAAGAGCTGGAAAGGAATGAGGGCTGGAGAGATGGAGCTGCCCTGAGGACTCTGGGAGGTCATCCTGGGGGCAGAACTTTGACAGTTGCTGCCCGAGGTGGGACAGGGATGCTGGGAAGATGTGACGATGTGCATAAGTGTGTCATGTTCAAGATGGTTCTAAGCCCTGGCCAATTCCATACATGCTCTTTTCCTTTCTCATCCATAGAGGTTTTGGCAAAGGCATACTTGGGAGTGTTGATATAGCTGACACTGCAGCACCCTCAGTTTACAGGTGTGAGAAGAGTGAGGCTCCCACAGTCTCACTTGGACAGGTAGTCAGGGCTCTGATGGAGCTCCTGGAGTTTCTAGGTTCTCTGTCACTTGATAGTCAGTGCTGGGAGGGACCTCAGGGAATCAGCCAATTTCACAGATGGGGAGAGTGAGGCAGGTTGGGAATTCTGGCCCCAGTGGAGGGCACCACATGCCCACAGGGAAATGTCTTTCCCAGCCCCCTCCTCATGCTTCTCCTCTTTTCTGTCTGGAAGTCCTAGTTCTCCTCCTCACGCTGAGACCCAGGTAGGGTGATTGTCCATGTTTCTTCATTTATCTGTTTTTTTTCTGTTGCCCAGGGACTACTCTAAGCACCATGCTGGTTGCTGACTGTTCGCTTTTGCAAGATCTTGGAATCTCTGTTTGTTCACATCACAACTCAAGAGGATACGTTCTCATTCTCCCAATGTTTGTCTTCTGCCCATTGCATCAAATTGCTCTTCCTTGTTTGGAATTAAACTTCTAGCAATCATTTACCTTTATGGTTCTCTTAACTTCAGGTCACACTGTTGTTTAGTCAATGTGAGAATCTTTCAGATGTTCTGCACTTTGCAAAAGGATATTCACAGCCAATGTGTGCGGCAGTGAAGGACACTTGTTGATTCCTTATTTATTGTCTGCTGTTCCAGGGACCGGGGACTAGAGGTGAATAAAGCCTTGTTTGGGCTGTCTAGGATGTTGTGATCGACACAGGAAACAGACATGAAAGCCAAATTGGCGCAGTGGGTGAAGTATTGTAATACTGGTCTCTGTTTATGATATATGGAAGAAGTTTCCTAGTAGCAGGGTGGGTGAGAGAGTCCATCATCATTGCAGATTGGTGCCTCTGTGGACATGCAGGTATATTAGGCCAGAGGTGGGGAGTGGGAGAGAGAGGGAGAGAGAGAGCACGACAAAGAGAGAGAGAGAGAGTGAGCAAGAGAGAGGGAGGGAGAGAGACAGAGAGAGAGAGAGAGAGAGAGAGAGAGTGAGCAAGAGAGAGGGAGGGAGAGAGACAGAGAGAGAGAGAGAGAGAGAGGTTTTGAGAGCATTGATATGGGGTCTACATATTCCCCCCGGCCCCCATTCCCTATTATCATAGAAGCATGCTGCCCTCCAAGGCTTTTGAATTTGCCACCGTGAAGAGCATGCATGGAATCTTCGGCTGTGGCCTTGCATTGCCCCCTGTCTTCGCAGCGGAGCTTCTTTATCTGACCCGTGCATGTGCCTCTGATGAGCAGCCCTTCATCACAGCTCTGCGGCCTCCTCCTAGGCCCCCGCCTTCAGCTCTCCAGTTCATTTCCCGCCTTGTTCCCATTGCCACCTGCGGGCTTGGAGGGCCACCTGACATTCTGTCCTTTGGGTCCCCTGTGACTCCAGAGCTCCTTCCCTTCTGGGGCGCCCACATCTGCGACACGCTTGTTTGCCCAGTGCATTTTCTACACTTAGAGTTCCTCTCGTGCTCTCATATTTCCATTTAAAGCCCTCTCGAGAGGTCTGTCTCCTGCCAGCAGCATTCCTTCTAGTTTACTAGAACTCCATTTCTCATCCTGCCAGGAATCCAGCCGTGGAGTGAGCTTCAGCAAGCCTCTCTGCAGTCTCTTGTCTGCTCCAAAACTGTGGCCTCTGGTTGTGAGAAATGGGCATCCTGAGTCAGTGAGAGCAGTAGTTAGCTTGCAGCAGCTTCCCCTCTCCCCCTGAGTGAGCCTTTCTTCCTCTTCCTCCTCTTTCATTCAGCCTCATCCTGCCTTGGGTCCATTTGACAGATAATGGCACCTTGAGGCCTTGTCTTTTGCATGGCATCTGTGCCTGACTGGTCAGAAATTACTTGTGAAGCAACATAGGGGGTTGTTGGTTGGGTCCACTTTTAGGATGAAGTCAGAAGGGATCGTGAGTGATGCTTGGCCAATAAGAATGTATTGATTTGATTTACTAATTAATTTCATTTCCAGACACCAATATATGCATAGCCTTGTTTGAAGAAAATTAAGGAGAACCATTTTGTAAATGGCAATGAGTGTAAGACACTTAACTATCTTCCTGCTCTCCCTGGCGTGGGCTTCCGCGCTCCCTGACTCTGCTTTTATTTAAGGTGTCTGGGAAGGCATTTGTCCTTCGGCTTCCCAGCTGGCTTCTTGCCTTCTCACTCACTGCCTCCCGTAGCCTGTGGGCAGAATCCCTCACCGTGCCCACCTTGCCCTGCTCTCGTCTGACCTCACCTCTGTTTCCAGGATTTGCTATGGCTGTCCCCTGCCAGTCATGCTCTGTGCTTGCTACTCTGAGTGTGTCCCTGGTCCCACTCTCTTGCAGCCTCTGTGTCTTAGCACATGCTGCCCTGATGGCCCAAGGGCCCTTCCCCTTTGTTTCTGTCTGGGGAATGTTCTGTCTCCTCTTTCTTGAACCTCCTTATATTCCCTCAAGAAGACTTAAGGCAAAAACAAACCTGAACTTACTATGTGTGGTATTTTTGTGTTATAAGTGTAGGACCTAGTCATAGTAACACATTTCAAAAATATGGAACCGTATAAAGAAAATGAGCATCACTCATAAATCACTATTTAGACACAAGCATTGTTTACGTTTCTAATATTCTTTCTTTAGTGGTGCTTTTCATGATTTTATGTGCATTTGCATTTTACTGACTAAATATTACTATATAAACATTTTCATATCTTGCCACTTCACCTAACAATACAGCACAAGCAGCTTCTCATGGCATTAAGAATTGTTTGTACATGTAATTTTGAATGGCTGTATGCTGTTTCATCTTAAGAATATACCATAATTCTAATTTTTCATCATTATAAATAGCACTGTGACGAACATCCTTCTTAACAAAATTCTTTGTCTGCACCTATGATTATTTTCTAAGGTAGATTATTAGAATTTGAAATGCCTTGCACAAAGGACAGTAACTTTTTCACCCTTAGTTTCAGAGAGAACATGTTGTCTCTGGAGAAACACAGAAACATGAAAAAGCACAAAGAAGAAAATAGGCCTGGCACGGTGGCTCATGCCTGTAATCTCAGCACTTTTGGAGGCCGAGGTGGGCGGATCACGAGGTCAGGGATTCGAGACCAGCCTGGCCAATATGGTGAAACCCCGTCTCTACTAAAAATACAAAAACTAGCTGGACTTGGTAGCGCATGCCTGTAATCCCAGCTACTCAGGAGGCTGAGACAGGAGAATTGCTTGAATCCGGGAGGCAGAGGTTGCAGTGAGCTGAGATTGTATCACTGCACTCCAGCCTGGGTGACAAAGTGAAATTCCGTCTCAAAAAAAAAAAAAAAAAAGAAGAAGAAAATAAAAACCACCTGCAGTCATTTGCAACAGCCAGTGTGAAATTTGCTACATAATTGTATCTGTGTATCTATCTTTCTACCCTACAGGTTGCCAAACATTTTCTGTAAAGGACTGGGTAGTAAATATTTTAGGCCTTGCAGGCCATACATGGTCTCTGTCTCCTCCTCCTCTTGTTTCCGCTGCTGCTTCAAGATTCTTTTAACTATAGAAAAATTATTTCTCGCTAGTAAGCTGTATAAATATCAGTTTTCCCACCTGGTTCTAGCCTCAAAAGTGGAGCAATTCTGTACATACTTTGAAAGCAATGTTTAAAAATTTATTTAATTTAATTAATTAAAAAATTAATTGGTTACTTTTTAGAGACAGGGTCACTCTCTGTTGCTCAGGCTGGAGCACAGTGGCATGAGCATAGCTCACTGCAGCCTTGGAAATCCTGGGCTCAATCAATTCTTCTGCCTCAGCCTCCCAAGTAGTTGGGACTACAGGTGCACGCCACTGCACCTGGCCATGTACATACTGTTTTGTAATTGTTCTCTTCCACAATTTAACTACTTCATCAGCGTCCTCATAGTTTTCTGTTTTAGGCAACCCAGATATAATTACTGGCTTTCTGCTGGGATGCCCACAGCACTTTGGCCAGATCTCTGATATAGAATTTAAGGCACATTTTATTGCGAGTATTTGCTGAGATGTCTCTTTCTTAAGTCTAACTCCTCGTGAGTCTTTCCAGCCTCAGCACATTTCCTGAGTGGTGCTTAATAGATGCTCAGCAAATCTGTGTGGAACGATTGCCTTAGGCTGCAAGTTTATCCCTTCACAATGCCTACATTTAGATTGCAACTCCAGGCTTGCTCCTTGGGCCAGCAGCATCAGTATCACTTAGCACTTGTTACCAGTGGAGACTCTCGGTCTCACCCCAGAATCTATGTCTTTAGGTGTTGCTGAAAGTTTGAGAAGCATTACTGTAGAGCTCACCTCTGCTATATTCATCATGTACTTATTTATAGTCATCCCTACCTCGTTCTTTTCATTGGTCGGAACTTCCTGTGACTAGACCATGGGTATTCCTTAATTGACTGACACAATTTGTTTCACATACAGCACCAGCTGCCATCTGGCCTAGTGAGACCTATGTGGCTGCCATTGTTTTTGGCTGGGAGTGGTTGTGATAGATAGAGGAGGGAGCAAATATTTAATTAGCACCTGCTATGTGCCAAGTCCTGTGCCCAGCTCTTTACACACATTCTTCCAAGGGTGAGACATGATGGTGTTTGCTGAAGGGAACATAGGGATCTTTAAGTCCAGTGATTTTTAACCAGCTAAAGAATTGAATATATATATATAACATATGCACATAATATATATACATATATGTACATATATTATATATGTGCATATATAATATATGTACATATACAATATATGCACATATATAATATATGTACATATAATATACATACACACACATGCCCAGCCCTTACTCCAGTCTAGAATCAAAATCTCTGAGAAGTAGACCTGGTCAAGAGTACTTAGAGAAAATTCCCTCAGTGTTTCCATTGTACATTGCTGGTGAAAAACCAATGGTCTAGGCCAGCATCCTATTGTACAGATGAGAAAGGTGAGGCCCAAAGAGGTCAATGAGCATCCCAAGGTCACATAAATTTAATAGCAAGGCCAGACCTAGATTTTGTACTATCTGCCTGAGGACACACTTCACATTACCTGAGCTGCTTCTGACCTGCAGTGTTGGGGTGGAAGTAGAAGTGGGTGAAGAGGTTGAACTCTTGTCCTCGGATCTCTGAGCTTGATTGGGCAGCTGGGAGTGTAGAAAACAGGCACCACGTCCTGGAGTATCCTTTCCATTCCCCCTCCACCTTTGCCCACCTTCCTTATGTCCTCTTTGGGGCTATGATTGAAGAGGCTTGAGACATTGAAGAGCATCAATATCTACTGCTCTAAGTGACCCAGGCAGCTGCTGTGACATCTGGTGTCTTCCTTTATCTTTGTAGAGTCATGGGCAGCACCTGTAAAGGCAGGTGTGAAAGAAGCTTTGTTCTGATTCTTTTTTCACTGTCCCCTCTGTATCAGACACTGTCATGGGAGCCCCCGGTCAACTTCTTGCTTCCAGTTGTGCCCAGCCAGCAGCAAACAGAATGAGACATCAGCTGAAGCTTTTCAAAGACATCCTGTGGAAGGGCATACAGACTTCATGTAGTGGCCAAGGGTGTGATTAGCACTGATTACGTGGCAAAGCGGAATAGAACTAATGACCATGATAGCTGCCATTTACCCAGTGCTCACTGTGCCAGGCACTCTGCTTGAATCATTTCCCGTAATCCTGTAACAGCCATGGGAGGGGGTGGGAGTGGGAGGGGGTGTGCTGGGGAGGTTTTATGGCCTCCCATAAGTGGCAAGCTGGGATGTGAACCCAGTTCTGCTTGATTTTAAAGTCCATGACCTTAATTGTCGTACTACACTGCTTTCCTAGCTGGATATGTGCTTATACCTTCTAACCTGCCACTGCTAGGAATTTAAGCAAAAAGCCCATAGAGATAGACTGAACTAGTGTGTAAGGACCTATGGTAGCAGATGTCAAAAATGGAGTGGACTGTATCAATTGGTATAAGATTTCCAGTTGCTGGAGGTGTTCAGGCAGGGACCACGGTACCTCCTTGTGGGAGACTATCAAATGGAAGATTTGACTGGCCATCGCAGTGCCTCTGGGATTCTAATTCATCGGGGCTTCCAAGATATGAATTTGTTTGGAAGATTCTGTCATAGAGCAATAAAATGTACTTTGGGTAAAAATCTGTGGATAGGGCATTGGTGAGGCTCTGAAGGATTTGATTTTGCACGGACTACTTCCAGCACCGAGAGTCCTGCTGCTGGGGTTTCTTAGTGCCTGCCATGTGCCCTGCACTGTTTGGCTCTGGCTGGGCCCCAGATGTGAGAACTTTCCCACAAGGAGCTCCCCATCCAGGAGGGAAGGGAGAGCATGCTGTCACTGAAAGATAAACTATCCAGTGCCAGGGAGTGTGGGGAGAGAGACAAGTGTGCTGCCTGGGGAGCTTACACGAAGGATGCATTCAATGAACCAGGAAATTTGTTTTTTAAATATTGGATTTGAACTGGGCTTTGAAGGCTATATGGCATTCCTTTAGGTTGTAGGAAGGTGGTATCGGGTCACCATACTGAGCTGTGTGGTGGGAAAAGCAGGTCGGACCCTAATGTGAGCCTTGAGTAATAAGGAATTGAAGAGTGAGCCTCCTGGGCTTCTTTTTAAAGTGAATAGGGCTCCGGTAAACTTTTTTTTTTTTTTTTTTTTAGGATAGTAGAGAAAGAGCAGGGGTACATTTTGTAATTCAATAAGCATTTGCATTGAGGCCACTGTGACTGGAGCAAGCTGAGCCCACCTCTGTTAATGACTAAGAGTTAGCCTGAAGGAGATGTAGGTTGGGCAGGGCCTACCAGGAAGGGGGACTGGCTGGTGTAGGTAAAGGGGCAGTGCAGTGTCAGCACCTAGGTTTCGAAAGGCTCCAGATGCTGAGATGGTGACAGGGTCTTGGACGTAAGAAGAGAGAGCTATGAAACACAGGCACAGGTACAGTGTGAAATTTTGGAAATCCCTAAAAATGAAGCCAATGGGAGTGCTGCTGTGAACTGTGATACGTGTTTGCACCTGGCCACTGGCATATCTTCTATCTCTGTTTGCAGAGACGCCTTCTTTTTATACTTCTTTTGATGGTAGAGGAGGAAAGGACTTGAGTCTTAGAGCCAAGGAGGCCTGGTTTTGAAATTGTCCTCTGTTAATTTACAGCTCTGTGACCTCGAGAATGTTGTTTCTCCTCCCTGAGTTGCAGACTCTTCATCTGTGAAATCGGGGAGCGGGCGGGGTGGGGGGAATATTCTTACCCTGTAGGGCACAGGTTGCAGGGAAGGAGAGAATATCCACTGAGTCCAGTAAATGCAAGTCAGGAACATTAATCTTCTTCACTCGCTCTTGTTTTATCCAGAGTAGATAACTCTGTTTTCCCCCTATATACCCCACAGTTTATAGAGTGGATAACTCTCTTTTCCCCCTATATACCCCACAGTTTATAGAGTGGATAACTCTCTTTTCCCCCTATATACCCCACAGTTCATAGAGTGGATAATTCTCTTTTCCCTCTATATACCCCACAGTTTATTGCGTGGATAACTCTCTTTTCCCCTACATACCCTGGCTGACTTTGTGCCTTTGCCCGTGTAATTTCTACCTTCCAGAAAGCTACTTTTTCTTCACATGTTTCAATCATTTCCATTTGTTTGGGTCAAGCCTCTGCATGGTTCCTTGGACACTCTCCCTAGGAATCCCAACGGGCAGCGGCTTCCCTTCTGTCGTTCTCTCATGGTGTGGGTAATTGTTGACCTAATGTTATGTTTTGTGTTTACACCCCTCTCACCTGTCAGCTGCCTGAGATCAAAGTTCTGATTCATGTCTCCCCTCTCTGCAGCACTCAGCATGAAGCCTGGCACATAGCGGGTGCCCATAAATGGGTCTTAAATGACTGAGAAAAAGAAGCGATCAGGCTGACAACTGGCATTTCCCTGGCTTTAGAAACCTGAGAGAAGAAAAGCTGGTGTAGGAAAGGAGTGTCAGGCCTGCGGCTTCCTATTTCCTCATTCAGGGCACAGGTTGGGCTTGCCCGGAGCCATAGTTCTTGAGACTTAACCACCTCAGGCCTAAATCTGCCTTCTTTAATTACCTCCTTTCCAGGGAACAGGAGTCCTTGTTGTCTGCCCAGAGCTGCTAAATATAGCTCCAACCCCCAGGCCTTGGTGTGCTTCTGGGCCACAGTGCTGCACAGCCTGAGATGTCTGTTGATTTTGGGGTTTCCTCAGGGATTCTTTACATTTTCAAGTTTTCATAAGGGACTGCTTCTTATTTTGAAGCCAGCAAAGAGACTTGAAGGGCACAGAGTGTTGAAAATTTTATAGGAGGATGCTAGGAGAGAGTTAAAGAGCTTGGGTAGAGAAGGGGAAAGAGAAGTTCTTAAAAGAGGGCTAGGTGGCTTAAAAAGACGACCTTGTCATGCATTTAATGATCTTCAAAAGAGTGACATCTTGTAATGGTTTTCCCAGGAAAGCCCCTTCACATTTGACTTTTGTGACCTCTTGGTCCTGCTGTTGGCAGTTAATCCTTTCTAGCTTGAAATAATTTTTTTCTAAGTTTTTTTTTTTTTAATTTAAAAGGTGCTATAATACAGGCTTACAGTAAAAATAAAATAATGCGGAAGTGTTTACAATAAAACAGTAATTTCCTGTCCCATCTCTTCCCAAACCGGTTCCATTACCCATAGTCAACCACTTGTAACCATTTTTTGTTTTTGAGTTTTTTTGGTGGTTACTATCATATTTCTAAATAATATGCTTCTGTCTCATGCTTGAGTTACTAGTTTTAGATATGCCTATTAAACTTTATTTTATGATAGGTAAGGACTATTTATTTATATCCAATTGGTCCTTCCCAGTTCTCTTCCCAAGTCTTGACAGTTACATTTCTACTTTTATTCTTTGTGGTTTCCTTTATGTTTACAGAATATGCATAAATCTCAGTCTTTTGCTATATGAACTTTTGACAGTTTCGCTTCACTCACTATTTTGTAAGATGAAGATATTAGAGTTTCCCTCCACTTTTCCTCTCCACATTTACCCTTCAACTTGTCAATAATGTTTTAGGTTACCTTTTGCATCTCGAGGGTTTATAATGGATACATGCATATAGGCACATGTATATATTAATGGTTTTATACGTATAGCTAAGTCATCTGTGCTCTGTGGTTTGATTGCAAAAGCTGAAAAAATAAATAATATTTACATTATGATTTCTAGGTAAATATTGCTTAATACAGGGCTAAGTCATGTGCTGTGGTTTCATTTCCTTTTCTGGGGTTCTGAGGTCACCACCTTTAAGCCACTTATAGGAGACTGAACTTTCCCTTAGCATCAAAATCTAATAGATGATTGTAATTTTTTCTGTAGTTGTTCAGAGTCATTCTACATTTTGTTTATTTTATTTCTATAGTAAATAGATAATAAATAAGCTTCTTATTATAATTTCTTCTTATTTCTTAAAATTTTAGGCTGTATTTTGTTTTTGTTGAGAGAAAAAATTAGCATTTTCTACCATATCTCTTATGTATTCTGTCGTTCTCTTGTCTGCTTGGAGTCTGTTCTGTGTGTCTTCTTCAAGTTCCAGCAACTTTTTCTCTTATTTTGGACTGGTTTCTCCATATCTGGGCTATAATTTCTTACGCAGTTTCCCCCTCTTCCCTCCCACAAAGTTTCTAATTGCTTCCTTTTATTTAAACCCCTGTGTTTTTATTATGGTTTCAGATATTTCCAGGCTTTCATGGAGGCATTCTTCTGGAGCTCCTGAGTAATGTCATTATCTGTTAGTCATCATTATTAATATTCAGAAGCAGATATGTTATTAAAATATTATTCACCAATTTTTTAATACCAGGCAGTTTTGTTTGCTCTTTCTTTTTTTTCTCTACTGAATATTCATAGACATTCTAGTTTATTTTTTAATTCCTATATATTTAATAGCCACTCTCCTAGTCCACTGAGTGGATGTACTATTTTTAAAATTTAGCCATTTACATATTGTTGAATGGGAGTTATTGCCAGTTATTTGCTCTTATAAATAATACTCTTTTGAACATTTTTATGCATAAAGCCTTTTCATTAAATTATTTTATATGAATTCTTCATAGGGGAAGAAAACTGGAAAGCCTGTGTCATCATCTTTGAGGACATATGCCAGTTGACTACAATGGTGCTAGGTTTTAGTGGGGATCACTTGGCATTTCTTACTTAAGATCCTCTTTTTTCCTTTTGGAAAGGAGCAGTAAGAATTGGGAGGGGAGTACCACCTCTGAATCAGCACATTTAGTTTTCTTGGCAGCTTTTGGAAGATATAATGTATTGGGACTTATTGCAAAGTTGGTACTGCCTAGTAATTCACTGAGTTATCACCCTCCTTAAAGGAGTCCCCAGGGGTCAGCCAACACTCCATGACTTAGGCCCATGATGCTCTTGTCACCTAAAATCTTTGTATAACAATTATTTGGCGAAGTGTTATTCAGCATGATCATCTCCAACTGGATCATCACCCTTATTCACTGGAATTGTTTCTCGGTGACTTTGGGAAAAACCAGATTCATTCTTAAAACTCAAAGAGGAATTCCCATTGAGAATATGCTACAAGATCTACAACTGCTTCTACACGTGGTATATAAGGAAGGGTTTGAGGAATGGCAGGTTGTTAGAATGAATGGACTGCTGGGAAGAAATACATAGTGATGGGAAGCATGGTAATTGATGTATTGAAGATGCTGCATCATTGTTGGTCACCCTGCACCATGGTATTACTATAAAACTTCATCAGGCTAGCAACATTTACTCTATGGTTATGGATGAAATCTGCATCACATAATTACACAAAAATAGGATCCTTGTCTTTGAAAAGCTTAACAATTCATAGATGAACACTGATCATACTAAAAGAATATGTACCTGTTGCCCTATGGAAAAGACCTAAGCTTAATGACTCACAGTCTAATTATTTTGGTTAGTGGGTGATAATGTATTGGAGGTGATGATGAGACACATACATCCAAAATCTCACAGCTTGGAGAGGATGTGGTCCAACAGTGCTATTTTATTTATTTATTTATTTGAGACAGGGTCCCACTCTGTCACCCAGGCTGGAATGCACTGGCATGACTGAGGCTCACTGAAGCCTCAACCACCTCAGGCTCAGTTTGTCTTCCCACCTCAGCTTCCTGAGTAGCTGAGACTACAAGCATGTGCCATCATGCCCAGCTAAGTTTTGTATTTTTTAATAGTGACAGGGTTTCACCATGTTTCCCAGGCTGGTCTCAAACTCCTGAGCTCAAGTGAGCCTCCTACCTTGGCCTCCCAAAGCACTGGCATTACAGGCATGAGCCACCGCACTAGGCCCATAAGGAAGAGTTTCTGAGATGTGCGAGAGTGATAGGCAGGCCAGGGCCCTCTCTCAGGATATAATTGGGGCCACGCTGTGGTTTCTGATATTTGAGGAATTTGGAATTCTGATTTATTTTTGCCTAAGACACCTCATTCTCTGGAATACAAATTCCACATCTATAAAATGATAGGGTTGTATCTGATGGCCTGGGCTTTGTAAACCCTTCTGTTCTGAGTTCCATAACTCTGTGATTCTGGGTTCTGTCCCAAGTCCAAGATGATTTGAAAAGAATAAAAAAAAAAGACCTTGCTGAATCAGTACCAGCGTCACCTGCTTCAGTCTGGCTGGGAAGTAGGTCAGAACTTGGCAGACACGAGAATGTGGTTGGCTCCAACTGTGAGCTCTGCCAGGGTCCTTTGTAGACACCTGCCTTAGAAAGGGTCTGTGAAAGAGGGGGGTGCTGACACTCGGAGGTGGGGAAGGGTTTATTTTTGGCTGTAGATGCTGCAAGCGAAGAGGGGTGATTGATGAGAGGAGGTATTGGGGGACAGGGAATGAAAGACTGAAAGAAGGAGAGGAGCAGGCACGTATTGGGTGCATAACTTGTGTGGAGAAATGGCCAATATTTTTTTTACTCCTCCCACACACACTGTAACGTAGGTGGTAGGTGTCATTCTGTGGATTTTTTTTTTTTTTTTTTGAGATGAAGTTTCGCTCTGTCACCCAGGCTGGAGTGCAGTGGCATGATCTTGACTCACTGTAACCTCTGCCTCCTGGGTTCAAGCAATTCTCCCTGCCTCAGCATCCCGAGTAGCTGGGATTATAGGCATGGGCCACCATGCCTGGCTAAGTTTTGTATTTTTTTAGTAGAGACGGGGTTTCACCGTGTTGGTCAGGCTGGTCTTGAACTCCTGACCTCATGTGATCCGCCCGCCTCGGCCTCCCAAAGTGCTGGGATTACAGGCCTGAGCCACCGTGCCTGGCCCATTCTTTGGATTTTAATTATGAGGAGATTGAGGCTTGGAGATGTTTAGGTACCTGTCCAGCTAGGCTGCTGGTAAGTGAGGGAGAAGGAGTCAATGTGGGGTCTGACTCCATGTCGCCTCTTCCTTTCACGCTCTAACTGTGCCATGCTCTGTTCTAGGCACTGGGGATATAGTGATGAAGGAGGCAGGCAAAGTCCATGGTCTCATAAGTGCTTGCATTCTAGGAGGCAAGACAGACAACAAAGTAAACAGGTGCATATTTCAGAGGGTGACAAGCGCTAAGCAGCAGAGTATGACAGCAGTAGAAGGCAGGAGTGACAGAGTTGCATGTTGTGTTTTTACATCCTAGTCCATAAGATTGTGCACTGAGATGAGCTGATCTGAGGAAACCAACAGCTCTAGAGTAAGATTCTTGAGGTTAGAATTTAGCCCCGGCCATAATGTGAACCAACTGTGAAAGTTGAGCAAGTCACCTCCCCATCATTGTTAAAATGAAGGAAAATAATCCCTGTTCTTCTTATTTCACTAGATGATGAAAGAAGATGAAGTGAATAAGTTTGATGTGCCACCATTTTTAAAACTCTGGTTGGGGCCAGGCGTGGTGGCTCACGCCTGTAATCCCAGCACTTTGGGGGGCCGAGGCAGGTGGATCACGAGGTCAGAGATTCGAGACCAGCCTGGCCAACATGGTGAATCCCCATCTCTACTAAAAATACAAAAATTAGCTGGGAGTGGTATTGCATGCCTGTAATCCCAGCCACTTGAGAGGCTGAGATGTGAGAATCACTTGAACCCAGGAGGCCAAGGTTGCAGTGAGCTGAGATCGTGCCACTGCACTCTAGCCTGGGCGACAGAGCAAGACTTTGTCTCAAAACAGAAACAAAAACAAACAAAAAACCCAGTTGGTTTTAAAAATACAAGGAGCTGTTTTTAACAGTTTGGTTAACTTTTAAAGGATACCTTCTTATATTTATTTGCTACGCTTTGTGTGCTTGGAGGAAACAACTGTTTCTTTGGTTATTTCCTTATTCTTAGAATGAAGACCTCCTTTGCCATCTTCAGAAGAGTTTGGATTTGATTTGTGGGCATCAGAGGACCATTAAAGGTGTGGAGCCAAGAGCTGGCCTTTAGGTTTTGCCACTGGAAGTGGGTGAGGATGGAATGGAGGGGCAGCAGCCAGTGGTCAGAGAGATGGCTTGGGTAACTGTGGAAACTGGAATCAAATTCAGTCTGACCCCACAGTTTGATTCAACACAGCAGTCAGGTCAGCCAGTGAGCAAACACTCACTGAAGGTCCACTGTGAGCCAGGTGGTGGCTGAGGAGGGGAGGCATAGGAGACATTGAATCAACTCAGCCGTTGCTACGAGCTCACTGTAGCTGAGTGTTCTGGATGCTGGGGAGTCATGTGCTTCCGGACCTCAAGGAGCATCTTTTCCAGCAGTTAATATCTGTTCTGTTCCCAAAAGCATATAAATCAATGTTGATTTTAGTAGGCAAGTTATCCATGCAGACAGAGAGACGATATTTAAATATGTATAACACTGTATTGAAATAACTCTAGGTCTGCCAGAGGGGAACTTTAGTTGCTGGATCTTGAGGAGGTTTGAGGGTTCCTAGGGGGGGATTGGGAAAATTGGGATGGTGTTAGGACAACTAGGAGCCTCAAAACATAAACTATTTGGCAATGAGTAAGGGAATATTTAAATATTTTAGCAACCTGTGTTGCTATATCTCTGTGTACTGATGAATGTCAGTTTCTCATGTGGTTATACCACTATCTTATAGCATCCTCAATGTAGTACTTGATGTGCACACAAGGCACAGAGGAGGTAGCGATTAGAAAGGCTTCATGGGGTTGGTGATGCTTGAGTTGGGTTTTGTAAGATGAATAGGAGTTTGGTAAAGAACTTTCTAGGAAGAAGAGAGATCATGGGCAAGAACACCAGTGTGTGAAACAGCACAGGACTTGACTGGACAGTTGAGGGGTTCAGGTCTAAGGGATTTTGTGCTCAGGTAATTGTGAGCACAGTCGTCCTGTTAACAGCAGGGAAGAAAGGAGAAAGAGCAGCACATCCATTTAATCTCTCCCACAGGGTAGGGGAAATATCAAGATGAGACCATTTTTATTTTTATTTTAAATAATAGCTATCACATGCCAGGTGTTAGGCAGTTAGCAAACATTGTTTCTAATCTGACAGTAACTCCATGAAGTAGGAATTTTCATTCTTCACTCATTCTACAGGTTAAGAAATCAACTCAGCATATTTAAGTGACTTGCACAAAGTCACACAATGGCAAGAACAGGGTTTGATCTCAGTCTCATCTGACTACAAAGTCTGAACGTTCCGCTTTTCCACTGTATGGCCTCTCTCTCCTGGGAATTTGCAGTGAGTGACATCCATGAGAAACAGGGCCCTTTTCTTGCCTAGAAATGTAAGTTGTGACAAAAACTGGAGGTGTCCGTATCCTGTTCTGCAAAACGAGGACAAGAGTTCTTGCTCCAGGCGTCGGCAGTGCTCCGGAAAGACGAGGCCTCAGATGTACTGCTTTCCAATACCTTCAGCAAGACCATTCTCAGGGAGATGTTTCTCTCCATCTTTCCTTGCTGCCCCTGAGACTTTGACTTGACTTTTTACTCCTGTGAAACAACCTCCTGATGGTGATAGAAAGAATAGGCTGACCACATGGACATTTTGTGTTTATGCTGTTGTGACAGGGCTTTCTTAGAGTAAATCAATAACATGTTCCTGGTTGAGATTTGGCCTGTCCTATAACTTGACTTTAGGGAGAGAATGTGCTGATTATGCTGAAGATAGCGTGTTGGTTTGTGTGTCTTTCATGTTTATTACTGTACAAGAAGAAGTTGGCGTTCTGGTACCTCCCCTCCCTCAACCATTACAACAAGGAAAACAAAATCCACTGAGAGGCAGCATAGCATGGCGATGAAGAACATGGACTGTGAGCTAGATTGCCTAGATTCAGTTCCCAGCTCTGTCGCTGTCTAGATCTGTGTCTGTGTCTCGGTTTCCTTACCTGTAAAACGGGAATGATGATAATTGTAGCTACTGTACAAGGTTATTGGAAAGGTTAAATGAGTTCATATTTCTAAAGTATGTAAAAAATTGCCTGGCATACAACAAGTGCCATGTAAGTGTTTGTTAAGTGAGGACAACAACAAAATTTTATAAACTTGCCCTGCTTTCCACTGTTCCTTACAGGACATGATATTTGCACAAGTCTGACCTCTGTTGTGTGTGGTCAGGCACTGAAGGGTGACATGTTCACATGTGTGGTCTGGTGGACACTAGTTTTGATGACTGCTTTGCCATAAGAACTTCGCTGGCTATGGGAAAATGTGTGGTTGAGAAATAGCAAGTAGAAGGTTCTTTTTTTTTTTCTGCTAGTAGGATAGAGTTTGGGTTAAATGGCATTTGCAGCTGAGTTTATCCATTTTTAAATTTTTCCTGGAGTTACACTGTGCAGCCTATGCATCAATGGTTTTATCTGGCTCGATTAGTCAGTGGATAGTTTTTAATTTGACTTAAAAAATTGGGGGTCACATAAAGGGAACCAGCAAAAGATTTGGATTCTGATGAACAAGGTTTAAGGCTCAGCTCTGCCACTGACATGCTGTGTTACATGGGCAAGTCCCCACTCACCATCTTTGGTCCTTTATGTACTCTTCTGGTTCTCATTGTTTCTTCCCTGAAAAAATCAGGGTGCTGAATGGTCAGGTGAGCTCCCTATTCTCTGTTGGTGAGTGGCCCTCATTCCTGGTCAGTTAGCCATGGGCTATTGAGGGAAGATGTTTTATGAAGTGTATTGATGGTAAATTTAGACAGCAAAAGAATCCAATTGATCATCTTAATTTTTTCCTCTGTACTTCGTAATTGTGCCGATAAGAAGTCCTCATTTCAGCTTTACACCTTTTCTAATTTCCCAGATATTTCTGTGTATCACCAGAAGGCAGAATGGATCCAAATAGTTATTACCACTCAGCTCTTAGAAGTTGTTTGGGCTGGAGAAATGTTTTCATTATTAGGACACTTTCTGGGTCCTCTCTCTAGAGAGGCAACTGAGCCTCAACCATACCATCTCCCAGGCTCACTCCGTCCTGCCCAATCTGTTTACATCTCTACTTTGGAGGCAAGCTCTATCCAGTTCTACTAACCTCAGTGCGATGACTCAGGGAAAACCTAGTTTCTTTTTCCTAGGAAAATCAGGTTGACCACAACTTCTGTAGTTCTTGAGGGAAGAAGGGAAGTATAATGATGTTGGAAGTCAAAATATTGACATTAAGATAGCCAAGTGGAGTTTTATTATGTATGTATGCATGTAGACATGATTGAAATGTATATTACAAGCTCATATGACATACCTTTATAATAGAGAGGTACCTGTGGATTCTACCTTACTTTTGTTAGTGTTTTCACTGTTTCATGTGAGTTTTACAATGAACCTGTGAGATTTGCAGAGTTAAGAGTTATATACCCGTCTATGGTAGAAAACACAGGTTCATTCAGAGGAGTAAAGTGGCTTGCTTGAGATCTGTGTCAGTGGTAGTCTTCTGACTAGTGTTTCACAGAGTTGTTTTGACCTAAGAAAGTTAGAGCCTGGGCCAGACGCGGTGGCTCACGCCTGTAATCCCAGCACTTTGGGAGGCCGAGGTGGGCAGATCACCTGAGATCAGGAGTTCAAGACCAGCCTGGCCAACATGGTGAAACCTCGTCTCTACTAAAAGTACAAAAATTAGCTGGGCGTCGTGGCTTGTGGCTATAATCCCAGCTACTCAGGAGGCTTAGGCAGGAGAATTGCTTGAACCTGGGAGGTGGAGGTTGCAATAAGCTGAGATTGCGCCATTGCACTCCAGCCTGGGCGACAAGAGCGAGACTCTGTCAAAAAAAAAAAGAAAGAAAAAAGAAAGAGGCTGACGAAATTTGTGATTTTTGAAGCAACAGAGGAAATTTAGAAAGAATGAAACTTACGCCGTTAATATTAAGTTATACCAAGGATCTACTCATAATATAACCCAAGACTAGAAACTTAAAGTACTGTATAGTTGATAAAGAGAACGAAGCCGTAGAGAGTTTACTGAATTTCTCAATGAAGTGGCAAGCATCTATCCATCCTTCCATTCATTTTGTCATATTATTAGAAAAAAATACACAGCATGCCAGCTGCCATGTTGAGCCTTGATTCATCAAAGTTAAATTAGAATGACATATGGCAGTTTAGCATTTAAAATGTGGCTAGTTCGAACTGAGATGTGCCGTTAAGTATAACACACCAGATTTCAAAGGCTTAGTATAAAAAGTAATGTAAAATATCTTATTAATAAATTATATGATGTTCATTACTTCTTGGAATGATAATATTTTGGATATATTGGGTTAAATTAAAATGCATTTCTCCTATGATTTCCTGCTTTTTAAAAATGTGGCTGCAGGAAATTAACAATTTCATATGTGGCTTGCATCTTATTCCTTTTGGACAGCACTATTCTAGCTTGTGTCTAGTAGAGGAAGTAAGATTTATACGGACATGCTTTTCTGAGAGCGTGGCATCTCGCTTCTTTACTCCTCTGCCTTTATATTTGTCTCTACTGCCTCACCTTCTTTTGGCTTCTTAACCCATTCTGGTCGGATGGAAGTTGTTCTTGTCCGGGTCTAGAGGGCTCAGATGCATTCCTTTTTAGCAGTGCTCTTATTTGGCATTGGTGGTGCTGTTTCTGTTGACCACTCCCAGTGTCTCTGGATGTTTTGTTATTCCTTTACCTCCCTAGCCTCTCCTTGGGGTTTCTTTGCAGGCTCTTGCTCTCTCTTGTATCCCATAAATACAAGCATTGCAGAGCTTTGTCTCATGACTGCTAGGTGTTTATCTCCAGTTTGGAACTCCTGAACTTCAGGCCCACACTCCTACATGCCTTTTGGACACTCCAGTTGGAAATCCCAAAGTTGCATGGGGCTCACCGTGTCTTTTGGCATTGTTAGCTTGGTGAGTGACATCGCCCAATCCTGGAAACTGGGACTCATTCCGGATGGCTCCTCTCTGTCCTTCACTCTTGCCTCTGACTGTCCTCAGTCTTACAGAGTCAACCACGGTAACACGTCCTGCCCACTTCCCTCCTCCCTCTACCTTTGGAGCCTGTCCTCCATTCAGGCCCTCAGCATCTCTCTCCTGGAGTGCTTCAGCAGTCTCAGCTGGCCTTCTTTTTCTATTCTTACCCTCATCCATCCTATTCTCTCTTTTCTTCCTGAGTGATATTCCAAAAATGCAAATCTGTTCATGCTATGTCCCTGTTTTTAAAATCCTTCAATGCTTTCCTCATTCAGGGCAAATTAAGAATCCTTTGCATGAATTAAGGGACAGGAATGGAAAGAGGCAGGAAGTGGTTTGACCCCTGCCTCTTTCTGTCCTCATCTCACTAATCTCCAAGATGATCTTGTGCTCTAGGAATATACCTGGGATTCTCTGTAGCTCCCGTGACCTCACACATAGTGTTCCCTTGTCTGAAACACCATTGCCCACTCTATCAGTCCTTTCAAGATTTTGCTCTGATACCACCTCTGCCTGGAATACTCCTCTGACTGTTATTGTCTCTGCTTCCTCCATTTTAGGCCATTTGTTGAACTGGGCTGCATTTCCTTGAGAGCAATGGTAATTCTTTATATTTCTGTATCTTCAAATCAAAAATAGGTGTGCAAGTGATATTTGTTGAGCAAATAAATGCCAAATAATAAATTGTATAGATAAGACATTGTGGGAGTTGAGATAAAAATTCTAGCCAGGTAGGGATGGGAGCATGGAGGGTTCAAGGAATGGTGACATTTAAGATTGGCCTTCAATTTGGGTAGTATTGGGTGGGACAGTGCAGAGGAGACCCCTATAGTCATGGTTATTGTGCCATGTTCTGCAGGACTGAAGGATATTGAATAGGCCCATTCCCTGCTCAATACCATCACCACCAGAGTAGAATAAGGATGGTAATCTCAGGAGTCCCTTTGGGCTAGTGTCTATCATTTTCTCCTGAGCTGGGTTATATAACTCGGCAGAGCTTTATTGCCCCAGTACACAGCTGGCATGGCAGGCAGGCACTCCGATCCTTGCTTGTGAGCTGCCTTGGAGGAAGCGAGTGCAGAATGGTTGCCTGCGTTTTCATCTTTACTTCTCCTTCACAGCCGCCTTTCTGTATAGCATAGAGGTGACCTCAGCACCAGAGACAGGAAAGAACACAATGAGTCATCTCAGGCCCTAATGAGGTGCATAAGGGACCCTACTTAAGAGTGAGGGTCAGGTGAGGTCATGCTATGCCTGGGGTGAGTTTTGCCTCGGGGCTCCAGGCGGCACTGGAGCAGAGCTGAGCTAATTTTACCCACAGGAGCTGACTGTGCTGAAGGGCAGGGCTTATGACATTGGCCTTATCATCCTGTGATACCCAGAAAGCTCCCAAGGTGCAACCCCGTTATGTCTGGGCTGTTTTCCCCTCTTCTAGTTAAATACATTTTTCCATTAGGCGTGCATATCGAAAAGCAGGATGCTGAGGTGCAAAGAGCTTTGGATTTGGGTGGAAGGCCACGGAGTTGGATTTGGATCTCGCCCCTACCTTTGACCTTGCACAAGTTACATAATTCGAGTCTCAGTTTCCTCATTTGTAAAACCTCATTCGTATACCTGTGTCCTAAGATTGCTTCTAGGTTTACACACTTGGTGAAACGTAGCAAGCGATTGCTATGTGCCAGTCACTGTTCTAGCTGCTTTATTCATATTGTTTCACTTAATCCTCTAAAGAAACCTATGAGGATGGTGTTATTGTTATCCCTGTTTATAAATAGGGAAACAAATGCACAAGGAGCTTAGATAAGTTGCCCCAGGCCACCAGCCAGTGACAGAGCTGAATTCAGGCCAGTGGCTCCAGGCACCACACTCCTAAACAATATACCTTATTGTTTTGAAATGATAGAAACTTTCCTTGCTATATAGCACAGGCTTAATGTTTTCTAACTACCTGCTGTGTATAAGGGCCTGGGCTTGATGCTGGGTAAGAGAGCAGCATAGCTGTTGTGCTGTTCTGTAGACTTGAATCACATTTGTAGATGGAAGCCCTTGGTCAGCTGAAGGGTATGGTGGATAGACTTTGGTATCTGACATTGTAGGCACTGGGTGGAGTGCTCCTCACACGACCTCTCATCTCATCCTCATAACTTCTTCAATAGTCAGGCATTGGCATGCCCATTTTACAGATGAGGTAATAGAGAGGTAGCATCACCTCCTCACATTTACTTGGTAGACAGAGCGACTGGGGCTGTTGGGTCCCATGTTTATGTTGATTCATTTGCATTCCCCATGAACTGTGCAGTGTCTCAGAGCTATTATTGTTGCAGAACTCACCCCTGCCCTTCTGCCCACCACTGACAACCCTAGAGAAACTGGTGTCCATGAAAAACGTGGGTCACCAGATGAGAAAGTCACATCTGCATGGTCAGAGCAGGCACCAGGTGAAGGTAAAAGAAAGGGCTGGGCTTTGTTCCAATTGTTTATTACTGTGTAGCAAATTACCCCCAAACTCAGTGGTATACAACAATCGTTTAGTATGCTCATGGATTATGTGGATCAGGAACTTGGACAGAGCAAAGGGGGAATGACGCTTCTGTGCTCCACAATGCCTGGGATCTCAGCTGGAAGACTCGAAGGCTGGGTGCTAGAGGGATATGGTTGCTCACTCACTCACATGACATCTGAGACGTTAACCAGGCCTGTTGGTCAGAATATCTACATGTGGTCTTTCCATGTGGCCTGGACTTCCTCACAGCCTGGTGGCTGCTTCCAAAGGGCAAGCCTTGAGAGGAAGGGAGAGAGGGAGAAAGAGAGCGAGTGAGCATTAGCAGGTGCAGGAAGAAGCTGTAGATGCATCATCTCGCTATACTTTATTGGTCGGAGTAGTCCCCAACTCGCTTAGATTCAAGGGGAGAGGCAATAGACTTTACATCTTGGTGGGGTGGCCAAGTTCTGGAAGAGCATGTGGGACGGAAAATTTGCTGGAGCCTTTGTTGGAAAATACAACGGAGGCTCCTTTTGGCCAAAAAGGAGGAACAGACGTCTCTGTGGAGCTGCACGGAGGTAGAGCCACAGGGTATGCAGCAGGCGCACCTGTATGGTGCTGAGTATTCACTGGCAAATCAGGAAAACAAAGGTCAAGCCAGGAATCCTAAGGAAAGGATCAGTAGTTACGCTATAACCATGCTTCATTGTATATGAATTAGCGTTTATATTGTCCATAAACTAGTTTGTGTAACTCTGATTTGCTGATTACATCGACTGCTTATGTAACCCTGGAGTTCTAGGTCTATTTTGGATTTTTTTTTTTTTCTGTGAGATGGGGTTTTCCTGTTGCCTACCTAGGCTGGAGTTCAATGGCGTGATCTTGGCTCACTGCAACCTCCCCCTCCCAGGTTCAAGACATTCTCCTGCCTCAGCCTCCCGAGTAGCTGGGACTATAGGTGCACACCACCATGCCCAGCTAACTTTTGTATTTTTAGTAGAGACGGGGTTTCACCATGTTGGCCAGGCTGGTCTCGAACTCCTGACCTCAGGTGATCCTCCCAAAGTGCTGGGATTACAGCCTTGAGCCACCGCGCCTGGCCCTATTTGGCTTCTTATACTAAACTGAGATATTTTTTGTTCCTTCACAGAGGCAAGGGAGAAGCTTTTAGATATAGACAGACATAGGTCTCAGCCAAATAAATAAAGAATGAGTGATCGGTTAATTTATCTATTTTTTTTTCCCTCCTGCATCTAACAAAGTTCAGGAAAGACATTCTGTATAATTTAACAGGAAAGAGATGCTAACAAAGTTATTGAAAAGACTGGAGCTACTGGGTTTAAGAATTTTTTTTTTTTTTTTTTTCTGAGACGGAGTTTCACTCTTGTTGCCCAGGCTGGAGTGCAGTGGTGCGATCGCGGCTCACCGCAACCTCTGCCTCCCAGGTTCAAGAGATTCTCCTGTCTCAGCCTCCCGAGTAACTGTGATTACAGGCACATGCCACCATGCCCCACTAATTTTTGTATTTTTAGTGGAGACGGGGTTTCATCATATTGGTCAGGCTGGTTAGCCACAATCCAGGGATAAGGAAGATGTGATTAGGAAGCCACTGCTGAGGCCTCAGAAACTTTTCTCAACATCTTAATAGTTAGTGATGGGGCACTGGATTGGCCTATGGAGTGTCCTTTTGCCCTTCATGATTCCCTGGTATTGCTTGCCAGTAGAAATAGTAGCAGGAAGATTCAGCTTCACTTCCACCTTCCAGATCACACACAAGGAAATCTTACTGGCGGAACCTAATTTACTAGCTTTGAGGAAGTATGGGGAATGTAATTTTTAAGTCGGCTTCTGTGATGCAGAAAGGCACTCTAGCTGGTGGAAATAGTCTGATTGAGCCAGCCAAGAGAATATATCTACCCCCAACTTATCCATTTAAAATCCCCAGGAGTTATTATTCTGAAATACTTAATGTTTATAAGTAATTATAACACTGTAATATAATTACACTATGAAATTATGTTTAATATTTGTTTATTTATGTAAAATATATAAACTTAATATAATTAATACCCTGAAAAAACAGGCCAGTTGCCCACGTTCAGTTTCTGAACTGAGTTCTTATTTTTGACGACAGCAGTTGATTTGCAATTTTCCAGTTCAGTTTAATCTCCTCCTGGGAGTCATACCCTAGGACAGTTGTCTTGTTTACAAAATTTCTTCACAAACATTTATTAAACACTTACTATGGACCTGTCCCTGAGCTGGATTTGGCAATGTGGGGAGAGAGAAGTCAAGGATTCTTCCACTGGGAGCCAATACTGGGAAGGAGAATAAATCAGGCACACAGTTAGAACAGGGCAAGGAAGATGTTGATCAATGCCCTACACAGCAGGCTCAGCAAATCCAGGGAAGAGAGATTATTCTGACTGGGCTGAGAAGTAGAGAGTTTTATATAGTCTGTGATCCGGTGATTCTCTTTTGGGGGTAGTACCATCTCATTATGGGGCATTTAAAAATGTGACGGATGCCAGGCGTGGTGGCTCATGCCTGTAATCCCAGCACTCTGGGCGGCTAAGGCGGGCGGATCACTTGAGGTCAGGAGTTCGAGACCAGCCTGGCCAACGTGGCAAAACCCCATCTCTACTAAAAATACAAAAATTAGCCAGGAGTGGTGGCGCATGCCTGTAATCCCAGCTATTTGGGAGGCTGAGGCAGGAGAGTGGCCTGAACCCAAGAAGTGGAAGTTGCAGTGAGGTGAGATCATACCACTGCACTCCAGCCTGGGTGACAGAGTGAGATTCCATCTCAATAAGACAAAATAGCAGCATAATGGGGTGTCTTCTGTTGTCCCAACGACTGGAGATCAGGCTGCCATTGGCATTTAGTGGTTGGGGCCAGGGAAGTTAGACGTCCTTTAATACATGAAGACACCACAGATAAAAAACTGTCTTTCTCCAAAGGGTCATCTCATTCCTGTTGAAGACTACGAGTGTGCTTGATGATGTGTAGGACGTGGATATTTGGTGTTGGGAGTGGAAGGATAGCAGGTCAAGCAGAGGGGACAAGGTGAGCCAAGAGTTTAGTTTAAATAAAGCAAAGAATATGTGTTGAGTGGCAATGGGAGAAAGTTTATGGTGGCAATAGAAGCTTCGGTCCCGGTTGTGGAGAAACTAGAGCTACTAGATAAAGCACTTGGACTTCCCCTGTTGCCATTGGGAAGCCATTTCAGATATTGGAGCAGGTCCTTGAGAGCAGAAACGTAGCCTCGTCTTGGCACCATGCATCATGTAAACATCAGTAATGCTTTTTGAATGAATGAATGCCTCAAACTGTAGTTTACAGGTGTTAGACTAGTGGGTACCTGAGTTTTGCCAGATTTAGGATCCTGTGGTTCTGGGAGGGCCCTGGCAGCCAGCATTTGGACTTTTAGAGAATACATGGAAAGGGCACAGTGGCGTGCCACACAGATACTGTCTCCACATTGTGGTCAGGCAGCAGCAGTACTTGCTGACACCGAAGAGAGATGTGAAAAAGAGAGATTCTTGCATGGACTCCTGTGTGAGGCCCATAAGCCATGAGGCATGTAGGGAGCAGACTGTGTCGTCTGCATCAATGCTCTTGCATCTTGAGCTTTTAAAAAATTGCCATTCAAACCAGCAATTTGCTGACAAGGTTCACGCGCTATGACCATGACTGCAGTTGATCCTGGGGAGTGGCTTGCTTGTCTGCCTGGGGATGGCAGCCGCGTGCGTTCCCTGTGCTGTCCTGTAGGGTTGTGGTGGCTTTCTGATATTCAGGTTGGTCCCTTTTCCTTCTTTTTGGATGGGCTTTCGAGGTTGGGAGAGGAAGCTCAGGGATGGAACTGACTAAACATATGTGAGATGTTTCCTTGTTTGCTGCTCATGGAGGTTTCATTTCTGAAGTCTTTTCTTGGGAGGGAAAAGGATGTGTGGATATATGAGGTGACTCTAGAACCCTCATTTTATGGATGAAGAAACTGTGATTCACAGAGGGAGAGTGATTTGTCCAGTGTCACGTGGGGAGCTGGCCGGGGAGCCAGACCTCCTGTACCTTTTATTGCAGGGTTTATTTTATATATATTTGCTGGCAAAAAGAAGGAAAGAGAAACAATTTATATGTTTTTTATTTATAATAAAAATATTTATTATAATTATATAATAATTAAATTATAGTAAAAATATTTATTTATAATATAAATATAAAATGTATATTATATTATAATTATATATAATTATATTGTAATTAAATTATATATAATTTTATATATTATATATTATATATATTAAATTATAATACAGCATATTGTAATACAATATATTTTATATTAATATAGTATAGTAAAATATATAATATATAATATAATTTCATTATAATAAAATATAATAAAAATATTTAAAAATGTATTTTATATTTACATATATATTTAAATATATACATATATTTATATAAATATATATTAATATTTATATATTAATATATATTTTTATAAATATATATATAATATAAATATAAATATATATTTATATAAATATATATAAATATATATATTTTTAAATATATATATATTTTTAAATATATATAAATATATATATTTAAATATATATAAATATATATTTAAATATATATATATTTTTAAATATATATAAATATATATTTAAATATATATATATTTAAATATATATAAATATATATTTAAATATATATACATATCAAATATGTATATATATTTTTTCTCTTTTTTGTAGAGAGAAGATCTCGCTATGTTGCCCAGGCTGGTCTCAAACTCCTAGGCTCAAGCAATCCTTCTGCCTTGGCCTCCCAAAGTGCTGGGATTACAGGCATGAGCCCCTGGCCTTATAGCAGGGTTTAAATTACACCCACTTTGGGGGAAGAGAGAGTGGTGTGTGCAGGCTTTGGTGCCAAAGGCTTGCACATGGTTACTGGCTCAGCCACTTACTATAAAATTTGTAAAATAGGCACCATGGACACATCTGATATTAAGCATTTAAAAAGAGGAGCTGTGTGAAAAGTTTTGTTGACTACAAAGAGCTACAGACATCTTCCTTTTTATCTTGATGTGGATGTTTATGCACTGGGAATTGGTGGGGCCATCTTTAGAGAAGGGGTGGGCCAGTGAAGACACTACTGACCATACCCCAATCAGAAAACACTCCCAAGGGGCTCACTTCCCCACTGTGCAGTAAAGAGGTTTTGCACTGAGATTTGGAGGTACAGCACAAGGCGGGGAAAGCATGAGCCAAGTTTTGAGTCCTGTGGAATTGAGGGTGCACTCCTGCCTGGGGCCAGGGGTTCTTGTAGCAATATAAAGGGAGACGTGGCTAAAAACATAGATTGGGCTCATCCTGGAGGCCTTGAGTCTGGCCTGAGGGTGAGTGGATGCTATCGTTTGTGTTGTTTAGAGCACTGGTGAGGAGTCAACTGGGAAAATCTCAATGAAATGCATCTTTAGGATGTGCCGGGAATCTTGGCAGTAACTCAGGAGGGCAACAGGGAATCTTGCAATTGGAGTAGCGGGGGGTGATTCTCAAGTTTTGGACACATTCTAAGTAACTTTTTGCAGTGCTTCAACTTTTTACTTGAGTTTATAATAACAATGGCAATATTTTTTATAGTTGTAGAGCTATATGAAATATTTTTACACCTGTTGGCTTCATTGTTCATACAATATCTTAGTGAGGGGGAAGGTAGGATTGTTTTCGTTCCTGTTTTACAGACAAGGAAATTGAGGCTCAGAGAGCAGATGGGATTTCTCTGGCCGCTTGGCTGGTTGATGTGGAAGTCAGGAGTGAGGATGCCAAGTTTCACACTTCTTCCTGTGCCAATGACCTGGAGGAGTGTTTTTCTCAAACTCACATTTCTTTATCCTCCACAGTCTTGGGTGTCACTCTTGGAAGTGTAAGATGGTCATGAGTTTCAAAGATTTCTGAGATAAGCTGTTAAGATTTTCAAAGATGAGCTATAGAGAATTTGGGACATAAAATGTGTTTCTTCCAGTAACTCTTGCTTGCTATCATGTTGTTGGTTCAAATTGAACATGTTGATAAGTGCCAGGGAGGAAAGAAACCAGTACCTGCTACTTATTGGGCACCTTTTTTGCCCTGAACTCAGTACTGCCTGCTTTTCCATTTGAGTATCTAGAAACATTTATGGATGGAGTGATTGTAATATTGTACAATTCTGTCAACTAGTTTATTAGCTAATTCTCATAAAAGCCTTAGGAGGTAGATAAACAATATTATTTTCCATTTTACAGATGAGAAAACTGAGGTTTAGAGAGATGAAATAACTTGCTTATAACTTGCTTGAGAGAACACAGGTCCTAAATAGATTATAATCTTTTTTTTTTTTTTTTTTTTTTTGGCAGAGTCTTGCTCTGTCATCCAGGCTGGAGTGCAATGGTGCAATCTTGGCTCACTGCAACCTCCGCCCCACCAGGTTCAAGCGATTCTCCTGCTTCAGCCTCCCAAGTAGCTGGGATTACAGGTGCACACCACCACACCCAGCTAATTTTTGTATTTTTAGTAGAGACGGGGTTTCACCGTGTTGGCCAGGCTGGTCTTGAACTCCTGACCTCAAGTGATCTGCCTGCCTCGGCCTCCCAAAGTGCTGGGATTACAGGCCTGAGCCACTGCACCCAGCTGTAAGTAGAGTATAATGTAAGTTTTCTAATTTGAGACTTCTTTCTTCCTTGCTGCACCCCATCTACGCCATGTGTTGCCCATCCCACTGGTGAAAATGCAGAGCTGCTTGTTAAGGAGGTACATGTCAGACCTTGGAATTTACTGGAATCAGACCTGGAAGGTACTATGAAGAGCTCAGAAGGCTGGTGGTTTTCAAGCTGTTCTCTTCTGAGCCTGAGAGACTCCAGGAGTCATCTTGAGGGATATAGCACGGAGGGAGGTGAAAAGTGGTGGGAAGTGGAGGAAGGAAGGGGACCGCTAGAGCCAACCTGAGTCGCTCTGCTTTTTCCTATTTTGTAAGCTAAACATTGTCAAAGCATCCATTTAAAGGAAAAGTTCTGCTGCTACATATAAAAGTTAAAAAACCACTGTGTCTACCCTTCCTTTTGCTAACACTGAGAGGCAGAGTGGTTCAGCACAAGGGGACACAAAGTGGCTTAGCACGAGTCACGAGATGTGACGGGTCTGAGACCTCTCAGCCTAGAGCTCCCTTACCCCTGGGCCACTTTGTTAGACACACCTCCTTTAATTCAAATCCCCGTCTCAGTGGGACATGGCTTTTTCATTTTTTCAAGGAAAGGTTTAATCTGTCCAGATCCCTGTGAAGATCTTGGCTCTTGGCGCACCTGCTGGAGGTTCGAGGTCCTGCAACCACAGAGTAGCTGCAGGACCTTCAGGATGTCCCGAGCCACAAGGTCTTTGACCTGCATTTTGCAACCTGGTTGTGTCTCCCCTTTGGACTCTGGGAACCTTGCTGAGATTGGTACAATATCTGTGCTAAAAAGGTTTGAAATTATAGCTAGTATTGTGTTACCTTCCTGGTCCAACCTTCACAGACATTGTCTGACTAAGTATATATAACTCTTGAGTGTTCACTGTGTACACCGGCTCACAAGAAAGGCAAGGTTCCTGATCCCAAGGATCTAATGGAGAGACAGAAACAAATATAAACTTTTGTCAACTATTTCAGAGACAGTTATTTTTGTTATACAAGATTGTTATGCATGCTAGTTATGTGGAGAGGATTTCATCTCTTAGAAATGAGACGGGGAGAATCTGGGCGATGAGAAAGAAGACCAGAACTGGGGAGTACAGTCTAGAATTGCAAGGGGTTGAGTTTGCTATGTGAAGCAGTTAGTTTTGGACTGTTGCACTTACTATTTCTGAGATTTGAGCATCTGACTTTTCCTTTAAGCTTTTGTTTTCTCATTTGTAATATGGGAGTGAGAGTGCCTAGTTCACAGGGTCATTGCTGGGGTTAAATGAGATAATGTATGTAACCTGCTTAGTATAATACCTAGCACAGAGTAAACACTCATTAAATTTTCATTGTTATCGTTGTTATGATTTGGCAGCGAGGAGTCAAAAGAGCCTATTTTCTTAAACTCATCAATGGTATAATCAGAGCTTTGCATCTCGAAGTAAAGGAACACTCTGCTTTTATTATTTATTTATTTTTCACTCTGCTTTTAGACATAGAATTCAATTGCCTCAGGCTACAACAAACTGGCTTCAATCTACCTTTCTGAGTTAACTTCTGTTTATTTCTATCCATCTGCCCACTTCTCTCACTAGTGACCTACACATTTTCTTTTTTTTTTTTTTCTTTTCTTTTTTTTTTTTTTCTTGAGGTGGACTCTTGCCCTGTTGTCCAGGCTTGAGTGCAGTGGCATAATCTTAGCTGACTGCAACCTCTTCCTGCCGGGTTCGAGCCATTCTCCTGCCTCAGCCCCCTGAATAGCTGGGATTACAGGCACACACCACCACGCCTGTTTAGTTTTTGTATTTTTAGTAGAGATGGGGTTTCACCAGGTTGGCCATGCTGGTCTTGAACTCCTGACCTCAGGTGATCCGCCTGCCTCGGCCTCCCAAAGTGCTGGGATTACAGGTGTGAGCCACCGTGCTCCACCCACATTTTCTAAGCTTGATTTTAACTTGCTGGTCTTTGTCATATCTTCTCAGTCATTGCTGGGGTTCAAATCTTTCTTTTCTTTTTCTTCTTTTTTTTTTTTTTTTTTAAAGATGGGAATCTCACTATGTTTCCCAGGCTGGTCTTGAACTCCTGGGCTCAAGTAATACTGCCTTGGCCTCCTGAGTAGCTGGGACCATAGACATATGCCACTGTGTCTGGCTTAAATATTTCCTTCTGTCGGAATGCCCTTTGTTCCTTCATCTGTGCCCCCCTGCTCCATCCTCTTTTAATTCCTAGCCCAAAAGTCTAACCCACCCATTGGGAGGGATTCTGCAGAACTCATAGAGTTTACAACATCTTGTCCTTCAATTGCAGTCAGTCTCTGTCTTGAACTGGATTTGTGAGCTCCTTGAAGTTGTTTGTATCTCACAGCTCTTTGCTGTAACATCCCTGGGGATTCAAGCACGCACACATAGTAGATGCTCACACATCTATGCAATAAATTACTTTAGTGTCTTTCTCAAATGATCAGCACAGGAAGCAAATGATAAAATGCAAACCAGAAAACAGACCTCACTGGGCTCTGTGCTTGTCAGCCTTGGGAATGGATTTCTGGCGAAGATCCGGCCCCTCTACAAATGACAGAGATGACTTGGCTCTTTTCAGGAATTGAAGAGAATCCTGACAAGTGGCATGTTGGGAAAGGCCTGAAGGAAGCCAGACCAGCTTGCTCTCAGAGCTCCTTGGGTCCCCTGCGGCCCCCAGGTGATCTTCAGCAAGACCTGGTATGTAAATGAGCCTCATCTGCTGGCTCAGCCTGCTGCCCACTGCTAGGGATGCTAGAATTCCAGGGTAAGCTTCTGTGAGCCGGGCTGGGAGGTTTAGTGGGTTGGAGATTACTAGCTTTTTGGTATCTGCAGCTTGAAATACCTTGTGCCCTTGATTAATTCATGCTTGGGAGCATCCTCAGTGCTCTCTGGAAAATAGCTCCTTACTGTATGTTTATTTCCCCACGGGCTTATTTCAGAGAGACTGGAGCCTGTGTTTCTAACAGCTTCTCCAAGGAAAACATCGCAGGCCACGTTTCCGGAACTGAGAATCTCAGGGGGTCTTTGAAACGTCCATCTCTATTACCTCCTTTTGGCCCAGCATTTGCTTTTAGCTGAAAAGGGAGATTTTGTCTTGAGCCTTCCTGTAGACATATGTGACTTGGAGTTTGAAAATCTGACAGCTGCTGCTGAGCTTTGAACTGCAAGAGTGAGCAGCATATAGACATAACCCCGTAGAACATCAAATCATTTTCCTTTAATTCCCAGAGACTTAATGTTTCTTTGTCTTGCGAATGACCTCACTGCTTTTTGTATTTGTAATGGAATGCACAGTCATTTGTAAGTAATCACACAATAATCCCTTACACTTTTATAATGCCTTACCCTTTTCCATAGGGCTTTCACTCTCATTATCTCATATGATCCTTATAACTGCTCTGAGATATAAGCAGAGCGCCTATTTTAATCTCCAATTTTCAGGTGTAGAAACTGAGGTTCAGAATAAAGTTAGCCAGAGTTAAAACAGTTAGTATGTAGCAGAATTGGAAAGGGAGTCTACAGAATTGGAACTGGAGTCTCCTAAACCAGTGTTTCTTTTGCTCCTTATTGCTGGTGTGACCTTGGGAATATACTTAACCTCTCTGAACCTCAGTCTTCCTATCACTAAATTGGGTATAATACTACCTCCTGGGATAGTTGTTGGAAGGGATTCAATGAGACTGGGAAATCATTTAATAAAAGGTAGAACACACTAATAATGGGAGGCATCATTGTACTTACTACATGGGCCTTGACGGCGAACAGTGCCATCAGAACTGTGAAAGAAAATAACATTTTTTCTCTCTTTTTAGAAAGACACAGGTTCAGAATGGTGTTGTCAGGGATCACAAGCTCCCAGCCCCGTGATTAGCAAATTGACCCTGCTGCCCTGTCTGCTGGCTGCTTTCTTATTCTGAGAATTGTGTTGACAAGACCCTCTTTTCCTACAGAGCTCTCTCTTAATGTTGCTTGGAATAGCCTTGTGTCCTGGAGACAGTTTTAGGTCTGGCAGGATCTGAGAACAGGAGTGGGGATCTTGGAATGGGATCTGCATCCCTGAGCTTCATCCACAAAGGGTGGGAATGTGGCTTGGGCTGTGGGGTGGAGGTAGATGAACAGCTGGACTTGCAGGTCTATCTTCTGTTGTTTCTCAATAAAGTAGACAAGTCCATCTGATGGGTGTTTAGTAGGGTATGACTTGTGAGTCCACAAGGCCAGCAGTATATATGCTGAATGGACTGCTTAGCAGTAACACACTGGAAAAATCCAAAAAGAATGGATTTCAAGTTGGCAAAAAATGCATTAGAAGTCAGCAGTGTGATGTGGTCAGGAGAACAACCAGAGTGACTGTGGGATGAGGTCTTGGATAGCTTTGTTTCTATATACAGTCAGCCCTCTGTATCCATGGTTTCTGCATCCATGGATTCAACCAACCAAGGCTCGAAAATATTAAAAAAAAAAAAAATCCAACCATAAAAAAATACAAATAAAAAAACCAATATAATATAACAACTGTTCACATAGCATTTGCATTCTCAGGTATTATAAGTAATCTAGAGATGCTTTAAAGTATACAGGAGATACTACCTCATTTTATATAAAAGACTTGAGCATCTCTGGATTTCGGTATCTCAGGGGTCCTGGAACCAATTCCCCATGGATACTGAGGGAACGAGTGTACATACTCACCTACAAAAATTCCAAACCAGTGAGACAGACATAGGTTGAAATATGGTCCTGAGAGGCAGAACGTGAAGCAAGGGATGGAAGGCCGGGGAGGAACCAGATTTCAGTTCCGTGTAAGGAAGAACTTTCTGATGGAAAGATGGAATTTGCAGTGGCAGGAGATAATGATCTTTGCTTCACTGGAGACCTCAGGAATACCAATGGGGCAGGCACTGGGCTTAATGGCCTTTATGGCCACTTCTAATTTTGAGATCACAGAGCTAGGAGGATGAGAGGCACACATATATTGAAGGAACTGAAGGGTCTCTCTCTATGTGGATGTGGAAACTGATCTCCAAATGTTTGCAAGATGGAGGGTACGTTTAAAATATTTCATTCTGGTTTTCATATTGATCTCTGTGGCTCTCCCCTTGGTCTTTGGTTTTTAAAGCTTAAGACCATTCCCAGAAGCTCTTTTCCATGGAATAATCTCCTTTCTTTGCTGGAATGCTCCTGTTGGGATGCAGGAAGGGACTCTGAGCTCCTGACAGAATGAAGACCACCCCTTTTTGCTCTCCAGACCTAATTTTGACGTCCCACGCCCACCCGCTGAGGAGGGTTGCAATGGCGAGATCTCTGTCCTGAATTCTGGTTCTGGCATGCAGTGGAAGGCCCTCTGATTCTGTTTCCTTACCTATTTTAATAGTAACTTATATTTGTGTTCCTTCATTAAATGTACAATAAATAATAAATGTTTGCTTACGGCATGCTTGTTAAGTATAAAACAAATAATCAAAATGAATGTGTAATGACCCTTTGGATAGACCAAGTAGAAGCTGCTTTTAGGACACATGATTGGACCATTTCTAGATATCTGCCTAATTTGTAAATGAAAAATATGTAAGCTACACAAGGAGCACTGACTCGTCTAAAATCTTAACGACTGACTGATTTGGGCTTGGGGTTTGGGGCTTGGGTCCTTCATGCCCTGATCAGAGCTGTTTATAGCTTGAAGACTTCCTGGGGGTGAGAACAAGCAACCTCTTGGTGCAGTCCAAAGCCAGGAAATGGGTGACGATTTTGAAAAAGGACTCATCTGACCTCCAGAAAGCCTTTACAACCAACAGTAGAACGAGATCACTAAGAAACAGAACCACCGGGAAGCCAAGATGTGGTACTTGGATTCCCATCTCGGAGCACCTCCTATATCCCGACACACCATTTCCCCTAGTGTCTGATCTCTCTTTCTCCTCCTTTAATTCAGTCTGGAGTCATTTTAGATCAGATTCATTCCTGATTGGCTTCACTGCTCCAACTTAGTCATCACAGAACCTTAGGGTTGGAATCCATGTTACAAGTTAAACTGAGCAATTCACCCCCACTTTTCCTGACAACAGTGTTCTCTTGAGAGTCTGGTTTTATTCTGAGTCTTCCAGCCCGGTGTCTGTGCCCATGAAGGACTCATGCCAAATTACATTCTCAGGAGGACTCCCAGACCAAGAGACTCTGGGCTTGGGCGTGAGAGACTTGGGGCTGTTCTTTTTCTTTTTTTTTTTTTGAGAAGAAGTTTCACTCTTATTGCCCAGGCTGACATGGAGTTTCACTCTTATTGCCCAGGCTGGAGTGCAATGGCACAGTCATGGCTCACTGCAACCTCCGCCTCCCGGGTTCAAGTGATACTCCTGCCTCAGCCTCCCAAGTAGCTGGGATTACAGGCACACACCACCATGCCTGGCTAATTTTTGTATTTTTAGTAGAGACCAGTTTTCACCATGTTGGCCAGGCTGGTCTTGAACTCCTGACCTCAGGTGATCCTCCCGCCTTGGTCTCCCAAAGTGCTGGGATTACAGGTGTGAGCCACTGTGCCCGGCCGAGAGGAGTTGTTTTGAGACTCACCTGCCATCATAGGAACCATAGCTTAAATTCTTGTGACCTTTTCAGGTGCATCTCCCAAAATATCTCCCCTCCACCAAATTAATGATTTATTTCATAAATTTAGTTGCATTCTGGATGGTCTCATTCTTAAGATGAGCTTAAAGCCTTTCAGACCAGTCACTTCCTTGTTTGGGGTGGAGGAGGTTTTTTCCTGGAATAGGACAGTGTATGGAAGGGTTGAGAATCCACTTCTTTAGCGGTTAATAATTTACTCCGAGTAAGGAATTCTTTGTTAAAGTGGGGCATGTTCTTCAAGTGCCAGAGAAGAGAGAAGGGTGATTTTTCTGACATCCTCCAGCCTGCTTCTCCATATTTGGAAATGTTTACCCACCAGGCTGATCTATTGGAAGAGAGGGAGGTGACTCAGGGTTTAGGAGAAGCAGGATTTGAATTCTTGTTTCCAGAAACAAAGTCGTCCCCCCACCCTGCCCCCACCCTTCCCCCTTCATTCCTCTGTCCCTTGTTCTGGAAGCTGAGGCGAGAATGTCTCAGTTCTGTTCCCTTCAGGCTTCGAGACCACCGCCTTGCTGTGTCCCGTAGTGGACTGAGGGCCTGCAAGAGGGAGTGAGGGCTAGTGGAGGGCCAGCTGCCTGTGGGGGCTGGACATCGTGTGAGTACATCATTACTGCCATTTCTGCTCACAGACCTGGGGCTTACAGCCTGTGGGCTGGCTCACTTGCATGGTGATGGGACACGTTGCTGGGAGTGCTGGTCACTTTTATTTGGGGGTGTGGACAGCTGCTTTCCCAGGGGAGTACTTCTTACAGTGGGATTTCAAGACAAGATCGGCCTGAAGAAAAATTATATTTGTATATTTTTTAAAAAGTAGGTATTTCCTCTCATCTGAGGCCTAACTTGAGTTGGGTAGAAAGACAATTTGGGAGTGCTGTTGTCTGATGATTAAGGCTAAAGCAACAAGCTGGAAGGGATGTCGGGATGTCTGTGGACATGTAGGGAGGGGTAGTTTTAGCTTGAAAACAGTTATGGTGGGATTTAAGAGTATGCAAAATGTTGATGTGTAGCATTTGCACAGCATCCACGGTCTGGAATACCTTGTGTGCAGGTCACTGTGTAGATTTGATGAGTTGTCAGAGTTGGAAGAGTCCTGCAGAGTTTTCAGCACATCTGTCTAATTTCACAGTGTGAGATAATGGGCAGCAGAGACCCAGGCCCTGAAGACAGATGGCTCATTATGTGGGATTAGAACCCAGATCTTCTCTCTCAGTTCGTTCTCCTTCCCCTAGACTTAAGCTGCCCCCTCTATTGCGAGATGAGGAAATTGGGAGATGTTAGAACTGTCCACACTTACTAATCTAGTTGGTGGGAAATTGAGGACTAGAACCTACTTCTAGTTCAGACCTCTTCCCGTTAGGATATATGGGCTCAGATGCCTAGATTTGTTGTTTTTGTATGAGGCTCTTTTCTTTTCTTTTTGTTCTTTGATTTTTACTTACCTTTCCCTTCTTTTGTTCATGTGAATGTCGTATGAATGCAACCTTCTGCTCTCCTTTGCTCCCTATATCTTTCTCTTTCACGAAAGGGGATGATCACTTGTCCAAAAGGCAGAATGAATAGTGTGGAACTTCCTTTCTATCCATGGAAGTGAAAATTATGCAATTTTCCCTGAGAGAAATTCAGCAAGGCTTCCCATCTGAGCCTCTACCACTATTCTTGAAGCTGTAAGAATTCTGGAATATTATGCCCATTCAAAGGTGAGTCCTGATTCTGATTAGATTTTAAACACACACACACACACACACACACACACACACACACACACTTTTTAAGCCTACCAAAGCAGGATAGAGACCCAGAAGACACCGACCTATTACGTCACCTCAGATGTTTCACAGCCATCAGGAGTAACTCTTTGTAGTCAGCTCAGTTTCAGATCAACTTTTTTTTTTTTCTTTCTTTCTTTTTTAGACAGAGTCTTGCTCTATCGCCCAGGCTGGCTGGAGTGCAATGGCGCGATCTCGGCTCACTGCAACCTCCGCCTCCTGGGTTCAAGCGATTCTCCTGCCTCAGCCTCCTGAGTAACTGGGATTACAGGCATGCACCACTAGGCCTGGCTAATTTTTGTATTTTTAGTAGAGACAGGGTTTCACCACGTTGGCCAGGCTGGTCTCAAACTCCTGACCTCAGGTGATCTGCCTGCCTTGGCCTCCCAAAGTGCTGGGATTACAGGCATGAGCTGCTGCACCTGGCCTCGGATCAACTTGAGGGCCTTATTTTCCAGTGCAGGGAAGATGGTAGAAATATGTTTTGGGGAAGCATTTTATTACCAGTGGCATTAGGTGGCAGATGTAATAGAGCAGAGGAAGTGCTCTGAGACCTATGTTTGTTCTGGCCAGTTTTAAAGAGAGGGGAAGCGACTCTCTAATCTGCTTTGAAGCAAGTGGGAGGAGGGAAGTTGCACAGGACTCCCAGGAACCTGTACACAATCTGTCTCCTTCTGTGACCAGCTGAGGCTGGGTGGTGACTGTAAGCCCTGTTCATGAGACAGGAGGAGAGAGCCTTGAAGAAGGAAAGCCTGGGGTGTTTTTCTGTGGTGCTGAGGGACAGGGACAGTAAGAGGTTGGAGTAAATAATACCAGTATGAATACTAATACTCTGAATAAGGACAGCTGACAAGCATTGGTTGCTTAATGGGTGCCAAGCACAGGGCTAAACACTTTACCTAAATTATTGTGGCACTATAGCTGCCTTTGAGTAGGAACTATTTTTTAAAATATTATTTTTAATTTTGGTGTAATACATATAAAATTTGCCATCTTGATGGTTTTTAAGAGTACAGTTCAAGCCTGGGCATGGTGGCTCACGCCTGTAATCCCAGCACTTTGAGAGGCCGAGGTGGGCAGATCACTTGAGCCCAGGAATTCAAGTCCAGCTTGGCCAACGTGATGAATCCCCACCTCTACTAAAAATACAAACATTAGCTGGGCCTGGTTGCATGCACCTGTGGTCCCAGCTACTCAGAAGGTGGGGATGGGAGGATTGCTTGAATCCAGGGAGTGGAGGTTGCAGTGAGCCAAGATTGCCCCACTGCACTTTAACCTGGATGACAGATCGAGACCCTGTCTCAGAAAAAGAAAAAAAAAAAAGAGTACAGTTCAGCAGTGTTAAATACATTCATATTGCTGTGTAATCAGTCTCCAGGCCTCTTTCATCTTGCAATCTGAAACTTTGTACCTATAAGCAACAGCTACCCATTTTCCTCTCCTCCAGCCCCTGGCATCCTCCATTCTACTTTCTTTCTCTATGAATGTGACTACTCTAGGTTCTGTATCTAAGTGGAATCATACCGTATTTGTCTTTTTGTGACTGGCTTATTTCACTAAGCGTAGTGTCCTTAAGGTTCATCCATGTTGTAGCATGGGTCAGAATTTCTCCTTTTTAAGGGTGAATTATATTCTGTGGTAATGAATATACCACATTTTGTCTATCCATTTAGGTACTATTTTTTAACCTCCATGTTATAGAAGAACAGCAACCAGAGACTTCAAAGGGTTAATTAAGTAAGTGGCCCAAAGTCACATAGTCAGTAGTGGAGACTAATTTTACCTAAGAATGGCATGTGATCAGGAGTAAGCAGATATTGGATTCTAATTGGCAAGAGTGTGACAAATCAGGGTGCTTCTCAACTGGATGGTGACACCTCCTTACACCTTGCTATGGCATTTCAATAAAGCAAGTGTTCCAAAGGGCTGTACGCAGCTATGCTTCCTTTCTTTTGTATTGGGCTCTAGGAAGCCCATAGCTAAATTTAAAGCTCACCTCTAGCAAATGGTATGAGACATCCAGCTCTTATTTTTTGTATCCCTTTCTCCTTTCTTTGCTTTATTTTCTCCTCTCCTTACCCACTTTCTCACTTAAATCATGAACTATTAGCATCTTTTGTCAGGTACCTCAGATCATTTCTGGAACAAGGCAGAATATATAGATATGTGGCATGATATCTAATATTTTAGTAATTATTAAGTCTGTGGAATAGTAGGCCAAAACTGGCCATGATTTTTCTGACTTGACTCTGCTCGTCTTCTTCTTCTTCCTTTTTTTTTTTTTTTTTTGATGGAGTCTCACTCTCTTGCCTAGACTGGAGTGCAGGGCGTGATCTTGGCTCACTGCAACCTCTGCTTCATGGGTTCAAGCCATTCTCCTGCCTCAGCCTCCCGAGTAGCTAGGACTACAGGCACTTGCCACTACACCCCACTAATTTTTGTATTTTTAGTAGAGACGGGGTTTCACCATGTTGACCAGGCTGGTTTTCAACTCCTGACCTCAGGTGATCTGCCTGCTTCAGCCTCCCAAAGTGATGGGATTACAGGCATGAGCCACCACACCCCACCTAACTCTGCTCATAATGCAATGTTTCATCTGGGCAATGCCCTGCCCCTTTCTGAGTCTCACTTTTCTCACCTGAAAGAGGAGGTTACTGTTGATGACAGTGAACATTTAGGCTGTGCTGAGTTTTACACTAAGCATCCTGTCTCTAACTCTCCCAACACTCCCACAAGGCAGGTGCTATTATCCCCATTTTACTTTTGAGAAAATTAAGGCCTAAAGAAGTGAGAAAGCTTGTCCAAACCGCTATAGCTCTTGGGCAAAGGCATTAGTGACCAATGTGTATTTGACTCCAAAGCCCAGGATGTTAGCCACAGTGCAGGGCTACTATCCTTTTATACAATCTGTCAGGCTTCTTCCATCCGTGGCATGTATTCATCTAATTTTATTAAATCTTTATTGAGTTTCCACTTAGGTGCCTTGCACTGTTCTGGGCATTATCCCAGTACTCGATTTAGAGCAAAGAGTAAGACACACACAACAACGATCTCTTGGTGCTTACACGCTGCTGCAGGTGTGTGAAGGAGGCAGATAAAGGAACACTTAAACAAGAGGGACTGATAAGTAACCCAAGGGAGGAGTCACAAAGGGCATTCTGACTGTGAGTGAGTGGGGAAGGACTCTGGGAGGTTATGTTTAAGCTGAGATCTGAGTGACAAGGAGGCCACCTTGTAGAAGTTGGGGGAAGAGCACTGCAGGCAGTGGAGACGGTCAATGCAAAGGTCAAGGCTGTGAAGTGGGAAGGAGTTTGTGTTTGAGGAACAGAAGGAGACTGATGTGCTGGCAGGATGTGGGCTGCAGGGGAAGAAGCAGGAGAAAAGAATAGGGTCTAGCAGGTGGTGGTAAGTGAGAGACCTGAGCTTCTTAGACCTGAGTCCAGATGTGATGGGTTATGTGTTACAGGCATCTTTCCAGCTGCTGTGGAGGGAACCTGATAGTAAAAGGGAGTCAAGGGTAGAAGCAAGAAGGTTAGGCTAGACTTTTACCGTAATTCAGGTGTGATGTGGTGGTAACTTTGACTAGGGCATAGAAGTTGGGCAGGAGAGGTAAGTTTGGGGCATGTTTGGGAGTGATCGTCTATAGGATCTCAAGTGTGATTTCCTTCAGAGAAATGCTGAGCTAAATGGGCAGGAATCTGGGATACTCAGAGGGAAATGAAAATAGGTGCCCTAGGGGGTTGCCCAGATAAGCAGCTGGCGTTCCAAGACCAAAGAGTATCTGTTTCTCACCCCTCTCCCATTTAGTTTCTAACCTTGAGCTTTGGGCCAGTGCACAGAGGATGGTGGCTTCCTGCCTTTGGCTTCCCAGCTGAGAGCTGTTGGAACGCCCCAAAATAAGCCCTGCAGAACGTGCAGCTTCCTTTGCTCTCCCTGGGTATTTTTGTAAAACATTCTTTCCCACCAAGAATGAGGAACGTTCAGAGTGATGCTGACTTTATGGGCTGTATTTAACATGTTGTTTTTTCATGGTGTTGTCTGTTCATGCAGAGATTTCTGTCTCCTGTAAACTCCCTGGTAAGGAATCTTCAATCTCCATGTGAGATGGGTCTGGAAGGCTCAGTGGGAGCCCAGAAGAGCTGGGGTTTGAAAGCCTCTCCTTGTCTTGAGGACTGGACTGCGGTCCAAGGGCACCTACCAGCCCTCTTTTTTCATTTACATTTGAATTCACAGTTGCTGCCCTTTGGCAGTTCCCTGTAATTCCTTTTAACAGGCTGGGCTTTCCTGCAGATACTTCATTTTTCAGGTCTTGGAGAAGTTAGGTAGTGGCTGAATCAGGTAGAGAATCCAAAATTCTGACCAAGCCCCATCCTCTAGCCACCAGGCCAAAGCAACTTAGCTTGTGACCTCATCCTCCTGTGTATCCCCTGGCAATCTTATACTATAATCAGCCTAAGCCCAGAGATGCTCAGAAATCATACACTAAGTCATCTAAAACTCATTTCTGAGGCTTTCTCATGCGCCCCTCTTGCAGTCTGTAGTTACCAGGTTTTCAAATAATTAGCATAATCTCTTAAAAACAGTGTTTTGTTATTGCTCATTCAAGTTTCTTCTAAAATTTCTTTTATATTACCTATTCATTGAGTTGACAAACATTTATTGAGTTCTTACTGTATGCCAGGCATTGTGCTAGGTGCTGGGGATTGATTCAAAGATAATTTGGAGGCGTATGGAAGGGGAGTGGATAATTACAGCACAGTGAGATAAGTGCTATAATAGGGGGATATATAAAGAGCCAGAAATAGCACTATGAATAACATCTTTGAACAAATTGCCTTCTTTTTTCCTTTTGGATTATTCCCTTATGTATATTGCCCAAAGTGGGATTACTGGGTCATTTAAAAGATGAAAACAATTTGGCACAAAAAGATGTAATGACTTGCCTGGGGAATACAGCTCAATTTTCAACAGAGAAAGAAAAAATTGTTGACAAATCCAGATTTAGATCACTTTACCAGGAAGATGGGGCAGTTTTTATACTACCCTTTCAACATGGTGGCTTTTAGGGGCGGGGTGGGGGGGATTTATTCTAAACATGTTAGCCTGCGTGTAGGAATCACACGTCCTCATATTTAATCTCACAACTTGATTGTTCTCACAAGAACCTAGCTGTATACATATTATCGTTTCCATTTTACAAATGAAGAAACTGCACCCTTGATAAAAGGAAGTAAGTTGCTCAAAATTCCATAGTTAATAAGTGTAGAATCCAAGGGTCAAGCACAGTTCCTTTTATTCTTTGACTCTATCCTGTTCCCCATGCTGTGTTTACCAATTGAGGGTACCTGTGCTCTAGCCGGGGCCCGGAATTTAATATTTAATGAGTCACGGAGGCTCTTAAGATGATGGTCAGGCTCTATGAAATAGGTGTAGATTTTCTTACCTCTGAAGTCATAGCCAGGGAACAATGTCTTTCTGTATATTGACCTGAAAGGACCCAAGGGCGCATTATTCCTGACCCTGGCTCAGGTGCTGAAAGGCTATTTGCATAGCCCTACTGTTAGAGCACAGAATCCCAAGTAAAGCTGAAACCATGCCACAGTTTTGCTGTGAAACATTTATTACTTTTCTAGTACTTAACAGTATTAAGTAAAAACTCCTGCCCCTGGTATCCAGGACCTGTCATAAATGGACACCAACATCGGTCCACTGTGGGTCCATGTGGGTCCTTGATGCTCCTGCTTACATATCTTTAAATCAAACACATTTCCTACCAACCCCCAGATATATCTTGCACTTTCTCACCTTCATGCCTTAGCACATGCCTTTCCTTTAGCCTGAGATAACCTCTCCAATCTTCATTCATAGAACTCCCAATCCTCCTGTAAACTTCTGCACAGACGCCATCTTGGGAAGGGAATAATCCTTGATCACCACCTGCTCTCCCATCCATTAGAAGTGATCTCTGTGTTCTCTGTTCTGCTAACTCAACCACAGTTAGCTGTGAGGCAATAGAGTACAAATGTATGCTGCATATGAGCATGGGATATGGATTTGAATCCCGGCTGTGATACTTCCTCACTGTCAGTTAACTTGCTTGAGCCTGAGTTTTCCCATCTGCCAGATGGGTGTGATACAATAGGTGCTCCCCCTGAAACCCACCATGTTGACAGGAGTAGTATAAAAATGGTCTGATTCTCCCGGTGAGGTCACGTAAATCTGGAATCGTCAACAATTTTCCTTTCCTTTGTTGTCATGACTTTTTTTTATGACATCACCTCATGTCATGTCACCGTGTGGTATGAAAATTTGCATTGTTACCTGTGCTTCTTCTGTGGCACTTGTCCTCCCTTACTTGATGTCTTATCTCTCCTTCTAGACTGGGAGCTCTTCAAGGGCAGGGAGGGCATTGCATCTTTGAAGGCCTTGACATATGGATACTGCTACAAAGTTTCCTTTAAGGGAAAGGAGGATTCCATACAACCTAAGTGGTGACATCAGCACAGGCTCATTACTAATCTCATGTCACGAGGTTTCAGGCCTGGCTGAGAACTCTGTGAGCTCTGTGATGTTGAGCTTCAGGCACATAGAGTACAAGCTGGGTAGGCCTCTGGCTCCTGCTTAAGAGACAGCAGAAAGGCTGGATGGAGCCTGTCTCCAGACCAGCTTCTTCTGATTCAAGGAGTTGGGTGGGACTGGCAGTTCACTGAAGGCAGAGTGGTAGTCCTGCTTGGAACGTGAAACTTTGTTTCTTTCCTGGGCCTTCCAGTGGGTCTGTTATGTTGGTGAGAGTTTCAGACCTAGAGGAAAGGGTCACTGAAGGTATGGGTTAAGAGCAACTCTGAAAGCCACCTGCCCCCCGACTTCTCTGTGAGTGGGGCCACAGGGAGAAGATCCCTTCATAGGTAGCTCCCCTACCCTTGCTATGCTTGGAAACTGACCATGGAAAGGGATTCATTTCTTAAAGGGATAGGGCTACCATTTAACTTTCTATTGTGTCACTTCCCGAAACGCAACACCTATGGCTTAAGATCCAAGTGCTTTAGAACATGAGATACAAGGTCTTCCAGGCTCTGGCTGCCACATCCCTTTCCAGGCGTGTGTCCCACCACATTCCTCTGCATCCTCTGTCACTGGCCTCACCAGATTAGTCACTTTCTCTGAGAACACCCTGAACTCATCCTTCTCAAGGCCTTTGCACATTGTGTTCCCTGAGCCTATTTTTCTCCTCCTCATCCGTGGAAATCCTCTTGGGTGTTCAGGCATCGTTTAGAAGTCACATCATCTGCAGAGAACTTTTAGACCCTCAAAAGGACGTTGCATGTACTCGTGCTTTTCTACACTTTTCATTCTGTCTTTTGTGTTCCAGTGTGTCCCCCATTGAGGCTCTTCGACACCCCTAGGCATGTCCAACTCAGCACCTACACCTGCTAGGTCCACACACTGTGTTATCCAAGACAGAAGGTGTTAGCAAACCTCTCTTTGGTGCGCCCCTGAATGCAGAACATGTGACATTCTGTTAACTAACAGTTGTGCCAGAGTGGTTTCCATAGCCCATACTGGGGTTCCCATGATTTGTTTGATCATGAGCCCGGCCATTCGAATTGTTTTTGAATTGGTCTGATATCAGCTAGTTAATTGTTAACCCTTTTCAGGTTTGTTTCCCACATACCAGTAGATGTCTGCTTAGTGCCAGGGTTCTGAGCTTTTTATTTCACTTAAGAATATAATAGCAAGGTAGAATTCAGGAAAGATTTACTTGCTGTTAATGTGAACTTTTAAAAAAATAGTTTGAAATGTAGGCTTTGTTTTTATCCCAAAGCTCCATGAAATATGAAAATAGCAGGAGTTTTAAAGGTATATTTCCACCTCTAGAGGAAGAACTGTCCATATTATAGTTGTAATTATAAATTAATAAAGCCTGTGTCATGAAACTTGATTTTGAACGCCTGTGTTCAAATCCTGGCTTTACCACTTACTAGCCTAGAGATATTGGATGAGTGTCTAACTTCTCCGTTCCTCAGTTTCTTCAGTGTTCAATTGGGAAATTTTTCTTATGGTTGATGGAAAGTTTAAATAAGGTCTTGGATATGAAACTGGGATTTTATTAGTGTGTGTGTTTCAAAATGTGGATTTGGAGGCCATTTAAAAATAGCATTTCCAAAAAGTTTGCTTTTAAAGCAAAGTACTTAGATATATAAATTTTTATGAATTTTTTTTCAAATGATAAAATAAATGAGTTTACAGTCAGGAGACATACAGTATCTAACAAACTTAGGGAATATGCTTGGCTTACAAGACGTGGTTTTAGTCCACATAAATTAGAATCACAGAACTATAGGCTTTGAGAAATTATAAAAGCCTTGGAAGGGGTGAACGTGAATTAGTGCATATTGTGTGCAGGCTTTGTGCCATACGTGCTAGATATGGGATCCCAGGAAATGGTTGCATACACCTTGTTGGGTAGATGATATTAACCCTGTTTTGCAGACAGAGAAACCTGAGCTTTGAGAAAATCCTTTACACAAGTCCAATATCAAAGTCTGGAACTTCAAACTGCACTCCTGATGGCTTCTAGAAATCCTTTCCATTTACAGATATGACAAGACTTGCTTTCACATTGTTGATTTTTTTTTTATCCTCTCTTTCTCTGTCTCTGGGGGCAGCACTAATTCAGGGCCAGATAGAACTGTGAAAATCTGCAGTGTTGATGTCACATAACTTGTTTAATGAATCTAGATTAGTGTCTTGACTTTTCCTGCCAAGAATCTGCTCATAAAGTGTCTTGTTTTGAGCTCCTTTAACTGTACTCATTCATCAGCCTTTACTTATTTTCTTCTCTTTTGGAGAGATACTTGCCATTGCCCATAATGTTTGAGGTCAGGAGTATATTTGAAGAGGGCTTTATATTTTCTTAAAAAAAATACAGGTGGAAAATCAAGTTTATCAGCTATTTCATACCATCTTCTTCTGCCATTTATGGGCAACATGTGGAAGAGGTGGCAGGGAGCTGGGAGTTTGGAATAATGTGTCTCATCTTGAATTTGTCGCTGACCAGGGAAAATACTCAAGGCCAACTCCATCATTCCCTTTTGGGAATTCGGTGCTTCAGCTGTAAAGAGTGAGGGCACTACTAGGTGATTCCTAAGATTTAAAATTCTGCATGTTTTGTGGTGTCAAAACCATCAATTTCTGGTGAGCTGCGTGATCCTGCAGCTGTTTCTCTGATACTTTTCAATCTTTAGATTTAATCTATTCAACAATGTATAATTTTTTAAAGGGAAGCTTTTATAGATACTTCTGAACTATAACCGGGTGGGGGGGATAAATGGATGTTAAAAAATAGAAAACAACCAATTAAATAGTATATAGCATGTAATTCTCCTTGGAAACTTACCACGAAATTGAGAAGCACTTTAACAACTGGTAATTTAAATTGCGTTTGAACTCTGCTAATGGTTTGTTTGCATGGGAACTTCAATCATTTCACAGTGGTTCTTTAGCAAAGCTGCTTGTTCTCTTTATGGAAAATAAGAAAAAATTATTAAAAGAGAAGTTGGCTATGGAAAATGGAGACCACTTTCATTTGTGCCTGGAGGGAAGCTGGAGAGTGTGAGTGAGACTCCCTCAGGGCCAAGGGTGGAGAGCTCTTCCTTTCAGTGAAGTTTAAAAATCTGGGAAGTCAGATGCCCTTTGCTGCTGTTGTAGAAACTGTTGTGATTTGTATCTCTCTCTGCAAGGAGAAGCTTTGGTTTTATGCAGCTTGCGGGTGAGGGTAGGGACAACCTTTTTCGTTTGTTTTATGAAATTGCATTGTTCACAGGTCTAATGTTGGCTTCCTAACAACCCATTTCTCAGTAAGTTTGAAATTATGCCTCTCTCTCCTTTCAGTGGAAATGGCTTTCAGAATTCCAATGTCCTTGAAGACCACTAGGTCTCAGGAAACTCCTTGCTTTTCTGGGCTGATAGTGATTATACTCCATTTTGCCTACTTAATTTCTGTCTGCTGTTGAGGTTACTGGGAGAGCGTTGAAATAGGTGTTCGAGGCCTGGATTTGTAAGTCCTGGTTTGGCTCTAGGTGTGACTCATGTGACCAAGCACAAGTCCCTCTGCCCAGTGTGTTTTGTTGTCCTTTGTCAAAGCAAGCAGTCACTTGATCCAGTGGATCAAGTGGCTCCTGAAGAGGTCACCTCCTTACCCAGGCCACCGGGTTCTCTTGTCAGTTGGAAAAGTTGAGGTGGGTCATTTAAAAAATCCCTCCCAACTTTGAACTTGGAATTGTTTTGTACACAAAACAATTGTATGATTGGCTAGGTAATGTTTACAGTGACAACAATGAAATGGGCATGGTAGTTTCTCGTATGTGGATTTCTCCTGCATACATGAAAGACAAGTTTTATAACAGCCCTTGCCTTGGGATACTTGTCTGTTGGCATACATACTGTGTAATCATTAGCAAAACAATAATAGTTGCTAATGAAATAAAACCTGTAATAAGGGCTGTATTAGGCTATTCTAGCATTGCCATAAAGAAATAGCTGAGGCTCGGTAATCTATAAGAAAGAAGGTGTAATTGGGTCATGGTTCTGCAGTCTGTATAAGCATGGCACTGGCATCTGCTTGGCTTCTGGGAAGACCTCAGGGAGCTTTTACTCATGGCTGAAGGCAAAGGAGGAGCAGGTGTCTCAGATGGCAAAAGCAGGAGCAAGAGAGGGAGTAGGCAGAGGAGTTGCCACACACTTTTAAATGACCAGATATCATGAGAACACACTCGTGATCGTGAGGACAGCACCAAGAGGATGGTGCTAAACCATTCATGAGAAATCCGCCCCCATCATCCAATCACCTCTGCAGGCCCCACCTCCAACAGCAGGTATTACAACTCAACATGAAATTCAGAGGGGACACATATCCAAATGATATCAAGGACGGCTTACTGGGAAATGTCAAGATTGTTTATCCCTCTGCTGCTCACTGATTCTCACTTTTCAGGCAAGGAAACTAAAGTTCAAAGAACATTAGGTCCTATAGTTAGAAATTTGTCTCCAAACTCATATTCCTTTTCTTTTTTTATTTGGTATAGTTTAGGTTTATCTGTTAATTTTTTTCTTCCCTACAATTTGAGTATCTAACTGACTTGCCTCTTTCACCTCCATTATTAAGATGAAGCTGTTTTCCCAGGAGAACTAGGAGAGCTGAGATATGAACACTGAGGCATCAGCATTCTCTTTCCCCATCATTCTGAGTCAAATTAGTGAAATAAGAGTGCCAGGATCTGACTAGGAGTTTAGGAGGTATAGAAGTAAACCACGGCCCAGTCAGAGACTTTATAAGCCTGGGAATTTCTGAAGCTGGTTAAGACCCTAGAGATACATAAGCAACACCCTTCTGTTTTTCATAGGTGGGAACTTTGAGGCTCAGAGACAGAGCAGAAGACAGAACCTGGTCTTCTGATTCCCTGTGTTCTGCTTTTTTCATTGTTCCACTGGACGCTCATCAGAGGGAAGATCTTTTTCCTCAATTGGTGAGTCCCGCACACAAAAAGAACACATTTGCCTTTTAAAATCAATGTATATGTTTTAATGAGTTTTAAACATCAGTGTTTTCCACTTAAAGTATGGGCATCAGTAACTAGGATGCATTAAGAATAAGAGAAGAACTGAAATGCCCTTCCTTCTTTCTTGAGTTGCTTTTATGGCAATAGACAATATATAACCATGCTAATAAAATGTGTGGCAAAGCAAAGGCAGAGCTCAGCTCTTGGAAGGTGGTAGCATTGAACTTGGAGGAAAATTTGGAGTAACGATGATTTCAGGTTGCCAGCAATTGTATTGCCTCCTTCTTTCTCATTTGGCATGGAAGAAAGTGTTCATGAAATGGAAAGACCAAAATGAAAATGTCACTGAACAGTGTTTGGGCATTTACAAGGAAAGAAAGCAGTATTATTGAGTGTCTCTTGTTTGCCCTTGTGCAAAGTGCTGCTTCTTTTGTGATCTCATTTCATTTTATGTATTTATTTTTTTGAGATGGAGTCTTGCTCTGTTGCCCATTCTGGGGTGCAGTGGTGCCATCTTGGCTCACTGCAACCTCCACCTCCCAGGTTCAAGCGATTCTCCTGCCTCAGCCTCCCGAGCAGCTGGGACTACAGGCACATACCACCATGCCTGGCTAATTTTTGTATTTTCAGTAGAGATGGGGTTTCACCATGATGGCCAGGCTGGTCTTGAACTCCTGACCTCAGGTAATCCACCCGCCTCAGCCTCCCAAATTGCTGGGATTATAGGTGTGAGCCACTGCGCCCAGCCTCATTTTATTTCTATAACAACCCTTTGGGGCAGAGCAGGCTAAATTTGCTTAGGCAAAGGGTGTGAGCCTTTGTTTTAAAGGGCCTGCCAGAGCTCCACCAGGATGTGAGGTGCAAATCCTGTTATGTGCTCAGAAAGGAGAATTGTGACCAGGTAAGGTAAACTTTCCCTTGTGTTTTGGTGTACCTCTGTACTTAATGGGTAGAGTAGAACATTATGTTCTAAAAAATCGGGGTGGTAAAAAGAATCAACAGTGTGGAATACCCTGGGCTCTAAGGAAAGCTGAGGAAATTAGTAAGGGAATTCTGGGTGCGACTTCCACTTAGGATCCTGATTCGATGGTCCCCATTGGCTGAGGCCAATTCATATATGCCCCCAGCATTGGCTTTGTACTGAGTAATTAATACACCTTGACATATTTGTGGTGTAGTTTTCCAAAACAGAGATGATGCCATTGTGATTGAAAAAAAACTAACTTCATTTAAAAGTGTGACTGAGTTTATAGATGTGTTTTGTCTCTCTGTCTTTTCTTAATCAGTGTATCTTAAAAGTACAACTGACTGTGTGCCTATTGATCTATATTACATAAAAGGCTGGAAACCACTGGTTTGATGCTTAAACCTTAGTGTCTGTTAAAATTTCAAACATGATCTGGAATATATTCCCCCTAGCATACGTTTAAGTATCAAATGAAAAATCTTTGTCACCTCCTCTATGTCTTGAGTTTTTTCAGTGTTTATAATTAAACTGTGATAAGTATGAAGCTTTGCACTTGGACTTAAAAAAATCAAGTGTGTAATGATAGAAAGGGAGAGATTTCCTTAACAAGAGCAGACTGGAAGAGACTTTTATTTATTTATTTTATTTTTATTTTTTATTTATTTATTATTATTTATACTTTAAGTTTTAGGGTACCTGTGCACAATGTGCAGGTTAGTTACATATGTATACATGTGCCATGCTGGTGTGCTGCACCCACTAACTCGTCATCTAGCATTAGGTATATCTCCTAATGCTATCCCTCCCCCCTCCCCCCACCCCACAACAGTCCCCAAAGTGTGATGTTCCCCTTCCTGTGTCCATGTGTTCTCATTGTTCAGTTCCCACCTATGAGCAGACTGGAAGAGTCTTAGAAGTTTTTGTTGTTCATAAGCTAAATATGAGCCAACAGTGGCTTTTGTTGGGAGTGGCTTCCGAAATGCTGATGCAGCCTTCACCTGCGTTTAATAGAGTATGGCATCTAGAACAAAGTGAGTGGGTGATTCTGCAAACCTAGAACACCTGGAAACTGGCAAGTGCAGAGGTCATGTGAGCCTCAGGCACAGTTTGAACAGGACTCTAGCTCTGTTTTTCTGCAGCACTTCTTGCTCTGCCCTTTTTTGTGCCTGGGCTTCATCCTTGGAATGTTTTACCTCATGGGCCATGAGACGGCTGCCTGCTGAAACCCAAACTATAGATATCCCTGTTCCCATTTAGGGGAAAGAGCCTGGTTTGCTATATTCTCATAGGCTTGGCTGACTGTATATTTCTGAACCAGTCATTGAAGCCAAGAGAATGGGATTATGGTAATATGAACCACTATTCTCCTGAAACTGAATTTGGACATAGTCCCATCCAAACCTCATGGTACTCACACAGTGGAGAAGAGGTGGCCCCGCAAAGGAATATCTGGGTGCTGTTAGGAGAGGGAGAGAGGACTGGAAGCTCCGTGGGCAACCACAGGCCTTCTGCAGACCTCTTTAGCCCCCCTGTCAGAGACCCTCTAGAGAGCCGGGCTTTAGTTCCTGCCTCACCTTCTGAAAAGGCATCAGCCAGCTGCACTGTCTACACGAGGATGCTGAGAGGACCAGGAATGATGGCCAACCAAGAAGTGTTACGGGAATGAGACCATGGATTCTGCTGCAAGATTCTGGGACACACGTGCTCATGGCCATCAAGAACATAGAACCTGGGCAGGACAGGGACAGCATTGCTTGTTCATGTGTGTGTCTCCAGAGTCTGCTGGGGTCTCTGGCATGGGATAGGTGCTGCATGAATTTTCATGGATAGAATAAATCTGAAGGAAGTGAGGGTCCCTTTCCCAAAGGGTGTTCTATCGGGCATTGGCTGACTCTCTGTTAGGGAGTATAGGAATTGTAGCACAGATGAAGCCAGACTACGTGATTTAATGAGAATGAAACAAATGACTGGACAAGCTGGGCATCGTGGCTCACATCTGTAATCCCTGTGCTTTGGGAGGCCATGGCAGGAAGATCGATTGAGGCCAGGATTTTGAGACCAGCCTGGGCAATGTGGCAAGACCCTGTCTCTACAACTAAACAAACAAAATCCCAAATGACTGGACAGAAAGAGGCTTTTGACTTAAGAAGTTTGTGAGGGCATAAAAAGGCAGTGAGTATGGTGGGATGCCCTAACAGAAGTCCTGACAAGTATGAGATGTGCAACCCTAGAAAAACAACATCCCTTCACCCTTATTTTTTTGATCTGAGAATTAGGAACAATAATCATTGCCCTGCCTACCTCTCATGTTTGCTTAGAGCAAGTGCATTGTTAAATGCCAACCTGTTTTGTAAACTATAAAGTGTGGTTCCTGTATGATACATTATTACAGTTGTCTTCTTCCTTAAAGACTCATCTTGAATATAAAGAAAAAGACAATGTAAGTTCAGTGCACAGCATCGGGAACATTAGACATGCTCAGCGTATGCCCTTCCTGCCAACATTGTACCTCTTCCTCCTCCGGGTTGGATGGGCACTAACTCGTCCTCAGTCCTGCAGCTAGATCTGCAACTTTGCTTAATGATGCAGGTTAAAATTGAAATAGAATTATGTATTATTATTTTTCACATTCATTTTTGCCTGAGACAGGAGGTGGAGGGTGGTAAATTAAGAAACCCGGGAAGCTCAGTGCTTGAGAGAACCCATAGAAGCTACAGTCTAGCCCATTTGGCTTCTTACTTTGTTAGATTAGATAATCATACCTGCTGCTCCAGGCGTGACTAGCCCAGTGGGAGTCAGGAAGGAAATTATTTCCCTCTGTTGATACCGGTTTACAATTGCCGACTGTCGCCAAGGGCTTTCAGTTTTAATATTTCCTCTTTGGTCCTCAGAAGTATCAGGTATTAGTCTCTGCCGGAAGCAAAGCATTGGTCACTTCCGTCAGAGGTGAATGTCTTGGCTGTCTATAATTCCTCAGTCAGGTGCTTTCTGGGCATGTGTGAGCATTTGCTCAGCTAGCTTTTATTGCTTGTATGTTATTTGCTTCAAAAATTACAAGAGGATTTGTCGGGTCTGAGCAGTGACCTATCCAGTCCCCTGAAACTCTATGGTTCTTCGTGTAACCCAGGGATGTCTTGTAGGAGGTATGTTTGCTGTCCACGAAAGTAAAAAGTAGTGATATCTCTTTCTCTCTTTTGCTTCCTTCCTCCTAATTCCACATTCTCCTATTTCTTGGCTTCTGGCACAGTGGAGATACCTCTACTCTACATTAGGCATGGCCTTAGGGGATCCGAATTCTCAGGTCTTCCTCAATGAGTTGCTGTGTGGTAGACAGCATCTGAAGTTTGAATGGGTAGAGAGACCTTTGTAGATTGTGGCCAAATATTTACACCTGGTTCATAGAGTATGTGTTTGCTGCCCTGATCTCAGTGTTGGTCTGGGTGTTAGTGAACCTCATGATCTTTAGGAAACTATGTGAATTAGGCTTAGTCCCTGACCCTGAGAAGCTTATAGTTAGGGAAAAAGACAAACATATAAAGGAGAAATACACATTAGAAACATATTCTTTTTTTTTTTTGAGATGGAGTCTCATTCCGTTGCCAGGCCAGAGTGCGGTGGTGCGATCTTGGCTCACTGCAACCTCCGCCTCCAGGATTCAAGAGATTCTCTTGCCTCAGCTGCCCGAGTAGCTGGGACTACAGGTGCGTGCCGCCACGCCCAGCTAATTTTTGTATTTTTAGTAGAGACGGGGTTTCACCACATTGGCCAGAATGGTCTTGATCTCCTGACCTCATGATCCATCCACCTTGGCCCTCCAAAGTGCTGGGATTACAAGAAACATATTATTTATGGTACACATTTATTAATCACCAGATATGTTTCAGGCCTTACGCTGAGTGCTTGGGAAATTGAGATAAATTATAGTCTCAGATCTCATGGGGCGTGGATGAAGAGTTGGGAGAAAGAAAAAAATAGGCCAGGCGTAGTGGCTTATGCCTGTAATCCCAGCACTTTGGGAGGCTGAGGCAGGCAGATCACCTGAGGTCGGGAGTTCAAGACCAGACTGACCAAAATGGAGAAGCCTCATCTCTACTAGAAATACAAAATTAGCCGGGCATGCCTCTAATCCCAGCTACTCGGGAGGCTGAGGCAGGAGAATTGCTTGAACCCAGGAGGCGGAGGTTGCGGTGAGCCGAGATCGCACCATTGCACTCCAGCCTGGGCAACAACAGCAAAACTCTGTCTCAAAAAAAAAAAAAAAGAAAAAAAGCATTGATTAATATTATCTCACAGTTTCTGAAATTTGGGAGCAGCTTGGATGGGTGCCACAAGATCTCTCACCACATCGCAGTCCAGGTGTTGCTGGACCTGCAGTCTCACCGGAAGGCTGAACTCCGGGGAAGATCTACTTGCTACCAAGCACATCGCATGATGGTTGGCAGGATTTGTTTCCCCACAGATTATTGGACTGAGGACTTCAGTTTCTTGCCGTGTAGGGCTCTCTATAGGGCAGCTCACATGGCAGCTGCCTTCCCTCAAAATGAGTGAGCAAGAGAGAGTCCCTGAGAGGCAAATCACAGTCTTTTTATAAGTTAATCCTGGAGGTGACACACTGTTCCCTCTGCCTCATTCTCTTTACGAGAAGCGAGTCACTAGGTCCAGGCCACACTGAAGGGGAGGGGTGAATATGAGCACAAGGTTATTAATACCAGGAGGTGGAGTTACACGGAACCATCTTAGGGGCTGCTTACCACAGATTCCCCAGGTTTACATGGATGTGCTAAGGTGGAAGTGGACGTTGCCTGAAGCAGTTGAATAAACCCAGCACACCTCTGTGGATCAATTTTACTTGAAGACATTTTTGGGGGAAAACTCCATTTAAAACTCTTAAGAGAAGCACTGGTACATAATAGCACAGGATGTAAAGTTGGCATGGCTTTTAAGAAGAAAAACACAAGTTTTCAATTCATGCCGTGTTCCCTTACCTCTGTATTTTTGCCCTCCTCAGCGGTAGAGCTTTTTTGGTAGAAATGTCGAAAGGTTCTTGCTTGAGCCCCTTGCTGTATGCGTGAGACACCGAGACTTGGAAAGGGCACATACTCTTCCAGGGCCACAGAGCCAGCGGTAGTCAAGGGAGGAACCATCTGCAGCTCCTCTCTGTGCCCCGCCTTCCACCGCTCCACACAGTCTCTGCTGCATAATGAGTCTGTGCAACTTTTAGGATGTTTTCTCTTCTTTTCTCAAACTCTCTCCTGTCCCAGAAACAGATTAGGAAAAATAGGTCAAAAATTGGAATCTTGAGCTTTGATTTTGTCCCTTTAGTTAAATTTCAGGGGTCTGCGTCTCCTGGTGGGCCATGTTGTGTCCTGAAAAGTTGCATAAATCAATATTACACGGCTCAGACAGTGTATCTCTGCAGTTATGAATAACATTTGTTTTAGGAACAGAGAGCTGATATACAACGTTACTTTGAGACTGACAAGACCAGACATAAAACCTCAGCCAATACCCTCTGTCTGGCAGGGAGTTTCTTTTCCAGAGCATCCTTCTCTTCCCCCGACCAAAGCAGTCCTTTTCAAAATCAAGCTCCGCAGTTTATTTTATAGAAGATGACAGGTTCCCTTAGAGTCCACATTCACATAACTAGAAAAATTAATGGAAATTGGAGCCTTAAAATTATGGTCAAGCTTATTAGTGACTTTACAGCCAAAATGAGGAACGCACAGCTTTGGTCACTGAGAATGTGGCTGGCCAGAACGTGAATTCTACTACCTGCTCCATAGTCCCTTTCAACTCTCAGCAATTTTTTTTAATACTCATCTTATTCTTTTTTTTTTGAGATGGAGTCTCACTGTTGCCCAGGATGGAGTGCAATGGTACAGCTCACTGCAGCCTCTGCCTCCAAGGTTCAAGCGATTCTCCTGCCTTAGCCTCCCAAGTGGCTGGGATTACAGATGCATGCCATCACACCCGGCTATTTTTTTTTTTTTTTTTTTTTTTGTATTTTTAGTAGAGGAGGTTTCACCATGTTGGTTAGGCTGGTCTTGAACTCTTGACCTCAAGTGATCCACCCTCCTTGGCCTCCAAAAGTGCTGGGATTACAGGTGTGAGCTGCCATGCCTGGCTAACTCTGCTTGTTATTAAAGTGTTTCTTACCAATTATTTCATTTTTATTAAAAGTACATAGTAGGAAATAGAGTTTTAGTTGGACAAGGACAACATGGTAAAGAGGAATTTGGAGTAGGAAGACTGTCACGTTAGTCACTGAATCCTACCTAGTTCACTTAGTTTTTTTTAGCCTGTTTTCACTTCTGCAAGCCATGGAGTGAAGAGTGCCTACTTCAGAGTCTTTGGTGCTCTCAAAGCAGCGTAATGTCTATAAAGTACCTATTGAGTGTGGTACTTCTTATGTAGTTGGCACACATTAAATGTTAAGTTTCTGATCACCTTAAGAGTCCATAACTCTTTGCTGGAGATCACCCTTAGTTCTTTTCTTTGTTAGGCCATTATCTCATGTCCTGTTTACACTGTCCCCTTGGATTGGCCTAGACCTGCAGCGTTTGTGTATTGGTCACCCCAGATTTCATGTTTCCTGAATAATTAATAGCCTCAACATTTCTAATTTTGCATAATGACTCCCAAGGCCTAACTACAAACATCATAATGTGCTCATGTTTTCTGATACCTGGAAATATAGTGGCTCTAGGAACAAAACCTTTATCCACTGTGTTTCATGGGGAAGGCTTATTGGGCATCACTACTGGAAAGTAAGTGTTGATTTTAATGGCAAGACTAGTCCAGGGGTGAATTCTACTCAGGTGCCATTAGCAACCTCTTCATCTGTAAATGGAAGTGTCTCTGGGACCTGCTCAGCTCTGACCTGCTTTGGGTCCTTTTTGGACTTCTTCAGGATGAGATCACCTCACCGTGGTTCAATGCCAACTGGTTTGAGTTATATCAGTTATTAAAAATGATCTAATGTTTTCCTTTTAAATCTGAGGCCCTGGCTCATTCTATGATTAAGCCAGTGATTTATTTATAATATAGTGTGAGATGGCTGCAGCCACTCTATGATGTAATCTAAGAATGACATGAAAACAAAATAGGTTTTTACATAATGAAAGTATTCCTGTAATACAGTTTATAGCAAGGCTTTTTCCCCCCATTGAGAATGGAGATATATTCTTTACTTTTCCTTCTACTCCTGTTTAAATCTTCTTTTACCATTTATTACACTTAAGGCCTTTAAGTCAATTTTTAAAAATCAGCATTTACAACTCCACAAAGTCTCTGGTTACTCTTTTAATCTTGTCATTTTCTTCGCTCCCAATCCCCACTGCCACCCTCCATGGCCTCTGTGTGTAGCCGCTGCTCACCCCCTGCTCAGCACTCCAGAGTCCTCACCATTCCTCTGCTTATGCTGTTTCTTCTGCTGGAATGCTCACCCCAATCCTAACTTTTCTTCTGCTAAAGGCATACTTCACTGGTTCCCACAAATAGCATCCTTCTGTAGCCTGCTCAAATGCACATCTTCCTTTAAGCCTCCTGTGTTGCTCCTTCCCCTTGTTAGAAACCCGTTATCTGTACTCTTATGGAACTTAGTGTAATAGCAAACCCCCACCCCTGCTCCAAGGGCTATTCACAGACTGTCAGAGTTAGGGAGGAGAAATGACTTAGAGGAATGGGGTAAGGGGTTTTGATAGTTCCCGGTCTGCTCCTAATAGTGAGACCCGGGCAGTCAGTCATGGCTCATCTTTGTGGTTCAGTTTTTCTCAGCTGAGGAATGAGTGGTTTGGATTTTATTTCACATGGCCAAATGATGTGTTGGTAGTGGTTCCTTGAGGTGCTGTGCTGAGAAGGACTCTGAGGCTGCATCCTGACTCAGCTAATGATCACTTAGGAATATCGCCATGGGAGTGGAGAGTGAAAGCATATGAGAGGTATCTGAGCTGCTTTTGGACTAGGTGATTTAAATGTCTCTTTTTGTTCTACCTTCTGGATGCTTTGATTTACTGACTTGTGAAGTGTCTTGCCCAAGATCACGTAGCCCATTAAGTTTTAGAAGCTGATTCTCTGACACAGAGATGGTTAAAAGCTACACATTTGACTCTCACATTCATACACGTAGGCTGGCTGTGGGAGATGAAAAGCTAGAATAAGAAGTTCTAGAAGATCCATGACTTATTGAAAACACAAGACTACTCAAACTCTGTATGTCTTTGAGGTTGAGTGAGGTCACTTTTCACCTCTTTGTCTTCTTTGCTTCCTAGGAGTTATGATGTCCCCACTATTCAAATTTATGTCAAAGATGGCAGTTCAAGGTCAAGGTCAGAAAGGCAGGTGATCCTGCCAGGGTCTTAATTGGATCAGCCTTACCCCATGAATCCATTAGATCTCCTGTTCCCCTTCTTCCAACTCCAGACAAAATGCTTAGCTCTCTGCAAAAAGCCCAATTGCATGAGCAGTAGGTCAGCTCAGCAACCAGGTGATTGAACACTGGGACAAGAATAAAGGAAGGAAAGGAAGAGGGCATTTTAGGATGGCTGAAGGTGCTGGAAACTTGAACCCTAGAGGAATGAAGAAGGAACTGGAAGTGCTTAGTGTAAAGAAGAAATAAAGGGGCAGGAGGAGGAGAGAGCAGAGCAGGTGGTGCTGTCCTGGGTCTCTGCTGTGGAACGGGTGCAAACTCACTTTTTGGGACCTCTGGAAGAGTTCTGGCAGCAGTGGGTTGGAAGCAAGAGATAGATAGTGTGAGAATGTTGATGTTTTCTCAATGTTTATGGAAAATGCTTAATGTTTTAATATTAAGAGCAAACCACAGATGGAATGTGTGTTTCAGGAGGTCGAAGTTCACAATCACTGCAGATGTCTAGGTGGGGTTGATGCAGTTAGGTATTTTCTATTTTAGGTATTTTGTGGTGGGGATAAAATGTTATACATGATGACTTTTAAGGTCCTCCCTGTCTTAAGAGTCTAGAGTTTTTTTAGACATGTTTTTGTGTACATTTAAATAATTTCCATTTTAAAATGAAGGCTCTTTGGAGTAAAGTGATTGTTCCTTTCTCCATAATCTTGGCACATGTAAGTGCTGACTTACCTTGGGCAATCTCTTCTCCACTTAGCATTATTGAAGGAAAGGAGACTAACTGAGGATGTCTTAGAATTTTTTGTACTGAATGTATTTTTGAAGATGATTTGTACGTTTCTTTTCAGGGTAGTTCCAGGGAAGTCTCTTCTTTAGGCCTCCTCCAACCACCATCCCCTATTGTCAATGATTGGCTGTTTTTGTACTACCAGAATGCTTTGTGTATACATCCAATAAAGCATTCATGCCACTTCAGTCTGCTGTATAAGCCTGTTTTCACAATCTTTCTTCTCCTCTAGATTGTAGAAGCTCCTTGAGGGCATGAATTATGTCTTTTTCCATAGGAAGTCCCATGTCATCTAGTATAATAGTTTGCAAATAGTAATAATGATGACTCATTAACTCGAGCGTTTACTGAACACCTACTATTTGCTAGACACTATTCCAGGTGATGGGACTAGAACAAATGTTAAAAAAAAGACAGAAAAATTAATGAGTAAATATGTAATATTTACATTGTGATCTATTAGGTTGGTGCAAAAGTAATTGTGATTTCTGCCATTACTTTTAATGGCAAAAGCCGCAATTACATTTACACCAACCTAAATATATTAAGAAGAAAAATAATTGAGGTTAAAGGCATGAAGAGTAGGGAGGACACAAATGTAAATTCACTGGCCTGAGAAGGTCTTGATGGTAAGAGTATATGTGAATGGAGACCTGAATGAAACGAGGTAGCAAGCCAGAGATGTGTGGGTGGGATGGACTGGAGGAAGAGTGTGTAGAACTGACTGAAAGCAAATGCAAATAACCTGACCTGAAGCATGCTGGGGACATGCCGGAAAAGTGAAGAGGACAGTGTGGCTAGAGTGAAGTGTGTAAAAGTGGTCATGCATGCCAAATAAAAATAGTTGCAACAACCAGTAAGACATACATGAGAGATATTGTGGGTTCAGTTGCAGACCACCACCGCAATAAAACAAATATTGCAGTGAAGCGAGTCACACAAAATTATTGGTTCCCAGTGCATATGAAATTTATGTTTACACTATACTGTAGTCTCTTAAGTGTGAAATAGCATTATGTCTAAAAATACAGTATACATACCTTAATTAAAACTTTTATTGCTAAAATATGCTAGCAATTATCTGAACTTTCAGTGAGTCCTGCTTTTGCTGATGGAGGGTCTTGCCATGATGCTAATGACTACTGACTGATCAGAGTGGTGGTTGGTGAAAGTTGGGGTGGCTGTGGCAATTTCTGAAAGTGAGACAACAATAAAGTTTGCCACATTGATTGACTCTGCAGAGAAAGAGTGATATCAAGCTGTATCACTTCTCTGTAGCATGTGATAATGCATAATATCATTTTACCTTCAAGAAAACTTCTTTCAAAATTGGAGTCAGGCCTCTCAAACTTTGGATCTGCTTTATCCATTAAGTTTATGAAATATTTGATATACTTTTTTTTTTGTTGTCATTCAACGATGCTCACAGCATCTTCACCAGGGGTAATTTCCATCTCAGGAAACCATTTTCTCTGTTCATCCATAAGAAGCCCCTCCTTATCCATTCAAGTTTAAACAAAGGATTACAGCAACACAGTTGCATCTTCATTCCACTTCTAATTCTAGTTCTCTTGCTATTTTCACCACATCCTCAGTTATTTCCTCCACTGGTCTTGAACCACTCAAAGTCACCCATGAGGATTGGAATAAATTTCTTCCAATCTCCTGTTAATGCTGATATTTTGACCTTCTCTTATGAATCACAAATGTTCTTAATGGCATCTAGAATGGTGAATCCTTTTTAGAAAGTTTTCAATTTACTTTGTCCGCATTCATCTGAGGAATCATTATCTATGGCAGCTAGAGCCATATGAAATGTATTTTTTTAAATAATCAGACTTGAAAGTTGAAATTACTCCTTGATCCATGGGCTGCAGAATGGATGTTGTGTTAGCAGACAAGAAAACAACATTAATCTCTTTGTATATCTCCATCAGAGATCTTGTGTGACCAGGTATGAGAAGAAATATTTTGAAAGGAATCTTTTTTTTTTCCCTCTTTTCTGAGCAGTAGGTAACAGTGGGCTTAAAATATTCTGTAAACCATGCTGGAAACAGTGCTTTCATCCAGGCTTTGTCATTCCATTTATAGAGCACAGGCAGAGTAGATTCAGCATAATTCTTAAGGACCCTAAGATTTTCAGAATGGTAAATGAGCATTTGCTTCAACTTAAAGTCACCAGCCACATTAGCCTCTAACAAGAGAGTTACCCTGTCCTTTGAAGCTTTGAAGCCAGGTATTGATTTCTTTTCTCTACTTCTGAAAGTCCTGGATGGCATCTTCTTTCAATATAAGCCTGTTTCATCTACAATGAAAATCTGTTGTTTAGTATTTACCTTCGTCAGTGATCTTAGCTTGATCTTCTGGATAACTTGCTGCAGCTTCTCCATCAGCACTTACTGCTTTTCCTTGCACTTTTATGTTATGGAGACCTAGTTTTTCCTTAAACCTCAGGAACCAATCTCTGCTAGCTTCAGATTTTTCTTCTGTAGTTTCCTCACTTCTTTTTGCCTTCATAGAATTGAACAGAGTTAGGGCCTTGCTCTGGATTAGGCTTTGACTTAAAGGGAATTTTGTGGCTGGTTTGATCTTCTATCCAGATCACTCCAACTTTCTTCATCTCAGCAATAAGGTTGTTTCACTTTCTTATCATTCATGTGTTCACTGGAATAGCACTTTTAATTTCCTTTATGAACTTTTTTTTTTTTGGTATGCACATCTTGGCTGTTTGGCACAAGAGGCCTAGCTTTTGGCCTCTCTTGGCTTTTGACATGCCTTCCTCACTAAACTTAACCATTTCTAGCTTTTGATTAAAGTGAGAGATGTGCTACTCTTCCTTTCACTTGAACACTTCGAAACCATTGTAGGGTTATTAATTGGCCTAATTTCAGTATTAGTGTGGGAGATGGGAGGGTCCAAGGAGAGACGTGGGAATGGCTGGTCAGTGGAGCAGTCAGAACACACCTATTTATTGATCAAGTTTGCCATCTCATATGGCCATGATTTGTGATACCCCAAAATAATTATGATAGTCACATCGAATATCACTGATCACAGATCACCATAATACATATAATAATAATGAAAAAGTTTGAAACATTGTGATAGTTACCAAAAGGTGACACAGAGCCATGAAATGAGCACATGCTGTTGGAAAAATTGTACCTAAAGACTTGCTTGATACACAGCTGCCTCCACAAATCTTCTATTTGTAAAAAACACAGTATTTGCCAACTACAATAAAGTGAAGTGCAATAAAACAAGATATGCCTTTATTAGTTAAGTACACATTGAAGATGCTCAGGAAAAAATAAATTGCTTTTGTGATTCAAAGAATCCACATAAATCTAACAAAAGAATGACAAAACATATTTCTGTTTTTCAGCTCTAAGAGATGGGGGCACTGGATCAGGAGCAGGATGGTAGTGGTGTGCAGCTTTGAACAAGTCCAGTTGCCGTGGGGTTTCCCTCCATGGCAGAGGGCTCTCCACTCCGTTTCTCTGCCCCTGCGGCAGGCACACCTGCAGGGATGCCTGGGCCCTGGGTGCAGATGGGCAATCGTAAGCCTAATCACCCATTCAGGCACACACTTACTTGTTTTCCACATGCAAATATGGCCTTTTTGCGGATGAATTTAATACAGTTGTTGCTTCCTCATTTTATTTAAAACAAAACAAATGGCCAACCATGTCAGTTGAGGGTAGCAAATAGAAACATGAGTATTATGGTCTTTGCTGTTTGTGTCGATTACACGGCTGAAAGGAATCCCAGGCAAATCAGTCTTTTCTGTGCTCAATTTTATTTTTACTTTATATCACCTTTTCTTACTATCGCTATTGGTTTTAACAAAATTTTTAAAGAGGGCTATCACATTCCTTTCTCTTAATCATTTTATCAATATTTCAGGCTCCTTAGTTCTATTTTGTGGTTTCTACCTTTGACATTTTTAGTTTCTGAACTTGGGGCCCATTGTTCAAAGAAAGGCATTATGGAGTCTCCAAAAGCCATTGGCAGGTGGTGTCTGTGACTTCCTTAGCCTGGAAATAAACAAATAAACAAGCACAAATTAGAAGTCTTTGCCCTATTACTGCACTATTAGTATTGATTGCGCAACATCATGCAAAAAGTCACTTTAATTTATCTGGCAGGTCCTATGTAAACACCAATACAGTCAAGAGGGCTTGGATGGGTATTTGCTTTCATTTCTAATGAAATTTCAGGCCTCTAGGGTAGGATATCAAAATTGGTAGATCATTTGCAATTTATTTTATCCCAAACACCTCACTTTACAGTCAGAGAAACTGAGGCCCAGAGAAGTAAAATGAGTTGCTCAAGGTCTCAGAGAGCAAGAAATAGAGATGGGACTTGAGCACCTAGATCTCTGGTATTGCTGTCCTGTAGTTCATGGAGCTGGCAGATGGATACATCTGTGACCTGGGATGATGGAGAGACTGCTGGACCCTTCAGAGGATCTCATCTCAAGGTGGGGTTTATGTGTAAATGATATCTGTGTGTTTCATTTTCCTTTCATAAACTAATTTAAAAATCCTTTTGGTATCAAATTTTAAGCCAAAAAGTAGTGAGGGGGAACATGGGTAGGAATAGCTTACAGCTTGCCTAACAAGGTTGTTGACTGCATAAGAGTCAGGAGTTTTGGGTAAGAGTGTGTGTGTGTGTGTGTGTGTGTGTGTGTGTGTGAGAGAGAGACAGAGAGAGAAAGAGGTAAAGAGGAACAAATGAAGAGGGAGAGGTCAGATTGTTTGACAGTAGCAACTTCATAGGCACAGAATTTCTGAGTTGGAAGGAAGTCTTATACGTACTGAATTTGACTGCTTTATTTTGTAGGGAAGGAAACTGATGTGCCTAGAGTAGTTGAGAGCTTTATTCAAACTCATTCCACTGTTATTGAGTAGTTAGGATATTAGACCAGCAACATATTTGGGTAGAAACTTTCATATAAAAAAGCGTAATCATAACTATCCAATCATGTCAACTAGTAAGGCTGCTCAGGTGGGATAACACATCAACCTTCTTTGGGATTCTTCCCTCAGACATGGTTTTGGTGGGAGGAGCATGGCAAGGGAGGGGCGAGCTCCAAATGCAGGGCTGCTCTGTCCTCGGCGACCTGAGCAGACACACGAGCAGAGATCAGAGACACTCTTAGTGAATGAACCTCCCTATTGGCTATATTAAAGTAATGCTCTGAAAAAGTTCCGTGTGGAGAGCAAGGCCAGTTAGGGAACATTTTGTGGATCTTTTATATGTCCTTAACTATATGATTCTTTTATTTTTAAATGAAAAATGTTAAGATGTTACGGGGTATGTATGCATAGTCTAAAGTGATGATTTTAGAGGTAGCAAGACAGTGAGAATGTCCCTACATGTGAAATGGGCACAGTTTTATCAGGGAAGTGTCAATAGAGGGTTAATGTTCCACGTAGTGGCTGCAAGAATGATAAGTGGTCATGGGGATAGCCTGACACTCTAGGAGCAGAAGGTGGTGGGTATGGATAGAACTACTGATATAGCATGAATCCAACCTGCTGTTATCTGCGCAGGCCTCTCTGCAGCTGTTTGCCCTGAAGTACATGCTGTACGTTTCTCCAGCTGATCCTGCATGACTGGGTATAAACGCCTGTCCGCTGTGTGCTGGACAGCCCCAGACACCCTCGGCAGCCTGCTGTGTTTGTGTGAGACATGCTGTGTTAGGGATTTAAGCATCTCCCTACTCGTTCCTCATCTTTTTCTCTTCTCTTCCTTCTAATCTCCTTTCATCTTTCCCTTTGGGGGAGAAAAAGTCATCAGAGTTGTTTGAAGGTTCATTTATGTTGATTTGTTTTTATTTTGAAGCTAATTTGTTTCCTGCTTGTATCTGTAACTGATGTACTTCATGTGAGACCGTGTTATAATATACTTGAGTTCTCCTTGGCCCTCTGATTTCTTTTCTTTTTTTCTTTTACTGAAAAATAAAAGATTTCCTTCTCTCTTCAGACCTACAGCTTTCTCATCTACATGGACAACCTATTTTTAAAGAATCTTCAGAGAGTCGTTGACTTTGTTATAACTACTACTATATACGTAATTTCAGATGATAGAATTGAAAATTTAACTTGTTTTTCTAGAAAGAGTTTATTTTCCCTATAACTTCAAAGAGTAATGGTGGGGAGTAGGACATTCTGAAAATAAGAAGAAACATGTCAAATGAATTTCTGACTTCCAGCTAGGCATATGGAATAAAGGTCTTTATTCCAGTGACCTCTGCTCATTGGAAAACTTTGGGCTGGTAGATTTCATGATTCTGACGCTGTATGTCCTCTTGAGTTACAGTGAGTGATGAGGCCAAATCGCAGGGTGGATGATGTGCTTTTTTTGGGCTAATAGGTGTTAAGGAGGCATGCTGTCCTTTGGCGTTAAGACAGATCATTTCCTCAGTTGGGTAATGTTTAAGGAATCCACTAAATCCTTAAATATATGGCACACATAAGGAATGCAGAGCTTTTAGACACTCAGCCTTAACATGGGTTATTTTTTAGCATGGCTAATGGCTAAACTTGATTTCTACTGGGTTTGTTCAACCTATTTCTAACTTATAGGTAAAAGCCTGCTTTTTATCCTCTCCATCCTCATCACCTTTTTAGTTGTGTCTCTGCTTGATTCTTCTTGCATTCAGGTCTATATTGTATTATAAAAAGAAAGAGAGAGACAGAGAGAGAGAGAGAGAAGGAAAAGAAGAAGGAAAAAAAAACCACACACATTGAATGGGAAGGCAGGAGAGTAGAGCTCTGACCCCAGCTCTGTCATAGCCACCTGTGTGACTATTTGCAAGCATTTTCATCCATTCAACAAATACACACCAGGTACTGGAGATACAAAACTGTGAAAGACACGGTTCTTACCCTCACCACTTACAGTCAGGAGTAGAGAGTTAGGTACACAAATAGAATGTGAAATCACTTCTCCTTTCTGGGTCTTCATTTTACAAATGCAAGAGCCAGAACTGGGCCAGGTGATCATCAAGGTCCCTTCTGAGGCTAACATGCCATCATTCATGCAAAATTCATTAAACATCTGATAATCACTTACCTAAGTGAAAATTAGCAAACATTTCCCCTTTCTCCTTAGTTTGTAGGGGATGATATTGAAGACGAATGAGGCGATGTCTACAAAATGCTTTAATAAGCAAGTTGGAGAAAGAGATTATGTAAGTTTGAGGCATTATGATTAATGAAAAATGAAAACAAGGGCTGATGTTTTCAGAGAGAGAACAGATGGTTCCTTTGTTCAGAATTTGAGTATAAAAAAGAGAGGAAGAAAAGATACTTGCTATATTGTTTAGGCCCTGAATGTGAGTAACTTTAAAATGCCAAAACAATCTGGTTAGGAAAGTCCCATAGATTCAAAATAGCTCTTACAGTGATCAAACTATAATTAATATAACAAAAAAAAGACAGAAAAATACTAATAAGAAATGCCACAGTGACAGCTGACACAACCTGACAAAAACTCCTATTTTTACAACAACTCTAGAAACTTGATTTTTTCTGTTCTCAGGAGTTATACCACACTGTAAAACAAACTAGTGAGAACCGATTTAAAACTGTTTCTACCGTTCCCCCTACCCCTCAGGTTATTTTAGTTTCCCATGACTCATAAAGGAAATCTTCAGGATTCACAAGAAATTGGCAATTCTTTTCCATCTTTGCTGTTGAGTATTGATAGGAAAACAGCATAGTTTGGGGCAATTTAAGTAGAGAACAAACCTCCGGGGGCTTGGGGTGGTGTCTCAGAAGGCCGGATCTGGGAAGGGCCTTTGAAAAGCTTGCACGGAAAGCTGCGAAATAAATCGTTTCTTTTTCTCTTTCTTTACGTTCTAAAATCTCGTGATCTGTTTCTACAATACACAGGCTAATTGATGTTATCCTTTTGGCATGATTCTTGCTGTCCTGGGGTCTATCACTTGCAGGCTATGAGAATGAGGCCATAGACCACCACACTGGCAGCACTGAGCAAAAGGTGCTAGACCCTTCTGAGTTCAGGTGCTGTGTAACTGGTGCTGTGATTGGACAGGGTGACTAACCTCAGTCTCTCTGGGTGTAATTTCTTCACTGTGGAAAGAGGAGGCTAACTAGAAAGTTCACTCTGACACTAATCTGAGTTCAGGTCCACATCTTTTTTTTTAATTAATTATTTTATTTTTAAAATTTTTATTTTTTTGAGACAGAGTCTCGCTCTGTCGCGCAGGCTGGAGAGTAGAGGCACAATCTCTGCTCACCACAACCTCCACTTCCCGGGTTCAAGCGATTCTCCTGCCTCAGCCTCCTGAGTAGCTTACAGGTGCCCGTCACCACGCCCGGCTAATTTTTGTATTTTTAGTAGAGGTGGGGTTTCACCGTGTTGTGCAGGCTGGTCTCGAACTCCTGGCCTTAAGATATCTGCCTGCCTCGGCCTGCCAAAGTTCTGGGATTATAGAAGTGAGCCACTGCGCCCAGCGCACATACAATTGTAGGAAGGCTGAGAATGGCTTTTAATTTGGGAGCGTTTAAAAGCAAACATGCTTCCTCAAGACAACAGTAACAAAAAATTGACATCGTTGAGGTGGGAACTTCTTTAATGCTACCTGAGCCTCTTGCTGAAATGGTTCTATGCAGTTTTGCATAGCTAGGAGTGGTAAGCTCATTCACAGACATGGAAGAGGCAGAGTGGGCTTAGGGAGAGGCACCAGTCTAGTGGTCCAACTTGGGTTCTGGGTTCCAGTCCTGCTTCTGCTACTAACCCCATGAGACCTTGGAATGCCCATCTCTAAGGTTTCTTTCAGAGCTGAATCACTGTTTGGTCTGTGATTCATCAAAGCAATTAGAAGACTATGCCTCTCCTTCAAGACCAAGACTTTGGTCAGAATACTCCCTAGGGACTTTCTCACTGTGTGTGGCACTCTTCTCTATTAGACGCTTTATTCATTCTCCATTGTATTAGAGTCAAAAGTATGATTGTTTGTTGTAGAGGTGCCTTTTCCGTGTCATCTCTGATAATCTACCCCTCTCTCTCTGAGTAACCTAGGCTTTTAAAACACATCTCCTTTGGCTTAATCACACTGCCTGGTGTCTACTCAGCATTATGTGTTTGTTGTCTGCCCTGAACTGTGAACTCAGCCATGTCCTGCTCATTTCTGAAGCCTCAGCATGTACATCGGTATCTGGTTCATGGTAGATTTTCAATGAATCTGAGTGAATGAATGATGGATGAATGATTTTGTATCTCCTTACTAGGCATATGTTCCTTGAGGGCATGGACCGTGTCTAATGGGTGGCTACCTAGTGTCTCATTCTTGGTCCGTTGTTAGTGGTGATTTTTGTCCTCTTCTTTGCACTCATCATTCTAGGCTTGTATTAGGGTAAATTGTTAGCATAATTCTGCCTTGTTTCCCACCCTGCCCCCGCCTTTTTTTTCTTTTGAAACAGAGTCTTGCTCTGTCACCCAGGCTGGAGTGCAGTGACACAATCTTGGCTCACTGCAACCTCTGCCTCCCGGGTTCAAGCAATTCTCCTGCCTCAGCCTCCCAAGTAGCTGGGATTACAGGCACCCGCCACTACGCCTGACTAATTTTTGTATTTTTCATAGAGACAGGGTTTCATCATGTTGGTCATGCTGGTCTCGAACTTCTGACCTCGTGATCTGCCTGCCTCGGCCTCCCAAAGTGCTGGGATTACAGGCTTGTTTGCTTTTAAACAGTTTGTGGGCAGGGATGGTATTTTCTTATGATTCTATTCCTCACAGATCCTGGCCCAGAGCCATTAGCAGAGAAAATTCTCAGTAGATGTTTGCTGACCTAAACTTCATTCCACCACCTTTGCCTTCCTTTTGCCTTTTCACCTCCTCTTAGAAGGTACCTTATATGATAATGTCACCTATGCAATAAAGACCACAAAGTAAATTTAATAAAATAGAAGGCATGCTTCCCTCTTTTCTAACCCCACACTTTTTTTTTTTTAAGATCAAAATAACGTTGCATTTGTGTGTGCCCTGCTTTTATTTATTTATTTCTTTTGTAGACACGAGGTCTCACTATGTTGCCCAGGCTCTCTCCAACTACTGAGCTCGGTGATCCTCCCACCTCGGCCTTCCAAAGTGCTAAGATTATAGGTGTGAGACACCACACCCAGCCCAGCCCTGCTTTCACAAAAAACAAAATAATGATGAATATATTGTACTACCCTCACTGTTTTCATTTGTCTGTGAATGCTTTTTATTTTATCAGGAAAAGGAAAAATTTCTGTTTCTTGACTGTAATTGTTGAAATGTATTTTCAAAGTTTTTTACTTTATTTTTGGACTGATACCATAAAATCGTGTGAAATGATGTGAGGATTTTCTAATGGAGAAATGACTTAGAATATCCCTTGGATGTCCTATCTGCTTTTTAATTGTTTTATCATCCCAGACATGTTTCTCTATTCCTGTCTATTCTTTTATCTGTAAAATGAGGTTATTGAACTAGATGCTGTCTACAACTTTTTTTTTTTCTTTCATTAACATTAAATCTCTGGTACCTGAGAACATTGGGATCAGGCTGATATGTCTAGGTGTCTATTTCTTTGGTCTACCCTTCAAGTAGGAATGAAAACCCATAGAATTTCTGTAATTATCAGCCTCAATAACTTTCTAAAGCCTTTAGGAAGCAGATACCCTGCAATTTATCTCACTAATTTGTTTGTGATTAACACTCTCTGCCCCTTCTCATATCCCAAGCTCAGTGTTTTGATATTTAATTACAGGGAATTCTTTCCTCTTCATAGATGATATAGCAATTGTATTTCATTTCTCTTATCTGAAATCTCTGCTGACTTTCCATGTCTTATGAATTTAAATAGTCTAAATAGGGCATGAGATCTTAAATATTCCTTCCAGTTTCTACATTTTCTATTCAGCAACAACATTTTCCCTGGAAAAGGGTGAAAGCCTGTGAGTCCCCCACAGGGCAGGAGCACTGAATACACCCACATTTTCCTACCATCTGACATAGATGAGACACAAAGTAGGGACTCAGATGATTATTTAACTGAATCAACTGGATTCCTTAATTCTCACAATATTATCCTTCCTAATTTGTAAATAGGGAAATGGAGGCTTAGTCACACAAAATATCTTGTTCGAAGTTACTAATCAATTAAGTAACTTAATAATTTATTGACATCTGAGGCATTTCTCTCTTTCTACAGCCTCAGACCAGAAATGATGGGATTTCAGCCTTCTTTTCTTAGAGATTGGTGAGCCAAGACCTGGAGAGAGAACTCTGGTTGTCTTAAGTCACCCAGATGAACTATTAATAGAAAAAGAATTCTACTCAGTCAGTACTTAAAAGCTTGACATGTTTGTGTGGAGACCTGTGTGTGACTGAGTTCAGATCACTCTAATTTCCTGGGCCTCACTTGACCCATCTGTGAAATGGGGTAATGAGCTCTTTTCGGCATGAAGGCAAGGAACTGTCCAGAAGACCTCTGGAGAATTCTTCTTACCCTGAGATCAAGGGTTCTGTGAGTAGTACAACTCACACCCAAAGTCTTAGTTGCAGGGCACTTTAGTGGGAAAAAAAAAAAAACGCTGAGGCTATTTTTAGAGCCTTCATCTGGTTATAGACTAGTTGGTAGGAGAGCAATACCTTTGAAAAGTTAAGAAATAGTTTTATACACTGTGTTAAGGATGTTGTCAAAACTAATACTTGTGTATGCAAAGACTTTAACATTTATTAATAATTTTTTCTATAGATTGGTGAAATTGGTTTGTAATTTTTGTCATTTCACTTTTGTGGAAATTGAGCAAAAGTGAGAGATAAAATGATGTGATCAGGCTGGGTGCGTTGGCTCATGCCTGTAATCCCAGCATTTTGGGAGGCCAAGGTGGGCGCCTGAGGTCTGGAGTTCAAGACCAGCCTGGTCAACATGGTGAAACCCTGTTTCTACTAAAAATACAAAAATTAGCTGGGCATGGTGGCACATGCCTGTAATCCTAGCTACTTGGGAGGCTGAAGCAGGAGAATCGCTTGAACTTGGGAGGTGGAGGTTGCAGTGAGACGAGATTGCGCCATTGCACTCCAGGCTGGGCGACAGAGTGAGACTCCATCTCAGAAAAAAAAAAAAAAAAAGATGTGATCAATATCAATCTAAGGACACTGTAAAGCAGCAGAGGATTGACGATTTTCCTAAGACTTAGTGGATGTAGAAGAGTTTAAAATATTCTAGCCTAGTGGTTTGCAAACTTGGCCACATATTAAAATCTTCAGAGGAACTTTATGCTACAATGCTCATCTCAGTCACAGTGTCTGTGGGTGAGACCCAAGCTCAGTTACATTTTAAAGCTCCCGAGAGTTTAGAACTATTGATCTAGTCTTGATTTCGTATCAATTTCTCTGATGGTATCTTGCTTGACATCTTACTTACTGGGCTGCATTTTTGTGCTGTGTCTCCCTGACACCCAAGTGAAAACTGCTGGATGAACCGAAAATTCACCCAAACAACGTGAATGTAATGGAAACTCTTGAAAAGGCTTACAAGCCTTGAAGTAAATGTTGGGCGAAGGGAGCGAAAGGGTTAGCGTTTTTTTGCATTGGGACCTGCCTTCTTTTTATGCTTCTAGGAACGTTTAAAAATGAGAGCAAGGAATATATTTCATTGCTTTAATTGTTCAAGGTCTTTTAAAAGCGTGTGCAATAAAATGCCTTTTAAGATAACTGACCTTTGTATTTTAATGCTTTTTGGAAGGGAACAATACCTAGTGTTCAGCTGCAGTATAACTTTATATATATATATATATATATATATATATACAGTCAGCAGAGCTTGTTTTGGAATCAGAGGGCTGAGGGTTTTGCTGCCTTCCCAGATATTTTACCTGTTTCTGTTTCAACATCAAGTTCCATTCAGTTGATGTTTCTTGACCTCATAATGTCTAACCTTTATATCTTTGTTTTTTCCCTTTCCAAACTTATCCAAGAAGGAGACTTCAAGGCCTGATTCATTAATTTTTCCTTCTGCTGGGAACTCAGGTGTGTGGTGGAAGGCAGCACATGTGACCTAATCTATATTTTGACAAAGAAGAAAGCTCCCTGCCCTCCCTTGCACCAGTTCGTTTGGTAATTTTTAATCCCAAAAGCCACTGCTAATACGTTTTTAAAAATTGATGCTAGCTATTACGTTGTTAGATAAAGCTCATCTTCCAACTCTAAACTTGCTCTTTCTAAAAGTGAAATAACACTCAGGTTGCAAACATAGTGAACTGGAATTTCAGAGGCTTGAACTGACCTACAAAACTTGTAACTGTAGCTCTAGTTATACATCCACTGTGGTCTTGGACATGTGAGGTGTTTGTCTACCCTCAGGAGTTTTAGAAGAAGAAATTTTATGGAATTGCTTTCCATATTAAGAAATTAAAATAGCCAGGTGCTATTTTAATTTTACAGATTCACAACTGTAATCCCAGCACTTGGGAGGCCGAGCAGGGAGGATAGCTTGAGTCCAGGAGTTTGAGTGGAGTGGTCAACACAGCCGAGACCCCACATCTACAAAAAATTTAAACATTAGCTGGCATGGTGACTCATGCCTATAGTCTCAGCTACTCAGGAGGCTGAGGTGGGAGGATCGATTGGGCCTGGGACATCAAGGCTGCCGTGAGCTGAGATTCTGCCACTGGGTGACTGGGCCTGGGACGTCAAGGCTGCCGTGAGCTGAGATTGTGCCACTGGGCGACAGAGCAAGAGTGTCTCGAAGGAAGGAAGGAAGGAAAGGAAGGAGGGAGAGAAAGAAAGAAAAAAGGAAAGAAAATATACAAAAATCTTTGTGTAGCTCTGAAATAAATATATATATATGTATGCAGTGTATATATTATATGAAATAAAATTGCTTGTGCTTAATTTATTTTAAAATCATGTTTGAAAATAGAGCTAATTCTCAGTTACTACATTTTCCCCTCTCCTCTTTCTGATGGTTTTTTTCTTAACTTTTTATTGTAAATGATTTTAAACTTATTTAAAAAGTTGCAAAATAAGCATAGTCCAATATAGCCATATACTTTTACTCAGATTCGTCTATTGTTAACATTTTATCCCATTGGATTTATCATCCTCCCCCTTCCTCCCTCCCTTCCTCTCTTTCTCTGTCTACACACACACACACACACACACACACACACACACACACACAGTCTCCCCCACCCCATATATATATATATATATTTTTTTTTTTTCCAGAAGTATTTCAGAGTAGGTCACTTATATCATTGCCTCTACCCCTAAGTACAGTGTGTATTTCTTAATAATAAAAAAAATAAAGATAGTCTCATCATATTCACAGTATGGTAATCAGCTTCTGTACATTTGACACTGATTCAATACTTCAGTCTACTGTCTGTACTTCTCCTTTGTCAGGTGGCTCAGTTCTGTCCTTGAAGAAAACTGCTTTTTCCCATTCAGTGTACAGTCCAGCCTAAGGTCAGGTAGTGCATTTAGTTGTCAAGTCTCTTTAGTCTCCTTTGATTTGGAACATTTCCACAGCCTTTCTTTATCTTTTATGGCATTGACACTTTTGTTCTCCCCCTTTACAATTATAGTATTCCTCATTTTGTATTAGTCACTGGTTTCTTCATGTTTTGATTCAATTATGCATTCCCTGAAGGAATATTACAAAGATAATGTGTCCCTCTCAGGGATCACATCTGGAGTCTTATGTGTCCATCTCTCCGTCATTGGGGATGTTAATTTTGAGCAACTGATCAAGGCATTGTCCAGTTTCTCCACAGTATAGGTATTCTTTCCTTTGCAATTATTAAGCTATCCATGGGGAGACACTTTATTCTTGCTCCTTATCAAAATATTACCCTACATTTTTTCCTAAACCAGCATTTACTATGATTGGTGCAAAATTAGGATTCCATGTTACTACTCTCTTCACATTCATCATTCAGCATCCTGCGTTCTACTGTATGCGGGAGCCCCTTCCTTCTCCTCCCTCCCTCCCGCTCTCTCTCTCTCTTTTCCTCTTTCTTTTCTTTCTTTCTCTCTTTCTTTCTTTCTTTCTTTCTTTCTTTCTTTCTTTCTTTCTTTCTTTCTTTCTTTCTTTCTGTCTTTCTCTTTCTTTCTTTCTCTTTCTTTCTTTCTTTTTCTTTCTTTCTTTTCTTTTTCTCTTTCTCTCTTTCTTTTCTTTTTCTTTCACTCTCTCTCTCTTTCTTTCTTCTGTTTCCCCTCCCTTCCTTCCTCCCTTCCCTTCCCTTCCCTTCCCTTCCCTTCCCTTCCCTTCCCTTCCCTTCCCTTCCCTCCCCTCCCCTGCCCTCCCCCCCTGCCCTCCCCCCCGCCCTCCCCCCTTCCCTCCCCTTTTCTTTCTCTCTCTTTCTCTCTCTCTGTCTTTTTCTTTCTTTCTCTCTCTCTTTCTCTCTCTCTCTTTCTCTCTATTTTCCTCTTTCTTTCTTTCTTTTGGTTATGGTCTTCAAGATTTCTGTTTCAATCTTTCATAATTCATTCTTGCTATATAATTATTTTGGCCCTCAAATTATCCCAGATTTGGTCAGTGGGAGCTGCATCAAGTTGGCTCCTGTGTCCTTGAGACATGTCCCCATCATCTTTGTTGTTAGCAATTGATTAATTGCTGGAATAAAAAGATGTTCTAGTTTGGTCTTGTATATTCTCTGTCCCAGCCATGAAGTCAAGCATGTCTTCATTATGTCCTCACTCTTTTTATGTGGAGAAAGATGTTAGAGACCAATATCTGAGTGCTAGGTGTGCTCATTGCTACTCTGGTGCCTTAACTTATAGCCTCTTTCAATGACTGGAGCTAGGAAATTTTATATATAAAAATATATATGTAAACAAAACCTACGTGTATATGTTTATCTGTAAATATATGGGTGCATATACAAATATGTATACACAAATACTACTACTATTAATTTGCTAATACCACTTACTACACAAAACAAATCTGTGAAAAAGAGTTGAGGATTTGCTTATGGTGCTCCTCCTTCAACTTAACCCTGCCCAAGACTGAGGGTATATTGTCAAACGCTCTTCAGGGATTACCTGGATTAGTTCTTTCTTCATGTGTCTTTCCCCTATATCCCAATGGTCATTATGTTCATTTAAAATACAGTTGGGTTCAAATGCTTCAGTTTGCTTTGAGTTTTAGTTTCCCTCCTTCCCATCCTAGTTTGTTTAATTTTATTTTTTGAATATGTAAAACATTAACATGCTTCCAGAAGCCAAAACTAAACCAAAAGAAGTGCCAGTCTCTCAGATATTTGCTCCACCTTGTTATTCCCCACACCTCTTGGAGGTTTTCTTGGTTATCTTTCTGGTATTTCTTTTTAATCCTGATATATATATATATATATATATATATATATATATATATATATATACACACACACACACACATATATCAGATTATAGCGTCAGATTATCTGTGCTTTCCCTCCTCTCAGTAAAACCTGTAATGCCCCTTCTTCCCCAAACATATATATATATATATATATATATATATATATATATGTTTTTATATTTCCTCTTCTTTCTTACACAAAAGATAGCATGTTGTATATCTTCTTTTGCACTCTGATTTCGTAAATTTTTTTTCTTTTTTTTTGCACTCCCTCTCTTCTTTTCTTCTTCTCTCCCTCCCTCCCTTTCCCCCTTCTTCCGTTTTTTTTTCCTCTCTCTCTCTCCTGCTCAACCAATTTCCTATGCTTGGACAGTTGGATAGTTTTCTGCAATGAATAACATTATGCATATGTATTTCCATATCATTGGATATATTTTTGGGATATATTCTTAGAAATGGGTATGCTGGGTTAAGAGTAAATATTTTATGAGGTACTTTAGTTACCAAATTTTTCTCTGATGGAATGTCCCACTAGCATTCCCAACTACAGATGTCTGTGAAGCTTATGAATTGTTGCCAATTTGATGGATGAGAAGTGGTATCTCAGTATAGTTTTGATTTGCACATGTCCTATTAGGAGTAAAGTTAAGCATCTTAATGTATTTAATGTCCATATGTATTCATTTTGTGAGTTTTTTGTGAGTTACCTGTTCATGTCTTTTGCCCATTTTAAAATTTTATTTTATTTTTTTTGGGACAGAGTCTCTCTCTGTTGCCCAGGCTGGAGTGCAGTGGCACGATCTCAACTCACTGCGATCTCCGCCTCCCAGGTTCAAGTGATTCCCCTGCCTCAACCTCCCAAGTAGCTGGGATTGCAGGTGCATGTCACCATACCAAGCTAATTTTTTGTATTTTTCACGGAGATGGGGTTTTGCCATGTTGGCCAGGCTGGTCTCAAACTCCTAACCTCAAGTGATCTGCCCACCTTGGCCTCCCAAAGTGCTGTGATTACAGGCGTGAGCCACTGTGCTCAGTCCTTTTTTTTTTTTTTTTTAAATTGGGTTTTTGGTCTTTTTTTCTCAATTAGAAAGGTCTTCGGAAATTAGATATATTGGCCTTTCATCTATGAAGTATATTACACATATCTCTCCCAATTTGTTTATCTTTTGACTTTGATTACAGTGTTTTATTTTCTTTTCAGTCATATAAAATTTTTATACTTATAGAGACAAATTTAAGAATCATTTCTTTTATTGCTTCTGGACTTTGTTCGTAGTTAGAGAGCATTTCTTAACACCCGTGTTATCTGCATGTTATCTTCCAGTACCTGTATAGTTTCATTTTTCACATTTAGATCTTTAATTCATCTGCAGTTTGTGTGTAACATAATGAATGGATCTAATTTTACTTTTTTCCAAATGGTTATCTGCTGTCTCAACACCATTTAGTATGAAAATATCTTCTCATACTTCCCGTGTGATTTGAGATTGGTGGTTACTTTTTAACCTACACCATGACTAGGTGTGAAGGAGAATGATGGTAAACAGTGGAACAGGGTAGTTAGAGGAAAATGAGGTCCCAGGTAGATAATGACTGAAACCCAATAAGAACATACATATTTTTGACTTCAACACAGAGCTCTTTACCTTTTACAAGTCATCCTCTCTGGTCCATTTTTGTCAAAAATTAACGTATTTAATAGAGAAGGTGTTTAAAACAAAAGGAGGGTTTAGAGATTATCTGTGCTTTCCCTCCCCTCAGTAAAACCTGTAATGCCCCTTCTTCCCCAAATAAATTATGAGAATGGGGCTGCATAAATTTTCTGTGAGCATGTGTGACTATGTTTCCTCTGGTTCCTCGCCGCATGGTAATTACTCTGTGCTCTCTCCTGCAAACTGCCCATGTTTCACTGCTTGTAGGTCAAAGCTGTATTGAGTAAGAAGTGAATTTGGGAAGTTTTGCAAGTAAAGTGCTACCTGAGTCAGTGACTGTGTCTTAATTCACCTTTTTGCTTCCAGGTTCTTGCTCAGGGCCATCTGTGCACATGGTTTTCACTCAATAAGTGCCTCATGAATTTTAATGACTACACATTAAACTAAAACAAGGTCTGCCCACCTATTCTTAAGAAATTAAACTCTACAAATGATGTATTCCAAAACTGCAAAAGAGAGTGAAAGCCAAAACAGATGAAGCTGTCCTTATATGGGCAGGAAAAACTCAGTAAGATTTTATCAGTTCAGTAGGTGTTGCATATGGTGATTTGGAACTGTCTGCCAGTTCCAAGATGGCCTTACTTTATTGTATGGTCAGTACAGTTTGTATCTAGTCCTCATCAGGTTAGGCCTGGAACTCCCCAACCCCTGTTAAAAACAGCAAATCAGGGTTTCTGTGGTGGAATGGGGAGGAAACTGGCTTGCATTAATTGATGTATAAGGTAGCCCATGATAAACTCAATGCCACTTTTATACACATCTGGGAGCAAGAGCTTTTGGTTAATTGGCTTGCCTATGTTTTTGCTCTGCCTTGGATGCTACAGAAATGGAATTGTTTGTTAGAGTCGTTGCATGGTGAAGGAAAAATCAGAGCCAAGGTTTTGAAGGACCTAAGGGAGAACATTCTGTGTTCTGCAGGCATCTTCCTCCTTGGGACACAAACAGCTCCCTGCCTACCACACACAGTGGATAGGATTCCTTCAATGCCTCTCCTCGGGTGAAAGATGTGGCATGTGGAACTGAACGATCAAAATCACTGGGGCAACTGTATGGGCGCCCTCCTGCAGTGTAACATCCTAACAGGACTTTTGACAGGAATGGATACCTAAATATTTACACTCCTGGAGGCCTCGTCTGTCTCAACCATACTTACCAGTCACCACAGTGTCTCCTTTCTCTGTGTAGTACTGGATAAATACAGATAAATTCTACACCCTGACTTACTCCTACCTCATGCAAGGAAGTTATAAAATGTTTGAGTAGCTTACTTAAGTATTACTCCTGCCATGGCTTCTTGACATGCCTTGATGGAGCTGTGGAAAGCATCTTGGTTGCTTCAACACAAGGCTGTGAGTTGTTTCATAGGGCAGGGTACTAACTATAGTTTGCTGACCTTATCCACTGTGTGGATTCATCTTGGGAAAGGAGCAGAGAAGGTACTGAGAATACCACATCTGCTGAAGACTCTGCTGGATGCTTTCTCCAGACATCTCATACAGTCTTTTCAACACCCACTCAAGATATAGGAGCTGTTCCATTTCACAGACGAGGAAACGGAGGCTCAGAGACTTTGCATTAGTCTACCAGGTCATAAAGCTAGTGTTCACAGAACTGAGACTCAAAACCAGGTCTGTATACCCATGAAATTGGTGCTTTTCCTCTATGCCTGACACATGACACATCATATCAAGGCATCACCTTTTCTTGAATCTTATTCATAGATTCTGGGCAAGCAGCCTCAGCTTGGTCCTATGAAACCTTTCCTGACCTCCTCCACACACCCCCTACACACACTCTGTGAACATTGTAATGGTTAGTTGTATACACAGTTGTTTCCAGTGCTGGACTGTGAGTTCTTCTGGATGTCTTCCTATAGTGTTTAATTCATAGCTGGCTTTTGATACGTATGTAATGAAAATTCTGGTTTTCTGCACCATACTGTGTTTCCATGCTGACACTAAAAATCTAGACATGCTTTCTTAGAATTAGGCAACCCATTTACCTTTAAGGATGCACTGACTTTGGTTTTTGCCTTAATATTTGGCCAAAACCTGCTCTTTGAGTTCGACCTCTGCTTTGCCTTTAGGAGGGTAAAGTAGCCAAATACCTACCTCATTAACATTGTAGGCAACTCTGAAATTTTGCAGGATAATCATTGCATTGATGCGAACATCACACTGGTTACCGTCATACCGTATCAGCATAAAAATGTTGGCAATGAATACGTATATTTTTCAAATTTGTTGTTAATAACCAGATATGTACTTTTAAATATAGTGAGCATTTTACTTATAACTTGGAATGGAAAACCTTCTTAAACTACTTTGTACGCTGAGACTCCACCAACTAATTGAAATATAAAGGAATATATTATATTAAGAGTAAGATGCTACAATATTTAATGATGACTGTGAAAGCTAATAATGTATGGGTTAAATAATTAAGAACTTTCAAATAGTTAAACAAGTAGGGAAATTAGTTGGTAATTAATATAAAAATTAGATTAATTAAACCTTAGTTAATGAATATTAGCTAATTGAGGTTATTAAATCTTAGTTATTACAGTTTGTTAGCTAGATAACTTTGGGTTGACCAACACATCTTTTTTCAGCTAACAAGCATTTATAAAAATATAAATTGTAATCTAAGTATTGTTATAGAACTAGATTATACAATAATTATAATTGTTACTGGGTTGTTTGTGGAATGCATTTATGACACCAAACAGAATGACCATTAAGAACCATTTTTAACTTTTAGTTATTTAATTACACTTAAGGTCATCAGTCTTTCAAGAAAAAGCCTATTTAAGATTTTTTTTCACATTTTCTGAAGATAAATTAAAAGTAGAGTGTCTACACTGTCTCTCAACATTTCCTGATCAGGAAAACCTCCCAAATTACGTATAGCAACATCAATGATAAATGATTTTTAACACAGAGAAATTTCATGTGTATTCTTATATCACAAAAATTCAGACGATGATAATGAGAGATTTCAGTCTCAGCTTTGGCTTACTATTGATTTTAACATTCAGTCATTTGGCACTTGGCCCAAGTGGGTAATGGGTGCATATCTATCAGTGGCTCTTCATACATTTGTGCAGGGAGGTACACATGCATACGTGTGGGTGTTTCAAAGTCTAACTGGAATAGGCCTCTCACATTTATCTCCTATTAATTTGCAGATTGTTTCCATGGTCACCATCCAGAAATTTCCCAGTAATCCTTGAGGAAGTTAGGGAGTGTGATACCATTAGGGAGAGGGAATATGTGGCATAGAGACGTGATGGGCATTAGTTGTCTGAGGTTATGAGGTCGTGGTGAAGCCTGATCATGTGACCCCATCTCCATACTCTATGTCCAGTGCTCCAGATCCCATAGACCTGAATCTTAGTTCTGGTGCTAGAACTGTCCCTGATGCACATATAGTAAGACTTTAATTTCCATTTTCCCTGTCTTATGAAAAGAAGTGTTGATAAGCTCATTAATTAGCTTTCTGCTCATAGCTTTTTTCTGACTGCTAATGACTTCTTGAGGATGGGCAGGCTTTGATGAGCTGTGTGGTCCTGGGAAAGCCTTGGTGTCCTCTTTTACCTGCACAGTGAGGGTGACGGTCGTGTTACCTCCTGAGGCCACCTTTCAGCTTTGCCATTCTGTCATTTGACAAAGACTGAATAGAGAAAAGACAAGATTTAACGACAGTTAAAGTCCAAGCCAGTTTGTATTTGCTGAAAGACACAACTGAGGGAAAGGAACTGACATGTAGTTTAAACAGACTGGTTTTTTGTTGACATGGGAAGTGTGAATAATACTTCTTCCTGGTTTATGAGATATGAAATTGGTTGTCTACCTTATCTGTTTCTCACTTTTGTTCTCAGTTCATAGTTTGGTCATGGAATGCAATTTTGAAGACAACTTCAAGTTGTTTTTTTGCTCAGTAATCATAGTAGTATTTACTGTTGTTCACTGGGCACCCAGTCTGTGTACACACATCATTCCTAATCTTAGAAGAAAAACAACGTGCAAGACATGTGTTTTCTTTCCCACTTTGCAAATAAGGAACTGGGGCTCAAAGAGATTAAAAGACTTACTTAAGTTCAATTAGAAAGTGGCAGAGCCAGGATTCAAATGTTGGTTTGCCTAACTGCAAAGCCTATATCCACCTTCCACCCAGTGCTGCTACAGCATTAAAGCCTGTAAATTGAATTCCACACACTCCTACTTTCACCTGTACTATTACAGTGATAAGTAAAACCAGCGCTGAGCCCTACTAACAAGGTGTCCTTGATTTGTGTGCTGATGCTCATGACACTTCTGTGTGGCATCTGCTGACAGGCCCACGGGGCCCAGATGTTCCCACTACAAAGAGCTCATCCTGGACTCCCCAACCAGGGAAAGAGACCTGAAAAGGAACTGGTTTGTGATTAGGGATTATTGTGATACTTGAAGTGAATGGTCAGTCAGTTCTTCCCATTTATTTGAGTTCTTACTTCCCTTCCCTTTGAACATTTCAGTCAAACTTCTAACAGTGACTTTCAACACTGGCTGCGCATTAAAATCACTTGGGGAGGTTTTGTTTTGTTTTGTTTTGAGACAGCGTCTCCCTCTGTCATCCAGGCTGGAATGCAGTGGCATGATTATGGTTCACTGTAGCTGCAACCTTCTAGGCTCAATCAACCCTCCTACTTCAGCCTTGTGAGTAGCTGGGAATACAGGGACACGCCACTACGCCTGGCTAATTCGTATATTTTGTAGAGACAGGGTTTCACTATGTTGCCTAGGCTGGTCTCGAACTCCTGGGCACAAGTGATTCTCCCACCTTGGCCTCCCAAAGTGCTGGAATCATGGAGCTTTTTGTTTGTAAGCATGTCAGCCCTCACCTTCCAGAGATCTTGATTTGAATGGGCTAGGTTGGGGTTCTCGCTATTAGCGCAAAAAAAAGTAAGTACTGAAGGGATTCTAAGATTCGTCTAGAGAAGACGATCACCGCATTAGGGGGCAGAAAGTCCACTTTTCATTATTTTGTTGGTACAGTATACTTTTTTTCTGACTCTATGAACCCTCAATCTTATGATGTTACCATTCCATTGAAGGGTGGGATTTATTCACTGAGAACATTTATATTTTTTTGAGATGTCTTAGGCTGTGGAGAGGGTGTTACAGGGATGGACACAGATGCTGAATTTAGTGGCCCCAGAGAAGAGGAATTAACCACTTTGGATTGGATTATTGGGAGCAACCAAAAGTCAGTGCTGTGGCTTTTGCTGTCTTCCCTTGTAATCTCTTCCCCTCACCAGATTTTCAACACAGAAGGGGTGTATTTTCTAGTTATGGGGTATTCACAATCACATCTAATAATTTTACTCCAGAACATACTATGGCTTGTTTATACTAGCTTGAATATTTGTAGTCTCTTTGATTTTTGTTTGCTAATTTAATTTACTATTGCATATAAAAGAATGGCTTCCATGGAGATAATCACCGTGGCTCCCAGAGTGCATCCAGAGACATTTGCCTTGCTTCTGTGGAAATACACCCAAATTCCCCAGCATGACATTGAGTGTTCACCCCACACCTGACACCAGTCTCTCTTGCTCTAATTAAGGCCACTCTTTACCATTCTTGGGCACCAGCCAGATGAACTATACCCTGGTGTGGGATCTGCCCGATCCTGCTGAGACATTAACTCTGTCCTGAAGCTGTTTGTCCTTCCAGCAGCTAGAAATAATCTTTCCTTTCCTAGAACTTCCACACTGCATTGAGCAGGAACACTTGTAGAACTTCTCACATTGTACCTCAAGGTATTCTTATTTATGCATGTATATAATTTCTCCCCTTCTACTACTGTAAGCTTCTGCAGGGTGGGGCAGCCTCTTCTTAATTTTGATATCTACTGCTGTGCCAAGAATATTGTAGGCATTTCCTAAATTATTTTTCCCCCAGTGTATGTGTTACTTTGTTCAATTCAGCAGTTGTCCAAAGCTAATCTCTTGAGCTATTGGTAGCTTTGGTGAACATTTGGAGAGGACTACTGTGATGGCGTAAAATCCGGTGACCTAGTTACAGAATATCCCCTGCAGGCTCACTGGTAAGGAAGGCTCATGTTTAAACTCAGTGAAAGGAGAGCCTGGCTTATTTATGGTGGTGGTTGTTTACATGTCTTTAAATGACCTTCTTTTTTTTTTAATATAAAGGCAATATATTCTCATAGAAAATTCAGAAACTGTAAACAGGGTTAAAGAAGAAAATAAAAATCAACACTATCACTTTCACCTATTTATTATTCTTATTTTATTTATTTATTTATTTATTTTTAAGGCAGAGTCTCTTTCTGTCACCCAGGCAGTGGCACGATCTCGGCTGACTGCAACCCCTGCCTCCCAGGTTCAAGCGATTCTCCTGCCTTAGCCTCCCAAGTAGCTAGGATTACAGGCATGCACCACCACCAAGTCCGGCTAATTTTTGTATTTTTGGTAGAGACAGGGTTTCACCATGTTGGCCAGACTGGTCTTGAACTCTTGACCTCAAGTGATCCGCCTGCCTTGGCCTCACAAAGTGCTGGGATTAGAGGCGTGAGCCACTGTGCCTGGCCACTTCCACCTATTATTAATGAAACCTGTCCTATTTAACAAAAACGATAATGTGGGGTGTCTTGTGCTTGGAGCTTGGAGAAAGGAATTTGCCTCTGTTTTTTTAATGACTTATGGCAAGGCCAGTATGACCAGTAAGTGGGCTGTTTATTATTATTATTATTATTAATCACCATTGTCACTGATAGAAATTGTCACTATTGTCACTGATAGAAACCAAGATAGAAATTGTCACTATTGCTATAGCCCCAAGAAGGACCTCATGGCTGCATAACGATTGAGCACCTTATATTTACACAATGCTTGGTTGTTGTTTTTTAAGGCAACTGTGACTCAACAACAGCTGTTTGAGAACAGCTCCATCCCAGATGAAATCAGAGGAACCGAAGTTTAAAAAGAAAGTGTTTCTGGGCTGGGCGCGGTGGTTCACGCCTGTAATCCCAGCACTTTGGGAGGCTGAGGCGGGCAGATGGTTTGAGGTCAGGAGTTTGAGAGCAGCCTGACCAACTTGGTGAAACCCTGTCTCTACTAAAAATACAAAAAAATTAGCAGGGCGTGGTGGTGCATGCCTGTAGTCCCAGCTACTCAGGAGGCTGAGTCAGGAGAATCCCGTAGTCCCAGCTACTCAGGAGGCTGTCAGGAGAATCCCTTGAACCCGGGAGGCGGAGGTTGCAGTGAGCTGAGATAGTGTCACTGCACTCCAGCCTGGGCCACAGAGCGAGACTCCATGTTAAAAAAAGAAATGTTTCTGAGCACTAAAGACAATTTGAACAAGGCAGAAAAGTACAAATAGGAAAACAATAATCTTACTAGATTGTTTGTTTTTGAGACAGCATCTCCCTTTGTCATCCAGGCTGGAATGCAGCAGCACGATTATGGCTCACTGTAGCTGCGAACTTCTGGGCTCAATCAACCCTCCCACCTCAGCCTTCTAAGTAGCTGGGACTATTCTGTAGTGATAATCCTTGTTAAAGTTTTGGAAAATACCTTTTTTAGAGTCTCTCTTTCTCTCTACACAGACACACACACACACATACACACATGCAACTTTTATGTGAATGACGGCATTTACAATTTACGTAAATTACTGCAGGTGCTATCATTTATTTTTTTCACTCAGCAATATGCCTTGAAAAAATTTTAAGTCAATCAACATACAGATATTTGTCATCTTTTAAATAGCTATAGATTTTCGCTCAGACTCAAAGTCTAATTTTTAAAGAAGTGACTGTTATATTTAAATCATATATAGCTTCATGATGAAAAAAGGAAAAACAATTCTTGGGACCGGACATGGTGGCTCATGCCTGTAATTCCAGCAGTTTGGGAGACCAAGGTAGGAGAATTGCTTGAGGTCAAAGGTTTGAGACCAGCCTGGGCAACACAGTGAGACCCTGTCTCTCCAAAAAAAAAAAAAATATATATTAGCTAGATGTGGTGGCACATATCTGTAGTCCTACCCACTCAGGAGGCTGAGGAGGTGGGAGGATCGCTTGAACCCAGGAGTTTAAGGCTGCAGTGAGCTAGAACGGTGCCATTGCACTTCAGCTTGGGTCACAGAGTGCAACTCTGTCTATAAAACAAAGACAAAAGCACCACAGTTCGTTAGATATAACTGAATATTATCTTCATTTCCTACTGTAGTGGTTCTTAGAAAGGTTGTTTCTTAAGTTAGAAACTGTTGCCTAAGTATTTAGGATGTGGCAGGCACTGTGCTACATGCTGGGGTTGACGAATGCATGGGATTCGGCTCTCTCCCAGGCTGGTGGGAAGAGGACACATCTAGAAGCCAGGGTATATACCCCGAAGGGGTTTGAGGCAGTGCAGAGTTGATGATGATGGTCTCCAGCCTGCCTTTCCTTTACAAAAATGAGGAGACTGCATCTCACATTGCCAACGAGCTGCTTGACTCTACCGATATTCCCTACCAAGCACGATTATGGGTAGTCTTAAAATTCTTAATAATAAAATAGATATTGAAAATAGTGTTTTTTTTTTTAACAGTGAAAGTAATATGTACTCATGTATAGGTTTTCAATATACAGGAAACTATAAAATGAAAAGGATTGTACCTGTAATCCCACCCCTTACAGCTAACTACTGTGACATTTTATTTGTAGAAGTCCATTTTGCTATCAGACCTCAAGTTTTAAAATCTTAACTCACCCTCTGTAACCTAGTTCTCAGCTCTATTTTATGTAACGTTTTTAAAGGATTCAAGATTTAAAATAAACTTATCTCACCCCAAATGCACTTGTATATTTTTGACACCCCCTCATCTCTCTCTCTCTCTTGTCTCTCTCTCTTCTCTGTCTCTCACTCTATCTCAGTTCTCTTTCTCCTCTTCTTTCTCTCTCTCCTCTCTCCTCTCTCTGTCTTTCTCTCTCTGTCTCACACACACACACGGGGAAAAAAAATCACTCGAGTTAAGAATCAGTCTCTCATTTTACAGATAGGAAAACTGAAATCTAGAACTTGTCTGAAATCATGTTAAAAAAAAAAAAGTGGTAATCTGTGCTCGAACCCAGGTCTCCTGAATTTTCGTTCAGTGCTTTTTCCATTCTACAGTGATGCCTCCTTACTAGGTCATAGAAACAGTGGCAGAGGGAGAAAAGGAAAAATACGTCAGCTCCAAAGAGTGCAGTTTTTTTTTTTCTGTGTCCTTTAGCTGAGCTATTTTTGTGACTATTCAGTACATGTACAATGCTGCCTCTTGGAGTGTTCCGGCTAGACTAAGAGGCCATTCACTGCTGACTGCAGCCATGCCATCCCTCCATGGAATCCTCGGCCCGGAAATCAGATGGGAACAAACTATTCCAATATACAAATCAAATTTCAGAGTCTGAGTGTACACAGAAAAATTACTGGATATCCTGTTGGACTATGTACATAACAATGACACAGTGATTTATGAGGGTATGATGGGGCAGAGGGTAGCGGGTGATGTTGGAGTTGATTCATCACTTAAGCGCTAATCCATTCACCAGCTCCAGTCAGACTTCAACACAAATGCCAAATTATTCATCTTCCCTAAATCCAACCCTATTATTTTCTCTCTCAAAACCTTCAGTTGCTTCCTTTTGCATATGGAAGAGAGCGTGGACTCCTCCATCTGGCATTTAAGGCTTTCTATGATCTGTCCTCCCAGACATTGATAGGCTGTGGAGATACAGTAAGGTAGTTGTTATGAGCCACACCTTGCAGCCAGGCTGCTCCAGCACCAAGCAACACTTTCCCCGGGAGGTTGCTGCACCTCCCTGCTCCTCACTTTCCTCATTTGTGGAATAGGAATAGGGTCATTGTGAGAATTAAATAAGTTAATATTTGTAAAGGGTTTAACAGTGACTAGCTCATAATCCGTCACGTAGAAAGTTTTTTCTTAGCTCATTTAATAAGTACCTTTCTAACCCATCACTGATAGCATTTTTCTTTTGCACCAGACTTCTTTCTAGTCATTGCTGGGAGCGTCCTCTCATTTTCCTGCCTCCCTGTAGCTGTCACTCTCACTCCTAAACTGTTGGCGTTCTCATTTTGGCTTGCCCAAATCTTACGCATTCTTTTAAGTCCATGTTCAAGTGAATCCTCACTGATTTTGTTCTTCATTCATCCCCTTAACAGACTTTTATGGAGGGTCTACTGTGTGCAAGGTGTATTATGTAGGAAGCCTTCCACAGTTCCCAGAGCTAGGTGAGCTCTGTCATGTAGGCCTGTCTTGTACATATCACCTTCGACATTGCTGAGCAGTTTGTGTTGGACATGTTTGATCTCCTCCCCTAGAATATAAACAGCTGGAGAGTAGGATGCTTATTAGTAGGTGCTTATTAAGCTTTCTTTAAAATGAGTAAGTGCACATGCTACCTTTTATAGATCTGTTACCTTCTAATGAAGGCAAGAACAATAGGAACAAACATTAGTTTTGTGTGTGTGTGTGAGAGAGAGAGAGACAGAGAGGGAGAGAGAAAGAGAGAGAGAGATTTTGAATGGGAATAATTATGAGGCCACATCTGAGGGCAAATAACCACTTCCAAGTTGAAGAAAGGCAAGGAGAAGACAGGAATGAGAGGAGAGCTGTAGCAGTCAAAGGAAACGGGATGAGAATATGTTATTCTCTGAATCATAAAGCATTTGCTCTGAGAAATGTTTTTCCTTAAGTGGTATAAAATGTAAAATGAATTGGGTCTTAGTTTTTCTTTTCCTCTTTAGGAGGTTGGAGCTGATTTTTAAAATGAGGTAGGGGAGGGAGGTGGGGTTTGGAGAAAGAAAGTGAAAATTGTTTTCTGAAACTCTGTTTGTCAAATAACTCTCTGGAGAGAAAGTTCAGAGGGTGAGGGCCTGCCAAAGCTGACCAGCAGCACACAGGCCAAATCGTTCTTTCGTCATTGTCCTGGTCACTTCCCCACCCCTGTTCGCCACCCCCAAACACCTTTTTTCTTCTCTCTCTCTCTCTCTGTGTGTGTCTCTCTCTCTTTCTTTTCTTTCCTTTTTTTTCTTTTTATAACATATGAATATTATAAGTAAGTAGCTGGAGAAAATAAAAAAGCAAAACAAAACACAAAGTAAGCAGATGATTTCAACCTGCAATTATTTGTCAGGTCATAAAAATGATGTGTCTTAGATTTATTTACCTGATCTCCTCATCTGTTTTCCACTGGAAGCCTTCTGCTCGCGTCACCCTTCTTCATTTAGTTCCCCAAACTTCCACCCACTTTCTGACTCAAAGCAGGAGAGAAGCATTGAACAAAACCACTGGATTTGGAGAAGAGAGAAAAGCAGCTTTTAAGAACTGACTTTAGAGGTTTAGCACGAATTAAATTCCTGGTCTTTTCTTTCTGCAGATTTTTCAGCTATTGTTGTTGTTTGTTTTGTTTTGTTTTGTTTTATGTTTCTTGAGTTTATCGCTAAAGATGCTTTTCCGTGGATGGCACAAAAGTTCAGCTATGGCCATGTGCTTACTGAAGGCCTGTATATGGAGGCATCACAGTGGCTGGCCTTGAAGAAATTAAGATAGTGAAAGAGGACCCCTGTCTGCGAAGAAAGAGCTCATGTTTGTGTGTGTGCTCATGCTTTGGGTGCTACAAGGAGACTGGTGTCTGGGGAAGGGAGGAAGGGTGATGGTTACAGGTATAGGTAAATAAGTTTTCCAACAGTTAACAATACTTGGAGACAAGCTACAGAGTGATCAATGCTAGAGTTAGGAACGCTGTGAGAAGGCAAGGTGTTCTGTTTGTGCCATTGGGGAGGGCTTTGCTGTGGGGATTGGGGGAAGGATATTGTTTTAGGCTTTGCTAGATGGCTAGGACTTTAACAAATAAGAAAGAAAGAGCTGAGTCTTTAAGACAGAGGGAATAGCAGAGACATGAAAATATCTAGAGAGATTGGGAGTGGGAGGCTGAGTCTGGAGGTGAGATATCTGTATCCAATCAGAGAAGTTTCCTATGCCTTCCTGTAATGTTGGAGGCTTCTTTTTTTTTTGGTAATCAGTAAGGAGCTGTCATGGGCTTTGTAAAAGGGCTGTGATAGGATTACTCTGGTGTGTGTGTGTGTGTGTGTGTGTGTGTGTGTGTATGTGTTTTGCTTTTACTTTATACATTTCAGAGTCTTTTTAGGAACTCTTAGGCAACCTTAACTCTGGGGAGTGTGCATTGCCTGTCTTTATATGTCTTTACTTCTCTGTTGCTGCCTGGTTCTGCTCCTTCTCATGCTTCTGTAACAAAGTGCGGCAATGCAGGCTTCTAGAAGGTGATGTGAGATCTCTGAGCAGACCATGTGTGTGTTCTTCCCATCCTTTTTTCCCCTCCCTTTCTCTTCCTCCTCCTCTTTCTATATCACCACCCTCACCAGCAGCAGCAGCAGCACTCCCCTCCCTAAAATAAATAAACCAGTCACTCCAAAGGTTCCAAGCACATTAGTCACATATCCCAGAAGTTTAATACAGAATTATTTTGACAGCGAGAACAAGAAGTGTTTTCTAGTTGAACGCACAGAACTTGCTTATTCCAACTGGGCTTTCTGCCGCACAGACAGATGATACGTTTTTTAGATGGATTGGCCGCACAGCGCAGGAGACTGTCGCTTCCCTTGGATACACAGCAAACTGCTCACTACCAAAAGTGGCTGGGGAGAAGATGTGAAAGGAGAGAGAGAGAGCGCGAGAGAGACAGAAGAGAAGAGGAGAGGGGAGGGGAGGGGAGGAGAGGAGAGACGGGGAAGACAGAGAGAGAGAGAGAGAGAGAAAGGAAATCAAGTTCTTATTATGTACATAACTTTCTCATTAATGGCTTCCATAAGTCACTGAGAGATTTCTTTGTGTTTATTTATTTATTTGGCTGCTTTGGAGCCATGAGTCCTTTTTTAAACCCGGGTTTATGTCTGTTCTAAAAAATGAGGACAGATCGAGTTATTGCCATGCGGGTGGCTCTCCAAGCATTCCAGTTGCATAGCTCTTCCAGAAATATTTCTTGACGCACTTATTTAGCACTTTCTATTGCCGTTACTGAGCAGATTACAGAATCCTCCCGGCCCTTTCACCAAACCCGTCTAGAGCTGGTATGGATCTACTTGTGCCTATCTGGCAGATAGAAAGATAGAGGAATGGGAAGGTGAAGTCCATTGTTACTCATGAAGGATTTTGACCAGTAACCTCAGAAGAGTCAGAAGAAGAGAAAAAGCATGTGCTCTCCTCTTTCCTGCTTTGCTTTTCTGCTTCCAAGTCCCTCCTCCAAGCAGGAAGATCTTTCCTGAGCAGCAGCGTACCTGGGTGTGAGAACCCAGAGGGAGTGTGGTGGAGAGACGTGAAGGGGTCAGTTCCTGGAACATTCTGTTCCCTCTAGCTCCCATGATCATTGACTTCTTGCCTCTCAAGTCCTTCTAGGGATCTCCAGGCTTTTGAGAGGCTCAGCTGACCTCGCTCACTGCTGTGCATGCTCTCTGGAGCTTTCTTGTCCTCTTTTGGTTGTTTCTTACTAGCCCCTCATTCCCAGGACTTTTTCTGAGGAATCTCTGTTAGTTCAGGTAATAACTGGCTGTGAAACCTACAATAGTAAGTTCTTTGGATGTCGGTGTTTTCAGATGTTTCTTCTTCATGGAAACTCTTTATAAATCCCTCACAAAATGGGATGTCAAATCTCAATATGTAAAATAATCAAAGTGCAGTTAAATGGTGGTGCTGTTGTTAAAAGGTGGAAGATCTCATAGGCTTCTAGCCAGGGCCGAGTTATCTCCCCAGAAGAGCTCTGTGCCTCTGTGGACCCACTTAGTAAGCCATTGTACTGGAGTTGCTTTAAGGCTCCCTACAGCCCTGATGACCTGTGCTCAGCATTCTTTCAGCTTTCTGCCTCTTTGTATATCTTTCAAGCTTGAGAAAGATCCTCTATAGATCAGGAAGATGTGTCCAGTAAGAGATTTGACCTTTGCTGGTTTCTTGACATGGGCTTTGATGAAACCCTTTTAGCATGCTCACTTTAGATGATTCTTCTCAAGGGGGATGTCAGCCCCAGGACCCCCCAGACCTCCATCCCTAAACCCGGGCTTGCGTGTCTGGCAACCCAGGGCCAGCACTTCGTTCTTACACTCAGCTGAGTGGTAGTCCTGCCACCATTGCTGTGGCTCTGGGACTATAGCCTCTGCCTTAGGAACACTTATGAGAGGAATCGATGGAATTCCAACTATTTTTAAGGATTTTTTTTTTTTTTTTTTTTTTTGCTGAGTTTGCATTGCAAAAGGAAGGTAGAGCACGGGCCATCTCTCCCTCCTCCACTTATATTTATTCTGCACCTACCTGCACGTGACACTCTGCTATTCTTCAGAGAAGGTTCTGACCTTTGTGACCACGCTTTACATTTTCACATTGCAAGGCAATTTCTAAAGAGCTTTTCCCAGCTAAGATCTCATTTGAGCCTCACAACAACTCTGGGGCAAAGGAGACTGTAAAACAAACAAAAACAAAAACAAAAAAAACAAAAACACAAAACCAAAACAAAAAACAACCCCCAAAAACCTTAGACAAATCTAATTCCACAGTTTAATTAAGCAAAGAACAATTCGTGAATTGGGCAGGCCCCAAACCAGATAATCTGGCACTGCCATTTGGTTGAAGAACATTTGTGGACAGAACAAAGAAGGTGACGGACAGAAAACACAAGTGAGGTACAGAAACAGCTGGACTGGTTACAGCTTGGTGTTTTCCTTATTTGAATAGGTTTGAACAGTTGGCTGTCTTTGATTGGCTGAAACTCTGTGAATGGTACAAGAGTAGGTTGCATCCTGTTTACACATCCTGTTAGGACGGAGGAGGCAGCTTTAGGCTAAACGTAATTTAACAAGATTCAATGAGATTATACCTGTACGCCCAAGTTCACAGTTAGGTAGAGAAGGATTGTGGGGATTTGAAGCTTAGGCTTACTGACTTACGCCATTGTGCCATATCATTCATTCTCCTCGTGGCAGGAATAATGAATGAATATTCTATTAACAGGTACTACCTATTAACCGCTTACATATATTTCAAATGTTACTAGGTAGATACTTTTTACAGGCCTATTTCATCTTCTCAACAACCCTATAAGGTAGAAATTATTATGTCCAGTTTGTTGATGAATGGCTAGAAATATAGAGAAGATAAATAACTTGCTCAAGGTTATACTTCACAGAATTGATGGACCTCGAATTCTAATTAAGATTGCTGCCTCCAGGGGTCTATCAGTATAGGATGTGATCTTTACCCATCCTGAGTCCTAGGAGATATAAAACATGCTGTTGAAATAACAAAGCTGGTTTGTGGGTGATCATATACTATAGTAAATACGACATACTGTTAAGGGTTAATAGGTGGCTGTTTTCTGTGTTTGTTCCTGGAGATCGTAATATCTTTATGCTGTTCCTTCTACTTCCTTTTTCAATTTTATGAGCTCCATGTTGAAATTATGAGTCCTTAACCCTATTGAACTGTGTGCCATTGGGCAAGTTGTTTCTATTTCTGGGGTATTGATTTCCCCGTCTCAAAATAAATATCTTTTCCTGCTCCGATCATTCTTTCCTTTTAAGTATTACCTGGCTGGTGAATGTTTATATTGAATTCTCTTTGTACAATTCCTTTCAACAATATTGCTTGGAATTATAAAAACTTAATAATTGTTTTAAATTGAAATGACAATTGCAGGTTATCCTTGCTTTCAAAAAGATTTTGTTTCTGAAATGTAGCTTGTTAAAAGTTTGGAAATAAAGCATCACATGAAGAAATAAAGTTATATCAAGAAAGATGCCTAACACATGTTCTGATTGGCTAGCTGGTTGTGCCTTTTTTTTTATGTGTGTGTGTGTGTGTGTGTGTGTGTGTGTGTGTCACTCTGTCTCCCAGGCTGGAGTGCAGTGGTGCGATCTCGGCTCACTGCAACCTCCGCCTCCTGGGTTCAAGCGATTTTCCTGCCTCAGGCTTCCCAGTAGCTGGTACTACAGGCGCGTGCCACCACGCCCTAATTTTTGTATTTTTAGTAGAGACGAGGTTTCACCATGTTGGCCAGGCTGGTCTTGAATTCCTGACCTCAAGTGATCCACCCACCTTGGCCTCCCAAAGTGCTGGGATTACAGGTGGGAGCCACTACACCTGGCCGTGCCTTGTTTTTTAGTATCAGTTTTTTCTTTTCTTTTCTTTTCTTATCGTTTCTTTTCTTTTCTTTTCTTTAGGGTATGATTCTATTTATTTGAAGTTCCAGAAAAAGCAAAACTAATCTGTGGTAATAGAAAATCAGAGTATAGTGGTTGTTCGCAGGAAAGAGGTGGTATGAGATTGCCTGAGAATAGGCAAAAGAGAACTTTTCAGAGTGACAAAAGTATTCTGCATCTTTGATAGGAGCACGGATTACTTAGATGCTTTCCTTTTTCTCAACTGGCCTAAGTTTCTTTTTCTTTCTAATGCTTGTATAAGAACAACCTTCGTTCCCAAACACACAGACGTGTGTGTGTGGACACACACACACACACAAACAATTCTTCAGAAAGAAAGCCTCTTACGTGTGTTAAACTTGCCACTTTTTTCTCAAAATGTGCTTTGTATTTCTTTGGGTGAGCAAAAGAAGAATCTTCCTCTTCTCAAGTTCAGAGTTTGAATCAATTCTTCCTGTCTTTTGCATTTCAGTAAATGTTTCCTAGATGGATTCATCGGTTTTCCAGTAAAGACAAACAGCTCAGAAGCCAGATTACATTCATACCCAAGGCCTGAGTTCTGTGACCCAGGCATCAGAGCTCAGTGCCATATATGGCGAAAAGAGGAACAGGAGCAGGAGTGGAGGGAGAATGCCAGACATGCAATGCATTCCTCAGAAATGTGCATTCATAACTGGCAAAACAGGACCCTTGCTGGTTTCCATCTTATGCAGAACATGAACTGTGAAGTTTTGAGAAAGAAGCTAATGTTCCAAGCATCTGCCACAGGGAACAGTTTATTTTCCCTTTTCTTTTTGGTCACATGTCGGTTTAATTTGGAGTCAGTGTTTAAGTCAATGCTGGCATGGGGTGAAGACTAAGAAATTGTTCTTGCAGTCAGCAGACATGGGTTCTCAGCCCAACTCCACTGCCACCCAGCTGCAAAACTCTCCTTGGCTTGTTTTTAATCAATGGCAAAGTAGCAGGGTTGAATTTGATGATCTTCGAGATTTCTACTATTTCTGTTTTCTTTGGTTCTAATTTTGCCCGAGATTTTCCAGTTCCTGTGGAATTCCCCAGTGAAAGCATTTTCTAATTCTTCCAAATACTTTTTGTGGCTTGAACTTAAAAAGACAAAAACAAAAATCCCAGTCTTGAATTTTTCTTTGTGATTTCCTGAAGTATGTTTTGGATGCATTATGAATCTTCAATTGACAGATTATTTCTTGCTCGGGGTAGAGAAGAATGCATTTCCTGCATCTTCATGGTCTTCTTTCACTTGCCCCTCTTATTGTTGGAGAAGAAATGTAGGTATGTTCAACACATAGTTGCAGGGACAGCTGTGCACTAAGCAAATGCAGACTTTTAATGACCTTGATAGTTGTCTGCTTCTCTCATGCATTGAAGCCTTTTCTGTGGAAGAAGTGGGAGCAGCAGAAGGCAGATTCCACAGCTTCCTCACACCTCAAGAGACGGAATTAGGGATGTGAGACTGAGGTGTTGGTTTCCCAGTCAGTAATCGGATGAGACACTTTGCTGTCACAGATGTTAAGAAGGTTAACAAGAAATAGAATTGTAAAACTCTGGCCCTAAGGTGGACTACGGTCACTTTCACTTTGAGATAAGGCATGATTTTAAATGCTCCTATTGGTCTTTATGGGTTCTGTAGTCTATTTTCAACAGACTAAAATTGTCTTGTTGCAAAAGTTTGCAATTTTCTGCTTCTTTGGGAGAGGGTTCAAACCAAAGTTGTCCTCTTCCCTTTCTCTTCTGAAAGGATGACGTTAGTTTCTCAGCTGAAATAAAGGAAGGAGGAAGTTTCCATTGGGTCTTAGGAAAATATTCCAGCATTGGGCTTTAATGGCAGCTGATGTCCCAAACTTGTGCACAATGGCTCCGAGAAGGCCATAGTGGTTTAAGAGGCACCCATAATAGTCCCTTTTATTCATGCTGAGAATGAAGAACCAGGGGCAACACTAAAGAAACCTGCACTTGGCTTTTCCTTGCTGCTTGTGGTCCCTTTCCTGGAAGCTGCTATAACACAGCCACCAAGTCCTGGGAGGAAGAGAAGGAGGGGATTAATTCTTATGATGCAGGGGGATGGCTCCAGAGAGAGTGGAAGCAAAGACATCTGTGTTCTGATGACAGCTGTGCCACGAGTTTGCTCTGTGACTTGGTCAAGATGCTTTGCAATTTGAGGCCTTCATTTCTCCGTCTGGCAAGTGGACATGCTAGTGGACCTTGAAGGCCTCTTCTAGCTCTTAAAAGCATGAATTTAATATATTTCCAGATTGTCTGTTTATGTTTCCTATTGCATGTACTTGGTATGCCCGGTGACACTGAGCTCATCAACTTGTAAAAAGACCGTGCCATTATCTTCTTTAACGGCAAACAGAACAAAAACAGAATCCTCTTTGTGGGTGCCTGCTCACCGTAATATTAGGACCAAATTCTTTTGTGTAACATTCACCTCCTTTCCCAGTCTAGTTCCACCTAACGGTTCTAGTTTTTGGGAAGCGTTTGCTTCCATGTGTGACATTCATCTTTACTTTGAGCTCTCTGTGAGCCTTTTGCTACTGCAGAGGTATGTGTCTGTTGAAAGAGAGGAAGCTGTACACGATGACACGGCAGAGTCATTGGGTCAGGAGTGGTGTTGAGAAGAATGAATCAGGATGCTGGGGTTCTGTGATAGACTCTACAAATAGTTTACAAGAAGATTTAGGGACAGTAAGCACAATACATCTTTTGCTTCAGTCAAAAGCATAAATTTTAATGGTTACAAATGCCTGGTGCTATTATGAGAAAACCACAGGAAAGACCATTATATAAACAGTAATAATTTGTTGACTATGACTAATCCTTTGGGGAGTATGATATGTGACATAGGCGTATAAGGGCTTTATGTAGACTAACCCCTTTAACACCTATTAACTTGTTAGACCCTGCTAATGGGTCCACGAGGGTGGCAGGCTAAGGAATGCTACCCTCTATTTACTAACGAGCAAAGCGATGCTGAAATACAGTGAAGAAGCTGTCCAGTGTCACATGGTGAAGAGATGGCATAACAGAGACTCGTTCAGTGCTTTTATGCCTGCGTCGTGTTTTCTGCCTTTCCAGGCTTCAGCCTACCCAGTAAAGCAGGATAAAAACACACAATAACTGCCCCCACCACCCACAGCCAGAAGATGGTAGAGGATGGGATTGAATTAGTCATGAATCATGTGAACCATAGTATTTGGTGAATCAGTCTTGGTAATTGGTGGGGTGATATGTCAGTCAGTTTACTTTCACAACTGAATTATCAACTAGGGCACCACGATGGAAAACAGAATTGAGGATTTCTACTTTCTTATTATTCATTTGTACGTGTGTACTTTCACTTATTTAAGGCAATGAAGAACTAATAATACCTAATATGGTGCCAGGCTTTGTAGTAGATGCTGACCTGTAGAAGTGAACCATAAACCCTAAGCCAAGGGCTATAAAATACTTTAAAATTCATGTAGAATCCTCTCTCAATCTTACCCCCCTTTCATTTTTCAGTGTGTTCTCTGATACTTTTGTACTTTTGCCAGGTGATAAGTCCACCTTGACTTGGCTATTTTATATCTTTTTTTTTTTTTTTTTTTTTTTGAGACGGAGTTTCACTCTTGTTGCCCAGGCTGGAGTTCAATGGCACGATCTCGGCTTACTGCAACCTCCACCTCCTGGGTTCAAGCGATTCTCGTGCCTCAGCCTCCCTAGTAGCTGGGGTTACAGGTGCACGCCACCACACCCAGTTATTTTTTGTATTTTTAGTAGAGATGGGGTTTCACCATGTTGGCCAGACTGGTCTCAAACTCTTGACCTCAGGTGATCCACCTGCCTCGGCCTCCCAAAGTGCTGGATTACAAGTGTGAGCCACCATGTCTGGCCGTCTATTTTATATCTTATAGTAAAGGATGGTTGCCTCAAAGGCTGTAAACGTCAATGTTTAGAGATATATATGAAATTATTTGTAACTTCCTTCAATAGTAACTTTCAAATGCCACCCTTACATGGCTTTATGAAAAGTAAACCCTTCTCTTAAATGTCTGCTTTTTTCTTAGAGTAAGTTTCTTGTGTTGGCTTTCTTTTCTCTCTTCTCTTTATCAGTGAATTCATTTATTCTAAATTTTTTTCTGATGTAGTTTGGGACTTCCTAACTTAACAATGGAAATTGAAAATTGGAGAAGCTCATTCTGTATTCTTTCCTTTTTATTCCATTTTTGATACTGGATTATGTCTGTATAATTGCTCAAATTGTGAGTCATGTAGGAACATGCTCTGTGTTTCTGCACATGATATTTAAAACCTATTTATGCTTTCTTAACCACAAAGGGGACCATAAAAGTCCTGTCAAATAGTCCCAGACTGTAAATTCCTTGAGGTCAAGAGCTGTGTCAAATTTATTTTTGTACCTCTTTCTGCTACAGCTCCCAGCCCCTAGCCCAGTGCCAGGTAGCTCTGGCAAATGAGAGTGGGATTGAATTGGATTTCTCGTTCTGACCACTCTCTTGGTGCCTTTATCAACTTGTCCACCCCATTGGGAGGAGGGGCATGGACCTGTCAAGTGTGATGAATTGGTAGATCATGGAGTTTTCCATCCTCCACTAGAACTTTAGCTGTGTTTAGACTTCAGAATGCTGAGTAACTAATAAAAAACGATTCCAAAGCACTCTGCAGATAGAAAGTGCTTCATGTGTAATAAATAATAATAGCCTCTTAAGATTAGGCACAGCCACACAAAGAAGTGCCAGTCTTGCAGGCCGCAAGAATTCCTGATAGACCTTATGGTTAGAGTGGATTGGTTGAGACTGACCCTTGTCACTGTTTTGTAATAAGCAGTTTCACCTCCAAGTTACCACGTATTTTCCATTATGGGAAAAGGGTAGTTTCTGAACTATCTAGGAATTAATCCTTCCAATTATCGTTAGGAGTCTGACTGAAGGAACACCATGAAAATTGACAGTCAAGCTTTCTAGGTAAGCCTAATTCAGTGCTTAAATTTAGTTCTAAATCCTGTCCCCTTCTCCAACTGTTATTTCTTTAAAGGAATCAGCAGTCACCTCTATTTTAGTTCTACAGCATGTGGTGGTCTTAAGAGGTGGAAACTGGCACCTTTTCCCAAAGGAGAGACTGGAATGGCCAGAGCCCATCCTGACTTTGGGTCATCACTTTCAGATTAAAACATAACTGTACAGAGTACATTTCCCTTGATTCTCTGTTTCCACAGAGAGGCTTTTCTGCTTTAGGGTTTCATTGATGGGATGACTTCTTTTCCTTTGTCCTAGAGTGCGGGTCAATCTAATTCAAGTTTGGTGAATAAATGGAGCCATAAACTGTGTTACCCACTTTATTTATTTATTTATTTACAAATGAGGTCTCCCCTCCCTCTGTTGCCCAGCCTGGAGTACAGTGGTGTGATCATAGCTCATCTCAGCCTGGAACTCCTGGGCTCAAGCAATTCTGCCGTATCAGTCCCCTGAGTAGCTGGGACGGTGGGTGTGCACCACTGTGCCTGGCTCTCCACCTTATTAAAGTGAGTTAAGAGAAGCATAAACAGTGTTTTGCTATTCTTCTTGGTAACTTTAAATGATGCTTTCTTCTCAGCAATGATGGTCCAGTCTAACTGGGCATCATTCATTTAGCTATTATTTATTGAGCACCTGCTGTATTCCAGGAACTTTTTTTTTCTTTGAAACGGAGTCTCTGTTGCCCAGACTGGAGTGCAATGGCACCATCTCGGCTCACTGCAACCTCCACTTCCCAGGTTCAAGCGATTCTCCTGCCTCAGCCTCCTGAGTAGCTGGGATTACAGGCACGTGCCACCACACCTGGCTAATTTTTTTGTTTTTAGTAGACATGGGGTTTCACCATATTGTCCAGGCTGATCTCGAACTCCTGACCCCGTGATCCTCCTGCCTCAGCCTCCCAAAGTGCTGGGATTACAGGCATGAGGTACCGCGCCCAGCCTCCAGGAACTTTTCTAGGTGCTGCTGGTCAGTGAAGAAAACAAAGCCTGCTGTAGTTACCATTTGAAAGACTGAACAGAAGTGTGACTTTAAAAAATGATTTGGCAAAAGTATGCTTTAAATAAATAAACACAGCAAACAAAAAACACAACAGCTCTTTCATTCTGTCCTTTCCTCTATTCTTTCTCTTGTCTCCCATTTTTGTCCTGTGTGTAACCTGACTCCACACCTTTTATTCTCTCACTCTGCTTATCAACACAGCCATACTTGCTTCTCAGGCTCTTCTGTGTCTCTTTGTTGTGTCTGCTGTGCTTCATCATGTGGCGATGAAGTAGATGAAGGTTGTTGGTGGCCGGACCCCAACTTCGTATTCCTTCTTAGCTAGTTCCTTGATTGATCTCCAGACATGGAGTGGCAGGTAGGTGCTCTTGTTGTAAGTCACAGAACCTGGAGGAAAGAGTGGTTCGTGGCCCTGGGGCCTCTGGGGGCTGATGCTTGGATATTTGTTTAGATATTTGTTTGGATATTTGTCCCCGTCCAAATCTCATGTTGAATTCTAATCCTCAGTGCTGGAGGTGGAGTCTGGTGGGAGGTGTTGGGGCGGATCCCTCATGACTTGGTGATGTCTTTGTGATAGTGAATTCTTGTGAAATCTTGTCATTTAAAAGTGTGTGGCACCCCCCACCCTCCAACTCTGTCTCTCTCTCTCTCTCTCTCTCTCTTTCTCTCTCTCTCTCTCTCTCTCTCTCTCTGTCTGTCCTCCTCTCCTGCTGTTGCCATGTGAAGTGCCTGCTCCCTTTTGACTTCTGCCACGTTGGGAAGCTTCCTGAGCCTCCACAGAAGGAGATGCTGCTATGTTTCCTCTATAGCCTGTAGAACTGTGAGCCAATAATTCAACAACTCAACCACTTCTTTTCTTTTCTTTTTTTTTTTTTTTTTTTTTTTTTGGAGAGACAGGTCTTACTCTGATGCCCAGGCTGGAGTATAGTGGCATGATCTTAGCTGACTGCAACCTCTGCTTCCTGGGTTCAAGTGATTCTCCTGCCTCAGGCTCCTGAGTGGCTGGACTTATAGGCACGTACCACCATGCTCAGCTAATTTTTGCATTTTTAGTAGAGATGGGGTTTTGCCCCTTTGGCCAGGCTGGTCTCGAACTCCTGACCTCAAGTGATCCACCCGCCTCCACCTCACAACGTGCTGGGATTACAGGCATGAGCCACCTCACCTGGCCAACCTCTTTTCTTTTAAATTACCCAATCTCGGGTATTTCTTTATAGCAGGGCAAGAATGGTTTAATACAGGGGCCCATCCAGCAGCACTGCATTACCAGGATTCTGCTGAAGAAATGGACGTGGCCCCAAAAGCCATAGCCTGGCTGCCAGGTGCCCCAGAGTATTGTCAACTCAGAGGAACATCTCTCAGGAAATATTCCTTGATTCTCTCTTCTCTATTAGTTTTTTAAATGCTTCTATCCCAGAGGAGGTGCTCAGTAAATTTTAGTTTCTTTCCTTTTCCGGAAAGTCTCATGACTCTTTATCTGAGTTTGACTTAAGAGAACTTACTTAATAATAATTAATAATAAAGAATAAAACCTGCTAATAATAAGATTTAATAGAACTTTCTGTTTAATTCCATGGTTATTATACCCATTTCTTAATCTCTCTAAGAGACATGGACTGTGTTAAAGTGTGTTTATGAACTGGTGGTCGAGGGTGCATTTCCCTCCTAAGAAAACTCATTCCTTGTTATGGGATAAGGTTCTTGGAGCTACATTTAACACTCAGTCCTAGACTTCAGTGGCTCAAATGCCGAGACATGACCTCCATATTGACCACACGGTTGATCATGCTGACCACAGATTTCTGCTAAAGCTTGAGGTGCCTGACCATCCCTGGCTATTGTCATTCGCCCTAAACTAGCTGTTTGGGAATGGGGCCAGTGATGACCCTTTAGTAGAGATAAGGCAGAGCTTGTGGAGGAAAAATCATTTATTCTCCATTCCCATGATTTAGCCCTCTAACTTCATGCATTTCTTTTTGCCCTTTTTCTTGTGCTGGATTTTAGCCCCCAGCCTCTCTTTCGATCATGATAATTTGCATTTATTACACACGTACTATGTTCCAGGCACTGGGTAAATTGCTTTCTATTGTTCATTTCATTTAATCCTCAAAGCCAGCCTATGCAGTAGATACTAGTGATCCATATTGGATGGATGAGGTATGGATGGATTAGAAAGGTTTATGTAGCTTACCCAATGTGGCACAACTTGTAATGGCAGGGTCAGACTTAGAAACTAAATCTCTCCAATACTAGCTTTTGATTTTATTTTTACCCTACTCACCCCTGATATTCGTCCCCTGGCCTTTTCTGCTTACCTGGCTTGGAGCAAGTCCTCATCTGCCAAAGACTATGTAGGTGGTTGGAAGGAGTGCTCTGTCCTCACCTCTTCCTCCCATGGCACCTGCAGCCAGAGACCTGCTGTGTGTGCTATATACTCTTCTGACCTCTCTGATTCTGAATCGACTCTCAAGGCTGAATTGGCTGACATGCATCTTCTAGTGGATTCATTGTTTTTCATGGTTTACTTGGTTTATGACAAGCTAGGGACAGCTTGACATTTGCTTTCCCGTCAGTGGTCTGGGGACGTGCACAGAGCTGCTTGTTTCAGATCTCCTCTCGGTGTTTCTCTACACTTAGTGAAGACTATATAACCATGGCTCTATTATAATACAATACGTTATAATAAGATCTAGGGGCATTCTCGAGAACTTGGGAGCAATCTAAGAAAGGAGAGTGAGGTTGGAGAGAGGCGTGTCCTTTGCATCTTCTGGTAGATGATGGTGGAGGCTGTGTAATAACACGCCAAAGCCTAGCCCACTTGAAAGCATCACGCTCTCCAGGGAACTGCCTCAGCCTGGGGCACTTATATTATCCATGCTTAGCATTTTTGTATTACTTTACATTTGTGAACTGCTTTCCCATGATTTATTAGCTGTTCTTGTTTTTAATAGCCCCTGGAGGTACATTGATATTCAGGCTTCTGAGAATGTAAATGCACAGGGAACGTTCATCTCATCAGATATTTTTGGATCTGGGTTCAGGACTCTGACCTCCTGGGATGAGGCCATTTGGGGTCACTGCCTCCCATGGATTAGTAGGAGATCAAGTGGACTTAACTTCAGCTCCTAAAGTCTCCAAGGCACAGCCATGGAATGACTGCAGCTATTTAAGGAAATGGCGTAGAAGCCATTATCCAAAGAGCTGGATTCCAGTCCTGACTCTGCTGCTGACCAGCTTCACTGGCCTTGAGTAGTTGCTTTGCCTACCTATGCCTCAGACTCACCCTCTATAAAACAAAGGTAACCTCTCAAGTCCCTTTAGACCCCCCATTGTATTAAATATAATTCTGTGACTTTGGACTCCTTCTCTGGAACCCCTTGGGTAGCCAATGAATTATATGACAGGGAACATGGGTATAGATATAACCCATTAGGGGACTTGAATTGAGAAGGTGCTCACCTTCCTTTCTCTAGGATTCAAGGACCAACTGACAATGATATGCTTTCAGATTCATTTTAAGAAGCACACAATCCTCATTCACTATAAAAGTAAGATAGCGAGTGGAGCTGTTAGAGGAAAGTCAGACTGGAGCCAAGACCATCATTTCTGTATCTTCTGGGTGTTGTAGAAAGTAATTAGCAGGCTTGATTATCTCACTGGTTCAACACACATTTTAGGGATGTGATGTAATGTGAGGAAACATTTAGTTGTCAGATTTTAGGGCTGTATCAAATTTATTCTTGCAGGAAAAGTCTAGTTGTCCTGGCAACCTAAAATTGATTTCTTTTTGCTCTTGTCAGCTGAAACTGGTCCCCTTTGAATCATTCCTCTAATTTAATATAGAGAGCTGTGTGTCTCCACCTGGTGACCGAATCATTTTTAATGACAGGTAACTCCAGCAAATGGCTCCTCTTTCCTACCTGAGCCAGAAGCTATAGTTTATTACTACCTTCACCCTGTGTTGTTCTCTTTGTGTTTATTTATTTGTCTGTGGAGTGAGGTGTGTAAGTAAAGTGGCATTCAATTAATTAAGAGTTTAATCAGGCCTGTAGAGCAGTGATGTAATTGGCAGCCAATCACTGCCTTTCGTTTTCAGTGACCTCCTAGACATGAGTGGGATTCGAATGGGCTCTGGAAGAGGGAGTCCTTTTGTGTGGATGTCTAGCATTTTTGTAACCCGAAGAGGGTGATGTAATGGCCCAGATGAAAGGAGAAAGCGGAGCTGCATGGCTGCTTTCTGCCTCTGTCAGTCATCTCTATCAAGGGGGTGGGTCATCTATGAAGGGTGGAATCGACATCATTAGGAAGAAATTGATGCCTATGACAATTGAAGAGGTTGTGAGAGAGCAATTTGCTTTCCTTAAATGGTTGCAAATTTCATGGACCACGAATGCCGCATCTCAGGATACAGAAGAGAACTTCTGATGGGGAACGGCTACCAGTAATTTTGAGGAAACCCAGAAATCAGCAGAAATGCCAGAAAGTGAGGAGACGAGGAAATAGGTATTATCAAAAAAGTCCAGTGCCCATCCCCCACCCCGCCCCCAAACGAAACAGGTATCCAGAGTCTAGAATCTGCTGATTTCATTGTGATTCCAGTTGTCGACGGTCCTATGTAGACAGGTGATTTGTGAGTCTTTGAAAGGAAGTAGTGTTCACCAAGAGCCAGAACAGGGTCTTAACCAGTTCCCGTTTTGTCTGGGTTAACCAACTGGTGGATTAACACGATGACACAGACATAGTGGGGAGAATGTGGGCTTTGGAGTTGGATTGTCTGGATTTAAATCCAGAGTCCAGGTCATTGTATACAAATGACCTTAGGCCAGTTGTTTAATTTTTGTGACTCAGCTTCTTCTTCATGTCAGTTCTATCCTGGGGCTAATGATAGGACGACAAAGGAATTTTTTTTTTTTTTTTTTTAAGAGGGAATCTTGCTGTGTTGCCCAGGCTGGAGTGCAATGGTGCAATATCTGCTCACTGCAACCTCTGCCTCCTGGGCTCAAGCGATTCTCCTGCCTCAGCCTCCCAAGTAGCTGAGATTACAGGCGACAAAGGAATTTTTGAAGACAAAATGAAATAATGCATGTGAAGAGCTTAAAACAATTTGCACATATGAATTATTTAATAAATGTGGTTCTTACTACTGTTTGTAGGAAGACATTTGAATTTAGTAAAGCACATAAAAGCCTTTTACATATGTATGGATAAGTCCGTAAACAAATACACACTTATTAGTGATGCGGGTTTAGAAAGAGTATATTTCTTGGTGGCAGAAGTTCCAAAGTCAGGCCAGGCATAGTGGCTCACACCTGTAATCCCAGCATTTTGGGAGGCTGAGGCAGATGGATCACTTGAGGTCAGGAGTTTGAGAACAGCCTGGCCAACATAGCGAAACCCCGTCTCTACTAAAAATACAGAAATATTAGCCAAGCATGATGGTTCGTGCCTGTAATCCCAGCTACTTGGGAGGCTGAGGCAGGAGAATCGCTTGAACCCAGGAGGCGGAGGTTTCAGTGAACTGAGATCACCCCACTGCACTCCAGTCTGGGCAACAGAGGAAGACTCTACCAAAAAAAAAAAAAAAAAAAAAGCTCCAAAGTCATATTGCAAGGATGAGGACATAGGTAGGGAAGGGGAAAATTTGTGACCATTTTTGCAACTTTCCAAACTCCTTTCTCCTCCCCCATCTTTCTTTCTTCCAAGAAGTTACCGTCATTAGCAATTTGCCATGTGTCTAGTTTTTGTCTCACATTTATATACCTGTAAATATATGTTTATTTTTTGCTTTAAAAACCTCAACAGTTATTTGTATAAAATTTAAATTCTTTGTTCTTTCATGAAATATCATGACTACAAACATTGAAATAGTTACTCCGAATTGCAGTCACATGTTTTACTTGTATATAATCATTCTTATAGGCAGAGGGATAACTGTAACCTTTTCCCTTCTCCTTCTCACCTTGCCCTTTGGGAGACGTTTCTTCCCTTTTTTTGTGTCTTTCTACCTTGTCCTTCTCCTCCCCTCCTCTCTTTTCCCTTCCCTTATATTCTGTTTTCTTACCGTTCGTCTCCTTTTCTCTCTCCTTCCCTCCCTCCCTCCCTTGCAATACTTTCCTACCTTTCATACTTTCTTTATTATATTTTTAGTCTCTTGTCTTTAGCTTAATATGGGGCTCAGTGGCCAGGCGTTTACATAATATTGTGGGTCCTTGAAACATCAGGTCTTGGACACCTAGTCTCAGCTCTGAATTGTCAGGTTCCTGCTGATATACTTTCTGGGTCCACTGTTGCTTTGTATTTAATACTGGAGGTTGTGATAACATTGTCCAGCTTCAGGAGGCCATGGTAGCGCAGGAGGGATGCATGTGTTGTGTAGTTCCTTGTCTGGAATGCAGGGTGACAGGAGGTTGGCTTGTGTACACATGTTCATCTCCTTGGGCTACTGGAGAGGGAGTCTTTATTTTGGTGGGGTGCTCCTAAGAGCAGTGAGCTCAGAGCCTCTGTCTTGAGACTTGCTGTGTGTTTTCTTGGCCTCCCAATGCTCCTGGCATAAGTGACATCCCTGCTTAGGACCCTACACTCATGATTTCAGGCAACCTTTCTGCCTTCCTTTTGGCCCCTGCCTCTCCACCCCATGTTCATATTCTTCATCCCAGGTGCAGTGCCACCCTGCTGGCTACCTCTGCCAGGCAGCATCCTTCATGCTTAGCTCAAATTCCACCTTCTCAGAAACATCTGACTTCACATTTGGTGTCAGTCTCTCTCCTCCTCCATTTCCCATCACACAGTTTGTACTTTCAGAGATACTTTCATACACCACCTTGTATTCAATGGGTGGTATCTGTTTCTGAGTTCTGATCAGAGGGCAGACATCTCTGATCCTTTGGAGGCTAGCTCAGTAGCTGGCATTTATAGGCACTCTGTAACTGTTAAATTGAATTACTGAGGAGGCCTGAGGGGTTGGAAGGTCAAATGCAGTTAACCCAGGGAACTAGAAGGGCCCCTGGGAACTTGGTTTTGGAGCATGGCTTTTATGAGCAGCTATCAGCTTTTCCCCAGGCTCCTTCTTAATCCTGTCTCTCTAGAGGCACAAGGAGAGGTGGTGTTTGCTTAAGATGCTGGTGGCATTCCTAGTGAAGTTAGGTCAGAATGTGCCATCTCTTCTTTAGCTCTCAACTTCTTAGAGTGTCAACCCTCCTCATATTGGAAAAGCTTAGCTTTTAAAAAGGAGAAAGTGGTTTACATGATGACCTCTGAATTTTTGACTTTGATTATTAATCTTCTTGAAGAAGACTTTGCAGTTGCCCCTGTTACAAGGAAAGCAGACATGCCAAGTTGCTGCATTTGTGAAATTGAATGAAATTCTGGCTGCGTTTTATGGCTCTGACCTTTGGGAACAGTCCAGGGTCAGACTGCTCACATGATGTGCTTGATAAATCCGCCTCCCAACAGCACTGTTGAGATCTTAACTAGAATTGCTACTTGCGAAACACCTTTTTCTGACTTGCAGTTCAGATTCTGCATGTACTGCTGACTACTGCTTCTAGTGGCTCATTCAGATAAGTATGCTATATATTAGGTAGAAAGAGGATGCGTGATACTAAGGAAAGAGAAAAAGAGCCAGCCCAGGACACTTGGGTTCCAGTGCTAAGTCTGCAAGAGACATGTTTGACATGGGGCCTTAGTTTTCAGATCTATAAAATGGAGACACTAATCATTATTAGGAAGGGTTGTCAGGAGTTCGAGACTAGCCTGACCAACACGGTGAAAGCCCATCTCTACTAAAATACAAAAATTAGCCAGGCGTGGTGGTACATGCCTGTAATCCCAGCTACTCAGGAGGCTGAGGCAGGAGAATCGCTTGAACCCAGGAGGTGGAGGTTGCAGTGAGCCGAGATTGCGCCACGGCACTCCAGCCTGGGTGACAGAGCGAGACTCCATCTCAAAAAAAATAATAAAAATAAATTAATAAAACAAAAAGAGCTCCTCCTATGAAAGCTCTGGAAACATCCTCCACCAAACTGGTTGCACTTCTCTAGGCACAATATGGTTTATATCCTTCTAAAATCAGCATCTCGGCCGGACGCAGTGGCTCACGCCTGTAATCCCAGCACTTTGAGAGGCCAAGGTGGGCAAATCACCTGACCTCAGGTGATCCGCCTGCCTCGGCCTCCCAAAGTTGTTGAGATTATAGGTGTGAGCCACTGTGTCTGGCCAGGAGGAGCTCTTACAGAGCTGGAAGTATTTACTCAGAGAAAGATGGAGTTAGAAGGGAAGGTTGAGAATGAGAGACAAGTTAGTGTTTATTCAAGGTGGAGGTGCACAGGCCTAATGTAGGACAACGGCAAGTGGGTTGGAGAAGAGGGGCTTACGGGAAGGATGGGCAGGAGAAATGGGATGGGACCCAGGAGGCCCAAGGGGGAGGTGGAGGATTCAAGTCAGAGCTTCAGATGCTGGGTCTGGAGACACTTTCTGAATGCCTAGGAGGTAGCTGTGGTGTTTTGCAGGATAAGAAAGACAGAGGCTTTCTGTAGCTACCATCCTGCTAGGTGAAATGAAGGGATGGTCTGGGATGTGTGTGTATGTGTGTATGTGTACCCACATACGTGCATGTGTGCATGAGTGTGTATTGGTAACAGAACCAAGGAGATCAGGGACTTACCCAAGGCCATACAGCTGGGAAACAGCTTTCATTTGATTACGGTGCTAAGTTTAGTAATGACTGCGAGAGACAAAAACGGGCAGGGGGAGCATGTAGGGAAAGGGCCTCGGCCCCATTTCCTGCCCTCTCAGGCAGGTAGTGAGTAGGAGTTTTAGGTTTCACTGTTTGATAGCATCACCTCCTCTGCTTTCCCAGAAATTATTCCTCGAAGTATGACTCGAATCATTCCTCTGTTGGGAGATGTATCGGTTCAGAGCTGACTTTCTGCTCTGGTTGTTTACTGAAAAATGGTAGCACTGGCAATTCAGAGGGGGCATAAGCAAGTGAAGAAAAAAAAAATGAACAAACAGGGCATGTGAGGTCAGGGGCCCTGGTTGTGAGTCCCGGCCCTGCTTTTAGAGACCCATGTGAATTGGGCAGATCAATCAACTTCTTAGTGCCTCAGCTTTTTCCTCTGTAAATTAGAAGATAGTGATTTCTGCTTGATAAATTTATTGTGATAGTGCTTTGCAAGTTGTATTGTTGGTCGTAGGATAATAAAGATAAAGGGGTATACAGACTTGGATTCTGTTTCTATATATGTGAAGCGTTAGAGAGAGGTGGTAAATTGTTTCTCTCCCGTGGGTTGTGCACATCTCTGATATTATGGTAATCCCCATATCTTCTCCTTTTGCAGGGTGGGGTGTCTTGGATAGTATGGTTACTGAATGTAGAATCTACTAACTCCTCTTTTTTATTTCCTGAGACTGGGTCTCACTGTGCTGTCCAGGGTGGAGTGCAGTGGTGTGATCATGGCTCACTGCAGTCTTGAACTCCTGGGCTCAATCCTGAGTAGCTGGGATTACAGGTATGTGCCATCATGCCAGCTAATTAGAAAAGTTTTTCTTTGTTGAGATGGGGTCTCACTATGTTGCCTAGGCTGGCTTTGAATTCCTAAGCTCAAGTGGTCAGCCTGACTCGACCTCCCAAAGTGCTGGGATTACAGGCATGAGCCACTGTTTCTGGCCTCCTTTTTAATATTCTGCCCTGTGCAAAGCACCAGCACCAACAGCCTCCCTCCCACAACCCCCAACAGCTGTGCATTAAGTATCACTTTGGTTTGAGGATTTCCTAGCTTGCTGTTTATCCTGGGAGAATTTCTGAGTTTCTTGGTCTTTGTTTCTTTACCCAAAAGTTGGGGATAGTTCAGCTTTGTCTGCATTGTGGACACTACCTCCAGAAAGCAATGGGAAGACCCTTTGTAAGCTGTACCGAACTCTTTGTATTTTTGGAGCACATTTTGTCTTTTTTCTCCCTTCTTCTGGTGGCTGAGGTACCTCTTTGGTCTTGAAAAGACCCACTTATATGGAGGCGGAAATGGGCTTATAGAGGGAAGTGACTTTCCAAGGGCCCTGGAATGAATTGGATTCTGAGATCTGTGCCCGTCCTTGTCACAACGTGTCAGATTCCATTATTTAGTGTGGGCCTGATTTGTCCATGCCTGGGACTTTCCCAGAGGAAGTCATACTTTCTGGAAACTCTCTGAGGTCTTGAAGGGGTGGGAGAAGTCTCTGACACAAGTGCTGCTGTGGTCATGGAGGCTTCCATTCCTCTCTCCTTGTGTTGAGCAGGGAATTGCTCCTTGGATATTTTAGGTTTGAGTGACTCAACATGCTTATGACCCAGAGGATGCTGTGGTGTGTTTGGCAGCATGCTGGAATTAGTCAGAAGGCAAAACTGCTTGTCCTGACCCCAGAACCCACTTACTCTAGGTGGATGAGAAAGTCCTCTCGGATCCTCTATTTCCTAATTCATGGCAACTTCTGGAGAACAGTATTTTCTCTGTTACTGCTTTATGGGGTTTAGTGTGGAAATTAAAGAAGAGAACTTCTTATTTTTTGTAAATAATAATACAATATTCAGATACTGTTAGTTTCTGAAATTTAAAATGGGCATCTCACTTCTGTGTTCCCTCCCCAAATAAATGTATTGATACTAAAAAGGAAAGCCAGCTAACTTTATGAGGATGGCTGGTAAATGAGCCATTCTGTTTTTGCTTGCTGTCCAAGGCCTCTAATATTAAGCCTGGACCATTTCAAGCATATATGGAGGATATATATTTCAAATATACATTAGGGGTATATATTTCAAAATCGAGGACACATTAATAGTAAGAGGAGACCATGTAAGACAAAGCACAGGTTTATTTTTATTTTTATTTACCTGTTTATTTTTTATATTTTTGAGATGGGATTTCTCTCTTGTTGCCCAGGCTGGAGTGCGATGGTGCTGTCTTGGCTCACTGCAACCTCCTCCTCCCAGCTTCAAGCAATTCTCCTGTCTCAGCCTCCCAAGTAGCTGGGATTACAGGCACCCATCACCACACCTGGCTAATTTTTGTATTTTTCTTAGAGATGGGGTTTCACCATGTTGGCCAGCCTGGTCTCAAACTCCTGACCTCAAGTGATCCCCCCACCTCGGCTTCCCGAAGTGCTGGGATTACAGGCGTGAGCCACTGCGCCTGGCCAAAGCACAAGTTTAAAAATTACAAGTTTCCACCAGCCTCATATCTCCCTTGGCTTATAATATTCAAGTGTTCATGGATACTGGGGCTTGCCATCCCCCGCCCCGTGTGTTAATGCAGCCCATGGAGGCTTCTCATAGAGACATAAACAGTGGGCTCCAGAAGGTCTCTATTTAAGAAACTGAGGTCTGGCAAGGTCACACATCGAGGAAATGGCAAAATCAAGACTAAAAGCCAGCTCTTTGGATTCTCAATTCCCTGCTCTTTCTGACACTTCACTCTTCCCTCCTGTCAGGTGAAGAGAGAAGCCAGATGGTTTGACAAATGGTTCTCGTTGCTGTCAAATCTGCCTTCTTTCTTTGCTCAGACAGACAGTTCTTACCTTCCCTTTTTCGGGGGACTGGCGGAGGTGGGGTGAGGAGAGAGGTAGGAAGGTGGATGAAGGAAAAAAAGAAGCATTTTATTGCTTCATTCTTTATGTAGTAGTGATGGCCAATAAGTTCTTTTTTTCTCTGGCAAGAAGCTAAGTAAAGGCAAGGAGTAATCGTCACCTTGAATTTAGAGCACATAGAGGCCTAGAAATGGCAGGCTGTATTAGGAGACAACATTGATTTCATATATATTCATCTCTGAAAAAACATGTTTAAGATGCCATATTCATAAATACTAATAAGGCTGTCTGATTCCAATTTTCAGGTGAGATTAGCATTTTATTGAGTATTTTATCTGTCAGATTCAATGCTGGATGTACCATCCTCCCAGGCTTATTAGCATAATTGCTGTGCTTAAGCAACAATAAAAAAATCAGCAGTAAAATAGCATTTAGTGCAGGCAATTTGTTATCAAAAGCTTTTACTTAAGGACAGCTCCAGCCTGCATTTATTAGCAAGTTAGGGTTATAATTTATTTTTATTTTGAAAAACAAAAGTGGGAGAAAGATTTGGCTTTTTTGTTTTGGAAATAATAGAGAAATTAGAAAGCATTGCCTCTTTGGAAAATTGTCCACATCCCTTCTTCCTTTGCCGAAAGCAGGCTGTGATGGGAATAGATTCCACTTGTGAGCGACATTGGCTCAGACAAAAAGTTGCTCTCCTTGGCATTGGAACAAACGGGTAGTAACGTCCCTTTATGCTTGTACACACATTTCCAAAACACTTTCAGATCTCGTTTGTTGCTCAAACCTCACACCAGTCCCGTGAGGTCTCCATTCTTAGAAATAGAAAACCAAGTTGAAATGACTTGTTCCAGATGAGGCAGTTGAGTGGCAAAGTGGAGGTGTAAAAACTAGTCTTCCAGCCTCCAGTCCTGTCTCAGCATTGCTCCCCTTCACGTCGTTGTCCAGAGCTCCTGGTGGAGCCTTGGCCTTTTCCATATGTACACGTGCACACACACACACATACACACAGATCTGTGTATCTACACCTGTCTATACACATACGTGCACACCTATGCACACACATCTATGCATACATACATACTTTTTCTTTTCCTAAAAGTTAATTATGTACTCTTGCATTTGTTTTTCATTTGATGTCCGGGTTGAAATACTTCTGCCACATGAACTTCTCTTGATGCCAAATAGCCTCTTAAAATCAATCTCTCTCTCTCTCTCCACCCCCCACCCCCCACCCCCACCCCCCCGCCCCTCTAGCTAGCAACTGTATCAGGAAAGCACTTGTGATTACCATCTGTTAAGGACCTGGAACAAAATAAATGATGTTATAAGTTTTTGTAGGGAAGATAGAGATAAGATTTTAAAATATGGAGATTGGGAAATCATTTTTCTTCCTTATTTCTTAGGAAATGTATCAGAAATAAATAACATTAAATTGATGCCTTTTAGTGGGTTTTAGGCTTCAATTATGGGTAATAATTTTCAAATTGAGAATAAAGTTTTGAGTGAAAATGGACAACTGAAGCTTCTAAGCTTTGAGAGGAGTTATTTTAGCATTTTAGATTTTCTTTTCTCAGTAAATTCAAACAAAGATCATACAATCATTGAATCATAGCACGTCTAAAATCCAAGGCTCTGTGCTGGCCACTGTGTGTTTTACAGACTAGCTCAGACGTGGCTATGAGCCCCAAGACATGTTTAAACTATTAGAGAGGATACTAACGATACATTAATAATGTTCTTGGTTTTGACAGAATATTCTAGAACAGGAACTCTAGTAGGATTTTTGCTTATGTTACATCATTGAAATTTAAATTCACTCAATTATTTATTGACTAAATATTGAGCACTTATGTGATGTTCACTCTTGTATTTTACATACATCATCTCATGTAATTTTTTAACAATCATATGAAATATGATCTGAGATAATAGTCAGTACTGTTATTATTGTTCTCATCATTAGATGAGGAAATTGAGACTAAGTAACTTGTCCAAGTCATTCAGCTGGTAAGTGGTAGAACTGCTGTGGTCTCCCTGTAAACACATGTTTTTTTCATGGTACCACTTGGCAAAAAACGAATAAGCAGGTACATACGTAGACAGATAGTGCTAATGATGATTAGAGAACCTCAGAACTCATGCAGAACCTGGATGTTTAGAGAGAAAATGGAACTTGAAATCAGACAGGTGTTCAAACCCTACTATGCTTCTTAGTGTTTGTAAAATCCTCAATTTAAGGACCTCTTAGGATTTCGGTGTCTTCCTGTGAATAAAGGATTATAAAATCTTTCTCTCAATATCATAATGAGAATAAATTACAAAATGTATGTGAGTGTCTGCAAAGGTACCTAGTTCATGGTGGGAGTTCACCCTATCTTGGAAGTGCTCATAAACATGCAGGGTTTTTTTTTTGAGACGGAGTCTTACCCTATCGCCCAGGATGGAGTGCAGTGGCGCAACCTTGGCCTCCCGGGTTCAAGTGATTCTCCTTCCTCAGCCTCCCGAGTAGCTGGGACTATAGGCGCATGCCACCATGCCCGACTAATTTATTTTGTATTTTTAATAGAGACGAGGTTTCACCATGTTGGCCAAGCTGGTCTCGATCTCCTGACTTCAAGTGGTCTGACTGCCTTAGCCTCCCAAAGTGCTGGGATTACAGACGTGAGCCACCATGCCCGGTTCAACATGCAGTTTTGTGTACTGTTTAGGGACAGATGCCGAAGCCACATTGCTTGGGTTTGGATCCATCCTACCACATAATATCATGTGACCTTGGACAAACAACTTCACTTCTAGTGCTGTACTTTCTTCATCTATAAAATGGGCTTACATCATAGGGTCCTTGTGAGGATTAACAAAGTTAGAATGCGTAGAGCATGTAGAACAATGCTTGGCACACAGCATGCCGTGCTTCAGTGGTAGCACTTACTATTCCATTATACTACAGCCACCGAGAAGGACAGGTACACAGTGAATAGTTTAGGACTGTTCATGTTCCCGGCCTCTTCACTCCAAGAGCATCAGCAAGTTTAGTTTAGAACATAGGAGTTGTATTTACACAGCTACTAATGACCTTGGAAAAGTTCTTGGCTTCTCTGTCCTTGACCTTTGTTTATCTGAACGAGTAAACTTCAGATGACAGAGTGTGTGGGGAATGGAATGCATCCGCATCCTTGATAAGCTGCCCTAGTGGAATGTTGCCATGTGGCTACTGAGGGTCAATTCACTGGTCAAAGGTGGCCTGCTGGTTGGTATTTTTTCTGTGTCTTCCGGGCAAGTTCTGTCTTTCCTCAGTCTGCACATGCCTGGGTCTGTCCTCAGAGCTCTCTCCCATTTCCCTCTTCTCTAGAAAGCATTGATATAATGGGGCCACCTCTTCCTTGGACTGTTTCTGTAGCATCAGAAGGAGGTGGGTGGGAATTTGGCATACCACTTTTTGAAAGGTAATACATTCTAACATATGTATTTCACCCACCTTCAAAGAGTAAGAATACACTGAATGATACTTAATTTTAAAGATGTGTTGCTGAGGTGAACTCTAAGACGAACAATTCTTCAGAATCTTTTACTTTCTTGGGCTTCTTGTCCCAAACAACAATTATCTTTATAAAGCCTGTGTGTGTATGTGTGCGTGTGTGTTTGTGAAACTTCCTGGAATTGGTAGTGTTGATTTTGAGATGTTTCTTTGGCTTATTCAAAATATAAACAGAAAGGCTAAAGTGTTTTTCATGTCATTAAGAATGTCTTTATAAGAAAGGACATTGGCCGGGCGTGGTGGCTCTCGCCTGTAATCCCAGCACTTTGGCAGGCCCAGGCGGGTGGATCACGAGGTCAGGAGATCGAGACCATCCTGGCTAACACGGTGAAACCCCATCTCTACTAAAAATAGAAAGAAAAAAAAATTAGCCGGGCATGGTGGTGGGCGCCTGTAGTCCCAGCTACTCGGGAGGCTGAGGCAGGATAATGGTGTGAACCCAGGAGGCGGAGCTTGCAGTGAGCTGAGATCATGCCACTGCACTCCAGCCTGGGCGACAGAGCGAGACTCTGTCTCAAAAAAAAAAAAAAAAAAAGAGAAAGGACATTAAGATGATACCTTACCTTGTGTGGGGGGCTTGTAGCTTTCAAAACACTTAAGTACCCATTTTCTTATGTGTGCTTTATGACATCTCTATGATGTAGGCAAGGCAGGGTTTATCATTATTTCCCTTTTAGAAATGGTGGATCTGTGGTTCAGAGAAGTGAAATAAGTTTTCTTAAAGCAGTTCTGGATGCAAACCCAGAACATTTGACTCTAGGGTGCTTTCTGCTCCACCACCCTGATTTGATTGTAAGGAGGTAATTCTTACCAAGTACTGTCAGATTATATAGAGTTGTAATATATCTTAAAAATGCCCATTTTAATTTTCTTTAAACAGATCAGTTAAAAAGTTAACTGTGATTTGATACCATCTTGTTTCTCCCCAAGTTTAAACAGCAATGAGTCTCTAGGACCTTCGGTTAAACCAGCATGTGTTTTTCAAAAATCAAATGTCAAAGCATTTCGTGAACCTTGCTTTAATGAACAAGAGAAGTGAAGGTACAATTCCTTTTTTGCATGAGGTAATTAGGAAACAGGATGTGCAAACTTGCTATATGAATTTAAAGAGGAGCACTTCTACTGATGTACAAACTGGATGGGCATATTACAGAGGGTTTCATGCTGGTAGAAATTTTAAGTGAAATAAGTTCTCATTAAGCATATCAATTATTTTTGGACTGTGTGAAAACTTAATCTGTTTCATGAGTTGGATCTAAGGTGGTCAATACCTCTACACTCCAAAAAACAGAAGCATGACTCAAACATCTAGTTCTGATTGCAGAGTGCCTTTATCTGGAAGACTGGACATGTCGTCAGAATATAGAGCAAGAGGGATGGAATATGCTCTTAAGTTTCCTGATGACTTAAGGGTCTGCACTATACTTGCTTGGGAGGTGGGAAGGATTGAATTCTCTTTGGAAAATGCCTTTGAATCTCTTACACACATGGTACCCAATAAGCCTAGTGCTGTATTATTAGCATCATGTACTAGAGTATGGTTTACCTGACATAGGTTTTGGAAATCTATTTCTTTTATTTACACTACATGGTTTCTTAGGTGGCAATTCTCAGTGAATTACCAGCTTCCTGATAGTGTCTTGAAAAGCATGCTTTATAAGGAGGCAGAAAGTGTTTCTCTTTTGACAGATGACCTCCTTGACCCCTTGACTTTCCATTTTTGATGGTTTCTTTTGAGGTCTACGTCATCTGGTAATTTTATTGGTGTGATTTATGCCCCCAGTAAGGATCAACTTGTATAGATTCTACATTCTCATGGAAGTCTATGTACTGTCTCTACTGTGTAATAATTAGCTCCAACTCTACAAACAAGGTTAGAAATGAAATCACCAGCATTACAAGTGAGACATAACAAATGGAAGATTCCCTTCTCTGAGTTTCTCTCATACCGTTAATTTTATTTGAGCTGGCATTGACTCATTCTATATGTCTCTTCTGCTAGATTTTGAACTCTGGAGGACTGGTCTCATATCTTATTAATTATAATGGTGGCGCACAGCACATTATAGGTATTTATTACTAAGTGGTTGGGTTTAATATCTTAAGAAGCAGAAAATGTGGTTTTTCTTGAGAGAGAGATGGTTTTGGATGTTGTTCCTCTAGTATATTCTAAGCCTGCCCGCCTGGGGCTCTGTAACTATGGCTCCTAACGTGGGGAGCCCACAATCTAGCTATATCATGTTAGCGAGAGCTCTTTGTATACTGAAACAATAAACTTACCATCTTGATGAGTTTTACATGTAGAATGGCTTAGGTTATAAGGTACTGCCACCTCATTCCACTGTTGAGAATTGTCTAATGCAAAGCTCACTTTTTAAACATGGATAATTGGACAGTCATGAGTGGATCATCGAAGGGATAAGCAAAATATATGTCAAACTGAGAATTAATATCTATCAAAACACTTGCTATTATTTGGTAGATGGGAGGTTATTTTATTTTTAAGAAGTAGATTGGCTGAATGGAAAAGCAAAATGTGGCATAAAATAAAATGGGATATTGTTCAGCAGTGAAAGGAATAAAGTACTGATATGGACTACAACATGGATGAACCTTGAAAACATTATGGCAAAGTGAAAGAAGCCAGTTACAAGGCCGGGCACCATGGCTCATGCTTGTAATCTCAGCACTTTGGGAGACCGAGGTGGGTGAATCACTTGAGGTCAGGAGTTCGAGACCAGTCTGGACAACATGGTGAAACCCCCGTCTCTACTAAAAATACAAAAATCAGTTGGGCGTAGTAGTGTGTGCCTGTAATCCCAGCTACTCAGGATGGTGAGGCAGGAGAATGGCTTGAACCCGGGAGGTGGAGGTTGCAGTGAGCCGAGATCTGCCCTCCAGCCTGGGTGACAGAGCCAAACTCTGTCAAAAAAAAAAAAAAAAAAAAAAAAAAAGCCAGTTATGAAAGACCACATATTATATGATTCCATTTATGTGAAAAGCCCACAATAGGCAAATCTATAGAGTCTGTAGCGATAGAAAGTAGTGGTTGCCGGCAGGGTTGGGGTAGAGGATAGGTAGTGATTGCTAATAACTGTGAGTTTCTTTTTGGGATGCTGAAAATGCTCTTTATATGGTGGTGATGATTGCACAACACTGTGAAATACTAAAAACAGAACCGTAAACTTTAAATGGGTGAATTGTATGTAAATTATATCTCAATAAACCTGTTTTAAAAAGTGGATTTCCCTTTAATCTATTCTCTGAGGATTGCTTCAGGGATTCAAAATAGTGCATAGTGCCAAGTTTTAAACTCATATTGATTTGTTTTTGGTAAATAAGTCATGCATGCTTAACAATGGTGAACACACTTAAGGAAAAAGTGGTAACACAACTAGAGCCACCAAACCGAAGCAAGTATATTTCCACCTAACTTCATGCACGTTTTTTTCTCAGAAGCTTTAAAAATTTATACTTTCTCAAATGTTGATTAATGAGATATCTGATAAGAAATAACAGGGTACTGACAGTCCTGATTGTATAAATAGGCATTAGGGATTGTGTTCATGGTTTGCTTGTCAGCACAAGAGAAATGTGTGATTATGTTGAATGATAGTTAATTTTCTTATCCACCCATTTTAAAAATAAAGATGTACAGCTAGAAAACAGGTGCCCAGGGAATAGAGGAGACCTGCAGCTTTGATAATGAGCCCCAGAAAGAAACTAGAAGGAACAAGCTCCCGCTTAGGAGGTGCCGTTCGAGTCCTGGCCAGTGTCTGACTGTAGCTGATGGGTTTAGAGAACTGTGGCTGGCTTCTCACAAAGGATTTTTTCATTTACTCTTGTTTTGTGTTTGAGTATAGACAGCTTTTCCCATCCTCCATCAGGGTCATTGTCCCACCTTCTCTGACTCACTTATTGTGTCAACAGAATTAAAAGAGCAGCCGGTGGACGTGTGTAGAGGCTGAAGGAGAGCTGTGTTGCTAGCTTTGTATTTGAACGGTTCGTACACAAACAGTTCTCTTTGATTAAGTATCCGGTGAAACCAATTCACATGAACTCCAATTAAACTTTAATGAACAAGTGGGTGTATTAATATCAGCTGAGTAATGCAGGCAGCACAGATTCCAGTAAGTGACTCACTTCTCTGAGCAGCTCATTCCCCATGCACGGTTAGAGTTACTAGAAAGCTTCCAGCTATATTTGAGTGGATCTGGTCTGGGCCTTGTAATTCTAACAATCCTCAGGGCTCGCTATTCATCTAGTGACAAAACCACAGTCATCCAGACCTCTGTTTTCAGAGCAAAGATTGGGGATGAAGAGTTTTGTTCACATTGAGCAATTAGGCCCTTCGTTGAGCAGTGACCATTTGGACTTTTATTTTCCTCATCTTCCCATTTTTGTTTTTTTGTTATTTTATTTTTTAGAGACAGGGTCTCACTCTGTAGCCCAGGCTGGAGTGCAGTGGTGTGATCACAGCTCACTGCAGCCTCAGCCTCTTGGGCTCAAGCAATCCTCCCGCCTCAGCCTCCCGAGTAACCTGGAACAACAGGCATGCACCACTGTGCCCACCTACAAAATTTCTGTAGAGATGGGGTCTTGCTATGTCGCCCAGCTTGGTGTTGAACTCCTGAGCTGAAGTGAGCCTCAGCCTCCCAAAGCGCTTGGATTATAGATATGAGCCCCGTGCCCAGCCTTTATTTTGTTTTTAAGTGAGAATTATTTTTTTCTTAAACCCAGGGGCAGTGTAGGTGAAGGTTAAGGCAGTGAAGATAGAACAGTCAGTTTTGAAATGCACATAGCCTTCCTGAGCCTCACTTTCACCACATCTGCCAGTCTGCCTCAAGTCTTTAAGTTTCCCTACACCAGAGGCAGCAAGGTGTGCCTGGAATGATGAATTCCTTTGAGCACAGACCCTGTTCCATCTAGAGACTGATGACTGTACCTATTTCCTAGGAAAGGTTAAGCAAGATCGTGAATATAATGCTCTTCGTTTCATGCCGGCACATAATAAGTTCCCACTAAATGTTTAACTTGGTCCACTGGGGGAAGGATGAGAAGGAGGATTTGGAGATAAATGAGACTTGGCCCTTGACAATTCAGGAGCTTGGAGTCTTATAGAGATTTGACTTAAAAATGTCTGTGTAACTCCAGAGTGATAAAGACAAAAATGCTTGAAAAAGATAAGTGAGGATTCGGGGGATGGAGGAATCCCAGAGGTTGGCCCCGTCTGAGAAGGCTGGAGGTTAGGGTAGGAAGAGGTAAGGGTTTGGGAAGGTAGTTCTAGGCTGACTGAAGAGTGTGAGCAAAAGCAGAGGCAGGGATGTATCCAGGTATCAGATAGTGCACATTTAGTGTGGTTACAGTAGGTGATAATTTAGGAGGCTGATTGAAACTGAATTTAGCCTCTGCCTTAGTCACCAAGTCCTTTCCCAGCTCCACTTGCTGTTCTCTCTCTCATTCTCTCCTACCTATATTGAAACCAGTTGAAAATAATGGAGTCACACAGAGGCAGATGGCAATAATGTCCAGGTTGTGGAACATTAGCTCATTGGGCTTGCTAATGCAGCACCCATGAATGAAATTTACCCTCTTCCTCTCAGATAGCTCCTGCACTCAATAACTCCCATTTAGGGCACACTGTGCATAAAGCTCCCAACCATGAAGAGCAGGGAGGATCTGCCTCTAACAGTCAGGTAACTCACAAAGACTGGAAGGAAGTGACTGGGTTACACATGGCCAGTTTCTTCTCCAAACTCAATAATTGGGTAACTCTCTGCCTCCTCATCTGAGAACAAGGGAGTGGGAGGGAGGCAAACAAGAAAAGAGAAGAAGCAGTGGAGAAAGGAGACGTTCTGCAGTGCCAGGCTTCTTGCCCCACACTCTTCCCAAATGTCAACATAGTTCCTTTAGGGGAAAAAAGTGGGAGGCTAGAATGGTAGGACAGGGCCACAATATGGAAGTGAAAAACCAGGGGCAGTTTCCTGAGCAGGGAATGATGTCATTCGATCTATAATTCAGTCTGGTTAATCTACTTATGCAACACCAATTGAAGGACACACTTAGATAACTCAGCCTTGAGTCAACAAATCTTGTGTAACACTGCCAAGGTCCATAGTGCAAGAATCAGCCCCCACTTCGGAAATAACAACCACCCCTCAGTGCCAAATTTTGGACATTGCTTGTAAATTTCAGACTCCTTCCCTCCAAGATACTGTTTTAGAGAATGTCGTAGGGTAAAAAATTCCAAGGGGTAAAGACATAAATTCCGTAATACTACAATAGATGGGAGGCTCTAATCAAGTAGATAAATTCTATTTTTGGAATTGTGAATAAAGCAGAAAAGATTCTTGGAAATCAGGAATTGAATAGATTGATGGTACAAATGAGAGACTATATGTTGCTTAAAGAAAACAAAAGATTGCCTATCAGGTTTTAAAATGTGAGTCAGTAGTTTATATAGTGATTCAAGCTGAACAGCTATCTTGGTTATTAACTAAAATCTTTTCTTTCCCCTTCCATTTTATATATGAAGAAACTATTAATACAAAAGTCATTATCAAAGGACACTGGGGCTAGGTTTCATTACCCAGCTTAATCCTTAATTTCATATTGAGCATTTCATATTGAAGTGAAACAATAAGGATATGTTTCTAGAGACTGATGAGACAACTGAATTGGACTTGGTTTTGACATTCAAAGGGATCAGGTAGAGGTACTTAGTTGAGCTCACTACTTCATTTTGGCAAAAGACATATGTCATAGAAATGTAGTAGCCATGATGGATTATGTATCTTTGAATTGGGAGCCTATGACAAATTTTCTCCAATGGGAAGTTTCTTCAGAGCCTATCATTGTTTCAACAATAATTAAAGTAATTTACAGAGAATGTGCTCATCTACTTTTACCTACTGTTATCTTTTTTCCAAGTTAATAAACTGAATATATTGTATAGATTGGTTGATAGCCTTCCTGAAATGAACATCCTTTGCAAACCTATCTCTCCAAACCCAAATCCTGCCCAAATTTCCCAATTGTGGTAGCAAGCCCAATGAGCTCCTGATACGATCCTAATAGGATCCTCTTCTCTGGAAATCCTCGACAGATCACACTTCTCTTTTCTTGGGAACAGCTTTCTGTTTCCTTGTCCAGAATGGATGCCGTTCTGTTATCCTGGTCACTCTCTGGGCCCCCTCCCTTTGTCCACCATGAGCACAGGCTACTGGCCACTGATCCTCCTGGGGGCACTAGCCTGGCTACCCCATTGCTTATTTTACCTTTGCTTCTCTTAAATACCATTGTTGGTGATTGCTCCACACAGCAATTGTTCTCACCTAAGTCTGTGGATAAGACTCACTTAGGGAGGTTTTACCAGAATTCAGCTCATCTCCCTAAATGTTTGGGTCTGGACTAGGGCACACACTTCTCGTGAGGCGCTTCTCATGAGTACCCCTTCTCAAACTTTACGGGTATCAATTTACTTATGGCCTGCAGTGCATAAAGTGAAAGCTTTCTGAAAAGACATTTAATCCATCGGTATGAGGATGAAAAAGACACACTCAGGGCATGAAAAGAGTGAGAAGGTCACAAAAAGGGTGTGGTCTCAGCTGGAGAGGAAGCTGAACAATCCTATAAAGGAACAAAAGCTCAGCGTCCTGACCATCTGTTTCTTTCTACCCCAGGCCCATTCCCATCATGAGTATTTATTCTGCCCAGTGTGGGATGGGTTCTGTTCTAGAAGTTTGCATGAGCAGAGGGAAGCTTAGCCCCATGAGGCCAGTCATGAGGCTCCATCTTATTCTATAGGCTTCAGCCTTTTTATGAAGACCTAGCTTCTACTCTTGCCCCAGGCCCTAAGCAGGCCCAGACTTTTCCCATATACACACACTCTCTCTCTAACTTATGTGTCTTACATCTTAATAAGGCAGCAGATTGTATCAGAATCAGTTAACTCTTTATCAAAAAACCCAGAGCAGACAGACGGGTGAACTTGCTCATGGGCTGAGCTAGAAGGGAGGCCACTTTTCCTTCACACAGCCTCGGACTCTCCCTGGGCTTTTTTGTGTGTGCTGCGTGGAGACTGTGTTCTAACATTTCAGTCATATCTTCCTTATTTTAAAACTACAGAATTGATCTTACCAACTTACTGGGGAGCACGTCGTCAGTAAATTCTAATGGAAAAACCTGTCTGATCAATGGGACAGGAAAGCGTCACAGCAATACCGGTGAGTCATTCCAAGACCAGGCACATTTGAGCTGTGTTGCTTCTTCGATGCTGACTATAATTCTCCCTCAGCATTACGTCGTCTTAAGCAGCTTTTGAATCTTCGTCTCTGATTCCCTTTCTAGGTCAGACTGTGTCTTTTTTTAAAATTGTGCCTGGATATCCCCTTAATAGGTTGGACAAGTCCCGTTAGGATAATTGGCTGTATGAATATGCGAAAATAGCAACAGTGAATTTTAAAGTTCTTGAATAGTCTCCCCGTCCCACTGTGAGGTGAGGCATCTGGGGTGGGCTATCTGTTTTTTGATTCTTGGTTCTTGTTTTTAAAAAAATAGGATGTTGGACCTTGGGATGAGAGGGAAGTAAAACAGTTTTGGAACCCTTTTAGAAAGCAAACTAAGACAAAACTCCTTTCTTGAGAAAAATGGATGGACATTGTAAAGAAGACAGTAGGGCACCAGGAAGCCTTGAGCCAGGTCTGCCTGTGTCACATTTCGAGTTATGAGCTTCACCGCTCTGCTGTCTGTCTCTGGAGATCATCATCAAACCCCTTTCTCTGAGTTGTTGAATGGCTCAGATGAGTTAATGCCTATGAAAGTACTCTGTAAACAGAAAAATACCTTCCTATTTGTAATCTCAACAAAGGGACTTTTATCATCCCTAAAACAGAACAGACATTTCTTTTTCAATTATGAAAGTTACATAGACTCTTTTTAAAAAGTTAAATGCACAAAAGTATGATGAAAATTAAAATAACCCTAATGAGTCCATCATCCAGGGACATCATTGTTCTAATTTAAACATTTGGGTAATCTGTTCTCTTTTTTTAAGAAGGGTTGTGTGTGTTTATTTTTTTTCTTTTTTTGTGTGTGTTTGTGTATATCTATGTGTATTTTTATTCTGTTTTCTTTACATAACACTGTATTGTAAACATTCCCAAAATGTAAATTTTAATCATTGCATAATATTGCATTATCTGATATATGCACATGCATTTTGAGATTTTGTGACGAACGATTGTGACTATTGTTTCCATAATTAAGGGTTAGCTGCTTACCAAGAAAGGAACTTACTTTAAAACATGGCAGGCACACTTGGCCATTTTTTTTTTTTTTTTTTTTTGGCAGTAAAGGAATTTGAAGTATCCAGTTTTTTAAATAAATTAATATGTATTGAATTGGAGTTTAGCAGTACTTTTAGTTAAGATCTCAGTTAAGGTAAAAAGGTCAGACCTGTAGAGTTATTAATTTGTAGAAAATTCTGACTACAGCAAAACATATTAGCCCAAGTTCTCTTTATTAATAAAACATTAGTTACAGAAATACTAAAAAATAGATTGGTTGGTCTCCTGAATGTCCTGCGTTAGGTAAGTTGCCTTATGCCATCTGGAAGACTTTTTATTTTCTCTTCATAGAAGGATACAATAGATTTGTTTTGCTCAAAGAGTTCATTTTCTGTTGCTGGGCACATATATAATACTGTAAACACATTTCTGGATATGACGACATAATGATGAAGAGAGACCTTTGAATATTTTCTTAAATGAAGATTGAAGGAGTAGTAAGCTGTGAGAGGAGATTTTTCTACTATTTCAGTCCTAAGATTGATCTTTTTTGTCATGGATTTATCCCTTTGTCTCTATGCATTTCTATGTGTCTGCTCAGCATCTTATCTTCTACATTTGCCCTAGTTCCATCCTTCCTTTTTTCCATGCTTGTTTTTCCATACACCTGCCCATCCACCCTCCTGCCTCTCTATCCAGTCGTCCGTCTAACCATTTCTGGCAATTCTTACCTCCCTGTTTCATGTATATCTCTCCATTTTTACCTGTCATTTATATTTATCTATTTGCCTATCCATATCTACACCTGCTTGTCTGCTCACTGTCTATCTATAAAGTTAATGGAGATGATTTTGATGAAAACTTATGAATTTCTTTATTGCATTTTACACTGTGGGTTACAGGGGCCAAAGGCCATGGGGACCAGAAAGTGGAAATAACCAGAGCTCGGCCATTTTTGTTTCATTTCAAAATCAGGAGGGAAGGTCAGAACTAACCTGATTATCCTTTCTGTGATGCTAATCAGGATGTTCTTAGTATAATGCCTTTTGGAGACTGTTATTTTAAGGAATGTTTTGCTAAGAATCAGTTGCCAGGACATAGAATGAAGAGCTATTGTATAGCTTCAGAGTAGTTCTCTTTTAAGAAGGATATAATAAATTAAAAATAATTTTCTTGAGGTCAGACTAAGGAAAAGTCAAAGATATACAATTGCCATCTCTCCAAATTTATTGATTTTATTTATTTATTATTTATTATTATTATTATTTGAGACAGAGTCTCACTTTGTTACCCAGGCTGGAGTGCAGTGGCACGATCATAATTCACTGCAACCTCAATGTCCTGGAGTCACTGAAGCCTCTCAAGTACCTTGGACTACAGTTGTGTGCCACAATGCCCAGCTAATTTTTTTTGTACTTTTTTTAAAGACAGTATTTTGCCATGTTGCCCAGGCTGGTGTTGAACTCCCGGGCTCAAACTATCTGCTTGCCTTGGCCTCCCAAAGTGCTGGGATTATAAGTGTTAGCCACTGTACCCAGCCCAATTTACTGACTTAAAAAAAAAGAAAAAAAAAACAACAACCCAGAACATATTGTAACATTCTCAGGGAGTTTAGAGACAACATAATGAAGGTATTTTCAAGGTTTGGGGAGCTGCTTGGAACTTGATTTTGGACAAAATGGAAGGAAAACAACCATCCTTTACTGAAAACCATTTTTCTTCTGATTCTGAGAAAGCTGCTTTGCATTTACTCTCTCGTTTAATTCTCCCATCCTTCCTTCAATGTAATTTCTATTATCCCAATTTATAACTAAGAAACAGAGACTCAAAGAGGCTAAATGATTTGCCTAAGTTTACATGATTAATGAGTGCCACAGTTTTTGTGGAACAGAGACTTGTTTGAATCTAAAACTGTTACTCTTTGCAGTAAACCACAATGAAACCTTAGCTATATATCAGTTCTCCACTTTAAATTTTATGGTAACTCAACCTCTGAAAAGGATCCTGCAAATAGCACAGTTTTCAGTTCTTTTCTTGAGAGAAGGCAGGGCTTTCATATGGACATGATAAAGAAGACAGCTCTTAGGATGTGGATATAAGATTGCATTTATGAACTTTACTTTAGTATTTGACAGAATGGGGTTTTCCTCACATGCTGCTGTGTGTTTTTGTTTAACCTAATCTGAGTCTCATTAGGCAGCTTGATCCAGAAGACAGAAAGGTCTCCTCCACAAGATGCACCTTATGAAGCAAACAAACCAATGAAATGCAGTAACTCCCTTCAAACTTTTGTAAGCTCTGGAAAGCCAGAAAAGACAGCTATTGTAATATATTTTGCCAGGCCAGCTGTTATCATCACAAACAAGCCTGAAATAGCAATGACTTTTGAAATCACAGCACATTTATTTACTTCTTAACTTTTCCATAGGTTTGAAAGCTTGCTCCCTCCCTTTTTATCATGCTAAACTGTAGTTGCTAACAACATTCTATTCTGGGTGGGAATTAGCTTTGGCATAATTAAGAATGGAGATGGGGGTGGATAAAAGAGGTTCTGCCAAAGGACTTGTCTTATATGATTTTATTCTTACTTTTAATCTGTTTTATTCTTTAAGCATGTATTAACTGCCTACTACGTACTCAACACTGTGCTATGTGGGAAAAATATACTAGAACAAGGGATGGTCAACTTTTTCTGTAAAGGGACAGATGGTACACAGCTTAGATTTGTGGTCCATAAGGTGTCTGTTGTAGCTACTCACTCTGCTCTTAGATAATACACGAAACACTCAAGACTCCACCATAAACAATACATAAATAATTGCGTGTGAATATGTTCCAATAAACTTTTATTCACAAAAACATGCAGTAGGCTGGATTTGGTCTGCGTGCCACAGGTTGCCAGCACCTGTACTAAAATGTCCCTGAAAATAGAGAACTTTGTTTTGTTCATTGGCTGTGTCACCAGTGCCTAGAGTAGTACCTGGCATGGGATAGGTGACCAGTAAATATTTGTTGAATGAATGAACTTATAAATGAATGAATGACTCAGACTCCTTCTCTGATCTCTTCTATACTTAAAGAGAGTACAAAGAACTGTGGGAGGTAAAAGGTACTTTCCTGGAAGAGAGAGTGTGGAGGGTCATGGAATCAGTTGGTATTTGAGCTGGACCCTGAAGAATAGGTAAGTATATGTCACCAGCGGTGGTAGGAGAAGCACACTGCAGGTAGGAGAAACATGCAAATAGGATAAGAAGCAGGGCACTTGTGGTGAATAATGAGGAGATCAGATGTTTTATAACAGGAGTTTCCTGACTTGCTTGATCTTCAAAATCACCTGTTATTAAAAATAGGTTCCCAGTACCCTCCCTGGAGATTCTGATTTTGTAAGACAGGGTTGGCCAATGATAATTTACAAAATAAATATTTGAAAAGGTGTATGGCTTTGGAAAGTTATACTGGAACCATTTCTAATGGGAAATAAAGTTCTCACTTTTCTTAGTAAAAGGACTAGTATCAACTAGTAATTGCTGGACCTATAATTACCCTATACCTTCTGTGCCATAGAATGGAGGAAGTGCCCTGGCGGAAATCTACCCTACTTAACTGCCTGTCTTCATACGTCCCCTGTTGATGTTGTAGGAGTACCCCAGCCTTTATGATGGAACAGTGTGTAATTTAGTCAGTAAATTGTAGTCATATAAATTATAATAAATGTATCAAATTTGTAGCTACTAGCTTTGTTGCTTTTGAATTTCTGGGTTGGCAAACCTCTCAGAGGGCAAATAGATTTAAATGGCGTAATAGAAAATTTGCATTCTCTTGCTGTACCTCCAATTCAGAGTGTAGTGTAATGCCCAGATTTGTTTGTAGACTAAGATCACTGGAAGGGCTGTATAGTTTAAGCCTCTTTTTTAATAATGGGGGGAAATCTGAAGCCTAAAAGGTGGGCAGGGACTTGCTCAAGTTCTGTCACCAAATTATTTTGGCAGAACCAGGAGTATAATGCGAATGTTAAGTTACTAAATTTAGTTTTCTTTTCATGGTGCCATGCCACATGTATCAATAAAGTTCCTAATTTACATACTTTCTCTCCCCTTTAAATCTCACAGCTTTTTGCTCATATACCTCTTGTGTACTGCTTACCATAAAGTTATATCTTAATATCTTATCCTGAACGAGTAGCCCACTGTTATCCCAAATAAAGGCTGAGCTCTGTTTCCCTGGAGAGCTTAACATATTTCCTGGCACTTAGCATGTGTTCAGCAAATAATTGTAGACTTGAAATATCTTGAGCATCTTTTCTTTTCCCATGTGTTTTGACTCAAGTTCCTTTGCAGTTATATTGTCAGAAAAGTCAAGCTCTTCCAGAATTGCTGAAATACAAAGATAATTTCTCTTAAGCTTCCTTAAAAAAGTTGAATTCCCTATTATGGCTGAGACCTTTCTTAACAGCTCTTCTGATAGTTAAATGTCAGTTGCTTCAAAAAAGAAATGTCATTAAATTATCAGGGAAATAAATTACATATTTATTTGGGCTGAAATATTTTAATTGACCACTTAAAATAAAGATAATAGCAAAAGACTGATACATTTCCTAGCTTGCACATTTCTCTCAATTGCCAGGACTTTTTTGTTTATATCTCTTAGGAGATTTCATTTTTATTTCTTCTGCATTATGGTTATATATGTGCTTTTGACTCTCCCAGTGGGTGATAAGTTCTTTGAAGTCAATGTACTTAAAAAAATTAATCTCTATATACCCACAAAGCCTAGCTCTGTAGGAGCTAAATACTAAATATATTTACTTTAAAAAAATTGTTAGGAAAAGGTCAGTGTTACCTTGATTTCAGTGTTATTTTGCAGCCCTCAAGTCAACAACCATTTTACTGAACATCCAGCTTTGTGCCTTTCTGTGAGCTTAACATTGGTAGCAGGTGTGGATTGGGACATAAAAAAGTAAATAAAACATAGTTAAGTTGACATAACCCATAAGTATAATGTGATGTGGAAATCTGAGATAGGTACAAATAACCTGTACTAGAATCTGGAGGCAGGTTAATTCTGACAAGGTGAGTCCAGAGAGGCTCACAAAGTGTCAATATTTGAGATGAGTTTTACTGGGTCTTGGTCTTCTATTTCAGTTGCTGGTTTTGATTTTTCTCAACGCAACACACACACAAACACACAGATACACACACACACGCAAAGTGATTTGTTTTCTTTTTATAATCTCTTTGACTATAGACTTAAGAGAACTGCCTTTATGTAAGATTAAAGGAAAAGAGGAGCAGGTTTTATTGTGTTATTTGAAGGTTTTTCAGAGTCTGAAACACACAGCGACCGAAAGTATTTGGGATGGATGATGCCAGTAGTGTCATGAAACAAAGTACGTTGGCCAGAGAGAGACATATACTATTGTAAATTAACGGTGTTCTTTTCCAAGGATTTTCTCGTTTACCTGTTGTTGTCTTCAATAGTTTAATTACACTAAATATTCTCGTTGGTGCGGGGAGCATAGTATGGTGGAGGAAGTTTCAACTTTGAAGTCAGACAGTTCTGTTTCTGTACCTAACTTTTCACTTATTGTATATGTGACTGAAGGCTGTTGCTTATCCTCTCTAGGGTTGTTTCTTCATCCTTGAAAAATGTTGTGTTTTCTTTTTCTTTTCTTTTATTTTTTTTGAGACGTAGTCTCACTCTTTCACCTAGGTTGGAGTGCAGTGGCGTGATCTCGGTTTACTGCAACCTGTGCCTCCTGAGTTCAAGCGATTCTCCTGCCTCAGCCTCCCAAGTAGCTGGGATTGCAGGTGTGCACCACCATGTCCAGCTAATTTTTTTTTTTTTGTATTTTTAGTAGAGACGGGGTTTCACCATGTTGGTCAGGCTGGGCTTGAACTCCTGACCTCAAATGATCCACCCACCATGCCCTCCCAAAGTGTTGGGATTACAGGTGTGAGCCACCGTGCCTGGCCTGAAAATTGTGATCATGGAAAGTACCTCACAGAATTGTGGGATGAATGGAGCTAATGTTTGCAAAGCTCCTATTTCAGTGTCCAGGATATGTTAGGCCATATGCCTACAGAGTCAGGCACATTTTCTTGAAACACAAAGCCCTTTATCTAGCTTAACCTCTTCCCACTTTAGAGTCGTGGGTGCAGGAAATATTTTGTTTTCCTCTTTACCGTAAGGAAAGTAACAGTGCTAGTGTGTTGTTGAAATGCCATGCTCTGGGCATGTGTTTGGGGAGAGAGATGCAGTGCGTGGTGGGGAATGGGAGGTGCTCAAGAGGGCATCCTCTCTGAAAGGGGTGACAGCCGCTTGGCGCTAGCTAATTATTGCCACGTGGAGATGCATCATTGCCAGATTTTTATGTAAACTCTTTGGTTTTTAAAATGTTGGCAGCTCATTCAAGTATTTTTAAAGCACTATGAGAGATACTTCCTCATGGAAGAAGAAAAATGCAACTTACAATCTTACTCAGTAGCATCAACTTTGGCTCAAAACAACAACAAAGCACGTTGTAAGTCCACACTGCAAATGGCAAACAGAACCCGTCTAAGGACCAGATTTGGCCTGCAGCCCTCAATTTGCATCTTCTGTGCATATTTTTAACTGGTAGAGATAACAGTAAATGATGGCAAAACTTACTGAGTCCTTTGCATGTGCTAGAAACTTTGCTATACTTTGCATATATCATTCAATTCTCACAATAACCCAAAGAGGTGTCTATTACTATTATTATCCCATTTTACAGACGTGAGCATTGAGGCTCAAGGAAATGAAGTATCTTTCCTGAGGTCACACAGATGAAATGTGACAGGTAGCTTTGAAACCAAAGCCTGTTCTCTTTTAAAATCATACATACCAGTGGATCTCAGTCCTGGTGGTATGTTAGAATGATTGGCGTGCCCTTAAAAACAGTGTTGTCCAAAGTCCACCCCCAAGCTCATTAAATCAGAATATCTGTGGGTGGGACTCAGACGTGGCTGTTTTTTCGAAAGCCTCAAATCAATGATTAGAAATAGCTGTAAGATAGATAAAATTTGTGCCTCCACATCTGGCACTACCTATCTCCTGTACTCTATTTTATTTTTGAGTATTTATTGTTCTCTGAAAATTATGTGCATCTTTACCTGTTTATGAATTTTCTACTTTTACCACACTGGGATGTAAGCTCCGTGAGCGCCAGGATTTAGTCTTTTTAAGTTGTTTGTTGTATCCCCACCTAGGTCAGTGCCTGGCACATAATAGATGCTCAGTAAGTATTTACTTGAATGAATAACTGGTTCTTCATCACAGGGAGCTTACACTCTAGTGAGGGAGATAGATAATACATTCTTAGTCCTATGAGATAAGCTCATAACTGGGATGTTCAATATGACTTTATTAACACAGGGAATACAGCTGATTATCTCTTAGACATTGTTAGGATAAATTGTTTCTATACGTATTGAATGGACTGTGGGGCATTTTTGGTCACCTGCACTACTACACTGGATCCATTCTGTGCTCTGGGGTGTAAGTGTGTGTGTGTGTCTGTGCGTGTGTGTAATTTCGGGAACGGGTAACACATTCGTATTACCTCTGTTTGGACACGATTTTTAGTGACAGAGCTAGGAATAACAGGTGGAACCTTCTAAGTTTTGTTGCTTAAATATCAGGCCCCCTCAGAATTCAGGACTGATGGTAGAGGATTTACCAGTTTACAGGGAATTCAGATATTCTCTTCTCTTTCTAGGAAAGCCAAATTGTTGGTCATTCTGCCCCCAACATTTACAGAAGCAGTTTCTCGGTTTTATTTATCCAAGATTCTTATGATGAATAGTGTTAATATCGCAGCACACTATGGGCTGTGATATGCCTATATCACAGAGAAGGCAAGCTGTGGTGAAGTGGAATAAATGAAAAACTGTCTATAACTCTGCTTCTAGATGCCCCACTTAAGCAAGTAAATGGGAATGTGAGTGACAATATCATAGGGATAACCTTGAAAGAGTGCTAGTTTTTAAACAAAAACAAATCATTTGGAACGTTAGGATTTAAACAGTTACTGATAATAAATTGCTTGTGACCCATCTGAAAATTGATGGATCATAGTGATAGTGAAAATATTTAACAACTGCTATGGCCCAGGCACCGAACAATCGAAACCAACTCCAGTGTAAACAGTGGTGCCATCAAGTATGCGCTGGTTGTCAGCCTTGCTGGTGGAGTCATTGTGTCACGATGAAGCAACTAAGAGCCAGTGCTGCACAAAGTGTTGAGAGAAACAAACAAAATCCAGGGTGCTCCCCTTATGCGGAGTAGAGAGTAGATAGAGCCTTGTTTCAGAACGATAAAACTTCGGTCAAGGACTTGATCTTCCCACTTATTGCTGGGGGCTCCAGGGCAAATCATTTGTTCTTTCTGAGCCTGAGTTGTTGTTTCTTCTTGTTCTTCTTGTTCTTGTTCTTGTTCTCGTTCTCGTTCTCCTTCTCCTACTCCTTCTCCTTCTTCTTCGTCTTCTTCTTCTTCTCTCCTCCTCCTCCTCCTTCTCCCTTCTCCCTTCTCCTTTCTCCTTCTCCTCCTCCCTCCTCTCCTTCTCCTTCTTCTTTTTCTTCTTCTTCTTTTTTTTTTTTTTTTTGATATGGAGTCTCACTCTGTTGCCCAGGCTGGAGTGTAGTGGTGCAATCCCTGCTCCTGCATCCTCTGCCTCCCAGGTTCAAGCGATTCTCCTGCCTTAGCCTCCTCAGTATCTGGGATTATAGACGTGCATGACCATGCTCAGCTAATTTTTGTATTTTTAGCAGAGATGGGGTTTCACCATATTGGCCAGGCTGGTCTTGAACTCCTGACCTCAGGTGATCCACCTGCCTTGCCCTCCCAAAGTGCTGGGATTACAGTCATGAGCCACCGCACCTGTCCGGAGCCTGCGTTTCTTCTAATATACAGTGGAGGAGAGTAATTTTTGCATTACCTACTTTGCAGGCTCTGGAGTTAGATTGAGCGCACCTGAAGCTAAGGTTAAAGATGATGGCTATGGGCATGATGACAGTAATTGTTCTTCTCTGGTTGGGGACTGATTGATGATCCCTGATTTCTCTGTTTAAACGTTGCCCAAAACAAAGGTTGAGAGGTCCTTAGGGGAGAGGCGAGATAAGCAGAGGTAGGACTTGCCTTTCTTCTGTGCTTCTCCAGAATTAGTTGTGTCCTGTGGCATCCACAGACAAAAATTGAGCAATCTCCTTCATAGTTGAGATTGTATAATTCGATAAAATAGGTTTAAATAGCCTTATGCCTGTATAATATTCATGAAAAGTGTCATGAGTGAGGTGGCTTGCTTGTTTTGAAAATGGGCTGATTTTGACAAAGGGGAAAAATCGGGATTCATTTACTGTAAGTTGAAAGTAAGAAACAACAAAGTTGAATATTAGAAGAACTTGGCTATCGCAAAAACCACATACTTTCACATCAGTAAAACATGGAGTTCTGATCTGAGTGAAATGTGAAACTTCTTGCAGACCACAGAGAGTAAAAAGGAGTACTTTTGTTTCATTATTAATACCATTGTCCTTATTTCTTTAAATGAGAATTGATAATACCCATAACAGAATCTTTCACACAGGCCAAAAACAGAAAGATAAATTAAACAAAACAAACAAACACCCAAAACCTCACCACCACCACCATGACTGCCAACAAAACCCAGTGCTGTGAGGATGCATCAGCTTTAAGATCTCTTTAAGTCATTGTGTTCTAGAGAAAGGGGTTCTTTATTTGTTTCTATCAGGATAGAGTGAGTTTTTGTTAAAGTTGTCTTTCTTTTTTTTTTTTTTTTCTTCTTCTGGAAGACTGACGAAGTTGGCCTTTTGGGATATTACAAGAAAGATAACTTTGTCTTCTAATGTCTGCAGTGATATGAGGCAGGTGACTGTGTGTATTCTGTGGTGATCCATGTTCACAAGGAGAGACAGGCCAAGGATGCCCGGTTGATGAGTGCGCTATAGGTGCTTGGGAGTGAGAAGGCAAGAAAGCAAAGTGAACTTAAAAAATAGCTAGCCAGTGGAATTGAGGGAGAAATGCTCATTCTTTGCTGACACATGAAATAATTGTTGAGGGAGAGTTGCTCAATCTTTGCCTACACATTGAAATAATTGTGTTGAAGAGTCTATGAAAAGGGGGTCAATAGATTTGAGTTTTCATCACTTTGGCCACCACCTAATTATAGATGGCCTCCACTGTGAAATATGTGAGTTGAAATAGATTTTTTTAAAATTCATTTTCTGGACTGGCATTTAGAATTTGAGTTTATTCAATCCTTGCTTCTTGGGCAGTTAGGGTGTCAATGGCAATAGGAAGGGTAGCTGAGGCCAGAGTGGTGGGGGTAGATGTTGGGTGGAATGTGTGTGGTTGAGCAGAGCATTATTATTATTGCTATTATTATTTTTTAAAAGAATCCTTATAGTAAAGAGAGCCAACATTGATTGAATATATGTTCCTTGCCAGAACTTGGGCTAAGTGCTTTATTATAAGTTATCTTATTTAATTTTCACAGAGACCTGTTGAAGTGTAAGTTTTAGCTTTCTGTTTCACAGCTGTGGAAACTGAGGTGCTGAAAGGATGAAGAACTTCCAAAAAGTCGAAGATATTAAGCAGCTGTATTAGTCTTCAGATCCTGATATCTTTCTCATAGTTATTCTGATATGCCGTATTAAGTTGCAGAATTGAGGCCGGGTGCAGTGGCCCCAATTTTTTTTTTTTAGTTATTCTTATTTTCTAATTATTTTATATGCTCTCTCTCTCTCTCTCTGTCTACTGTCAAATCCCGGCACTATGGGAGTCTGCAGTGGGAGGATCTCTTGATGCCAGGAGTTTGAGACCAGACTGGGCAACATAGTGAGACCCCATTTCTACAAAAAAATGAAATAAAACAATTAGTTGGTCATGATGGTGTACACCTGTAGTCCTAGCTACTCAGGAGGCTGAGGCAGGAACATTGCTTGAGAGTTCAAGGCTGCAGTGAGCTATGATTGTGCTGCTATACTCCAGCTTGGATAATGGAGCGAGACCCTATCTCTAAACTAAACTAAACTAAACTAAACTAAACTAAACTAAACTAAACTAAACTAAACTAAAAGTAAGATAAAATAAACTTACGGAGTTGGAACATTGCAGGCTATCTATCTGGCTTCCCTGCCCTGAATTCATCGTTCTCTTTGATGTGCTATTGTCCAACATTTCTTTTTTTTTTCTGTTTTTTTTCTGTTTTCTGTCTTGCTGTCACCCAGGCTTGAGTGCAGTGGCCTGATGTTGGCTCACTGCAACCTCCATGTCCCGAATTCAAGCGATTCTCCTGCCTCAGCCTTCTGAGTAGCTGGGATTACAGGCACCCGCTGCTATGCCCGGCTAATTTTTGTATTTTTAGTAGAGACAGAGTTTCACCATATTGGCCAGGCTGGTCTCGAACTCCTGAGCTCAGATGATTCTCCTGCCTCGACTTCCCAAAGTGCTGGGATTACAGGTGTGAGCCACCGCACCAGGCCTTTCCAACATTTCTTTAAAGAAACTAAAAATTAATTTGAATAAGTAACACAAAAATATAGTTTAAACTATAGTATAAAATTCAAAACTATGCAATGACAAGTACATCTTTATTTTATCTCTTTACTTCTCCCACCCAGAGGAAAGTATAAGTTCTTTATATATCCTTTTAGAAATAAACTGGGTATAAATAAGCATGTGTATACACACACACACAGAAACACACACACAAACACACACAGATATGTATTTATATTCCAGTGTATATAAATACATTTATATACATGCCATTTATATACACATTTGCATTTCTGTTATTAGCGACTCTAAACACCATTTGAAATGAGCCGTACCCATTTGTAATTCCGTTTTCTGAACTGTCCTTCACTTCCTTTTCCATTGGATTGCTGAATTTTTGCTTATTGATTTATTACAGTTAAGAAAATTAACTTGTAGTCTGTGACAGGAATTGTAATGCTTTACCATTTTGCATTTCTTTTTTAACTTGCAGATTAAAATAAAAAGTTTTATATAGTTAATCCTTTTTTGATTTTATGTTTCTTTGATTTTGTGTGATGCCTAGAAATGCCTTCCCCACTTTGTGATATTTAAAAAGAAATTTCCAATTTTTCTTCTAGTTATTTCTTCTGCTCTTTCTCAAATCTTTGAACCATTGAAATTTTATTTTGGTAAAAAATGTGAGGTTAGGATTTATTTTGATATTTTTCTGGATCTGCATTTCTAAACACTGTTTATTGAGGAGTCCATCTCTTTCACACTGATTTGAAAAGCTACCTTTATTGTATATTAAATTTCTTAATACTTAAGTATTTAATACTTAAGAACACCGTGGAATACTATGCAGCCATAATAAAGGATGAGTTCATGTCCTTTGTAGGGACATGGATGAACCTGGAAACCATCATTCTCAGCAAACTATCGCAAGGACAGAAAACCAAAGACCGCATGTTCTTACTCACAGGTGGGAATTGAACAATGAGAATGCTTGGACACAGGAAAGGGAACATCACACACTGGGGCCTGTCATGGGGTTGGGGGACGGGGGAGGGATAGCATTAGGAGATATACCTAATGTAAATGACGAGTTAATGGGTGCAGCAAACCAACATGGCACATGTATACATATGTAACAAATCTGCACGTTGTGCACATGTACCCCAGAACTTAAAATATTAAAAAAAAGAAAAAAAAAAGAATTTGCATCTATTTTTAGACTTTCTGTTCTATTCATCTGTCACTTCATGTGTCATTATTATGCTTTCAATTATTGTAGCTTTATAATATGTTTTATTATCTGACAAAGATTCCCCATTCCTATTAGTTTCTCTTTTTCAGAAAATTTCTGGCTTTTAATGCCTGTTTATTTTTCATTGACCTTTATAATGAACCTATCTAGTTCTGGCTGGGCGTGGTGGCTCACGCCTGTAATCCCAGCACTTCGGGTGGCTGAGGTGGGCAGATCACTTGAGGTCAGAAGTTCAAGACCAGCCTGGCCAACATGGTGAAACCCTATCTACTAAGAATACAAAAATTAGCCAAGTGTGGTGGCGGGCACCTGTAGTCCCAGCTACTCGGGAGGCTGAGGCAGGAGAATCGCTTGAACTGGGAGGTGGAGGTTGCAGTGAGCCAAGATCCCGCCACTGCACTCCAGCCTGGGTGACAGAGTGAGACTCCGTCTCAAAAAAAAAAAAAAATAAAATAAAATAATGTAAAAAAGTTCTGTTGATATACTTATGAGGTTTGCTGGGTTTATTTGTTAGCATTACATGCTATACATTGTAAAAATGTTGATTCTTTTTCTTGGAATACTAATGCCTTTCCATTTGTTGAAACCTTCTTTGATGTTCCCAGGAGCACTGAGATTTTTCTTCATGTAGACCGTGCCTGTTTCTAATAAGTTAATTTTGTAGATATTTTCTACTTGCTCTAGTTAATGTAATTATTTTCTATTTCATTTAATTATATGTGTGTGTGCCTCTGTGTTTGGGGTCTGGATTTCAGTACATTGATTTTCTGCTCAGCCACTTTACTGAATTGTCTCATTATTTGAATAATTTTAGATAAATTTTTTTTGAGTTTCTAGTTAAGTAAGTATATTATCTGCCAATAATTTATCCTTTCTTTCCAATTTTTACAACACTTATAGCTTTCTTCTAACTGTACTAATACCTCTAGAATAGTAAATATTAAATAACTGTGGTTGAGTAAATGTCCTTCTTTTGTGTCTGAGTTTAATGGGAATGCTCATAATGTTCCCTGTTACTAGTGACATTGGCTTTCGATTTGAGAAATGTATTGTGTTGAAAAGTATCCACACTTATTTTGATAGTGTTGTTATTGTTGTTGTTTTAATTGAGACTGGTTGTTAAAAGGTTATCTAGCTTTTTTTTTTAAAGAAACTTTGAAAGTAATCATATATTCTAAAAAAATTTTATGTTTTTCTCTTTTGTCCTGTAAATTTGCTGTAATATATGAATAAAATTTTCAAACATGAAATCTTGTTAGTATTCTTGCTAAAATAATTATCAACTTGTTCATTGTTTCTGTATTATATATTTTTAGTGTTGCTAGATCCTAGAGATCATTAATATATTAATGATCTGTGCTTCAATTTTCATAAGTGAGATTATTTGAAAATTCTGTGTGTGTGTGTGTGTGATCGAGACCATCCTGACCAAAATAGTGAAATCTCGTCTCTAATGAAAATACAAAAATTAGCTGGGCATGGTGTCATGCGCCTGTAATCCCAGCTACTCGGGAGGCTGAGGCAGGAGGATCGCTTGAACCCGGGAGGCAGAGTTTGCAGTGAGTGAGATTGCGCCCCTGACTCCAGCCTGGCGACAGAGAGAGACTCCATCTCAAAATAAACAAACAAACAAACAAGGAAGCTTTTCTTTTTTCTTTATTTTGAAATAGTTTGATAACATTTACATGGGTTATTTCTTTAAAATATGGTAGAATTCCCTTGTGAAAATACCTTCACTTATTGCCTTTTTTGGAGTGAAGAACGGAGTGAAGAAAGTTATTTCTTTAAAATATGGTAGAATTCCCTTGTGAAAATACCTTCACTTATTGCCTTTTTTGGAGTGAAGAATGTGTTTGCTCTTTAAAATTTTTTACATTTTTTTTCTGTAGTAATTGGACTAATTAGCTTTTATATCTATTCTGTGATTACCTTTGTTAAATTATAGTTTTTTTAGGGAAGTCACCTATTTCAAATTCATTTGCATGGTGTAAAATAATTTCTCATGATTGTTTTCATTTCCTCTGTATTTATGGTTATATTTCACATTATTATTTAAAGTTTTATGGATTTCTGCTATGTGTATCCATCTTTCTGGCTAAAGCATCAGAGTTTAATTTATTATTTATTTAAAAAATAGCTTTTGCATTTATGTGTTGGCTCTACCACTTTGTAATTCTTTATTTTCTCTTTAAAATCTTCAATAATACCTTCTACTTTTTCTAGGTTTATTTTGTTGTTTTTCTCATTGTTTGAACTTGGCTCTTAATTTCCATATTTTTATTTCTGCTTTTTTATTCATATAAATAAGATATAAATTTTCCTGTAAGAGATGCTTATTTGTATGCCTTAAGTTTTGCTAAATAGTGTTTTTAATCTTATTTTTTAGTTATTTGACTATGCACAGGTTCTTAAAATCCCAGACCCATTAGAATGTAAGCTTTGTAGGGACAGGAACCTTGTCTGTTTATTTATTTTGGGTCTACCGTTGTGCCTGTCATATATTTCTTAAGCACTTGCTAATGTGCTTAAGAAATGCTTTTGTGTGAATAAATAAATCTCCAGGGAATTATGGAATTTGTGGCTGATTCAGTCCTGTAACTCTAGTTCGTTTCTGCCTCATTTGGATATTCTCTCTAGGTATCTACTAATGTGTAGGAATAAGAACATATTAGACATGCTTCAAATTACCTTTTTAGGTCATGATATTAATAGATTTATTTTAAAAGTCTACATAGTTTTTCTCAAATCAAGTATACCTGGGTAAAAATGTCTTTCTAAAGATTAGCCTGTCTGGGCGCGGTGGCTTACGCCTATAATCCCAGCACTTTGGGAGGCCGAGGCAGGCAGATCACCTGAGGTCAGGAGTTTAAGACCAGCTTGGCCAACATGGTGAAACCTGATCTCTACTAAAAAAATACAAAAAAACCAGCCAGGCATGGTGGCAGGCACCTGTAATCCCAGCTACTCCGGAGGCTGAGGTAGGAGAACCATTTGAACTCAGGAGGCGGAGGTTGCAGTGAGCCAGGATCGTGCCATTGCACTCCAGCCTGGACGAAAAGAGTGAAACTCTGTCTCAAAAAAACAAAACAAAACAAAAAAAAGATTAGCCCAATCTATTTCTAGCTACTTGGGAGGTTGAGGCAGGAGGATCACTTGAGCCTAGAAGTTTGAGGTTACAGTGTGCTATGATCATGCTACTTCACTCCAGCCTGGGTGACTGACCAAGACCCTACTGGAAGAAAAAAAAAATAAGAATTGCTCAAGAAAAAATACAGTTGAGTAGAATTAGAATGCTAGCAGTGTTGCAATAGCAGAGATCACATGATGCCCATGATGTTTGTGACCTTGGACACTTTAGGCTAAATTTTGCACAGAAGCCCAAGTCCAGGATAGAAATGATAACGATGAACCTGCTGTAGTGCAGGGAAAGATGCAGAGCTGGGGGGAAGCCCAAACCCCTACTGATGGCCACTTTTTCTTCTGACCTCTTCCTATGTCTCATTTAAAAACCAGTAGCTTTACTTCGAAAACTCAATTTTCAGATGAGAATCAAAACAAAAATGCAAAGAAGGCAAATGATTCATAAAAGTTGCTGAGTGAATTAGAACTATAATGTGGGACAAACACTCCGCCTTTCTGTCTCTGCAGCTAGTGGTATTTCCAGGTTCCCAGGGAACCTCCTGTCCCTTGCTCCACTGTGCATTTTTAGATGGACCTGATATTTGGTTACCTCCCTTGTCAGGCCCAACAATCCTTGCTAAGGCACAGACTTGTGTATTTGCTGATCCCTGAGGGGAAAGCTGTGATTCAGGCTCTGAAGTCTAAGAATTGCAGACTTAGTTTCTTGTCTCCCGATGAAACTGCTAATCTGGGTGCCAATGGTGTTTCTGCTACATGGACACCTGCCCACACAGCATGATTAGAAATTATAATGATGACGACGATGAGTCTTCCAGGACACCCACGTTCTTTGCAAGATATTTCTGCTAATCGTTTCTACCAGAATCAGTTGGAAAACTTTTTTTTTTAAGTTTTTTTTTTTTCTCTGTATCTAAGTCAACCAAAAATGCTGGTCTAATTCAGGTATAGATTAAAGGTTTGTCCTCACCATTAATGGTGTGTTATTATTCATGCAGGGCATCCTAGAACCTTGGGCACATAGTGTAATGGAAAGCACGCTGGGCCAGGGAGATGTGGATTCAGGCTTGAGCAGTGCCAAAAATTTTCGTTATGGCCTTGGTAAAGGTGATTTCCCATCTCTGTGACTTTGTGTCTCCTTCTGTTAAATGGGCATTCAAATCTTTTGTACCTAACTTATTAGGGCCCTGATAATCAAATTAGCCAATAAGTAAGAAAATGTTTTCTTAACCACACTGTAAATTAAGAGGATTCATATTGAAATCACTTTTCCATTATTGCTGTCTTAGCCTGCTAAAGTTATATTTAGTGTAGTGCAACTAAGCAGGGTTGTGAGAGCTGGGAAGGTAGACTGTTGTATTGGGCAGGGTCAGGGCAGATAAAGGACCAAAATAATGCCTGAAATGCTGTATTAACCTGCTCTACCTTGAACTGCTGTCTTGAATTGGGGGGAAAAATGAAGCTCTGAGGGGATGGTGCACAGGGAGAAAAGAGAGAATCTCAGGAATTGAAAGTCTCAATGGAGAAGAGGTGGGAGAAGAATAGGAGGCTAGAGTGAGGGCATGTGATCGTGGAGTACCGATCTGGAGACAAGAGAAGAAAGTAGAAAAATGCCAGCACTGTCTTTGGACCCTGTGTATCTGGAGTGTGGGAGGACAGGCAGACACAAATAGAGAGGCTCTAGGGAAAACAGCATTCTCATAGAAGATCCTTCTCCACAAAAAGCCCTCCAAATGTCCTCCAGGAGGGTAGAAGCTGGTTTTAAAGCTCCTCAGGGTCAGGAAGATCCTTCTCTTATTTTTCTTTGCATCGTGCAGTTTAATTTAGCACAGTACTTTGCTCACAGCACTTAAAAAATTATTCTGGGCCTTGCTTTTTAATTTTAGGCCCAAATACCTGAAAAAATGTTCAGGAGGAATTCTGATAAGAAAGAGCTAACTTAGGCAATTCCATTTCTTTTTTTGGTTCACTGTTTCCTCATCTGAAAAGTGTTGGGCTCCATGACGTGGTTTCTATGACACTCAGTACCTTTGTTGAAGAGAAAACATTTTTCTAAAACTAGGATTTCCAAAAAAACAAAAAAAAAAAAGAAAAACAAAACTCATGAATATGTGGATATTTTTGTGATAGTGATGAAGGTTTGGGAATGGAGTAGAATGTTTCCTAAAGTCCTTTTCTTTTAGCAGAAGACTTGAGTTTGTAAACTCGGCTCATATAATTTCAGCTTGCCTGTCTACCTTCCTTCCATCTACCTACCTACCTACTTACATAAGTACCTACTTATATATGGAGAACACGGTGGAATTTAATTTTTCTTATTCTTTTCGACTTTGGTTGGCTTGGTGAATCAAGTAAACTGTGTTGAAGAAAAACTAACTTTTGAGGGAAAAAATTGAAAAAAAATTATGATTCTTTTTTTTTTTTTTTTTTTTTTTGAGACGGAGTCTCGCTCTGTCGCCCAGGCTGGAGTGCAGTGGCGCGATCTCGGCTCACTGCAAGCTCCGCCTCCCGGGTTCACGCCATTCTCCTGCCTCAGCCTCCCAAGTAGCTGGGACTACAGGCGCGCGCCACTACGCCCGGCTAATTTTTTGTATTTTTAGTAGAGACGGGGTTTCACCGTTTTAGCCGGGATGGTCTCGATCTCCTGACCTCGTGATCCGCCCGCCTCGGCCTCCCAAAGTGCTGGGATTACAGGCGTGAGCCACCGCGCCCGGCCAAAAATTATGATTCTTTGAAAAGGATTTTTCTCAGGTTAGTTTATATAGTTTCACAGATGCTTGAGATAAGGATTAGAAAGTTCAGACACTGAATCTCCACAGACCCCTGTGAATGTGTTGGCTAAGCACCTTGTCTTCTCAGGAACACACACTGGAACAGACTTTCTTTCAGTAAAACAGGGCCAGAATAGTCTTTGAAACATCCAACGGTGGTTTGGGAAGAGGATTCTCTATATAATGCCTGTCCAAATACAGAATAAAAATTTTCAACAATTAGCAAAAATGTGGATTTTTCAGTTACCAATTCCTTATTTGGCACAGTTGGTCTTTCTCATCTTATTCATTCATTCATTTATTTCATTTTATTTATTTACTTTTAAAATACTTGTTTAATTCACCTTTCTTGCTCCCATTGAGCCTTTTAACTAATCAAATGCATTTGAAATGCTATTAATTTATGATAACAGTAAGACCCAAGACATCACTTTATGTAATATCTTGTATTGTAGTTCATTGTTGTCAGCTCTTTTTCTGATGGGGTTTTGATTTAGCTGGAGGCAGTTTAAGGGTGTTCATTCCCCAATAATGTTTGTCTGTTGAAGCTGGTGAGCTAGACTAACAGTACAAAGAGTTCCTGTGTACCCTTCACCCAGCTTTCCCTGATGTTAACATCTTATATAACCAAAGTATGTTTAAGCAAAGAAATTATCATTGGTGTAACATGACTAAAGAAGTGATTATATCTTTTATTGGCAGTTTTCCAGTTTTTCCACTAATGCCTTTCGTTTTTTTCCTAGATCTAGTTTAGGATGCTGCTGTGCATTTAGTCATCCTGTCTTCTTTGTCTCCTCCTGACTGTGGCTATTTCTCAGCCTTTCCCTGTTTTTAGGACCTTGACACTTTTTTAGTGTAACGGTCAGGTATTTTGAAGAATGAGTGTCTTGCAACTTGAGTCTGACTGATGCTTTCTCATGATTAAATTGGGGTTTTAGATTTCTGGGAAGACCACCACAGAGGTGAAGTACGCTTCTCATTGCTTCATATCACAGCGTACATGATGTTAATGTGAGTTATTACTGGTGATGTTAATTGTGATAGTGGCCAGTTTTGTTTTATTTTATTTTTTAATAGAAGACCAGTTGTCTGGGACTATACACACTCCAACACATTTGCAAATTGGTGGCAATGATTATTGACTAGTCCTCAAACTACTAACTTCATGATAATGGAAAGCCGAAACTCCCAAATCACATGGACCTCAAAGTTCAATTAGAAAATTTGGTTAGGACCTGACGACAATGTTGCGATTTGCTACAGCCTGCCCTGCAGTCTCAACTCTGGGGTCCCCTCAGTGGTGAGCTCAGTCACAGTGCTGCTTCTGTGTATACTTACCCAGTAAACAACCCAGGCATTGGGGCCTGTCTCAGAAACCACATCTCCAATAGAAAGGAGAACACTTGGGAAAGCAGGAAGGAGTAAGAAACGGAACTCGCCCATTCCTGACAACTAATCCTTTTCCTTTCTAAGTATGGCTTAGTGGATGTCAGCCATTCACTGTTCAGGACAGGATAGGGATGAGGAGAGAATTCTTTTTCATTTGACAAGGACATTGAATTTTCCTTATCCATGGATCAAGACTAGAAGGTATGGAGAGGAAAAGGGCTTCTCATCTCTTTCTTTCAGTAGCTTCATGCACTGATGCATCGTACTTACTGAATGTTTTACCTTCTCTGTGCTCTTCTCAGAGGATGCACAGAGGATTGGGAAGAGGAAGTATTGGTGACTTGATCTAGAAAAAAGAGATTGTTTCAAGCCACAAAAAGTTTGAGGGTAAAATCTCAAGTCCTGTGTGTGATGAATCAGTAGAAAAGGTATCCCAGTGGCCAGTGTGAGTAAGCTGTCATATTTTCGGTAGTAATCCTTGGTCCTGTTTGATTTTCCTCATCCTCACATATAAGATGGAGCCATTTCTCCCTCTGGCGTTTGCCATCACAGTGTCCTGCAGTCTCTTGGTCTTGAGATAGAAGGTTGAGAGAAACACTTTGCAGTATTGGGAGAACTGGGTCTGCCTGTGGGAGTACTTGTATCTCAATCAATATTACAGAACTTGGCTCCTTGTTTCCAACAAATGTTTTGCTCTGTTCTCATCCTGGGAGTTGAAGGTTGAGGCGAGGTGGGAGATGTGCTGTATAATATGGCAGCCACTAACCACATGTGGCTGTTGAGCACTTGAAAGGTGGCTAGTGCCACATGTTGAAAAATAATATTTTGGATATATTTGTAAAATAATTTTTTTCAATGAGCCTTTTGAAATGTGGCTACTAGAAAATTTTAAATGGTGTATGTGGCTCCTATGATAATTCTATTGGATGGTGCTGGCTTAGAGCCTGGGAAGAACATGGATCAGAGTCAATTGACCTTGTGTTCTCCCCTGAGTTCTAATAATATTGTCATTAAAAGGAGAAGCTTCAACAGCCATAATTTTCATTTTAAAAAGTCTAATTCAGAAGAATTGGCTCATTTTATATTATTGCTTGGACTGGAGAAAAATCTGACATTTGGTATTTTCATAATTGAGAACATAACTTGCTGACTTAAAAAAAAAATCACAACATTTTGTGCTTGGCCTTAGGTACCAGCCTTTGAGCTCTTTGAAAATAGGGATTGGGTCTTTTTCTCTTTCTACCATCCTTTTTCCCCCAAAACCACACACTAACACGTAGAAGATGGTTAACTGGCATTTGTTGAAAACCAAAATAACTTTAAATAGAGAAAACTTTGTGAAGCTACCTTGTATTTATGGTTGGAAGAGTGAAATACCTTTATAAGGCATCCCATTTTCTTAAGATAGCCAGCAAAAATGAAGAACATTGATCCAAGTGTTTATTTACTTATTGATTTAATTACCATTCTCATCAGGTGTCCCTGTCATCTCAGCTTATGATAAGGAATCTTTTCAAGATGCTTCACCTCATCACTCTCTAGGTAAAGGGGGACAGAAAAGGATGCTGCTTACATATACGAATCCCCATCTTTGCTCAGATATTATGTCTAAGGGCCTAAGGACTGGATAATCTTATTTTTTCTGTGGCTTGATCCTTTCCAACATTTAATCTATGGAGGTTGTGAGGATAACAATGAAAAGGCAAGTTTAAGCTTGGACTGTAGATACTTTTCACTGGGTGGTTTTATTTTATTATGCTTCATTGTGAACCAGAGCCTCTGTGAACATATGACTTATAGGCCCTCAGGCTTCCACTGTGTCCCTTTCCCTGATTCGTCCTTCTTCACTGCATGCCCTGGTGTTGGGTGAGGGAGCAGGCTTTATGTGATGTCATTTTCTCAGAGCCCTGAGCTGGGAAATTCAAGAGTCTCCATGATTCCTAGTTAGGCATGGAAGAGACCCTAACTGGTCCCTCAGGAACATGTTTGGTTGGTCAGAGGTAACTCTTATAGAATCTATGATGGCTTAGTCGTTCACTCTTCCTAGAAAAGACCTCTTTAAAAAGGCCTTTTGGTTATATACGGCCTGAGTTTTAAGTAATATTTGCAATGTTGATTCTCTGGTAGAAGAGAATGAAAAGTTGTGAGTGCTCTTGGAAGAGTGCCGGACAGCTGTAGTGATGGGAAAAGTATTGGCCTTGGAGTCAGACCTGTGTTTACTTCCTGGCTCTGCTATTTTCTAGTTGTATGACTCTATGCAAGTAACTTCTCATCTCTGAGCATTAATTTCTTCACCTGTTTGACATAGACAATGTCTGCCTCACAAAGTTGTGATATGTTAATGTATGTGGGATACCTATCTCAGGACCCAATACTTAGTCTTTATAAAACACTAAATGAATTGGTTTTCTCATGTATGTCTTATGGTTTTGCTGGTGATGGACCAATAGTCATCTTCCATCTTCACTTTAGAGGTGGGGGAAAAGGGCATTAGAGTGATTGTGTGGTAAAATCCACTCTAATTCTAGCTGTGAGAAAAAGAGCGGTGAAAATGTGGTAAGCAATTGCTTCTAAAAAGCTTGGACTAAAAGCGCTTGATGGATTTGTGCTGGCTTCCCGGTAGACTCATCTCTGTACTGCCCGCACAGCACAATTAATTGTTGTTACTAGAGAAGGAACAAATAAAGAAAAGAGAGAGAGCAGACATAAAAACATCCTTTCATCTTTCTGAAGACAGTCCCCTTTGTCAGATCAGTGGAGCTGTACCTGTGAATCACCTTGGGAAAGCACAGTGTGGGTAACTAGAAGGAAGGTCTTGTGGCTCATTTTGTACCCACTTCCTGGGCTGGGGAAATATCTAAACTAACCTTTCTTACTTGTCAATATCTACTACCGTTCACCATGCATCTTCACAGATGAGGGCCTCTTTCTCACATCTTCACTCCAAACACATTACTGTGTAGACAGCCACTTATTTTCTGGGAAGAAAACTTTGCAAAGCAGTAGCAGAATAAAGTCGAGGGTAAACAGAGGCCATGGAAAAGCACTAGAGTTTGAGTGCAGAGACATGAGTCTGAGCATGAGCAGTGAATAGCTCATGAAACACTCAAGTTGCATTCTCCTTATGTGGAAATAAAATAAGTCATGGTTGTTCTATGCACGTGGCACCTGACCTTGGGTCCTTATTGCTATGCTGCTAGAGTCTATGAATCAAGATTTGCCAGTTGTGATCTTGAAATTTAGTCAGATTAAAAGGGAACTCTGACTTTGAGGGTGAATGCCCCAAGTGGGCATCTTATTCTCCTATGGATTCAGCTTGTTAGGCAGAATGGAAGTGGAGGTCATAGATTTTAGGGTTTTCTCCTGGGATTGAATCCAGCTGAAGCAGGAATGATTCTGGGTGAGCTATATAACGTCTCTGAGCATTAGTTTGTCATTTTCTTACATAGGAATAGAGTTATTGCCAGATTTGGAGATAGTACATGTTGCAATGTGGTTGACACAGAATAAGCTTTCAATAAATGATTGGTATTGTTGTTGTTGTCGTTATTATCTATAACTACAATAATTTCCCTAGCCTTATTTTATAGGGATAGGTTGTGGCAACATGAAATGTGACTTGGAAAACTGATTTGCACTAGATAGATAGAAACCATGTTTTTCTATCTATATAATGAACAATGTCATTTAAGAAAGCTTAGAGGCAATTCCACCAGCACCATCTTCTTTTTTATTTCCATTCCTAGATTATTTGCCCTCAAGTCTTTGGTAATTTCTTTTTGCCACATCTCTTGAATGTTTCTTCTTTACTATATTCCATCTATTATTACCATAAGTCCAACGTTCATCACCTCCTGCTCCACTGTTGTTCCTGTCTCCTGGCTCTCCTAGAGCCTTGGTTCTCAAAGTGTCATTCACAGAGCAGCAGCATCACCCGAAATGCGTCATCTCAAGATCTACCAAGACCTCCTGAAGCATGAGGCATGTTCACCCCCGTGTTGTAGGACCTCCATATAACTCATTTAACTACTTCTCCTGCTCAGAGTACATGCTTGGCCAGTGCGTGTTTGTTCTGCCTCCAGAATGTTTTCTGACTCTGATTGCTATCATTACTTCTTTTGAATCTACCTAAATTCAAGTTACCATCCATTGCCATGACTATGGCAATAGTCTCTGAAATTGTCTTCTACTTTTATGGTTTCCCCTTGTGGCCTTTTTCCACACCATCTGGAGAGATCTAAAATTGTTGGTCAGATCATATCACACCCCTCCCCTTAAGCCATACGGTGGCTGCTGTAGTATCTGCAGAAGGTCCCTGACTTATGATGGTTTGACTTACAATTTGTCCACTTCACACTGAGTTTATCTGGGTGTAACCAACCCCATAGAAATCAAGGAGCATCTGTAGAAATGTTTGAAAGGCCCTTTCATGGCCTGCAAAGCCCTGTGAGATGACTCTATGTTCTCTCCTTTTTTTTTCTTTCTTTATTTTTTTTGAGATGGAGTCTCGCTCTTGTCTCCCAGGCTGGAGTGCGATGGTGCGATCTCGGCTCACTGCAGCCTCCACCTTCTGGGTTCAAGCAATTCTCCTGCCTCAGCCTCCCGAGTAGCTGGGATTACAGGCACCAGCCATCACGCTCGGCTAATTTTTGTATTTTTAGTAGAGATGGGTTTTCACCATGTTGGCCAGGCTGGTCTCGAACTCCTGACCTCAGGTGATCCACCCGCCTCGGCCTCCCAAAGTGCTGGAATTACAGGTGTGAGCCACTGCGCCTGGCCTCTCTGCTTTTTTCATACCACTCATCACTTTACACAGTAATCTGTAGACACACTGACCTTCCTTTAGCCCTCTGTATAAGCCAAGCTTTTTCCCACTTGATCTTTCTCTGATTCTGTGCAAAACTGGCTTGGAAGTATCTTTCAAGGCTTAGCTCAAATGTTAAAGCCTTACCTAGCTCTTCCCCATTCTTTAGCTAAAGTAGCACACATACCCCCCTCCCCATCATTCTTCTGTCATTATCTTGCTTTATAGTCTACAAAGCATGTATGGTTCTCTAAAAGAGTGATTACCATGCTTTTGTTTTCTTTATGTACATTGCAAACTGTTTTGGTGAGAAATATTTTAGTAATAATAATAATGGTGAAGATTTAGTGAGTGTTTGCTATAGGCTAGGCACACTGTATGGTAAATTAAATAATTTAATAGATCATTTATTTGGATTATTTCATTCTATTTAGCTGATTATATATTTATATTTTTTGTGTTCCTCTTGTTTTAGGATATCAGCTTCTTGAGAGCAGGGTCCATGTTTGTTGCATCTGTATCTCCGCCTGTAGAAGATTCTCTGGCATAGGGATTTTTGTGCAGGAAGTGTTTATTCAGGAACTGAATGGATCTCAGAAGATTATCATTTGGGAATAGATCTACATGACAAGAAAGAACAAAGAGTCTCTCTCATTCTTTTTCCCAGATATATCCCGGGAGAAAATACCCTCGACTTTTTCTTATCTTTAATCTGAGAAGGAAGCAGTTGTTGGAATCTGATTTAGGATTGGCTCTAGTGGCCCTGTGTGCAGACACAGATCTTGGGATTCATCTGACCATTTGGGGAGAGAGGTTCTTGAGGGGCACCTTGATGATAACGAGTCTTTCTAAAGCTTTAAGTTTGGCGTTTGAGGTGGTTGGAAATACCAGGTCTTCCGACTTTTACGTTCTTTGTGCGCACGCTGGTGATGTGCGTATGTGAACCTTTATTATTATGGACTCAGCCAGCAGTAACCATGGTGAGTAGACCTATCACACAGCATTTTTCTGAGTCAGTTTAAAATGCTGACAATTAAATATACCGTACTCTTTTAAGCAATCCATCAGTCTCTCTTGTTGTCATGGTGACCGGAGTATATTTAGAAATGTGACAAGTACACTGAGTTCAATTGCACTTTTGCCAAAACATAGTTTTGCAGCTAAAATTGAATTTCCTGATTGAAGATCCAAGTGCTGTTAAGGGGGCATGATCGTTTCTATACATTATTCTGGAAGTATAACTTAACGTTATTCTGTTAAATCCACAGTTACGAGTCTTATCAGGTATTGATAGTTAAAGTGGTTGTACTTAAAGTTGATGAAATAAAGTGAAATAAAAGTGACATGATGCTTTTTCTATTGAAAATGAAACTGGGCCTTACTAATATAACTAGTTTAATGATTAGTTTCTTTATATATTTATAAAGACATTGTAGGTATGTACCTGTCTGTTCTTCAGAATTATATTTCTAATTTAAAATTATATATCATGGAGATCCTCCCCTGTTTCCTGCTTGTATTCTATTCTTAGTATTGTGAGGGCATTCTTTTTTCTTTGGGTCTGACCTCTGTTTGATAAGCATTCTTATTTTTCCTCAATCTCAATTCTTCTGGATTTTAAATGAAGTAAAGAGACACAATGAACGTGACTTTTTGCCCAAACAAAGGAAAAACGAAACTCTTCTCTTTATTCAAGAATGTAGATTAAATTCTTACTTTCTTATCATCCTCTGTCCTGTCAACATAGTGCTGAGAATGATGTTGTGTATCAACTCATTTGACCACATAAAGTTTAGGAATTAATGTAGTGGCTGGGTCATGATTACAACACTGATTTCATTCCTGGCCAAAGACTGATTCTTCTGCTCTTGAGGTGAGAAAAGCCAGTACTCCTGGATACTTTCGCTTCTCTATTTTTATCTAACTGAATGAGTCTGCAACTGGGATAGTTTATGAGCCTCTAATAATATACGGTTAGACTACCATTATCTCTTTCGTGAACATTGCCAAAAGTGTTTTTTTGGTAAGAGATATCTTAGTTATAATAACAGTTTGTAGGATTTATGGAGTGTTTACTACATGCTAGGCACTGTATATAGTAAGCTCCTTAATGGATCCTTATATTGGATCTACACAGAAATCTTATGAGGTAGTTCCCATTGTATTCTTATTTTACGTTAAAGAAACAGGTTTGGAGAGATACTGTCTTTTGAAGAAGCATATAAGTGGAGCAGTAGTGGAGTCTGAATTCTGATACAGGTCCTAGTAACCACTGCCTGTTCCATGGAAGGCACACAGTGAGTATTTTTTTTACTGACCAGTGGCCTCTTGTATGGTGACATCATACAGATGTTTCAGTGTTTCCAGAGGCTCAAGAAAGTAGCAGCTATATAAAGATAGACAGGTAGCAGCGTCTGAAAGTAGAGATGAGCTACTCTTTATCTTTCCTAGTGGTTTAGAGCCAAAGTAGATTAGTGCTAGGGAGAGAGGGAACATAAGTCCTGTCTAGTTCAGTGGTTTCATCTCTGAACTCCTTTATGTTCTTAAAAATGAGCTTTTGTTTGCATGCATTATGTATAATGATATTTACCATATTCAAAAAAGTAAGAAATGAAACTACAATTTTAATGAAAAATATTTGTATAAAAAATAAATATATTTGTGAAAAAATAGTGACAAAAGTGGGAGCTGGATTCTGCATTTAATTTGTTGTGAAATATTGTTTTGATTGATGTTTATGAAGAAAATCCAGTCTCTCACAGCTATGTATTTGAAAAAGGAAGGATAAAAAGTAATTGTGGATTTTCTTCTTTGATACTATACCAAAACTTGACAGTTTTCACATTACCTAAAGTTAGTAGTTTCTTATAGGTTAGTTTCAATGTGGAATGTGAAATCATATTAATGGACTTTTTATACCCTATTATATTAAAATCCATTGGTCAAATTTTCACTTTGATTGAGTCTCCTATGATTTTGTAAAATCATGCATTGGTCATTTAGAAAGTCGTTGGTCACTCACTTATTCAGTTCTTGCAAACACTGATCATTTCATTCTATAATATAAAAAGTCATCTTCATTAATATCACTGCTCATTCATCAAAAAAGCATTTGAAATATTAGAAAGGTGTCAAGTGCACAGTAGTAGATGTAAGGTTTTCAAAATTCTGATTTTTACTTGAAAACATGAATTTTATTTTTGGCTACAAATACTGTTGTTTTCCTTGAAACGATAAGCTCTCTTGCTTTATTTTTGAGAAAATCTCCGGCAAAACCCACATTTAAAGAACCATAGTTCGTCAGTCATTGTTTCAAATAAAAATGATGTTCCATGAAAAAAGCGATTGGTTAGCAGCTGTCAATTTAAACAGTTACACAAAGTGCATTTCTTAGAGACAATCATCGTAGTTTGATCTTCAGCAGGTGTTTCATGGTACTTCCCAGAGGTCACACAGAATGTAAAAAAGATGTGTACTCAAGAATATTAAAAATATGTCTACTTTTTGATTATGCTAACATTTTATGTGATCAGGTTTCTTTAGTAAAACCTAGTCAGACAGTACTCAAGGACTGAGATTTAATAAGATTGATACGTTTCAATGCATTAAAGAGAGTCTTAAGTGAAACTGGCTCCCTGTCCCGCTTATTGTATGTGTCTTACAGTGAAATCACTCCCTTGATTCACTTTAAGACTGCAACAGTTTTTTTACCCACTGTTATTTTTGTAGCATTAATGTAAATTTCAACACAGGGAAACGGCTTCTTAGTATGATTATGAAAATAATTTTGAACTTGTGGACTCTTGAAAGGTCTAAGGGACTCCTACACATGTATGGGTCACACATTAACAGCCACTCATTGAGTCCAGTCCCTTCATTTGACAGGAGAGGAGAGTGGTGGAAAGATGTGTCTAAGATGGCAGCACAAGTTAGTGGCGGAGCTGGGACAAGAACCTATTGTTACTTAACTCTTCTTTCTTTTCTTTTGATTTCCTGCTCCACTTTCAGGAATTTAAAGGTAACTCAAGGAATTCCAAACTTCTTTGTCAGAGATGGTGATGACAAATATATATAGTTTGTATATCTTTTATCTGAAATGCTTGGGATCAAAAGTGTTTCAGACATCAGATTTTTCCTAATTTTGGAATATTTTCATTAAACTTACTGGTTTACATTCCTGATCAAAAAACATGAAACCCAAAATGCCCCAGTGAGCTTTCAGCGTCCTGTCTGTCCTTGAAACTTCTGGATTTTGGAGCATTTTGAATTTCAGATTTTGGGTTAGGGATACAAAACCTGTATAATTATTGAACTTTTTGGGAATAATTCCGTTTTTTAAAAAATGTTAAACCTTTTGCATATTTTCCCTACTCTCCGCTCACCACTACTATCTCTTCTGCTTTTCAATGGTAACCACTCATGCCTTTTTAAACAAAACATGTGTTGTATTTGCCAAGACACAGGGGAAGCGAAGTTAAAGGTACAGTTGACTGTTCATTTTCTGAATAAGATGGAATTCTAGCTTTGTGGGGAAGGAAGAATCAGTGAGTTTTCGTTGAAGGACCCATGCCATTCTTTACCTAAATTAAAGTTGTTAAAAGTCACAGGAAAGAAAATTGTGCAAGCAATTATCATCCTTTATATCACTATAACCCATCTTACTAGGCAAACTGTGCCCTTTGCTCCCCAATTATTCTCTATTAAAGTTTCTTGCTCTCCCTCCCCATCCTTCTCTTTCTCTCTCCCTGTCTCCTCCCCTTTCCTTCTAGAAAGAGGTTGCCCAATAAAACTTGCTCTTAACTTTGCTTTTGGTTATGTTGATATTTTATGTGACTTGTTTTCTTCACTAAACAGTAGTCAGTCTATGAGACTGTATTGAAGAATGCTGAGAAAGTCAATAGAAGTGGACTTAGAATACTACATGTTCTTTTAAATATGTCTCTTATGTTATAGAGTAACTTTTTGGGGAGCTAAGGTTTGCAGACAATGCTGCGTGTGAACATATGTGAGTAAATCTGATAAGCTGTGGAAGGAGGCTTGCAAACTTTCAAATGTATTGTGCTTTCATTTTCAACTTAATTGGATGTTCTTTTGCAAGGTCTTGTTTTTTTCCTAGTTCTCATTCACCGTTCAGTTGCCTTCCCCCACCTGTGAGCTTTTTGAGTCAAACTTTGTTTATTAGCTTTTTTCCTGATTCTTCTTTCATGTCTTTCTTTCCTATCCCAAAGTATGATTTGATTAGACCTCAGGTTACCCTTCTGAATGAGCTCTTCCTCAATCCTAGGCCTGGCCAGGCATGGTGCCTCATGCTTATAATCCCAGCAACATGGTAAAACCTTGTCTCTACAAAAAACACAAAAATGAGCTGGGCATGGTGGCCCATGCCTGTAGCCCCAACTACTCAGGAGGCTGAGGTGGGAATATCACTTGAGCCTGAGAGGCAGAGATTGCAGTGAGCCGAGATCGTGCTATTACATTACAGCCTGGGCAACAGAGGGAGATACTGCCTCAGAATAAGTCAGTCAGTCAGTCAGTAAGTAAGTAAGTAAGTAAGTAAATAAATAAATAAATAAATAAATAAATAAATACGTAAGAATCCTAGGCCTTGGTGACTTACTCTTTTTAATTTTTTTTCCCACAAAACTGATGTGTTTTGCCCTTACTTTCACCAGAAGACCATTTAGTCTTCTTATTTTTTCTTCCTGAGACTTCTACATTTGTTTTTTTCTAGCCATTTATATTAGGCTCGCAAATTGCATAGTGATAGCTGATTGACCCCTTCAAAATGCCTGTTTTCTGCCTCCTTGTCTCAGCTTCTTGAGGATGGTGCTATCTCATGCTTGGTGTATCATAGGAGCCCCATGGATATGTTGAATAGATTTTGCTCAGGGGTCTCCTCTTTAGAGAGCGTTCTTCACATTTTTATCTGGAGATCTGAGCTTTTATGTATCTCCCACTATTGGGCTGCTAAATCTCCCAAACCCAGAATTGCAATGTCCATCTTTTAATGCAGACTCCCAGCCACTGCCAGGATATCACATGTCTTCTCTGACAGATGGCTATGTAGCCTCCACTTGAACTTTTGCAGCTCTTTGCAAGGCAATTTGTTCTACTGCTGGACAGCTTCATGTTTAATGTTTTCCCTTGTATTACACTAAAACTGATTTTCCCATTATTTTAATCCCCATATTTCTAGCATTGCATAGTTTGAAAAAGTATAATATTGCTTACACATGACATGTCCCCAGATACTCAAAGATAGCTCTAATTCCCCCATCTGCCTCCTTTCCTCCTTTAGACCTTCTCTTGCTACTTACATCCCATAGAAGGCTTTGGATGCTCATCCTCTTGGTGCTTTCCCCATTTCTACATCACTTTCTAGATTTTGGTCCTGATGTCCAACTCTAAGGGACTCCCTCAAGGCCACATTTTATCTCTGATGGTACTAGGAGCAGTATGAGTAAATGGTATGTGTATGAGTCTGAAAGCTGAGATATGAATTCTGGTGCTTATTAGATGTGTGAACTTGATTAGGTTACTTAATCTTTCTAAACCTCAGTTTCCCAAGATGCAAAATGAATATAATATTAAATTCCAAGACTATTTTTAAGGATTAAAGATATAAAATGCTTAGCTTAGTTACTAAAATATATTATGTTTAGCTTGATCAATTATTTCATCTTTTATCTATCCAACAACTCCTTTTCTTTTTCACACATGTGCACTTGGTTTTAAAAATTATTTCAAGAGTTCTTCCCTCCTCCTTTCCTTCTCTCTTTTCTTCTCTCTTTAAATTTTATAACGTATATACTCTTATAAAAGTTACCATCATGTTTAGATTTCCTTCTAAACTTTTATATCTAGAATTTAACATGATTTTCTTGACAAATATGTTTTCTTCTATGTGAATTTTCGCAGCTGCTGCCTACATTTCTGCTCATGTGTTTAGCCTCTGTTAATCTTCCTGTGAAAATTGTGACTTCATCCTGCCAATGGGTTAATGATGACTGGCTCATTGCATGTCACTTAACTCCTCGCTAAATGCTTCACTTGATCACTCAGTAACTTTACAATCATTTAGTTGTACAATACATTTAAAAAAATTAAAAGTTCAATTAATTTCAATTTCACAAACACTTACTAATCCCATCTTATATCACATGCATTAAACTAGGTGTGTGTTATAGTAGTTGCATAGAACATTTTGTTCATTTGCTCATTCATTCATTCATTGAATGTTCTTTTGAGTACATACTAAAGACCAGATGCTGGATAGACTTTGGGTTCGGATTCAAGAAGCTGTGTTAGACAAAGAGCCTCTATTCAAGATGCATGATCAACTAAAAGTGATAAAACAATATGGTAATTTTAGTGATCCAGATATAAAACTAGGCATTATGGTAGTTTTAAGAAAGGCTGCTTCATCGAACATTTTTGCATTAAGAAGCTTCTTATCGGGGAGACACTAAATGTTGAGTAGGGCCTCAGACTCTACTAGAAAGGTAAGACCCATATTAGGGCTTGGTTTTGTTTGATTATAAAGCCATTTTGTGAGAATCAACCTCCAGGCTCCATGTGTTATCTTTGGCTCCTCACCTTCACCCCCACCCTCCCACCCCAGTTGCATGCATGCCATATTTTTCCTTCTTCTTTTCAATAAGGAAGCATCAGAATCAACAGAATAACATAAAGATAGGTGTGGTGACATTATAGGCTCACTTCTGGGGCGTCATTATTACATTAATTTTTCTATATTTCCAAGTAAGAATAACAATGTAAGTACATAAAAATAATCTCATGATAGTAGAACATATTGCATAGTATTTCTCTATTCATCATTCCCTTTACTTCTTGTAGAAAAGCTTAGTGCTTGTGGATTTCCTTAAATAAGTGTCTTAAGCACTGTATCTGATCTGATAGATATTAGCACAACAATTGGCACTGAGTAATTATATTTGGAGAATTTGGAAGGAATTTTTTCTCTATTGCAAAGTGGTCATGCTGTGTTGTCTGCTTTTATTTATATCACAAGACCAGATCTGCCGTTAACTAGATGTCTAGGAAAGAGTTCCTTTACTACTCTGTGCCTTAGCTTTGTCACTTGTCAAACGAGAATATACTAGGAACAGTATCAGTTTTGCCTCACTGAGCTGCAGTGAAGAATAAAATCATTTATCTGTGTGAAAGGACAATGCATACAGATGGTAACAATTATAAATATTAAACTAAGCTTTTGAGTGACCGGATTGGCTACTTCTCTTAAAGTGAGTTCTGCTTAATTAGTTAATTCTTACTTATTGCCCCAAACTTTCTGAGATAGCTTCATGTTTTTTTCCTCTCTACCCTGAAGTGCCTGCTTGCAAGCACTATATGCTCAATGAGCATTTGTTGAATGAATTTTTTAAAAGTATTTACCTTTTTTGCTTTTATTATTATTTTAAATTAACACATAATTGTACATGTTTACGGGGTACAGTGTGATATTTTGATACATGTATACAATGTGTAAAGATCAAATGAAGGTATTTAGCATATTCATCACCTCAAACGTTTATTATTTCTTTGTGTTTGGAACATTCAAAAGCCACTCTTCTAGCTACTTGAAAATATACAATAAATTGTTGGTAATTATAGTGATTCTATAGTGCTGTAGAACACTAGAACTGACTCCTCCTTTGTACTTTTGTATCCATTTACCAACCTTTGGCTATCCTCCCCCTCCTGCTACTTTTCTCCACCTCTGGTGATCAGTATTTTACTCTCTATGTGATCGATTTCTTTCAGCTTCCACATATGAGAAAGGACATGTGACAAATAACTTTCTGCTTCTGGCTTATTTCACTTAACATGATGTCCTCCAGGCTTATCCATGTTACTGTGAATGACAAGATTTCATTCATTTTTTTATGGCTGAATAGTATTACATTGTAAATATATAACACATTTTCTTTGCCTGTTTATCTGTTGATGGATACTTAGATTGATTCCTTATCTTGGCTGTTATAATTAGTGCTGCAATAAACATGGGAATGCAGATATCTTATTGAAAATGTTTTTTTTTTTTCCTTTGGATATATGACCAGCAGTGGGATTGCTGGATCTTACGATATTTCTTTCTTTTTTTTTTTTTTTTTTTTGAGACGGAGTTTTGCTGTGTCACCAGGCTGGAGTGCAGTGGTGCTATCTGGCTCACTGCAAGCTCCGCCTCCTGGCCTCCTGGGTTCAAGCGTTTCTCCTGCCTCAGCCTCCCGAGTAGCTGGGACTACAGACGCGCGCTACCACGCCCGGCTAATTTTTGTGTTTTTAGTACAGACGGGGTTTCATCATATTGGCCAGGATGGTCTCCTTCTCTTGACCTCGTGATCCGCCCACCTTGGCCTCCCAAAGTGCTGGGATTATAGGCCTGAGCCACCATGCCCAGCCAATATTTCTAATTTTAGTGTTTTGAAGAACCTCTATACTATTTTCTATAATGGCTGTACTAACTTACATTCCCACCAACAGTGTATGAATTCCCTTTTCTTTGCATCTTTGCCAGCGTTTCTTATTTTTTTTGTCTCTGATAATAGCTATTCTAACTTGGGTTAGATGATATCTCATGGTGGCTCCATTTTCTGTATATGGATGTCCAGTTTTCCCAGCACCATTTATTAAAGAGATTCTTCTTGTTTCCTTTGTTGAAAATCAGTTGGCTGTAAATACGTGGATTTATTTTTGGGTTCTCTGTTCTGTCCCATTGGTGTATACGCCTGTTCAAGAACTATCTTGAATAAAAGTGGTAAAAGTGAGCATCTTTGTCTTGTTCCAGAGCTTAAAAGAAACCTTTCAATTTGAACGTGTCCAGTATGTTGATGACTGTGGGTTTATCATGTGAAGTGTTTATTATGCTGAGGTAAGGTATGTTTCTTTTATACCTGACTTGAGATATTATATCATGAAGGAATGTTGAACTTTATGAAGTGCTTTTTCTGCATCTAATGAGATAATCATGGTTTTTGTACTTTGTTTTGTTGAGGTAATGTATCACGTTTATTGGTTTACCTGTGTTAAACTATCCTTGTATCCCTCGGATAAATACCACTTGATCATAGTAAATGCTCCTTTAAATGTATTGGTGGATTCAGTTTGCTAGTATTTTGTTGAGGATTTTTGCATCTATGTTCATCAGAGATCCTGGCCTATAATTTTCTTTTTACATGTTTGTCCTTGTCTGGTTTTGGTATGAGGGTAAGAATGCATTCATGAAATTCTTTATTTTTGAGATTTATTCTTTTTTATTATGTCTATCTTTGTTGAATTTCTTCTTCATATTGTGAATTATTTTCTTGATTTAGTAAAATTGTCTATCTGTATTTTCTTGTATCTCACTGAGGTTCCTTAAGATCATTATTTTGAATTCCTTTTCTGGCATTTTATTGATTTCTTTTTTACTGGAGTCTGAAACTAAAGAGCTACATTCCTTTGGTGGTGTCATATTTTATTGCTTTTTCATATTTCTTGTGTCAGTGAGTTGATGTCTTTGCATCCGGTGGAACAATTACCTCTTCTATACAAACTTTCTGGAGTGGTTTTCATAAAAAAAGACTTCCGCTTGCAATTAGGGTTGGTGTTACAGTTGGGAGGGGTGTGATGACTTTGTTTCTGAATAGATGCAGTGATAGGGTCTCCATGCAGCTTCTAAAGCTACGTTCAATGTCAGCAATAACTGTGGGCACCTCAGTAGCTTAAGTTGTAGAAATTTGTGGCAGTGGTGGTGGTGGCATAGATTATTAATGTCCTCAGTGTCAAGGGCTTTTGAGGTCCTCCTATTCTTATTTTTTTCATAATGGGGAGATTTAGCCAAGGGGACTGCTCTTCATGTCAGATATCACATGACCTACAAGCAAGTGCAGTGGTGCTGAGTTCTAGGTGCAGGTGCTTGAAGTGGCTGTGGGACTAGAGTCTTATGCCCAGGATCTTGCCAACCTATTGTGACACCTGGGTCTTGGGTTACAGGTTCACTCTCTGTGCTAGGGTTGGATGTAGGCTTCCCACAGAGCCAGGATTTGTGACTCTGAGACATTACTCTACAAACTCAGTCCCAGCTGTGAGTGGCTCAACTCCAGGAAAGAAGGAGTGCAGGGAAGTTTGGACCCAGAGAGCAGGATATGCCCTGATTTGGCAACATGAGCCAGTAGGGTTCAGTGGCAACTTGGATCTCAGGGGATGAGGCACCATGTAGTAGTGATTCTTGACCCCTGGATGTTGGGACTCAGCAGTACCTTAGACTCTGTAAGACCACATGCGGTAGCAGTACCCCAGAATGGCAACATACAGCTGTTACTTGTGCCCTGAGTGGGGGCAGAGTACAGCACAGTGGTGGCTGTATGCCACAGGGAGAGGGGTATCTTAGCAGCTCTGACACTAAGCAGGTAGACCAGCTCCAGGGAAACAGCGTATTAGAGTTGTTTTCCCTTTAGGCTGGAGTGTCTCAGATCAGCCCAGCCACTGCTCAGTTTTCCAAGGATGTGGGTTATCACATCAGCTCAGCTTTGGGATTTACAGCTGCTCAGCTGAGCGATGGCACCAATTCACCAAGGGACAATATGCCACTTCAGCTCAGGCCTGGGGGACATGACTTTTCTAGGCAGCCCAGGTACCATTTCCCTGGGATGAAGGGTGCTACTTCAGATTAAGTACTGGGGTGCGTGACCGCTCTGAGTGGCCAATGTACTGTTTTCCCAGGAGGCAGGGTACTGCTTCAGCACTGGCCTGAAGGGGAGGGTGAAAGGTAGATTAAGTGACTCTACCTTCACCTGGGCCCATGGGGAAGAGTGGAACAGTTGCTGGCAGCTCGGCTTGGGGATGTCGGGCCACTGGGTTCGGGTGGTTCAACGGTAGCTTAGCCTTAGTGATGGAGTGTCATAGCTATGCACTCCCAGAGCAAGAGACACTCCAGCCAAAGCTCCATTTCCAAGACGGCATAGCGCAGTAGCTGCGCAGGCCACAGAGGGCAGGTCACACTGGTTGCTCTTTTTCTTGGGGAAGCACGGCTATGTGGACTTCAGGCAGGTCCCTCAGCTGGGACTTGGCTCCTGTGAGGACTACATGAGACTCCATGGGTGAGGTCTGTAGCTGTTCAAGGTGTTGATGGGGCTTGCTGGGATCCTTTTGTGTACCATTCTACCCTAGAGAGAAGTTCCTCCCTGTTTCCAGCAGATCCCAAGTGGGTGATGGGTGGTAAAGACCAGGTGTTTTGTTTCTATTCTCTATGTGGTCATTCTGAGTTTCTTGCTATCCAGGGTTTCTGTTACTTCTCTGATGCAGTCTGGTACACTGCCTTAGTTATTATTTTTTCTTCTTCTGTTTTTAGTTCATCTTTTTGTTTTTTTCTATATAGCAATGGGGTTTCCCTATGTTGCCCAGGCTGCTCTCAAACTCCAGAGCTCAACAGATCCACTCACCTTGGCCTCCCAGAGTGCCGGGACTACAGGCACGAACCATCGTGCCTGGCCCAGTTATTTTTGTTAAAGTTTAGTTGTTGATTGTTGTTGTGGCTGTCTTTGTGAAAGAGACGAGAGCTAGGGGCCTCTGGTTGGCCATGCTACTGATGTCACTCTTAAAGTACTTATCTTTAAAAGTCCAGTGCTGGAGATTTGTAAGCTACTTATATTTCTGCTCAGAATTCCTAAAGTCTCTCATTTTATTTCTAGATTATACATTCCATTGATAGAGCCCTTATAAATATAACATTAAGAAGTTGAGCATTACCTTTAGGCCAAAGCAATTTACTTTTAAAAAATCTGATTAATTTCAACACAATCAACCAGATGTCAGAAGATTTCAGTGCCTCTGATAGATGCTGACAGGTGTGGAAATTAAAATCAGAGAGGGAAGCAATTAAATCCTGGCAAACATTACTTTAATGAGACAACCAAATCATAAGCTATGGAATACCTTGTATTCTTGATAAGTATCTTAGGGTGGCATGAGAGTGCACTTTAAATTGTATGTGGTATTTGATGACTGGAATGCAGGGCAGTCCATATTTGTCATCTAATTCCTTTGGCCTGATTTAACATTTCAGTTGCTTCTGGGGACAGACTTCTATGTTTAAAACATTGTTTTATTTTAATAAATGTTAGGTTAAGTAATCCTTTTACTACTACCTCTGTTGCCACATGAAACTTATGAAAATGACCAAATTATTATTGGCCTTTTCGCAGTGGTTTTGGGATAACTGTGAAAAGAGAAACACAGAATGTGTATTTTATGCAACTTCTAATCAAAAGATTTGATAATTACAGCACTAAAACCAGAACCCAGTTCCTCCATCCCCATTTCATTATTCTTTTCAATATGATTCCCCCTATTCGGAATGAATATCTTGGACACCAGGGTGAAAGAGGTACCAGTTTATTGACTTAGTGGGAGTTTTTATAAGATACTCTTATATTGCTTATTGAGGTACTAAAGCACTTACAAAATATCAAGTATTTTGAGTTAGCTTTACACTGGTTCAATAACACTTAGAATTTTTGTTCATAATACTAAGATAATCATCTTAGGGATGGTTACATTTTGTTGTGAGGTGTGGTGGAAAATTCAAAGGACACCATGGTTTGTGAAAAACCCATTGCAGCTGATCTCTGCACTTTTCATTTCCATGTCATTCCATTTTCTTCTGCTTTTTCTTTACCCCCTGTTATTTTCTTGCTTCTCTCTCTTTATTATCTTACCTTCATTTACTCCATCCTGTTTTTCTCCAAAATATAGTTGCTTCTGTAAAATTGCTTCTGAGGGTGAGCATATTTTTGAGGGGAGAGAGGATGGATGGTTTGACAAAGGATGCAGACATGTCAGGTTCTGGGTCAGCAGTTAGTTATAAAATACACAGAGGCAGCCAAGGATAACTGGCTTCATTACCAAAAGGCTAGAGTGGGATTTGTCAGTTGTCCCAGATGTCTGTATGGAATTATGGAAAACTCCATTGCATTATGAAACACTCAGGAGCTACTCAGGACACATGCCACTCAATCCACGTGAAGAGGGCTGGTGAACTTCTTAGCTAGAAAGACTTCAGCTTTCCTATTGCTTAAAATGAGACTGATTGGTGAAGGATTTGTATTAGTCCATTCTCACGCTGCTATAAAGAACTGCCAGAGACCACGTAATTTATAAAGAAAGAGGTTTAATTGACTCACAGTTCCACATTGCTGGGGAGGCCTCAGGAAACTTATAATCATGGTGAAAGGCAAAGGAGGAACAGGCACCTTCTTCACAGGGCGGCAGGAAAGAGTGACTGCCAGCAGGAGAAATGCCAGATGCTTATAAAACTATCAGATCTCGTGAGACTCACTCACTATCATGAGAACAGCATGGGGGAAATTGCCCCCATGATCGGATTACTTCTACCTGGTATCACCCTTGACTCATGGGGTTTACAATTCAAGATGACATTTTCGGTGTGGACACAGTCAAACTGTATCACACTCTTCACAAAACTTCACTGGTACAGACTTGCGTATATGGCTTGTGCTTCGACACTTTGCCCAGGGATGTTGCATCTTGAAACTTTCCTGGTGAGATCTGAGAAAGTGTTTATGGTAACACTGCATCAAACACTCCTTTTGCCTTAGCTTAGTAATGTGTCACCTTCTGGTTAGACCACAGATGTGAAGTCTACTCTTTCTCCTTTCACTTGCTAATAAAGCAGAACTTAGAACTAAGTGTGTGTTAGTGCTTCGACAATTGAATTTTCTGTGCTATACACTCGGTTTCCCTTTCCTGAAGTTGTTTAGTTACCCTCTTCAAATAGCAATTGGGAGGCTACGTCATGTAGTAGGAGGGTGCTTACTGATTTTGGTATCAAGATACAGTGTTACATTTTTATCTGCTCCATGTTAACCATGTGATCTTTGAAGTTTGGTTTTTGTATTTGTAAAATTTGGGTAATAAGGTCTCATTGGAGTTATAAAGGGAATGGTTTGAGACATAATGGTCATTGTGATTTTTCAAGCTATAAAATAAAGCATGATGTTAAAAGATGATTAATGTTTTCATTTGGTGGTAGATGACAAGTTTCTTGCAGGGCATCTGATCAATCATGCTCTTTTTTTTTTTTTTTTTTTTGAAACTTTTATTTTAAGTTCAGGGGTATAGTTGCAGGATCCATGTTCTTTTCTTAACCTGTTTTGAGTCCTTTATGTAAACGGGACATTTTATCAAAACTTCCTAGAAGTCTTATATTTCTCAATAAATCCATCCATTCTATTAAAACAAATTTGCTTTGTTCTTAGAGTCTGGTGGAAACTCCAACTCTCTGAACCTAGGGCATGATTATGGGCACAAAGTTGAAAATGATGTGCGATTCATCAGCAGGTCTTTCAACTAAAGCAGTATCTGTTTTGCTTTTTAGGGGTCAAGGAAACTTTTGATTTTAAAATCTTAAAAGTTTTTGGGCTGTCTCTTGTTAGATGAGGTCATGTGAGAGTGACATAGATTAATATTTCGGTGTTTTAAAACTAGGAAACATAAGTCAAAGAGATATTCTCTTGCCTAATGTGCTTATAATGTTATCTTTTGATCATATAAATGTGGATTTATGGGAAGAAATGTTATCACTGCTCTCTATAACCATATATATGGAATAATGGAGAGAAATCTTATTTAAAAAGTTTAACTAAGGGCAACTTTGGCTATGGAGTATATATCATAATCTTCACATACATATGAAGAAATTGACACTCATGGAGTTTAAATAACTTGCCTAAGGCCATTGATTAAAGGAAATCTGACTGGCTCGAAATCCTATGTACTTTTCCCATTTCCTCATTTCAATCAAATAGCTGGTTTTATTTTATTTTCTCTCTCCACCAAGCCTTGTGAATTAAGACAATGAGTTGCTGTTTGTCTTTGTCTTTCCCTAGCCTAATAACCTAGGAAAAACTGAAGTAGAAAGGAAGGATTACTGGACTAGCAGGCACAAACTTTGGCTCCAAATTCATGCCCTGCCAGATACTAAACTGTGTAATCTTGGGCAAATTACTTTCCTTTTGTGAACTTCAGTTTCTACTTCTGTAAAATGTGGACAATAATATTCATTTTATATGGTTTCTGTAAAGTTAATCATGAGGATGGTGTTAGTTCCTTTCTCATCCTTTCTGTCCCTCTTTGAGCTTCTGTTTCCTCACCTATGAAGCCAGTAGAATCATCTCTTCCTGCTTCTTCATCGGGTTCCTGTGGGGTGCAATGAATGTGAAAATGTTTTGTAAAACAAGAAACCATTATGTAGATATAAGAGGTTATGACTATTAATGAATAAATATGGGTTTGGTGTCTGGAAGTAATTTTTACTTATTTCATTTGTAAACACTAGCATTGCAGTTGGCTGAACCTTGTGTCAACCATCCATTCCAGGAGCCAGCTATCTGAGGTAAGAGAGGAGGCGTGTCTTCTTGTTTATGAAATACTAATAGGCATCTGAGCCAGTAATGTTGATTTTAGAAGAAATACAAAGAATAGAAGAAATACAAAGTACTTTATGAGGAAAAGAACTGAAAAATGGCCAAGACAGTGAGCTGACCTCTCTTTTTATTTTTGTTTTTTTGATTTATTTTTTTCCCTTTTAATTCATAGCCCTTAAGGTTTAATACCAAAACCAAAAATCTGGGCCACACAGACGATTCAGATTTAATGTGTATGTATTTAAGTGTCCATAAAATGCAATGGAGTAGAATGTGCTTAACCATTATTTTATTGTATCCTCAACTAGTATGTGGCAGGAGGGCTTTTTACCTGGTTTCCTAACCCTTGATTGAGCGCATTTTTGACTACACTATACTGCCAGTGTTACCTGGCTCTGAAGGGGCCAAATATTTATGGCTGGGTCAGTCACTCTCTCTTAGCTGCCAAACAAAATCATCTCAAAAAGCTAGAATCCAAAGCCACAACAGAAAAATCCTAAGAACACAGAAAATTGAGTTAGTCTTTTGAAACCTTGCATCCATTGTATCTGAATGCCACTCTCCTGGGGGACTGTTGGGAATGACACCAATCCTTGGCAGAAGAATACATTTGTCTTGAGTTTGCCAAGAAAATGGAGGCCAATGGAGAAAAAACATTTAAAGGAAGCATCATAGTTGTAAAATTTACCAGATGCGATTTTTCTCCTAAAGTCAACCTGCTGAATCTGTACCTTCTAATGAGCTCTACTGTGTTTTATGTAATGTAACTTAACCAAAAAGAGGTGAAGTAGTCAATATGTAGAATAGTAACTTTGTAGAAGATTTGATATCATTATTTAGAGTACTATACACATGTATTCTGCTGAATATTTTGTTAATTCCTTTGGTATGTTATATCTATGACCTCGAACTGCAACCATGACTTCAGTTGCACAGACCTTTGAGAAGAATAAAATTGGTTGGTATTGCCCCAAATTTGTAGGACTTAGAAAATTTAGAATTGAGAGGAAATTAAGGTGTCAGGTTTACATGATTTTCAAAGCTAATATCATATATATATAATAAGAACACGTGCAGACAAGGTAGGTTATGTATGGACTATGAAATTTCTGTAATTAAACCAGACATAACAGCCACTTAAGTTATTTAGATTTTCTTCTCATTCCTACAAAAAAAGAACATTGTTTTTATTTTTATTATTATTTATTTATTTTTCAAGTGGAATATAAGCTAGTTTACCCAGGAAGTTTTTTATTTATTTATTTACTTATTATTTTACTTTAAGTTCTTGGATACATGTGCAGAACATGCAGGATTTTTACGTAGGTATACATGTGCCATGGTGGTTGCTGCACCCTATCCACCCATCATCCAGGTTTTAAGCACCGCATGCATTAGGTATTTGTCCTTGCCTTGCCCTCCACCCATCAACGGGCCCCGATGTGTGATGTTCCCCTCCCTGTGTCCATGTGTTCTCGTTCAACTCCCACTTCTGAGTGAGAACATGCGGTGTTTGGAAGCCATCATTCTCAGCAAACTAACACAGAAAAAGAGAACATTGTTTTTAAAAAAGGTAGTAGCAAAAAATGTAAGAATGGCTCCTGTCCACCTTTTATTTCTTTTCTAGTCCACAAAATAACCCTGCAAAAACTTATTTCTAATGTTTTATTTTTACGGATAAATATATCAGAAAAGAATGTACTGTAGATACCTACTATCATAGTTTTTGACAGCTCTGTGAGGCAGAGATCTAACTTGTTCATTTAGAAACTGCAGTTATCACACTAACCTTCCCTCCGATGCCAATTGTTAAATATTAATAGAATAAGCTTTGAAAAGTAATTAACTGTATCCCCTGTCCCCACAGAAACCCATCTTGAAACTATCAAGAGGAGTTTTAAGCAAGCCCTGAAAGGTTACAAAAATTACTCTCAAGAAAGAGGAATTTTCTCTCTTTCTCTTTTCGTTATATTTTGGAGGTGGGGAATGGTAGAGAGGGAATGATAGAAACCTCTCAAGTAACCTTTGGGAGGTGGAGAAGTAAATAGTCTGGGAGCATGCTGTAGAAATTTAAAATAATCCTGTGGCAATAATTGGTATCAGTGGCAGTAATGAAGAAAGAATAACAGTTTCAATAAATAATTAGACTTGACAGTAAATGTGTCAACAGGTACCCACTTAATGAGTGTAATCATTGTTTTTCTCTGCTCTCAACGTTGATCCACTGACTGCGGTGTGTTCTCTGTCCCATTTCCAAACCAAATCTATTTAAAGCTGCACTCCACGGAATCTGCAACAGTATACCCTGTTTACTATTTAGAGCTGATACCTAATGTTCTTTAATAGGCAAGATCTGTACTTGAACGAGAACAGGCTTCTGGCCTCTTGTAGACGGTTGATTATCCCTGTTTTCCACAGGGTGATTCATTAGCAAGGATGAATAATACCCAATTAAATCTCATGGACTTGTCTATATTGCCAGAGTGAATTGTTTATTATAATTTGGTGGAAACAGTCCTAGTCTGCTTTAAATAAAATTAATCAGTTACCGTTTTTTGAAGTGGAGGTAGAGGCAGTAGTTATAAGTGAAATTACCTCTGTAATAACCTGAATAGAATCACATTGTTTTTGGGAGCAAAGCAGTATGTTGTATGTTATGTGCACCAGAAGCCATGAGAATCCTTTTCTAATCCCAGCTGTAATGTCACCTGGCTGTGTCACCTAGGCAAGTCACCTTCCCTCTATGAGGTCTGTTTCATCATCTAATGACAAAGTTGGACCAGTTGATCATGGCATTACTTCCGGTTAAATGTTCTCTTATATATGATTTTATTTCCTAGCTAGTCCCTTCTCTCTCCTGGTGCCATGTTTCCAAAATCATAGGACAGTCCTATGACTCTACTGCACAGCCACTGTGGAAAATTAGTTATTTTTCTGCTTAGCTTTTGCTTCTTTTACATACCAGACATGCAGTTAATGACTTTTATTATATATACTGTAAGAATGGGCATTTATACACCGGTAGCGGTAGTCCCTTACCCCAGCAACTTGCAATTCCTTGTTAGGAAAGAAAAGCTGTTTTCCTCCACATTTCTTTACTCTGTGACATTGTTCCCTGATCTGGGTCTTATGAGAGGATCTGGTAAACTTCCCCCCTATTAAGACCGTTAGGAAGAGGTGGATGCTTCTTCCATTATTTGATTTTTCCAGAGCAAATCACTGGATCTGTAAAGGAGATCAGAATGTCAAAGCCAGAGGGGACTTCACGAAGTAATCTAAACAAATTATTTCATGTCACAGATGGAGATTTTAGTGTCTGGGAGGGAATCTGATTTGTCTAAAGTGTTTTTGACTGATCTTGGACTAGAATTCTTCTGACTACATAGTTGTATCTTTAAGTAGAGAAATCTTTTTCTATAAACTATCCTTTCACTTCCTAGTTCTTAAAAGGCCATTATCTTCCAGGCAAAACCAATTTCATTTTCAGCATGGGGATGTGAGATGTCCTTAAACATAAATGGACTCCAGGTATCTTCATTAATTTCATGAAGACATGGCACAGAGGGTTCCGGCTACCTTCTGCTTTCCGTGTTTATTAAAAGACTGTGGATTCCCTTGCAGTTCTTCCTGTAAGAGGTTGTTTGACGCTGACATCATCACTCTCCTCCACCCGCCTCCTGCCCTTTTCTGAATCAGTGAATTATAGGAATCTGAGAATGAGCTCCTGTTTCCTGCACATTGTTGGGGAACATTAAAAAAAAGAAGACAGATGAGGGATTTATAAGCAAGAGGACAGAAGAATAATAGCCAACACAATGAAGTCTAGTTCAAGGCCTGCGATTCCCAATTGCTGGGCTACACAGCATTAATAGCAGTGTCTCTCACCCTTTCAGACCCTTCTCTCTTATTTCAGACCCTTCTGCCTTATTCTTGTGGGGATGGGCTGGGACTGAGAAACAGCTAGTATAATCATTGCCAAAATGAAACTCACATGTACATGGGGGCTTCCAGGTCTGGAGAAGAGTGTAGTAATTGTTACCCATCCGATAGAAGGTGCTTAGAGACCACTGGACCTAAGCACTTACCTGGAACCTCACAGTACAGAGGTTCAAAGAGTAGAAATCAGTTGACTGAGTCTGAGGTTCAAATCCTGGCTCTAATTAATTTGCTATGAGTTTAGTGAATGCCTAACTTTCCTCTGAGCTGCACTTTCTCCATCTGTGAGATGGGAGGAGGAGGGTGGCATAGATGATGTCAAAGGAACCCTCTGATTTTCATGAGTCTCAGATTTGCCCAAGGACCTGCAGCGAATGTGCAGCCAAGCCAGATCTTGAATTCAGAGCCCCTTTTTCTGGTTTGAGATGGTCATCATTATAAGTTCCACTACCCATACTTTCCAAACAGTATGTTTGCAGCTTTCAGCCTTGTTTTATTAAATCTACTTTTTCTCTTTTATTTGACAGTCCCTTTCTGTCCAGGGACCTGCCTAAAGTAGCAAATCTTTTTTTTTTTTTTTTTTTTTTTTTTGAGACGGAGTCTCGCTCTGTCACCCAGGCTGGAGTGCAGTGGCACGATCTTGGTTTACTGCAGCCTCCGCCTCCCAGGTTCAAGCAATTCTCCTGTCTCAGCCTCCCAAGTAGCTGGGACTACAGGTGCACACCCCCACGCCCAGCTAATTTTTTTTTTTTTTTTTAAGTAGAGATGGGGTTTCACCATGTTGGTCAGGCTGCTCTCAAACTCCTGACCTCAGGAGTCCACCCGCCTCGGCCTACCAAAGTGCTGGGATTACAGGTGTGAGCCACCGTGCCTGGCCTAAAGTAGTAGTTCTTAATATACGTGTGTGTATGTGCGTGCACACGTGCATACACATGATCCTGTGTTTGGGGCAGATGTGAGGATTATGGAATTTTCAGAAACTCAGATGAATTTATGAAATAGTTGGAAAATGCAGAACTCCAGAAAATGCTATCAACAAGTTTAGGAGGTTTGTAGATGCTCTGAAGGCCATCCATGAGTTAAGCAAAAGTTTTCATTCTATGTGGGAAGTATGAGATGACATTTGAGTGGCATACATTTCCTTTTGCTGTTGGATTTTCCCCGTAGTCACCTATTGTTATACTCTGAGTGTTAGGCTCGTTTTGTAGCATGACTTTTGGCATGTATGTATCTCAAACTATTGAGTGATATTTTAATATTGAAACTCTTATTCTACTTCATTCATTCACTCATGCATTCAAATTCAATTTTAATTCAGAATTTGCTAAATGCTAGACATCTCAATACATTATTGTATATAATCCTATAAAATAGAAAATTGCTAGGTGCTCAGAGAGGTTGAGTAATTTGCCCAAAGTTTTACAGCTAATAAATATAAAATCTGGATTTAAATCCGGATTTACTCCAAAATATGTGAATACCTCCAGAGATAACATTGAAGACAAATAGAGACAATGATGCAAGTTCATAAACCATGGAAATTTCTGGTAGAAAATGGTAGATGGGCCCCAGAGGAATACAGAGAATGTGTACTATGGGATTTTAGGAAGGGACAAGATCATACATTATGAATTACTTCATATCATAATTCGTTAACTACGTGTTTATCTGGCTCCTTAAGAAAGAATAAAAAAAGCTAGATAATCATATGAAACACATTATGCATAACTCAGTTTTTTTCTTGTTCTTCAAACTTCTGTCAGGTTAGTGCTCTCAATATCTTCATTTGGTAAGTGAGATGAGGAGATGAAGAGTAGTTAGGGTCATAGTGCCCTGATCATACTGAGTTTTCACCTAAATAGGAATTTCAGTGCTTTGGGTCATCTATTTTGTTCCCCTCCTCCCGGCCTACCCCCCCATTATATTGAGCTTGAGACTTTTAACAGAGATAACTTCTGACCACGCACAGATCAGCACAAATGCAGATGTGAGCAGCTAGAATTTGGATGCTGCCAAATTGTGATGACTGCCACATGTGTGAAGCTAAAGCTTAGCACCTGATGACCCACTGTGAGTGTGTGGGGGGGCCAGAAGAGTGAAAGGCAGGTCAGAGATGGAAGACGCCTCGGAGTTTCTCAATGGCAGTACCTTCACCTTGCAGATGCAGAAATGGAGGTGGTTAGAAGGGGTAAGACTTACTAAAATTCACACAGCAGGTTAATGGCTCTCTGAGAATAATGGCAAAACAAGAACAAGGCTTTATACCAGCAATCTACAGTAGTATCTACTTTTATTTCCTACCTTTCCGTTGGCATATACTCACACTGATAGGCTTGACAGGCAGATAAACCTGTATTTGAAGGTCAGCAGGATTAGTTGTGTGGCCTTGGATAAGTTACTTGATTTACTTGGGTCTCAGGTTTGTTGTCTGTAATAGAAACCATACCCTTTTTCTTTTCTTTCTTTCTTTTTTTTTTGAGATGGAGTTTTGCTCTTATTGCTCAGGCTGGAGTGCACCGGCATGACCTTGGCTCACTGCAACCTCTGCCTCCTGGGTTCAAGCGATTCTCCTGCTTCAGCCTCTGTAGTAGCTGGGATTACAGGCATGAGCCACCACGCCCAGCTAATTTTTTGTATTTTTAGTAGAGACAAGGTTTCACCATGTTGGCCAGGCTGGTCTCAAACTCCTGACCTCAGGTGATCCACCTGCCTCAGCCTCCCAAATTGCTGGGATTACAGGCATGAGCCACCGTGCGTGGCTGAAACCATACCCTTTTAACAGGACTATACCAGTGTACTGTTCAATATACAGAAATACTATCACCCATCTGATTAATAATCCTTATCACAGCCCAATGAGACAGGCACAGATGTTCTGCTTTTCAAGATTCTATTTCCTAACTTCATCTTGACAGTTGTAAGTCTCTTGCTTCTCAAAGTTTGGTCTGAGGACCGGAAGCATCAGCATTACATGGGAGCTTGTTAGAAATGCAAATCTCAGATCATACTCTAGAACTTCTGAATGAGAATCTCTACTTTAACAAGAGCCCCAGGTAGTTCATATGCTCATTAGTGTTTGAGAAACATTCACTTCGGCCCTCGCCCTATTTCAAGGCTATTGCTGTGGTGTGCTGACAATGCCTGGCATGCTGCCAGCATTCTTGGGGCATGCTGTACCATGCCTTGAGATAGCGGGGTCCGGGGGGCGGGGATGCTGTGAAGTCACTCCTTGGGAATAATGGAAGACTGGGTTGAAGGGATCCAGCAGGCTTTATCTTTTTAACACCCTTCATTTCCTTAGAAGTTACTATTCAGAAGGGGTCAAACTGGGATTGGATTCTAAGTCTTTCTGATCCAAAGTCCATGTTCTTTTCATTAAACCACGATGTCTCAGTCAAGAGGAATGCTGGGTTGTGGGTGATAACTGTTCATTCCCTGTAGTGTGAATATTTCCACACTGGCTGCTTTACCCTATTACTCAATTCCTAGAGGGGAAGAATTTTTTTAAAAAAATTTAAAAAGCCTGAGTTGAAAGCCAGGATCCTGCAGCTTAATCAGTTATTTTTGCTTTTTAATGAGGGTGACTATTGTGAAATAAGTAATTATTAATTACTCAAAACTAATGAAATATTTTAGTTTCCTTGCTCAAAAAGCATATGGATGCTAAAAGAAAGCATATGGGTGCTTTCTGGGAAGCATATTGGTGAATGGACAAATTACAGTGGTGCCAATATGCCTTTGCTGTCTGGCTGGGGCCATCAAAACGTGTGCTGGCATCTGAGTCCTCGTGTGTTTAAAGGGATTTTTTAAAATTCCCATTTGATAAGTGCCTGGGGTTGCCTCTGGAGTTACACAGCGCTGTCTCATCAATCTTTCTGCCATGCTTTCACTCAGACATTACTGGCTGAGTATAAACTCGGTATAAACCTTTGCTGTAAGTAGCTTCTGTGGCTCTTTCTTTCCAGATGCCTCCTATCCTCTGCAATAGGTTCAGTGGGCCTGCCCCATGGATGGCACGTATGGAGACTTTGTCTATACAACATTTTACCACAGTGGTAAAAGCAGTAGCCGAAAAGGTGGCAGCACTGAGACCTGTTTGCTCCATCAGGGACTCTGTCTGAGGCCCTCGGCCAGCTGTTGAATTGCTGCACTGCAAATTTCTTACTTGTAAAACTGGAATGATAATACCAGTGCTCCTGAGCTCACAAGCATGCTGTTCATCCAATTTGCAGTCCATGCCCTTTGCTCTTCCTCTCCTTTCCTTCATGCCTCTTCTCCTTTGCTGCACGTTCAGCTGGTCTAGTAAAAAGCTTGATGGATTTGGAGGTGGCTGAAACCATTTTGCTTGCTCTGGGGATTGCACACTTCTGAGCTTGTCAGAGGCAGGCAACATGGCATGTTTTAGAAGATACTTGGCTGAGTGTCCACGAACTGTGGCTCTCAGACCAACGTGACTTAGTAATCATTTACTCAACACCTACAAGCAAGGTAGCTTGCTAAGAAATTGAAGGAGGGAGCTGGCGGGTCTGTGGAGGTGAGTTTGATTCAGGGCCAGTCAAGACTTGGTGTGATGTGTGAGCTCAGTAATTATACTTTGAGAGAGACAGAATTTGGAGAACTCTTTCCTATTGGAGGTTTCTTATAGAACTAGGGACAAGAGCTGGCTTTGAAAGATTATTAATTGGACTTTGATAAGATATTACAAGGATTTGAAGAGTAAGTCTCTGTCAGGCAAAAACCAGCTTGCAGTGGGACTCGGAAGCAGGCAAATATCAGGCATGGCTGAAGAACTGGGCATCAATCACAGACATGTGTAGCTGAGAGAAATCACTTCCTTTTGGTGAACCCTAGACTCTATCTGCAAAATATGAGCTTTGAACAAGATAGTTCTCAGGAAGCCTCAAGAACTCTAGCTGAAATTCTACAAAGTCTCTTATCACACAGCCAGGTTATCCACTTAGCAAAATCCTGGCACTAGAATAGCAGCAATGGAGCAAGGCCTGGGACCCAGGTGTCCTGCCTCTATTTTATATTCTTCTTACTGTCCACAGAGCATTATGATGAAGATAGGTGGGGTGGACATTATTATTCTAGTTTTTAATGTATGAAACATAGGATGTTAAGGGAATCTAAGACATAAAACGAATAAGAGATTTAACTATCCCAGATATTGATCACCCTTCCACCACAGAGGGCCAGCTCTTATAAAATACACCCCTTGCCATTTTGCCTGTGTGGGCCTTGCTTTCCTGCCTGAGGAACCAGCACGTACCCCTTCTCCCACGAAAGTCATCCCTGTCTGCTCTTTGGCTCTGGAATTCAGTCTTAGCAATGGACTTTGTTTTATAATTAAACTTTATTTTGTATTGCCATCTTTCCATGTTTCCACCCCCATCTCATCCCTCATACATATTTTAAAGGCTTTGAATTTAAGGATTACTTTCTGCTTCTCTGAGTTCCCTGTAGCTCCTGGCACAGGGCCCCAGACATAGTGCTCAGTAGAGAAGCAAATGACTATGTTCTGCAATAGTTTTTCTCTCTGCCTATTGCTTGTTTCTGAGATGGATATGAGACTTATAGGCTTAAAGAATTTCGGAACTGGAAAGGAAGTTAAAACCTATCTAGTCCAGCTCCCCCACCCCAGGGAAGAAATGACTTACTTAAATTTGCCTGCATAGTTAGTGGCAGTTCTGCAAATCGTGCCCACATCTCACCAAGCATTGGAGAGATGGTTGGCACTTGAGTCTCTTCTTAGGACTCTACAGGCTCTGTCTGGAGTCCTTGTTTCTATGAAGACCACTAAGAATAAAGGTAATACAGGTGCTGCTGCTGCTGTATTAAACAGATGGAAAGAAGTAGACATTCATTGTATGTCTGTTATGTGACAGGCCTTGTGACAGGTGTTTTCACATAGTTTAGCTTGGTCAGTCATCAAAAGCTAGAATTCCCATTCCTCCATGAGGGAGACAGATTGTTTCTAAATAGGACATTTAGCAGAAGCTCTTTCCTGTAAGCTCTGAAAGGCACTCGGTAGTGGATAGATGCTTCCCTCCTAGAACACGGGTGTAGGGCTCTGCAGAGTAGCATGCATGGCTCTTCTAAGGGATATGGATTGTAGAGACTGTGAAAATAAGCAGAAGTTGTGATCAAAATTGGCGTTGGGGGACTTGTGGTCACCCGAGTGTACCAGAAGACTGAGCTCTTCTACTCTCCTTTCCACACATACATCTGAGTCTTTGGAGAGCTGCAACCTGAGTGCCTCGTTCTTGAGTGTCTGTAGCATTGGCTTTTACTTGCACTTACTACATTTTACTCCTGCCTCTTCCCTAGCTAGCCTCGACCTCAACGTGTATTATTTCCTCCCCCCTTGTCATTTTTCTTCTATTACTTTTGCTTCTTCCCCTTCCTCCTTCTCCTGACTTAACCTTGGGTGGCCGCAGGTCTTAAGGCTCTGTGATGGCAGAGTCTTCTGTATTGGACTGTGAAGATTCTGGCAGGGAAGACAATACACAAATCTGTTAAATACACAATAAAAATAGCTTATGATCTATGGGACTTGGTATTAAGCAAGATGATATTAACGAGGTTTGATTGCTGTTCTGAAATGTGGCAGCTGCGCACACGTATTGGCTGCTTTTTCTCCCCACCTTTGGCAGCTTGTGAGCGGTGTTGCCATGACACTCCTTGGGCTCTGTTTAGATCAGCTATTTTCTGAAGGAGTCGCTGACCTTCCCCACAATAGAAGCTGTTGATGTGGTCACGTCAGTGCCTCTTCGGGAGCTGTGTGACTGGCGAGCCCTCAGTTGCCACTTGGAAACGGTTGGAAACTGTAGATCAGGCACAGACATTGAATGTTTAGGAGCAAGAAGGGCTTGTGAATATCCCGTACTCTCATTTGATGTGTGAGGACAGTGAGGCGCATTATGCGGAGGTGACTTGCTCAAGGCCACAGAGTGCATAGAGAGAAGGCTGGGAGAGGAGGTCAGGTCTTGTTTCCCTGCTTGTTGATGTTCCAGCTGCATGCACGGCACTGAGCCCTGCCTGAGTGCGCACTTCAGTCCTGAAAGCTGCAGAGGGATGGGCTGGTGACACTGCCGTGCCTAGGAGTGGGCAGAGAAGGTGAAGACACGGAGAGTAACTCAGTGCAGAGGCAGCGACGGGAAAGTGAAGGAGAGTAAGAAGCCCAGAGTAAATGGCCAAGGTGCCACTAACATGTCCATCCACAGAAACTTTTCTGGGGGAGAATGTTTCTTATCAGATTCCGCAGATGGGTTCCTTGAGAAGTGAGTGCTTAAAGGGGCTGGGATAGATAATCATAATGCCATGTTCTCACTGCTCTGAACCCTTTTCTGACCTCACGTAAGACCTCACCTAAAACTTCCACAAGAGCCGTTCATTGTCAGTACCATGCTTTTTTTGGAGTACTGTATAATGTCAAGTATTTTTCCAATAGTTTATATGTGAAATGTGGTCTCCGCCACAAGATTACAGGGTCCTCGGGAGCAGAAATTGTGACTTAAATGGGCCTTTCTCCCTTCCACTTTTTATTCTTGCCCTACCTTTTAATCAGGCACCTGGAAGAGATCTAAACACAGGATGAGCATCCAGTAAGTTTTTGTTGAGTTGAACTTAGTTGGATTCGGATGACCTCTAAAAAATGTTTACTAATTGCTGGTGAAAATTGGCAAATGATTATTTTGTGGAAAAATGTTCTCACCGAATTAGATTTTGTTAAGAATTCTTATGTGTGATTATTTTTCATAAACCCAATACACTGTCTATTATTATCCTTATTTTACAATGAAGAAAAAAAATTCAATTGACTGCTCAAATTTACCTCTAGGAACAGGTGATGGAGATTTGATTTGCATTTAGATCTTTTGTCTCCAAATATTGTAATGTTACTTCTGCTTTCCCCCACTACATACCGAAGAGGTCTTACTTCATTGACAGTGGTTCAGCCTTCTGCTGAGGAGTCTTCAGTCTTTTTATGTTGTAATCTGCCTCCTTATGAGTTTGGGAAAAGAATTATGGGGCCTCAGGTTTAAATGCTGTTATGCTTTGGGTAACACTTTAGCTGATTTGTTTTCAGTAAAGCCAGAAGGAAAATACTGCATTTCTGTCTTCTTTAATTTCCTTAATTTGAAATAAGCCTTGAACTAGTTTGTAAGACTCCTTTAACTTTTAACAAATTTAGGCACATATGTAATATAAAGAAAAAGGCACTCTGCCCTAAATGAATTGACTAATTAAGCTGAGAACAAAACTAGACCACTTTTTTTTTTTTGGTTTCAAAAAAAGGATGCAGGAATTTTTAAATGCTACAGCTAAAACCCAGATTTTGTCTGATATTGATGTTCTGTAGGTTTTCTCAATATTTGCCATATTCATTAGATGACATTCATTATACTTTCCTAACTTTTATAGGATTTAGATGAGGTTTGTTGATAACATTCTATATTCTTTCTGAAAAGAAAAACACACACACACAAATGTCGAGCAGTCTTCTTTTTTTAATGTATATTCTCAGGAAAAACACCATTGACTAATTTAAATTTCAGTACGGAGGCAAAGCTGATCTGTAGTGAATGTAACATCTTGTTAAATACAGGTTTCATGCTTCTTTTTTGTACCTTTCCAGGCTTTTAAGGAGGAGAATAATTTGAATAATAATGGCATAATGTCCAGAGGGAAAGTTGAATACGTAAGACAGAGATGCATGTGGGCCTATTTCTGTACTTTGTGTGCGTGTCTCTGTGTGGTGGCTTTATGGTTTTTAAAATAAAGTTTTCTGTATTTTCAATGTATATAATAACTTTGGAATCACCAAAGAAAAGTTGATATTGAGACTTGGGTTTTTAGTGGGGAGGAATGGATGTTTTTTTTCTTTTACAGTTTTAGGCAAAGTGAAACTTTAGAAAATTATATTATTTGAAGTTAGATGGAAACCAAACACTATCTTTATAGTTTCTTTCAGAAGAAACTTTGTCTTAGGAATCTGGGCACTCTTGTAAACTTTCTAAATTTCTTCAGCCCTCATTGATACCCACACTTTGCTTAATTCAGTTGAATCAGTTTACAGTGAATAACGTCCCTGGGAACATTAATCAATGAACACACACACGCGCGTGCGCGCACACACACACACAGACACACACACACAGGGAGGACAAAAAGGAAATAAAAGCATCACTTTGTACCTTCCTCAATTCAAACCTGTCTGCTTTCTTCAGAATTTCGGATGTATGTGTCTGTTTCTTCCAGTAGATTGGGAGCACCCTGAAGACAGAAGAGACATATGTATATATATATATTTTTGTTTGTTTTTTCTTTTTTGTTTTTAGACAGAGTCTCGCTCTGTCACTAGGCTAGAGTGCAGTGGCGTGATCTCAGCTCACTGCAATCTCCACCTCCTGGGTTCAAGCGATTCTCCTGCCTCAGCCTCCCGAGTAGCTGGGACTACAGGCGCCCGCCACCACACCTGGCTAATTTTTGTATTTTTAGTAGAGACAGGGTTTCACCATATTGGCCATGCTGGTCTCGAACTCCTGACCTTGTGTTCTACCCGCCTCGGCCTCCCAAAGTGCTGGGATTACAGGCGTGAGCCACCGCGCCTGGCTAGAAAGAAGAGACATTTTATGTATGATCGTCATAATGATTTTGTGAACTCAGGTGTAGTAAGGTAAAACGCCCTGGTAAAATCACTTACTGGGACTTTTCAGAATCTGTTTAGAAGTCATTCCATTACTCTTGAAATCCCTCTGCTTTATAGACTTTCTGAGAAATAAGGAAAGTCCATCTGCCTACTTGTCATAGAAATGGGTACTTCAGCAGTAAAATAGCCTGTTTACATACTGGCTCAAACTGTCAATGTAGGAAAAGGTTTCGTGTATTATAAAATGTTACAGAGCTAGAAAAAATATATACAAGTAATATATAGAGTGCATATATATGTACATATATATGATCTGTTCCTTGTCACAATATTTAACCCAAAGTGCTATTTACAGTAATGAATCAAAATGTCAGTCTTAAAAATATGAAGTGTCAAAGTGTTCCCACGTTGTAGAAAAGTTTGATGTGACAGTTTGTTAATCATATGACTATTCTATCAATGTGTCTCATAATGTCTTTTGCTCAACACTCTCGTAGGCTCCTCACACTTTTTTCATGAATTCCTAGCTTAAGTTACTAACCCAAGGAGCACATTTGAGTTGCGTGTCTCCCACACCTCACACAAAGGCGGCTATGTTTTGCTGTACTTAAAACTGAATGGATTTCACATTATTTTAGAGTGGTTTGATTTTGTGCCTGACGCATTTATGGATAGTAGCTTAAAAAATTTCTGTAATTTTGCTGTTTTCACTACAGAATCATCAAATGAAACTTTAACTTATAGCGCGGATGTTTTTTGTTTCTCCAAAGTTTCCCAAGATATCAGATGTCCTTATTTGCTAGTGCCCATTCGTTGAACTTGGACACATTTTTGAATTTTTCTCAGCACATTGATGATCCCAACTTCTTTTTCCTACTAAAAGGGCAGAGTCTTAGAACATAAATATTATATATGTGGAAAAGGGCAACATAGTTTCTTTCGGGAGGATTTTTGGCCATGCTACTCACTAGTTCGTGGATCACACTTAATCTCTGTGCCTCCGTGTCTTCTGGAGAAAATTTAAGGGTGAAATTAGATTAGATCAGTGAATTTTTAAACTTATGCTCTAGAAGCCCTAGGATTCTGGGTAGAAATGAAGCTCCAATGATTGAGTGTGGGGTGGGCAGTGGGGACTCTGGGCCCTTCAAACCAAGCAGCTCTGCTATTCGCTTGTTAAAATTTAGAGTTTTATAAACTGTTTCACTTAAAGAAAGGTTCTACTGCTTAACCTGCCTACCTGTTGGCATCACTGTCTTAAGTGATCTAGAGTCAGTGGCTTATTTCCCACAAGGATTCAGTGGGCAACTGTGGCAATAGTTCTTGGCTAACCTGGTCACTATGGAAGTTCTTTCCGTGGAAAAAGATTCTCCATCCTTCAATTTGAGATAAGATTTACTAATTGAGACCTCATTTGTTTCTGATTTTAATCTTTGCATCATTTTAGTTTTAATAAACTAACTTTCCAACTTACCAGATTTTCGGGTTGACAAAGACCATTATTTAGAGAAACACAGGCAAAGGAAAGTCTAAAAGCTTTGGCTGGAATTTCAACTGCTTCTGGTCAAGAATATGAATTTTACTTTGTACGGCCAAAGCGTTTCAACCATTCTGGGGAGGTGGGTGAATGCCCACAACTTGAACTTTTCATTCCATTGCTTTCCATCCTCAAGTCTCTCCCTTCTTCTCCATACACATGCAACTACCACCACCACCATGGTTCTCTTCGCATGGCCTATGTATGTCCCCAGACATGGTGGAGCAGAAAAGTAAAAAGTTGTGATTTACAAACCAAGGTAGAGACTATAAGAAGAACAAAAATGATTAAGGGGCATGAGTTAGTGACACTAACAAAAAGCCTTCATGTATCAACATAAAAAAATCAAATTGAAGAAAATATTTTTCATGGACAGAAAACCTACCCTAAAGACAGGAAAGAAGGTGAACGGCTATTTCACTAGATGCTGAAACATCATCTCCAAAGTTCCTCAGGAATCAAACTATGGGATTAGATTCAACTCTTTTAATAGCTGAAATCTAGAAGGGAGAGAGTGGTTACGTCTATAGTTTTATGAATGATGCTGAACTCTTTCTCACAATAAAATGCTCTTCTACTAACAAATTTAAAGACTTGAGCACCCAGAAACAGCAGTTGCATGCCAAGTCAGGAATATTCTTTTTTTAAGTCACATGTCAGCCACTGGGGATGCACCCGGGTTTAGGCTGGAGGTTGGAGAGGGTTCATCCAAAATCCATGCACAAGATATTTATCCAAAATTCTGGAGTGGTTCCTTGTTCATTCTCTGAAGAAATTGGTGAGATAAGGCAAGCATCCTAAACAAATGTTGAGCTCTAAAAATACAGTTTAAATAAAACAGAAAGCATTCTGAGTATAGTTTTGGCCAAAATAGAATAGTATAATAAATCATTTGGCTGGAGGGTATGACATGAGAATAAACAAAAAAACAGCATGTTTGCTATCTTTTCTGTTTATTTTACTTATGCATCAACCCCCTTCTGCCTCCTTTTACTCCTTGCTAGAGTGTGGAAGGATCTTGAATTCAGGGCCTTGTCTGTCTTGTTTTTCAGCTGGCTGGAGTCACACTTGGCTTATTTATGAGCTCAATAAACATTATGAATGGATGAGCAATTTTGAAAGATTGACATATTGAAGGAAAAAAATGACGTGAATCTGAAAAATTCTGACATGGCCACTTCTAAACTCTCTGGGACTTGTACTAAATGCTTATAGATTTAGGTAGCATTCTGAGCATTACCTCACTTATTCCTTTCAACCAGCCTCTGAGGAAGGTACTGTTATTATCACCATTTCACAGAGGAAGAATTGAGATCCAGAGATGTTACATAATTTGCCCAAGGTTACATAATAATAATATAATAGCTAAAGCCAGGATATGAACTCAGGTAGTCTGGCTTCAGCAGCTTCTCTCTTAACTACGAAGCTATATTGTTTCCACATGGTGATTATAATTATAACTGCCTGTTCTACTTTCCTGTACGTTGTGAGGCTGAGTTTAGGTGTGAAAGGATTAGGGAAGAAGTATATCAACTAGTGAAGGCGAGACAACACACAAACAACTATAACTTAAAGTAGATAGAAACTTGCAGAGAAAGTTCAGAGAAGAAAAAAGAACTATTATTTCCACCAGGGTGAAGGGCAGGAGTCAAAGAAGGCTTCCTGTGGGAAGTGACTTAGTTTGGCCTTGAATGAGTAGAATTATAGTAAAGGGAGATGCTTTCCAAGTAAACAGAATAAACAGTGGAAGAGATGCCAGTCTAATGCTGTTGAGTTTAGCAGATTCTTTCCGAAAGAGTGTGCGCTGAGAAGTGGGGAGTGGAGAGGGTTTGTGGTGGAAGGAGGTGGAAGCCCTGAGAAGGGATCTGAGTGGGAAGATGCAAGCGTTCCAAAAGCATATTCGCAATCTCTCTGGAGGTCAATCCTGGGCAAAATGTTGCTTTTGTCATGCTTTAACTCATTATTTTTTGATGCATTGTCCGCAAAGACTAGTCCAAGGAGGTACCACTCCAGAAAGAGTGGCCACACGAGTCTGGAAAATGCTGCACCCTCTGGTGCTCTATTAGGTGCTGACAGTGCGTGTTAACATGCCCAGTCTTCGAGGAAGTCCCGTGAGACAGCAATCACCTTGCTTTCTTTGACTGTAGACCTGGTTTGTTGTTTTACTTTGAGCAAACCCCTGTTAACATCCCTCAGAAGACACACTTCAGGAGCCCTCTTCCAGCCAACCAGCTGGACTAATTTGTGTAAACTTTCCAACAAGTTGTGTGCTTCTGCTGAACACAGGTCATCTCAGAGTAAAACTTGCTCCATTCTCAGGACAGCCAACAGTCCCCTTTTGAAAGAAGTTAGAGCACGTTTGCCTATAGAAATTGTTATGTGTCAGTTAGAAAGCAAGCTGCATCCGAGGTAACAAACTTGAGGAGCTGCAGCCCCTCTGACGAAGTAAAAGTGAGAAGCAGGAAGTGAAGGAGTCTCAGCTCTTGAAATAAAATGTGCATACGGGTGAGAGTTGCCAACCACAAGAACTCTAGCTGGCTGCCCTGAGAACATATTAGGAGAAAACATGGTTAAAGTCGGCACCTGACCTATTAGCTGCAGGGGCAGCTCATTATCTTTTTTATTCTTTCACCCTGCATTGGCCCGAAAGGGGAAGAGAGGCAGTAAGTGGACTGTAAAGAGTGCTTATTCCACGCTGGGCAGGTCATTAGAATTGTCATGTCAAATTCCCTTCCTTAATCCCCTCAACTACCCAGTGGAGTCAGGATTATTAATCTCTTCCTCTATACGTGAGGACAGTGAATCCAGAGTGGCTTGCTGGTGCTGAATAGATCATGTTGTCTTACAACTTGAGCTTTTCCCTTGTTCCTTTCCCTATTTGTCTGCTGAACTCATCTGTCTCCAGGTTGTAAATGAGATTCTCCTCTGAAGAGCCTCTGAGCCCCCTGTAACTCTATTCTTGTATTGCATGACGATACTCTTGTTCTTTAGGTTTATACCTCTTTCTCCCCTTAAGACCTAAAACTCGATCTGGGTTACTCTAGAGCCCACAGGTTTATATTGCACTGCTCTGCCCACATTCCAGCCTTCTCCACTTTAACATATGACTTGATGATAGCTTTTCAGACCCAGTCCCTCACAAGATACCTCTTTTTCAACCCATTATTTTAGACCTTCTTTACTTGACATATTTTGAGTTTTCTGGATTCTAGGCTTCCTTATCGTTAGTGTCACTTTCCCCCCTTCTGTTACATGTCTGTTACCTTCTTGCTATTTGCTTAGGTCCTACCTTAACTTTGAAGGAACGCTTTTCAAACCCGGCCTGCATCGGAATTAGGAATCCCACCCTCAGAAGTTATGGTTTAGTAAACCTGAGAGAGTGTGGGAGAATTTGTATTGCACTCCCAGATGATCCTGAAACTGTCATTCTGTGGGCTTATGTTTATTAGCACTTCTTTAAAGCATAGTTCAAGACCTCTGTTTTCCAGGATATTTAACTATCTTAGTCCAAAGTCTTTCCTTTCTTCCTTGCCTCCTTCTCTCTCTCCTCTTTGTCTTTTCTTCTTCTCTTCCTCCCTTCTTTCTCCCACCCTCCTCTCTCTTTCTTCTCATGAAGTCCATATGATATCCTGTCTGAATTACATAACTTTTTTTTTCTTTTTGTGGAGATGGGGTCTCACTATGCTGCCCAGGCTGGTCTTGAATTCCTAGGCTCAAGCGATCCTCCCATTGAAGCCTTCCAAAGTGCTGGGATTACAGTCATGAGCCACCACATCTGGCCTGAATTAGACAACTTCTTATTTATGTGGATCTCAGAAGCTCCATCATCCACTTCTTAAGCCTGGTAAACACTTTTATTAGATAAGAGAGACAGTTTTGCATAAATGAACAAAAATCTAGATGAAAAGTTCTCGAATCCTGAATCACATCTTGCCATAACCTCTTACTAGCCGTGTGTTCTTGGACATCTTATGGACTGGAGTTTCCTTGTCTCTAAAATAATTATTCCATTTCCTTGTACTGCAGAAGCTCATGAAAAAGGTCAAATGAGATAGCGGGTGTATAAAGTGCTACACAAATGCAATGATGCTAATAGTAAATTATTGTTGATGTTTTCTTTGTTTCTGTACAGTTGACTCATTTGCTTTATCATTAATGATGAGGCATGAAAGAAATGCTGCTTGTTTTTAATGAACTATGGAAGACTAGGTGGAGCTGACGGGATGTTGGGATTTCAGGAAAGCTCTTTTAGGTTTCTGGAAATGATACTCATACCAATAGTTGTGAGCTTAGGTTGAAGAGCAATGTTGTATTTATACTATAATTTTTCTTCAAATAAACTGTGATAAAGATTTTGAATATTACTTTCATATTCTGAACTTCTCATGTACACTTGAAAAGAGTCATGAAATAGTAGTAGCGGTTGCCATTTATAGGGGTCGTAGGGTGTTGTTATGGTTAAATTTATAAATCCTTAAAATTATGATTTCTATCACAAAAATGCCTAAAAGGGTGCATTCTCTAGGTTTTTTCCTTCTTTCATTCCCTTCCTTCCCTCCCCTCCCTCCCTCCTTCCCCTCCCTCCCTTCCTTCCTTCCCTCTCCTTTCCTTTCTTCTCCTTTCCTTTTCCTTTTCCCTCTCCTCTCCTCTCCTCTCCTCTCCTCTCCTCCCCTCTCCTCTCCTCTCCTCTCCTCTCCTTTCATTTTTCCTTTCCTTTCTCTCGCTCTGTTGCTCAGGCTACAGTGCAGTGGCACAATCTCGGCTCACTGCAACCTCCACCTCCCGGGTCCAAGCGATTCTCATGCCTCAGCCTCCCAAGTAGCTGGGATTACAGGCGCCCTGCCACCACACCAGGATAATTTTTGTATTTTTAGTAGAGATGGGGTTTTGCCATGTTGGCCAGGCTGGTCTCGAACTCCTGACCTCAAATGATTTGCCCATTTTGGCTTCCCAAAGTGTTGGGATTACGGGCGTGAGCCACTGTGCCTAGCCCCTCTAGGTTTTCTTAAGAAAACCTATCTATTCCTCAAGTGCTTACTCTGCAAAGCCTAGGTCTGCCACCAAGGAATAAAAATATGGCTAAATGTACTTCCTTTCCTCCCAGAGTTCACTGTTCAATAGGGGACACAAACACATAAATAACTAGCTCTTGCACCAAGCGAAATGTACAGTGCGACAAAGGAGAGGTACAGATAGTAGGCTGTGGGCCCGAAGGAGGGTTTCCGTGGGCGTGAGTATGAAGGAGGGGTTTCCTGAAGGAGGGGGTATTTGAACAACCCTTTTGAAGACTAAAAGGATGTCCGCAAATGAAATTTAGGGTAGAAACATGCCAGAAAAAGGCACAGTGTTTTCAATACGCTAGGCATTTCTTAAACTATTTATAGCTGAGGTTATGGGAAAAGAGATAGTAGAAATATGAGAATATCTTCTCCAAAGATTCTATGCTAATATCCTGATCCATCTGACTATGCTTATTTGACTGCTTTTTGTGTTTGTCTTCTTCTTTACTGGATATCCTTTTTGCCGCTTCCTTTCTGGAATTTTCTTTCCTGGCCATTAGCCTCTCTCTCCTACACCGTTGCCTTACTCTCACTGCCATACTCCTTTGGACATCCTCCTTCTCTTGTTTCCTGATACTTTTACATCCCCTTCCATCCTTTACTCCTTAGCTTTTGTTTTTATTTGCAGTGTTAAAGATAGCCTCTTTTTATTTCCCTGTAGTGATTAGATCGACGTGTTTACAATATGAACACACACGTTTTCTCTTCTTCAGGCTCTGAGTCATCGAGTTCACAATGCCATGTCTAGTCAGTACTTCTATGTGTGTATAGTGCCCATTGTGGCCGAGTAGAGATAAGGTCACTGCGGAAGAAAATAAATCGCTAAAATCTGTTAGAATACGTCAGCTTCCAGGTTTGTCTGAGGATGCAGTGGAAACCACGTTCTGTGGCCAGCATGTCAGTAGCTTTTGATGATCAGAGCCTTCCATTTTGATACTTTAAAATAATGTAATCTAAGTTCACATCAACTGAATCCAGACAGTTTCACCATCCACCACATTATTAATTCCAGATGGGAAAATTCATTAGGGCTCAAATTTTGTTTGAGACCCAACTGTTTTTTAAATTATTATTACAATTATTATCTATTTATTTTATTTATTTTTTTTTTTTACAACTGATGGGAAGGGAAATTTAACAGCTGTGTGATTAGCAGGGCATGAAATTAAAAACGTTTTGCACAGAATCAAGAGGTTGTTTACTACAGAATTTGTCATCTGAGAATTAAGTGTCATTAAGACTGCCCACAGGATGATCTCTTTCACCATTCAAGCTTTGATTTCCACGCCCGGTTTTTTGCTAAAAGGCCTTTAACCTTTTCTGGAAGGAAAATGCATGTGGATTTATCACGAAGGTACCATCAGCATTTCAAATGCTAAGTCAAGGTAAAAACGACACTCTTGTCTGTCACAAAATAACAGTACAACTAGATGTTCAGCCTCACTGCTCTCAGCAAAGAGTGAGTTCCAATTTGAGGAAATCAGGTAAATTAGAAAAGGCTGCAGCTGGATTAGTGGCTTCACTCTTTCCCTCTAAAACTGTAGGAGTTTCATATTTCCATCAAGGCAGCTCAGGTCCCTAGAGCATGATGTTTACCCTTACATTTTCCTAGGTGTATGGGCTCTTTACGTCTTTGGTCTCTTTGCAAACGCCCTCCTTCGACTGAGCTCTAGAAAGTACTCTGTCCTGGGCTGAGCGCAGTGGCTCAAGCCTGTAATCCCAGCACTTTGGGAGGCCAAGGCGGGCAGATCACGAGGTCAGGAGTTCAAGACCAGCCTGGCCAACATGGTGAAACCCCGTCTCTACTAAAAATACAAAAATTAGCCAGGCATGATGGCGGGCTCCTGTAATCCCAACTACTAGGGAGGCTGAGGCAGAAGAATCCCTTGATCCTGGGAGGTAGAGGTTGCAGTGAGTTGAGATGGTGCCACTGCACTCCAGCCTGGACGAAAGAGTGAAAACTCCCTCCCAAAAAAAAAAAAAAAAAAAAAAATACTATGTACTTGTTCCTTTGGGCAAGATGTTGGCAGTTTTCTGCAGAAGCGTGGTCAAGCACATTAGCTGGACTGTCTTGGTCGAGGTTTGAAGGCAATGCCATTTGCTTGGGCAAGTTACATGGACTCTCTGCAGTTCATTTGCCTCATCATCCTCCAACTTAATGAAGGTAATGACAGTATCTACCTCAAGGATTACTTTGGGGATTCAGAGTTATTACCAAAAATGTTTAAGGCCCTGCCCGACTCATTGTTTATGCTCAGTTAATGTTAGCTATCTCCATGCTTTTCAGTCAATATATTGCATTGTGTTTGGAAGTCTTCATATCTAGTTTCATACCTGACACAGACTTGCTTAACTTCTGCCCTGGAATCTTTTTGCTATCCCTGTCTTACTGTCTTTAATAGAGCCTTTCTTATTTGATACTTATTTATATACTTGCCTTCGTTCGTTTTTTAGACAAATTTTATTTTCATATTTGTTGAATTAAACCAGACACAGCTTCTACACTTATGGGGTTTCCTTTCTGGGAGAATGGGGCTGGTGACAATTAATGCAGAAAACTTCTATTGGAGATAGACATGCAAAAACACTCAGAGATAGAGTTGAGGAATTTGTAGTCATTAGAGGAGAGAGATGTTAGTTTTGGCTGGGATTGGAGTTAAATGGAGAGAAAATAAAGGAAGACTTTCTGGAGGAGGAGGGTTTTGATCTGGAACCTGCACGCTCATTAGAATTTGAATTCGACCTGGCAGAAAGGGGAAAAGACTTCCCAGGCTGAGTGAAGTTTTGGAGCTGCACATTTTATTTTATTTTTCATATTTGTTTCCTGCTGCCCTCTGGCCACCATTCAGACCGTTTGGAGGCCTGTTATTGTAGGTGGGACCTAAGTTCCAGCACCAGTAGATGTGTGAGTGAGGCTTTTATAGTATTGATGTCTTGTATTTAAAATGAACAGAGGAAGAAGCCCTGGAGTCCATTCTAATAAATGTATTTCAAAGGGGGCTTTCTTCTTTTGTCTGAGTGAGAGGCAGGAATAGGAATGACAGAGGCAGCAAGTGTTGGATGTCTGTAGAAGAATCATAGAGTTCTCTTTAGAGCACTAAACAGAGGGCTAATAAAGGGCTATTGAGTCCTCCTTATGTTTTTTTCCTCTCTCAGATGAGTTTTAAGGGTAATAGAAGCGCTTTTTTTTTTTTTTCTGGTGACCTCTTAATCTTACTTTTCTCTCTTTATCTCTTCCTTTTCCTAGAAGCTAATATTAAAACCACTCTTGTCCTCTGCCATTAAAAATAAATCTGGGTAGGTTTCAGCAAGAGAGTATTTCCTAGAATGCATTATATTCTGGGCAGTAGAAGTGTATGTTTAAATACTTTTCCTGTAGAAGGTCATTATGACAACAGAGGATGCCACCAGCAACCCTGCAGTATGTGGTGAATGTGTTTCCACGCTGTGTCTGTCTCGCCTCTGCTCTCTGCCATGTCAAGCTGATTTTAAGTTTACCGTCACTTTTAGTATGTGACTTGATGAGGCACCATAATGTGTGTGTTGCTGGCCAAACATTACATGTCATGACTGTAGAATCATGAGACTGGAGTTTTAGCCTAGACCTTAGAACACGTACCTGCAAGAGGTAGTTATTCGAGCAGCAGTCTTTGTGAGACTGGAATTCAGGCACAGGGAACACTTGTTCCTAAGTTGCTGCCCCGTTGCTCAAAACATCTTGGTAATGTCTTTCTTTCTTTCTTTTCTTCTTCTTTTTTTTTTTTTTTACTCTGTTGAATGTTATCTTTTATTTTGTTTTTATTAAAAAATCAATTTCCAGCTTTATCAGGATATAATTGACGAAACAAAAGTTATGTATAGTTAAGGTATACAACATATTTTGAGGTACATTGCATTGTGAAATGATTACCCTAGTCAAGCTAATTAACATAGGCATCACCTCACAGTTACCTTTCTGTGTATGTGGTGAGAACGTTTAAGATTTACTCTATTAGCAAATTTCAAGTGTACAATACAGTATTAACTACAGCCACCGCACTGTGTATTAAATCTCCAGAATTATTCATTTGGTATCACTGGATCTCCCTTTGACCAAGAACCAAGATCTCCTCATTCCCCTGGTCCCGGTAGCCATCATTTTGCTCTGCTTCTATGTGTTTGACTTTTTTAATTTGCACATATCAGTGAGGTCACGCAGTGTTTGTTTTTCTGTGCCTGGCTTAGTTCCTTAAGCAACATTTCCTCCAGATTCATCCATCTTCTCGTAAATGACAGGATTTCCTTCTTTGTTAAGGCTGAATAACATTCCACGTGGTAATACACCGCATTTTCTTTATTCACTCTTCAAATGATGGACATTTAGATCGATTCCACATCCTGGCTATTGTGAATAACGCAGCAGTGAACATGGGAGTGCAGGTGTCTCCTTGAGACACTGATTTTGCCTTAGAGGGGATTCTGGGGCTGGGCTCCGTGGTGAAGGGCACTCTCTTTCCCTCACCTGGAGGTTATGTCAGCGGTGTGCTGGGGGTTGTACAGGTCATGTTAAGCTGTCCTTCCTGCCTTCCTCAATGCGTCATTTCTTATTTCTATGTTCCACCCAGGTGCTGCACTCTCGCCTGAATTCCTTAACGTGTGTGAGGTATTTTGGTGTGTGGCTAGTTGTTTAGAAGTTTCTGAGAGGGAATGAGTGCTGGAAACTCTATTTTGTCATTTGCCAATGTAACCCCACATTGGAATTGTCTTCAGAGATAATGAAGAGCCACTGCTAAAATCACAGACTCATGAGATGTGAAAGCGGGGAATCTGTTTAGCTCACATGCGTGTGAGAAAGCTGAGACCCTGAGACAAATATTGGCCTGTGCTGCAGGCTTTCAGTTAGACAGGGACAGCATCAGTTCTCATTCCCTTGTTAGCTCTATGCCTGATGTCTTCTCACTGTTTTGCTGCATTATAAAGAATTGATTTTTTTTTTTTTTGAGACAGAGTCTCGCTCTGTCGCCCAGGCTGGAGTGCAGTGGTGCGATCTCGCCTCACTGCAAGCTCCGCCTCCTGGGTTCAAGTCATTCTCCTGCCTCAGCCTCCCGAATAGGTGGGACTACAGGCACCCGCCACCATGCCCGGCTAATTTTTTGTATTTTTAGTAGAGACGGGGTTTCACCATGTTAGCCAGGATGGTCTCGATCTCCTGACCTCATGATCCACCCACCTTGGCCTCCCAAAGTGCTGGGATTACAGGCGTGAGCCACTGCACCTGGCCAGAAAGTTGATTCTTAGTTAAGCCTATGAATAGTTAGAAAAAAAAAAGAGAAGAGAGAAAGTTCCCCTTAGCATGGCCTATTATCACAGGGTATGTTTGTAGCAGAGGGAGAACCCAGTCCTTATAGAGTGGGTTATGGCTTCTTCTACATTCCAAGAAAATCTCAAGAAGTAGAAATCACTCTGAGTGTCAAATATTTTAGTTGCCTATTGTCACATCTATTATAAAATAGATCTGGTATAGATAAAAATAGAGTTAAACATACTAGTTAATAGATATATCTGGTGTGGATAAAAATAGAATTTAGCATACTAGTTAATATATAAATATGATGTCGATAAAAATAGAGTTAAATGTACAAGTTCCTAATTGGATTGTAGAACTTAACATTCAGGAGTAAGGATGCTGTCAAGTCTAAAGCTATGCCCTTATCCTAGTCAGTTGTTATATTCATGGCAGCCTTTTCTAAAATGTGCTCCATGAAATACTAGATTCATAAATGGTCAAATCACTGTGGGACTCTTGCTATTATTTCCACCCATTGTGGAGATTCTTGATGCATCCCCAACAAGTTTAACTCTGAGAAGTCGAACAGGCAAAAGCAATAAGCACAACTTTCTTTTCTCTTATGTTAGATTCAGGTTTTGTCCAATTTATTTTATAATGGAACCATTTTGTGGATGATTTCCCAGACTTGTGTTCTGTGGAACATTCTTTGGATAGCATGACTTTATTGTTAAAATTCTTAAGGTTCACATCTGTCATCTTATAATAATCTTGTGTGAAATATAAAGTCATTTGGGCTAAACTGTAGACCTCCATCTGCCCTCCCTTCCCCACAGGAGAAATTACAGGTTTATTTAAGGATCAAACAGTTTTGAAATGAAATGTTGTTAGGAGGGGGAAATAAAAACCTTTCAGAGCTTAATAATTGTAGAAAGAAGACAGTGTTATACCGGCCAAACCAATTTTGTGAATTAGCACTTTAACTCAGAGAGTTGTTCCTGAAAATAGCTTGTTTTTAAGCAAAACTTTGTTGGCTTCTGGTGGTACACTTTTTCACCATCAAAGGCACAAATATGGGTGATTTTAAACTGTGGCATACTTTTTTTGCATTCAAAACCAGGGCTTGTGGAAGAAACAACACCCTTTTTTAACTTTTCAGAAACAGTTGGCTTGACCATCATGGCTTTTTTTTTTTCCCCTATGTCTTTAGGATATTAGCTTTTCGTTAAGCTGGAAGGGTCCTCAGAGATCTTGTCCAAGCCCACCCTTGACAGATGAAGAAATAGAGGGCCAGAAGGCTTTAGTAATCTTTCCAAGTCTTTTTATTAGTTACTGACAAAATCAGAACTAAAGTCAAGGTCTCTTACTTACCTGTCATTTACCTGTTCAATGCCTCTTTTGTTTGTACACTCTGTTAAAAAGAAAGAGGTTAACTGTTTCTTTTGGTTATAACTGTTATACTACAAACACACACACACTCTCACACACACACACACACACACACACACACACACACACAGAGAGAGAGAGAGAGAGAGAGAGAGAGAACAGATGAAAGCCATGATTAGGAACATTTTATGCTCAAGGTGAGAAGACCCTCTATAGGACCTCGAATGTCTTCTTTTCTAAAGAACTTCATCTACCTCGGGTCAGTCCTTTGATACTATTCACTTTGAAAACTGGTTTACCTGAAAGGAAGAGGTGTGTGTGAAAGAGAGGGTCACCCGCCACATTTTATCTCTCTGTCTTATTTCAGGCAGACAGATTCACTACATCAAGATGGTGTTTACAGTTATCGCCATGAGATGAACTAGCTCATCTCCAAGTGCTTAAGGGATATTGCCTGGTTATAAATCATCATGTGATTCTCTCTCCTCCCACCCCCATTTACAGCTTCTTTCTTCTTTCTCCACTGCCCATGTCTAAACCTGGGGAACTATCTCACTGCATAGACAGAAAAGGAAGGTCAGATCCAAGGTAGATCTTTCTTTCTGCTAGGTTTAACCTAGTGATAGCAACAAAAACAGTTCTTATGCCTCTGAGTTTCTTGTTTTAGGCAGAAGCATTTGATAGGTTGGGGATCACAGGAAAGTTTTTTTTTTTTTAAATTCTCCATTAAGAAGATGCTAATGTACTTGTGAAGGCAAGTACATTAAGCTTAGTAATGGAAGATATGGGTTCTAAGCTGCACCTCTCTGCCAACTAGTAGTGAGATCCTGGGGAAATCAAACAATCGTTTGGAACCACATGTGGCCTAGTCTTTTCATTATGACTTCAGGAGTCATAATTCTTGTCTTGTCAACCTCCTGGGGTTGTTGTGAGGATTAAGTGAGATAATAGATATGAAAAGGCTTGTAAACTACAAAGCATCTCATACATATGTGTAAGGCATTGTTATTATCAATAATAATAGCAACCACACACTGCTGCCTTTGAGCTAGGTACTGTTTTAAGTGCTTTCCGTCGATAAGCTCACTTAATTCTGACAGCAACTCTAGTGTACCAATGACCAGTGCTGGGCGCTGTGAATCAGCAGGACTGGCAGCTCACCCTGATTAGCTGGTGATTTCCTGTGTTCTTGGGCATGTCCTTTCCCTTCCCTAGGCCTGAATTTTACTCTTTGTAAAAGAATCACAGACTCAGGTTGGATGGAAGGATTCTTCTGTTCTGTCATTTGTGATTTTGTCAGGCAGTCATTGGCCCCACAGGCTAAGTCACTGATTATTTCTATTTATTTATTTATCTGAGACAGAGTCTCTCTCTGTTGCCCAGGCTGGAGTGCAGTGGCAGGATCTCGGCTCACTGCAACCTCCACCTTCCGGATTCAAGCAGTTCTCTGCCTCAGCCTCCCGAGTAGCTGGGATTACAGGTGCCTACCACCACACCCAGCTAATTTTTGTATTTTTAGTAGAGACGGGGTTTTACCGTCTTGGTATGACTGGTCTTGAACTCCTGACCTCTTGATTCACCTGCCTCGGCCTCCCAAAGTGTTGGGATTACAGGCGTGAGTCACCACACCTGGCCAGTCACTAATTATTAATCACAGCCCACATTTAACTGAGTACAGTCATTAGTTTCATTCTACAGCTATACAGAGAGCTCATGTAAATTCCTGAAGGCTGCACCGCCTACAAGTGGTGGGGCTGGAGTTCGCACGTTGCTCTTGTGCCCTGGAGTGATGGCAGCAAGATAGATGTGGGTAACTCTCTAGCAATCCCAGGTGTGTTATGTTGTCAGCATCCTCATCTAATCAACATGATGATTATCATTGAGCCTTTTAGGTTTTCAGTTGTTGTTATCATTTAACTCCTCAATTAGATTCCGAGCATCTCGATGGTAGGTTTTCTGTACTGCAATGTGTATTGCCAGTGTTTTATGCAAGATATGATGCAGGCTAGTGTCTCACAGTTTACGCAATTTGTTTTCCGTCCATCCTTTCGATCCTTTGAGCCTCTCAAGGAAGCCTGGGTTGGCATCTGCCCAACTGTGTTGGGCAGAATGGTTTTTTTCTCGTTGCCCGACATGGGGCTGGGAAAGCCATTTGAGGAGGTCGCTGTGGCATGAATCTGGACAAGTCTTTCTATAGGGGAAACCTGTTTCAAGCTGTGGCTCTTTCACTTTCTACATGGCATATGGACCCTGATTTTTCTCACGCCTGCGTAACTCTACTGGTGTCTCTTGGCTGTCGCAGCTTTGTTTTGCTTTGCCATTGTTTTATTTTATTTTTTCTGAAGACTTGGTTTTCTTGGGCTCTGCTTATATACAACACAAAATTTGTAGACCATTTGCTTATGGGAAAGAGTCACACCCACGGAAATTGGGAGAAAATTAACTCTTGGAGCCCAAAGAAACTGACATAAATCTTATACCACGAACATCTTCAATTTCCGACTTTGCCTTCCTTCTCTGTATGGTGCTGTACCAAGATCTCTTATTGGGACCAGGTTTCATGGAGGGTTACTGGTAACTATTAACCCACTCAATGTACTTATTTTACCATTAACCTATCATGAATAGCCTGTCCAATCCCCATTAAATGACCCACTATGGGGGTCATTAATTCATTTATTTATATATGAATTATCTACATTCATTTATATATGAATTATTAGATATTATCTACACTGAACCAGGCAAAATTGGGGATACCAAAATGAATTAGACACAGTTCCTGCTTTCAAAAACCTCATACTCTGAAGAGGGGAGATTTGTTAATTCTGTCAAGTCATCTTTGATGCCTACCATGACCAGGTATCAGACATGCCACTGGAACTGTGGACATCTGGCAGGTACAAGCCTATTCATCACAGGGTTTCAGGTCTAGGGAAGAAAAACATCATATTAATAATTTTACAAATAATTATGTAGTTATAGTTGTGATAGGTGCCACAGAGGAAAGACTGAGTGGTGGGAAAATATATATATATATATATATATATATTTTTTTTTTTTTTTTTTTTTTTTTTTTTTGAGATGGAGACTTGCTCTTGTCGCCCAGGCTGGAGTGCAGTGGCGCGATCTCAACTCACCACAACCTCTGCTTCCTGGGTTCAAACGATTCTCCTGCCTCAGCCTCCCAAGCAGCTGGGATTGCAGGTGTGCACCACGACACCTGGCTAATTATTTTTGTATATTTAGTAGAGACGGGGTTTCGCCATGTTGGCCAGGCTGGTCTTGAACTCCTGACCTCAAGTGATCCGCCCGTCTTGGCTTCCCAAACTGCTGGGATTACAGACGTGAGCCACTATGCCAGGCCAGTTGTGGGAATTTTATAAGGGCTTTTTCTTTTCTTTTTTTTTTTCTCCCTCTGGCCTAGTTTGTGGGGAGAGGTATGTTTCCCCAAAGATGTGGAGTTAGCCTGTTGATGTAGGCATGGGAGAGTGAGCTTAGACAGAGATGCCTCTCATATAAGGTAGAAAGCCTTCCATGCCCAACCCAAGTGTTGTAGAAGTTGAAAGGGGAAAAAACTTTTTCAAAATTGGCTTGACAGCAAAACTCCTCTCAGTGTCTTCTTTTTTGTCCCCCTCTATAAATGGTAGGTTTTCGTAGTATCATGACCCTTTTTAGTAATTATAAATTAATATAAGATAAATTTATGGTATTCCTTACTATATAGATTTGTTAAAATAATTCACGATATTTCATATGTACACACAAGCTCCTTCAATCCAATTAGTAAGAAAAACACTTCATGTCACTGTTAAATAACATGAAAATAAACAACTGGTTAAAAAACAAAACCCAAATACAAAGCGTTGAGCTTCCTACTGGAATCTGAATCTGGGAGTGTCTTGTTGTAAGAAATGTTTTCAGACCTATCATTTTCTTTTGTTTCTTTTTCTTTTTTTCTAAACAGACTCTTGTCAGTTCTCTTCTGATTAGTGTTCCCCTGGGCTTTTCTTCCCAAAATAAAGTTAAGTGCATTCAAGTTTCTGGGATCTTCTTTACATCCTTTTGAAAATGCAGAGTAAATATTATGTTGGCTTCTTTTTGTTTTTTTTTTTTAAATTTTATTATTATTATACTTTAAGTTTTAGGGTACATGTGTACAACGTGCAGGTTTGTTACATATGTATACATGTGCTATGTTAGTGTGCTGCACCCATTAACTCGTCATTTAGCATTAGGTGTATCTCCTAATGCTATCCCTCCCACCTCCCCTAACCCCACAACAGGCCCCGGTGTGTGATGTTCCCCTTCCTGTGTCCATGTGTTCTCATTGTTCAATTCCCACCTATGAGTGAGAACATGCGGTGTTTGGTTTTTTGTCCTTGAGATAGTTTGCTGAGAATGATGGTTTCCAGCTTCATCCATGTCCCTACAAAGGACATGAACTCATCATTTTTATGGCTGCATAGTATTCCATGGTGTATATGTGTCACATTTTCTTAATCCAGTCTATTGTTGTTGGACATTTGGGTTGGTTCGAAGTCTTTGCTATTGTGAATAGTGCCGCTATAAACATACGTGTGCATGTGTCTTTATAGCAGCATGATTTATAATCCTTTGGGTATAAACCCAGTAATGGGATGGCTGGGTCAAATGGTATTTCTAGTTCTAGATCCCTGAGGAATCGCCACACTGACTTCCACAATGGTTGAACTAGTTCACAGTCCCACCAAAAGTGTAAAAGTGTTCCTATTTCTCCACATCTTCTCCAGCACCTGTTGTTTCCTGACTTTTTAATGATCACCATTCTAACTGGTGTGAGATGGTATCTCATTGTGGTTTTGATTTGCATTTCTCTGATGGCCAGTGATGATGAGCCTTTTTTCATGTGTTTTTTGGCTGCATAAATGTCTTCTTTTGAGAAGTGTCTGTTCATGTCCTTCTCCCACTTTTTGATGGGGTTGTTTGTTTTTTTCTTGTAAATTTGTTTGAGTTCATTGTAGATTCTGGATATTAGCCCTTTGTCAGATGAGTAGGTTGCAAAAATTTTCTCCCATTCTGTAGGTTGCCTGTTCACTCTGATGGTAGTTTCTTTTGCTGTGCAGAAGCTCTTTAGTTTATTTAGATCCCATTTGTCAATTATGGCTTTTGTTGCCATTGCTTTTGGTGTTTTAGACATGAAGTCCTTGCCCATGCCTATGTCCTGAATGGTATTGCCTAGGTTTTCTTCTAGGGTTTTTATGGTTTTAGGTCTAACGTTTAAGTCTTTAATCCATCTTGAATTAATTTTTGTATAAGGTGTAAGGAAGGGATCCAATTTCAGCTTTCTATATATGGCTGGCCAGTTTCCCCAGCACCATTTATTAAATAGGGAATCCTTTCCCCATTATTTGTTTTTGTCAGGTTTGTCAAAGATCAGATAGTTGTAGATATGCGGCATTATTTCTGAGGGCTCTGTTCTGTTCCATTGGCCTATATCTCTGTTTTGGTACCCGTACCATGCTGCTTTGGTTACTGTAACCTTGTAGTATAGTTTGAAGTCAGGTAGCGTGATGCCTCTGGCTTTGTTCTTTTGGCTTAGGATTGACTTGGCGATGCAGGCTGTTTTTTGGTTCCAGATGAACTTTAAAGTAGTTTTTTCCAATTCTGTGAAGAAAGTCATTGGTAGCTTGATGGGGATGGCATTGAATCTATAAATTACCTTTGGCAGTATGGCCATTTTCATGATATTGATTCTTCCTACCCGTGAGCATGGAATGTTCTTCCATTTGTTTGTATCCTCTTTTATTTCCTTGAGCAGTGGTTTGTAGTTCTCCTTGAAGAGGTCCTTCACATCCCTTGTAAGTTGGATTCCTAGGTATTTTATTCTCTTTGAAGCAATTGTGAACGGGAGTTCACTCATGATTTGGCTCTCTGTTTGTCTGTTATTGGTGTATAAGAATGCTTGTGATTTTTGTACAATGATTTTGTATCCTGAGACTGCTGAAGTTGCTTATCAGCTTGAGGAGATTTTGGGCTGAGATGATGGGGTTTTCTAGATATACAATCATGTCGTCTGCAAACAGGGCCAATTTGACTTCCTTTTTTCCTAATTTAATACCCTTTATTTCCTTCTCCTGCCTGATTGCCCTGGCCAGAACTTCCAACACTACGTTGAATAGGAGTGGGGAGAGAGGGCATCCCTGTCTTGTGCCCATTTTCAAAGGGAATGCTTCCAGTTTTTGCCCATTCAGTATGATATTGGCTGTGGGTTTGTCATAGATAGCTCTTATTATTTTGAGATACGTCCCATCAATACCTAATTTATTGAGAGTTTTTAGCATGAAGCGTTGTTGAATTTTGTCAAAGGCCTTTTCTGCATCTATTGAGATAATCATGTGGTTTTTGTCTTTGGTTCTGTTTATATGCTGGATTACATTTATTGATTTGTGTATGTTGAACCAGCCTTGCATCCCAGGGATGAAACCCACTTGATCATGGTGGATAAGCTTCTTGACGTGCTGCTGGATTCGGTTTGCCAGTATTTTATTGAGGATTTTTGCATCAATGTTCATCAAGGATATTGGTCTAAAATTCTCTTTTTTGGTTGTGTCTCTGCCAGGCTTTGGTATCAGGATGATGCTGGCCTCATAAAATGAGTTAGGGAGGATTCCCTCTATTTCTGTTGATTGCAATAGTTTCAGAAGGAATGGTACCAGCTCCTCTTTGCACCTCTGGTAGAATTCGGCTGTGAATCCATCTGGTCCTGAACTTTTTTTGGTCAGTAAGCTATTGATTATTGCCTCAATTTCAGAGCCTGTTATTGGTCTGTTCAGAGATTCAGCTTCTTCCTTGTTTAGGCTTGGGAGGATGTATGTGTCGAGGAATTTATCCATTTATTCTAGATTTTCTAGTTTATTTTAGAAGAGGTGTTTGTAGTACTCTCTGATGGTAGTTTGTATTTCTGTGGGATTGGTGGTGATATCCCCTTTATCATTTTTTATTGCGTCTATTTGATTCTTCTCTTTTCTTCTTTATTAGTCTTGCTAGTGGTCTATCGGTTTTGTTTATCTTTTAAAAAAACCAGCTCCTGGATTCATTAATTTTTTGAAGGGTTTTTTTGTGTCTCTATTTCCTTCATTCTGCTCTGATCTTAGTTATTTCTTGCCTTCTGCTAGCTTTTGAATGTGTTTGCTCTTGCTTTTCTAGTTCTTTTAATTGTGATGTTAGGGTGTCAATTTTAGATCTTTCCTGCTTCTCTTGTGGGCATTTAGTGCTATAAATTTCCCTCTACACACTGCTTTGAATGTGTCCCAGAGATTCTGGTATGTTGTGTCTTTGTTCTCGTTGGTTTCAAAGAACATCTTTATTTCTGCCTTCATTTCATTATTTACCCAGTAGTCATTCAGGAGCAGGTTGTTCAGTTTTCACGTAGTTGAGCTGTTTTGAGTGAGTTTCTTAATCCTGAATTCTAGTTTGATTGCACTGTGGTCTGAGAGACAGTTTGTTATAATTTCTGTTCTTTTACATTTGCTGAGGAGTGCTTTACTTCCAACTATGTGGTCAATGTTGGAGTAGGTGTGGTGTGGTGCTGAAAAAAATGTGTATTCTGTCGATTTGGGGTGGAGAGTTCTGTAGATGTCTATTAGGTCTGCTTGGTGCAGAGCTGAGTTCAATTCCTGGGTATCCTTGTTAACTTTCTGTCTTGTTGATCTGTCTAATGTTGACAGTGGGGTGTTAAAGTCTCCCATTATTATTGTGTGGGAGTCTAAGTCTCTTTGTAGGTCACTAAGGACTTGCTTTATGAATCTGGGTGCTCCTATATTGGGTGCATATATATTTAGGATAGTTAGCTCTTCTTGTTGAATTGATCCCTTTACAATTATGTAATGGCCTTCTTTGTCTCTTTTGATCGTTGTTGGTTTAAAGTCTGTTTTATCAGAGACTAGGATTGCAACCCCTGCCTTTTTTTGTTTTCCATTTGCTTGATAGATCTTCCTCCATGCCTTTATTTTGAGCCTATGTGTGTCTCTGCACGTGAGATGGGTTTCCTGAATACAGCACACTGATGGGTCTTGACTCTTTATCCAATTTGCCAGTCTGTGTCTTTTAGTTGGAGCATTTAGTCCATTTACATTTAAGTTTAATATTGTTATGTGTGAATTCGATCCTGTCATTATGATGTTAGCTGGTTATTTTGCTCGCTAGTTGATGCAGTTTCTTCCTAGCCTTGATGGTCTTTACAATTTGGCATGTTTTTGCAGTGGCTGGTACTGGTTGTTCCTTTCCAGGTTTAGTGCTTTCTTCAGGAGCTCTTGTAAGGCAGGCCTGGTAGTGACAAAATCTCTCAGCATTTGCTTGTCTGTAAAGTATTTTATTTCTCCTTCACTTATGAAGCTTAGTTTGGCTGGATATGAAATTCTGGGTTGAAAATTCTTTTCTTTAAGAATGTTGAATATTGGTCCCCGCTCTCTTCTGGCTTGTAGAGTTTCTGCCGAGAGATCTGCTGTTAGTCTGATGTGCTTCCCTTTGTGGGTAACCTGACCTTTCTCTCTGGCTGCCCTTAACATTTTTTCCTTCATTTCAACTTTGGTGAATCTGACAAATATATGTCTTGGAGTTGCTCTTCTCGAGGAGTATCTTTGTGGCATTCTCTGTATTTCCTGAATTTGAATGTTGGCCTGCCTTGCTAGATTGGGGAAGTTCTTCTGGATAATATCCTGCCGAGTGTTTTCCAACTTGGTTTCATTCTCCCCGTCACTTTCAGGTACACCAATCAGACGTAGATTTGGTCCTTTCACATAGTCCCATATTTCTTGGAGGCTTTGTTCATTTCTTTTTATTCCTTTTTCTCTGAACTTCTCTTCTCACTTCATTTCATTCATTTTGTCGTCCATCACTTATACCCTTTCTTCCAGTTGATCGCATCGGCTACTGAGGCTTCTGCATTCGTCACGTAGCTCTTGTGCCTTGGTTTTCAGCTCCATCAGGTCCTTTAAGGACTTCTCTGCATTGGTTATTCTAGTTATCCATTCGTCTAATTTTTTTTCAAAGCTTTTAACTTCTTTGCCATTGGTTTGAATTTCCTCCTGTAGCTTGGAGTAGTTTGATCATCTGAAGCCTTCTTCTCTCAACTTGTCAAAGTCATTCTCCGTCCAGCTTTATTCCATTGCTGGTGAGGAGCTGTGTTCCTTTGGAGGAGGAGTGGCGCTCTGATTTTTAGAGTTTCCAGTTTTTCTGCTCTGTTTTTTTCCCATCTTTGTGGTTTTATGTACCTTTGGTCTTTGATGATGGTGACATACAGGTGGGTTTTTGGTGTGGATGTCCTGTCTGTTTGTTAGTTTTCCTTCTAACAGACAGGACCCTCAGCTGCAGGTCTGTTGGAGTTTGCTAGAGGTACACTCCAGTCCCTGTTTGTCTAAGTATCAGCAGCGGTGGCTGCAGAACAGCGGATATTGGTGAACCGCAAATGCTGCTGCCCGATCATTCCTCTGGAAGTTTTGTCTCAGAGGAGTACCCGGCCGTGTGAGGTGTCCGTCTGCCCCTACTGGGGGGTGCCTCCCAGTTAGGCTACTTGCGGGTCAGGGACCCACTTGAGGAGGCAGTCTGCCCATTCTCAGATCTCAAGCTGCATGCTGGGAGAACCTCTACTCTCTTCAAAGCTGTCAGAGAGGGACATGTAAGTCTGCAGAGGTTACTGCTGTCTTTTTGTTTGTCTGTGCCCTGCCCCCAGAGGTGGAGCCTACAGAGGCAGGCAGGCCTCCTTGAGCTGTGGTGGGCTCCACCGAGTTCAAGCTTCCTGGCCGCTTTGTTTACCTAATCAAACAACTAACTGGGCAATGGCAGGCGCCCCTCCCCCAGCCTCACTGCCGCCTTGTTGTTTGATCTCGGACCGCTGTGCTAGCAATGAGTGAGACTCCATGGGCTTAGGACCCTCCGAGCCAGGTGGGGGATATAATCTCCTGATGTGCCATTTTTAAAGCCCATTGGAAAAGCTCAGTATTAGGGTGGGAGTGACCTGATTTTCCAGGTGCCGTCTGTCATCCCTTTCTTTGACTAGGAAAGGGAATTCCCTGACCCCTTGCAATTCCTGGGTGAGGTGATGCCTCACCCTGCTTCGGCTCGTGCACGGTGCACTGCACCCACTCTGCTGCACCTACTCTCTGGCACTCCCCAGTGAGATGAACCCGGTACCTCAGTTGGAAATGCAGAAATCACCCATCTTCTGCGTCGCTCCCTCTGGGAGCTGTAGACTGGAGGTGTTCCTATTCGGCCATCTTGGCTCCTCCTCCCTATGTTCCAGACATATCATTTTCATTCCACATGTATTTCTTTGTTTATTGAGTGCCTTCCATGTGTTAATTACTTTATTGGATTCCTGGGGGTGAGAAGGGGAAGGGTGTGGGCAGGGCCACTGCTTACAGCTGCTCAAGTTGTGCCTTGCTTGAGGGCAGGAGCGCAAGTGGGGCTGAAGTCCTGCCCTCCCCACTAGCCAGGCCAAGATAAGGACCATTTTCTTTCTTTTTTTTTTTCTTCCTAATTTGCACAAAAGATACTAATGATTAACAGAGATCCTGGTATGGAAACATAAGACACAAGTTTGGTTTTGTCTGAAAGCACTGGTAGTTTAGTTGGTGAGGCAGCCACAAAACTAACCAAAAGTAATTATATTGCCAGCCACAATGAAATATATTAACCAGAGATACAAATGACATTCTGAGGGGGCTTGGTGGAAGTAGTTTAACCCTGATAGGGTGGGGAGAATCAATTCTTACAACTTTCGAAGAGACTAGTTGGATGGGCAAGTTTTCTTAATAGCTTTATTGAGACATAATTTAATTAATTAACTCAAAGAGTAGAATTCAGTAATTTTTAATATATTCATAGAGTTACACAGCCGTCACCAAGATCAATTTTAGAATATGTCCCTCACCAAAAAACAAACAAACAAAACCAAAACAACAACAACAACAAAAACACATAGTGGTCGTTTCTTATTTCTCCCAAATCTCTTGCATCCGGTACTAAGCAACCACGAATCTACTTTATAATCTGTGAAGTTGCCCATTCTGGACATTTTATATAAATGTCCATACATTTATATAAACATCATACAACATCATACAATATGTAGTCTTTTGTTACTTTGTTTCTTTCAGTTAGGTTTTCAAGATTCATCTATGTTGCAGCATGATAAGTAGGCTTTTGATTGGTGAAGAATAGAAGCAAGTTTACCCCAAAATGATGCATTAGGGAGAGCTAAGAGATTAACCTTTGTAAGAAACCACGGTCTGTGTTTGAAAGGTTGAAAGTAGACTATTGGGTCTGCTGACTAGGGCCTGTAGGGAATGTTACAGGAATTGAAGTTAGAAATATAAGTTGGGAGCAGATCATGGAGATTATGAATGCTTGGACTTTTTCTGAGATGCAGATGTTTTTGAGAGGGGAATGATATGACTAGAGATGTGTATTTTTCTCCCCCATAATGAGAAAAATTGATGAAGCTGTAAGGTCCCCCAGGTTGGTAGTGGAGAACCAGGTGTGAAATCATGAACAACTCCCTCCCAAGTACTTTTCCCTCATATTCCACTGCCTCTTACTTTTTATGTTTGTTAGCTGGAGCAAGTAGAAAAAGCACAGATGATTTGTTTTCTGTTATAATTATTTTTTAAACTACTAGAGGCATGGTGGAAAATTAAACTCGATAGATTATAGTTATAAATGTTGTTCTTTGGGCACTTGCCATGAGGCAGCATTTTCATGGCAAACCCTACTTTGTATATTTTTGTCATATTATGAGAAAGAGGCCCTCTTCTGGGTCACATGTTTGCCTCTGCAGGACTCTGACCTGTCATTTTAGATATTGAGTCTATCCTTGTTTTGATTTCCTTTGGACTCATGGCCTTGAGTATGTCCCTTATGTTCATTTGACAGATTCCTGCCAATCAAATGGAAGACAAAGCTATCCCGAGGGTAGTTGGCCTGTGTTTGCATCTCTTGTAGCCAAGAGAAATCCCTCATTGCTTGTTTCTGAGCTACTCATGTCACAGACTTTTGCAAGAGGAAGGATTTTTGAGATTACATGGTTCAAATGTTATTAAATTAAGGTTTAGTGGTCCATGAACCTCCTGAAATTGTTTGCAAAATTATCTTTAATTGTGTGGAGGTGTATTTTTCTCCCCCATAAAATTCTCAGATGGATTGCATCCCTGTAAGGGGGAAGAATCATTTATCCACCAACAATATTGAACTTTTATTGAGTATTTACACTATGCCTTGTAGAAGACTTGTGTTATCTCATTCAGTCTTTACAGCCCATTCTCATGGATTAGGAAACTGAATCATACAGTAGTTAAGTTGACTTGCCCAAGGTCACAGAGCTAGTAGGTGACAGAACCTAGATTCAGACCCTGGACTCTAACCCCAGAGCCTATGTCTTCATCCTTCTGCATTTTCAACCTTCATGCCTGCTTTGCACTATTCTAGTTTACCTTTTATAGGCTCTGGAGTTGATGGAGTCTCCTTTAATAAATGGGTAGTGGAGGCCCAGAGAGAAGTGAAACATGTCTAAGATGGTCCTGTGATTAAAGACACATAGCTGTTAACGTGTGACACGAATGCAAACACCAAAGTCAGATTATGAGGCTTTAACACATAATTTCTAAATTTAATTTAAAATGCTCCTTTTTGACCTTTACTTCTGCTATTGATTTTCATCTTTTCTCTTTTCTCCTTCTTACCCCTTCTCTTCTTTCCTCTTCTGCTCTCCTTTCTTCCTGCTTTTCCTTTCTTTCTTCAGCAACCATTACTGAGCATTTACCTTATTGGAATTATTGGATTAGGTGGAATTATTGGTAATTGTGTGTTTTCATGTTACTAAAATGGACTGTCCAGCTCTTCTGTGGCCAACATCTCTTTACTCTAGAAGGTTCTCAAAGGAGTTACCACACATGAAAGAAGGTTGGGGAAAGCAAAGTACCCGAAGCCAGTGCTTTACACTGGTACACAGGAGTAGGTACCCACTTTCCGATTCGGGGGACTGGATTGTGTCATTCATTGAAATATGAAATAGTGAAGGAAGCTTCACTTTTATATCGGTTGGGGGTAGCGTGAGAGTTGTTTGAGCTTTTCACTTTTGAGAGCTTTTCAAATGAATCGCCTTATAGTTAAAGCTGGAGATTAGAAGAAAGATCAAGACTAGGAAACTCTTTATTTAAATGTCAATATTTAATTGACAATTAACTGTTGTTGATTTAAATTAAATATATATATATGTATAGAGTCTTGCTCTATTGCCCATGTTCCAGACTCAAGCTATCCTCTCACCTCAGCCTCCAGAGTAGCTCTGACTACAGGTGTGACCCGATACACCCAGCTATTTTTTTTTTTTTAGATTTTGTAGAGACAGGGGTCTTGCTATGTTGCTCAGGCTGGTCTCCAATTCCTGAGCTCAAGTGATCCTCCTGCCTCAGCCTCCCAGTGTGGTGGGATTACAGGCATAAGCCATCATGTTCAGCCAGGGAATGTTTGAAGATAGAGAAAAAAGCCCTGCTTTCTCCATTCCTTCTACGGTTTGGCACCCAGTTCATATCCCATTTGCCCAGATGCTCCCTTTTAATCTTTCCTAATGCAGGCCATAGACATTGGTCTCAGAATTCTTGTAAGTCTACTTTTGTCACTCAATTGTGTGAATTGTGTGTTTGTACAGGTCTCCTGCATTTACTAAATATAGTGGAAATCATATTTGCCTAGAGATCAGTAGACCTGTGCATTGAATCTAGGCTTTGTTATTTGCTATTTGTGTGATTCATTGATTGATTTTCTTTCAGCATCAAATTCTAAGTTAATAAAATGAGATTAATAATAATGTCTACCCTGTCTCTCTCACAGAATTGGTGGTCACTTTTTAACTGTGAATAATGGATGTGATGGCTCTTTAAAAAGAGCCTTTTAAAACAAAATGAATACTTTTTTCTACATTTACATGTGTAATTATGATGTTTGTTTGTTTTTTCCCACTCTCTGGGTTAACTCTAAACTCCTTTGGATTTTAAACGCCTTTGGACACTTTTCTTTTTAACCCTCCTTCATACCTAAGACAGTGCTATGTATATTGACATTTAAATGTACAGGGCTAATTATGGTTTCGTTTCTTCACTTTTTTGTTGTTGTTGTTGTTCCTTTTGTTACACATTTATTTTGAAGATTTTGTTTTCCTGGAAATTAGTGGGATGTTAACGTCTCCTTAAAGAACTCATTCTTTGTCTTTCCTGGTTCCCCCTCTTATCCTCTGTAACCTGTGACCTCCTCCCACCATCTGAGGTGGATGTCTCCTGAAGTTCTTACTCTGTCCCAGCAATGATGACCTTAGTGTGTCTACTGACTCTTAAAACCCGTAGGGACATAGGATCCAACTGCCTCATAGAAAAGTAAGGCCGAGAGAGGGTTACTCCTATATTTGGTTCAAGTCAATCTGGGTGCTGGTTTATAAACAATGCCTATTCAGTGCTCTGCACTAAGGCATACTGGTGTTATGCTTCTATTTTTGCCTTTATTATTTTTAAAGTTTTTTGGATGAAATTACTGACGTTGATCACATATTAAAAATTTATGAGGATTCTATTTTTGGGTTCCATTCTATTTAATTCTAGCTGAAATTTGCTTCTCTTTTTTATCCTGTTATGGTACATTTGTTCCTAGACATAATCAGGAATGACACCAGACACAGACTATATTTTGGTGTGTATTAGTGAGAAAATTTAGTATGTTTCTTTTGTCATGTTGAATGTAGACACTATGGACAATGTTTAATTAATTTTAATTGATTTTTGTTGTTGTTATTATCTTTCTCAATTTCCTCTGCTTTCTTCTTACTTCCTTAGCATGGTATGCCACAGATAGGGACACATTTCATCTGAAAGATGTATACTATATATGGATGTCTTTGCAGTTTCTTCAGTCCTTTTAATTACATAAAAATCTTAATAATATTAAAACAACAATTATGTAAATTTTCAAAAGAATTTCAAAAGCAATGAAGAAGACCACTGTTCAGAACCTCAATTTCTGAACCTCTCCTTACTTTTCCTTCTTCCTTTTCAGCCAGTCCTTGCTCAACTCTGAATATATTTTGACAATGTTTCAATTATAATATATGCAGAATAATTTACTTCTTTCACTTAACATTATTTTTAAATGTCAATGTTGCTACATATTCCAAATTACTTTGGAATTCATTATATATTATTATTCTTTTATTTCCACTAGATTTATACTTAAGACAGAATCTCAAGAGTGGGATATTTGGGTCAAATAGCATTTACATTTTGGCTCTTGAAATAACTAACAGCATGTCATTTCCAAAGAGACGTTAATCATTGATACCACCAGCAGCAAATGTTCTCATTCATCAGACCACATTTGTTTTACACGTTCCTCTCCTTAGAAAGAGATAAGTATGGTTTCTTTTCTTTAGTTCTTGCTAATAGGATACCCAACATATTGAAAATGGTACTCCATTGTTTTAATTCTCATCCTCTCTGACCATTAGAAATATTTTGCTCCATGTGTCTTTGACGAAGTTTATGTATTGTTTTATGAAGTGTAAATTCTTGCCCTTGCCCATTTGATCTATTGAGTTTATGCCTTCTTTCTTTATTTGGGATCCAAAATATTTATTAACTCTCTGCCTGACCTATTTGTTCCAAACATTTTTTCCAAGTCTGTTTGCCTTTTTAGTTATGGTAGTGTATGTATGTGCATGTGTGTGTGTGTGTGTGTGTGTGTATAGATCTACATACATGTGTACACACCATATATATATGGCTTATAATGGGGACAGAATCACTTAGCAGATGGGCAACCCTGATGATCCAGGTATTTACGAAGGGACTCAAACCATCTTCAGTTGTCTAGGTATTCAGAAGAAAAAAATTCAGAAGGCTGGGCGCAGTGGCTCACGCCTGTAATCCCAGCACTTTGGGAGGCTGAGGCGGGCAGATCATGAGGTCAGGAGATTGAGAGCATCCTGGCCAACATGGTGAAACCCCGCCTCTACTAAAAATTCAAAAATCAGTCAGGCATGGTGGCACATGCCTGTAATCCCAGTTACTTGGGAGGCTGAGGCAGGAGAATCGCTTGAACCACGAAGTCGGAGGTTGCAGTGAGCTGAGATTGCGTCACTGCACTCCAGCCTGGGCGACAGAGCGAGACTCTGTCTCAAAAAAAAAAAAAAAAAAAAAAAAAAAAAAAAAAAATTTCAGAAGTCCCGGAGTCCTTTCCATGATGCATTTGAAGGGCCAGAGAGATAGAGGCATGCCCTATGTAGTACATCTTGCTGCTGTCCCTCGTGTGTTTACCCTATGGGTCAAATGAGATGGTGTTGGAGCAATCAAAGGATACAGACCAGTACCCAGCCTTTCTTGTCAAGACTTTGCCTCTCCTTGGGATGTTCACACACACCTACCCCTATTTTCTTTAGGGATCTAGTTGCTTACTTATTTTAGACAGTACATCCTTTATGGCCTTGCTGAAATGTAACTCCTTGATGGAATCTCCTCTGGTTTCTTTCTATCTGTCCACCTCAATTGAGAACTGATTTCCTTCCCCTGAACCCCTCACCTTCCCATAGTGCTTTAGCTGTAGCTTCTTTATTCAATGTTTCACTTTTTACTTTGGACCAGAGATATTTATGAACTTTACAAAATCTCTTTTAAGGCAGATATTTCAGTTCTCTTTGCATTAACACAGGACTTGTTGGATGATTGAGTAAGCGTGTGGGGGGGTGTGAAGAGAGGGTTCATTTGTTCCTTCCTCGTGACAGAGCTGAGAGGGGAAGGGCCCTTGCTGGTGGTGGATGGGCCCTGAGGGTTAATTGGGCTGAGTGTGGCCACAAAGCAGAAAGACTTGCTGTGCTTTCTGAACTTACGTAAGTTACAAACACTATTAAAATGTCACAAACAAATAAGAGAATGAGGACTGTACTTAGGTTCCATACTTGTGGTATGGAAAGCTATCTAAAATAAAATTAGCTACATATCTCTGCAGATTTCTCTGATTCACTCTACAAAGAAGCAAGTGTTTAATCTAATTCTGCAAATATTTGAGACTCTTTACCAGGCGTTGTGGAACATGCTTTATGACTGGAAAAGATGATAAAGGCATAGTTTCTGCCCTAAGGAGCTGTTTGTGCATCTGTTGGAGGATATAGATATTTTAACAGGAAGATTCTAACACTAGGTAGGCTGGGTCCTTTGTGATAAAGTCTGCATTAGAAATATGTGAGAAGAAAAGATTAACCTGAGTGCGGTCTCTCATGAAGTTGCTAGTATACTCTTCTTTCTTTATGCATTTAACCCCAAAATTATCTCTACTGAGATGATTCTTCTTTTGTATGTCAAATTTTACTTGGCTTCTCCCTCACCCTGACTCCTAGTCCCACCATTTTAATTTTATCATGATTTGAATAATATCACAAGGGAATGAAGAATTTATTCTTTTTTTCAATAGGTGAACAAAAAAAAGTATGAGAAATGATTGATGTGTATTTCAACATTGAGAAAACCCAAGGAATTAGGAAGAAAGTTCTCTGGCATATCAGGAAATAGGAAATGATCTCACCAATTGCTAGAAGTGGTTGCTCAGTCTCTTGGAAAGTGCACCTTCAGTAGATAGCACTTAAGTCATAGCATGCGCGCACACACACACACACACACACACACACACACACACACACACACATAATCTCTCTGCCTTATTAGCCATTTATTCTCTACTGTCTTTCAGTAGATGATTTCTTTTACCTTGTTCCTTTCTAAATATTACCTCCACTGGGACCTAATTACAACCCCTCAAAATTCACATTACATTGGAATAGATGTGAGCTCCCAATGTTATCTTTAGGCATTACAGAATATTAGAAACTGACTGTGGTTATCCATTGTGTATGCAGGTATATAAACCTCTTTTGCCCAAATCGTTGTCAGACTGCAGTGAGAAAAGTCAAGGAAATATTTCTTACTAGCTTCTGAATGTTGTATGAATTTTCCCCGAAGAATGATAATAATGCAAGCTGAGACTTTTTATATTCTAAAGTAAACATCCAAAGCCAGTTTTCCCCTTCTATTAAATGAACCTTTAACTGAGCTCTGAAATTGTGAGGAAGGACATACTTTGATGCCCATTATTCTGTTCAATAGCCATATTCAGAAGAGAAGTTTAATTCAAACTCCAGCCCATCAAAGCATTTTGCAGGGTTTTCAAAGCAGTTATTGTAATAGAGAGTAATTAAATATTACTGTTTTCAACTGCTTATTTATAATGTACGAAGACATTATAATGACCCCAAAGTTGGTTTGCCTTTAGAAAAATAAGGATACAAAATGCTGTGTAGAAAAGAATATGCTATCTTAAGTCTAGAGAGCTGGGTTCTAGTCCCATTTCTGCTTGTGACTTAGTCTGTGGCCTTAGGAAAAGGCTTTTCTTATCGTTGAGTCTCATTTTCCTGCCTTTAATGACAAAGAAATTACAAACCTTATATCTGTAAGGCACTTAATAATTTGTCCCCTCTTCTTAAACTTGTACAAGTGAAGTTACAACATTCTATCAAGTTCAGAACATGTAGACTGTAAAATTTTACACCTACAGAACATGTAGGTGTAAAATAGAGTCACCCATAAATCTATTACCCAGATACAGGTGCAATCTATCATGATCATATTTATGTATTCCTTTCAAGTCTTTAGCTATTAGCATAAATTACCCATCATGCTGTGTATCTCTTGACATCATACATTAAGCATTTTCCATATCACTGCATATTCTTGAATGATTACAATTTTAATAACTTTAATATTTCATTGAGTGATTGTGCCATATCTTAATTGTTTCATTATTTGAAAATTTTGCGATGATTAACATTTATGCATAAATGTAGCTTACTTCTTCAATAATCTTATATATGATGTCTGAGGGTTGAGACACACGGGTCAGAGGTTAATTTTTTTTTTTTTTTTTTGAGGCAGAGTCTCACCCTGTCGCCCATGCTGGAGTGCAGTGGCATGATCTCAGCTCACTGCAACCTCCGCCTCCTGGGTTCAAGCAATTTTCTTGTGCCAGCCTCCCGAGTAGCTGGGATTACAGGTGTGCGCCACCACACCCGGCTAATTTTTGTATTTTTATTAGAGACAGGGTTTCATCATGTTGATAAGGCTGGTCTTGAACTCCTGATCTGGTAATTCACCTGCCTTGGCCTCCCAAAGTGCTGGGATTACAGGCATGAGCCACCCTGCCCGGCCCAGAGGTGAATATTTTTATGGTTATTTCTATCTATTGATGACTTGTTTTGTGAAAGGGATTTTTTTTTTTTTTAGCTTTAGTAGGAATGTGTGAGTGAGTCAGCATCTCCCCTATCATGCTAGTATTAAATATGTTGTTTTTTTGGTATTAGCATTTCTCTGGTTATTTGTAAATTTAGATATGTTTCCACATGCCTCATTTCCAGTTATTTTTTTTTATTGCCTTTGAAGATGAGTACTTTCCAATCTTTAGGATCCCATTCACAGCAAATCAAAGAGGAAACATTTTAGTGAGAATTGTGCAATTGTGCATGTCTTATAAAAGGTTCTAGAACATTTTTTACTCACATGAAGGACTGTTTGAATAAGTTGAGACATGCCTTATTCCTAAATGGAAACATAGAGGTTGTTAAGTAGTTGTTTTCCCTACATTTCGTGCAATCACAGTTAGTACAACTCTCAGGTCAATTATTCTTGAATTTTAACCAAAAAATTCTAAATTGTCTTGACAATAAACAGGCAAAATAGGTAAAAGAAATCTGCAAAATAAGTGTAATGAGCAACTGGGACCATCCTAGCCAGATGCTGAGGTGCATTTATAAGGCAACTCTGATTGAAGGAGGAGGTGGTGCTGGAATAGATGGGAGGTCAAAGCAGTAACAGAACCCACCCAGACATAAGGCAACTGCACGTGGAATTAATTGGCAATAAAAGAACCACCTTGCTACATTCCGAAAAGGAAGGATTATTCTCATGGCATTGGGATAATTGGTCAGCGTTAATGAAAAACTTACATCATGAGTATGTTTCACAATAAACCCTGATATAAATTAGTGGTCATGTTAAAAAATAAAACTTGCAAAAGTCTTCAGGCAAAGAAGAAATTTGTTATATCTGTAGTAACTGAAAGCAGTAACTTTTAAGTTTACACCTGAGGTCCTCAAACTTTTTCTGTAAAGGGCCAAGTAGTAAATATTTTAGGCTTTGTAGGCCAGATGGTCTCTGTCACAGGTCCTCAACTCTTTGTGCTGCAAAAGCATCAATAGACAATATGTAATATGTCTCATATATAAACAAATAGAGAATATGTAGGTTTATAGGAAGAGTCATAATATTGTGAATGTTAATTTCCTGACAAATCGTGTCCCATGGTGAATTTTATGAATCTTTCATTTTTTTGGCAAACTGTTTGAAAAAGCATTTCATGGCTATTTTAATTTATATTTCCCTGATTATTATTTAAGTTGTGTGTGTGTATGTATGTGTGTGCGTATGTGTGTGTGTGTGTTTGGTATATTTGTGTGCCACTGATGTCTCTTTTTATGTGAATTATAGGTAGAGTTAATTTATCTCACTTATTTCACCTCTCTGTCACCTGATGTCCCAATACCCTGGAGAGCTTTGTGATATCTACACCCCAGTACAGACTAATAGGTCACTGGTTTGCTTCAGAACTAGAACTTCTCCTGTGCCTTTGTGCCCAAGGGCCTGGGACTTGACTTTTGGCTCAGTTCTACTTGTCTGCTAACCTGACCGCTTGACAGTGGATTGAGGATGGAGGGCACTGAGCAGTTTTGGCTGTGCTTGACCTCCTGCTTAGTTTCCCTCCATGGTCTCTTAGAAATCTGAGACTGGGCGTGGTGGCTCACGTCTGTAATCCCAGCACTTTGGGAGGCCAAGGTGGGTGGATCACCTGAGGTCAGGAGTTCGAGACCAGCCTGGCCAATGTGGCGAAACGCCATCTGTACTAAAAATACTAAAGTTAGCCAGGTGTGGTGGCAGGAGCCTATAATCCTGGCTACTCAGGAGGCTGAGGCAGGAGAATCACTTGAACCCGGGAGGCAGAGGTTGCAGTGAGCCAAGATTGTGCCACTGTACTCTAGTCTGGGCAACAGAGTGGGACTCCGTCTCAAAAAAAAAAAAAAAAAAATGGGACTCCGTCTCAAAAAAAAAAAGAAAAGAAAAAAAGAAAGAAATCTGGGTGAGTTGTTGCCTGAATCTTGTCTGAACCTGCCTATCCCCTCTGGGTCCTGAAATCTAACTGTGGGTGAGATCTGCCTTTGCATTTCTGTTCATCCAGGTGAGCAAACCTGGAGTTTGGCCTCACTCTGTCCAATTGTGTTCCTTCCAAGAGATAAAACTGAGAAAGTGGTAAAGTCACTTGCATAAGCCACTTTCAGATCCATAGAGGACCCACAGCATGAGATTCTGACTGTTATTATTACAGAGGTAGAAGCGTCATTTTCTTGGAGCTGTGTCTCCGTGTCTTTGGTGTGCCACAGTCACAGGCCTGCTCCTGCCCCTCCCTGCAATCTTTCCATTGTTGTGTGTGGTACAGGAACTGAGACAATTATGACAGAGCCGAGCTGGTTTCTCTTCTCTTTTGGACATCATTGTTTGTCACAATTCTGATCACCATTTCTTCCTCTAGATCACAAAATTGTAAAATCACTGCTATATTTACATTTTCTTTTGCTGCCTGGGCTTTAAAAAGTACTATTTATAGCTTTCCTTTGAAATTCCTTTATTAATAGTCTTCCTTCACATGTATATCACTCTGCTATTTACAAAATGCTCTTACGTTTAGTATTTCACTTGATCAGCATAAACACCCATGGGATAAGCTAGGCAGGATTGTTGTCTCCATTTTACAGGTGAGGAAATTAAGGCTCAGTGAGGCCTGGAAGGCCCTGGCCTGCAGCCACTGCTGGACCGGGTGCCAGAACTGGGTTTAGACGTCTTACTAGATCTCTCTTGCTGTTTTTCTTTCCGTCTACAAAAACTCCTTCTCATTTATGAGTTTCAAAGATTTTCTTGTCTGACACATAAGGAAATTAGTGGCTTTTCTTGAGAGATCTAAGCATTACTGCATTTGCCTAATATTTCTTTTACTATACCTATTGGTCTGAGTACTTTAAGAGAAACCAGTGTCTGTAAATAATCTTCCTTCTTGTCAGACATGGAGGCAGAAATTTTCCAAGAAGAGAGAGACCCTGAAGACACTGTTTGTTCTCTGCTGTTCTTAACAAGTACTGCAACCACAATTTTGGATTTTTCTCCTCGAGGCTTTCTAGTTGTAGGCTGCCACAGAATACTTCGGGGTCACAGATTCCTATTCCCTTTTAAACTGTATCGGGCATGTGTGTTATGTGACCTTTGTGTTCTGACCTTCAGATTTAGGGAACTGAAGATTTAGGAAGTCTTGTTAGGACTTAAATCCAAGTAAATTCCCTCATGAGTACAAAGACTCATCTGTGGAGGTGTGGAATGTTGGAGAGAAAGGGACTTTCATTCATCTAGCCCCCTGGGTTAGAAAACAGGGCTGGTGAGTGATAGAGCTGAGGCTAGCGTGCGGAGATCAGACTAGATTCGGCTTTCTGCTGGCTTCCTCCATATCACTCAGTACTTCTGGAGTTGTAGCATGCCTCTTCCCCCTGGACTGGGAGCTTTGAGAGGGACGGCACTGGGTGTGCTCTGTGCACGGCTCTTCTAGAGGTGATCCAAGTGCTTTGCATAGGCACTCAGGATTTATTTGCTTGATGAATTTGAACCTGTCTGTTGTTGATAAAATATCATTATTGCCCATAAGGATCTTGAGGGAGTTTGTAAGGATCTTGAGGGAGTTTCAGTCAGGATTCACTATAGGAAACAAACCACTTTAGATATTTTAAGTGGAAGGTACTTAATACAGGGTGTTTCACAGAAGTAATTAGATGGACTGCATGGAGCAGAATCGAGGCTGTCTCCAGAAATGAATCACAAAACTGCACAAAATTATTCCATTTTCTACAATCAAGCAAGACAAAAATGGTGAAGCCACCATGGGAATTACTGAGTTCAGTGATACATCACAAAACTTGTGAAACAGAGATCAAAAGCCATAGTCAGAATGATGGTAGCTGGACACTGAGACATGAGTCCAGCTACTTACTCTTTTTGTCACGGCTGCTTTTTGACAGCCACCAAGCTGAAGACTCAATATGAGAACACAGATGCTGAAAAACCCCATGTCTGTGTCACCATTCTTCTAACAGAAAACAGGGCAAACAGCAGAAACATGTCTTCCATCTTACTTTTGCCTTTCAAATATCAAGCCAATTACATATATTTTGGCAGAATTTCTTTTGCAATCAAACCTTACCTGCAAGACAGCCTGTGCAATATGGGAAGTTTGAGTGTCGATCTACCATATCCACCACATTAAGGGTGATGGTTTTCATATTTCGGGCATGTCTTCCATAAGGCTTTGTGTGTAGTAGATATTAAGTTGGAACCAGAGTAACAATTACGTTCTATTACATCTCTACTTGTCAGTGTAGTTAATTATATAACAGAATGGACTGCAACAGTTTTACTTTAGGGAATCCCTAAGGGGGAATTCCTATTTATCAGAAAAATGCTGTAAGGAGGGAAGACCCTGAGGTGGGAGAGTATTCTAAACTGTTTTGGTTTCAAACATCTTGGAAAGTACTACATGGAGACATGCGATATTATAACATATCAGTGCTTACCATGTCTGGGGGGAGTTCTGTCTTAAAAAAGCTTGCCTACCTTCTATGCTGTTGCTCCCTCGCTGCACTGTTTTGACCCCACTTTCCTCCTCACCAGCCAAATACAAGTTTTGCAATGAGAATTAATGTAAAATGGTTTCTTTATAACAAACTAAATAGGCTTATTCTTAAAAGGAAACATAGAGGTTGTTAAACCGTTGTTTTCCCTACATTTCATGCAATCACAGTACAACTCACAGGTCAGTTATTCTTGAATTTTAACCAAAAATTTCTAAATTGTCTTGACAATAAACAGGCAAAATAGGTAAAAGAAATTTCCAAAACAAGCAGAATGAGCAACTGGGACCATCCTGGCCAGATACTGAGGTGCATTTATAAGGCAACCTTGATTGAAAAAGGAGGTGGTCCTGGAATAGATGGGAGGCCACTGCAGTAACAAAACCCACCCAGACACAAGGCAACTGCACGTGGAATTAATAGGCCATAAAAGAACCACCTTGAAACATTCCGAAATGTTGAGCCTTCACTGAATTCTTCTGACTTTTCCCTCAACTCTGTGTAACCCCAATTTAGAAATGTGAAATAGTTGTTAGTAATCCCTTCCACCTTTACATTGTACCCTAGTGAGTGCATTTGGATGTATTTTAGACACATTTTTTTTTTTCCTGCTCCAAATTAAGAATCAGGCAACATATTGTCCTTCTAGTACTTGTAACCAAGTATATATTATAAAATCACTGATAATCTCGTATGTGTGGGGTCAGGTGTTAAAGATATAATTGAAGTAAACACTCTTGATTTATTTTTATTTTTATTTTAAGAAAAAGTGACATTTTTGCTTCAGGAGAAAGAGGCTGAGTGAATAGGTTAGTTGATAATAGTTTCTGCTAGGTTTCTGCTATATCTTGCTTTTCTCCCGAAGATTCATTTTAGTACCTTCTTTCCTTCTTAAGAGCACATGCTCCTAAAGCAGGGAAGCCCCCAAAGCCTCCTCTACTTCCCGTTGCTAATTGCTGTGGCCTCTTATCCACGCCAGTAATGAACCAAAAGTATGGGAGGGCTTTAGCCATATGGAACTTCTGGGAGAGGACTTGACTGTATTCAGGATTCACTTGGACTAAACGACCAAAACCTCATTAACACAGTGTTTTCAGTAGGTGATTATATGAGTTATCGTCAAAACTGGGACACTTTTGCAAAGGGGCACTGTTAATAATTACACCAGAACAGCAGGTATAAATTGGAGATGTATGGTCATCCTAATTATACAGAGCCTTCAAGAACAGTGTTTGAAATGTGAATTAAAACGATTCGAAACCAGAGCTTAAGTCTTAGTATTTTCATGGGTTTAAGTTTACCTTCTCTTTTATATAACAATCACTTGCTGAGATCTGATGATGGGATATACTGTGTATTAGGTCCTAGGAATATATAGATAAAGTAGATACCAATTTTGTTTTTTTCTTCACTCACAGTATTGTAATATTTTAGACCAGTGGGTTTCCAGTCTGGCTTATAGCATACTGGAGATACTAGGGCAATAATGCATTTTATGCTTCCCCCAAATTAAAGTATGTTTTGCCAAAGTGTGATGATTTAAATGCCCCTGTAATGGTTTTATTAATTTTTCTATTTATACTTGGGGTTTTGTTTATGATTTGGCATGAAGAAACCATTTATTTTGCTAAGGAAAAGTTTGAAAGCTACTGGTTTGAGACTTAAAAATTTATCTTTAATATTTGGTTATAAAGTCGTAAGGCTACTTTTTAAAGAGGGGAAGAACTAGACTGATTAAAGCTGAAACACATAAAGATGTAAACTGAGTGGGAAACAAATAAATTACCTGAAATATATAAAGGTCTGCTATGTATTAGAGGTTTTGTGATTCTAGAGGGCACAGGTAGGACCAATAGGTGGTACTTATGGGAATACAGGCTTCAGCTGCAGAAAACTTTCTAGCAGTCATAACTTTTCTGCCATGGAAGGGGCTGTCTTGTAAGGTAATGAGTTCCTTGTCATTGGACATGTACAAATGAACTCACAGATGGTGGGTAAGCTTCATCTTGAGCTCCACATTAGATAAAATGTCTTCATTAACAATTTCACACTTCAAGGATGTTAAACTTCTGTATTGGTGAATGTTGGGTCCTTTGCTACTTCTTTAAAAATATCTAAAGTGTGTGTGTGTGTGTGTGTGTGTGTGTGTGTATGTATTTGTGTTTTATTTCCCCAGAACATTAGCTGAGTATATTTTTCATGTATTTTATTTTATATTTTTACACAGTGGTCAATAATTGATAAAAATACAGAAGCTACTACAACAGTTCTCTCATCAAGGGAAACTTAAAAGGGATAATGTCCATAGATGTGATTCTGAAACTGATTTGAAACAGCCTGGTTCATTTTTACTGTGTTGCCATTGGTTAATGCTTAACCAGATTTTGTCTCTGTTTCAAAATCTTGAAATAAAAGTGGAACAACTTCCAACATGACTTAAGAAAAAGGTCCCCAGTTGAAAATGCTTCCAATCGTTTTGCTATTAAATGTGAAATTGCAAAACTAGCCTCTCTTACAAAAACTAGTGAGAAGCTTGCCTGTTTTTCATACCATTTCAAATACTGAGAAATAATTTCTCTAGGCTCTTGGAATTAGAGTTAAATAAAAATTATATTTCAGAGTATATAATGCATGAAGTTGGATTTCTTTGTTTTCTAAAACTGTATCTCATGGTCCTTGAAGGTTGATAATTTATATCTCTGGTACCACTTTATTTTTCTATTATTTGTGGATTAAAAATTTTAAATTTAGCAATATACTTATATTTTGCTTTAGAATAAAGTTGATTTTTAAAAACTTATTTAGAGACAGGGTCTCATTCTATTGCCCAGGCTGGAGTGCAGTGGCATGATCGTGGCTCACTGTAACCTTGAACCCCTGGTCTCAAGTGATCCTTCCACCTCAGCCTCCCGAGTAGCTGGGATTAGAGAGGCGAGCCACCATTCCCAGCTAATGTTTTTTAGAAATTATTATTATTTTTTTTTTCCAGAGACACATCTTGTTGTGTTGCGCAGGCTGATCTCGAACTCCAGGCCTCAAGCAATCCAGGGTCTCCTCCCAAAGTGCTAGGATTATATGTGTGAGCCACTGCTCCCAGCTGAGCTTTTTCTTAATAGATATTTAAGATGATATGTAATTAGAGAATCGGAGATTAAACTGGAAACTTTAATTTACAATAACAATAAAATATTAATTCAATAATAGTAATTTAAATTACAGGCCAGGTGTGATGACTTTAATCTCAGCAGTTTGGGAGGCCAGGGTGAGAGCACCGCTTGAGCCCAGGAGTTCGAGACTAGTGAGACCCTGTCTTTACAAAAAAAATTAAAAAATTTGCCAGACATTGTGGCACACCTATAGTCCCGACTACTTTGGAGAGGCTGAGGTGGGAGAAATACTTGAGTCTAGGAGTTGCAGGCTTCAGTGAGCCATGATGGTACCACTGCACTACAGCTTGGGCAACAGAGTGAGACCTTGTCTCTAAATAATAATAATGATAATAATAATAATAAAAATAAACAAATAAATAAATTATAATGTCCAAACTCAATTCAAAAGCTCTAAGCTAATTTATAGTAGTTCTGATGTAGGATACAAACAACACAGTTGACAGTTTTGTGAACAATATGATGTTCAAAAGGCTGAAGTATAATCTCTAACTCCCCATCTTGTTGCTATGATTACTCTTAGCAGATTATGTGGCCTGAATCAACATTGGTTCACAGTCACAAGCAGTGTTATCAGATGTAAATATGTCTTAACGTTCATCAATAGTAGACTCATATTCATTGAAGGAAAAATTAAGAATTTCTACTTTTTCAAGTTATAACTAAAATTGCTTTTAAAATCTTCCTTATTTTATTGAGATATCAAAATAAATATTCAAAAACAGAAAAATACAAACAGAATCATTAAAAAATTAAGATAATTAGAACATCCTAAAGTGGTAGCAAAATCTCATGGCCTGACTAATGGTCATGACACACTTGTAAATGGATATCTAAAATGGAGTGTTTACATGTTTTAATACAAGTTTGAACAAGCTGTCAGGGAAACACAGCTAAGTGAGCTGCAGTTAACTTGCAGACTTACACAGTTATTGGTAGGTTTAGAAATAGAAGATGCTAGATAACCGTTAAAGAGATTGCTAGGTCTCATTAGAGATCATATTGGTGATTTTTCCTATCGTCACTTTTTCCTGGGTGAGGGGCAAAATCTTTATGAATTAGGCACTTAGCGTCTCACCTTTACAAATCCAGATTTCCACCTTTAGAAGCAGATTTACTGAACTCAAAGAGGTGCAGGCTATTGTTGCCTGTTTTCTCTTGGCCTTGAACAGAAAAGCAGTCTATAAGAATCAAGGACTTAGAAGAAACCTGCTAAGGAGCCCGTTTTTTTGCCAGCACTGCACACTCCACAGACTAGCCATAACATTGTGGATCATAAGAAGTTGTGGGAGGAGATTTTGAAGGTCATCATTAGTTGCTTATTATTTTAAATCTGCAGAAACTGAGGTCCAGAGAGAATTCACATTTTCTTGGTTACTTTGCCACGTGGAACAATTGTTATCAAATGTGACCTGGAATGCAAGGTTGGGGCCATTTATCTTCTGTGCTAATTTTCAGTGCCATGGTTGCGAACTTTCTTGGCAGAGAAATTGTTTACTTCTGTGCCCTATTCCATTGCCTTTTACCTACCCCATCTAGTTATAATCTAGCAATAGAGTTATAAGCTTGTGTAATCAAACTTTCCCACTGCAGATGCTCTTTGGAGACAGAATATTTGGGTTTAAACCCAGCCTCTGATATGTTCTAGCTGCTCTATTACATTGGATAAGTTTCTTTAGCTTCTCTAAATCTCGGTATTTGAATACTCAAATTAGAAGACGTAAATTATTTCCTAAGATTTCTCCTAGCTGGGGTTCTCTATGACCTTTTAGCTCTTAAGTAGTCTGTCCTGGCTATTGTCAACCATGTCTTTTTTTCCTTGACTGATAGAAACTGTGGCAAACTAAAGGCCACTTAGTCAGTATTTGTTCCGTCCTTAACCTTCTCTCCTGAGAGTCCTGATCTTTCAGTGCTGTTGTTTCCCTGTCAGGGTTGATTGTTTCCTTTTCGAGTGCCGTTCTGAATCTGAAGTGAAAGTGCAGCGTGGAGGCATGTCACTGTTGTGTCTCACTTCTTTTTCTTTTTTTTTTTTGAGATGGAGTTTCACCCTGTCTCCCAGGCTGGAGTGCAGTGGCGCGATCTCGGCTCACTGCAACCTCTGCCTCCTGGGTTCAAGTGATTCTCCTGCCTTAGCCTCCCAAGTAGCTGGGACTACAGGTGTGCACCTCTGTGCTCGGCTAATTTTTGTATTTGTAGTTGAGAAGGGGTTTCAACATGTTGGCCATGCTGATCTTGAACTCCTGACCTCAAACGATCTGCCTTCCTCGGCCTCCCAAAGTGCTGGGATTACAGGTCTGAGCCACTGGGCCCGGCCGTGTCTCACTTCTTTATCTGAGACAATGTTTACTGGTCTAGACCTGATGCTTCTCTCCCTTGCTGCTTCGTAGTTTATTTGGATCCTGAAATGCCGCTGAGTTTTTCTTGTCACCTGCAGCATTGCCAAGAACAAGGAGTGCACCATTAGTGTTAATTTATTTTTTCTGGTACTCTGTGCAAGGCAGATGGGCATTTAATGTGCTGATTCCAACCCTACCTTCCCTCATCTACACTCCCTGGTCTCATAGGAGTTAAAACATAGTTTTGTAAGAAACCTTAGCTCCTTGAACTTGTGGACTTGTGGGAGAATCATGGAAACATGAGAGTTAGAGGGAATGGTAGTGGATATCTAATCTTTAGTGTACAGATAGGAAGGGTCACTGAGGTTCAAAGAGGTTAAGAACGAAAGTCATAGACCCAATTAGTGACTGAGCTAGATAGAAAGTACGCCCAAGTCCTCTGCATCTAAGTCTAGTGCCTTTTCCAGTTTTTCCAAATGTCTCTCAGATAGCCTATATAAAGGTTTGGCATTTCTGTAGCGTTGTTCTCTCGTTACCTCTTCTGAGCAATGCCAGCTGTCCATGCAGAGAGTGGGGCACTTAGCCAGTGCTGGGCCAAAGCTGTCTGTAAGAAGAAGTTGAGTGAATACATTGACATTTTCAGCCCATGGTAGATCCTGCTTTGCCCTTCCGGCTCTATGTGACCTGATGCTTCAGAGGAAGAGTGAATACATTTGCTGTTCAACTAACAATTGTGTGTAATTTTCAGCCTGCCTTATTCTTCAATGCTGTCTTCCCACGCCTCCACCACATGCCACAGCATATCTGCTTCGCAATTACGCTGGTAGGGACTTACCCCGTTTGGAAAAGGTTTGCCTAAATACTTATTTACTTGTGCATGATACATCTTGATTGATACCTTGTTAATCTCTGAGATCAACCCAAGAATCCTTCCTTCAAGGGGGAGGATAGAAGAGTCAGGGAAACGGGTGACAGAAAAAGAGAAAAAGAGGACTGTGCTTCCTCACTGATGAGCAAAGAGGAGAATTACAGATGATATCAAAACAATGAGGAGAATCACGGGTGATATCGAATCTGCTTTACTTGGCGTTGGCTACTTGTAAAGTCAAGATCTTTCATAGACTCATAAAAGCTTGTGAGCAGAGTTGTCATTTGTACCATCTAATTCCATCACTACATTTTTCGAGAAGGACACAAGATTTCAGAGATAACGGAAGTTACACAGTGGGCTCATGGCGGAGCCAAGACTAGAAGCTGGGTCTGAATTCTGAAGATCAGGCATCTTTCCACTAAATACTGAGATGTGAACAATAATGGAGAGCCGTATAGCCCAGAGGGGAAACCACATTATACCACTTTAGTGGATGATTAGGAAAGCAGTTTTGAAATTCCAGGAAGGTACTGACTTTTGTATAAAGAGAATGTTTAAAAAAAAAAAACCTTCAAAGTTATAGGAGAGTGTTATTTAAATTGTAACAGCTTGTTTAAATGAAGAAAATGTTGCTAAGGGACATGAATGCTAAACGTTAGTCTGCCATCAGCTACTTCTGATGTTTAAGTCAAATAGTCCCTCAGTTCTGTGGTGTTAATCTACGTCCCTTTTCTAATATCATTCATTTATTCAGTGCACACTGACCAAGAGCTAGGCCTTGAGTTAGTTGCCAGGAAGATATAGGGACTAATACAATGTCATTTAAAGATTAATAGAAATGCTCTAAGTCAATTATTCTCAACCCTTGAATCAGAGTATATACATAAAGATCCCCATATGAGGTTAGTGTGCAGACTGTTTTGATAAACACTACTCTAAGTTTATTGCACTGGATGTTGGATAATATGATGTAACGGTTGTTTGTTTTTCAGTTTTGGTGATCTATATAAATCTTTTTAGAAGAGTAGCATATTGATTTGGACGAAAAAAAGGAAAATATGACCAAACACTACTTCTTTCTGTTTTTGTGGGTGACAGTGACTTGACATTCACATGGTATCCTGAGAGAGGCTTAGTAGCTTTGTTAGTATTAATTGTCAGTTTGCCTATGGCACTAAGTTTTCCCACCTACGTGGGGCGGGTCCTGGTCATCACATAGCCTTTTGTAGTTATTTGCTTTCTGTTGTGCCTTGATTTTTTTTTTCTGTTGACTATTGGCTTCATCACTTTGTGGTCCTGTGGCTTATTATGATTAGATTTGAGGGTACAGAATAGAGAAAACATTATGGCAAGTAGAATTCAAGAGCTGGAATGGAAATAATAAGAGCAAAAACTACTGTTAAGTGCTGATTTCCTTTGAATTGTGGTGTTTTCCTTTCTTCTCCAAATAGGGAGGTAGTACAGAGTGAAGACCGGAGATTTGGAGTTAAAGATCTGTGTCCCAGCTTCAGCTTTGCTATTTGTTAGCTGTATATCCTTGAGCAAGTTATTCAACCTCTTACAGTCTTACTTTCTTGATTTGCTAGATGTGGGTAATGATAGTGCTACCTCATATGGCAGTCAGGATGACTGTGTGGCCATTGAAAATTTGCTAGACATATAATAAACCTTCAATAAACACTTGTTTATTGTCAGTCTCTAGTCTTCTTAGGACCGCTGGGGGAACAGACAGAAGAGCAGCAGAGGAGTTGATAAGTGAAACCTCTTAGGTTCTTCTTAATTGCTTGCATGTGACAATTTCTGAAAGAGCAATGCTGAGGAAGCAGCAGCTCCCCAGCTCCCTTCAGCAGTAGGCATCTTGCTTAGAGGAGGGCCACTGCTCTTGCTTTCCTGTCTGCTGATGGTGGTTGTGTATTCTCAGAGCCTCTCTGGAAATCTTCCCTTTCACTTCTTGCTTTCATGATGATTATGAACTTCGAGTGAAACCTAGCTAGAATGAGGGGAAGTAAGAGCAGTGTAAATCTTGGTCCAGCAACACCAGTTCTCACCACTGCTTATTTTTGTGTTTACATGGGTCTCTCTTAGAAGCCAAGAGCCCCAATGATATGTGCTAGTTCATCTGTTCATTAAACTTGTGAAGTTTCATCAAACCCATTTATCAAAATGAAGGGCTGTAATGAAGATTTTAGAGAAAGAAAGCACTCTAAAATATTAGAGCTGATTGGGACTTTACAGGTATTCATTTTGCAAATGAGTGTCATCTCTTGTTAAAGGTCACACTTGTATAGCTGAGACTAGAACTGGGGCCACAGGGACTCTATGTCTATACTATTGGATTTATCACTTTCCTTGGATCCATCCTACATGATTCAATTTTTAATACCTGGAGTTTTCACTCTTGTTATCTTCCTATTCAAGGATAAAAGCTCTAGCTTCTTATCTTTATATAAAACCTTTAAAAGGCAGAACTCATGTTATCTTTTAAAACTTTCCCCTAACTGTTCTCCCTGAATCCCTCATTTTGGTGCCGCTGGTCTGATCCCTGTCCTACAGAAATGCCTTGCTTCATACCCAAGCTCACAGTATTATTTCTAATCTTTGCCCTGGTTACTCCAGTTTTCTTTTATTTACTCAGCATTCAAAGTCCTGGTTAAGGGCTACCTCTGCCAAGCTTATGCTAGCTTTTCTGACATCCCCCAAGATTTTTCATGTGCTTTCTGTGTTGCTCTCTTTCTCTTTTCACATTTATAAATATTTCTTCCTCAAATAGTCTTTGAGCTCTTTGAGTAAAGAATAAGAATCTGATTCATCTATAGCTCCAGTGCCAGGCAAATAAATTCATTCATTCATTAAATTAACAGACATTTTTATTGAGTACCTATCATGTGGTAGCCCCTGGAATTATAAAATGATAAATATTTCCACTCTCAAGGATTTGCGAGTTTAGTTTGGGGAACAGGAAAGCAGATGGGCAGAGCACCATGTGACGAATATGTGACAACAGTATGTAGATGCTGTGGGATTGTACTATAAGGATGTATAACTTGAACTGTAGAATATAGTGCAAGATTTGCCTTCAAGGACTAGTAGAAAGTAATGCTTATGATCTAAATTGATGCATAGTATGTTGGAAGTCATTTTTAGACAAGAAGTAGCTTGTTTCAGAGGGAGCAGAGATCAAACCTAGGAAAAAAATGTGAATTTCTATCAGAAAAGTACTGCAAAATGACCTCAGAATAAATAGAAAACTACTACTATTATCATAGAAGTTACTGGCAATATGATTAATGTCTGTTAAAAGAAGATGTATTTAGATGACTTTATGCTGAATTTGGATAACCTTTAAAAAACCAGATAATTCCAGTGTAGTTATTAAATATCCTAGACAGTAGAGGAGGTTGGAGAAAACTCCCCTATCAAAACCTAATCATGATAAGTAAAACAAGCAGAAAAAAATGCTATAAAATGATCTTTATTATGATTATATGTACACAAATTATAGATAAAATAGCCTAGTTAATTCATTAATATATCAAAACACAAGTGTAACAAAGGATTTATTCTAGGCATGCAAAGATGGTTCAATATGTAGACTTTATCAACATATTTCATTACATCATCAAATTAAGGGAGGGAAAAAGAGTTGAATGTATCAGTGGTTGCTAAAGAGGGCACTGCAGCTGTAACTAGATAGGATTTTATTCCACAAATGCCAAGATAGTTCAATATCTGGAAATCTATCAGCATGCTTCATTACATCACCAAATTAAGGGAAGATAAAAGAGATGATTGTATCAGTGAATGCTATAGCAATTCTAGAAAGATATGAGTAACTAAGAAAGAGTAACGTTCATTCATTCTCCCATTTCTATGTAACATACTTGTTTAAGGGGCTTCCTGCCTAGGCATTGTGCCGGTATAGTGAGACTAGTTGGAGTTTCCAACTTGTTGGGACATGTAGGCAGGTAAATAAATGGCTTTCTTGTGGATTGTTATAAGTATGCCGAAAGTACTAAAGAGCCTAGAAAAAGGAATTAGGCTACTCTTCCTTGGAGAAGTTAGGGAAATGTTCACAGAGTTAGAGACATTTGAGCTGAGACAATATAAAAATATAGGGCTTGGTAGAACGTGAAGAGAGGGAAACGGCATTGTTGATGGTGAACACAGCATGAGCAAGGGTTCAGAATCATGAAAACTTATTATAAATCCTGGGAATGGGGTCACTGGGTCACTGCTGACATGCAGAAGAATGGTAAGAGAAGATACTGAGGAGGACATCTGCAAACAAATGATTGGTCAGAAGATGGGCCTCTCAGGAGGAGCAGCTGGAGGTGCTTCTTCATGGAGGGCAGCATGCGGGTAATTTATGATGCTGGGGATAACTGAAATGACTGTGGAGCCAATGATTTGCATATTGATACTTACATTTTATTTATACTCTCCCAGAAATTGCCTGTTTCTTTATATCTGTGCTATATCCGAAAAGCCAAGATGATACAGTCAGTCAGTAACTTGGGATTACTATGAAAAATGTGAATCTTTGCTTAAGAAAATACTGCATCCTATATTAACCAATTTTTCAACCTTTTATTATAAAATGACTTTAGATTTATAGAGACCTTCCAAGGATAGTATTAAGCCATTTTAAAAATTATAATTAACATTTATACTACCAATGTGCATAATGCATTAAAAGTTTTAAACCTTTACTTGATCCCTTTTATTTCACACTTATATTCACTTTAGTCATACTGAAAGCAAACCAGTCACTTTTATCCCAATTTAGTAGAAGACCAAGCCTCAATTAAAAGCAAAAGCAAAACCAAAATTGGCATTTCTCAGCCATGTGAGATGGGTTTGGTTTTGGTATTTAGAAAAAAAAAATCATCTGAAGTTATTCCAAATGAACAGCTAAATTTAAAAACCACGAGTAAAACAGACATTCATTGGTAGTTTTTCTATATTGGTTTTGTGCTAGGCCTTAATGGTAGTTTATAAATGTGTAAAATATGGTCCCTACCCTTTTAAGGAACTCAAGTTTAGCAAGTATGTATGTGTCTTTGTGTGTGTGTATATATATACATGTATGTATGTGTGTGTATATATGAATATGTAAAAGGTACGGGGGAAAGAAAAAGAAAAGAAAGGCCCTGTAACCAGAGTGAAAAGCCAGTACCATCACTGGCTTCAATAGCATGTGTCCTGATTACCAGTTTAGAGTCTTTGTCATTGATTCATGTTATCCTCGTCTTTTAAGAAAACTATACATCAAGCTGTTCTTCCAAGCAAGATGGTCATAAAATTGCCATTGACTTTCTACAAGAATAGAGGCTTCTTTTTTTCTCACTTTGCATAGCACTCTATACTATAAAAAGTACTTTAATATCATCTCATTGGTTGCCATAAAAATTCTGAGAGTTAAGGAAGACAGAGGTTTATATGTTTGTTTGTTTTTTGAGAGAAGGTCTCCCTCTGTTGCCCAAGCTGGAGTACAGTGGTGCAATCACAGCTTACCGCAGCCTCAATCTCCCAGGCTCAAGTGATCCTCCAACCTCAGCCTCTTGAGTAGCTGGAACAACAGGTGTGCGCCATTATATCCTGCTAATTTTTTAATTTTTTGTAGAGACCGAGTCTCATTCTATTGCCCAGGCTGGTCTCAAACTCCTGGCCTCAAGTGATCCTTCTGCCTTGGCCTCCAAAGTGCTCGGATTAGAGGCGTGAGCCATTGTGCTTGGCTGAGTCCTCTGAGACAGTGAAACTATCTGAGGCTCTAGAGGCGATGCCGTTCAAAGTCATGCCACTTGTTGGTGGTGTGGACTGATGTGAATATCCAGGCAACACTGTTTCCCAGCTCTCCCCTCCACCCTGTCTCTCTATTACTATGCCATGTACTGAGGCCTTTGATTTCTGTGTTCTGATGCTCTTTGTCTTTACAGACATCTGGAGGTAATTGTGTAGCCCTCTTAATTAATTCAGTTCAATTAATAAATTAGTAGGTGGCTTTTGGGCTGGGGGCGCTTACAGGGTGCCTTCCGGGCGTCCCTGTGCTGGAGAGCTCTTGCAATCAGGCTTGGAGAGCCCTCCTCGGCAGCAGCCTCTGAGTCTCATCCCCAGCAGGCAGGCTGACTGGAGAGGTGATTGGCTTACCCTGACAGAGGAGACATTTCCTCTCTTCAAATATTATATGCAATCTGATCAGAGCAGCATCTGGGCTGGGCTGATTGTTCCCCTCCTAGTTTAAGCAAGCTTTTCATGAAGGTCCAACATGGTATCAGCTCAACATACAAGTTGATGGGCATTTCTTTGTTGTGCGGGGCTGACCTTTGCATTACATGTGTTGAATATTCTATCCTCCGGTCCTAAATTCTAATAATTGTCCCAGACGTTGGGGCAACCAATATGCCCCTCTTCCCCTTTTCCACATACCCCTTGGTGGGGACCAGAGCTGCTCCTGCAGATGGATCATTTAAAAGTGTCCTGCCAGGTATCTGTTAAAACCCTGTTTCCAAAATAAACTTTCAGTGGTTCCTTAATGCCTGAAGAATAAATTTAAACTCAACTGTGGCTGCTGAGCTGTCTGTGCTTTGGTTTCAACCCACCTTTTAGTTCTTTTGCTTGCTACTTTCTGTTATTCGCCCTCCAAGCACACTAAACGTAAATGCTGTGTACTTTTCTGCCTGTATAATTTTGCCAACATTTTTCAGGTTCAACCCTACTTAGCACTCAAACCCAGTCTGTATATCACCTCATCAATAAAATCTTGTTAATTCTGCCCCCACCAAGAAGTGAGCCTATCTTTTTCTGCATCTCAGCAACACTTGTTCTTAACCTCACTTAGGTAACTTAGCACTTCATTTAGGCATAACCATTTAATTGGTGAGATAATTAATTTAATAGATTATTAATAAAATTCAAGCTCTTTTCCATCCTCCTACCATAAAATCTCCTTCAAGTTAGGAACCATTTCTTATTCATATCTATTTCCCAAGAGTGGCTAGGCACTAAAATAGGTAACTATTGGAAGGGAGATATTCAAGTTTGAGGCAGTGTTCTCTTCCTGCTCCTCCTCTTTCTCTTTCTTTCTTTCTTTCTCCTTTTCCTCTCCTTCCTCCTTTTCCTCCTCCTCTTTCTATTCATGATTCCTCTGCCTCTTCATTTTTCTTTCTTCCATTTTCTTTCACCCTTCTTTCCAGAGAACTTTATCAGGATGCATTTAGTATGGATTAAGGTGAAATAGCAATGAAATGAGGAGTATTGTCTTCGTTTTCATGCTTCCATAAAAACAGTGTTTCTTTTTCATTGCAGATTCCAACAATGTCTCACCCATCTTGGCTGCCACCCAAAAGCACTGGTGAGCCCCTCGGCCATGTGCCTGCACGGATGGAGACCACCCATTCCTTTGGGAACCCCAGCATTTCAGTGTCTACACAACAGCCACCCAAAAAGTTTGCCCCGGTAGTTGCTCCAAAACCTAAGTACAACCCATACAAACAACCTGGAGGTGAGGGTAAGTGCTGGGATTTCAGAGTTGGTTACTTGGAGTAGGAAAATTCAGTTATATAGGTGATTTGTAGTACAAAGTTGTGTCAGAAAAACGTAGTTTGTGAATTCACAGCGTGGGTGTCATAGGCTACTAAAAGTAAAGGAGCCCCCGGAAATAGTCTAGACCAACCCCGTCTTTTAGGAAAAAGACTTTTTATGGGTTATATGGCTATGGTTACATAATGAAATAGGGTTAGAGCTCAAACTAGAAACCTGGCCTCTTTAGTCACAGCTCAATGCCTTTCTACTGCGTTATCTTCCACCTCCAGCTCATTCTCTTGTAGGGTTTTAGCTACCAGACAGTCATCCCTCCCTCTTGCCGTTGGACAAATGTCCACAAATGCTGCCAAGCAGTAGTCCAATCAGAAACTTATACAAAGTGAACCTAATAAAGTGCATGGAATTGTTTACCTCCTCTGGCTGTTTTTCTTCCCTTAGGCTGCTGAAGGATAAGTTGTCTAGAGTGTTCTGTGAGATCTGCATTTGTTGAATCTCCCAGACAAATATGAGTGAAGCCTAGTTCCAGGGGTTTTAATAACAATGCATTCAGTTTACATCAAGTAGAGTTTGAAGGTCTACGTGAGCTCCAGCTCTCATGTGTATGTATACACTCACACACGAAGCCTCAGAGGCAGTATAAATGGTACCATACTCTTTGGTTGAAAAGGTTCCATATTTTTACCAGTGAATGTTAGCAGCTTATTCAAACTCAAGAAAAAATAACTTAAAATAAAAAAAAAAAAAACTGAAGAATATTAGACTTCTAGGAGCTGAGAGAGAAGAGGCAGTGAAAGGAGATTTAACTCCCTTTGTTTTCTGTCCCTGTCCCACCATTAAAAAAATTATTAATATCTTACCCTCTTCATGATGTTTCCAGTTGCTTCTTGGATGACATTAATGTTTGTTTTGTCAATATTGCACGCAAGTGTTTCACACTCTGTGATATAGTCCAGTCCTCCTCTTTTCTTTCCTGTCCTCTCCTGCGCCCAGGAAACACTTTACTAGTCTGTTAGTATTTTGGGTCTGATGCCAGAAGCCTAGTTCAGATGTCTAGCTTGTGTAAGGTGAACACCTAGGTTGGGTGGTAGAGAGGATCAGGCTTCAGCATGCATGGCTAAGCTGCAGCTGTGGATCTTTGGATATCCTTTTCCTCAGAAAGTACAAGAACGAGACCCTCAGAAAGCTGCTCTTGAAAAACAATAAACGAAGCCTTTGGTGCTGTACTAATCTCTGTAGCACTCCATGATGTTTTATTGCCTTAGAAAGAGACTGCATCTTTGCAGTTAATCAAGCACTTAGTGGAACTGGCTTTCTTTGACTCATCCTTCTTTAGTGACTTCAGGGCTTGGGAATGGGATCTGGAAGAGAATCTCTCTTCATAGGGACAGGAGGAGCCATATGTTGGCTTCCTCATTTATGGTTTTTTTTTTTGTTTGTTTGTTTTTTTTTTTTTTTTTTTGAGATGGAGTTTCACTCTTGTTGCCCAGGCTGGAGTGCAATGGCATTATTTCGGCTCACTGCAACCTCCGCTTCCCGGGTTCAAGTGATTCTCAGCCTCAGCCTCCCGTATAGCTGGATTACAGGCATGCACTACCATGCTTGACTAATTTTGTATTTTTAGTAGAGATGGCGTTTCTCCACATTGGTCAGGCTGGTCTTGAACTCCTGACCTCAGGTGATCTGCCAGCCTCGGCTTCCCAAAGGGCTGGGATTACAGGCGTGAGCCACCGCACCTGGCCCTCATTTATGTTTTCAATGTTTCCCTTTGTCAGCTTACTAGGGGCATTGTTATTTTGTCTCCTAACTTTTGGGGAAAGCTTCAGTGGACCTCTCTCTAATCTGAACAGAATACAGACATGGCCAGTTATAGAGCAGAAGGCAAAGGTGTGAGGAAGTCTTTGTAGGTATGAGAGTTCTTATAGGCCTGAGCGTTATGGTGAGGGCAGGTCCTATATTAAGTGGGCTCATAAATGGCATATATGAGATAGGTAGAAGAGAAGCATATAATGGCCTCGCTTTAGACTCCTTTACTGTGAATTTGACATGCCCTCCTTGTACTATGTGTGGTTCACCCACTGTCTTACTCTCTAGGAACACTGAAGTGATTTGTTTGCGTGCCCTGCAGCACAGTCCTTGGTCCCCTCTCAACATGCCACCCCACACGTTTTTGTTACCTGAAAATTCTATTTGTATCACTTTCTCCAAAATGGCTAGGTGCAGCCTAGGTCAGAATTAATCGCTCCCTTTCCCGAGTTTCCACATCTTATTCTTTGACTTATCCAAATTTCTACCACTTTTGTTATTGCTCCTGCTTACATTCTGTCCCATATTGAACATGTAGTATATGCCAGGCTCTATGCTTTCTCTTTATTATTTTATTGCCTTCTTATGTAACCCTACAAAATGTTTTTTTTTTTTTCTTATAAAGAAATGGAAGCTTAAAGGAGGTGACATTCTCTATGATTTGCTTGGAGTATGTTTCTGAACTAAGGCTGCTGTCCATATCCAGCATGCGGTACTGCCTGTCCTTCTATTCACAGCACATGTGGCAGCAAACCCCATATTACAGTGATACATCCCTGCATCCCTTATAAGAATATATATAAGCTTTGCTTCCTCATTGAAGCAACAAGACATGGTTTCTCACTCGTCCTTATGTTCCTCATAGCTCATATTATGCTACTGTGTTTTTAGTAGGAATGGTTGCATATGGTCAAATGTATGTCTGTGTGTTCTTATGTATGCATATATATTTGGATGGCTGGCGGATGGCTGGCTGGGTGAGTGCACTGCTCAGTGATGCTTCTCCAAAGCAGTTTGGAATATGGTATAACTCAGTCTTTTGTTTTCTGAAATTTTGGCTCTCTCTTGCATTTCTGCCAATTCTCACTCTTTTTCTCTCTCCCCCTCTCTCTAAATATAATAACCTTTACCTTTTCTGAATATGCAAGAGAAGAAATTTTCCTTTAATATATAAGTTAAAGACAAATCTTGGGAACAGTTTATGGACATTCAGACTTTTTAAAATAGAAGCTACATTTCTGCATCTGCTGTATGAAACAAAGATGTATCCATGTATTTGTTGGAAGTAGATTTGCTTTTCTTTATATTTAATTTAAATGTTATCAGTGCATTCTGTTACTCTGAACATTTTTGTAACTTACATCTATTGTGTTTGTTTACACATTTAAACAATTTATAACCATTCCTTTTCGTTTCTTTTTTTCATTTAGAATGTTCTATACTCTCAGTGAAATTCCCAAGATAGTAGGTAGCACAGGTTTTATTTCCAGGATGCATTGGTGATACCAGCTTATGCTCTGTATTGCCTCAGCTCATGCTGTTTTTGGCTTTTAGAGTGTACTTGTCCCCCAGTTTCCTGCTTCTACAGTCTTTTAATTCATTGCTTAAAAGTTGACCTCCACGAAGCTCAACCACAAATGCAGAAAGTTAGAACTAATAGAAATCACGCAATCCATCTTGTTCTGACGTAAATGTGAAAACTGCAGTCTAGAGAGTGTAAGTTATTTGTTCAGAGAAGCACAGCCTGCTCTGAGCCGAGTTGGCACTCAAGTCTTTTCCCTCTAACTCTAGAGTTACCCAAACCTTGTACTATATTCTAATGGCAAACTGTTCTTTACTACCCCATACCCTCATGCATTGCCTACAATTCTTATGACAATGTGTTTTTTAATAGATTTGCTTGTATATGCACCTGTCTTCTCTAGCGGAGTCTGAACTTTGAGAGTCAGGGGCTGCCTGACTCATGCCTTTTCCCTCAACAGCACCTAGCAGGATACCTGACACATACTAGGAACTCAATAGTGTTTGCAGAACTGAATTAATTGATAAAGCACAGTAATATAAACCTACTTCTCCAGACACAGGTTCTAGGTTCTCAGCTACTTATTAGACACTGTGGTTCTGCAGTTTCAACCCACGTCTTTGCATTACTTTTCCTTCCTATGCCCATTCTTTGAACTTACATTTCTCACCTTGGTGTTACGTCTGTAATCTCTGGAGTTTGCTTTCCCATGTTTTAATTCTGACTGTGAAAGTAGAAAAATACCCACATGTTTTCCACATCAACTTATCTTTCTGGGGTACCCATATTTATAATTTCTTTTATAAGATATTCTGATAATAACCATTTTCTAAAGGGCTTTGGCACACTGAAAAGTGGGGCATGCTTTTTTTCCCAGTTAGTAGCTCTTTAGATCTCAGGGTCCTTTTATTTTACTTCCATTGTTCTCATTTCTTTTCACTGATTTTGTAACAAGTTGTGTTTTCATAGCTAACTTAGAATACCCCTACATTTCCAAATGCTTTCTCTGTGTTCAATGCTTTGTGCTTACGAACTCATACTTATTTTTTAATTAAATTTAGTCTTCTTAGAGATTTTTTTTAGTTCAATAGCTTTTGGGGAACAGGTGGTTTTTGCTTACATGGAGAAGTTCTGTAGTGGTGATTTCTGAGATTTCGGTGTGCCCATTGCCCGAGCAGTGTACACTGTAGTCTTTTATCCCTCACATCCTTCCCATCCTTCACCCTGAGTCCCCAAAGTCCATTATATCATTCTTATGCCTTTGCATCCTCATAGCTTAGCTCCCACTTATAAGTGAGAACATACAATATTTGATTTTCCATTCCTGAGTTACGTTTAGAATAATGGTCTCCAACTCTATCCAAGTTGCTGCAAATGCCATTATTTCATTCCTTTTTATGGCTGAGTAGTATCCCATAGTGTATATATACCACAATTTTTTATCCATTTGTTGGCTGATGGGTATTTAGAAGATATACAGACAATAATCATATGAAAAAATGCTCAACTCACTGTCCGGGAAATGCAAATTAAAACCACATTGAGATACCACCTTACTCCTGCAAGAATAGTCATAATTAAAAAAATAATAAATGTTGGCATAGATATGGTGAAAAGGGGACACTTTTACACTGTTGGTGGGAATGTAAACTAGTACAACTGCTATGAAAAACAATATGGAGATTCACTAAAGAACGAAAGTAGACATACCATTTGATACAGCAATCCCACTACTGGGTATCTACCCAAAGGAAAAGAAATCATTACATGAAAAAGACACCTGTGCACACATGTTTATAGCAGCACAATTCTTAAAGATTTTATAGTGTTAACTATTTCATTTTTTGTGAAATTATTTTGGTATATATTTATGATGTTGTTCCATCACTTTCTATTCTGTGTAACTGATGACAACAAGATAAGATAATGCAATTTTTCTTCTGGTCTTCAAAATACTAGCCTTTAGTGTTGTTTGTCCTATAATCTGGGTTTTCACTCTGCTCCAAATCAAAAAATAAAAAGATACAACAAACAACAACCACCCCACCCCCAAAAATAAAACAACAACAGCAATTAAACTCAGTCTTAGACTTTGATGGCAGAACAGTATAGTTCTTTTTCTGTTTTTGGTAAATAGCAAAGCAAATGAACTTTCCTACTGTACTAATATAATTTTTTAAAGATGGTTTTTGAAATTATCTTACTAATACACTCTGGGGATTAGTGTTAGGTTGCCTTTAATGGCAAAAACCACGATTACTTTTGCACCAACTTAATAACTCTCTCTCTCTCTTTCTCTGTCTCTCTCTCTCTCTCTCTCTCTCTAATTTGGCTGAATGAAATTTGATAATACTTTTTATCCATCATTAAAATAGATAATCATTTGGAAAGATTTGTAAAGTTCACGTTTGTGAAGCTGGAGTTGTCTTGTGGCCTAGAATTCACTTTCTTTAATTTCTGAAATTCTTTTTAAAAAACATTTTTATGTTAGATTTTTGAAAAAACAAATTGGCATGACATGCCAGTTCTCACTCTTTTTCTTTCTCCCTCTCTCTCTCTAAATATAATAACCTTTACCTTTTCTGAGTATACAAGAGGAGACATTTTCCTTTAGTATATAAATTAAAGACAAATATTGGGAACGGTTTGTGGCCATTCAGACTTTGGGTCTGCATTAGGTACCAATTCAACGTGATCATTTTGGTGGAATCCTTTTATATTGGTATACTCTTTTATAGTTTATTTAGCAGTTGCATGTTCATTGTCTTTTCATTTCAGTAGAAAATTCTTACTGTCACTCTCTGAGGTAGGTAGAACAGATGTTATTGTCATTTTGATGATTTGTAAGTAGTAGAAGTGGAAGAGCTTAATAAGGAATCATGTAGCTAGTAAAAGAGTAGAGGGAGACCCTCACACCTAGGGCTCTTACGAATTTTAAATGCTTTCGTTTATTAAAGCGTTGGCTACACAGTCTGATGTCTCCTTTAACTTCATTATTTTATTATTTCATGATTCTTCTTTGAAATTAATTTCAAAATGGTGACCCTTTTTACAAACCAGCTTTGTGAATATTGGTTCACATAGACTTGTCAAGATAGATCAAGATAGGTGAGGTGAATTATATTAAATAGGGATCCTAAGCCTGGATTATTTTTTTATGACATCTTTCTGTGCTTTCTGCTACTGTGAGGTTACGAATGTATTATTCCATGGAGGGGAAACAGTTATAGATGATTGCTAATCTACCCATGAGTTTGGGGCTGAATTGATCCAGAACCCAGGTTTCCTAAATGCACTCATTCAGCTGTACCACTGTGGTTTATGGGAACCAGGCAAGTTTGGAGCTTGGTTCCTAGGAACTGATGAGTCCTGGATTATTGATGCTTGGTGGAGAATTAGCCATTAGTGATGTGAAGCCATGTATCCTGGGTAGGCAGGACACATTTGTTTTCTTAGCAGATAACTAACATGTGAGGGAAATGGATGTCCACTTATGGCATTATATTTAAAGGAATAATTTAGACTGGATTTTCCCCATTATTTTTGCTGCGAACGTATGGTCCTCATGGTGTGCTTTTCTGTCTCTGGAGTCTTATTGTCCTTTTCCCCATGCAAAGAGAATCTTGCTCTGACTTTGGAGATACAAATGGGAAACATCTTTTTTGGAGGTTACAAATGGGAAACATCTTTTTGTAATCCTGACAGTCCTGTTAATTGCAATTAGAGACTGCAGTTGTAACATCTTGGACGTTTGGTATAAGTATGCGTGTTATGCCATGAGGATAGCCACAAATTCACGGAAACATCAGGAACTGTAATGAAGCTCGGGTTTGCCTGTCATGCCCCTTTTCTGGATGAGCGTAAGCATCTCGAGCCTCATCCATCACTGCACAGTGCAGTGCATGAGTTTTAATTTTCAGGTCCTCAGGGGGACAAAAGAACAAGCTGTGTATTCATTAAAGGATCAAATATTAATTGTATTAATTTGATCTTTACACTGCATCTTTCAGCAGAGAAATTAACTTGTAATTCTTGGAGTGACATCAGATCTTACCAAATATTCTTAGGCCTTATTGATGCTCAAAAGTGCCAAGATGCAGCCCTGGCTTGATGGTCAGTGCAGTTACATTCAAGCTTCAGTTTCATCACTTGGCCTTGGGCATGATGCTTTTCTAATCCATATCCTCTTTAATTCATAAAATATTAGCTGGTAATACCAACTGCCTCACAAGATTGTTTTGAAAGCCAAATATGATGATAAATGTGAAAATGTTTTTAAACCATAAAATACCTTATAACTCTAAGGAGTTACTATTATATACTTATTCAGCAGTCATTTACTTAAAACAGATTTTGTGCCAGATACTCTTCTAGGGGCTGAAGTAATGGCACTGAGTGAAACAGAGACTAGTTCCTGCCCTCTTGGGATGTATTTTCTTGCTATAATAAAAATAACATTATTAATAATAATAGTGATAACATTTGTGAAATAAAATTTATTTAATAAATGCATTTTATAACTTTACATATAATTACCAATAACTATTCAAAATTATAAAAAATACTTTAATATAGGTTAAGTAACTCTAATCCAAAAATCTGAAATCTTAAATGTGAAAAAATCTGAAACTTTCTGAGTGCTAACACAATGCTCAAAGGAAATGCTCACAGGAACATTTTGGATTTCAGTATTGTGGATTAGGGTTGCTTAGCTGGTATGTGTAAATATTCCAAAAATCCAAAAAATCTGAAATTTGAAACACTTCATGTCCCAGATGTTTTGTATATGCGATACTTAGTCTGTAGTAATGAATATGTGATAATATAAGTATAATAATAATTTAGCATGTTATCCATAAGTACTCATGTCATTAGCTTCTAACAACAGTGATAGAGATCACAATGCCTCAACACTATATAAACTGTAAAATTCTAGAACCAGGGTGAATCTTAAAAGTTATCTAATACAACCCCTTTCTTTCCTAGATGAGAATAGTTGAGAATGTATTCACTAATACATTTCAGCGAAGTACAGGTTCTTTGCCCAGGAGTGCTGTAAATAACCAATGAAAATTCTTGAATGCAGGCAACAATTTAATCTTCATTTCAGAGACTCAGAGAGGCAGGTGGCTTGTTCAGTATTGCAGATTAGTAAGTGGGGAAGCCAAGCCATGATCCTGGGGATTCCTTCTCTGGTTGCCATAGACACGTTTTGGGGGACTTGTTTAGAAGTTACAGTGATTGAACTAATATACCCGAACAAAGTGGATTGGATGTTTTAGAACAAGGAGAAGTCCCTGTATTGTTGACAGAAATCTCTTTTATTTTGTAACTTGTCAGCTTAATTAACTACTGAAATGAGTTCCTTAATAAGGTGATGGGTGCCTCCTAATTCTTGTATGGTTCAAAAACAATAATTAATGCTGATTTGTGTGGTGAGATACATATTAATCATCTTTATTTTTGAATTATACAAATATACAATACTATTGTCCCTCCGTATTTTACATCTGAAGAGAATTTAATTGCTTTTTTGATAATAAAAATAAACAGAGAGCCACAAAGAGATATCACCACACATGTATTAGAAAAGCTAAAATAAAAATTTGTACCAGATGCTGCTAAGGATGTGGAGAAATGATCTCTCACAATGCTGGTAGGCATGTGCAAAATTTTGTAGCCACGATGGAAAACTCTTTGGCGGTATTTTACAAAAGTAAACATGTACTAACCATATGACTCAGCAAATATACCCTTTGGCATTTAATCCAGAGAATCAAAATGTTATGTTCACGAAAAAACCTGTACATGGATGTTCATAGCAACTTTTTTTTTTTTATCATAATGACAAAACACTGGAAACAACCCAAATATCCTTTGATGGGCAGATGTTTCAGTGAAGTCTGGTACAGCCATACAATGGAATAATACCATTCAGCAGTAAAAAAGAATGAAGTATTGTTGGTATATGCAATAACCTGGACATGCTTAATGAAAAAACTGTCTCGAAAGGTTACATGTATTATATGATTTCATTTTAAGACAAAGCTCTAGAGATAAAGGACATATTCATGATTGCTAGGGGACAGAAATGGGTGGGTCGGGGGGGGGCAAGTACTGGTCATTCCTACAAAGAGGACGCAGCAAGAGTCTTTGTATGGGTGGAACAGATCTGTACCTCAATTGGAGTGATGATTACATGAATCTATACATGGGATAAAGTTACATAGAACTGTATGCACACACAAATCAATGCAGGTTATAAAATGGTAAAAACTGAGTAACTCCTAGTTAACAATAAGGTAACAATGTCAGTTTGCTGGGTTTTCGAATGTATTACAGCTTTATGAGCATTACCATTTAGGGAACCTGGGTAAAATGTACATGGAAACTCTGTACTATTTTTGCAACTTTCTATGAGTCCATATTTAAAAAAAAATTAATAATAGTAAAATAAAGGAATGCATATAGATATCTTAATGTATTCTTCTCTTACTCAAAGTGCTATCTTACATGCCATCTGAATTGCTTGCATGATACTTTGAAAGATCACTGCTATATGTATCCCTGCCAAAATGTATGGCTTAAACCTGTGGTTTTCAAAGCTGGCCAGTCATCAGAAAGACTTGGAGAACATTTTTCAAAAGAAAAAAATTAAAGCAAGTCCTAGGTCCCATCACAATTTTACAGAATCAAAATATCTGGCCATGGGGCCCAGGAATCTGCATTAAAACAAAGCAAAATAAAAAATAAAACAGAACTTCCCGGGAATTGTGATTGATGCTCAACCAACGTTTGGGAACCACTCATTTATTTCATTAACTTCAGGGACCAGTGCCTTAATCTCCTTTGAACCTTCTCCAAGTCCTGAGAGTGTACTCTTCCTCCCGTAGTTAATGATGGTAGCTTTTGAAGTCTTGAGAGTCTTTATCTTGTGAACATTGTACAGATTCAGAGACCTAGAGCATCTTTCATGTTGCTATTCTTTTCCCTCAGTGCTTTCATTATAGACACCAATCGTTTGCATATGTTGTCCTGGGTCATTTTATTTGGGATCCAAAACCAGAAAATTTCAAACAACAACAAAAAAATGGATTCTTCGAGAATGCCCTAGCCATGGACAAGCTTCTGCATTACAGAGCTCTTGCTATTGTGTTGCTTTGGGTAGCAATGCCTGAAATCTCAGCCAATTTTGGGTCACAGTAGGCCTATGTAAATTATCTAAAAATGGATTCATTATGGACATTATAAAAATAAATCTGACACCTGAGCCTTTGGGCAAATATACCATATAAAGAAATCATACCCTAGAATAACGATTAACCTAAAGAACTTAAAAAAAATCAGTATGATATTTTTATCATCCTTTCTTAAAATTACTGCATTCAGAGAGACCTGATGGCTGAGGACAGCACCTGGGGCAGAGGAGTATAGGTCATTGGGATGTGGCATCCTGAGTCTTCTAGCAGTTTGCTCTTCCAGCACTCTCCCTTATTATATGTTCTTTACATTGTTCTGTATGTCGCTGTCTTCAAACAGAATAGATAAGTCTACTAGTCAAGATAGACATATAACAGGCACCACATGTGCATAAAAATTGCATTATGTAAATTTAGTGCCGTAATATAATATGAAGGATGTCCTCTAGGAGGAACTGGGGAAAGCATCACAGACGAGGACACATCTGATCTGAGTGTTGGAGAATGAGTTAGTTGTTTACCAAGCAGAAAAGGGTGGTGGACAGCATGGCATGCCAAGTAAAGGGAACAGCATGTGCAAAAGCAGAGAATGGCCCCCATCCTGACCCTTGTAATTTTGGCAGCTCTTTGCTGATGTCCTCAGGCAATGCATCTGGGCTCCTGGGAATAGCTTTGCAATGTGAACAGAGTGACTTCACTATGGGTAGACCTAAATGTTCTAGCGTGCTCTGAAACTTACCTCTAGAAATAGCTCCAGGAAGTTAGGTAGCTTCAGAGAGGAAGGACCAAGAAATATGATCTTATACCACAGGCAAGAAGTACTTTCCTGGAGGTACTGGCCAGAAGTACTATTGCTATCTCTCTGCACTTGTCTGTTATATTTTAGAATGAAATGTGCCTGTGCATACAAATGCTAAGGCAAGAAAGAAAAAGCAAAAGGCAATTCTCTTTAAATCTCCTGAAATAATTTCAGGCAGCTTTTTTTACCTAGTCAAACACACACGCTTAAGAATGGAGTTGTAAGCTAACTTAATCATTTTTTGTTTTGTTTTGCTCTCTTACTTGTTCACACGTTGGGGTAATCCTGAGAAAACAGGAAGCAATGAAAGAAGGATTTTATTGTGAAATGTTCATTACAACTTGTAATTTTAAAATGTGTTTGTATGAGTGTGCACAAATGTGAATAAATTTTAGAGCACTTTCTCACATAATATCTAGTTTAATCACCAGAATATCCTGCAACGTTATTATAGTTCCTACATTATTATGGTTCCTAAAGACAAATGAAAAATCTGTGATTCAGAGACCCAAGGTTAGGCTAATAAATGTAGAAGTCACATTTGACCAAATTTTAGTATCTTCCCTTAAGTATTGGTAATGTACGATAAACACTATTTGGTAATAATGAATTATTACAATTACTAAAACAACTTATCTGGCAGAACAGTATCTTAACTATTTGAAAAATATTGTAGTGGATTTATTAGCTTCCATTTCATCTGAAGTCCACTTTGCTTTACTGCTTACTTTATCTTTCTAGCTACTCTGTAAAAAAGTTATTATCACCCTCAATCTGCCAAGTATAATGTATGTAAAGTGAAATAACTAGCATATTGCAAAGCTGGGAATTGAACCCTTGTCTCCTAAATCCAAGTCTGTAGCTGTTCCTCAGCAGTACACTGTATCTCATGTTAATGCCATTATTACTTGTATTAAATGAAATAATTTTTCCATCATTATTTTCCCGAATTATTACTATCCAGAGCGATTTGAAGGTTAAGGTCATCCAAATAATGTGTGAAAATTGCTTAAAATCAATCTCCTGTGCATGGATGTCTATGATGTATACAAATATAAAACAGCCAAAGTAGTCTCAAGAAGTTATTACCAAGTTTCTCAAATAGTGTCTCAAGGCGACATTATTTGACAAGACCTTTGGAATAACCATTTGGAATTTTCCTTAGTTCAGTTGAATTGTGTCATCTTGCTTAAACTTTTCAGATATCAGGGGTAGTTTTATTGACATTACAATGGAATTAAAATGACATTTTATTTTATTTTTTACCGTTCTATAGAAATGGCATTTTAATTCGTCATTATTTTTATTATTGATCTGTTAATGTTGTAATGACTTGGGTTTTAGTAAGGGCATCCTCTGTAAAAATTACCTCCTGGGAAAGAAATCTCCAAGTTCTATGAGGTCTCCCAGAAATATCACCACTTGAGGTGAGAGTAAAGTGTCATGAATGCCACCCAATGTGATTCCTGGTAGATAAGATTTCACTGTTTTATATCTTGACATCTGCATTAAATTCCGTTCTTTTACTGGGTCCTATTCACTTCCATCTTGTGCCATTGTTACTTAACCAGGCTCTGTAGTGGACAGGAAAAAGTAAAAACACGTCTTAGCCCTTAAACAGTTTATATTTTCATTAGAAATTCAACATATGAAAATGCCCAGTTAACTAACAATATAAAGCTTTACTGTACAGCTTCTATTTGTGAAGTGACTCCATGGCTAACTCTATCAGAAGAAAGAGTTTGCTTGGAGCCAAGGTAGTATTGGAAGGTTACAGAGAAGAAAGACTCAGGGAGGCAGTGGTTAAGCTTGTAGACTCTGGCATCAGATAGATCTGGGTTTCGAGTTTTGATTTTACCTCTTAATTCTCTGGAAACTTGGACTCACCAGGATAAGTGGCAACCTAAGTTCTTTCAGTTTTAAAATAGAGATAGTTATGCACTAGGCGTGGTGGCTCACGCCTGTAATCCCAGCACTTTGGGAGGCCAAGGGTGGATCACCTGAGATCAGGAGTTCAAGACCAGTCTGGCCAACATGGCAAAACCCCGACTTTACTAAAAATACAAAAATTAGCCGGGCGTGGTGGCACACACCTGTAATCCCAGCTACTTGGGAGACTGAGGCAGGCGAATCACTTGAACACAGAAGGTGGAGGTTGCTGTAAGCCACTGCATTCCATTCCAGCCTAGGCGTCAGAGTAAGACTCCATCTCAAATAAATGAATAAATAAAAATAATAAATAAATATATGAATAAATGAAATAGAGATATTTGTATCTTAAAGAGTTGTTTTCAAAGTTAAGTCATGACAAAATAATGACAAAATCAGTGGAAGCTGCAATCATTGTTCTTGCTATTATTATTGAAATGAAAATATGAACATTAGCTCTGAGGGTTCTATCCATAGTTTTTTTTAAAAAATTCTGATTATAAAATTTTAATTATAAAATCCCATATAGCTCATGCTGACCATTTAAAAAATAATCTTAGTTGTATCCTTGTTTCTTTTTGTATTTGCTAATAGAGATTTTAGAATTGGCTTGGTGTATGTTTGTCCTTGCTAGAATTATGATTCCTTTTTTGAATTTGCATTACACCTTTGTTAGAAGTAGAATTACTTTACTTGAACTTTGTCAATGTGGCAAAAAATGATTCATGTTTATATTATCTCTTTGAAAAGTAGTGTTTTTACTATTGAACTATAAGTACAGTTAAAATGTAAATGAACATTTCAGAAAGAAACTATTGATTTTTATTAATTAAAGAAATTAATTTTCCAAAATGTCAGTTGCTACAGAGAGATTTTAGGGATTATTAACTACACAATCTCAGAAAAATTAATTTAATTAGGGATTTTATTTTGGGTTCCATTCGTTTTTGAGATTCATATTTTGGATTAAGCCAGTCTCCTGAAATTGTATTTAAACTTAGTCTGCGTGTATGTCTTTTTTAGGGAAAGCATTCACAACACCATCAGACCCTCGAAGAGATTCTTAACTTACCCATTAAGAAAAGTAACATCTCTGTCTAGGGGTCACCAGTCTCTCAAGCCAGTTATATTGTTGCTGCTTGAATAAACAAAACAGGTTTTTATTTCTGCTCTTACCAACATTACTAGGCTGTGTTTGTAGCAAAAACTGAGTATGTGGTGGTGGTAGTAACTACAGTAGAAAGTGTAACGTGTACACAATTATATCATGATACATGGTTTTTAAACACATTTTATATATGTATATATTTAATTTATTCACACAACAAATATTTGCACATGTTGCCTGAGCTGTGCATGTGTAAGGCAGGGCATAGAAATGAATAGGGCATGGGTTCTTTCTGCTGAATTAGATGGTACCCCCTCACCCCCCATTTTACTGTTGAAGAGAGGGAAGCTTGGTGGTGAGGTGGCTTGCCCCAGACCATACAGGTAAAAAGTAGTCCAGAGTAGATTCAGGCATAACTTGTTTGAACCAAATTGTGTTCTTTAGACTGCAACATGCTTTCTGTTCCTTAGCATGTAACTATTAACCATGTATTTTTATTTATTTTTCTTTTACGTGAATTTAAAATGTCATATTTGTTCTGCTTCTATTACTGCAGTCTTGAATGATGATTCATCAGTGCAGTGGCCTATTTTAGTGAACCACAATAGCTTGGGTAGAAAGAAAAAAGATCCAACATACACAGGAATGGAAAGCAGCCATCTTTTTATAGCTAAAATTGCAAACATCTGGCAATTACTCTATTCTACCTCCCTTCAAAAAAGAAGAATCATCCCTTCAACTGGAGCCTGCCACTGTGTTTAATCAAGGCAGAAAGCAAGCCTTAAGGAGCAATAGGTTTTGATTCAAGGAGGCCATTGCCTAACCTAGTTGGCCAAAGTCTCTTCAGAAAATACCCCATTTAGTGCTCCCCATAAGCTACTGGGTTATATAATGATAGTAATGGTAATATAGCAATTAATAACTGCAGAAATCCCCTTTTGTTTTTCTGCTGTTTCATTTGTGGTGGCTCTTATGGCAGCTTTTATATTGTGAAAGTTAATTATTTTGGTCAGTTTTGCCTGTCTCCATCTGCTTAAGCTTCTTGTATTCCTTAACAAAAGATTCAACCACATCGATACAACCAATAATTGCCAACTTGATTTTATTATAAACATGTCCGGTAAAATGCTGAAGGAACAAATAAATTTATTTTTAAAGCCTGGCCGTGATCTTACAGTCAAAAAGTGGTCCACCAAGGTTATGGCTCCTAAGTACCCCACCCGTATTTCTTATTGTGATAATTGTTTGTGAAACTAGTTCTTCCCTCACTGGCCAAAGTCAACACTGTTGGCAGGGGAAGTGAGAACAGCTGGTGGTTCACAGTATATGCTGAGAATCAGAACTTCTGCATTTTTCTCATGGGGCTAGTACCAGCTTTTGCTCTGGCCTTGACCAATGCACGTACCTTTCTCTTCCCCATTTACCTTTCTCTTCCTCTAGGTCTCTGAAGAGTAGAGGTGGATCTTTCCCTTCCCAGGTTGTGCCAACATTATTACCAATGTTCCCTTTTGTTGTAGAATATTTTGGTCAGTAATCATCAGTAATCGCTAAGTAACAGAAAATCAAGGTTCGACAGCACGGTTTTCAAAAACAACCTCAAATACTATAAATAGTCTGTTTTCTAGTGTTAGCAGATTATGGTACATGGAAATCATAAGCATTCAGTGGGGGCCTTTGAGCTTACATTAAATGCCTGCCTTTTGCTTTTATGTCTTTGCTAGAACTGTGTTCAATACCCAAAGACACAGCTTTTTCTTTGATATAATAATTTTTCTAGGCTGTCTTTCCTGCCAGTCTTCCCAAAATCCCAGTGAAGTTTGCAAACACCTCATTAAACTAAATGCAGTTTTGGGAGAGATGAGATTGTGACTAGGGAGTTTTCTGGTTTTTACAAAAAGAATAGAAAAAGAAAAAGAACAGGAACTCCTAACAACCTAAAATGCATGCCTTGTGCAATATAGTTATCCCATGCAGAGCTACATAGTGTAACGATCTCTGGAATCTCAAATGAATGTGCTCCCTTTTCTCTGTCTTCATTCAGTTGGATAGTTCTGGTCTTCCTCCCTCGTGTGCACATCTTTGAACTTGAACTACTGTATTACAGCCAGTGTTCTAACCTATATGCGTTTCTCTTTGGTGGCCCTGCTAATATAGAAGAGGTTACGCTAATGTTCCTTACCATATTTTTCTTTTTGGTGTCTTCTTTGTGTGTGTGTGTGTGTGTGTGTGTGTGTGTGTGTGTGTGTGTGTTTTAATTGTACTTTAACTTCTAGGATACATGTGCAGAACGTGCAGGTTTGTTACATAGGTATACACATGCCATGGTGGTTTGCTGCACCCATCAACCCGTCATCTACATTAGGTATTTCTCCTAATGCTATCCCTCCCCTAGGCCCCCACCCCCTGACAGGACATAGTGTGTGATGTACCCCTCCCTGTGTCCATGTGTTCTCACTGTTCAGCTCCCACTTATGAGTGAGAACATGTGGTGTTTGGTTTTCTGTTCCTGTGTTAGTTTGCTGAGAATGATGGTTTCCAGCTTCATCCATGTCCCTGCAAAGGACATGAACTCATTTTTATGGCTGCATAGTATTCCATGGTGTATCTGTGCCACATTTTCTTTATCCAGTCTATCATTGTTGGGCATTTGGATTGGTTCCAAATCTTTGCTATTGTGAATAGTGCTGCAATAAATATACGTGTACATGTGTCTTCATAGTAGAATGATTTATAATCCTTTGGGTGTATACCCAGTAATGGGATCGCTGGGTCAAATGGTATTTCTTGTTCTAGATCCTTGAGGAATCGCCACACTCTCGTCCACAATGGTTGAACTAATTTACACTCCCACCAACAGTGTAAAAGCATTCTTATTTCTCTACATCCTCTCCAGCATCTGTTGTTTCCTGACTTTTTAATGATCACCATTCTAACTGGCATGAGATGGTATCTCACTGTGGTTTTGATTTGCATTGTTCTAATGACCAGTGATGATGAGGTTTTTTTCATATGTTTGTTGGCCACATAAATCTCTTGTTTTGAGAAGTTTGTTGGCCACATAAATATCCTTCACATACTTTTTGATGGCATTGTTTGTTTTTTTCTTGAAAATTTGTTTAAGTTCTTTGTAGAATCTGGATATTAGCCCTTTGTCAGATGGATAGATTGCACGCTTTTTTTTCCCATTCTGTAGGTTTCCTGTTCACTCTGATAGATAGTTTTTTTTGCTGTGCAGAAGCTCTTTAGTTTAATTAGATCCCATTTGTCAATTTTAGCTTTTGTTGCCATTGCTTTTGGTGTTTTAGTCATAAAGTCTTTGTCCATTCCTATGTCCTGAATGGTATTGCCTAGGTTTTCTTCTAGGGTTTTTATGGTTTTAAGTCTCACATTTAAGTTTTTAATTCATCTTGAGTTGATTTTTGTATAAGGTGTAAGGAAGGGGTCCAGTTTCAGTTTTCTGCACATGGCTGGCCAGTTTTCCAAACAGCATTTATTAAATAGAGAATCTCTCCCCATTGCTTGTTTTTGTCAGATTTGTCAGAGATCAGATGGTTGTAGATGTGCAGTGTTATTTCTGAGGCCTCTGTTCTGTTTCATTGGTCTATATATCTGTTTTGGTACCAGTACCATGCTGTTTTGGTTACTGTAGCCTTGTAGCATAGTTTGAAGTCAGGTAGCATGATGCCTCCAGCTTTGTTCTTTTTGCTTAGGATTGTTGGGTCTATATGGGCTTTTTTTTGGTTCCATGTGAAATTTAAACTAGTTTTTTCTACTTCTGTGAAGAATGTCAATGCTAGCTTGATGGGGATAGCATTGAATCTGTAAATTACTTTGGGCAGTATGGCCATTTTCATGATATTGATTCTTATCCATGAGCATGGAATGGTTTTCCATTTGTTTGTGTCCTCTCTTATTTCCTTGAGTAGTGGTTTGTAGTTCTCCATGAAAGGGTCATTCACATCCCTTGTAAGTCGTATTCCTAGGTATTTTATTTTCTTTATAGCAATTGTGAATGGGAGTTCACTCATGATTCAGCTCTCTATCATTGGTTTATAGGAATGCTTGTGATTTTTGTACATTGATTTTGTATCCTGAGACTTTGCTGAAGTTGCTTATCAGCTTAAGGAGATTTTGGGTTGAGATTTTGGGATTTTCTAAATATGCAATCATGTCATCTGCAAACAGAGACAATTTGACTTCCCCTCTTCCTATTTGAATATTCTCTATTTCTTTTTGTTGCCTGATTGCCCTGACCAGAACTTCCAATACTATGTTGAATAGGAGTGGTGAGAGAGGGCATCCTTGTCTTGTGCTGGTTTTCAAAGGGAAAGCTTTCAGCTTTTGCCCATTTAGTATGATATTGGCTGTGGGTTTGTCATAAATAGCTCTTATTATTTTGAGGTATGTTCCATCAATACCTAGTTTATTGAGAGTTTTTAGCATGAGGTGGTGTTGAATTTTGTTGAAGGACTTTTCTGCATCTATTGAGATAATAGTGTGATTTTTGTCATTGGTTCTGTTTATGTGATGCATTATGTTTATTGATTTGTGTATGTTGAATCAGCCTTGCATCCCAGGGATGAAGCTGACTTTTTCATAGTGGATAAGCTTTTTGATGTGCTGCAGGATTCGGTTTTCCAGTATTTTTATTGAGGATTTTCACAATGATGTTCATCAGGGATATTGGCCTGAAATTTTCTTTTTTTTGTTGTGTCTCTGCCAGGTTTTGGTAGCAGGATGATGCTGGCCTCATAAAATGAGTTAGGGAGGAGTCCCTCTTTTTCTATTGTTTGGAATAATTTCAGAAGGAATGGTAGCAAGCTCCTCTTTGTACCTCTCTTAGAATTTGGCTGTTAATCTTTCTGGTCCTGGGCTTTTTTTGGTCAGTAGGCTATTAATTACTGCATCAATTTCAGAACTTGTTATTGGTCTATTCAGGGATTTGAATTCTTCCTGGTTTAGTCTTGGGAGAGTCTATGTGTCGCAGAATTTATCCATTTCTTCTAGATTTTCTACTTTATTTGCATATAGGTGTTTATGGTATTATTTATTGGTAGTTTGTATTTCTGTGGGATCATTGGTGATATCCCCTTTATCATTTTTTATTGTGTCTATTTGATTCTTCTCTCTTTTCTTCTTTATTAGCCTGGCTAGTGGTCTATCTATTTTGTTAATCTTTTCAAAACACCAGCTCCTGGATTCATCGATTGTTTTGAAGGGTTTTTCTCATGTCTCTATCTCCTCCAGTTCTGCTCTTATCTTAGTTATTTCTTGTCTTCTGCTAGCTTTTGAATTTGTTTGCTCTTGCTTCTCTAGTTCTTTTAATTGCAACGTTAGGGTGTCGATTTGAGATCTTTCCCGCTTTCTCTTGTGGGTATTTAGTGCTATAAATTCCCCTCTAAACACTGCTTTAGCTGTGTCCCAGAAATTGTGACATGTTGTGTCTTTATTCTGATTGGTTTCAAAGAACTTATTTATTTCTGCCTTCATTTTGTTATTTACCCAGTAGTCATTCAGGAGCAGGTTGTTCAGTTTCCATGCAGTTGTTCGGTTTTGAGTGAGTTTCTGAATCCTGAGTTCTAATTTGATTGCACTGTAGACTGAGAAACTGTTTGTTATGATTTCTGTTCTTTTGCATTTTCTGAGGAGTGTTTTACTTCCAATTATGTGGTCAATTTTAAAATAAATGTGATGTGGTTCTTAGAAGAATATATATTTTGTTGATTTGGGGTGGAGAGTTCTGTAGATGTCTATTAGGTCTGCTTGGTCTAGAGCTGAGTTGAAGTCCTTGATATCCTTGTTAACCTTCTGTCTCGTTGATCTGTCTAATATTGACAGTGGGGTGTTAAAGTCTCCAACTATTATTATGTAGGAGTCTTAGTCTCTTTGTAGGTCTCTAAGAACTTGCTTTATGGATCTGGGTGCTCCTGTATTGGGTGCATATATATTTAGGGTAGTTAGCCCTTTTTGTTGCGTTGCTCCCTTTACCATTATATAATGGCCTTCTTTGTCTTTTTTATCTTTGTTGGTTTAATGTCTGTTTTATCAGAGACTAGGATTGCAACCCCTGCTTTTTTTTGCTTTCCGTTTGCTTGGTAAATATTCCTCGATCCATTTATTTTGAGCCTGTATGTGTCTTTGCATGTGAGATGGATCTCTTGAATACAGCACACTGATGGGTCTTGACGCTTTATCCAGTTTGCCAGTCTGTGTCTTTTAACTGGGGCCTTTAGCCTGTTTACATTGAAGGTTAATATTGTTATGTGTGAATTTTTTCCTGTCTATGATGCTAGCTGGTTATTTTCCCTGTTAGTTGATGCAGTTTCTTCATGGTGTCGATGGTCTTTACAATGCGCTATGTTTTTGCAGTGGCTAGTACTGTACTAGTTGTTCCTCCATGTTTAGTGCTTCCTTCAGGAGCTCTTGTAAAGCAGGCCTTGTGTTGAGAAAACCTCTCAGTGTTTACTTATATGTAAAGGATTTTATTTCTTCTTCACTTATGAAGCTTAGTTTGGCTGGATATGAAATTCTGGGTTGAAAATGCTTTTCTTTATCAATGTTGAATATTGGCCCCCATTCTCTTCTGGCTTGTAGAGTTTCTGCAGAGAGATCTGCTGTTAGTCTGATGAGGTTCCCTTTGTAGGTAACCTGACCTTTTTCTCTGGCTGCCCTTAACATTTTTTCCTTCATTTCAACCTTGGTGGGGTAACCCAATCTTTCTCTCTGGCTGCCCTTAACATTTTTTCCTTCATTTCAACCTTGGTGAATCTGACAATTATGTATCTTGGGGTTGCTCTTCTCGAGGAGTATCTTTTTGGTGTTCTCTGTATTTCCTGAATTTGAATGTTGGCCTGTCTTCCTGGGTTGGGAAAGTTCTCCTTTCTTTCAGAGATGCCCTGCCCAGAGAGGAGGAATCTATAGCGGCAGTCTGTCTACAGTGCCTTTGTGGCACTGTGGTGGGCTTTGTCCTGTTCTAACTTCCTGGGGGCTTTGTTTACACTGTGATGGGAAAACCACCTACTGAAGCCTCAGTAATGGTGGACGCCCCTCCCCCCACCAAGCTGGAGCATCCCAGGTCAACTTCAGACTGCTGTGCTGGCAGTGAGAATCTCAAGCCAGTGGATCTTAGCTTGCTGGGCTCTGTGGGGGTGGGGTCCACTGAGTTAGAACACTTGGCTCCCTGGCTTCAGTCCCCTTTCCAGGGGAGTGAACGGTTCTGTCTCCCTGGCATTCCAGGAGCCACTGGGGTATGAAAAAACAAAGTCCTGCAGCTAGCTCGGTGTCTGCCCAAACGGTCACCCGGTTTTGTGCTTGAAACCCAGGGCCCTGGTGGTGTAGGCACCCAAGGGAATCTCCTGGTCTGTGGGTTGCAAAGACCATGGGAAAAGGGTAGTATCTGGGCCAGAGTGCACCGTTTGTCATGGCACAGTCTCTCATGGCTTCTCTTGGCTAGGAGAGGGAATTCCCTGACCCCTTGTGCTTCCAGAGTGAGGTGATGCTCCACCCTGCTTAGACTCAACCTCTGTGGGCTGCACCCACTGTCTAACCAGTCCCAGTGAGATAAGCTGAGTACTTCAGTTGGAAATGCAGAAATCACCCACCTTCTGAGTTGATCTCTCTGGGAGCTGCAGACTGGAGCTGTTCCTATTTGGCCATCTTCATCCTAAGTCCCATATTTTTCTTTTACTTTGGGACTTGGAATCTACAAATGTTCCGGAATACAGACAGTATTGTATTGCAGTGGACTTTACATGTTTATAGTGGTTCTCTATCCTCTTAACACTGGTAATAATCACCTGGGGAACTTCAAAAAATTTCCAGTCTTGGGTCTCACCCTCAAGTATTGTAATGTAATTGCTCTGGGATGGGCACTATATATATATATATATTTTTTTTTTTTAACACTATCCATTTTTAGAACTGCTAAGGTAGGCCAATCTCTCACTGATGCTTGAATTCATATAATCACTGTCAAGGTGTTTTTCAGGCTTATATTGAGTATTTCTAGTGCAGGAAACTGAAAGAACGCTTTCTGTCTTAAGGAAGTTCTGATTTTTTGAGAGATCAGATTTATTATTATTTAAATTCTGCCTTCATAACATGAGATTATCTTTTAGTCTTATAAATTTATAATTTCTAGCCATGGAGTTTAGTTAGTACTTAAAATTGTAACTACCTGCCCTTCAAAAAAACAAAAACAAAACAAGAACAACCTGATCACGTCTTTATAATTGTGACTCAATCCTCATCAGATAGGACCTTTCTGTTCTTCACTTTTGAGTTATAAATCCTAGGGAAAGGAACAATGAGGAACAATTAGACAAAGAAATAAAATAAGTACTTTCTATAGTGAGACAGCACTAGAGTTACCTTGTTAACTAGACTGAGAGCTGGAACTCTAAGCCTTTCATCATTATATTGACAATGTGTAACGTATGGTTAAGTTACAGAAGAAACATTACATTATTATTATTGAATAAGTAATAATTATGAGTTTTATTAAGAGGGCCCAGTTCAATTTATATGTGCAAAACTGATGCCCTTAATTGTAACAATACTTTAGAAATGATAGTGGAAGTAAGTTCCTTTTGCAGAGAAAATGCACCTTAAAATGCCTAGGCACAAATTTAATGAGATACATTGTTCTATATCCCAATAAAAACAAAGACAAAGCCAAAGTAATGACCTCAAACTCTCTAGAAGGACACGAGGCTTAATGGTAACAGTCCCTGATGCAGGTGGGTCCTCTTAGGCAATCTTAGGTTTGCATTGGCCTTACTATATGGTGAAAGTGAGCATATGTTTTATTTATGCATCATCCATTTTACTTTAGATTGAAAGTATTTCCCCATGTTTTGGTAAAACCTGCTGCTCCTGAAACCTACCTTTGTTCCTAGTCCTGCCCTTATAAATTGCAAAAAACAAAGCCAATTCATCTTGCTTATATGAGCCCGTCTTCCCTTTCATAATAGAGATATGTCCTTCATTCTGACTCGTCTTCTTTTCTTTAAGCGGAATAGTTCCACTGCAGAGTCTCTTAATTATTTAATGTAGTACATCCGGAAAGACCTCATTTGTAAGGACCAAGAACTGAAAATATTGCTATTGAATGCAGAAAGGGAATGGTAAGGTTCTCTCAGAGAATTCCTTTTCCTAAACAAAGGTGCAATTGCCAGGAAGCACCTTCACATTTTTCTACACCATGTCAGGCTTCCTTATAGCACTGTTATATGTGGCCGTATTATGGTTGACATTAAAAAATGTGTGTATTTTTGAAAGAACTACTTCCTTTATTTTAAATAGAAAAGAACACAGCATCTCTGAGAGTGAGAAGATCAAAAATAAGTTAAAAGCTTTTCTTGTGATTAGATTAACCAGATTGATTAGGACAAATAGGGTTTATCTATAGCTTAATAAATAAGTTATTATTTCCTCAAAATTTAGACTTACTAGGCCTAAAGGAGCATAGAGGTCTTTAGACTTAATAAGTCTAAATTTTGAGGAAATAAGTTGGAAAAACTAGAGTTCAGAATGAGTAATAGTAAAGGCAAAACTAAGATTATTAAGAAAATTATCAGAATTTCCTATGTGATTTTTTTAACAACTTTCCCTGGCTTATATTGTACATGGGTTTAAGTTATCTTACAGCTCTTTAATTATTTTTAAAAGTAGGATAGCATGTTATCTTCCTTCTCTCTGTCTATACCAAGTGTTTGTTATTTGAGCATTACAGTTACACACCACCACTATCTGGTTGTACCGTGACTGAAATATCAGTTAATTGGAAAAGTGAAAAAAACTCTTTAAACTCAACCTATACAATTAAGATGATGAAGTGGCAGCAATCATTGCACTCTTTTACTTACCTGTGTGATTTGTTATACCATGTGTTTGTTTAGAATGTAAATAATGTGCAGTTAGAGTAATAGATGCAGATGACTGAACATCCTTAGACATCTGGAGAAGCAGCACTGGCAAGATTATCTCTGAAAATTTCTGAAAATCTTTTTGTTGCAACCTGAGAAGGCATAGACATAACTGAAAGCCCAATAGTAAGGCCAAGTTCAGTAAAGTTGAAAATGCTTTACACCATCACTGATGATGTTGAGTCTTCCCCACCCAGCTCAACATTGAGATTTTTTTTTTATATGTAGAAGTTATTTGTTCCAGAATTTTTCCTTTAATTCATTGAATTATTACATAATTAACTTTTTTTTTCTTTAGGATTTCTTGGCTCTCAAATACTTTTACTCTTTTTAGAGTGCTACAGCCACAGTTTTCTTAAATATAGGGATTTTTGAGGTATCATATTTTGCTAATGGTAAGTTTATAGTATTCCTAAGCAGCTTATCTCATACAGTTTTCTCTATATTGAATATGATTCAGATGAAAATTAACCTGCGTGAAATGGTTGTCATCTGGAATGACTGCCTTTTACCCTAGAAAACAGCCAGCCCAAGGTTGAGAACACATCTGAGAAACTGTGCCTATTTTGAGAACTACCAAGAAATTTTTATTCACTGGAACAGCTGCCAGGAAACTTGTTGGTCATAGACCAGTGCCTTAGTTGGGCATTTTTTTCAGAAGTAGAGAAAGGCAAAGCTAGAGTCACCGAGGGATTGGAAGGATGAAAGACGTGTAGTTGAAAGCTGGGCACCATGGAAGACCGAAACACTCTTCAAACATTCTGTTTTCAAGAATAAACCCAACCCTAGGAGCACGAGACAGAGTATAAAGAGCCATGATTTTTAGCGAAGACCTCGCATTTATCTTAAAATTTGATTTTGTTGTGAATATAATCTCAGAATTATGCAGGGATGGTCCATCAAAAAGGTCTGCCAGAGTCAAGCTGAGTTTATCTTAGCCATGCTGAAAAGTAGGTGGCAGTCAATCAAAATGGCAATTACTGTACAAGACAAGAGTTCACTGGAGGGAAGGGTGAATGGAAAGGACACTCCCTGCATTCTTGAGGCCTATGTAAATCAACAAATGACTCTGGGTTAGTTTCCACAATTGTAAAACAATGTGATTGAACAATATTGTTTCTTCACTTCCTTCCTGCTCTAAGATTGTACAAAAGTATGATTCAACTACAGATATTGCATAAAATTGGTTACTCCTGAAGTGCATGGAGTAAAATTGTTCCCATAGAATATCGTGAATTTAGTTAGGTTGTGACATGGGTCATAGTCTCCGCAGTCTGTACGCCCTCAGTATATTCCTCTGACAACCCCATGTCCTTTCATTCTAAGCTAATATCCTTACACATCTTTTTCTCTACACCTGAGCAAAATATACATTCATGTTCTTAAGTGCATGTAGTTAAGAGGAAGCTAACACTTAATTTGTTCCTGCTGTATGCCGGGTATCTGGTATGTCATCTTCATAGCATTATTTGAAGTTTGGTACTAATATTTCCATTTTTCAAGTGATGAAATTAAGGCTCAGAGAGATAGTAAGTTGCCCAAGGCATCATGACTTACAAAGAATGGATCTTAGATTTGAACACAAATATCTCTAAATCCAAACTTCATGATTTTTCTACTGTATTTCATTTGCTCACTTCCAAAGTCTATACAAAAATATTTGTTAAATGTGCATGTACTGAGCTACCGATATCTACTATATCTGTGTATACAGCGATAGCTATCAAAAGGAGAGACGTCCTCTAAATCTTTGATAAAAGTATGTCAAAATGGAACCCTCCCAGAAGGACTTCATTTTTAATAGAAATCAGAGTATTAGCTGAAGGCACGAAGTTCTAAGATAAAAATGTAGCTATGAATCAGGGTGGATTCAGAGAGGTCTTTGTGTGTATGCTATAGGTGATCATGTGTGAATTTGACCTACGGCAAGAAGAATTTTTTTTTTTTTTAAAGCTCTTCCAGGTTATCCTTGTGTTGGGGAGGAGGATAGAATAAAGAAATGAATGTCTTGCTGGTTCTTCCAAGTTGTATGAGGATAATATCACCCAGGGATGATATGCTAGATAAAGACCCAGGATCTTTATTACTTTTTGACATTTAGTTTTGTTGTTGTTGCTTAAATTTCTAGTCTGTTTTGATGGCATTAGAACCTTTAAAAGGAGCTTGTAACCTTTTCTTTTTACTTTTCCTGAAATGTGTGGATGGGAGGATTGGACAAGAGCCTCAAGGGATGGGAAGAAGAGCTCAGTGCGAACACACATGCATTTATTCATTTAGCAAACATCCATTAAGTGCCTAGGACCTTTAAGGTATTCTGCCAAGAGCTGTGCAGGATAGGAATGAACAAGGGATGACCTTTGCTTTGGCTATGTACACCAGAAAAACGAGCAGGGGCTGGAGGACTCTTGCCAAGAAGCTATTTAGTGGTTCTCTTAGAGCCTTATCTCTATCTAGGCTGGAGATTAACTCAGAACATTTTTTTAGTCTGTTTACCTCTAAAATGAAAAGAAATATATATTAAGAATAAGGAGGTGGCGTGGAGCTTTCACTGAATGTATTTCAACTGGAGTATTGAACGTTATAGTGATGGATACAGTTAATCCATCACAACCACCATTTCAAAGGAAAGTGGGGAAATCCTTTGTCCCTGTGTGAAAAATAACTTAGGAAATTTTGGTCTGACAGTTGTGAGAGGGTTAAGAAAGTCAATCATTTTGTAACCAGGCACAGCAATCTTGTATGAACCATGTCAGGATGTTGTCTGCATGCCGTCTTTGCTGATCACAGTAATCGGGTCATAAGAGAAAGGGAAGTAATAGAGTGTCTCTTAGCAACCAACCCCAGGAAAAAGAAAATTACTCAAACCCAGCCATCCAGCCAGAGAAGTAGAAAGAAAAAAATATTCTGATAGTTTGCTGAAAGAGCTCAGGGATGAGAGAGAGAGAAAGAGAGAGAGACAGAAAGTGAGAGAGAGAGAGAGAGAGAGAGAGAGAGGAGAAAGGAGAGAGAGAAGGAGGGAGAGAGAGGAAAGGGAGAAAGAGGAGAAAATAGGAAGGAGAGAGAGAGATGATGGAGAAGAGAGGCCAGAGAGAAAGAGGAAGGTATGGAGAGACAGGAGGGAGAGAGAGAGAGAAGGAAAAGAAGGAAGGAAAAAAGCAGAAAGAAGTAAACAAAAAACTGAAACCTTTTATTTCTTTGTTTTCCTTTCTCTTGGTGTTATCTTTTTTTAAAATTTTTATTTCAGAAAGAGAGAAAGAGGCAAAGAGTGGGTGAGGACAAAAGAAACCCTGTCTCCTAAAACAGGAACTTGATAGTCCACATCGTGAGAGAAAGTGGGGAGGGTGAATGGTAGTATAACTTCATCGTGTCCCATGTTTCTCATGGTTTCCAGTTGCGATCTGGATTACTGTTGAGAAGTAATAGGAAGACGAAGTCTACAGATGCTGTGATTAGTGTTCTAAGACCTGTTTTTGAATTCTCTGCTTGTTAATCGTGTAGCAGTCAGTTCTACAGCTTACTGCAGTCTTTATAGTAATGACTTTCGAACTTTGTTTTTTCTGACATAAATAGTGGTAAGAAACACATAGTACATTGACAAGAGCGTATATATGTACATGTCAATGTAATATATATTGTCAATGTAATATTATGCTAAGTGAAATTTTCATATATAGATATATATATTTTTTCATATATAGGCTCTTTATGTGATGCATACTAATGTTTTCTATTCAATTTCATTACAAAAATTCTTTTGGATACCTGCTGAATTGATTGTATGACCCTAATGAGTTACATTCTTCCATTTGAAAACACCAGTCTAGGATCAGCACTTGCCTTACATTTTGATTTTACTAGAGTGGTGCCAGGCAGCAAGTTCAGTCTTGGTGAAGAGTCTTTGGCCAGCACTGTGATGTTCAGAATAACAGCTATTTAAGCTAAATATTTTCTTGTCATCTGCCAAGTAGATGTATCCTAAGAGTCTGTCCTGGTTTGGAATTTAAGGGGATAAACCTGAGGCAATTCCCCCTGGACTATCTTCAGTTTAGAAAAGTGCCACAGTGTGTTCAAGAAGCACCGGACTGGACTCAGGAGACTTGGTTGCGCTTGATGGCATCCTTTTCTCACTCTGAGCCTGGGGTCAATGATGGATCGAATTAGATGATGTCATAAATTCCTTCTGGCTGTAACATCTTGGAATTTATAGCTGGATGGGGCTCCAGAAACCATCCTGTCTAATGTCTTTGTTTCCAAGATTTAGTTCTTGAAAAGGAATGATAGACTTCCTACTTTCTTTAAAGATCTGTGCTAGGAACAAGTATACATGAAAGACTGAAGCTTAGTACATAACTTCAAACATCTCAGTGTGGTATAGGAGTATACCATGCGCACATATAAACATAATTCGAAGAAAATATATAATTTGTTAAACACTACAGGTAGGGTAGAAGTAAAATATAAAAACTCAGAAAAATGATAATTTAATCTTACTGGGAAGAATGTCTGAATGCTACACTAGTATATAAGGAGGAAGGCTTTGCTGTGGACTTTGAGGGAAGGAAAATATTGATAATAATAGGATGTTCCGGGTAGATTAAATGTTGTAGGGAATCAAAGAATGGAGTCTTAATTGTCTCCTTTGAGTTCTGTTTTTTGACCTCATTGAACTCACAAGGGTTTACTTTTTACCACTAAATATTCCTATTATTTTATAGCTGTTTTTTCTTCCAATTTAACATGACTTTTTAATAATGATCCATTGCCCACATTTAGTGATAAGGTGAGGTTTGATTAAATAGTATTTGTACAGTACTACCTCCTACTTGGAGACACACGTTTATATAAACACAAGGTGTTATATAATTTGTTTCTCTGTTGGGGGGAGGGGGAAAGTAAATAAGGAAATATAAATTAATACCTGTTTTCTTTTCAGGATAAATAATATCTGAATATGTTTCTTTTTCTTTCTTTTTTCTTAATGCAGGCTTTATTTAGTTTGATTTTACCTTTAGAAATTTATAAACCATGGAAATACCCCACATTTTTGGGGATATTGGAAATAATCTCTGTGATGTCACTTTCTGAATCAGACTAAGGTTTGTTTATTACATCAGTTACAGGAAATAAGTGCATAAACCTGAATTAATCTGAGGATGTTGTGTTTGTAATGTTGCTTCCATTTTGTCCCTTTCCTTGAAGCTTGAGGCACTTGCACATCTCACTCAGTCTTCCTTTTCTCTACAGCTTTCCTGCTGTCCTAAAGAGACAAAAGGCATATGGCTTTCTCCAGCTGCATTTCCTGACCTGTTTCCTTGCCATAGATCGCTTCTAAAGCAACATTCCCACCATTTGAACTTCCATTCTTCCTCTGTCCCAAACCTAATATTAACAATAACAGGAGCCAATGCAATTTTTCATTATAATATGGTGTTTTACATTCATAGCACACACATTACTTTATTTGATCCTTGGAACTCGTGGATATGTAAATGGCAAGAGTTACTCTTCCATTGTGTAGATTACTAAAATGAAATATCTAGAGGTAATGTCACCTAGTACCACTGACTATAGTGTTGTGATACCAATACCAGAATAACAGGGCTCCTGACTTCTGACCCAAGGGAGATAAGGTGGATCATCTTAAGGTTATGGCTGATATATAATTGACGTTATCAGTTTTAGTAAATTTTATTTTACACGAAGAAACTGAGGCTAAAAGAAACGGAGCCACTAGTGCTTAGGGTGTCAACATCAGAATCAGATCTTTGATTCCCAGATTTAACATTTCCTAGATTCTGTGTTCTAATCATCTCAATGGACAGTGCAGATATTACTTGAGAAACATGTTTGCATTTCGTGAACAACTCCTGTTTATTTTCAACATTTTCTATGTATAAATAATGTTTGTGTAAGCATATATTTACTTAGGACCCGATATCTGTTCAGTACTGTTAATTGCCTTGGGAGAAAACAAAAGCAAAAATGTAAGGCCTGGGATTTCTATGCAAAAGGCCAAAAAGGGCTTTTGGTGAGATTTTAAAAATAGAAAACCAATTAGAAAATAATTAGGTGTATAGTGGTAGGCCCAGACTTGAATTTCAGTATGAATTTTGAAAAAGAATATATATTTTAAGGCCTACAAGGGCAAAAGTAGATGGGCTTTAAAGTTTGTGTAGGTAAGATTGTCTGTGGGTGAAGATGGGTAGTGGGATGGTGAGCAGGCAGAGTGGGGTTGGGGTGTGGGGTGGCACGGCCAGCTTTAATGGAGACAGGCGACTTCGATGGGGGGTAGGACATGAGGTGCACAGAGCAACAGTTTTCAGAGGTGCAGTAGGGATGATCCAGGGGATCAGAGAGGAAAAGAGTAAAGACTCTGCCAACCTTTCAGCCTGGAGCCTAGAGCCACAGTGTGAGTTAAAGATGTAAATTCCTTGGAATTAAGAACCATACCTTATTTAGCCATTTATACAGCTGCTTACCATGGTAATAATTAGAAATTAAGATGATGATCTTTTATGTGAGCAACTTTCCTAAATAACACTTGATGCTGCTGATAAATGAGACTTAGGTACAGTGCTTTTTCTGTAGGATTCAGGCCTAAATGGATCTAGGAGGATACTAGAGCTTCCGTTCCAAAGTACGTGCATTTGAATGATATGCTAAGTAATGCCTTGTGTATCCTTCAACAGGAAAAGTTCCTGCTATTAGGATAATTTGATATGCACTTGATGTTTGCTAATATGTTTCAATCACATAAATCCTTCTTGGATATTTTTGTTCTTTGTGGACTTCAGGTAAGTTTAAAGATATTCCACACACTTAAATATGTACACAAATGACTTTATAACAAGAAAGCAAATTTGTTTAAAAAACAAACCTACAATTCTGTCTCTCTAACACATCAACTCCATTTTCTCTGTACTCTTTTAGTCTTTGCCAATATATGTTTATAGTTTTCATAATATGTAACTAAAGATAGACATAATTTTGCATTTTTTTCACTTAATACTACAGAATAAGAATTCCCCACCATCATATTTAGCAATGGCATTATAGTTCTTGAAGTAAGCATCCCAGAATTTATTGAACTATTGCCATATTACTGGTCGTTTGTGTTATTTCACTGCTTTAAGTGTTTTTATGTTAGAGAACATAATGAAGGTCTTCATGGGTATAGCTTTTTGAGAAGCTAGACATGTTGAAGAAATTGGGAGCATGCTATTACTAGCTTCTATGAATTGGTATTTACTATGTATCCCTTTAATTAAATTCCATTCTGCAGTAAGTGTGATAGCTTTGCCGAAGCACTTGGGGGCCAAAAGGACATTTGTAACTGGTTAAGTTGGAAGATATTTATTTGTATAAGGTGGGTAGGGACAGGATGGACAGGCTATTTTTCTTGGCCACACTCACTGAATTTAAATAGGCAATGGAGATAAATCAGTTGTGGCCCAACTAGACTGCCTGGATATAATATCCTTTTGGACTGGATCATGTCGTTTCATTGCAGTCAGGATGGCTAAGCATGGTGATGGATCATAACTGACCAAACAGACAGGTTGGTTAGAATGTATGACCAGTCATAGCTGTGTAACTGAGGAACTGATTATATTCCTGTGACTAATGAAAAAGCCCAATCTTAGAGTAGCTGTGGTAATTATAATGAGAATACTAGTAAAACATTTTAAGGTGTTGTGTTCCAGACACTATTCCATGCATTACACACACACACACACACACACACACACACACACACACACACACACAGTCTCATTTAATCCTCATAATATTATGAGGTAGTGCTATTATTAATATCCATTTTCTGGATGAGGAAACTGAGGCCCCAACCAGTGAAATAACTTGCTTTGAGTCCCATATTAAGTAGTACTACCCAGGCAACCTGGCCCCAGAGCTTACTTACACGTGTAGTAACTACACTGTTCTTCCCATTTATGAGGTGATTAAACTATGGAGGCAGGCATGGCATACCTGCAGAACAGGACTAGAATCTCATAGGTTTTTGAACTTATTAGGCAGACCTAAGGTTTTTTACACTTCCTGAGGCTATAGAACAGAACTAATCTCTTAGCCTTAATGTCACTATAACGTAAAAACCACGTGAAGAGAATTACGATGGTGAGCAGAGGATAGGACACTTATTATAGTTGTTACCTCATTTATTTAATTCTTTGTTTCTTAGAGAATAAGATTCTGGTACATAGCAGGTTCCCATTAAATACCTATTGATTTAAAGTTTAAAACAAGGAATAATGGCTAAATGAATCATTGAATGCATATGTCTATTTCTTGGAGGTCTAATCATGTTTTCAAAACTTTGGCTCAACTGTAGTTAGTGCAGAGTATGTATGGTCATTCTGCTAGAGCAAAATCTTAGTATAGGATTAAAGAACTCTGCAAATTGTTAAAACATGCAGGTACACTAGTTTCAAAATGTATTAGTTTGATTTATTATTGTCATTTTCTGATAAAGAAAGGGGAGTAGTCTCCCCTAAAGTTTGGTGATTAAGTCACCAGCCACCTTTTCTATTTTGGTTGTTGTGGTAATTGGTGTTTCCTGGAAATTTTCCCTCTGTTCTATTAATAATGTTAAAGGGGGTTACAGCCGTGACTCACTCCAGGAAGTCAACCATCATTCGCTTCCTCAATCTCACCAACCAGTCCCCATGTACAAAATCAGCGACTTCTGCAAATGAGTTACTTTACAGCTCTCAAGAGAGTTCTAGAAAATACAGCTTTTGTATTTCGCTGTGTGCTTCCTGCCTTGGCAGAGAGTAAAACAAACCTTCATGTTTTGCTCCTTGGTAGTCTCGAGATAATTGACCAGTTAGGTAACTAGTGTAGTCTCACTCAAGAGAAATCCCACTTGCTGTCTAACAAAAGTCCCTTGGCACTCAGATTTGCAAAGTTAAACCTGGGGACAGTTCATGAAGTCCAGTGGAGTCTATACTTCTTTTATACCTGGCTTTATGTTTCTGTATTCATTATTTTGCTCAATGTTTAATTAAGTAATGAATATTTTAACTTGTTCAACATATAACTCCGTATGTCTTAGCACTGCTGTGTAGTAGATACCATCATAGGCACTGAGGATGCAGTACAGACATGGTAGCTGCCCTTGGGAACCTTCTATCCTAGTTATTGTTCACTATATTACCAAGTTAACCACAGGGAAAACAAGTTCAGAGAATACATAGGCTGTGGGCCTGTCCTAAAGGAATCAATCTGTAACCGACATGTCTAAAGTTGTGCAGGATAGGATTATTCCACTTAATTCTGTAATTTGTTTTGTCTGGAATTTATCTCATCTATGCCCCCACCCTCACTCATACACATAAACATGGAGATGGAACTTAACTGTGCATTCTCGTGGTACTTAAATTTTTGTACCTTGGATTATCAAAATTTTTGTTCATGTCCTAGCTTCTCTGCAAGTTCTTTGGTTAAAACCAGTGTGTGACACATCTCTGGATCAGAAATGTCTTCCTTTCTACCTTTCACCTTCCCCAACCTTCCTGGTCTCCTAGCACAGTGCCAGATGAATGACAGCTGTTTAGTATGTTTGGTAAATGCTAACTGTGTGTGATCTTAGAAAAGTTAGTGAACTTTGCTGATTTTCAGTGTCCTCTTTCGTAAAAAAGAGAATAATAACCATTTCTACTTCCTAGGTTGTTGTCAAGGTTAAGTATTATATTTAAAGTTTTTTTTTAGTAGTGACTAGCACTTAGTAAGCACTTACTGAATGTTATCATTAATAAATGATCTTACAAAGCAGTAGCATTTCCTTCTAGGATTTTTTTGTAGTCCTTCATGATTGATAGAGAAGAGACATGCAGTCTAGGATTTCACATCAGCTTTTTAAATATAGGAAACCAGATGTAAATATGCTGCTTCGGTTATTTACATCTGACATTCTTGCATGCTTGCTGACAAAACATTAAGTAAAAATTATGCTACTCTTTCCCTTAGATGTCAATTCATGGTCACATTAAAGTCACAAGATTTTTCCTGAAACTTACTGCTGGTACCAATTTTACCATAGGTTATCTTAATTAGTATCATCACACAGTGGTGCAGTTTGACCTTTGGGGTTTGATTCCAGTCCTTTGTTTATTCTGACTGTGAATGGAGGAGTCAGGCAGAATGACCTTTACATATCTTTACCTCCTTCTCCCATCTTCTGCTGGCATAGAAAACTTTGCATAAAGAAAGGCAACAGAGCAACTGCAAAATTGCTGGGATTAAAAAGAAAATTGTATGATAATGAGAAATCCAGTGTACTCTCTCTCCCTTAATATGTGTGTGTGTGTGTGTGTGTGCGCCTGTATACATCAGATATATGGATTGATGCAGTGTACTCTCTCTCCCTTAATATGTGTGTGTGTGTGTGTGTGCGTGCCTGTATACATCAGATATATGGATTGATTTCTTTTTGTTTATAAAAAATATTCACTTTTCAAAATGTATTTATACTATGCTATCATTGAATTCTTACATATCAACCCTTTGTGGTTGACACTGCAGAGATGATGAGCTCCATTTTATAAAGATGGGGCAGTTTTATCTCAACAACTAGTGTGTTCTAGATCAAGGACTGATTCCAGATTCTCAAAGTCCTACAACAGTAATCTTCACCATGCTGTGTGTATGCGTGCGTATGTGTTTATCAGAATATATTAGAAGATAATTTGCAAGCAGGGATTGGTTAAAGTTGAATGTTTATGTATTCTTTTGTAGTGTTGCTTACGTTTTAAATAAAAATAAAACTGCAGTGGATGTGCATTTGTCATCATTTAGAGGCCTTCAGACCCCAATTCGTAGTTTCTTCACAGTTGCCTCTATTTTCTGATTACTAGTCCCTGGAAGGTACAGTGTCAGAGTTGAAGGGATGTTCTCAAATCCCCCTAAAGTTTTCCATTGCAATACTCATTACAGTTTCTTTTTTTCTTTTCTTTTCTTTTTTTTTTTTTTTTTTTTTTTTTTTTTGAGATGGAGTCTCGCTCTGTCGCCCAGGCTGGAGTGCAGTGGTGTGATCTCGGCTCACTGCAAGCTCTGCCTCCCAGGTTCACGCCATTCTCCCACCTCAGCCTCCTGAGTAGTTGGTACTACAGGCGCCCGCCACCACGCCCGGCTAATTTTGTTTTTGTATTTTTAGTAGAGACGGGGTTTCACCGTGTTAGCCAGGATGGTCTCCATCTCCTGACCTCATGATCCGCCCACCTCGGCCTCCCAAGTGCTGGGATTACAGGCGTGAGCCACCGCGCCCGGCCGCAATACTCATTACAGTTTCTAATTGCGTATGTGTGTAAAAGAACATATAACTTCCTCACAGACTCAGCTGTACACTCTACAGGGGCATCATTGTATCTTAGGGGTCTAGCCTAATGGCTGGTGGGCACTAGGTGCTTAGCAATAACTATTGAATGAATGAATGAAAAAATGAATAAGTGAATTCAACACAACTTTTATTTATTTATTTTTATTATTATACTTTAAGTTCTAGGGTACATGTGCACAACGTGCAGGTTTGTTACATAGGTATACATGTGCCATGTTGGTTTGCTGCACCCATCAACTCGTCATTTACGTTAGGTATTTCTCCTAACGCTATCCCTCCCCCAGCCCCACACACCCCAAGAGGCCCTGGTGTGTGATGTTCCCTTCCCCGTGTCCGTGTGTTCTCATTGTTCAACTCCCACTTGTGAGTGAGAACATGCGGTCAACATAACTTTTAAAATCCAGAATGTCAGTACTAAAAGGAGCCTTTTAAGTATTAGAATTCAACTTAATGAAATGTTGCTACGTATTTTCTCTGTTCTCATCACTGACGTAGCTGCTTTGGAGCATCTATATCTGATATTTAGATAGTGGATGGCTTCTTGCAAACACTTACATTGCTCACGTAGTAATGTGAACCAACAGATTGGTGGCCCGGGCAGCAACATATTTTCTATAATCTGTAGCATGAAGCCAACTGAGGTGTGACCGTGGTATTTCCTGAAGTGGCTTTCTTTTGCTTTTCTGTTTTGATTATTATGTGGCTGTGGATTTAGTTCACACCATCACTGTGAAGAATTTTCGAAACTTAAGAATCAAGCTCTGTTTATACATTTTCAACGTAAGCCCTTAATTACAGTCACTCCTCGGGCCCAGTGATTTTACAGTTACATGTCAGATTGAGGGGTTTCGTCTTGAGAATGTCAGCTGGCTCTGTGAAGAAGAAGAAGAGCAGATACGTGAGTTACCCAGAGGAGTGCTGATTGAGTCCAGGAGTCTTTCTGTTTAAGAGCACGTTGAAAGAGTTTGTGTGTCTATTTGTAAAACCATTTTGGAGATGATAAAAAGCATTCTGAGACACACAAATTTTTTTTCTGTTTTCAAAGGCAAGACAGAGACATGTGGACAGGTTGATGAAGGGATCATTGTGATCTTTTCTCTCAGAACTTGATTTTCATTACTTGAACTTTGTCTTCTATGCTTTTATTACCAACACCTGTACACAAAGGTACACATAATACTTGCAAAAAAGAGAAGAAACTGTTTTCAGACTGGGGCTCTATTAAGTGTTCATTGACCACAATCTACAACAACAAAAATGACAATTCCTGCTTGCCATTGAAAATAATGCAATTGAAAAGAAAGGGCGGAAGCAAGTTCTTGGCTGCATAGCTTCAGTCTGATGCCATATTCTAGAGTGAAAAGGTATTGGCTTGGTTTTGAGGCCTGCCTTCATCACGTGAAGGCTCTGTGGCCTGGCAGGGTTATCTTACGCTATTGAACCTCAGTTTCTCCATTTATCCAATAGAGATGGAAAGTATTGGCCTGCATTTATTTCTCCTTCAAATGACATATTGTATAGAAGCGTATCGTAAGTTGTAGGTACTTAACAAACATGAAGGACTGTTATGATCTCACTTTCTGGGCTAAGGAGAAAATGGTGGGATGAGTTTCATGTCCTTTTCTTTGTGGTTTTGACTCCAGCAGCTTCCAAACGACTTTTGCTGATGTTTCCTAATTAGCAATGCTGAATCTCGTGTTGTATCAATCCTCCCCATTCCTTAAGATGGAAACAAGTGTTCCAGTTATAGCTATACCATGTGCCTGACAGGAAAGAATTGGGTTGCCATCAGAACCTTAATTTATCAATCTCAGTGGCTTAAAATTTTGAATTTGCAGCTTAATATTATTCATTAACAAAGTATTTTTCATCCCTTAGCTTTCCTCCAGGGAACAAAAGGAAATGGTACACACTAGCTCTTCTAACAGGCTCTCATTCAATAAAGGATGGTGTGCCCTTAATTTTGTTAGCATGTGTATAAAGAATGTACTTTTAGTGGACATGCTTCACTTTGCAAATATAGTGCATAATTTTCAAATACATCTTTGACTCTTCCTCAAACCTGCTCAGAAGCTGTGTTTTTCCTCTCTTCATTAAAATGTTCCAACCTGGAAATTTTCTCTTTACAATTCAGATATTTTTCACTTCTTGGGAAGGGAATAACTAAATAATTTCAATACTTTAAACTACAAGGATGATGTATTTTTGTTCTACACAGCATTGATATGGTGGAGCTGTATTCTTTTTCTAATAATACAAATAATATAGGGCTGTAAGGGTTTGTATCATTGCATGTATATGTTAAGAGGATAAGAGGTATGTATAAAAGTAAATTTTGAGAAATTATAAGTATAAACCAAAAAGTCTTATACCTTTAGCAATGCCTTTAAATCTTGAACTTGAAAGAAAAAGTTATGCCCGACTCGTTGATTGCATATTAAATAGGAAAATACATTTGTTATACTTGAACTAGATTGTTCTTAGGATTTTGTGAAAGAAAATATATAAGCATGAATTTATTATAGAAAATAAAAATGACCCTAGAAGAAAACCTAGGCAATACCATTTAGGACATAGGCATGGGCAAAGACTTCATGACTAAAACACCAAAAGCAATGCCAACAAAAGCCAAAATTGACAAATGGGATCTAATTAAACTAAAGAGCTTCTACACAGCAAAAGAAACTATCATCAGAGTGAACAGGCAGCCTACAGAATGGGAGAAAATTTTTGCAATCTGTCCATCTGAGAAAGGGCTAATATCCAGAATCTACAAAGAACTTAAACAAATGTACAAGAAAAAAACAAACAACTCCATCAAAAAGTGGGCAAAGGATATGAACAGGCACTTCTCAGAAGAAGACATTTATGTGGCCAACCAAAATATGGAAAAAAAACCTCACTATCACTGGTCATTAGAGCAATGCAAATCAAAACCACAATGAGATACCATCTCACGCCAGTTAAAGTGGTGATCATTAAAATGTCAGGAAACAACAGATGCTGGAGAGGATGTGGAGAAATAAGAATGCTTTTACACTGTTGGTGGGAGTGTAAATTAGTTCAACCATTGTAGAAGACAGTCTGGTCATTCCTCAAGGATCTACAACCAGAAATACCATTTGACCCAACAATCCCATTACTGGATGTATACCCAAACGATTATAAATCATTCCACTATAAAGACACATGCACACACATATGTTTATTGTGGCACTGTTCACAATAGCAAAGAATTGGAACCAACCCAAATGCCCATCAATGGTAGACTGGATAAAGAAAATGTGGCACATATGCACCATGGAATACTATGCAGCCATAAAAAAGGATGAGTTCATGTCCTTTGCAGGGACATGGATGAAGCTGGAAACCATCATTCTCAGCAAACTGACACAGGAACAGAAAACCAAACACCGTATGTTCTCACTCATAATTGGGAGTTGAAGAATGAGAACACATGGACACAGGGAGGGTAACATCACACACCGGGGCCTGTTGGGCAGTGGGAGACTAGGGAGGGATAGCATTAGGAGAAATACCTAATGTAGATGACAGGTTGACGGATGCAGCAAACCACCGTGGCATATGTATACCTATGTAACAAACCTGCACGTTCTGCACATGTATCCCAGAACTTAAAGTATAATTTAAAAAAAAAAAGTAAAAAAGACATTGATTCATTCATTCATTTATTCAGGCAATGTTTGGAACTCATGATGTGCCAGGCACTGTTTTAGGACCAGGAATAAGCAATGACCAAAGTATTTGCTCTCCTGATAGATTATAAACAAATAAATATATAATAGCTCAAGCTGTGAAAGTCACAGGCACACAGAGACACACACATCTCCAACATATGCAGCAAGGTAATGAGATAAAGAATTCCTGGCCATTTTTTGTGATACAGGATAGATGTAATGGTTTCCTATCAGTTTTATCATTTTTAAGGTCTCTCTTCTTAGAATAAATTATTTTATTTGTTTCTTCCGTATGCCATTTAACAGGGAGGGGAAGTTTTCTGCCAGTTTTGCACCCACTGTTTTTCTTTTTCAGTAAGAGCCTTCTCATAGTCTGCTTGAAGGCAGCGGTCTTGCCACATGTGTTCTATGCATAATAATTTCAGGAGAGTCTTGTCCACAATGCTTGGTTGATTACGGCTTGTGGGACACCACTTAAATGACTAGAAACAGCTCTCTTTAATAAACACACTGGTGTTGTCCATCATTTTAAGTGAGCATGAGAGCCCAGCTTCATTTTGCCACTCCAATCTCACACGGCCTAGAAGAACTAGTGAAAGTAGCAGGTGGTGTTTGACTTTCAGTTTTTCTGAAATGTGTCTCTTTCTGCCACTCTCCAGACGCCGTGCCAGTCAGGCCCTCAAGGTCAAAACATCATGAAATTGACCATAGATTATCTCAGCCTTTTCTTTTTAAAAGTGTCATTGTAACCTGTTGGTTACTGTGTATGTCATTTAACTTCTCTGTCTTTAGTTTCTGAAGTAACTGGTTTTACATTGCCATCAAAAGGCTTCTGTGGGTTTTTATTTTTCTTTGTTTTTATTTGTTTGTAAACAATCTCCTTTTCTAAACTCATTTCCCCAAATTTCCTTAATTTTTCACGGACTGATGAAAATGTTTTGCTGCTTCCAGAGCTTGTCAGCTTCTCTTTGTGGCATTGCTTTCATTGTTGTTCTCCAAGTTCCCACTCAGCTCCTGCTTTCTTCAAAAAACCCTTTGGTTTCTAACATCTATGTTTTCAACATGGCAATGGAGTGAGTTGCCCAGGGAATGATTGGACCGTGATTGTTTTCATGGCTTTCTTTTGCCTTTTCTCCATGTCCTTTTTAGCTCTAAGCCTCATTTGTAAGCTTTCTAGAAATGTGGATTCTATTATAGAACTTCTGTTTTTCTCATTTTTGTAGTTGCTTTCTCAAGAGCAGGTGCTGGTGACCACAGGACGAGTGAGAGACGAGATGGTGTCTCTCCTTTAGCAGTTGGCTTAATTAAGGAGGTTTTTTGAAGTGTATGGGCTTCAAAAAGTCTGACATGTGATTTGTGGCCTGTGTGGTCTAACTCTGATTCCTTTGGATACAGAACCTTAGAAAGCCTTGAGAAAAACCTCAGAGATCATCTATGCAATCAATTCTGGCTTTACCTGGAGGGAGTTTTATAAAACACAAATGCCAGGGCTTCAACTTGAGAGACTCTGATTTCATTGTTTTGCAGTGGGTCTGCACATCAGTAGTTTATAGAAATTTCCCACATGATTTTGTGAAACCAGGGTTGAGAATCACTTGATTTTACAGGGCATATATAAGGTCCAAAGCAAAAGTGACTCTTGGCTGGGCGTGGTGGCTCACGCCTGTAATCCCAGCACTTTGGGAGGCCGAGGTGGGAGGATCATGAGGTCAGGAGATCGAGACCAGCCTGCCCAACATGGTGAAACCCCGTCTCTACTAAAAATACAAAAATTAGTCAGGCATGGTGGCAGGTGCCTGTAATCCCAACTACTCAAGAAGCTGAGGCAGGAGAATTACTTGAATCCAGGAGGCAGAGGTTGCAGTGAGCAGAGATTACACCATAGCAGTCCAGCCTGGGCGACAGAGTGAGACTGCCTCAAAAAAAAAAAAAAAAAAAAAAAATTAACCTGTCATGGTGGCATGTAATCCCAGCTACTCCAGAGGCTGATGCAGGAGAATCACTTAAAACCCGGGAAGTGGAGGTTGCAGTGAGCCGAGATCGCGCCATTGCACTCCAGCCTGGGCGACACAGCAAGACTCCATCTTAGAAGAAAAAAAAAAGGTGACTCTCCGGGATTCTATAGCAGTATGGCCATAGAGTAGGGACAAGAACATATGCCTCCTCATTTACCATCAGTGCTATTTCTATTTTGTTTACTACCATTTACTCTCATTTGATTGTGTCAAATTATCTACTGTTGTACTGGGGGGCCAGAGTGGATTCCCAAGCCTCAACCACATAGAAGAGTAGATTGGAGGTTGTTTTCAAACTATTCAACATTATCAGTGGGTTGAATTTGTAAGCTATCAACTCAAAATATAAAGATAATTTTTATAACAGGGTCTATATTGGATTGTAAAAAGAGGGTCATAGGATTTGGATCTTTAGGGCTCTGTAATTCAAAATTTGGGATGTTCATTAGGACTATTTGTGTTATGTTGTAAAACAATTGTACTTGTTGGCAGACGTCTTGGGTTCAAGTTATGATTTTGCATTTAGGAGGTTTGGGAACGTGGACAAACTCCCTTTTGAGTTTTCCTTCACCCCGTCTTTGTAATGGAGATAATATTCTCATTTCCCTGGGTTTTTAGGAAGGTTACCTGAGATGACTCGTGCAAAAGCTAACACATAATAGATAATAATATCTATCTATATTGAGATATCTATATTTAGATAAAGATATCTATATTTAGATAAAGATATCTATATTTAGATATCTATATTTAGATAAAGATCTATATTTAGATATCTTTATCTAAATATCTATCTAAATAAATGTTAATTTATTCTGAAGTGTGGTAAGTTTATCTAACATTTACTGTAGCAACCAAGGTGGGGCTAAATATGGGGACCAATCAGAAAGACGATCTCTGTCAGTTTTGCCTAGGACGTTCAGTGGGACTTGGGTAGGAGACTGTGGACTAATCTCACCTCTGGAAATTTGTGTGGCCTGTGCTATAACTGAGAGGAACCAAGTAAGCCTGTGTATATGGCAAATGGTAGTCCTCTCCCAAACAACATTTGTAAAGAAAATGCATTTTGCACTATTTCTTAGTGTGTCTGAGGCTTTTTATGTTCATAAAAATCTTAGTGAGTTGTTGAAACGTGCTTTTCTGAAAAACCTTGGAATTTACCTGGTTTAGAATTAGAATCAGAAATGTGTCTTTTTAAACTGTATTCTACCTTCTTAAATCTTTTGCCTTCTGCAGCAACATGGAGCAACTCTGATACTTTTTTCTACTTGAGGGCCTTTCGTAGTCAGAGATTATACTAAGATAGCAAAAAATAGAAAGTGACACACTAGTCAAGGTTGGTTTATTGTGTGGTAGGAAATCCAAAAGACGTTGGAAGCAACAACAATAGCTCTGAGGTCCTTGGAACCAGGAGTTTTGAAACTTTTACTTTACTGCACGTCTGTTGACATGATTCCATGAATATTTCTGCTCTTTCTCCCTTATGTATACCAGATCCACTGGGCTGAGTTAAATATAAGACCCCAAGCATGGTCAATTCTTATTAATAGTCCTTGAAGAGGCTCTCTCTTGTTTTTGATTGACTTTCTTTTTCTTTCTTTTCTTTTCCTCATCCTTTCTCCTTCTTCCATTCTCCCTTCCACCTCACAGAAGCCTAACGGGCTTGGAATAGCACTTATAAATGCATGAATTTTTAGAAATATATACTATTGTTTTCATTTCCACAATAATCATGCCTAACATTTATCAGCCACTTCCCATATGCTAGGCTCTCTTTCAAGTCCTTTAAATGTAATAACTATAATAATCTCACAACAAACTCCATGAGACAGGGACTGTTATCTAGTGTGTTTTATAGATTAGAAAACTGAGACACAAAGAAAGTAACTTTCTAAGCTCACATACCTGGTGAGTCAGTAGCTGAGGCAAGATTTAAAATCAGGCAATCTGACTGTACATCTCACTCTTCGCTACTTTGTCCTTGTGCCTTTAGATCATGGTTCTGTGCTATCGATCTGATCTTATTTCTTACTCTTTTTACTACTGTTGTTGCTCAGCATAGTCTTCCCCCCTCAAAAATAAGTAACATTTATATTGCTATTATTATTATTATTATTTTGAGACAGAGTCTCGTTCTGTCACCCAGGCTGGAGTGCAGTGGCACAATCTCAGCTCACTGCAACCTCTGCCTCCCAGGTTCAAGCAATTCTTCTGCCTCAGCCTCCTGAGTAGCTGGGATTACAGGCGTGCACCACCACGCCTGGCTAATTTTTGTATTTTTAGTAGAGACAGGGTTTTACCATGTTGGTCAGGCTGGTCTTCAGCTCCTGACCTCGTGATCCGCCCACCTCGGACTCCCAAAATGCTGGGATTACAGGTGTGAGCCACCACGCCCAACCTGTATTATGAATTATAATACATAGATAACGTGTAAATATTTAATGTCACATATTATTCGTGTGAGTTAGATTTGTAAATTTGATTAGCGCTGAGACATTGGTATTAGTTTTTTCTACAGATGAGAAAACAATTACATACTTTTACAAATGATACAAATATGTGTGAAATATATTTAATCACATACATGAATAATGCTCAGTGAGCAGGCATAGAATTGTCAGGACCTTTGCAGTATCTCCAATATATACCCTGCCCATAGATTAGGAACTATTGCTGTACTATTGCTCATCAGTTTAAATAATTATGTTAATTCACATTTATCTATATGATCAGCATAATCTTTCAAAAATCGATTTACAGGCCTGGTGCGGTGGCTCACGCCTGTAATCCTAGCACTTTGGGAGGCCGAGGCAGGTGGATCATCTGAGGTCATGAGTTCGAGACCAGCCTGACCAACATGGTGAAACTCCTTCTCTACTAAAAATACAAAAATTAGCTGGGCATGGTGGCAAGCGCCTGTAATCCCAGCTACTTGGGAGGCTGAGGCAGGAGAATTGCTTGAACCTGGGAAGCAGAGGTTGCAGTGAGCCGAGATCACGCCACTGCACTCCAGCTTGGGTGACAAAGTGAGACTCTGTCTCAAAAAAAAAAAAAAAATCTATTTACATTGCAGCTCCTTTAGGAGGTTTACTACTTGTAATACTGTAGAGTCTTCCAGAGTGTGCATCCATTGTATTTCACTGATTGATTTCGTTAGTGATACACCTCAAAGTGAGGTAGTCATATACCTCCAACTCTTGGCTGCCACAAATGTACTGTCGTGAGCATTTTGTATATGTGTTCTTAATGATTGGCAGAAGTTAGCTCAGGATTTGTGGCTGTGGGGAGGGTGCTTGATCATAGTGCATTTTAATATTGAGTTTCACTAGGCTCTGTGTTTTTTGTTTTTTGTTTTTGTTTTTTTTTAAACATAAAGGCTTCACTAGGGTTACTTTCCCCCAGTAAAGCATTAGGATTCTTGTTTTCTTCATGCCATCACCAGCACGGGGTATTGCATGACTTTATATTTTTTGCTAATATGATGGGTATGGAACTACTAGTACCTCCTGGTTTCTGCTTCTTTTCCATACATAGTAAACAGATTCAGTCTCTCAAAATTACTGGGAAGAAAAGTGATTTGTTTCATAAGTGTTAAGTGTCTGTTTCTGGTCATGGCTATCTCTGGGACTGTGGTCATAGAGAGGCATACTGGCTATTCAGCAGGGTTTCTGAGTGGGAAAAAAATCTCTTGAAAATGTGGTGTTGTCAAGGAAGGCCATTTTACTGATGTTACTTCAGGGCCCTTCTTTCATTCCTTCACATTTTTCAATATTTATTGTATGGCAATTGCATTGTAGAAACTTTTCTAGGTACTTGGGAACAAAATTGTGAACAAAATAGACATGTCCTGTGGTTTCTCTGGAACCTTTAGTGTGGTCAAGGGGACAGGCATTAATCAAAATACTCAAGCAAACATTTAATTACAAACTATCATGAGTGCTACAAAGGGAAAGGAGAAGAGCTCTGGTATATAACGGGGTAGATGATCTGTGTGTGCTTACTTGATGCAGGTGTCTTTTGGGGATGCTATAAGACAGAAAATTTAGAGGATAAGGTAAAGCAGTAGGAGGAATATTCAGACAGAGAGAATAATGTGTGCAGAGATCCACAGGCAAGAGGGAATGTGGCATCCTCGAGGGATAGTGAAACCAGAGTTGTTTTGAGGACTTTTATTCATTTATTCAACATATTTTTATGGAGTGCTTACTATGCTCTAGAATATGACAGTGAACAAGACAGAACACTAGGAGATGTTTGAGATGAGGCCGAAAAAATAGGTAAGGGGCTCGCCCTATTGTACACTCATCTCCCTTGGTTTGTTTTTTTGTGTGTTTTCAGAGAGAAACAGCCGTACTTAACAATCTGGTTTCAGATTCTTTTAACCTTCTGTTTGCCTTTCTCTGAAGGTGCTACAGTTTGTTTGACACCCTCTTCAAGAGGGGCCAGTAGAACTAAGGATAAAATTTTTAAGTCTTCCCATCAAGAAATGTGTCGTTAACATTAATTAAGTTTCCTCACTGTTATCAATGAATATCCCTCCGTATCCTTCTCTTTCACTAGCTGAGCATTATATTATGTGTTGTTCAAGGGCAGATAGTCTGTGAAGAAGTGCTTTAAAAACTGATAGCGTGTGGGCTCTGAGCATGTTGTGCGGCTGACTGGCCCCCACCTCCTCTTGTTTCCTTTCTCCCCAGAAAGGCCTCACTTGCTGCATGACAAGTCAGGCTATTGTTTGCTCATTCGATATTGTCAGCTAAGATGCTTCACAATTCCTTAAGAATTTATTATTGTTGTTGTTGAGGGATGATAGAGTCCTCTTCTTCTCATTTAAGTGACGTGTATCGAAAAGGAAAAATGACAAATAAGAAAGGACTTGGGAAAATTTCCTCCACTCCTGACTTCCAGACCTTTAGAACTTAATGCTTTCCGTTCAGTACTTCTGCCCCCTAACCTTAAAGTCTTGAGAGAAGAATGACTGGTGTTGACAGGATGCTTGTTTACTGGCTTCTGCCTAATTTTTGAGGCATGAAGTGGCCATCTCATATAAAGCAAGTAGTTCACATCCTGGGACTGAGACTACAACCTGGTTTCTCCTTGTCTTGTTTCGATGGAGTTATTCTGTATCCTGTGAAGAATCTCTGTTTTGTCATATTGTATTCCCTCTTTAAATCTTTTATATCTCTTTCTCGTACTATTTTGCCCCTGATGCTGTTTCTTTCTTTATTTTAAGCTTTAGATTCACCTCTTAAGTTGTCAGCCCACATGGCCATACATGACCATGGTTCTTACTGGTGTGAAGAAAGCAGATTGTAGCTGGTTGTTTGAGATGCCTTCTTAGGTGGACCAACCTCTCTCGGGTTCTTTGGTTTTATCTCTTGCTCTTCCTCTTGAATGTTTATGATACTTCCTGGTCACGTCATTTCTCTTTGACTCTTTCTTTCTTCCTTCCTTAGGTTCCGGATTCATACAGGTATGAATCTACTTCCCCATCTTTGCCAACCCTGGCATCGTGCCCCCTTGATTCCTTGGCTTTTCACAGGCTAGATGCTTAATGGACTCTGGAAGCCTTTATCTCTAGGACGCCTTTATCTGTAGGACTGGGCTTTTTTGTTTGTTTGAGACAGGGTCTCACTCCGATCACCCAGGCTGGAGTGTAGACCTGGGGTTTCTAAACACTCTTCACCTTGTGCTCAGCTCCTTGTATGATACCGACCGGATCCTATCCATGGACAATAACAATCTTGAATGTGTTCACAATGCCTGGGGGAATAAGTCCCAATCCGGCCAGGAAATGCTGATCTCCTTCCGACGGGATCTGCTTGTCTCACCTCAGCGCCAGTTGCTTCCCTTTACAATCTCTTTGCTGGCCAGGTTAGAACATGTGCTAATTCTCTGAAAACACACCATGCTTTCCTTCCTCTGTGTCTTTGCTTGAATGGTTCTCTCAGTCCAGAATACATTTTAAATATTTCTACTTCCACAAATCTATTCTATAGTATTTATCAAAATAGTACCTTCCCTATTAAGTCTCCCCTGATTCTTTAGCTGAAAGTTATTTTGATTTCCTCTGAGTTCCTGTTAATTTTGTGGGTACTTCTGTTAGGCTTCTTAGCATTCTACAGATAAGGAGATGGGACTTCGTTTAAACAGCTCTGGGCCACAAATATAGCATGTAGAACTGTGGAGATTCTAACTCACATTTTAACCTAAAATGCCATACTCTTTTTATCCTATTACATTCTTCTCATTCCATATATGTCTATCTTATGTAGTATGATTGAAGGCAGGGTGCTTGAATAAGGTGTAATGTTTTTGAATACTTAGCATATCCTAGGCACTGTGTGACATATTTTGCATTTATTTAATTTGGCTGTCATAAAATTTCTGCAAGGCAGGTACAGTTACTATTCCCACTTTACATATGAGGAAGTGAGGTATGGAAAGATTATGTAACTTGTCCAAGGTTAGGCAGCTAGCAGGTGACAGGCAGGACACCAGCTTAGGCAGTGTGGCATCACAGCCTATGCTTGTAACTGCCGTGCAATGCTGTAGGTAAGCAAGAGCTAACAATATAAGCCTGAAACTACTGGCTTTCTCAGTTGATGGTATTTGAGAAGTGTGGTCTATGATATTCCTCAGTAACTTTCATCCATGGAAAACCAACATATCTCATTTCTATAGGTTTTAGGATTTAAATATTTTTAAGGATTTTTCTGTTGTAGACTTTAAATTTACGATTTGAGATAAACTGAATGCTAAATCTTTCCTGCTTGGGAAGAATTCAGATGTAAAATTGTAATTTGTATTATTGGAAAACAACTCCAGTTTTATGCATTCTATGCAAGGATGAGCTATGTATTAGTTCATTTTCACGCTGCTGATAAAGACATACCCGAGACTGGGAAGAAGAAGAGGGTTAATTGGACTTACAATTCCACATGGCTGGGGGAGGCTTCAGAATCATGGTGGGAGGTGAAAGGCACATCTTACATGGCGGAAGCAAGAGAAAATGAGGAGGAAGCAAAAGCGGGAACCCCTGATAAACCCATCAGATCTCATGAAACTTATTCACTACCATGAGAACAGTATGGGGGGACCATCTCCATGATTCACATGATCTCCCACGGCATCCCTCCCACAACACGTGGGAATTATTGGAGTATAATTCAAGATGTGATTTGGGTGGGGACACAAAGCCATGACTAGAATAAACCACATCAAGTTACCTGCTTATCTAAAGTTTTAGAAGGTGTTCACAATGTTATTCGAAAGCCAACTTAGTGTAGTGAGCATTTGGAGAAGCATCCTTTATACAAGTGAGATGACATACATTGTTAATATGTGCTTTTATGTTTGTCTTTGCAAGATCTGAGCTAGAATAGAATCATAGCTCTAGGGCCAATTAGAGTGGGAGATAGTTTAATAGATAACACAGGTGCTATTTTGTCAAGTTGCATGGTTTCTGGACAGTTTACAGAGAAAAAATTTTTAGCTGAGAGCCTGATGAAGTCTTAAGGCTATTATTAATAGTAATATTTGGGGACTAGCAAAGTGCTCACATAAAAAGCACCAACAAGGATTAAAAAAAGAGAAGGTACTGACCAGATTCACTGCCTTCTATTCCCAAAAAGATTATTAAAAGGTTCATGTAAATAGAATATGCGCACACCCAGGAGAAAGTGATTTATTTTTAAGCTGAAGCCGAGGTTTTACACATCCCTGATAATAGGGTTTAATTAATGTTTGGAGTGAATAAAACACACTCAGAAGAAGTGTAGTCATATCCTTAATTTCCTTGATTGGCAAAGTAATTGATATCATGTGTGACATTTGAGTCAGTGCTATTTTATCAGTCACTTGCTCTCTGCGAGACAGAGACTGTGATTGAAAACAGTAGGTATGGGTACTTGATTTTAAAATGAACTCTATCATAATATACTGATTACAGAATCAGAAGGGCAATGTTGGTGAATATTTTTGGGCAAAAAATGACTGTAACCTATTCTAGATATGGTAAAACCAGCTCTCAGTACTTACCCTATAAAGAGAATATTGGTTTTTTTCAGAATTTTGCAGAGGGTCTTTTTACTTAGGGAACAAAGAGAACTGTAATTGTCAAATGTGGTTGTAAAACGGTAAATCTATTTTTGTTCATGGCTCATTCATTCACTTGGCATTTAAAAAAAAATTTTTTTATTTGTTTATTTTAGAGACAGGATTTTGCTGTCACCCAGGCTTGAGTGCACTAGTGCAGTCATAGCTTACTGCACGCTCAAACTCCTGATCTTAAACAATCCTCCTGTCACAGCTTCTCGAGTAGCTGGGACTATTGGTGTGCCCCACCACACCTGGCTAATTTTCTATTTTTTGTAGAGATGGGATCTTGCTATGTTGTCCATGTTGGCACTGGGCTCAAATGATTCTTTGCTTTCGCCTCCCCAACCACTGCGATTACAGGCGTGAGCCAATGGGCCTGACCTCATTTGGCGTTTATTGACACCATATTAGAAACCCTGTACTACGTATAAAGATTATTGGGGGAAACTTCTCAGCTATGCATGTGTGTACATGCATATGTGCTCATTAGATCTTGGTGTAAGTACAGTTTTTCTTCTAGTCATGGTTTAAAATATCTGAAAAGGTGCTATGGGGACACAGCAGTTTACACCAACAGGGACCTTATAATTAAGTAGATATGACTGTAACATAGAGAGCGATAACGTTATAAAAGAAACACAGGTATGTTACTATAAGAATGTGATGAACAAATCATTTGATAAAGATATCAGCAGAGGCTTAGTGTGGGAGATGCCTTTTGGCTGGACTTGGGCAGTTGGTTAATTCTGAATGGGGTTTGGGGTAGGGGAGTCAGGTGAGGATTGGTGTGTGTAGGTATGCCTAAAGGCGTGAAAATATTTCCAAGAAGGATTGCGTTTCTTTTTGCCACTGATGGCAGAGTCAACCTCGGCTTCTGAGTTTAAGAAGAGTGTGAGCACCTCGAGCAAATAAGTCAGCTAAACAAATGGAGCTGAGGCATTAGAAAACGCCTGTCGATTTTTAAGAAAAGGAGCTCAACTCTAAGAGTGCAAGGAAAAATAAATGCGTGGAGTGACAGGATAATAGTCTATAATTACTTTTAAGATTGCTATATTGAGGCTGTGACAGTCACTTAGTTCCTGAGTCTTTTCAGGAAAGGGTAAGAGGTAACTAGCCAGAGCTGGAGTCACTCCTTGTAGAAGTTAGGTGGCTTTGATAGTGACATTAACTCTTCAGAAACTCCATGACTATTATTTGGTATCCAAAGCAGAAATTTATGAAAGAGTCACAGAATTTTACATCTGTAAGATAATCTTTTGAAAATAATTAGAAAGAATTCAGGTTTAGAATATACATGGGTGATAGACAGAGTAGTGAAAACATCCCCAGAATCTGGTCCTGCTCAAAAATGGAGCAGAGTTTCTTAGAATGCACTGACGTCTTCACATTGACCCTGCACAGTACCATCCCTGGGAGATCTGGCAAAGGAGACATTTCAGAAATGTGTGAGTTAGGTGCCATGGCATTAAGATCTTTTCCTACTGTACAACTTCCCGTTTTTAAACTCACCATCTTGATGTACAGCTAACTAATGTAATTTTCCAAAGTTTCTAGAGAAGACAACAACCTTATTGAGATACTGGGACATCTGGGTGCCAGTCTAGTTCCAGTTACATCTTACTTTTGAAAGAAAGGAAAATCCATTAAAATTAGAATTTGTCTAGGAAGCATCTCCCTCCCAGGAGCGGAGTACTAGCTCTTCACTATCATTGGTCTAAGCGCTTGAAATGCTCCCATGTTTGGAATCCCATTGTTTATGTATCAGTTCTCCCAACACTTCCACTCGTTAGGGGTATGATTTAAGAGTTAAGGCCAGGTGCGGTGGCTCACACCTGTAATCCAAGTACTTTGGGAGGCCAAGGGGAGCAGATCACGAGGTCAGGAGATCGAGATCATCCTGGCTAACATGATGAAACACTGTCTCTACTAAAAAAAAAAAATATATATATATATATAAAATTAGCCAGGCGTGGTGGCACACACCTATATTCCCAGCTACCTGGGAGGCTGAGGCAGGAGAATCGCTTGAACCCAGGAGGTGGAGGTTGCAGTGATCCGAGATCACGCCCCTGCACTCCAGCCTGGGTGACAGAGTGAGACTCCGTCTCAAAAAATATCCTTTGAGGTCACAGGATTGATGCTATACAAATAGTAATTGTATTATTAATGATAGAAATATGAAGCATATTGGTATTAAACTATGAGCTGATACATGGAGCAGCAGATATTGTATTTTTAGTTCATTTCCTTAGGCAAACTCAAATATTGTACTCACACAGTTACCTCAGGCATTCACAAGTTAGAGTTCCAGTGCAAACAGTTTGCAGCAAATATGAACCACAGTGGTACTATTAGTTTTGCATCCACTAGGCACATTTTCCAGCTTCTGAAGAGATAATTGAAGGAGAACTTGGATATGGGCTAAATTGTGTATATGGATAAAAGATTCAGCAGGGATTTAAGCACTTTCGACCCACATGAAACATTAAATATTAGCTGAGACTCACTTGAAGATGGACTTCTTGATTTTGAAGAGTTGTCTGCATTTTTATAAAACTACATGAGCATAGTGCATTTTAACTAATAAAGGAAGTGAACACAGTTGAGATGCATTATCTTTCTTAGCCTTAGGGTACTGGGTGTTACTATTATAATTTTTAAAAATGTATGCTTTTCAATTTTTAAACAGTTTATTATGGAAATGTTTAAACATATACAAAGGGATGAGATTACTATAATGTACCGCCAGGAATATATTATCCAGCTTCAGCAATAATTGACTGATGGCCAGTCTTGCTTCACCTATACACCTATTCCTTTCCCTCACCCTGGATTATTTTGAAGATAGTCTCAGATATTACGTCAGTTAGTCACTTCTGCAAATTTTAGTCTTTAGTAGGTATGTCTAAAACATCTCTCAACCATAAATAACATGTCAGGAGAGCTCTTTTGCAAGATGTTTATTGATCTTGTGCCTTTTGCATGAGTATGGGAATGGCTACTGTTTATGGAAAAGGAGATTAAAGAATGCAGTGTGGGTTTTTTTTCGTGGCCGATTTCTTTCTTTCCTTCTTTTTTTTTTTCTGGAAGTAGGATTGGTTTGGGGCATGATGTAGGAATGTTATTGGGTAAGGGTTTAAACTCTATGTGGCTTCTGTGGTTTGGAGAGACCCCAGGTTGATCTGATCTACTATAGTTAACAAGTCAGATAAACTAGATTTTATTTGTAATCCTTTTGTACTGAAGCCCAAACAACTGGCATTCTTAAATTAGCTAGAATATCACTTAGTATTCCATTTATAGAAGAGTTGTGGTTTTAATTTAAAAAATACTGTAAGTGGAGCTACTGAAATAGGCCCAAGTTTATTATAGCTAATACTTCATTACAGAGACTTCCGCCATTCCCTAAATCTAAGGAGGGGGTTGTTTGTATACCAAACATAGTAGATGTTTCTGTTTGACTAGATTACCTAGAAAATGGCACCTAGGGTAACAACTTATGTGCTTAATTTGAATGAACACGCCCAGAAAAACAGGAGAGAGGAAAAAAAGAAAAGTAAGAGAAAAGAGGAGAGAGAGCACATAGAGAGAGGTACATTATCAAGCTGTCCACAGCTTCCTGACAAGAGCAGCTGAGTTCTTGGTATCACAGCACATCTTCACAAAGGCCTCATAAACTAGCGTGTCTCAGAATAGTTCATTAATAGGAGGGAGGAAGAAGAATTTACGTAGCAGTTCCTGATTCCCATCGTTCAAAGTACATATTTCCTTTTTAGTATTGACTTTTCCAGGAAACTTGTTTTATTAGTACTCCTACTTTCCAAAATAATTCTCTATGTATGGTTTTATTTTTTAAAATGAAAACGATAGGAAAGAAAATTCTTCGAATTCATTGTCATGGGGACTCATACTCAGAGAATTGGATATGACAATACTCAACACCAAACCTAGTTCTGAACCCCAATATCTGATTATTATCAATAGAATCAGATCAAGGGAATACTTATTTTCCTCTTAGCAATCTATATTGATTATTCATGGGGGGGGGTTCTTTGTTCTGAGATCAGGAGAATGCCCTGGTTATATGTCCATGTGTGGCCTTAGTCAGTTTCTCATGTTTCTTATGTTCATGTATCTTTTGCTTAAAATTGGAAATATCTACCTTCAAGGAAATACTGTCGAAGACATGGTTGACAATTTCATAGCAGCAGTTTGATGAAATCATTTTGCACACTGAGTAAATTAGTCAATTATGTAAAAATTTTATCTGTAGTTTTGTCCACCTTATGACAAAAATTTTGGAGAAAAACAACAGCCTTATTGATTTACAGACATCTTTCTATTTATCAGTACTAGCATCAGCTTTCTGGGACATGTCAACTTTCCTGTTTTTGAGTCTGAATGGATCCATAAACCTAAACTTGCTGCAATTGGAGTGCAGATATCAAGACTATTGCAGAGGTCTTCTCACACATTATCTGTGTGCCTTGAGAATGGGACCTCTACTTTGGATTCTATTTCATCCATCCTATACAAAGAGATCAAGCAAGATAATCACGTATTCTCTGTGCTTTGGCCTTTGAAGACTTTAAATGACTTAGCTTGGTATTAAATATTTCATCCAGGAGAAGTTGGGACTTGAAAATCAGGCTTTGTCCCTTGCAGAAAACTTGACTGGTTCCAGGCGCAGTTACTGTTGGAACAGAATTCTCTTTAATCTTTTGCGGCCATTATCAACATTGATTTTATTCCTTGTGCAGGGCAGTAGAGTTCCAGCTTCTGTGTTATTACTTTTAAAACATGGTATAATTTTAGGAAACCATTTTCTTTGTTTCTGAAGGTGTATGTATAGGCTATGTTCTTCACATTAGATTTTTATTTTGAAAGAACATGGCAAAGTGTGGAAAACAAGGAACATAGTTAACATGATCAAGATATCTGAAATTGTGTAATTAGTGATAGCTTGGATAAAGTTGATATGAATAAGTAATATAGAGCAGGGAGTGTCCATGAATGGAGTGGAGTTAGCCTCATGTCAAAGTTTACTGTCCCCCAGCCAGACCTCAGCTTGTAGACTTAGTATTCAATTTGGTTACTCTACTGTGAAAGAGATACTCTCATCTGGAGAAGACCAGCCAAGATAGAGAGAGAACTAGGCTATGTCTTGGGAGGAACTGTTGAAAGAGATTGTAAGGTGACTTTAAGAAGGTGATAATCAGGGATACCAGAGGAAGACTTAGAGGACTCCAGAGGATAGAAATATGCCAGAATACAGAACTTAAACAGAGGCAAATTTTCATTCAGTACAGAAAAAGAGTTTCTGACAAAGTGATCTGAAGGTAGAATGGGCTGTCCTGGGGGATGGTGAGCTCCTTCCCACTGGAGGATTTTCAAGCCTTAGCCTAGTGACCCCTAAGGATATCAAGATGTACAAGGGTCAGTTTGTGGTTTAACTAGGTGACCTTCCCCTCCAACCTAAAGACATTTTTGTTGTCTGGCTAGACATCTTACTTCCCATAGTCTTTTAAAAAATAAAATTAAAAGGCAATAAATAACTTCTGACAAAAGAAAATAGAAGCCATGTTCTTATCACCCAGTAATGAATATATTGATATGGTTCTTTCAAGTAACTTTTAACCTTTTACAATATACGTATCAAATGCATGTATCATAGGTGATATGTTCAATAATTTTTGCAAATTGTGCATTTTTGTTTAAAAAACACCCAGATCAAGAAATAGAACCTCACTAGTCACTCAGACTACTTCATCTCCCCATGAAAAACACCATTATGATGTCTAACAGCATAGATTAGTTTTGCTTATTTTTGTATCATATGTAAAAGGAACCACACAGAATTTATTAAGTATTTTTAATTGTGGTTTTCGTTTTTTGACTCAGGCTTAAATAGCTCTCTTTTTATTGTCCACAGATTTTTATATATGCCTAGTCTTGCAAAGTTATTGTAGGCAGCACCTTAATGAGGTTTTAAGGGAATTTTGCTATTCTAACATTGGAAAATTTAGGCTGTTTTCAGTTTTTATCTGTTAAAATCTTTGGGCTTGTAGCTTTCCTATCCCCTCCACACCCATTTCTTCACTCATATTTCTCACAATATTTCAAATTGATTTCCATATGTGGAATTATTAGATCAAATGGTACAATGAAGTTTTAAAGTTTGATATTTACCAAATTTTAATCCAAAAGTTACCAAATTATACTTGCATTAGTAATATTTAATAGTGCCTATTGCTTTGTTTTAAAAAATGTGCTAATTTTATGAGAATGGCTTTTCTTCAATTATTAATAGGGCAACACTTCCTTTCACGTTTGTAAACTAGTTATAGATTTGGTACATGTAGTCAGTCACTGTGCTAAATTCTCCTTAAGAATTACGTCTCTTTTTTGAAAAACTAACTTTTAAAATAGACATTATTATTATTATTATTATTCTCATTTTGAAGATGGGGTAACTGAGAAACAGAGATACTAACTAATGTAGCTAATGAAGTGAAGCTAATTAGTGTCACATTTGGAGTTTACTCAAAATATGATACTCTTCAGTTTGATATGCTACTGCCCTTCATGTTATCCTTTTTAAAAAATATTTTTAAATTGATTGTATATTATTGCATTAGCATATTTAGCCAATTTATATGAGCTTCATATATAGCATATGTGTGTGTTACCTTCCTGGTAACACACCAAATGGCTCATATAAATTTAGCCAATTTATATGAGCTTTATATATATATATATATATATATATATATATATATATATATGCATGTGTGTGTGTGTGTGTGTGTGTGTGTGTGTGTGTGTGTGTGTGTGTTACTTTTTTGGGTGTTTATTTTTAATTTTGTTCCAATTTAGAAGCATATAAAAGTTTGTTTCAATGTGTTTTTTAAATTATTCAAGTTGTAATCAAACTGAAACTAATTTTGGTCAAAGGTGAGGCTCTACATTGATTTTTAAATAATTTACCCATTTTTCCAATTTCATTTAATAAATAATCTTTTCTAGCCGAGCACGGTGGGTCACACCTGTAATTCCAGCACTTTGGGAGGCCGAGGCTGGCAGATCACCTGAGGTCAGGAATTTGTGACCAACCTGGCCAACATGGTGAAACACTGTCTCTACTAAAAATACAAAATTAGCCAGGCATGGTGGGGGGCACTTGTAATCCCAGCTTCTTGGGAGGCTGAGGCAGGAGAATTGCTTGAACCAGGAGGCAGAGGCTGCAATGAGCTGAGATTGTGCCATTGCACTCCTGCCTGGGAGGCAGAGCAAGACTGTCTCCAAAAACAACAACAACAAAAATAATCTTTCCTTTACTGATTCATTTGTGGTGTCTCTTTTACTGCATATGTATGAACGTGTGGGGTGTATGTGTATGTGTGTTTTAGACATAGGATCTCACTCTGTTGCCCATGTAGGAGTGAGTGGCACAATCATGGCTCACTCTGACCTTGAACTCTTGGGTGCAAGTGATCTTCCTGTCTCAACCTCCAGAGTAACTAGGACTATAGGTGTGTGTCATCATGCCTGACTAATTTAAAAAAAAAAAAAAAGTTTAGAAATGGGGTCCTGCAATGTTGCCCAGGCTGGTCTTCAACTCCTGGCCTCAGGTTGATCCTCAAGTGATTAACCTAGGCCTCCCATAGTGCTACAATATATTTGGCAATTATATCTGCGTGCACGGTTTCTTCATTAATGTCGTCTTATTCCTGTGTAAATAACTTCCACTCCCATTTCATTTTAGATTTTCTTACCCATCTTTGCAATATCTTCAAAAAGAAAGAAGACTTGCAAGAGTCCAATGCTGCATAATATTAATAAACTTAATTTTCTTAAATTTTCTTCTCTGGCAGAGACCATAAGCAGTATGATATTTAGTCATGCTAGGATAAGACCTGAGTAGAAATTGTACTAGCTATCCAGCTCGTTTGTTAATTTACTTTTGATGAGGCAGAGAACGGTCATTTAACCAGCTTTTGTTCAGTGTCTGTTCGGTACTAGGATCTCCTGAGAAACCCTTGCATCCTTTATGTACTTGGTCCTCATAACATTCACACTAAGCATTCATGGCAGAGCCAGCACTGGCACCTGTGGCTTCTATGTTGCTTTTTACCTTGCATTATACCAATTCATACTAAGAAAATTGAAGTGTGCCCTAATCACAGTCTTTCATTTGTAAGTCGACTCAATACAGTATTGGATTTGGAGTTTTGAAAGAAAGTAAAACCTAATTTCCTTCCCCAAAGCTATTATTATTCTATTTAGATAAATGGAAAAGCAGGTATGTGTTGAGGTTTCTAGCTTTTAATCTACAGTGTTTAATAGGTTTTAAGTTATTTGTTATTGAAATCTTGAAGAAAACACATAAGTTAGATTTCTTGCTTTTATAGCAAAATATTTTTTGGATGGCTTAGGGAGTCAAGTGAACCATTTTAAATACAGTATGACTAAATCTGAAAGGCCTGATATGGTAGCTGCTAGCCCCATGTGACCATTTGAAGTTGAATTTAAATCTACATTAATTAAACTTAAATAAAACATTTGTAAAAATTAGTCTCTCAGCCACTAGTCACATTTTGAGTGCTCAGTAGCCATCCCTTGCAAGTATTAGGACAGTATGGAACATTCCCACCACTGCAGAAAGTTCTGTGGTGCAGTGTCCATCTAGATGATTCTACAAATGGAAGATTTAGGGGAAGAGGAGAAGTAAGTAGTGAGGTGTACCTAATTGCTTCTATAAGTTTTAGTACAAAGAACCCTTCCTTTAAAATATTGATATTTGGTGAAACATTCAGATATCACGTTTTAAAGTGATTTCATGGACACTAATCAACAGAGCAACAACATAGATATATCATTGACTACAAGGATGGATCAATACTTGTTCTACCTGTTTCATAACTTAGAGGATTATAGGGCACTCTATAACACAGCACCTTAAGTATCAGAAAAATAAAGGCTGCAGGTGTTTGAATGAATTGTTGGATGTTCTGTTTTTATAAACATGTGGTCTTCTCATATTTACACCCCATTTGGTTTGGGATGAATCTCCATTCTGAGTCCCTTAAATGTTAGGGAAGCTTAAGATGAGACCCTTTGGATTCCACACACCAATCTAATTTCGGACCCAATTTGAAGCTGAAAAAGGCTTACTATGGAAAAAAAAAAAAAAAAAAGCCCAAGCCCCAAAACATACACACACAAAACAAAGTAGAACAAAAGGGGATACCATGATCTTTTTATCAAATTAGGATAATAGGATGACATGGAATTCAGAAGACAGTGTGATATTCTCTGGGAATTTGTTATTTTATGAATGTTCCTGACTGAAATTTAAATAAAAATAAAATCCAGAGTATACTTCCCCCTTTAGTAACAGATAGAAGTGACACCTTGTTGAATTCCATTTCTGGATTACTCTGTTTTTATTTTCATCTATTGGCACCCAGGACCTGGTGTTTGGTTTGTAACTATGATGAGTGGGTTGGGATTAATATGAGAAATTCCGCAATGAGTAAGTCGGAACTATTCGGTGTTATGTCCAAGAAAGCTCACATGTCCTAGTTAAGGCTGTGTGAAGTGAATTGGACCATCCTGATGTGGTGGCCCCAAACACTGGGCTTAATCCTCTGGTGTGACTGCTTTCACAGGTCTTTTCAAGAGCCTAAGTACCATAAAATATTCTCACAAAAGCCTTCATTCCAAAGAATGTGTGTGTCGGCTCATGTCAAGAGCTTTTAGTGTAGAACAATGTGTCGAAAACCACAATCTAATAAACAAACAGATAATCTAGTTCAGTTTTGTCTAAGTAATATAATGTCTTTATTAAACTATTTCCTGCACCTTTAGCTCTATTCAGAAGGAGAAAGTTCTGCGTGGGAATGTGTGTATATTTACTCTTAATAGGAGGCCGTGTAGCTCCTGTGACTGGATGTCTTGTTTTTCTCTTCTGAGTAGCTCTTGTTTTCCATGGTGGGAATTTTCCGTCTTGGTAATTTGGTATTTTACTTGGTTTTCATTGTGAAGTGTGGAAGTGTGTACACCTTAGTTTTAGAAATGTTGTTTTATCACCTGCATCTCAGTTATCAAGGGCCAAGTCAGAAAGTTCTCACGTGTTTTTAAGCCTTTCTACCAGACCTTGAACTATCCATTAAGTCAAAGGGGATAGGCTATTTCCATGAAGAAGGTTTAGGGATTCCTGGCAGGGCAGGAAGAAGGGGCAAGATTTGCGAGGATCAGAATCCTAGGTACTCTCCTTTAGACTGCCTGGTGACTACTCATTTGTCATATGGAAAATCATGGCTCAATAGTTCAGTAGAATATAACTTTGTGGAAATTTCTGAATATTAAAGGCTTCATTTTCAACACGGCAGTGAGATGGGAGAGTCAGGGTCATTCATTGGTATTGTCCACGTTACTGGTTGCTTTTTGTCTGATCTTGCCTGGAGAATTATTTTTAAGTAATGTGCCTGGAAAGTGCCTACTTACAGTTAGGTTAACGGCCATCTTATGGCATCAGGAGGAGCTTTCTGGCTATACCTATTAAAGGAAGCCTTAGTCTCTTATTGCCATTAATTGACCCTTGCATTTTGAGTCATAGAATCATAAACCATCAGTGTCGAGAGGGCTACTAAGCAGTTTCCTTGGATTAATAAAGCTTGTATCTTCTTTATAATATTCATGTCAAGTGGCCTTCCTGCCTCTACTTGAATACTTCCAGTTATTTGTCAATCTCACATCCTCAAACCAGGTAATTTCTATTTAATTTTTGCCCTTAATCTTCAGGGTTTATAAATACCTATTGATAATACCTTCGTTAATATGGTGCTTTGAAACTCTTCATTTTTTTCCCTAAATAAACTTGTAATTTTTCTTTCTATATCATGACAGTAGAGGCTCATATTTTTATGCCTTTTAGTCTCAGTTATATTTTTGTCTGAAGAGCTAAATATACTTGAAAAAAGTGGTTTCTGTCATCTCAGAACATATATATATATATATATATATATATATATATATATGCTGTGTAAACTCCACCTGTTTGCTAATCATAACATTCATTTTTCTCAATGTGATGGATTTTGTCACCACCTCCCCCCGCCCCCCCGCCTTTATGGCATTGCTATGTGAATCATTGCAAAAACTCTGCACTAACATTTTTCATTCTGTTTATAAGGTTCAAATAGATAGAACAATTTTCTCTAGGCTTTAGCTCTGGTGTGTATAATTCTGGTCAGGCTCCTAATCTTTTTGAGGGATAGTTTCCTTATCCATAAAATGGACCTAAGAAAAGCAATCCTATGGGGACAATATAAAACTTGTTTAGCTGCAATCTTAACTCAGACTTGCTTCCTGAAATTCCTCAATCTAATATTAAATAGGGGTTTTTTGTTTAAATGTGGTAGCAAGATTATAGTTACAAAAAGAATAGAACAATGCATTAAAAAATAGAAGTATCTTAAATAATATGTTTAAATTTTTTAAAAATATGCTGAAATTATAAAGAAATTCTTAGAAAATCATGAGGAACTCTGGAAAATAGGTACGATGAATACAAGAACTTTTGCTCTTGTCTATACTTGTCCTTGCACTGATGTTCCTACTCTGAGTCTAGCACTATGTGCAGACTTCCCTTCTTATGGTATGTTGTGGTGAGCAGAATAATAGCCCTCAAAGTTGTCCACGTCTTAATCTCTGGAACATGTGAATATGTTAGGGTACATGCCACAGGGAAATTAATGATGCACATGGAACTAAGGTTGTTAATCAGCTAACCTAAGATAATGAAATTATCCTGGAGTATAAGGATGGGCCCAACGCTATTACAAGTGTGATAGCAAATGGAAGAAGAGGACAGAGGAGGTCTTTGAAGTGATGTGATGTGAGAAAAACTTAACGTGTCTTTGCTGGCTTTGAAGATGGAGGAAGGGGCCACAAGCCAAAGAATGAGGAGTAGCTTTGAGAAGCTGGAAAAGACAAAGAAGTGGATTCTCTGGAGAGACTCCAGAAAGGAATGCTGCCCTGCCAACACCTTGATTTTAGTGCATTGATATGCATAACTGATTTCTGATTTATAGAACAGTAAGATAAATATATTTCTGTTCTTCTAAACAACCAAGCTTGTGGTACTTTGTTGTAGTAACAACAGAAAACGAATACACACAATATCATGTTAAAATGATCTGTTTATATGTTTTTCTCCTTTCTAGGCAATGAATTCCTCAAGGGTAACAATGCTATCTTTGAAAAATCATTTTAGTCCATTTCCATATGAAAAGAATACGAAATGTCCTGTCAAACACCAGAGGTGGTATTTACTCAGTGTGTATGCACCATATGCCTGGCACTGCCCTGGGTATTTTGCTTTGAAAATTTTATTTCCTGTCTGTTTAACCCTACTAAATCTTAACTTTCTTATCTGTAATGTGAGTCTATGGACTAGATCAGGTTTGGCAAACTTTTCTGTAAATCTGGTAACTAAATATTTTAGGTTTTATAGGCCATATGGTATTTGTCACAACTATTCATTTCTGCCACTGGAATGCAAAAGCAGCCATAGACAATAAGTAAATGAATGACCTTGGCTATGTTCCAAAAGAACTTTATCTACAAAAACAGGAGGTGGTCTGGATTTGGCCATTTGGCTGTTGCTTGTTGACCTGTAGACTAGCGGACCTCTTTATTCTGTTCTAATTCCTGTCTAATATGATTATTCTGTCAGTTTATAACATTGTGCCGTGTCAGTTAAGCCAAGGAAGTGCCAGTAAGACCTGAAGAAGGAACTCAAGTGATTGGATGGGTCTGTTTATAAGAAGAAGCATAATATTGGAGACTCAAGTGCCAGGAAGGGGACTGTCACCATGTCCTTGGCAAATGGACCTGGGACAAATTCTCTTTAGGATGAGACATAAGGAGATCCTTGAATGCCAAAGCTGAGCTCGCTGAACTTGAAACTCAGTGAACTGGAACTACTGCTGGAGGAATAAAAGGGAGCAATAAATCCTTTGCACTCCAGAATGAAAGACCTTCTGAGGCAGCTGGCCAAATGAAGCAGGAGGAGGGAACAAGTTCCTCACTCAGCTAAATTATGTCTTTGGGCTGGCCGACCTGGTCTGCTAAAATAACAAGGTGGCTGAACTTCTGCTCAGAACACGTCACCAAATTTTGCAATTTGGGACTGTCTTCTATCCCATGACTTCCTAATCTGAGGAAGTGAAGAAAGCAGAGTGAATGAAACCCAAGGATTGACTTTTTTATGGAGGGCCTCCTTAGAGACAAAAGTTGATTTTTCAAGAGAACCCTTTATATTGTGAACTCTGTATTCTAATTCAAAAACCGTTAAGTTCTTGGATGAAGAACATCCAATAGATTTTGGAGGTCTTGTAAACTTTGCTATTGATCTGGGACTTAACCTTTGCAGATGTGGGACTGTGTGTTTATACATCAAAGTGGGTAAAGAAGAGCCCATCCAGAGCTAGGCAGACGGAATTGGGATATGTTTGTTTGTCTGATTGCCCGGTTGTGGTGGTTGTGGTGGTGGCGGTTGTTTTGACTTGGTTACATCATCGCATTTTTGAGGACAAAACTACCCTCTTTGATTGGTATGTTACAATAGCTTGTTTATGTCTTGCAAATTGTTCGAGAACAGTTTGTCCATTAAAGAAAAAAGTGACCTAGTAATACTCCCCTACCCAGGGGAATGTCGGGTTAATCAGTTGCACAAGGGCTTGATATGCCAAGTCAGTACTACCCCGAGGCTCCGTATGCAGTTCCTTTCCAAGATTTTTAAACATTCTGGGGAGAACACAATATTTGTTTATTTGGCTTCTAGGACTTTGTTTTGTTATCGTTTTAGTTACGGTCTTATGCTTTTCTCTCACTCCCTGTCTTTCTTTTACCCCTAACTCTTTGGAGCCCTGGTGTGCTAAGAGCCATGTTAACAGTAAAGCATCTATTCAATAAACACTTAACTATATTTTATATTTGAGCTTCTAAATGTTTGTGAAGAATGTGTTTCTGGGCAAGTCACATAAAGAATAATCTCACAGTAAAAATAACTTATATTTATGTAGGACATTATAGTTTTTATGGTATTTCTAAATTCAGTAAAAGGCGAAAGATTTATACCATCTGAAGAAAAACCAGGGTGTTGTATTTTTAAATTTAAATACTTTGGTCTACACAACCCTGGGTAGTATAAAAGGTAAGTGCTGTTGCTCTCATTTACAAACAAAAATATTGAGAATCAAAAGTTTCATGATTTCCCTAGGTTCACACACATCTAGTAAATGGTTCCAAGTGGACAAAAACTTACACATTTTAATGTCGCAGAGCTATTTTTTTATATATGTAAGTTACCTAACTGCAGCAGTGATTGCCGAGATCATCCCTATGGTGATGTTCAATTGAGTCTCCCTATTTCAATCTTTCAACCTCTCTTTTCTTCTCTCTCTCTCTCATACACACACACACACACACACACACACACACACACACACGCACACATAAACCACATACACACACATTTTGAAATTGGTAGTCACTCAGTTTCTCAATCTTCCTTTAAAGACTAATTTATTGGGCTAGAATTTATGGGTGTAGTTGTCAAAAATTCCTGCATATACCCACTCAGGAAATATTTTCCCAAATCTTCTCCATCTCAACTCTGTGAGGCATTGGAAGAGGTGCTTTTAGGATAGACTGATGACTCATATATGATGTCTGCCCTCAGGGAGCACACAGTTTAGTGAGGTAAATGTCTCATGAATATTCCACAAGATCCACCTTGATAATGCTCTAAAGTTACTATAGAGGGCTGAAGGTGGGAAGATGCTTTCGTCTGGTGGCAAAGGATAGTAGTGTAGGGTGACATGGGCCTCCAAGAATAGCTTGGGCTCAGATAGTGGAGAGGAAACTCTTAACGGAGACAGAGGTGTGAGCAAAGTCTTGGTGTCCAGGAAGCCAGAGGAAGCATTCTGGCAGATTACCGGGTATGTGGCTTAGCAAAAGTCATTATTCTGAAATATAAAATGTCCAGTGCTGCTGTCTGCAGTATTAGTCTCAAAGGATACATACTCACCAGTACATTCCAGAGTTTGTTGACAAACTTTGACAACAAAGCTTATCAAGTTTCTCTCCATTGCCTCATAAGAGGCCCATCCAGTTAGAGGATTCCTCCTTTTCAGAATGAGATCTTGTCAAATCTTGGGAGGCTCAGAACAGACGTTTACCAAGCTTCCAATAATACTCTCAAACCATAATTCTCTAAAACTTCAGCATAATTGCCATAAAATCAATTGACCATATATTAGAGAGTTTATTTCTGGGCTCTGTATTCTATTCCATTTGTCTCTATGTCTGTCCTTATGCTAGGACCACACTGTTTTGATCACTGTAGCTTTGTGATAAGCTGTGAAATCAGGAAGTGAGTGTCCTCCAACTTGGTCCTTTTTTCAAGATTGCTTTGGCTATTCAAAGAGAGCCATGATATTTTTAATCTAGCAACAGTTGTATCAAATACATTGGAAAAACCTGGGTCAGGAAGAATGTTGACTATCTGGGCTATTTGTTTAGTCTAGATATGAGGTAACTATGCATTAGGTATTTTGGTGGCAAAGGAGATGCAGAGCAGTAAATGAATTAGAAAAATTTGGTGTAATTTAATATAGCTTGTTTGTATTCAGAGTGGGTGGTTAAGATAAAAAGGAAAAGGGTTTTCCACCTTTGTGATAGGGAGAATTGTGATAAGGTAAATAGAAAAATAGAGCACACAAGAGGAGGTTAGCAGGTCTGTGGGTTATCCTATCTAAATTCAGATTTGAGCACTGAGCTAGAGGTTCATTTGATGATGCTCATTCAGCAATCAGAAATTCAGAGGTGAAATCAATGAGTACCACAATTATTCTGGGTCTTATTTTACTTATAAATGGTGTATTTATTTAGAATTGCTTTTTTAATGTAATGCATTTATGGTTACCATGGCACAAGAGCCAGATACTGGGAAGCAGTTGGGGACAGCAGCAAAAATCAAGATCTGGATAAAGGCAGCTTCATGAGGCTTCTGTGCCTTACCTCAGCTAAGAGTAAACAGAGTGCTAGATGGCTGTTGACATGTGTTTTATTTTGAAGTGACTATTATTACTAGGATCTGAAATCCTTAGCCTTGATCTCTTGGAGCCTAATGTTCCTGTTCTCCAGCTGAGAGAGACTAATTCACCATCTTGTGTTGTAAACACTCACTCATTTTAACTGATTACACCTCCAATGATTCTCAAATCACTAAAATTACTAATTGCTATTCCTTACACATCAAAGAGTGAATCCTGAATAATTAACCCCAAATAAAATTAGATGAATTGGCCCTTTTAATTAGAGTCCCTGCTGCTGTTTGTTCTGAGCTTCCTTTTCTTACTGTTAAGAGACTTTTAGAATGATTAAAACTGTTTAAGACTTAAACAGCCAGTGACCTTTTAATACAATATAAATCCATGAAAGCAATATTTCAGCTAGCAGGTGGTGAAGTAAATTTTTAGAGCAAGTACCTGTCAGCTCCAGTATTCCTTTGGAAAAAAAAAATACATGCCAAAAAACAACCACCTTGAAATGAAATGAGTGTCTCTATTTGATTATTTTTAAAGCATTCATGCATTTGCTAAGCTTCAGACTTGATGAAATAAATGTCAGGGTTGAAGGAGAGTGAGTAATGGTTGGCATCATTTTATATAAATAGTAACAAGAATTTCTCAGTGAGAAGAATTTGAAGTCATTTGTGCATAAAAGATGAATACTGGATAAATCACAGAAGGCCCCTGGCCTCATGTAGCCATCCTTGTCTTCGGGGATTCTCTTGAAGCAAGAGAATGAGCCCCAACATTGGGGAAAAGGAAGTTTTATGGGGTTTAATTGCTGCTGATCATCGAGGCAGGATTACCAGCCTAGCCATGCTGCATTCAGCCTGGATTTTGTTGGAGATATTTTACATGTTCCTGCTCGTCTATTCCAAGTCTCCTAAATAGTAAGAACCTCTTCTCTTCTTCATAGTCTTCTGAATTTGTAGGGGTGTAGCGGGTTTTCTCACCATTCCCAAGAAGTCTCAGTTTCTCACACTAAGTCTGCCATGTGCTGTGGTCAGTGTGTCCTTAGCTAGAAGTTAAGATATTTGGGGTCACAGTGGGCTGCCTGGTGTGGTTCTACATTCTTTGACTGTTTCTCTATTTTTTTTCCATGGTGGAAAATGTATTCATCTATAAAAAAAGTTATTGGACTAGTTCAATGACTTACTTTTTCCTTAAAATTTAAAACATAAATTTTAACTTTTTATTCTGAAATAATTTGAGACCCTAGAGAACGGTTGAAAATAGTATAAAGGATTCTCATTTAGTCATCACCCAGTTTTCCCAAGTATTGACATCTTACATAACCACGGTAGAGTTACCAAAGCCAGGTAAACACTGACATAATACTTCCTTCTAATACATAAACCTTATTTAGATTTCATTGATTGTCCTAGTGATGTCTCTTTTCTGGTCTAGAATTATATCCAGAATCACATATTGCATTTTATTGCCTTGTCACCTTAGTCATCTTTAATTTCAGAGAGAGAGTTGTTCAATCTTTGTTTTTCCAGAAGGTCAATGATTCTTAACCAGCGCTATACGCCAGAATCATTGAAGGAGCTTTGCAAGGTCCTTGTCTGGGTCCCGACCCCAAAGATTCTGAATTAAGGATTCTAAAGTCAAGTCTGGGTGTATGTAGTGTGAGCAAGTGCCCCAGGAGATTCCGATACACACCACTGGTTAAAAGTCAGATGAGTTTCAATACCTCAAGCTAAGTATTTTCAAATTCTGTCTATGACATGTATCCTTCCCCTTCCCTCATTTCTCTGCTCTTTCTTCATCTCCATCTCTCTTTTATGGGATTAAAAAGCAAATTTAAATGTCTCTTTATACTCTTAAGGGATATACATATACTGGGTAAGGCTTATCAACAGATCTTTTATTGGAGAAGATCAATACAGTACAGATGGTTGCAATATTTCTGAAGGCTAGGGTGCCCCCATAACCAGGTGGTGACTTGAGGATGAAGACTCTGTTCCTATACTTTGAAGACATACCCTCAGTAAGATAATGTGAAAACAAACAAACAAAAAACCTAGCTAGATGGCTACATTAAGACAGGTTATTAACTGTCTAGCTGTTGGTATCATGAAGGACCTATGACCCACCGTAGTACATTGTTGACCTTATGTCAATATTTGAAAAGTGGCAAAGTTGACCATGGGAAAAGTTCATGTGTTCATTGTCTCAAGAGTTCTATTCAATTTAATATAGGTAGTTTTGTACCAATAATAATTTATAGCAATAATATCATTACTGTTTACTGAGTATCTCATATGTGTTCTATATGCTTTATGTAGAGATTATAAAACAGAGAGTCTGCCCTCAAGGAGCTGTTAATCAGGTAGGGGAAACCAATAGTTATCCAATTAAGCTAACAAAGAGCAGAATATTGGCTGTAATAGAGCTTCAGCAGGAAGGAAGCCTGCATTATCATTGACATGTCATTGACAATGCATTGACATGCATTGACATGCATTGACATGAGAATGGTTCCCTCTATAGCCAAAGACAGCAGTGGTGAAATAAATTAAATGCCCTATTTAAAGTGTTTTTATTATGAAACCACGCTCCCTCAGGCACCATCATTGTCTTTGGAGGGGTTGTAAGCTTCTGGCCTTAATGACCACCACAGGGTAATGTCCCAATCCTAAGGGGAAAGGATGTTTTTGGACTATTCTGTCAGCACTCTGATATTTGTTTGCAAGCTTCTTTGTTTTTACTGGTAAATTAAGACTTTTTGTTGTTGTTTTCCTGGGATGTTGCCTCATTTTCTGTCCATCACATGAATTTTTAGATTTTTGTTTCATTTTTAAACCGAGGTAATTTTACTTTTTCGCATTGGAGCTAAAGATATCTCACTAGCTGATAGAAGACTGATGCATTAAGCTCAACTCATTGTCCTATTTATTTTGAATGCTCATCTTTGGAAGTCAAAAATATATGGTGTGGTTTGTTGTCTGGATAGCAATTACTATGTTTTTGTAAAACAAATGATACTTGGTGGATTCAAAAGTGCTATTTGGTTCTAGTCGATGTGCAGAGCTAGACTATTGTCTTAATTTCATACGATTTGAAATCCATTTAATGTTTTCTACTGAGAAATTGAATTTGTTATCCAACCACTGCATGACAGAGAATTATAGTATGCTTGTATCTCATGTAATACACTGAGGTGTCTCACATTTGTACAGGGTACTTATTTGTGATTATAAAAGAGGACTTTTAAAGTCTCAGATATATTCTGTATTAGCTAAATATGGAGTGAAACTGTCCAATTTAAAATCAGGGAGACGTCATCTACTTTAAAGATAATTCTTCTTGCTTTTTAATTTGAGAATCTCAAAGAGCATTTCAAGCTAAGTTATTTAGAAAGATGACAGGGACATTAAATTTTGGCTTGAGTACATATACTGATGCATTAAAATTAAACGCTGGGTTTGAGTAGATTCTGCGATTCATTTTAAAGTATCTTATTTTTGGTTTTTTAAAAAAATGCATGCCTATAATTCACTTATTGTATAATAATTAAGCCAAAAGGATAAAAAATTGAAAACAATGCTTAGCATCTCATGAGCTGTAGACAACCCCTGTTAACATACAGGCCTATATAAAATTGGGACCATATTATAAGCACTATTCAATAACCTCCCTTGTTTCTTACCTGATAAGATATGAAAAGCAGGCCGGGCGTGGTGGCTCACGCCTATAATCCCAGCACTTTGGGAGGCCGAGGCGGGCGGATCACGAGGTGAGGAGATGGAGACCATCCTGGCTAAAACAGTGAAACCCCTTCTCTGCTAAAAATCCAAAAAAATTAGCCGGGCGTGGTGGCGGGCGCCTGTAGTCCCAGCTACTCGGGAGGCTGAGGCAGGAGAATGGCCTGAACCCGGGAGGCGGAGCTTGCAGTGAGCCGAGATTGCGCCACTGCAGTCCAGCCTGGGCGACAGAGCAAAACTCTGTCTCAAAAACAAACAAACAAACAAAAAAGATATGAAAAACAATTTTTTATGTTCTTCCCCCGGATATGCCAATACTTACTCCCTTACTAGATTTAAGTCTTTCCCCAAATATCACCTTGGTGAGGCCATTTTCATTTTTTTTTCTTTAAAATTGCAACTCCCACCACCACCCTAACAGTCCCAACCCCCTTACTTGCCCTACATTTCATCATAGCCCTTCTCACCATGTGATATTCCGTTTGATTTACTTTTTAAGCATTATTCTTCTTTGGAGTATAAGTTCCATGGGGCTTCGTGGAGAAGCACACTTTGTTAGTTCTATTTGTTTGTTTTTCCCTGGGGTCTAGAGTAATGTATGATATATAGATGGCACTCGATGAATAAATAGTTGTAAGATGTAGATCAACATCATTATTTTGGTGACCACACAATTTCCCACTGTATGATTGCAATTTATTTTTCAACCAGTACCCTGTTAATGAACATTCTGAGTTTTTGCATTACATTGCTTTGTGATGAAGTTTCCTTAACATGCTCCTCTGCATGTTAAGTTACTTCTTTGGTAGGATAATTTATTAAAAGTGATATTGCTGAATTAAAGTTTATAAATATCTTTAAGGCTTTTGATTCCTCTTGCCAAATTTTCTTGAGAAAAGTTTAGTAGCAGTAGCATATGAGAATGCTGGTTTCCCTATACTATTATCAATTCTGTGTTTTATCAATATTTTTAATCTTAGTCCTTCCTTTTAATTAATTTGTTAGCAACTTGAGTATTATCAAAATTAATAGTAATGTTTTCTAGTTAAATAGCAGAAAATACAAATGGAAGAAAAATAGAAAGGTTAATTTTTCTAATGTATAAAAGGAACCTGAAGTTTAAGGATATCTAGCATGATAACTAAAAAATTAATGTTCCTCGGTCAAGGTCACATATCTTATTTACAGAGGAAGATGTGTCACTGAAGGGAGATATATTGTGCTATTTTGATGACAATGAGGACAGAGAACATGGAATGGCCAAGCCTTGCCCTGATAATTATCCCTCTCCCAGAGAGTTCTCAAAGGAGTTTCACGCTGTAGAAACGGGAGCAAAATGAGAATCCAGGTGCCGCTTTATTAATAGCTTCATAAGTGCTTGCTCTCCCTCTGGGACAGAGGTCTGTGATCCCACTGACATAGTGCAGAGGCTTTGGCTCTAGGAATAAGTAGAATTTGTATCCGGTATCTTCCTCACACCACTGTATCTTGGAAGTCAACATACTCAGTGAGCTGCAGCTCCTGAAGACCTGGCTTGACATTCTGATCCTTTGCTTTAGAGTCAAGAAGTACAACATTCCAGCTGGTCTGTCCTGGGAGCCAGATGCTCAGAGGTCTGAAGCAGGAAGTTTAAGAAGGAGATTTCCTGGGTATTGCTTTCTAAAACTGAGACTTTAACAGTAGTAGCTGGATCAGTCAAATTAATAACCCCTTCCTTGTCAGAGAGAAGGGCAGAGTGGGACAGGAAAAGAGCTTGAAAAGGTTTCGTCTCTAATAGAAATAGCATGTTGAGCAAGTCAGTGCAATTGCTTTCATATTGTTAGTTCCAACCAGTGCACTGTAAATAGGTTGAGAAGGCCGAGAAGTGATGCATTAAATGGGATGTATCCTCAATTTTTCTCTTGGCCTTTGCTGTAATGCATTTCCTGGTGGTTTTTAAAACCTTACTCAGCTGAACAATTGGAGATGACACATTTTCAGGTACTGAAAATTTCTGTTTTGTGCATATGTGTTATTTAAAAATTATAAATGGGTAAAATAATGACAGGTTAAGAATTTGTATAATGGAGAGTATTTCCCTTCTACTTTCATTCCTCAGTTGCAAAATTTAGCTTCATAGAGGCAACTTGCTGTTATCAATAGTTTGGGACTCCATTTAAAAGATAGTCCGTGATAATACATACATATATGTGTATACATTATTAAATAAATGATAACGTTATACATGCTGTCCTAGGCCTTGAATGCTGCATTTAAAAATATTTCACCCAAGGTGCTTTCTGGTACAGTTTTCTTGGTGGCACACATATTTTGATGCAGATTGAGGATGGAGTTGAAGTTGAAATTGGAAGTGAAGTCTTCCTTTATTTAGTTTCATAATAAATTGCCTGTAGTCTGTGGAGTGTACATTATAGCTGTGGCATAATTCATTGCCTTATGGAGATCATCATTGCTGTTACCTTTGTTTTATCCTCTCACTTTTTCTCTTTAAGGGACCTTGTTCAGGGAGCTTGGTCTCCTCCTCTGAGTGATCAAGTTTAGATTCAGTTGCCCTCTTGTGCATAAGGAAAAAGAAAGCATTGTCATGTATAATGTAGACATTGTACTAATCACTTGCACGTAATTTAGCTCAGTTATGTTCAAAATGTAAATTGAGACCTATTTCTGGGCCACAGTCAATTTAGTGGGTCAGAACCAATTTTTTTTCAAATAACAGAGCATTTCAATGTGTGTTTTATTTATATAGTAGGTATGGTTTCATGAAACCCTTTTTTTCTAGTATACATGTACGTGTACATATCTAGATAGCAATATTACCACATTATATAAAATATATTTTTTTAATCTAGGTTGTGGTCAAAAAGTTTCAGACTTACTGTGTTAGCTGCTTTGATCCACAGATTGACACTGTGAAGTAGCTGTGGTTTTCCTCATTTCATAGGTGAGGAAAACTGGGTCTGGGACTATAGAATTGCCTTGCCTGAAATAAAGGGTAGAGCTGGGGTTTGTGTTTTAAGTTTTTGGACTTAAAATTTCGTACTATTTTCCTTTCAAACATATATTTTTTTCTGTATTAGTTACTATATAGTTTTTTGTTTTTTTGTTTTCTTCTTGTTTTGAGATGGAGTCTTGCTCTGTCGCCTAGGCTGGAGTACAGTGGCTCCATCTCGGCTCACTGCAACCTCCGCCTCCCGGTTCAAGCAATTCTCTGCCTCAGCATCCTGAGTAGCTGGGATTACAGGCTCCTGCTACCACGCCTGGCTAATTTTTGTAATTTTAGCAGAGACTGGGTTTCACTCTGTTGCCCAGGCTGGTCTTGAACTCCTGACCTCCTGATCCGCTTGCCTCGACCTCCCAAAGTGCTGGGGTTACAGGTGTGAGCCATGCACCCAGCCACTAGTTACTATTAATGGAAATGAATAACCGTCTTTACTTGAAACTTATGCTTTGCTAACCATGATTAAAAAAGTGTTCACCTTGTGTGTGTGCGTGTGTGTGTAGGTATTCCAATCCAGTCTCTTTTGACTTCATAATTTAGAAAGTTAACTTGTGGAGTATCTACATGCTTTTATGCTTACCTTAATAGTTAGATTTTCCTCCAACAACCAAAAATTCTCCCCTCAACAAAGTGGGAGAAGCAATAGCTGCCAGCTAGCAGAAGCTAGAGACATGTCACTGCCAGTGCAGCCCATGGGTCTATGTCAGCAACACCTGAGAGCATGTTGGAAATGCAGAATCTCTGGCTCCAGTGTGGACCTGAATCAGAGTCTGCGTTTGATCTAGGTTCCCCGATGATTGGAACATTGACATCTGAGATGTACGAGTCAAAGACACCAGGTCATTTATTAAAACATCAGTTAAGGAATTGAATGGGTTTTTATTTTTCAGTCATGCGACCTACAGTTACTGAGGATGTTCTGGCCCAAACCTGTGACTAGAGATGGGCATATAAAGATAAATCATGAGTGGACTCTACTTGTAAGAAGCTGCAGTTCTAACCAGGAGGGAGTGATCATAACACACAAATACAATCAAGTATTACAGATGCTCTGATAGAACTGTATATGAGACGCAAAAAGGGCTGCTATCTAAATCCTTGGATGTGTGTGTAGGTTTTATATGGATATTTAGATGAAGAAGAGCATGATGCTTTCTTTGTTTTCTTTTTGTACCACAGTAAATGAATCCAAACTTTGTTGATAGTCAGAGTTGAATTGTTCCCATGTGTTTTTCTACCACAATTACCCATAACTAGTAATTTACTTACTTTGCAGGTAAATTCTTGTTATCTTCACCCTCTGATGGGGGCCTTTGTTTCATAAAGGGCTAAGCAAGCTCTGCGTTAGGTAGATGCCTTTCGTATCTGACTGACGCAAGTGTTAGGGTAACCACAGTGGGGAATAGCTCAGCTGGTCCCAGCTAACCATCCCTGCTTCTCAAGGCCGCATCCTTTTTACCCCTAGATTAAAAGGGAGAGCTTGAGAAAATATGCATAGCTAGGTCCTCCGGAGTCTTTCCTCACTCCCTTTTTGAGTTAACAATATGCCTAACAGGCTGTTTTCTGAAGTAAATTGGCAGTAAGTAGTGTTTGGGAATCAGAGATGGAATACTTGATTTGTCCAACTCCTCATTTAACTGTTTCTTGCTGCTACCTCTTGCACCCAGCAAAAACCTTTTGAATATTAGCTGAATGATTTGGGTTCACATGGAGCAAATCAAGCAAGATATGTCTCAGCATCTCTCCAAGAGTGAGAATCCATTTCCTGCTCTGTATTTCACCAGCTATGTAACTTTGAATAAACCATTTTACATGAAAATTGAGGCATAAATATATTTTGTATGTAGGTAGGATTTGGAGGATGAGTGGAGGAGTATGGAGGGACCAGGTCTGAAGGCACGTGTCTATGACCACTCTACTGCTTCTAAAACTGGACATTTCCATTTTAGATTTGATACATCGCTGCCAATTGCCGGATGGCATTTTGTTTTGTTTTGTTTAAAAGCTTGCCTGTACGTCTCAGAGTCTGAGAGGTGAGTTGCAATTTCCCTGTAGGTCAGAGAATCTGGGAGGTGAGTTGCAATTTCCCTGTAGGTCACAGAATCTGGGAGGCAAGGCAGAGAGGACAGGGCATGCACTAATATGAAGGTCTACAGCTTAGCTGTGCTGGCTGGAAGGTACTGCATTTCATTTCATCCAGGGGCTTTCCTCCAGAAGGATCACCACCTAGGAATGAAAGCCGCATGCTCTTTCATTCTTTCATTGTTTTCAGAAATCTATTAGAATGGAGAAGACCTCCTTCCCCCTTCTTCTAATCATATATAAATACAGTTCTTTTCATTTTCCCATTTTTCTTAAACATGATAATTCTGCCTTGTCTCTAAAGCTGAACTTATTTTCACTGCAACTTAGAGGCATTTTCCTTTATTTACTTGTCTATGAAAATGATGAGCTCTGAGTTAGAATTCTCTTAAACTTTTAGTCTGATTTAGGATAGTTATTAGCAGTTTTTCATTGAAACTCTCCCGGTTAGTTTATGCCTCTCTCCAAGGGAACCATTTCCTCTCCTTTTATCAGATTTGTATCTGTTTTTGAGACATTTGCCCGTTCCTCTACATCTTTTGAAAACGTGAGCACCTCTCTAAGGAATGCAGTAAGGACCCTTTGATGGTTAAGCTTAAAGAACTGAAAACTTTGGTCTGACTTAATAATTGATCTAAATAAAGCAGATAATTATGTGTTTATCACGAGGGCTTTTAAACATCTGCCTTTTCATGCTTAGAATATAGAATCCATCTTTTCAAGTTGTTTCTTAAAAAAACCAAAAACATTCCACTTTTCTTTTTTGTTCGTTTTGACCCTCCCAGGATTGTCAGCAGCCTGTGCCTCACTGTGTCTGAGTTCTATTAGAGAAACAGAGTAAAGAAGGATATATTTGGAAGGGACAGACAGTTGTACTTTTTAAGACTTACTTGTTGTGACATTTTGGACTTTTCATGTAGCTTCTTTATGACATAGTTTATTGAACCTTTCCAATTTTGTGGGTCTAAAGTAGGAATAACATGTTGTGGTTCTCAAAGTGCGATCTCAGACCCAGTCACATCAATCACCCAGGGCCTCTGTTTGATAATATGATCTCCAAGATTTTGTTCAGTTCTGATACTGTCTGATGCTCTGAAAATTTCCCATGATGTAACAGAATCTGATGAAGTATAAGAGGGGACCCAGGAATCCTTTTATAAAATGGGTATGAAGAAGACATAGTAATATGGTTTAGCTCTGTGTCCCCACCCAAATTTCGTCTTGAATTGTAATCCCCATGTGTCAAGGGAGGGATCTGGTGGGAGGGGATTGGATCATGGGGGTGGTTCCTCCATGCTGTTCTCATGATAGTGAGTGTGTTCTCACAAGATCTGATGGTTTAAACTTATATGGCAGTTCCCCCTTCATGCTCTCTCTTTCCTGCCACTATGTGAGATGTGCTTGCTTCCCCTTCACCTTCTGCCGTGATTGTAACTTTCCTGAGGCCCTCTAGCTATGCTTCCTGTCAAGGCTGCAGAACTGTGAGTCAATTAAACCTCTTCTTCTTTATAAATTGCCCATTCTCAGGCAGTTATTTATAGCAGTGAGAGAACAGACTCATACAACATAGATTCAGATAGAACATTTGAACTTGGAAATTAGGTTGTGAACAGCAACCTAAACCTTTTTTGCCTCATTGCCTAAGCTCTCATTGTGAGCACTGTTTTCATACATATGACCTTTAAAGGCAGTAAAAAACTTCTTGACAGTTCTTTTTAATTAACAGATATGAAATATTTTTTCATGCAGTCTGTGGCCAAATGAAAGTTTCTCAATCCTGGCTGCAGGTTCGAATCCCTTAGGTTTTATAGGTGTCCTGGTGCCTGACCCCCTCACTCCCTGTCTTCTATCCCCAAGATTCTGATTGAATTGCTGTGAGATGGAATTTGGACATCAGCATTTTCGAATGTGTTTCTTTGGTGATTCTGGTATTTAACCAATGTTTAAAACTACTGAATGGAATGCATACAGATTTATGGGATTTATAATTGTCATAAGGATATGTACAAATTATTTCCACAGATTTGTGCACCCAGAGAATAAGAGGAGTAGAAATTTTCTTTATGTTGTAAGTTATTGAACATTTCTTATCCTGTGGGTCTAAAGTAGTAACAACATGCAGTGGTTATTAAAGTGTGCTGTCAGACCCAAAGGCATCGATCACACAGGGATTTATTAGAAATGAAGATGGTTGGAGTTCTCCCCAGACCTACTGAATCAGAATCTCTGGATCCAGGACCCAAAAATCTGTATTTTAAAAAGACATTCCAGAGATATTGATGAACTCTAAAGTTTGAGAACCATCAGCTTTAAGGGTTGTTGTATGATTCGGTGGCAGTGTATGAAAATCTTAGCAAACTGCCTGGCATGGTGCGAGTCTAGTAAGCGGAGTACTCGAGAGATAGTGCTTTTGATTGCTTAGCAGTCTGAATTTGGCTTGGGGCTAGACCTGACAGTTCTTGGCTTAGCTACACTTTGAATTCTAAGACTGTTATTTATAAGGCAAATAGAGGCAAACTGAACCATTTCAAAGGTGTATCAGAACAACAAAACCTACTCACAGTCATTCTAATGTGCTCACTCTTCCATTCTTATACTTCTATTTCTCAGGGCCTAAACTGTGATGTTTTGATAATATCCAAAAGCAACTCACTTAATGATGGAGACTGCTGCCCTAACCCACAAAGTGTTGAGCAACTAAAATGCAAGGAAAGGCTACTCCTCCATAAATAGAAAAGATCTCTTCTCCAACACATCAAAAACATTATTTTTAATAGGAAAATAACAAATAAAGAACAGGTTAAAAGGTAGAAGTTTCTGTTTCCCCAATACAGTTTTTTGCAGACTATTTAAAAAGGTTTCATTCCAGGAACCATAAAGCTCTTGGATATATGTGTATAACTTAGATCACAGAGATCAGGTTCACTCCCTCAATAACTCTGACAGCAGTGTGCTTCTCTTGTTGGTAAGAGATGCTAGGTTTTTCTCGGTATCCCAAAGTCTCATTACTTCTTGCCTGGATTATGTATAGATTTCTAAATTGGGTGTTTCTTATTCATTTCTCCTAATCTGTCCTGCATGGACTTTTACATTAGTCTTTAGTAAATCGTATTGTAACCAAGTGTTTCTTTCTCAGAAATCCTTGGTGGATCTCTGCTGCATGCATGATAAAATTCAAACCCTTTTTTTGATGTGCAACATGTAAAAACCTTAATTTTATCGCATATCTAATCTTTATAACTCACTGGCATTATTTTACATTCCTGTGTCCCATGTTTTTCCTATGTCATGACTTGCTTTTTATTCTCTATGCTCTGAACTTTCTGATCGCCATGCCTACATTCTCCTGTCTCTCTACCAAGGATGGACGTACCTTCTACATCATGTTTCAGGAAAATTATATGATCCACTGAGACTTCCATGATCCTCCACTTTATCTTAATTTCCAGAGGTTATTCATGCATCTTTATAAATTACACCTTGTGTTATCTTTAGTTTTGTACAATTTTTCTTCCTCCTCTATTTGATTGAAAATGTATTGAGGGCAAGCACCAAGGTGTATAAAATTCAGTAACTCTATCTCCCACCCAAGCTCATTCTTCGCTTTGCTTAATATATTGACCCCTCTAGACTAGCTTTTATACCATTTCTAAATATCAAATCCGATACTCTTTCTTCTGAAAGTTAAGACTACTAATTAAGGCTACTAATTAAACTAAGATGGGGAATAATTGCTATACAACACAAAATTATGTGTCAAAGCCAATTATAAAAAAGTAAAATGCCAGCAAATATATCACGAGTACTATAACGTTGCATCCTTATTAACTTCATGTTGTTTACTTCTTTTCTGTAGGTGATTTTCTTCCACCCCCACCTCCACCTCTAGATGATTCCAGTGCCCTTCCATCTATCTCTGGAAACTTTCCTCCTCCACCACCTCTTGATGAAGAGGCTTTCAAAGTACAGGTAAGAGCTGAAGTTAAAGTCATGTTAGGTAAGAGCTGAAGTTAAAGTCATGTTTATAAGCCATCCTAGGGAGCTCATGAATTTCATGAGTGTTTCTGTGCTGGATAAACATTTATCCAGAGCCTATTGAGAGCTTTACAACTTATGAAGATCTAAGGTACTTTAATGCAACATACCCAACTCAAGCTTCCCAGAGTTCTGCTGGCTTACCCTCTGAAGCCCTCAAAATACTTTTGCCTACTAATTTTGTTTCAGATCCCAAAGCCATTTTTTTTTTAGGAATACTATTTGAGAAGGCAACATTTCCTTGTTATTTTGGAGGACATACAGCCATGTCTTTTTATTGCTATGTTCTCTATCTTCAAACATTGCATTCAAGTGAGTAAGGCTGACATTTTAAGGCTGTAGTTGGTTAATGTGGATCCTTTTGGTCAGCAACATTTTTCTAGCAAAAGCAACATCAAATATCCTTAGGATTTTCTCTTCTGGGTAAGTTCAAGGGTGCACATCATACTTATCAATTATATAGAACTCTTGGGTTCCAGCGAGTGGTAATTGCAAAGTAACTCGGGGCTGGGATCAGATGTGACATTAGAAGTGGTTCTCAGACTGTGATCATCGGTAACTGCCGAAAGCTGCCACCATTTAAGCTGAAGAAGTGCTTTATGTCAAGAAGAAAATCTAATAAAGTGATAGAATTATTGTTATAGTTTTAGGTGTGACTATGTTCGCATAGATACATTGAAGAAAAAAATGAGTCTTCTTTGTCTTTCAGAGAAACATTGGAAATGTTTGTAGATAAAATGGAATGGGCCGGGCGCGGTGGCTCACGCCTGTAATCCCAGCACTTCGGGAGGCCGAGGCGGGCGGATCACGAGGTCAGGAGATCGAGACCATCCCGGCTAAAACGGTGAAACCCCGTCTCTACTAAAAATACAAAAAATTAGCCGGGCGTAGTGGCGGGCGCCTGTAGTCCCAGCTACTTGGGAGGCTGAGGCAGGAGAATGGCGTGAACCCGGGAGGCAGAGCTTGCAGTGAGCCGAGATCGCACCACTGCACTCCAGCCTGGGCGACAGAGCGAGACTCCGTCTCAAAAAAAAAAAAAAAAAATGGAATGGTGTCTGGTAATTATTTTCAAAATAATAAGGGTTGGAAACTACTGAGTGAGAACATGGGTGAAATAGGGTTGGTTATGATTTGATAACTGTTGGGTGCATGGAAGTTTATTCTGTTATTCCGTCTACCTTTTAAAAAATACCTAATATCATTTGTGGAACATAAAATATATTGAATTATTGCTCATTAATTTTATCATTTGTTTTACAGTATTATTTTTTCATTTTAATTTTTGTAGCTACAAGTAGGATATGTATTTATGGCATACATGAGATATTTTGATATAGGCATACAGTCTTTTAAACATATACCTTTGTATATGTTTAAAATATCCTATAATAAGAAGTGTAAAAGAGAAAAAGTCTTAGGGAACAACTGCTTAAATGGTTTGTTCTATTATTTGCCTTTCTTTCTCCTAAATTTGAGGTTGAAGGAGACAAAGAAAGAAATGATTCATTCGCTCAACAAATATTCTGTATTCCTATGTGGGCATTATTCAAGCACTAGGAATGTTATAGCAAAAAAGACAGACACCACTCTGTCCTCAGGGAACGTAAAAGTTAGTGGGACTAGTGGAAATAAACAAGATACGCACATTACAAAGTACATTAGAGTGGATAAGTGGGGAAACAGGGAGGGGGTCAAGGCTTACCTACTAGGATGGGCATTATCAATATGGCCCCACTGAGAAGGCGACGCTTAAATGAGGACTTGAAGAAGGAGAGGAGGGAATGAGCTCTAGAGATTTCTTGGGGAGTGTATTTTCATATAGTAGATATTAAGAAGTAGAAAAGGCTTTTGATATTATCTATCATTTGAAATCAGTAAATTGCAGTTGTAACCAGTAAGTACCAATTCAGTTTCTGGAGTCTAGATCTTTTAAGGCTATTGAAAAATATGTGTATTGCAAATATAGGCCATGAATTTCTTGCATTTTATTTTGGTGTATACTAATAAAATCAACTATCAGATGCCAGTGATGAATGAGAGTCCTATAAAGTTTGTATTTATTTTATGTAACAGATAGAACCTTTGGCAAATAAAACCAATATGAGTGATTTTTCTTAATTTTAGTCATTTTTTAATAAAATGAGGAAATCCTTAGCTTTGGCTTTAATATACCTTTGGTCTTACTTTGCTGAAGTTGGTTTTTTGCATATTGTTTAATATGTACAATTTTTAAAGTCACTGACTCTGTTTCCTCTCTTAGATTGTCATAGAAACTATTTTGTTGCATTTTAAATCTTTAGTTCTCACAATGTTATTTGAAGTAGTGACAGAAGACTCGTGATTGAAAACTAGTTACATAGATTATTCTAGTTGTGTGATCTTGCGCAATGCATGCTGAGTCCCGGTTTCCTCTTCATTAGAAACAAAACAAATATATATACCTCTTACAATTAAATGAAATACAGATGGATTTGAAAGTATTAAACTGAAAGGGCTATACAAATATTTTGATGTTATATTAATAATCACTATTAATATGTAAGAAGACTAGTAAGGATTTTCCAGTGGGTTCCATTAAAAAATTCAACCATGGGGCTTTCAAAAGATAATGAAGAATTTTTTTCAGGTGGACCTTGTTCTGTTAGATGTACTCAAGCCGTGGCTTTGTTTTTGAAGAGGAAGGAAATAAACAAAATGCCTGTTGTCATGTTGGCTTAAGTTCTCTGTAAAACAGAAGGGAGGAGGATAAAAAATAAAATACGGTTTGCCAAATGGAAAAGGACAAATCTGGTAGGGAGAGGCCTGTTATTTTTGAGACGCTTCATATGGAAGATTGTTGATACATTCAAAAGAAAACGAACATGCCCTCCCCTTGTGCAGAAGTGACTTAGATGTGATAGCGGCTTGGTCCTGCTCTGGCCCAGGTTTGTACCAGCTATAGAAATGAGCCATGGTAGAGCCTAAAGTAGCATGATCACTGGAGAAAATTCTGCGCAGTTTCCTCTCGGCTATGGTTAAAACCTCATGTTCCCAAGTCCAAATTATAGCTGGTAAATGTGTGTTTTTATGCAGAAGACTGTTTATGTTTCCAGCCAGATTTTCAGGTCAGAGCCAAAAGAACGTCTACTAAGAGTGATTATAAGAGTTGTAAGATTTTGAGAGCAGAAAGGGACCTTAGAGATCATTTAGTCCAACTCTGGCGCCAGGCATCTAGTTACAGTCCTTTCAAGTATTTGCTAAATTAATTTCCTTTTTTTTTTTTTTTTGGAAATGGGGAAACTGAGACCCAAGAAGGGATGGATCCTCTGGTTTCTGACAGAGGTCTTATTGAATTTGAAAAATCTTGACTCCTGGCCTTGACCTTCTTCCTGCTGTCCCAGATGGCCCATGAACTTGGTTTTGCTTTAGTCCTCTAGCAGACTTCAAGGCTCTGAGATTCATTGCAGAGGGTTACACGTTTTTATTTGGAAGGAGCAGGTGATGCCGGAGTTTTGCTTGGCTGTCTGAATTTTTGATATATGCTATAAGCTTTTATTTCTTCAAAAAAGGCAAATAAATATTTAGCCTTAAGGATTCTTGGTTTAACAGTTCTCATTTTCATGTGGGAAGATGCAACTTGGAAAACAGGGGAAGGATTTGGTTTGCTTTTCTGTCAGGATCAACGTGACCTCCATGCCTGTGATGTTTGTAGTGACACTTCAGCAATCACTTTATTAATTCATTTGTTCTTCATTCATTCAGTGTAAATTGAATGCTTCTTGTAAGTAGACATATATGCTAGTGATTATAGCCTTAAAACTTGGCATCATAGGTTTAATGCTCTGAGTCTCAGCCTTGGGACGGTCAGTTAGTTTTATTTATTTATTTATTTATTTATTTATTTTGATACAGAGTCTCACTCTGTCACCCAGGCTGGAGTGCAGTGGCGGGATCTTGGCTCACTGCAACCTCCACCTCCCAGGTTCAAGCGATTCTCCTGCCTCAGCCTCCTGAGTAGCTGGGACTACAGGCACCCACCACCACGCCTGGCTAATTTTTTTGTATTTTCGGTAGAGATGGGGTTTCACTATATTGGCCAGGTTGGTCTCAAACTCCTGACCTTGTGATCCACCCGCCTTGGCCTCCCAAAGTGCTGGGATTACAGGCATGATCCACCGCGCCCGGCCAGTTAGTTTTATTCTTATCTGACCCCACAGTTGGTAATTTCTTCCTCTTTTCAGCCAGGCCATAGGCAAGTATTAGTATTATATAACATTGCTTAAGGTAGTTACAAAGAAGTCACGTGTCTCAGAATTTTGGACTTGCAAGAGAATTAGAGTTAATACATTCAAGTTCCTTTCTATTGTTTGAATCTTGTAATTTTTTCCTACATAACAAAATGTTTATGGGTAATTATGATAGGTGAGGCAGTGCTGCAGGATAAGGAGATGGATCAGTACAGTACTCAGAATCACATTCGGAAGATGCATATACACAGTCATTTAAGTCATTTTATGGTAAATTATGCTTTGGTCATCATACATTGATCAGAAGCATAATCTAAGTCCTAGGTTAGTGGTGGAGAGTGAGGGAAGTAAATTAACTGTGACTGGAGAGAGGCAAGAAGGATTCATAGAAACAATTTAAATTGAACTGAACTTTGATGGCTGGGTGGGACCTTAATTTTCAGATAGGTGAGTGGATTTTTCAGCAATAAAATAAAAGAATTAAAACACAGAGGAAGGAGAGCTCAAAGTAAGTGTGGTAGGCCTTGTGTTTCTAACTGTGGAACCTACTCTTTGTTCTGAAACCATTGACAATTTATTGTAGGGGCTTGTTATTATTTTAAATATAAGGGTGATATCCCCAGAACTGTTGTTGGATGCCAAGTGATACTGTTAACATAAATTAAGGCAAAACATGTTGCACTTGCAGGAAACCCCATGCAAACAATTCTGAGTTGTCTGGTAGACTTCCTTCAGATCCATGGGGACTTACCTGCTGACATCTGATGGCTTTGAATTCAGGGGCTCAATATTTAACTTCCTCTTTTTATGATATCTTTGTTCGTCTTTTCTTGGTGACTTCCAGTTGACAACTTCTAACTCTGCTTCTCTGTTTGTTTCCCAGTCCTGTGGCTTGCTTTCATTTGCCTACTATTCAGTATTTGCATACCTCTGGTTTTCATCTTTCCTTTTCTGTTTGGTCCTGCAAAATGGCCAGGCTTGCTAATGTAACTCCAGGCCCTCCACATTAGAAAACAGAGGGGTTTTGTCCATTGGTGATTACTTCAAATGTTAAACATTTCTCTTTGTTATTGAGTAGAAATGTGTCCCTTTATGATGTCCTCATATTGGTTTTCTTTCCCCTTTTAAAAAGTGATGCAAAGTCAGAGGAATGACCAGGCCAGGAGAGAGATAGGTGCTGTATGTCTCAAGGAGTTGATGAGTAAAGCTACTGAAAGATGTTACTTTTCAAAGGAGTGAGTAAGCACAGAGTAACATGAGCTATGCCCAGAATTAGTGGAAAAGTAGAGAAATGTCTGAAATTGTTTATTTTAAAGTCAGCCTCCAAAAGCTCTTGAGCATCTATTCTTGTGAAAACAATTCAAAGCTCATATATGTGTATGATGAATAGTGGCTTATAATCTTTTTTCTTTTTTTTTGAGACAGAGTCTTGCTCTGTTGACCAGCCTCTGCCTCCTGGGTTCAAGCGATTCTCCTGTCTCAGCCCACCGAGTAGCTGGGACTTTATAAGCACGCCCCACCAAGACCGGCTAATTTTTTGTATTTTTAGTAGAGATGGGGTTTCGCCACACAGGCCAGTCTGGTCTTGAACTCCTGACTTCGGGTGATCCGCCCACCTCGGCCCCACGAAGTGCTAGGATTACAGGTATGAGCCACCATGCCCGGCCTCATTTTCCTACTTACTAATTTTATGTGTTTAGTTTAACAATGATAATTTGAAAATCAATTCAAGTTTTAGCAAAACTGGCACTGGAATTTTTTTTTTTTTTTTTTTTTGGGACAGAGTCTCGCTCTGTTGTCCAGGCTGGAGTGCAGTGGTGTGATCTTGGCTCACTGCAAGCTCTACCTCCTGGGTTCATGCCATTCTCCTGCCTTAGCCTCCCAAGTAGCTGGGACCACAGGCACCCACCACCACACCTGGCTAATTTTTTTAGTTTTTTATTTTTAGTAGAGACGAGGTTTCACCGTGTTAGCCAGGATGGTCTCGATCTCCTGACCTCGTGATCCGCCTGCCTCAGCCTCCCAAGTGCTGGGATTACAGGCGTGAGCCACCGCGCCTGGCCGGCACTGGAATTTTTGTCTTGTGATTCCATGTAGGACTATCATGGTCTCAGGTACAGAACAACAGGATTTTATTTTTAGACATAAGGAACTCAAACCTACAGTATGGCCACATTCATTCATGAACTCACAGAAATAGGCAGCTGAACTGGCTTTACGTGGGTTGGACCACCTTATCATAAAAGTCTGTCTTTCTGCTGCCGGTTAGTGTGATAAAGGAGGAGGAGGCTGGGTATGAAAAGAGATGTCGGCTGTGGAGATTAAGAGTAGAGGTAGTGGACAGTGTTGCCAGGGCAAAAACAACATGGTCAGCAAGAGCTTTAATGTATTCTAAAATGCTTGTTTTCAAAAGGGTGAGAATACAAGGATATCTTGATCCATGAAAACATACCAAAGAGATGATTGAGATGCTTATTTCTTCCTGGCCCTTTGCCTAGTTCCTTTTGGGTCAGCAAACCCCAGTTGATTTGTAGCTTGTTTGTGACCCTGACAGCAACAGTAGCAGCAGCAGCAGCAGAAGCAGCAATAGCAGCAGCAGCTTGCTTTGCAATTATCTCCTATTTTTATGGTCCACATATGTAGGTCATTGTGTGTTTATTAAGGCTGGGTAGGCTCTTAGCATGTCACTGGCTCTGGTCATTGTGACTTTCTAGAAGCGAATGTCACAGTTTTCCTGGTTGCTTTTTGCTCTTAATCATCATCTGATTGGTTATTCAGATAAGAAGATGGACATTTTTGTTGTCTGGACTTGTAAAAACCCTTTTGACAGTAGCCGACCTAGAGTCCAGGGGAGTATTCCAATATTTCATTTAGCATTAGGAAACTTTTAATGGAATATCATAGTTTCTCTTCTTTACTTTTTAAGAACTTAAAGAGGTAAAACTTTCCCCTGGGATTGATAGTGGAGTATGTGTACATATACACATACCCACCTACTCACCTATATCAACCTGATTACCACTGCCACCACTACCTTGAAATAATTTGTGACACATTTATACTCTCTGCAGTGAAAGATTGGTTAACTGCTCGACAAAAAAAAGTCTTGTGGGGAATTGATGGTGGTTAGTTCTGTTGAATGTAGGGATAACCAATGAGGTTAGCTTTGCCTTAGCTCCTGAGTTTCTGTATAGGGAGTAATATACTATGCTTGCATATTTCAGAACATTTCCTTTGCTCAAAGTTAAGTGAGACTATAGTTGGTTCTTTTTGAGTCAGTGAAAGTTTTATCCCAATTTGTCTCTCCCATCAAGAGTCTTAGTGGTTTCTTCAAAGGTGAAATGTACTTATTGTTTTTTTTATTTTAACTTACAAAAAAGTAGTGGGTCTTTTTCTACTTATAAGAAAGTAATGTCAGCCGGGTGTGGTGGCTCACACCTGTAATACCAGTACTTTGGGAGGCTGAGGTAGGTGGATTACCTGAGGTCAAGGAGTTCGAGACCAGCCTGGCCAACATGATGAAACCCCATTGTTACTAAAAATACAAAAATTTGCTCTGTGTGGTCGTGTGTGCCTGTAATCCCAGCTACTCCAGAGGCTGATGCAGGAGAATTGCTTGAACCCAGTAGACAGAGGCTGCAGTGAGCCGAGATTGCACCATTGCCCTCCAGCCTGGGTGACAAAAGCGAAACTCCGTCTCAAAGAAACAAACAAACAAAAACAGTAACGTAAAAAAATCAAACGATGTAGATTAGATATTTTCAAATTTATTTCTCTATGAGGGAAAAATTATGATCTGCTTATATGTCCTGCTCCCAATAAACACGCCAAATGATGCTTGAACATTCTTTTCTTCCCTGCTCCATCCCACATTCTATTAAAATAATTTGGAGAATATGTTGTAACATTTTTAACTTTATAGCAAATCTCTTTTGAGAATTGTTTCTTGCATTAAATTTTATAACCACATCAGTAATAAACTGTAACTTTTACCTGTTTGCTGTGCTATTTTCTATTTACTATCTTTTTCTTGTATTCATCATCTTGATTCTTCTCTTTTTTGTTCTTTTTTTCTGCCATAGTACTTCATTAAGTAATTTTATGGGAAGGCTACATGCTTGATGTATTTCCTGAGTCTTTGTATATCTAAAATGAGTTGTTATTGCCTTCATATTTGAGTAAAAGCTTGGCTATAAGTAGAATTCTCGGGTCAAATTTGCTTTACTTCAGTATTGTACCAAGATTTGCACACTATCATTTAGTATCATTTAGTATTCAGTGCAGCAGATGAGAAATCTGATGCCAGTCTGATTCCTTTTCCAGTTTAGTAAATTTTTCTTGTTTGGTCTATAGGCTTTATTTGTGGGATTCAGCAATTTTACTAAACTGTGTCTAGACACAGCTCGCTTTTTACCTATTCTGCTATTTCTACTCAAGTCAAGGTTTTCTTTATGTAAATGGGATTTTCTTCTTTCTTTTCTTCTTTTCTTTTCCTTTCTTTCTTTTCTTTCTTTCTTGAACTCCTGAGCTCAGGTGATCCTCCTGCCTCAACCTCCTAAGTAGCTGGGACTAAAGGTGTGTACCACCATGCCCAGCTAATTTATTTATTTATTATTATTTTATTTTTGTAGAGACAGGGTCTTGCTATTTTGGCCAGGCTGATCTTGAACTCCTGGCCTCAAGCAGTTCTCCTGTCCTGATGCCTCTCAAAGTGCTGGGTTTACAGGTGTGAGCCACTGCTCCCAGTCAAGATTTTCTTATAATATGTTGAAAATATATTTTAATCTTTCATTCACCTTTTTCTTCTTTATGAACTCCTACTATATGGAATTGGATTTCTTCTCTATTCTTCATATTAGTTTTCTTTTTCCAATAGTTCTACTACATGGAGGGATTTCTGTTGCTTACTTCCCTTTTATATTCTTAATTTTTGTGGTGATAGTCTGCTTTTGACTTATAAATGCTCTATAAAACTGAATTTGGGGAGAGTATTTGGTAGGAGTGGCTCTGGATATCTGTTGTTCAGGGTAGCTAGCTTGCACTTAAACCTTTATCTTTTATCTGAAATGGGAATATATAGTTATTTAAATGCAGGGTGGCCATAGGGTATATACGTTCAGTCTTCAACCATATATGTAATTAGGGGATGCAGGCCAGCAGAAGAATTGCCCTTAGATGCACAGGTCAAGAGCAGACCAGCAAGGTTAATCTGGGTCCTCAAGGCTAATGGTTTGGGGATTCATAGGCAGGTAGCAAAGCCCCTCCCTTACATGCCATACATGTATGCCAGGTGAGGGCTGCAGGAGCTGTGGCCAGCGCTTATGTATATTGATCTCTAGTTGAATTCTCAAGCCCCTTTGATTTCCTCCCTCATTGTGTTTTCATCGGTGACTTTGCTTCTCAATGACACACTGTCACCAGCGGTGCTGGGAATTGTGGCAGAGTCCTTTTTGTTAGAAAGCATAAACTCATTAAATCACTTCAGTCAAATCACTTTTGACTGACTTTCATTAAATACCCCTAACGTCCATTCTAAAGAGCCTTGCCCCACCCCTCACCCTTTTTGTTATGACAGTTCCTGGTGTCCTGCTCAGGTCCTGGTGTCTTTTGCTATGTATCTCAAACTCACTTTGCTGCCTGTGAGGAGTTCATCACAGAAAACGTGCTCTCTGATAGCATTATCTAAGCCAAAGAAAGCTTCAGAGACAGCATAATGCGATGGTTAACACTGCAAGTGCTCTTCCAGGCTTCCTGGGTACACATCTGGCTTCCTGCTTACTGGCTGCATGACTGTAACGTGCTGCTCAACCTTTCTGTGGCCCACTTAAATCCTCTGTAAAATGGGTGATTGATTGTTGTGAGGTTTCAAAGACATAATGCACATAAAGAATATTTTATGTAATTGACATGTCCTAAAACTTAGTAAATATTTTCACTGTTGTGATATTTTGGGCTAGCAGGTCTCTGTGCTGGGTTTTGCCATAGTTGTCACTGACATTTGATTTGCACCATGCCTCCTCAGAGTTAACCCGTGATCCCATCCCTTGCTATTATAAGGTTCAGGATTTTATATATATATATATATATTTTATTTATATTTTATTATATATTTTTATATATTTATATTTATATTTTATTATATATTTATATTATATTTATATTTATTTATATATATTTATAAATATATAATATATATATTTATAAATATATATATATTTTTTTTTGCAGAAGAAATACTCCCACAAACTTCCTCTATAAAATGAATGATTGAATTAAATAATCATGTAGCTCTCTTACAGCTCTAAAATTCAGTGCCTTGGTAATAAAATATCACTTCTTTGTAATTTCATGGTGATTTATAATTTGCAAAATACATTATAACAGCACAAGTATAATTTAACTAATGAAATAAAAATGAGGATCCAAGAGTTGAAGGAACTTGTTTAGATCTCATAATTGTCATGAAAGCAGTTACTTATTTTTAAATAGACAATAACAAAATCATTTCGGTGACTTTTTACAAATGAGAGAATGTGGATACTCTTAAATCCTCAAAAAGCAGCCATTGTCGTCAATAATATATGTTGATGTTTAGTAACCATGAACCTCCGAGGTAGTTTTCTTTGTAATTTTTTAGTGGAAGATTAGCACATCTTCCATCCTGGCCTCTAGCATATTTTCTGACAAACCCCTTGTTGATTGTATCACATACCTTTTATCCATGGATTTGGTACGAAAGCCCTATTGGGCCCACAAATCTTTCGGTTCTTTTGTAATTTACATAATCCAATCAACAGGGGCACAGAAACACCTTGTTCTGAAAGAAGGAGTGAAAGGGAGTAGAGGATGCTGACACCAAAAACCTAGGGCACTAACTCATATTTTATCTCTGAATATAGTACTTTGAAACCCTAGTGTCTTAGGAAGGTTTTCTGTTCATAGCTGATTTCACTTGATCCATTCAAAAGTCAAGCATTTTTGTACTCTTACTATATAACTTAAAATATATTATAGCATGGGGTGTTTATACCAATCCTTGAGGGGTTAAGCTATTATTATCATTATTTTATCATTAACTTCTGTGAGTTTGACTTGTACAGGGCCTCCTAGCCTGCAAATTTCAAAATTGACGTCTTTTTTTTTTGAGACAGGGTCTTCTTGCTCTGTTGCCCAGTCTGGAGTGCAGTGGCATGATCTCCACTCACTGCAGACTCCACCTCCAGGGTTCAAGCCATTCTCCCGCCTCAGCCTCCTGAGTAGCTGGGATTACAGGCACGTGCCATCACACCTGGCTAATTTTTGTATTTTTTTTAGTAGAGACAAGGTTTCACCATGTTGGCCAGGCTGGTCTCGAACACCTGACCTCGTGATCTGCCCACCTCAGCCTCCCAAAGTGCTGGGATTACAGGCGTGAGCCACTGCACCCAGCAAACATTGCTTTTTTTAATAAAAGACTTTCATATACTTTATCTCACTTGAACCTTTAGACAACTTCTGCAAAGGGAAAGGTAGGGAGGATTCTCCATCTTGTATCAGTGAAGGCTCTGGGGCTCTGAGGTTAAGCAGCATTCCAGGTTTCCATGGCATTAACTGTCCCAGGCAGGGATGAAGCTCTCTGAGACGTGCCAGTCCATTTCTCTCTCCATTGCCATCGCTGCTGTATTGTTACTCTCCCTTTATATTCATTTTTAGTGAAGGAAACAAAACAGCAGTTGTCACTTTCCTTTCCCAGTAGTTTCATTATTTGCTGTCACCAGTTCTGTTGCAGGATCCTCTATTGTAATATTGTCTTCAGATTTTAAAAAATGTATCTCTACATATTGGAAGAAAGCACTGTGGTGGAAAATACAGGAAAACTGTGTACAGACCTGTTAAATGGAAATGTTTTCATAATTTTTAGTTAGTTTTATTTGTATTTTACTAATGAAATTTAGTAAAGATGTCAATGTCAATCTTTCTTACTACGGAAATAAGTTAAATTTTGCCAACTAGTGGAAAAAAAGTTTCTGTGGCATTTTTTTTTTTAAGGAATACAGGATTGATACAAGAATGAGAGCATTCATATTATAAGAAATATAAGTTTTGTGGTTTTTTTTGAAATAAAAATTTGGTTTATGAGAGGCTTAAAAAATGAATAAATTCCCTTCTTTCCTGATAGTTTCTGTCGTTCCCTTGGGGATTAAAGGAGTGTGAATCTATCCTACAGCCACTTCCTCTCTGAACTGTAGATGACACATCAGGATGTGATTTGGGGTAGATCAAGCCTCAGAGTCGAATCTCAGTGTCTAGCCGTAGAGGTGGTATGATAGTATGATAATTCCACATGTCCTGCCTTCTGGGCTTTTTGACATTCATAGCATTTCTAAACAAGTGAAGGATTTATCTTAAAAAATAAAATTTTAGTATTTTCTTCATTATTCGTGAGCTTTAATTCTTTCCATTAGAAATTATGTCATCCCCATATTTAGAGCAATGAATAATTGCATAACTTTTAAATTGTGTATTTGATGGTATGGTGTATATTGAAAAGAGAATGAGAAACTATCCCCTGAATAGAGATTTAGTGATTCAAGCCATCACTTTCTAAAATATACGCACTTCAGAGTGAAAGTTCAGTGTCAGAACTTCATAGAGTGTCTGGCCAGCTAGAGTTAGGTATTTCATGGAGAGATGATCAAACAATTGAACAGAAAATACAGCAACCAGAAGAGTTTTTCACTGTGCATGTTCAGAAGACTTCATCATTTTTATTATCATTTTATATCAAGCCATTTTATAAGTAGAGATGTGTCTAGAGGATTGTTTTCATTTCCTTTTAGCTCATTGAAAGTCATACAGTGTCACTTTAGTAATTCTCTTCTTGCCCAGTGGGGATAGAAACCAGTTTTGGGCCACGGCAACTATATAGAAGTATTTTCATAGAGTTACAGATTCATTAAATGAGACCCTCTCTCCTCCCCTTAACACCCACTGTGTTTCTGCTATAATGAGGATTTAAGCAACAGTCCCAACATGAACTAGCTCATTTCAGTACTAGGGAAATGGCTGTTGCATGGGTTTACCACCTCTGATTCTGCAACAATTGTTCTTTTTCTGACAGCGTCTTCTACCTCCTCCAGGCAGGCACAACTCTTGATGACTTGAACCTCCTATGTTCTTTTTTTTCCCCCCCAGCTTGTAAAATTATGGTAAAATACACATAATATAAAATTTACTATCTTCACCGTTTAATGTTCTGTTCAGTAGCAATATGATGAAGTACATTCATATTGTTGCAACTGTCACCAGTATCCATCTTCAGAACTCATTTCATCTTGCAAAACTGAACCTCTATACCGCTTCACCAATAACCCCCCATTCCACTCTCAGCCAGCCCCTGAAACCACCATTCTACTCTCTGTCTCTAAGATTTTAACTTCACGAGCACATGGTAAAATTGTAATCAGATTGTATTTGTCTTCGCAACTGGCTTATTTTACTTAACATAATGTCCTCAAAGTTTATCCATGTTGTAGCATATGTCATGCTATATATATGTCATGTTCTGCTTATCCGTTCTTGTTAATAGACATTTGGGTTCTTTCCCCATTTTACCTACTGTGGGAATAATGCTGCTATAAGTATGGGTGTAGAAATCACTCTTTTGGACCCTGCTTTCAGTTATTTTGAGTATATACCCAGAAGTGAATTGCTAGATAACATGGTAGTTCTATTTTTAATATTTTGAGGAACATTCATACCATTTTCCACAGCAGCTGTACTGTTTCCATTCCTCACAACAGCACACGAGTTCTGATTTCTCCACGTCCTTGCCGACACTGTTTTTTGTCTCGATAATAGCCATCCTAATGGGTGCAGAGTGATAGCTCATTGTAGTTTTGATTTGCATTTCTCTAATGATTACTGATTTTGAGCATCTATTCATGTATGTATTAGCCATTTGTATATATATATCTTCTTTGGAGAAATGTCTATTCAAGTTCTTTATTCATTTTTGAATTTGACTTTTTTTTCTTTTTGAGTTTTGTAAGGTCTCTATATATTCTGAATATTAATCCCTTATCAGGTATGATTTGATAATACTTTCTCCCATTTTGAAGATTGCCTTTTTACTCCATTGATACTGTCTTTTGATTTTTAATTTTTATGAAATTCAATTTGTCTCTTGTGTTATTTGTGCCTTTTGTGTCATATTAAGACATTCGTTGCCAAATTCAATGTCATGATGCTTTTGCATATGTTTTATTCTAATCTACAATTTTAGATGTTACCTTTAGGTCATGGATCCATTTCGAGTTAACTTTTATAATTATGCTAGGAAAGAGTCCACCCTTACTCTTTTGTGTGTGGATATTAAATTTTCCCAGCACCATTTGTTGAAAAGACTGTCCTTCCTGTATTAAATGATCTTGGTGCCCTTGTAGGCAGTGACTTGAACATATATCTGAGGGTTTATTTCTGGACTGTCTCTTATGTGTTATTATGCCAATAGCACACTGTTTTGCTTACTTTAGCTTTGTATTAATTTTTGAAATCAGGAAGTGTCGGTCCTCCACCTTTGTTCCTTTTTACTCAGGATTGTTCTGCCTATTTTAGGTCATTTCATATTCCATATGAATTTTAGGATAGGTTTTTCTACTTTTTAAAAAATGTCACTGGGATTTTGATCGGGACCGCATTAAGTCTGGATATCATATTGGTTGATATTGACATCTTAGTTATATTAAGTCTTGCATTCTATGAACATGAGATGTCTACCATTTATTTATGTCTTCTTTAATTCCTTTCTGAAATGTATTCAAGTTTTCATTGTTCAAGGCTTTTAACTATTTATTCACGTTAATTTCTAAGTATTTTGTCTTTTATTTTTTGATGCTATTGTATATGGAATGATTTGCTTAATTTCCTTTTTGAATTGTTCATTGTTGATACAAATGTAAGTGATTTTTGTGTAGTAACTTTATATGCTCTACTTGGCTAAATTCACTATTTAGTTCTAATAGTCTTTGTGTCCAATCTTTAGGGTTTTCTACATATAAGATTATGTCATCTACAAGAAGAGATGATTTAATTCTTTCTTTTTAATTTTGACACCTTTATTTTTTTTTCTTCCCTGATTACTCTGATGAGGACTTCCAGTATTACACTAAATTGTTATGGCAAAAGCTGGTATTCCTAATCTTAGAGGAAAAGCTTTCAGTCTTTTATCATTGAGTATGATTTTCTCTGTGGGTTTCCATCTGTGGCTTTTGCTATGTTGAGATAGTTTTCTTCTATTCCCAGTTTGTTGAATATTTTTCTTATGAAAGGATATTGAATTTTGTCAAATGCTTTTCTGTGTCAATTGAGAAGATAACTTTTTTTCCATTCTGTTAATATAATATATAACCTTGATTTGTTTGTTGAGTATCCGTTCGTTACAATAATAAATTTCACTTGGCCATGATATATCAAACTTGTAATATGCTATTAAATTTGACTTGGGATATTTGATTGAGGATTTTGCATCAATGTTTATTAGGGATATTGTTCTGTACTTTTCATGTAGTATCTTTGTCGGACTTTGATGTCACAGAATGAGTTAGGAAGTGTTTCCTTCTTTTTAATTTTTTGGAAAGATTTGAGGATAATTGTTGTTAGTTCATGTATCAATGTTTGGTAGAATTTACTAGTGAAGCCATGGTTCCAGATTTTTTCTTACTCAGATTTTGGATACTGATTCAATCTTCTTAGTATTCATAGCATATTCAGATTTTTTATTTGTGGTTTAGTCTTGGTGCATTTTGTGTTTCTTGAAAATTTCCCTGTCATCTGGGTTATCGAATTTTTTGCCACACACTTGCTCATAGTACTCTCTTAAATCTTTTTTATTTCTGTAGAATTGTTAGTAATGCCCCTACTTTTATTTTTGTCTTTTGTAGTTTGAGTCTTCTCTCTCTGTCTCTCTCTCACTTCATCTAGCTAAAGGTTTGTCAATTTTGTTGATCTTTTTTAAGAACTGTTGGATTTTGTTAGTATTCTCTATTATTTTTCTATTCTCCATTCTACTTATTTCTACTCTTATCTTTATTATTTCTTCCCTTCTGGTAGATTTGGGTATGGTTTTTTCTTTCTTTTTTTCCAAGTTTCACAATCTGTAGATTTAGGTTGTTGGTTTGACGTCTTTCTTATCTTTAAATTTAATGGTGTATAGCTATAAATTGCCTCGTTTGCACTGTTTTCACTGTTTCCCATACGTTTGGTATGTTTTCTTTCATGTTCATTCATTTTTAAGTATTTTTCTATTTCCCTTGTGATTTCTCCTTTGATCCATTGTTTGTTAAAGAGCATATTATTGGCTGGATGCAGTGGCTCACACCTGTAATCTCAGCACTTTGGGAGGCCGAGGTGGGAGGATCACGAGGACAGGAGTTTAAGACTAGCCTGGCCAACATAGTGAAACCCCATCTCTACTAAAAATTACAAAATATTGGCCGGGCGTGGTGGCTCACGCCTGTAATCCCAGCACTTTGAGAGGCCGAGGCGGGTGGATCACGAGGTCAGGAGATCGAGACCATCCTGGCTAACGCGGTGAAACCCTGTCTCTACTAAAATTACAAAAAATTAGCCGGGCGTGGTGGCGGGCACCTGTAGTCCCAGCTAATCGGGAGGCTGAGGCAGGAGAATGGCCTGAACCCTGGAGGCGGAGGTTGCAGTGAGCCGAGATCACTCCAGCCTGGGTGACAGAGGAAGACTCCATCTCAAAAAAAACAAAAACCAAAAAACAAAATATTAGCCGGGCGTGGTGGTGGGCACCTGTAATCCCAGCTACTCGGGAGGCTGAGGCAGGAGAATCGCTTGAACCCAGGAAGCAGAGGTTTCAGTGAGCTGAGGTCGTGCCATTGCACTCCAGCCTGGGCAACAGTGTGAGACTCCATTAAAAAAAAAAACAAACAAGTATATTATTTAATTACTGCAAATTTGTGAATTTTGCAGTTTTACTTATGTCTATTTATTTCTATTTTTATCCCATTGTGCTCAGAGAAGATACTTTGTATGACATCTACTTTTTCAAATCTATTGACCCTTATTTAGTTTATGGGCTTATTCATGTTCTATCCTGGAACATGTCCCATGTGCACATGAGAAGAAGGTGTATTCAATTGTTGTTCAAGTCCTCTATTTCCTGACTTACCTATTGTTTGGCTGTTCTATCCACTGTTAAAAGTTGGACGTTGAAATCTCTATTATTATACAACTGTCTATTTCTTCCTTCAATTCTGGTAATTTTTGGTTTATATATTTTGATGATCTTTTATTAGGTGTGTATACATTTACAATTGTTACATATTCTTGATGTATTGAGCCTCTTATTAATATAATGTTCTTCATCTCTTTTTTGTCTTTTAGCCTTTTTTGACTTAAAATCTATTTTCTCTGATATTTTGCTAGTCTGCTTTTTGTGGGTTACTATTTGCATGAAATGGTGTTTTCTGTCCTTTCATTTTAAACTGTTTGTGTCTTTGGATATAAAGTCTCTTGTAGACAACATATATTTGGGTTATGTGTTTTAATTTATTCTGCCAACCCGTCTTTTGACCAGAGAATTTAATTCATTTACATTTAAAGTAATTATTGATAAGTAGAGAATTACTTCTTATTTTCCTACAGATGCTCCTTAAGTTGTGATGGGGTTATGTCCCACTAAAACTGTCTTAAGTTGAAATAATTGTAAATTTAAAATGCATTTAATATACCTAACATACCAAACATCATGGTTTAGCCTAACCTACTCTAAACATACTCAGAACACTTGCATTAGCAGACAGTTGGAAAAAAATCACCTAATATAAAGCTTATTTTATAATAAAGCTTTAATTATCTTATGTATTTTATTGTATGTTCTACTGAAAGTGAAAGACAGAATAGATGCTTCAAGTATCGTGTTTAATGAATGTGTATCACTTTTACACCATCATATGGTAAAAAAATTGTAAGTCAAACCCTTATAAAATTTATAAGATTATAAAACCATTTATATTTATTTTCTATATGCTTTATAGTTTCTTTGTCCTTTATTTCCTATATAATTTTTTTTGTGTATTCAATTGATTTTTTGTAGTAAAATATTTAAATTCCTACCTGATTTCTTTTGTGTATATTCTGTAGCTATTTTCTTTATGGTTACAATGGGGGTTACATTTAACATCCTAACGTTATAACACTCTAATTTGAAGTCATACCAGCTTGACTTAGATAACATACAAAATTCTGTTCCTTTTTCAGTTGTTGATGTAACAAAATTACATCTTTATACATTGTGTACACAACAACATAAGCTAATAATTTAATACACTCATTTCTTAAATTGTAGAAAACAAAATTGGGCTTACCAATCAAATTACAATAATATGAGATTTTAAATTTGTAATTTAAAAAAATATTAGTTTCTTAAATCATGTAGAAAACAAAAAGTAAAGTCACACATCATGATTACAATGATGTTAGCTCTTATAAGCGTCTGCCTATTTGCCTTTTCTGACATCTGTATTTCTTTGTATGATTTTTGAGTTACTCTGTAGTATCATTTCTTCTCAACCTGCAGGCTTCCTGTTAGCATTTCTTGCAGGAGAAATCTAACAGTAATAAAGAACTCTCTCACCTCTTTTTTTTTTTTTCATGACTGGCATTTTGATTTTCTTTCTCACTTTTAAAATAAAATTTTGCCAGATGTAGGATTCGTGGTTGATAATTTTTTTTCCTTTTAGCACTTTGAATATATTGGCCCTCTGTTTTCTGGCATCTAAGGCTGCTGCTAAGAAAACCGGATAATTTTATTGAGGATCCCTTGTATGTGATGAGTCACCTCTCTTGCAACTTTCAAAATTCTCCGGTTGTCTTTGTCTTTTGACAGTTTAATTAGAAGGTGCCTCACTATTTGTCTGTTTGAGTTCATCTTACTTGTACTTTTTTGAGCTTCTTGGATGTTTATACTCTTGGCTTTGATCAAATTTGGGGGAGTTTTTGGTGATTATTTCTTCAAGTATTGTCCCTGCCTTTTCTCTCTGTCTCATACTTCTGGGAATTCCATGCTGCATACTTTGGTATAGTTGATTGTGTCCCACAGGTCTCTTAGGCTCAGTTCACCTGTCTTCAATCTTTTTTCTTTCTGATTCTTAGACTAATTAATTTACTTTGACCTCTCTTCAAGTTTTCTGATTCTTTCTTTTGCTGTTAAATCTGTCTTTGAGTTCCTCTAGTGAATTTTTTATTTCAGTTATTGTAATTTTCATTTCCACAATTGCTTTTTTTTCTTTTTCTGTATTGATATTCCCATTTTATTCATGCATTGTTTTCTTAACTTTCTCCTTGCTTCCTTTAGTTCTTTCAGCATGTTTAAGACAGTAGTTTTAAAGTCTTCGTCAGGTAGATCCCCCATCAGGTCTTTTTTAGAGACAGTTTCTGTTGGTTTATATTTTTGTTTTGAATAGACCGTGCTATCCTGTTTCTTTGTATGTCTTTTGATTTTTTGTTGTTGTTGAAAATTGCATATTTGAAACTAATAATGTAGAGCCCTGGAAATCAGACCTTTTCTCTTCCCCAAGGTTTACTGTTACCGTTTGTATTTTGTGGGGTTATTGTTGCCAGTCTCTGTGCTAAGTATTAGCTTTTTTTGTTAACTTGTGGTCTTAAGTATTTTCTGAGCCTGCATGTTTCCCTGGTTATGTGCCATGACTTTCTCATTTCCTCTGTTGTTTTCAAATGCCCTGGTTATCAAGGTCTGTCTCCCAAAATGAGAAAAAGTAAAAAATAAAGGAAGAAAAAAAAAAAAAGGACTGGCCTTTTGAGTCCCATGGAAGTCACTTCAGCTGGAGTGAGAGGGGCAACACTAATGATAGTTGCCCCTTTTTCTTTATGTGTGTGATTAAAAGCAGCAATTAATGTTCAGTCCACAGATCCTTGATATATGGAAGACAGGTCCTTTTTGCCCAGCTTGGATCATGTAAGCTGTATGCAAGCTGCTTCAAGTACATGTGCACAGATGCCTGCCAAGGATCTAAGAGGTGGGGTATAGGTAGTTGCTATTGTGCTGAGATGTAAACTTTACCTAAATTAACCACAACTTACCATCTAAAGCTTCCCTCCAGAAAGTAGACTCCTTTAATAGACTCTGGACTTCCAAAATAAGTTGTTGATATAGATGGTGGCAGTGCAATCGTTGTCTAGGTGGAAAGACAGATTTGTGGTGCCTCCTGCTTTGCCATATTCTCAGAATCCCTTTCACTTCCTTCGATTTTTACTAAGCAGAACTAACTTCCTTAATTCCTCTGCCATGCCTGCAACTATTCCTTTTCTCCCTTCTTTACCACCCCCTCCTCCTTTCTCCCTGTCTCTAAATTTAGGTTCCCACTCAGAGTTCTCACTTTGACCTTCCGTTTTCTCTCAGTAGATGTCACTACTCTAATAAGATCAACTTTGATCTTTCTTTATCTAATTATTTGAACTGCTTGTGACTTGGTACTGTGTTTTCCTTTGACAAGTTTTGTTTCATTTATCCATGAGATCTTTTCATAGATAACACCTGCCTTTTCACTTTCAATGTATCCCTAATTCTACTCATCATCTTACTCAAAGGCTTACATTCTGTTAGACATACCATTATATTTTCTAGTCTTGCCAACTAAATCGTGTTCATTGATGATATATCTTGCTTTCTTTGTATATCTATCACCAAGGCTTACAGGATTATTTCAATCTCTTTATTTTCTTGCCCATCATCCTAGTTCATATCTTCTGGGTTACAACCTACTCATTGCCTTCATTCTATCTTTTTCACATTCCAACTGCATATCTGTAACCACTTAGTGGTTTAAAAAATATTATTTTCTTCCTTTGGCTTTTCCACATTAAATTTCTCCTCTTGGTTTATTTTTCAGAGTACTCTATGACCTACCTCATCCTATGTAGCACACTGTATCTCCCACTGTCCTTTTTATACAGTCCTTGCTCTTTTGAAGCTCATATCGTCATTGTCAGCTTCATATGCCAAGCCAATTTTTCTTGTGTCTTTCTCAATACCTGATGAACCCTCATATCCTCATTTTTAGAAGCCTAACTCTACTATTTTACTCATACGTGTCTGACAACTGGATCATCTTGATCTCTCTCTTCTCTGCATCCTCAGTCTTTTGATTGAGTCATGTGATGTGGTGGCATGAGCCCAGGGTTTAGGGCTAAGAAACCCTGCTCTGTTGCTTATCACTGCATTTCCCATCTTTACATGCAAAAATGAGGATATTAATAACAATTTTTAGAAGGTTATTTTGAGGACTAATTAAGATAATGTAGAGTATCCAACAACTGCTGGTTCAGAGTAAAGGCTACTATGAGTCAGTTAATAAATAGATTTATTAATGCTGTTTGATTTTTTCTGCCACTTAATATATACCCTTTTGTGGGGTAATGTAATCATTGCATGTACATTAATCTTGCCACCAAACTTTATTTTATAAGCCAGAATCATAAAATAACATGGGAGACTTGTAGAAATTATTTAAAATCACAAATCGTAGAGCACCAGATTTGACATGGTCCTAACCCCTCTGCCCTTTCTTGTGATGAGGAAACTGGAGCCTAAATTTCTTAAGTGAACTGTTCATGGTGACACAGTTACTAGGAGAGCTGGTCCTAACCACAACTAGAGATTTCTGGACTCCCAGGCCTCTGCTCTTTCCATTACCTTCTTGTTCATTTATTTTAGCAATTGCCTGAAGGCAGGATCACAACCCATATTTCTGTATCACCCATAACCTTTATTTTCATTTCATTTTATTTTTTTTGAGATGGAGTCTTGCTCTGTTGCCCAGGCTGGAGTGCAGTGGCGCAATCTCGGCTCACTGCAAGCTCCGCCTCCCGGGTTCACGCCATTCTCCTGCCTCAGCCTCCCAAGTAGCTGGGACTACAGGCGCCCACCACCACACCTGGCTAATTTTTTGTATTTTTAGTAGAGACGGGGTTTCACTGTGTTAGTCAGGATGGTCTTGATCTCCTGGCCTCGTGGTCCACCTACCTCGGCCTCCCAAAGTGCTGGGATTACAGGCATGAGCCACCACGCCCGGCCCATAACCTTTATTTTATTGCGAGAAGATAGAATAGCTACTTGATTGATATTTGTGGCTTGATTGATCTATTCTTTCTTCGACTGTGCAATAGGAATTCTCTGGGAAAGGACTATGAAGTCTGTATACTTATCACCCTTTTGATGCTTTTGGGGTTGTTGTAAGCATGCAAAGGGTTCATTGTGCACTGCTTCTGTATACTGACTCAGGGTGGTGGGGAGAGGAAATGGGAGAGGAAGTTATATACATCTTGAGCAAATCAAGCTTTTCTATTTTTAGTCCTTGCTACTGTTTGGAAAGTACAGCCTCTGTTCATGGCAGTCTGGCATGTGTTTCCTTAGTGCCATTTCGAAAGGGGGAAAAAATAAATATGGGAATTTTTTTTTTTTGTAGTGAAAATAGTTACTCAGTGAAATCACATAAGTTTCCCGTTTTTCTCTTGATGAAACCTCAAACCCACTAGGCACAGATTCCTCAACCTCAACTATGCATGTGAAAGGCTCATGCAGAACAGGAGACCAGAGTCAGCAAAACCTTGTATAGCAAGATAAGCTGTGGTGCCCCAGAGAAGCGCGGATGGGTGGCGGAGGTGGGGAAGGCAGGGAAGGGAATGGTGATGTTCTTTCATATTTAGTGGGGAACTTGGCCAACTACCAGATCGTTGCCCCCTGGAAAAGGCTGAAACCTGAACTAAGATAAAGAGACACATAGCTTTGCAGCTTTTTGCTTAAGCTGTTCCTTTTGCTTCAGTTTCTGTCCTTGGTAAAAGTTTCCCTGACTGCTTTATAGCTACTCCCCCAATTCAAATAAATAATTTTTCTTTAATAGTTGTGATGGCATTTGGGAGATTTTTCCAATCTAAGGCTATATCATTAGGACACGATAAAGAGCCTTTTATGCTAGTAAATAAAATGATTTGATCTGTATTTAGATGGATTGCTATAACATAGTGGTACTCAAGTGATCAGAAATGGTGATGACAGAGTGTCTTGGAGTCACCTTCAGGGGTCCATTGAGGCAGACAAGGACCTTAACCAAGGTGGTGGCCATGACCATGGAGAAGGGGAACAAGAATCAAAAGCAATTTGGAAAGAGGGGGCTTATGGGAAAGAGAAGAGTCCAGGATGCTTGGCAGGATTGTGACTTTCTTCAGGGAGAATACATATCCTTCCTGTCCTAGTATGTGGCAAATGGAAGAATCCTTTGGAAAAAAATGAGGACTTTGAAGCAGGTGTGATGTGAATGTTACTAGAGGAAATGTTGATACCAATGAGCAAATATTGCCCTTTGTTAATGAAAGGGACTATACAGTCTCCAGACATAAACAGCTCTGCCTAGACAAAATTGTAGCAGTAGGGTGAGAATAATGCATTGCTATAATTAATGCTAATTTGTGGATATTGCTGTATTGTTGTCATTGTTTTTTAATTGAATATGTATTAAGCTCCAACAGGGTGCTATGAATAATGCCAACTTATAGTTGATTTATGAGAACACTCAGAAGACTTTATTAACACCAGTAAATGGAAACTCGCACTCCTTCGAGGTGGTAAACGTCTTTGCCATTTCGACAGATGAGGAGAAGTGAAGTAGATTGTGTTTTCTCTGTTGGCACTGCGGGTGAGAACACAGAAACTGTCGAATGAGAGAAAAGTATTTTCCTTGTCCCCTGGAATTGGGTTAGAATACATTAGTAAAGAATTCTTTAATGTGTTCAGAGTTGTGGGATTTTAATTAAATTGTTCCAGTTATTGTTAGCACTTGGATTAGCAACTGGCAACCAAATTCTAGGCCAGCAGATTTCAAATTTAGCATGGACAAGAATTGGGGTGAGGCCGATGGGTTTGTTAAATGCCAATTATTAGGCCCTGCCTTCAAAGGTTTAGATTTGGTAAATCTAGGAGGGGGCTTAGGAAAATCTTATGTTCATGGATATCGAAGGTGCTTCTGTCCTCAAAGGTTGCTAGCTTCCTTTCAAAACTCCAGTATTTTCTTATTTTAGGACGTATCTTTGGCCACCAAAATCTAGCTTCACCTGAGACCAAGGGCTTTTTATTTAATAGCTGCAAATTCTCTTATAACACACCAAGTATAATCCTGTAATCCTCTTTTATACACAACATACCACCAGAAAACATGTGCAGAAGACTTACCGTATGCTTAGCATTCTAGTGGACACATGATTTCTACTACCTTATTTCACCTGGTCTCCAAAATATCCCTGTGGGGTTGGTATTATTGCTCCCTTATTTCATAAGAAGACACTAAAACTAAGAGTATACGACTTGGTCAAACATCACATCCAGTTTAATCCTTTCTATCTTAACCTGGTTAGGCATATATTTTACTTTAAGTTTGAACAACAGGTGGGATTCTTTTTGGCACTGACAGAGTTTGCAGTTGACAGTAGAGACTGTAAACTCGGCTTAAGTGGACCCGTCCCATAAAGAAAAACATTCACATTGGAACAAGGGAGAGGTGAAAAGGAAAGTTGGAAGTGAGTAATTCAACTTTTCATTTTTTTTTGTCCCCTTCCTTCCTTCCTTCCTTCCTTCCTTCCTTCCTTCCTTCCTTCCTTCCTTCCTTCCTTCCTCTCTCTCTCTCTTTTCTTTTTTTTTTTTTGAGTCTCACTCTGTCGCCCAGGCTGGAGTGCAATGGCATGATCTCGGCTCACTGCAAACTCCGCCTCCTGGGTTCAAGCGATTCTCCTGTTTCAGCTTCCCAAGTAGCTGGGATTACAGTTGTGTGCCACCATGCCTGGCTAATTTTTTTTTTGTTGTTTTTTTTTTTTTTTTTGCATCTTTAGTAGAGATGGGGTTTCACCATGTTGGCCAGGCTGGTCTCAAACTTCTGACCTTGTGATCCGCCTGCCTTGGCCTCCCAAAGTGCTGGGATTAGAGGCGTGAGCCACTGCACCGGGCCTGTCTCATTTCTTTAATACGAGGTACTAAACTGTCACTGAGTAAATAGTAGACATTTGATTATTATTTGACTCTGAATATTTTTTGAAAAAAGGAACATTTCATAAGAAAGCCTGAAATGAGACATGAGCAGAATTCTGGGGTATAGAAATGATTTTTAAGTTGAGACAAGAATAGTGAAGCTTGAGACGACATTATTCCTTGCCTCCTTTAGACTTTCTTCAGCCTCCACCTAGCAAAGTAAAAGTCTTGTCATAGCAGTCTGTTGCATTGTATTCCCTGGGTCTAAGGCAGAAATGTGTACGTGCTCCAATAACCCTTGTTTGTTGTGCTGTGGAATCACGTTCATTTCTGATTAAGGTGAAATCAGTAGCTTTCTGATACGGTCTCTCACTCACTTTTTATCAATGGCAACCTTTTTCCTAAAAATAGGAATTTCTGCTGGGAGTGTTTTAATATAAATTGTCTGTGCTCAGCCTGAAATATGTGTGATTCATACCATGTGTTTGTTCCCACATCAACACTAAGTCCCAAGATACAATTACCCCTGCCCACTCTCTCCTTCGTCATGGGGAATGTGTTTATCCTTTAGATATCAGCACCTTGGGTAAGAGCCAATCTCCTTATATGCCTTGGTTTGCACACCTGCATTGTCTGACCACAGCTGACCCTTTGAGTCTGCTCTTACTCTATTTTTACCTTAAAGAACACTCGTGTTTGCCAAGTACACTTGCACATTGCAGAGTTCCTTCTATATCTTTATGCTCATGTTGTAAATATGTTAAATACTTGTTCTCCATTTAAGGCCTTCTCAATTCTGTCGCCATATAGCTCTCTCTGATTTCTCTATTCAGCTACTTTCTCTCTTTCCTCTCTCTCATTTTGCTTTTTTCTCGAACATCTTGTGTGTCTTACCTACATGTAGTCTGCCTTCTAATATGGACATTTGTGGATAAACTAGTTTCTTCAATGCAACTGTAAGCTCTTGGCAGAGAACCCCTGATCCATTCTCTTTCCCTCCCTCCCCTTCCTTCTCCCTCTCCCTCCTTTCCTTTCTTTCTTCCCTCCCTGCCCCCCTCCCTCCCTCCCTCCTTCCTCCTTCCTTCCTACCTGCTTCCCTCCTTTCTTCCTACCTGCCTCCCTCCCTCCCTCCTTCCTTTCTACCTGACTCTCTCCCTCCCTCCTTCCCTCCCTTCCTCCCTTCCTTCCTCCCTTCCTCCCTCCCTCACTCCCTTCCCTCCCTTCCCTCCTTCCTTTCCCTCCCTTCCCTCCCTTCCTTCCCTCCCTGCCTTCCTCCCTCCCCTCTCTCCCTCCCTCCCTCCCTTGTCCCTCTTGCCTGAACTTCATATCAGTGTGTCTTGAATATTTGAAAAATATTTATAGGAAAGTGAATGAAACCTATCCTAAATGGAGAAGTAGATGGCAAAAAAGGGTATTAGAGCTTGGCTTTTCAATTGTAATTGTAGCCATGACCTAATTTTTGGTAATCTAATAGGCCCATATAATCTCTGCTTGGTGTTAGAAGGGAAGACCTTTCACCTTTTGTGTTTTCTTCCTAATGTCATGCAAAGTGCTAGAGCTTTGGAGCAAAATGTTTGATTTCCAAATTCCAATTCTTCCATTTACTGCCCGAGTAACCCTAGAAAGTTCTCTTTTTCTCTCTGATCCTTGGGCTATCCTCTTTTGAAAACAGGAATAATAACATCTACTAATCTCTAGGATTGCTGGAATAGCTCGATGAGATCGTATATATGAAAATGCTTTTCTAAACCTGAGCACTTCTCTGTGATAATGGCCGTACAGAGGGAGCTATGATATTTTCCCTCTTGTTTTCCCAGTAGTGACTATGTCCCAGGCTGTGTGCAGTGGACTGGGTAGCTGCCTAGTAATATTGCTGGCTTGTAGGATATTTCCTGTTTTATATGTTCTTAAGAAGATCAGTTGAAATGTACGAGATGTCGTTTTGGAAAAGATGTTTCACAGTGGGAGGTGTTAAAGTTTTAGTCCTACTTCAGCCCCTTCACTATACAAACTACCTTACCTTTTTGGGGGAATTGTATTATCTTTAAATGAAAATGATGGAATAGCGACGTAAATTCCCCTTCTAGTTCTAATATTTTATGAGCCTTATTTCCATTTTCTATGCTTATCAACTATAAATGATTCTCTTGCAGTTGTTCAAACATCTTTTATCTGCACATCCTCATCAATGGTATTTAACATATAGAATCAGAACCACAAATGTTTGAAGAAAATTCTCGGCCAGACATGGTGGCTCACACCTGTAATCCCAGCACTTTGGGAGGCCTAGGCGGGTGGATCGCCTGAGGTCAGGAGTTCGAGACCGGCCTGGCTAACATGATGAAACCCCATCTAAAAATACAAAATTAGCCAGGCGTGTTGGCACGCACTTGTAATCCTAGCTACTCGGGAGGCTTAGGCAGGAGAATTGCTTGAACCTGGGAGACGGAGGTTTCAATGAGCCAAGGTTGCAGTGAGTGCCATTGCGCTCTAGTCTGGGCAACAAGAGCAAAACCCGGTCTATAAATAAATAAATAAATAAATAAATAAATAAATAAAGTTCCCACCCTCTGTACGTTTCCATGGCATGACGCTTTGCTTTATATCTCTGAGTACATGATATGGAATATGGGACATGGGAATTGAATACTTTTTTATGGTTTCCAATTTTGGTAACATTTAAGGGGTCAAACAAGAGTTCAAGAAAAAAAATACTTGAAAATGATGAGCTAATGTATAAAGTTAACATCACATTTCTAACTATTTGAATTTTGGGGAATGTGAGAAAGTGGCTTTTGAAATGTATCATGCCTGAGCTTATTAAGCCTGTGTTACCAAAATGAAAAATAAGAAACATGTCTTCCTTGAGGTTTTAAAAAACAAAATCAATAGCAAAATTACCTGACAAGTTCTGTTTGATTCATAAATCCACACAATTGTTGCACATCTCCAGCCCCCTCACCACATATGAAAGTTTTCTTAATGTAAAAGTAAACCTTTTCTCCCCTACCTCTAAAAACTTCTGTCTACCAATTTTATTATTTCATGTTATTTTGTTATGCAAAGGATTCCTGGAAAAATATCCATGATCCTAGATGATCTTATGGATATCTTTATAGGTATTTCAATGTAGAAATTTCAAATAAATGTATTTCCCTTTTATGCACAAACACAGAGTTCAGAAAAGACAGTTCATTTAGAGTTTGCTAAACTGTGTGTGTGGACTAACTGGTAAGGTGACGCTCTAGGATGGCACAGCTTGCCTAGATAATCTGTAGCAGTGGTTTTTAAACTATTAATTTCTTAGAATTGCTTCAGGAAATATTACTAAAGGAGATGGGGGATAAAGCAGCTCTGTCTGTATATGTTTCATACAATGGGTTTCCGTGTCTGATTTCATTTTACCAGGGGATCTGCTGCTTAAAAAGGGGGTGCCAAATATCTATTTTACTGTCAAATAGTTCATCTTATTGTGATTATTCTTAGAGTTCCTGTTTTATTGATGAATAGATAATATATGTATTGTTCCTTATTATTATCTATGCAAATTGACCTTTATTTTAATTGTAAGGGGTTACTTTAAAAATATATTATTTATATTATTTTTATTTTATAAGGATTGGAATTCAGTAGAAATCATTCAACGAGTAGGTAAATATTGTGAAAAGTGAGGGGTTTTTGTTGCATATTTAGTTTTGCTTTCTTATTTGAATAGAACAGTGAACAGTGAGGCTACTTGTGTATACCCAAGTTCAGATCACTTTAACCATGACCCTGCCCTTACTTATAAAAGAGTTGGCTTAAACTCGGAGTTGGCCTAACTCTTACGGGTTTAGTCTGATGGCTTTTGAACAGCAAAGATAGTGACAGGCAAGTTGTGAAATGTCATTATAGATCTATGCAGTATTAGAGGTTAAAAAAATAGAAAACGACCTGGAAGGTGCATACCCTCATTTTTGTAGAGGTAAAAGTTGAGTTCCAGAAAGTCAAAGAAACTGCTTGATAATATCAGCGGGACTTGGTCTTGTTTAGGCTGCTTCAGTAGGGCTGATTGTGTGAAACAGAGGCCCCCTGGAGTAGCGCTGAATCATGGAGTTTATCTTAAGGATGGATCTGAATGAGATCTGATATCAGGAAGCTCAGGGTCAGGGCAGATCTGTGGCTGAACTCTTCCATCTATTTTTCTTCTCATTGTTTTTTTTCCCTCTCTCCCTTCCTCTTTTCCTCTCCTCTCCATTCCTCTGCTTCTCTAGTGTTCGCTTGTTCATTGTTTTCCTCCACCCAATGATAGACTTCCTACCTCCTGTTGTATGTTTGGATTGTTAATAATTAACCATGTACATCATCTTTTTGGTTGATCACAGCCATAGCTCATCCCTGTGGCAATTTTTTATTTTTTATTTTATTTTTTTTTTTATTTTTTGAGTTTCACTCTTGTTGCCCAGGCTGGAGTGCAGTGGTAAGATCTTGGCTCACTGCAACCTCTACCTCCCGGGTGGGTTCAAGTAATTTTTCTGCCTCCAGCCTCCCAAGTAGCTGGGATTACGGTTACCCACCACCACGCCCAGCTAAATTTTGTATTTTTAGTAGAGATGGCGTTTCGCCATGTTGGCCAGGCTGGTCTTGAACTCCTGACCTCAGGTGATCCTCCCGCCTCAGCCTCCCAAGGTGTTGGGATTACATGCATGAGCCACCGTGCCTGGCGGCAGTTTTGTTACATGTTTTTCAGTCCAAACGCATAAGAGAAGGAGATTTATTTGCCCATCTAATCTCCTTGTCACTGTCCAAAAGTTAGGTTCACCAGCCTATTTATGGACCCTTGGTTCTGTGGGCCTCAGTGTTCTGAAATGGAGTCGCATGGTTGAAAACATGGCTGTTTTGGCAACAAAGAATGGGGGCAGGACCATTTCCTTTAAAGGAGATTTGGGTTGGCCAAACATTGCTAACACTGGGTGAGTGTGTTAGGGCTGAAAAGGATGAAATAATGTAAATTGTGAGGAAAAAAAATTCAAGCATTTATCAAGCGTAGCATTTATGTTCTATGTTGACGTTTGATACGGCTTGGATGCTTTTTCCCTCCAAATCATGTCAGAATGTGATCTCCAGTGTTTGAAGTGGGGCCTAATGGGAGATACTCGATCACAGAGGTGAATCTCTTATGGGGGTTTAGTGCCATCCCCTTGGTAATGAGTGAGTTCTTCCTCTGGGTTCACACGAGATCTGGTTGTTTAGAGAGTGTGGTACCTCTCCCCAAGCCTTGTTCCTCCTCTCGCCATATGACATGGTAGCTCCCTGTTGCCTTCATTCATGATTATAAGCTTCCTGAGGCTCTCATCAGAAACTGTCTGGATATTGACACCATGCTTCTTATATAGCCTGCATAGTCATGAGCCAATTTAACCTCTTTTCTTTATAAATTACCCAGCCTCAGCTATTGTTCTATAGTGATGCAAAAATGGCCTAATGTAACGTTTTTGTGCTTTATCATGAAAAACTCTTGTCTTCTGTTGTTACCTTATTTCTTGTTTATTTAATGCTGTGTTCTCAGTTGTCAAGCCAGTATTGCACTTCAGATTATGGAAATGTATTCCCCCTTATGAATGCTCTAGTGTTTGCTCCCAAGACAGCTTTTGCGACAACTTTTCCCACTGCCTTTAACATGTGGAGAAGATGTCCTTCTCGGATATTAATAAGACTTGAGTTTAGGCCTGGTTTTGCATATTAGAAAAGTTGAATTGTATTTCTGTTGGCCATTAGATAAGAAGGATTTTAGGGAAGGGGACTGTTTTTGTTTTTAAATTTGTGTCTCTTCCACATAGTTTTACAAAGAGTATCAAATAACATAGTGAATTTGATATCTCTAGGCAAAAGTGCAAGTGATATTTTTCAGTAGAATACATATATATAAACTCCTCAAGGTTGGGTATCATGGCTTTTTTACACTGCATACTACTTAGCATAAACTATTTTCTAGAGCAGCATGGGAGAAAAGCCATCCACTCAAATCCATCATGAGAGTTACCCTATGAACATTGGTGTCATGGAAAATTAGACAAAGAGGAGTCAGTTATCAAGTTAGTGGGTTATTTGTAAGTCCTCCTCCCCTGGAGAAGGGTACATTTGGGGAGATAGATAGGTAAGGTTTTTGGAAAGCTAAACACTTCAACTGAATGACTGGGAAAGAGGATACACATCCCAATAGGAATGCATTCATTTTTTCCCTAACTTACAACAGTTTGTATCTCTTTCCATAAAATGATATTTCTATTAGATAAAATAGATCATATTTTCTGCAATTCTCACTACTGAATACGGCCTGTGTCCACTGAACATTACCAGGATCCGTTTGGTGAGGCTGCTCATATTACTATACAGCATGAGAGATTATATTAAATAGAAATGTTACTGTCTTCATTTTTATTTTTATCCAAATACCTCTTAGCTATTATTTGGTGTGTCAATTGGTATTTTCATGGCATCATTAACCATATATATGACATAATATAGGTTGTTTTTAAGGGAAATAAACTATAAATTCACTCAGTACCCACCCTTACTCCCCCTGCCCCACACACTTAAATGTTCATTGTGTTAGAAATCCACTTAGAAAAGTCATTCTCAAAGTGAGAACACCTCACTTTGAGAATGACTCAGACCAGCACCATCACTGGGGATGTTGAGAACATCCCCATACCAGCGCCATCACTAGCACCTACGAACTTGGTAGAAATGTAAGTTCTTGGGCCTCACCCAAGATGTACAGATAAGAAACTGTGGCAGGTACAGCCTGGTAATCTAAGGTTTAATAAGTCCTCCTGGTGGTTCTGTATAGGCTAATGTTTGAAAAACACTGATCTAGGATTGTGTTCTTTATGGTTAATTCCTGGCACCCTTACACATGTTCAGATGCATAGAAGCCCCATCTACTGAAGCCTCTCAGTAACTTAGTTTTACTTTTGATCAAAGTACTTTATAAAGTCACATACTCAATTGCCTGACTATTAACAGAAGCATTTATTTTGAGACTATTGTCAAAGTAACAATTAAATAGCTAGCATTTATTGAATGCTTATTATGTGAATATTACTTGACATGCATAAACCTATTTAATTTTTACAACTGCATGAGGGACCCGAGAGCTCAGGTGAATTGTTGAAGGTCACAAAGCCAGCAATTGGGAGATACAGGTATTACAGCCTGACTCCAAAGCTTTCACCAGTATTCTTTTTTATTAGGGATACTTTGAGGAAATTACTTAATACAAATGATTATAGACAAATAAATATTGATTGTTTCCCCAATTTCATCAAAGACAGATGATGGAAAAAAGATTGATCTAACTTACAACAAAATGATTACACTTTCAAGAGAAACTAGATAGAAATAGTTTGGATATCTGTCCCCTCCAAATCTCATGTTGAAATTTAATCCCCAATATTTAGATGTGGCCTAGTGGGAGGTATTTAGGTCCCTCATGAATGGCTTGGTGCCTGTATGAGTCTGTTTTCACACTACTAATAAAGACATCCCCGAATCTGGGAAGAAAAAGAGGTTTAATTGGACTTATAGTTCCACATGGCTGGGGAGGCCTCAGAATCATGGTAGGAGGTGAAGGGCACTTCTTACATGGCGGTGGTAAGAGAAAATGAGGGTGATGCAAAGCAGAAACCCCTGATAAAACCATCAGATCTCGTGAAACTTTTTCACTACCATGAGAACAGTATGGAGGAAACTGCCCCCAAGATTCAAATTATCTCCCCCTTGTTCCTTCCCATAACATGGGGAGTTATGGGAGTACAATTTAAGATGAGATTTGGATAGGGACACAGAGCAAAACTGTATCAGTGACCTCCCCATGGTACTGGTCATACAGAGTGAATTCTCTGTTAGTTCATAGGACAGCTGATTGTTTAAAAGAGTATAGCACCTCTCCTCGCTCTCTCTTCCGCTCTCTCTCACCATATGACATGCTGCCTCCCATTACCTTCCTCCATGAGTAAACGCTTTCTGAGGCCCTCACCAGAAGCAGAAGGCAGCTCCATGCTTCCTGTACAGCCTGCGGAACCATGAGCCAAATAAACCTCTTCTCTTTATAAATTACCCAGCTTCAAGTTTTGCATTATAGCAATGCAAAACAGACTAACAAACATAGTGTGTTTTGTTACTTAAAAAGCACACACTTTCAAAATTCCTTTAGTTATCACCATTTTCCCCCACTGATATTAGAAAGAAGAGAGTAATAAACATTACTGACCATAATAGAAAAAAAATACAGTGAAATTCCTGTTGTATTATTAAATTTAAATGAAACTACCATTGAAAAGAAAAGTTGTATGTAAACACAATGTAATTTTTGTATTATTAGCCTCTTAGGTTTTACTAAATTAAGACAGTTTTATATTCCTAAGTTATCAGGGAAAGCTTTTCTAATTAATCACAAAAGGAAGCTCAAGCTTGGGTAGGGTCTGGGAACCTCTTTGTTTTCCATATGGGATCAGTGGTAAGACATTCCTTGAGCTCTGTGAAGCACAGTTGAAAAAAATAGGATTATGTGGTTACTTTCTCAGGTCTGTAATTGAGCAGTCACATTCAAATTCCGGCTTTTTGAACTCACAATCTATAATGTGTCAGTATGGTTGTCTACCTCAGAGATTCTGAAGGTTGTTGAAGATTAGTTCATGGTCATGTATGTTTTGAGTATGACGCTGGGCATTGGATCTAATTCTAGTATATAAACATCCAAGGGTGGAGACTGTTTCTTAATTAAATAGACCATTCCCCTTGGCCTTTTGTTTCCTTTAATATCCTGGATAAGATTTTCCTATGTAACAGTTTTTACTTGATGATTAAGTTTCTGATTTTTTTTTCATAGCACAGGACTTTTCAGTTAGTCCTGCTCCCCTACCTTGAAACCGAAATGAATACTGAACAAATAAATCGTTAACGTATTAGGCAAGATATGTTTATTTTCATCCCGTTTCACAATCATTAAGGCCATAGTTAGTTCAGGCAAAGATCATCTATGGACACTAAAACCACTGGGTGGGTGAAAGGTTTTTGACTAGTAGAATACTCACAGTGCCCCAAAATATCACCTCACAGATTATTTTTAATTTAAAAATCATGCAGTCATGCTTAAAATGGTGAAATCTGGTACACACTACCTTAATCGAGTCATCAAACTCAGCATCACCAAGCATGGGCCAAACTGACCCTTGAGCTTCCTGATGGGATGCAGCAGAAGGGATGTGGCCTCACGCATGTGATATTCCTGCCTGACTTATTTAATCTGAATCCAGTCATCAAGAAAAACCAGATTGGTTGGACTTTTTATAAGACACCTGACCAGAATTATTTTAAAAGTTGGCTTTATAAAAATCAAAAATCAGCTAGGAGCCTGTTCTAAATTAAAAGAGAATAAAAAGACATATCATTTTATGATGTGATCCTTGGATTTGGGGTGAAAATTAACAGTAGATAAAAGAACACTACTGGCACCACTAGTGAAATGTGAGTATGGGTGATATTAGATAATACTGTTTCTATGTTAAATTTCTCCAGTGTGAGAATGGTTTTGAAAAAATTAGAAATTCTTAGGAGATGCAAACTGAGGTGCATATGGGGGATGTCGGGGGGTGGTTTTGCAACATCTTACAGATGGTTCAATTGCAACAGCAAATCTAATTTATGTAGACAGAAAGCTAGTGTGATGAAATGGTGGCCACTGATGAATCTGGGTGAAGGATGGGTGAGTGGAGTTTATTTTAATAGTTGTTCAACTTCTCTGTGAATTTAAATTTTTTGGATATAAAGAATGAAAAAGTAAATAAATACAAATGAATGCTCTTTCATAACCAATTGCTGGTACTCCTCGTCTATCACCTGTAGTTAGTGGGTTAGTGATAGTTGGCCTGAAATATGACCCATTCAAAATCAGACTCTTGATAATGGCCTAAGTTCATTTCATTCACACGCTGTACATTTTGGTTCTGGGCTATTTATTGGACTGTCTTTATGTACTTACAGTGGGGGAGTCATCATCCTATAATTCTGCTGGCAGCACTTATTATGATTTGTCAAGTCATAATAAGTCCCAACTGTGGTTTGGTGAGCTTTTTATCACATATGTATTCAGATAATGCATAAAAATAAATATAAAAATAACATGTTCGAATGGTTTATTCATAGGATTTTTGTGGTCCTTGGTAAAGGGACGCTGTCAGTAGACACCTTTGGTGCCCCACCTCGCATCTTCCCCTCCCACCTTCGTGTACCAGCAGCTGCTACAGCGATCAGCTCTGCACAGGTGTGACCTGGTAGCACTTGGCTTCAACTGCAACACCTTTCACTCACTTTCTGTGCCGGGCCTTCTCTGCAACCATTTAACTTCTGAGACTTGTGAGACTTATTCACAACCAGGAGAACAGTATAGGGGAAAATGCCCCCGTGATTCAATTATCTCCCACACGGTCCTGCCCACAACACATGGGGATTATGAGAACTACAATTCAAGATGAAATTTGGGTGGAGACTCAGCCAAACCATATCTCCTTCCTTCTCTGCTTAACTCCTTCTAGTCCCTCAGTACTGTTTCTCAGAATTGATTCCCAAAATAAATGGCCAACATGCGAGCTTTTCTCACAGGCATTGTTTTTCTTGGCAGAACACAGACTAAGACGATGTAATCTTTGAAATCTCTCTAGTGATGGTTAAAGAGTGTGGGGATTGTTATAATTACATTAACTACTTTATAAAAGTTTGTGGTGGTAACTAGAAAAAGCATTAGTCAGGAGAATCTTCCTTGTTGCTGGCATTGGGAAGGTCATTTACCAGTCAGGTAACTAGCACAGCTACAAAGATAGGGAGTTAGGAGAAAGACATGTTGGTAAGTCTATAGGATTCTGTTGCTTGGTTATAGGACTTTGGATCCTGGTATCTACTATAAGGGATTGAGAGTAGCAAGATCCCCTAAATCGAAAGGTAAATGAATATCTACAGATTCGTGGCAGGACTTGGGCAGGACAACAGTTATTTGAACTGAGATATAAAATTGAGACTCAAGAGTGAAAAAAAGGCCTATTCTAATTCATAATGGAATTGAAATGTAGGAGTAAAGCTACTATAGTATTTGCACAATCTTCTCCCCTCTCACCCCACGCTCCCCTGTTATCCAGTTTTTGTGCAAAATCACACAGCATTAGACTGGAACTTGTGATAAATTGCATCAACCTAATTTGAGAAACTGAAAATAGGGAGCAGTCTGAACTTAGAGGGTAGGGAGAATAAGGACCCTGGAAACTAATTGATGTCTTACAAGCACAGACTGGTTGCATATCATAATTACTTGTTTTATTGTGTAGTTCAGGGTAATTCTGTGACTTGTTGAGTCTCAGTGGTTAGATATTGCAGTGACTTCAGGCATAGTCAGTTGATGTACTTTCTGCTTCAGTAAAGTACAGATGTAGAAGACCTGATTAAATCCTGTCTCTTTACTAATACCCCAAGGGAACACTTAATGAATGATGCTTCCCTCAAGAAGAAGAATAATTAACAATAGCTATATTATTCATATTAATTTATAGTTACTGGTTGCTATAATTAATGCTATTTAGGAAAATCATCATAATTATAGCACTTTACAACTTACAGAGTATTTTCCCATCCATTTTCTTATCTAAATCTTATAACATCACCCTGGCTTAGATAGAACATGTGATATTCTCTTCATTTTATAGATGAGAAAACTATGGCCCAGGGAAAGATTTAAGCAGACAACACTCTACCACCCTTGCCAATATATTGGACTATCTAAGAGTATGTGGAAATACACTTACCAAATTTATGTCTACTATAATATTTTATATCTGCGCACAAGAGGATCAACTTTACTCAGTTTTTAGTTGCATTCCAAAACAATAATGTCCTGTCTTTCCTTGTACCAGGACCCCCATTACCCAGAATGTTCACATGAATTTTAAATGTTAAATGGAATTTTTCTTAATAATACCACAGTGTTTCATAGTTATTACTGCCCTTTGATATAAACATGAAATCTCCTCTGATAGAGGGATTAGCACCTTGAAAACATCTGTTTCCAGTATACAGACCTGCTGGCCTTAAACAGTTTAATCAGACTGGAAATTCAGACTCAGAAAAGTCTAAATTTCAACCAACCTGTCATGTCACTCTTTTTCTATTTTTGGCTATGACAAGAGAGTTGAAGAAAATCTATCAATTTCACAAGGCTAGCCTTCAAATCTGGGCCGTCCAGCTTGATGATACACACATAGTTACCAGTGTGAGCGTGTGTGTGCACACACAGATGGACACTGAACCTCTTTGGTTCCGTTTTTATATCAAATTCTAGAGTATCCACTGCTTATTGTTGTACTTCTAACTGTGTTTACCCAAAAGATAGTGCTATGAGAAAGGTTACTGCCTGTGTCACAGTCTGTCATTATTCACTGATTTATTTATTCAAAAATACTTACTGAACACTTATTTGGGCTAGGTCTTGAAAGAGAGTCCAAGGAAACAGGAACAAAACAGACAAAGCTTCTCATGAAGCTTATATGTTCTAGGGGAGAGACTGAAAATAAACAGAAAAATACACATGGTGGCAGATATTATTTAAAAATGGATTTAAAAGGGTAGGGGAATAACATGACGTGATGTAGAGGGGTCATAATAATACATCCAGAAGGAGAAAATCATAAGGTGGCTGTTTTAGATAATGTGATAATATGAAATATATATATATATATATATATATATATATATGTGTATGTGTGTGTGTATGTGTGTGTACGTGTGTGTATGTGTGTATATATATATGTTTGAGACATATATGTGTGTGTGTGTGTGTATATACATATATGTATGTATGTTTGAGACAGAGTCTCGCTCTGTCATGTAGGCTGGAGTGCAGTGGTACGATCTTGGCTCACTGCAACCTCCGCCTCTAGGGCTCAAGCTATTCTCCTGCCTCAGCCTCCCAAGTATCTGGGATTACAGGGGCCTGCCACCACACCCAGCTAATTTTTGTATTTTTAGTGGAGACGGGTTTCACCATGTTGGCCAGGCTGGTCTTGAACTCCTGGCCTCAGATAATCCACCCGCCTTGGCCTCGAAACCTGCTGAGATTACAGGCATGAGCCACCGCGCCCGTCCTGAAATCCATGTTTAAAGAGGGCTCACAAACAAGGAAGCCAACTGCCTCTTGAAGTAGGTTTGGCTCCAAGGACCTGGGCCACAACTTCATAGACAGTTGATGTTACTGTGCTTGAGAGAAATCAGGCCCAGGAAGGATTAACTCAAGCTGACTAAGTTCCCAAAAGAATGACCAAAACACCAGATCCCTTTATGTTTCTTTTACACAGATAGTTAAATAAGCTCCAAGACTCAGGTAAGGTGGTTTGGTGAGTAAGCTACTAGGGCATACGGAACTAGTGGTCTTCACAGGCCATTACCCTTTACGCTTGCTTCAACATATTCACTAAAACGACAGATTGACTTCAAGGGTTATAAGATTTAGTGCTAGCCTGTCATGGCACGCTACTTGTTGTTGTTACTGAAGATATTCTAGTTTCTTGGTTGGTTAATGCTTTTTCTAAACTCTTTTGCAGACACTAGATACTCTCTTGATATTTTACGTCCTTAGACAAGTCCAGTAGAATTGATTAGATTATTGTAACTTTCCACTATTGTATTGCCATTGAGTCTTGCTGAAGATACACTTTGGTCTCTTAATGAAGTTTTAAGAGCTTCTTCCATATTCATATATGATCATTATTAAATTGTCACTTTAAAAGGTTATTTTTTTACTTCACCCTGCCTCCAAATACTAGGGTCATCTCACTTTATAATCCAGACAGATTCTTTGCTTCTTTTTCCCAAACCTGATCATAATTCCTGGAAACACCCTGTGTCGATGTTGTTGTCCTCTACTCTCCTGTTGATTCTGACTGCAGGTAATACGAGGTTCTGACATAGGAAATCCGGAGATCCTGACTTCATTGTCCATGCTCACTGCCACATGCTTCCCCTGCAGCCCCTTGGCAGAACCCTAAGAGGTCTCTTTCCAGTTCATGTTCTAGGTGCATCTCTTGGGTCTTGCCATCTCTCGCACACATGCATACCTAATACCCCCTGGACCTGAGACTTCCAAGCACTGGCATGCTCCAATGTCTTCAAGTGCTGATTCCTCTTTCTGGAATGTCCGTGTTCCTTCCCTGCTCCTTGCTACTCCAATAAATATTATTCTAGGCAGTGGTGTCTAAACACCAAGTGCTTGTGAGCTCTCTTCAGCTGGTTCTGTTCTTTAGGTGCAGGAATGGAGACATTTATTTTCCTTTACTTGTATACTTATTTTAAACAACAACAACGACAAAACTGCTAAATAAGTGTGTGACCTGAGAAAAATCATCTTTTATTTTTCAGTTTTCATATCTGTCATAAAGTGATAATTCTATCTCAGCCTACCTCACTGAGATTTTATGAAAGCTTAATTAAAAAAAAAAGAGGTGCAGAAAAACTTGGACAAAGCCACATTATAACTTGAGAAATTTGAACTTATAATGATATCAAGGGAAATTTCCTTTGTTAACATGTCTGTGTTGCTTCCAACAGGGGAATCCCGGAGGCAAGACACTTGAGGAGAGGCGCTCCAGCCTGGACGCTGAGATTGACTCCTTGACCAGCATCTTGGCTGACCTTGAGTGCAGCTCCCCCTATAAGCCTCGGCCTCCACAGGTTAGTGCAGCCCACAATCATCTCCACACAGCCATTCCCAGATATTCTACTCTTATCAGAAAGAACATGCTGCACCTGAGAGCTTATTTCCCCTTCCTTCCTTCCGTCCGTCCTTCCTTCCTTCCTTCCTTCCTTCCTTCCTTCCTTCCTTCCTTCCTTCCTCTCTCTCTCTTCTTTCTTTCTCTTTTTTTTTTTTTTTGATGGAGTCTTGCTCTGTTGCCCAGGCCGGAGTGCAATGGCACAATCTTGTCTCACTGCAACCTCCGCCTCCCGGGTTCAAGCAATTCTCCTGCATCAGCCTCCTGAGTAGCTGGGATTACAGGCGCCTGCCACCACACCTGGCTAATTTTTGTATTTTTAGTAGAGACCGGGTTTCACCATGTTGGTCAGGCTGGTCTCGAACTCCTGACCTCATGATCTGCCTGCCTCAGCCTCCCAAAGTGCTGGGATTACAGGCCTGAGCCACCATGCCCGGCCCTTTTATTCTTTCTTGATCTTCTTAGAGTCAATGATTTAAGTTGCCTTTTTATTTAATATCAACATGTATTAGTCAACTGGCAGAAATTTCTTAAATTGACTCTTTGAGTACTTTCTTTAAAAATAACACAACATCATACAAAAATGTTATATAAAAAAGTAAATCTCTTATTCCATTGCCTTGCTCTTCTTACAGCTTTGTCTATATGGATATTTTGTTACATGTTGTTATAGTTTTCACAAATATGACTTAGCTTGGCTATGTAAGGTTAAGGTGAAGGGCTGTGTCTTTTGCAAGGAAATTAGTTTTGTTGGATATTAAGGTGATTTTCATTATTTTTGTCATGGTTTTAAATAATGCTACAGGGGACATATTTGTGTATATTTTCTTTGGGGTTATTTCCTGGCCTCAGATTTCTAGGAGTGGGGTTGCTACATTGATGAATGAGACCACTTTATTTACTTTTCTTTCCTAAGGTTGTGAATAGTTGATACTGGTACCACCAGTTAGTTTGAATATATCAGTTTCTCCTCAAGTTCACTAGAATGTGATGGTTGCAATTAATCTGTGTTTTGTAAGTGCAAATGGTGCCTTGTTAGTTTTTCTTTGCTTTTTAATTTTTTTATTTTTGCCTACTTTGGAGCTTGGCTATTTTTCAGCATCTTCACTTAATATCTGCATTCCAGAAGCTGATCTTCCACTGCTAGTGATCATTCCCTGCCTCTCTAAAGTCTTGAAAGGGTTGTGGCAAATCTGTTTCAGGGCTTCCAATTCCTCAGAAGACAGCCATCAGAATTGTAGTTGCAAACGCTAGAGAAGCAGTATTGTCACTGTGCTGTTTGACTCTTGCGTGACATTTGTTTGACTAAGTGAGAGTGCATAGAGCCTCTGAGCCTCACTCCAGTTCTTGAGTGGCAGCTTCTGTATTTACAGTGGTTCCTTTCTTAAATTAAGAACCAGTCTTGTTTCTCTGCTGTCAGTTATTTCAATACTTAACTGCTCATAAGGTGGCAGCACTTTCTTCTTCTTCTTTTTTTTTTCTTTTATGAGATGGAGTCTCTCTCTGTTGCCAAGGCTGGAATGCAGTGGCGCAATCTCAGCTCACTGAAACCTCCACCTCCTGAGTTCAAGCAATTCTGCCTCAGCCTCCCGAGTAGCTGGGATTCCAGGTGCCTGCCACCACGCCCAGCTAATTTTTGTATTTTAGTAGAGATGGAGTTTCACCATGTTGGCCAGGCTTCTCTGGAACTCCTGACCTCAAGCGATCTGCCCGCCTTGGCCTCCCAAAGTACTGGGATTACAGGTGTGAGCCACTGTGCGTAGCTGCTGTCTTCTTTAGATACATTCCCTGTACCTTTTCTTAACATATAATGGAATTGTTAGCCATGTGGGATTCATGGCAAAATATACTACCACTTAGCTCTTCCTCACTGACCCTGCTCTTGGCTCTATCCATCCTGTGAGCAGTAAAAATATACTTTGTCCCTGTAAATGTGTACTGAACTCATCTGTAGAAGGCACTGTGGTCTTTTGGGGGAACCGATGAGGCAAAAAAGGTGGATAGTTGAGAGGAAGAGAAATAGGACTCCGTTGTAATCTTCTAATAGCCTGTAATGTTATATGTGAGGATATGGCCTATACTGCAGGAGCACAAAGAAGATAGTGATATATTCTTCTGAAGGTGACACAGTCTGATAATTCTTATCAAAAGACTTGCATTTTCATCTGGAGGGGTGAGTGGAATTGTATCGTTCGAGACAGCAGCAGGGAGTAGCCTGAGCCACAGGGCTGCAAGCAAGCACCAAGGCTGCATTTAGAGATCTGTAAGCAACCAGATGGCTGCAGATGAAGCCTTTGAAGGCTTGGAGTAGAATATAGGTCTGGGACCAGCCTGGCCAACATGGTGAAACCCCATCTCTACTAAAAATACAAAAAATAGCTGTGCGTGGTGGCGCCCGCCTGTAATCCCAGCTATTCGGGAGGCTGAGGCAGGAGAATCGTTTGAACCCGGGAGGCGGAGGTTTCAGTGAGCCAGGATCACGCCACTGCGCTCCAGCCTGGGGACAGAGGGAGACTCCATCTGAAAAAAAAAAAAAAAAAAAAAAGAGAGAATATAAGTCTGGTAGTTTCCTACAGACAGCGTGTAGACACGTTTAAATGCCAGATTATGATTTTAATCTGTCTTTTGTAGATAATGGGATTATTTGAAGGTTCTCAATCAGGGAAATCTAAAATTCATTCTGAAAAAGGAACATAGGAAATAAGACCAACTCTAGAATGATGCAGGAAATGAGCCCAGGTCAGAAAAATGTTCTCCAGCAAGCCACTCTTCATACTTTCTGACCATTGCTTGATGTTCAGCAATTTTTTTTGATTCCACCCAAGCAAATGCCCCAAATCTCATCTCATATCTGAAGACAGGAAGGCCACTGACTTTGCCACTGGACTCAGCAGTATCATGCCCAAATGCTTTTTTGTGCTCCCTTTCCTTTTTTTTTTTTGTAATGGGTTTTCACTCTGTCACCCAGGCTGGAGTGCAGTGGTGGGATCTCGGCTCACTGCAACCTCCGCCTCCTGGGTTCAAGCCATTCTCCTGCCTCAGCCTCCCAAATTTAGGGAGGATAGCAACAGTGTTTCTGGCTGCAGTAAATTTGGGGTAATGACTTTAGCTTACATCTACTTTATAAAAAATCCTCCATGACACTGCATGGATTTATGCAATTGAACTACCTTAATATTTGAAACTAAAATTTCTAAACATTTTAAAAGTGTTTGTCAGGGAGTAGTTTTAGAATAACAGATGAGAAAAGTTCAGACATATTCCTGTAGTGAATTGCAGATAAAATGTGAGCATAGAGTATCAGAGCTTTAGTGGGCCTTCCAGGTCATTTAGCCAAACTTACAGGTGTGTGCCACCATGCCCAGCTAATTTTTTGTATTTTTAGTAGAGATGGGGTTTCACTATGTTGGCAAGGATGGTCTCAATCTCCTGACCTCGTGACTGACCCACTTCGGCCTTCCAAAGTGCTGGGGTTACAGGCATGAGCCACCGTGCCCTGCCCCTCCCCGCCCCCCAGCTTTTTTTTTAAACGGAGCTTTCATTTAAATCTTTTTTTTCCTCCCCTAAATCCTTATAACCTAATAGACACTGAGGAGATCATGCTTTGAGGTCTATTGTTTAATACAACCTTTATTCTTGAAGGTTGTGTCTATACATGCCTCTCATAAACCATTGCATTTTAATAGGTTTATTCTGCAGCTACGTTTTGTTTGAGGAATCTTTCTGAGCACACAAATTCATCATCACTGATATTTGGACAGTACTGATTGTGAAGCACTTTCACATATATTCTCACTTGAGTGAGATATAGATATCTCAGTTCTGAGATGTGCGTGATGTGCTCCTTTCAGGGATGATGAAACTAAGACTCACCAAGAAGATTAATGGTTTCTCCTTGGCCATATGTTTGAGCACTGCGTGAGCACAACTGGACTTTGAATTTTGGCTTGTGCTTGATTTTAAGTTCTAAACACCAGATTGAGGGTGTCAGGTTTTGTCTTTGTTTTTGTAATGATTTTACCATCGATGAAAGCTGGCATCAGTCATCTGAGTGACACTGTCCCTTGAATGTTGCTTTCCCATAAAAAGAAAAACATTCAGAAGGTCAAAAAAAATTAATTGTAATAGCCATTAAGTAGAATAAGTTCATAATTATGGTAAAATACACTTTCGATGTGCCTGTTCCATTCAGAAATTAAAGGATGATCCATTCTAATTTTTTTCTATTACTATGATTTAACAAAGCAAGAGTTAATTGGGAGATATATCTCATCCTTTTGAATTATCTTCCCTCTGGTGGAACTGAATTAGATGTGTTAATATTTATTGGTTAACATAATTATAGGCTGTGAGAACAATAATCACACACTTAAAATATTAAAAGTATGTGCCAAGAGAAGATGATGTCTATAGTAGACGGTGTTGTGTTATAATTGAAAGGTACTTGAAAAGTCCTAGAAATGTAGACCGTTAATGCCCAACATTGATGTTTCTATTTTTGTTCAAAGCAAATTTCAAAACCTATAGAATCACCTGACTACTTAAAATAGGCTAGTAGGTCTGTGATTTCTCATTAGTCAAACATGTGTTGTAAGCTTTTTTGAATCCATGTCTCTATCATCTTTGGAAGGCTGCTTTGACTCATGGTCTAGGAAAAATGATATATATGTGGAATGTTTATATGGTAAGAGGTTCCAAGGAGCTCCATTCTCAAAACAAGTCTGAAAAATGTGAGCTCTTGAAAATAGGTTTTGCTAAAGCATTTTCTTCCTTTTATTCTAGGGAGTATTTTCCGCTCCCAAATTTTCTGACTTTAGTTATGTTCACTTACTAATCCCTATATTGATTTTGGAAATTTGGCTTAATTCCACATATTCATTGATTCATTGATTCATTCACCTAACATTTGATGAGATCCTCCTCTGGATCAGTCATTGGAGATTTAAAGGTTAGTATCAACAGGTCTTTCCTTTAGAGTGATATTTAATCTTACAGAAGAGATAAGCCCGTAAGTAACCCAAAGGGACACAGGAGAAGGGCTTCAATGTGCTACTTAAATTGTCACGTAAATCACCACGTGTCAAAATTATTGGGAGATAAAATACAGGAATACCAACATTGTACCTTATACCTTTCAGTGTCAGAGAGGACTGCGTAGAGCAGGCAGTATTTGAGCTAACTTGGCTTAAAGTGTTACGGGAAGGGCATGGGATTCAAGGTGCAAGAATAACAAGAGTGAGAAAGTCAAGGAACGTGGAAAGTGAATATTATTTGAAGAATAAGTTTGTCTAATGGGGTATGTAAAGTGTAAATGGGATTACTGCTGAAAAACTCAAACTTACTTAGCAGTACCTAAGTAGCCCTTTTGATGCCCAAGGGCTTTCATTGTTAGAAAGAGAAATTTACAGGGGGATAGCAACAGTGTTACTGGCTGCAGTGATTTTGGAGTAATGACTTTAGCTTACAGCTACTTTATAAAAAAATCCTCCATGACGCTGCATGGATTTATGCAATTAAATTACATTAGTGTTTGAAACCAAAATTTCTAAACATTTTAAATGTGTTTGTCAGGGAGTAGTTTTAGAAGAACAGATGTGAAAAGTTCAGAGGTGATCCTGGAGTGAATTGCAGACAAAATGTGATCATAGAATATCAGAGCTTTAGTGGGCCTTCCAGCTCACTTAGCCAAACTCTTATTCTACAGATGGAAAGCTTTTGCCCAGAGAGGGAAAGAACACACTCAAGGAGGCTCATTTAGAGACAGTTTCAGTGATTCTTTGTATTTTCCCCGAACTATGACACAAAGGCCCAGCTTGATGATAACCACGACCAGGGGAGAGTTTGGTTTCCTTTAGTATCACAATTGGTTTATTCCAAAAAGTCTTTCTTTTATGGCGTCTTCTTTAAAATAAGTCTCAAACACATAACAAAGAATTAGGCATATCAAAGACGTACTTCAATGGTAAACAGAAAACTTATGACGTTGTAACATCTTTAAGCTAGTATATATCTAAACCCAACCCATTAGGTAGGCATGATTTGTTAGTATAAGTACAGCTTAGCCTCTAGAAGCTATGCAGGGGTTGGAACGAAATTCTGTCTATTTCTTAGAAGACAAGAGATCAATCATGAACTAATGACTTTTGTGTTCCTTCTTTTATCAGAGTTAGGGTACAGTATTCATCTTCTAGTTTCTAGTACAGGGCTGTCTTTTTTTCCCCAAGTAAGTTTGGTAGGATTGGAGCTGATGACTGAGTGACTTGGAACACTTTTCAAATAAACTGTCTTACGTTAATATTTCATGGTAGCTGGAGATTTAGTAATTTGTGAATCAAGTTGCTTTTGAATTGATTAAATGGGCTTTCACTATCCTCATTTAGACTAGTGTGATACTGTGAAATAATAAGAAATAATATATAAATATATTTTTCTACTCCAGTTTCTGAATCAGTGTTTGTAAATCCTTATAATTTCCTAGGTGATAGGGGTGCTGGTAGCATCTTTTGTTCTAACATTATTTTGTTATTGACCTTGGTTCCTGACTCAGAGCTACTGAATTCTGTGGAATTTCCTGAGTGATGGAAATATCTATTGTTTTGATGAGGCAACTCTTGGTGGGCTCCTGGATTTTGGCTGGTTACCAGAATGACCAAGCAATGATTTGAAGCTTGGAAGTTTAATCTTCACCTCTCATCCTCTGGGGATGAGAAAGGGGCTAGAGATTGAATGAATAACAAATCATGCCTATGTTTTGAATGTTTTGAAGTCTGTATAAAAATCCCTGAAGTGCAGAGAGGTTTCAGGTTGTTAAGCACATCTTTATGCCAGGAGGGTGGCATACCCCAACTCTATGGTAACAGAAGCTCCTATACCCAGGACCCTTTTGGATCTAGCCCTGTGCACTTCATCATCTGCCTGTCCATCTTTATCCTTTATCGTATCCTCTATAATAAACTAGTAAATGTAAGTAAGCATTTCCCTGAGTTTCATGAGTAATTCTAGCATATTATCAAACTTGGGAAGGGGATAATGGCAAACCCCAATTTGTAGTCAAATCAGACAGAAGTCTGGGTAACTGGTGACCACCCCTACTCTGCCCCACCACCGCAGCTTGTGATTGACATATGAAGTGGAAACAGTCTTGTGGGACTTGAACCCTTAACCTGTGGGATCTGTAATAGTAACTCCAGGTAGATTGTGTCAGAACTGAATTGAGTCATAAAACACCCATCTGATACCATAGAATCAGTTGATGTATGAAAAAAACCCTCACATTTAGTGCCAGAAGTAAAGTGTTCTGTCCAGGCATGGTATCTCACACCTGGAATCCCAGCACTTTGGGAGGCTGAGGCAGGTTGATTGCTTGAGGTCAGGAGTTTGAGACCAGCCTGGTAAACATGGCGAAACCCCAGCTCTACTAAAAACAAACAAACAAACAAACAAACAAAACTTAGCTGGGGGTGGTGGCATGCACCTGTAGTCCCAGCAACTCGAGAGGCTGAGGCAGGAGAATTGCTTGAACCTAGGAGACAGAGGTTGCAGTGAGCCGAGATTGTGCCACTGCACTCCAGCCTGGGCAACAGAGCAAAACTCTGTCTCAATCAATCAATCAATCAATCAATCAATAGAAGTGAAGTGTTCTGTGAGTAGCATAGAGGAAAGAGGTGAGTTTTTCTTCTTCAACTAATATGAAAAATTTGGAGATATTTTGAAAATAAGAATAGGGTGGGGCATAGTTTGATAGCCTCGTCTCCAAGTTTGCCAACGGGAAGAGCATTGGCTTCTTGATTCCCTGAGGTCCCCTCTCTGAAAGGAGCTCCATTTGTGTGAACCTGTCCATGTTACCAGTTTGTGCTTCCTTTTGGTTATTTCAAAAATGGGCAGGGTAACTACACTCCATTCCCCCTTTTCAAAAGATAGAATAGTATTCTCAAGCTACAAGAAATAAGATGATGGCTCAAAGCAACAGCTCACACAGTCATTCCCATTTCATTTTGGGATTGTTAGCTTGTGTCTGGAGTTTGTTTTAAAACTTCAGGCCTTTGAAGGTTGGGGGCTGGTCCTTTCTGAATGCTGTTCATCCTATAAACGATATATTTAATTCCTCACTTTAAAAACTATTCTAACTTCTTAGTCTATTTGGAAACTGAGTACTGAAATGCTGTGTGGTCATATGGACACATCGTTAGCTGCAGTCCCAGCACTCCCACACTGGGTTCCTTTCATAGAGCAATAATGTATGAGGCAACCTGAGAAATTATTTCAGGTATATGTGTGTTGTATTTAGAGCTTTTTATAAGAATTCATGTGGTCTGAGGGCTTGGGTGCAGTGTAATCAGGGTGGAGTCTTGTGGTGCCCTGGATCTTCCCTTCTCATGTGTTCTGTGTTCTAGCTTGCAAACGCCATGAGGAGCTGCAGGGGAGATTAATTAGTAATTAAAATGTTTAATGCTTCATATTATTCAATGCAAGTCAAACATGTAGGCTACTGGGAGATGAAAACTACAACATGCTGATACTGTGTGATGAGACATAGACTGTCCCTACAGACTAGAAACTTTGCTGTTTCTGGCAAGGCTGCTTGGGACTTGAGATAGGAACTGGGTAATAAATACTCTGTTGAAAAAGAAAATAGGTGTGGATAGTGGCATCTTCCTCCTCCTATATTCTCTTAGGAAAAATTTAGGAGCTTTTCATGATTTGCTGAGAAATAGATTTGTCTATGTATTGGCATTGTCTGCTTAATAATAACTTTCTTTGAGAGCTATGGTAAAAGTTGAAACCTTGTAGAAACCTCTGGTATGTGATGTTAAGTGGAATACAGTAAAATAAAATTTGCAAAACACCATTTTAAAAGAGAAAGGGATCTTATTCTTCACAATGCCCATGTTTTACTTAGAGGATCTGTGTTGTTTTGAATTAGCCTGTACCCGCCAGAAAACTTCAACAGTTAAATAACAATGATTTGGGGGTGGAGGAGTGGTTAGCTGACTCAGAGTTGCATGCCATGACTTTTATGACAGGCAATTAATTTTTAGATGGTATATAATTGCATTTCAATAACATTTATACCTCATCATTTTTTTAGAAGATGATGTGTTTGTGTCATGCGTAATAAGCATAATCAACGTTAGCTTTAAATAAATTTTGTTTTGAGTGCCATGAAAATGTAACATTTTCAGAGTGGAAATTTAGCCTAAAAATCTACCTTGCATTGCACCTCTACAAAGCTTTTGCCCAAAAATATTCATTTCATTTGTCCCAGTGTAAGAGCTGGCTCTGAATGTATCTTAGCTCCTAGTGGGGATAGGGGAGGGCAGCTGAGCAGATAGCTGCTGAGTGCCATGGGGTGTTCATTCAGCTAAAGCATGGGAGGGGGTTGTCTTCTGTGGTTCTCTAGCCATGGTCCTTGTGGTAGCCTTTAACTGTGATTTGTTTGTTTGACCTTGATGAGTCCTTGGCTCCAAGATGATTATGTTACATTACACTGAATCACTCAATCCAACATTGGTTTGAAAAGAAACGAACAAAGCTGCCTGTTGAGTTTCTCTATTTTACAACAGTATCTCAGTGGAAATAATTAGTCCTATGTCTATGCAGAAGCACACATCACATTTGCAAAATTAAAGAGTGTTCTTGTTAGGACTGGTTTCTCTGTTTCTTTCTTCCTCTCCCACTGTTTAAATATCTATTTTGGTGGTAGTGTTAGTATGAAACCCCATAGTTCCTTTCTTTTCTTTTCTGATTTAAAAAGCAAATAAACAAGAAAACACAAGTCTAGCTATGTTTTTTAACTCAAGATGACTAGATATAACCACAGCAAATATGTAGGATTGTTGTGTTTTAAGAGAAAAAGCCGTGTCTCAGATAATTTGTAGTCATTGTTTTGTCCATTTTGACATCTACTTCTTTATATACTTTATAGCCAAACTAGAGTATAGTGATAATAAGGATGATCTCTAGACAGAAGGTTGGAGGTGGTTAATAACTCATCCTACATATCACAATTTTTCATGGTGAGTAACTGGTTTGCCCTCCACACAAAATATCACATTGGAATGTAACTGCTAAGGTTCTTCACACTATGGAAAAATTACCAGTAAAGTTAAACACTGCCTTTCAGTGGGTATATTAATTATAAAGACAAAACTATAGTTTATGTTGCATAATTTGAACATACATATTTCCTTATGAATCTGTAAGCTGGAACTATTGAAATGAAATATACAAAGTGAGCACGTGTTGCTGTTGAGCCAGCAGTTACAGTTTTCATTTACAAATGCGGACAGAACCATTTGCGCATTTTGGTCTCTCTGCTTTGGGTCCTGCACTCACACTCCAATATGCACCTAAGTTATGGGGTCATGTTGAGGTTCCAGACTGCAGAAGGGGATCGAATTATGTTTCATTGTATTGAGTCACAAATATTTCAATGTAAAGTAAAAATTTTGGAAGTTTTACGTAACAGAATATACCTTACAGGAACAGTAGATAGGTATAAAATGACTTCGGTTTGCATAACAAAGAAATAATTGTGATGAGTACCAGACTGTGAAGTCCCTGAGGCAAGGTTATCATTTGTTTTCTGGCACATGAGAGGCATACAAATTTATTTTTGCTGAATAAATAAATATTGTCTTCAAATCTTTACATTTCCATTCTAGAAATATGCTAAAAAAGCTAATCTGTAATAGATATAGAGTTAGCACATGACAAAGTTATAGCTGCTTTGTGATTTTTTTAAAATAAAGAACATGTATTTGCATTAAGAAAAATAAGTGTGGCCGAAGTGAATATTTTTTTATAAGAGCAACCTAATGGTAACCAATGTTTCATCCAAAATTTTCAGCTATACTCTTATATTGCCTTATATCACTTGATGACAATGTATTTTGTTAAGAAGATGATGTTATCATGAGGTATAATTCAATATTATATCAATTCTGTTACTGTTGAGATAACATAAGAAAGAAATATCAACTCTTTTTCTATATTCTCCACAGAACTGAAGAAAACAGAGGACTATTATGTTACTATTTCCTAAATAAAGACCAATATGATAAATTCCTTATATTCAGTGAGAGGAAAGAAGTTGCTTACCGAATGTACTGATATATGCTTCCTTTTTTCAGAAAACAACAACATCAACCAAAACACCTGTATAATTATTACATGAATTTTTTTTTTTTTTTTTTTTTTTGATATGGAGTTTCAGTCTTGTTGCCCAGGCTGGAGTGCAATGGCATGATCTCATCTCACCGCAACCACTGCCTCCCGGGTTCAAGCAATTCTCCCACCTCAGCCTCCTGAGTAACTGGGATTACAGGGATGTGCCACCACGCCTGGCTAATTTTTGTGTTTTTAGTAGAGACAGGTTTTCTCCATGTTGGTCAGGGTGGCCTCGAACTCCCGACCTCAGGTGATCTGCCCGCCTCGGCCTCCCAAAGTGCTGGGATTACAGGCGTGAGCCACTGCACCCGGCCATATTACAAGATTTTTTTTTTTGCGTTTACTGCCAGGAAGCTCTGCTTCATTAAAAGAAGCCTCTAAGATTCACCTCTTCCTTCCTTTACCAATTTATTTCTGATACTTCTTGACCCAGTATTTCAAATGTGATAAATATATGCCAATTATAAAGCATGTCAAAACCAATTAATTGTCTAAATCTAAGTCATGCTTTTTAAGTGGAAATAAACTTTGTGTCCATACACATATATTTGCCTATAAACATCTTAAAAATATATCTAAACTTCGGACAATTTTAAAAAGAGAGTATTGAATTTTAAATGGATTCTTTGCTTATATTGATGGTAAACAGTGGATCCATTAAAGTAGCATATTCTGCTGGTGTAAATAAAATATAAGATTTAAGTGGGTTAAAAAGATATAATATTTACTTGTTCCTTTTAAGAAACAAGTTGAAGAAACAATAAAGCTTGAAGCCTGTATAGTCAGATATATGAACCCATAAAGTAAATCATTTGTGAAGTGTCTTGAACTCTTTCTAATTTCATCTTGATGTTGTACTGCTTATATGAAAATGCTGAAAAATGTTACTTCTTAGATACTGCTAGAGGTGCTAAGCTTCTTACCATTCAGGAATCTTCTTCTTGGCTCTCTCCGTCACCCAGCCAACACAGAGTTATGTTTTATTTCCCAAATGGCCAACTTATGTTAACTTGATGCTTACCAAGGCAGTCCAAGCCAGGAAACAATTTTTATAAACAGCATCCTGGATGACTTAATATTCTATGTAATATTAATTTTAGAGCTTTTTCTCCCATCATCTAGTCTAGCATAGCTAAAATTATGATGTTTAACTTTGTTGATCTACAGTCACTTGTGAATGAGATCTCCCAACCAGGAAGGAAGGAAAGATAGGAAAATCAGAGTGGTCTGTTTGCAGCTGTGCTAGCACATGTTTCCTTGAGTGCCTTCTGAAGGAAGAGTGGATAGAGATGTATCTTTCAGGGCCATTGCCTTTCTAGCATTATTGATCGTATCACATGGGCAAAAGAAAAAGAAACAATAGATTTTATGACAAAAGTTATGTAAAAAGGGGCTGAAATCAGTATTTTGAAAGTTGTGACTAATTAACAGTGGCTTTCTGAGAAGTGAGATGGGATTCAAGACAGTGGCCATTGTGTATGTATTTCTAAGAGCCATCTGGATGCTCCTTTTTATTTGTGTTTTTGGCTTATTCACTCATTTATTCCTTTATTCACTGATTACTAATTGAATACAAAGTCTCTGTCGATTTGTTCAAAGATATTAAAGAAGCCCTAAATCTATGGAAAGACATCTTCTGTTGATTAGTTGCAAGATGTAATATTGTTAAGTGGGATACTCCCCAATTTGATATATAGATGCAAAGCAATCCCTATCAGAATCTAAGCTGGCTTCTTTGTAAGAATTGACAAACATCCTTAAATTCACGGATGTTCAAGAGACCCAGAATTGCCAAAATCATCTTGAAAAAGATGAGGAAGTTTCCGACACACACTTCCTAGTTTCAAAACTTTCTTTCAAATGACAGCAATCAAGCAGTGTGATATTGGCCTAAGATATACATAAAGATCAATGGAGTAGAATTGAGAGTCCAGAAATAAACCATTATGTTTATGGACAATTGATTTTCAACAGGGTGTTGTGACGTTCAAACAGGGAAAAAATAGTTTTCTCAACAAATGATGCTGGAACCACCAGATATCTACAAAGAGTAAAGCTGGACTCCCTACCTCATAGTGTAAGACACAAATGTAAAGGATAAAACTATACAACTTGTAGAAGAAAATATAGAAGTGAGGTTCATGAAATTGGGTTAGTCAGTGGTTTCTTAAACATGACATCAAAGCACAAACAACTGAAGAAAAAATAGATGAGTTGGACTTCCTCAGAATTAACCAAATTTGTGCTTCAAATGACACCATCAAGAAAGTGAACAAACAATCCGTGGAATTTGCAAATCATGTATCTGTTAAGGGGCTTATATCTGGAATATATTAAGATTCTTACAACTCATTAAGAAAAAGACAGCCCAATTAAGTAAGAAACAAAGTATCTGAATAGACATTTCCCTAAGGATATACAAGTGGATAATATGCCTAGGAAAAGATGCTGGACATATTTATTGATCAAGGAAATGCAAGTCAAACCACAACGAGATATCACTTCACGCTCACTAAGGTGGCTATAATAAAAAAAGACAACATGTGTTGGCAATGTGGTAGAGAAATTGAAAACATCATACGTTGCTGGTGGATTGTAAAATGGCATAGCCCTTTTGGAAGCAATCTGTCAATTCTTCAAAATTGGTCATAGTTACCACATGACCAAGCAATTATATTTCTATTTATGTATCCAAGGGAATTAAAATATATGACCACACAAAGACCTGTATAGAGATGTTCATAGCAACATGATTCATAACAGCCTAAAAGTGGGAACAACCTAAATATCTATCAGTTGGTGAATGGATAAACAAAATGTGGTGTATCCATACAATTGAATATTACTCAGCCATAAAAAGGAACGAAGCTCTGCAACATGCTACGATATGGATGAACCTGGGAAACATTATGCTATACGAAAGAAACCAGACAAAAGCGACCACAGTTTATGATTCCATTTATATGAATGGGCAAATCCAGAGACCCAGAAAGATGAGTGGTTGCCAGTGGCCAGGGGGAGGGGACAATACAGAGTGGCTACTAATGGGTACAGGATTTCTTTTGGAAAGGTGATTAAAGTATTCTGGAATTTGCTGCACAATTCTTTGAATATACTAAGAATCACTAAATTGTGCATTTTTAAAGGGCATATTTTATGGTATGTGAATCATGTCTTAACTAAAAAATTTGTTTTAAAAGGCTCTGTATTGAATAATTTGCCTAGAATACACACATGGCATTGGGAGTGGCCTCCACTCTGAATAAGCTTACAATCTCTTGGGGAAAAATGCAATCTAACAGTTATAGTACTTAAGCGTACATGGTAAGAAAGAAGCACATGGAGGGTGCTTATTGAATGGGAAAAGGAAGAAATCTACCTGGATGATCACAGAAGGTGTTTGGTGGATAGGGAGTATTTGCAAGAAGAATCCGACTCTCGTGTAGCTTGAGAAAGCAGAATGAAAACCCGTATCTAGGAACTGAGGAAGGCAGTCAGCAATGTAAGGTCAATATTTTTCTAAAAGTAATGGCAGCTGAAGTACAACTTAGGCTGCCTGAGAAGAGAGCAAGTTTTCCTTCATTGGAGCATTTGAAATGACACTCTGGTATTTACAAGGTGAATTATTCACACTCTTTAAATCTCAGTGTTCTGAGTTGATAACACATTTCAGAGTTGACATGAGGACCACAAGGAATAATAAGTGTGTGTTTAATGTGAAAATACAATATCTTGTACATAATAAACAGTTATTACTGTTGGTCTCACCACCAACATCATTATCAAATGAATCTTGGCAGTAATTCTGGGAAAGGAATTTAGGCAACAGATGGGAGCTCATTTGAATGATGCTAGGATTTCATGGTACTCCCATTGTTGGTTACAGAACTCCAAGAACTCTCATTCTTGGAGTTTTCTGTTTCCTCATATAAAACTTGGAAGGAAGAACAGAAGACCTTCATTCTGTTCCAGGCCCTTAAATTGATTATTTCTGTGCCTAAAGCAAACTGCTCAGCCTCAATCATGACTTTGCACAATTTGCTGTGATACCTGGTATAGATGTTTCATTTGTTAAAGTTGTTACTGACAAGAACCTCCAATGACCTTGGAACATGACCTGGCCCCTGTGGGTATCAGTAGAATTTTGGTGAACACTGAGAAGTCTCTGAGTTTCTTTCAATCTGGGCTTCTTTCAGTTGGTTTGCAAACTGGACTTGTGGAATTAGATGATCTCTCATGCCCATTCTATCTTTGAGTTGGTATTATTTTTGCCCCGTATTAAAGAAAAACTATATTGATATTTCTTTCTTTGCTTTTGTTATTTCACTATAGAAAATTTTGTTTTAACATTCGGTTGGAGTTGATGATATACAACCCAATTATATGGATTTGTTATATGCAAACATAAGGAAGTATTCACAAATTTAAAGACCAAGTTCATGTTGTTCAAGATAATGTGAACCCAAATTCATTGTGCTCAGGATAATTTGGAACTAATTTCATAGAGTTTAAGATATATTATAGTAATTAAAATCATGGATTTTGGGAGCACACTCCCCTGACTCTAAATATGTGGCCTGGGATGTCACTTAAACATTTTGTGCCTCAGTTCTTTTATCTCTATAATGAAGACCATTATAGTATCTATCTCCCAGGATTGTAATGAGGACTAAATGAGTTTCCATGTATAAAGCACTTGAAACAGTGTTTGACATATTTAGCACCATATGCATTAGAAGATCTTATTGTTAGCTGCGTGCTTATTCTTAAATTGTCTGAGTTACTGCTTTTATATAAGAAGATTGACTTATAAATTTGGCCCATGATGTCCCATCCAACTCTCTGAAATAGATTATCTACCTCTTTTCAGCTGGGCATCTTACTTATGATATCTGAGGACATCTCTCTGTTCTTGTGCTTTGCCCAGCCCCCTTTGGTTTCTAATGCATGGAGCCAAAAGCTACAGCTAGAGCCATAATGGTCTTGTCCTACCATCTGAAAGACATGTTGATTGCTAGAATGTTTCTGTGGTTAACAAGATAATTCCTCTGATAAGTGAACAACCTTCACTTAAATGCAAAAATTATGACTCATAGATTATTAATTTGTCACAATTTACTAACCCTATCATTGGCCTATTGATGTAAGTTATTCTTGTCACGCTTCACCTACCCAGACGCTAAAGCATGTAAAGCAATAGTTAAGTTTATTGTTCATCTGATTGACCTGGAGGGCTTGTTAAATGCCATTACTGGGCTCTACCTTATGTTTTCAATTCAGTAGGGCTGGAGTGAGGCTCAATAATTTGTATTTCAAGTGTTGCTCTGGTGTGGACCACACTTTGTGAACCCTTTAAAGCTTCTTGTCAGTCACATGTTTGTAAGCAGCACTGTCTTCCTCTGTTCTCTTATTTCTATAGCTGCACACCCTTAAGGCTTGCCCTAGTGTCAAAAGTGGATGCTAGTTTTATGTCTTTTTTCTAGAGGAGGAAAAACCATAACCTAGAGAAGTATCTTTCCCTGCATACATAGTACATTGACAGAATCTGGAAGATGCCCTTTAAAAAAAAAAAAAGTAAAGATTTGTACCTGCCATTCTGTCTTTCAGAATTGTAAATTTATGTTTATTGATATTAAATATGCCTGTAATCCCAGCACTTTGGGAAGCTGGGAAGGGCGGATCACCTGAGGTCAGGAGTCCAAGACCAGACTGGCCAACATGTTGAAATTCTCTTTCTAATAAAAATACAAAAATTAGCTGTGCATGGTGGCGGGCACCTGTAATCCCAGCTACTTAGGAGGCTGAGGCAGGAGAATTGCTTGAACTCAGGAGGTGGATGTTGCAGTGGGCCGAGATTGCACCCCTGCACTCTAGCCTAGGTGACAAGAGCGAAACTCCATCACACACACAAAAAAACAAAAACAAAACAAATAAAAATTGTATAGATTTATGGTGTAGAACATGATGTTTGATATATGTATACATTGTGAAATGGCTAAATCAAACTAATAAAAATTTGCATTACCTCCCATATTTATTTTTTGTGGTGAGAAAACTTAAAATCTCCCAACAAATTTATAATACACTTGCATCTGCAATTCTTGAAAGAACTATTAGGTTTGGAAAACTAGAATTCCGAATTCAGTTCTGCCATACCTAGAAACGTGAATGTCAACTGTTTGATCTCTCTGAACCTCATTTTCTTTGTCCATGATATTAATACCTCCTCTGCTTATCATATATGATATTGTGAGAAGTAAATGACACATTGTACATTAAAGTGCTTTGTGAACTATAAAGCGCTATACAAAGATTATTTTGCATTCTCATCCCAGTTGTCACACACAATATCTTGTTAAACATCATCTGTTTTATGATAGGCACATCCTTCTCTCTCTCAGCTAGGGTAAATATTGACTTTTCTAACTGTTTTCAGGAAGGAAATAGTGCACTGTGAACTACTTGCCTTGTGCACAGAATCCTTTTATTTCCCTCCTGTGATTATTTTTTCTTTTCTAGTCTCTTGCTTTTTAAAGTAAACAATTAAGAAGCTTGTCATTTAGCCATTTATGCATCTAAACACTTTTGTATATGTGAGATGTGGTCACAAACATAAACATATATTATGAATTTTTCTCATAACATCCTTTTATGCAAGACATCCTACACACCACATGTATTAAGAATGAAGTGAGTTGCTGTTTTGCCTGAAATGCATTATTTTTTGTTTTTGTTTTTGACGTTTGACTTGGAAAAGGGAGTTGAGTTGAGCCAAGAGCAATGGGTCCTCTTCCCAGTTGTGTAACCAGCAGGTTGTGTTAGGTAAGTCAGCTCCTTTCTTGAAGCCTCAGGTACATTTGTACATAGATCGAAATCTAGTCTTTTCTCATGCCTTCCACTCTCAATGTCTGTGTTCTCAGTGTTAAAAGGAAGTTTCAGAAGATGACCTTCACCTTGATGAAGAAGTCCGAACAGAGTATCCCCATTTATCTATCTCTATTCTGCTAAGATACTTTTCTTTTCATGCCTCAGGTCTGACTGCTCTTTGCAATTCAGCCTGTTGCAGTGAAGCTCTGACATGTCTTTCCTTTAGGATGTGACTGGTCTTCACTAGGACTCTCAATTTCTTAGGGCTTACGTTTCTGTTAGTATGATCGGAAATAGAAGAGGCCATGTCCTGCCTTTAATCCCCTGGGATAGAGATGTTGGTGGATTGGGGGATTGAGGGGTGGAGAGGCTTTTATATTTTTAGTGAGTCTTTCCCTTTAGTGATTTTCAGAGCATCTCCCTATTAGTGCACAGTAAGAAGTATTTGTTCTTTTTGCCATGCAACAAATTGCTTAAAAACCAAGCAGCTGAAAACGCGTATTTTCTCTTTGTTCTTGGTGAGACAGGAATCTGTATATAGCTTAGCTGGACCACCAACTTCTTGGTCTTTCACAAGGCTGCAATCAAGGTTTTGACTCAGTCTGCACTTGTATCTGAAGGTTCAACGGGAGAACGATCAGCTTCCTTGCTTAGGTGGTTTTTAATTTTTTTATATGGTTCGATTTCTTCCAGGCAGTTGCATAAAGTGCTTTAGTTTATATCTGGTTGTTGGCTGGAGTCTATCCTCAGTTATTTGTCATGGGAGCCTCTCCATGTGGCATCTCACTACATCAAAGCATGGAAGCTGAGCAAGCAATAGGTAGAGTTTGATTACAAGATGGAAGCCATAATCATTTGAAACCTAAATGTGGAGGGGACAGCCCATCACACTTACCATAGTCTGTTTGTTTGAAGTAAGTGACTAGGATTAGCCCACACTAAGAAAGATGGCATTGTAAAAGAATGTGAAGCCCAGGAATTAAGAATACTAGGGGGAATCTTATAAACCTGCCGATCACAAAAGAGAGTGAGGTTAGACTTACTGTCCACAGGGATTTAGTGCAAATGTAAGTTTATTTGTAGAATCTGTCAAGTCAGAAAGCAGAGGAGGCATGTGGGGTATCATGAGAAGAATAGAATCTGGAAGGAGTAACAGGTAATGAAAGGTACTAACAGATGTAGGAAGAACTCCAGAATTTAAGAAAGTTATACCTGAATGTGGTTTAGGAGGTCTTTTGATCTAACCACCTCCATTTCTCAAGGAGTCCAAAGCATATAGAGGGCCTTACTCAGGCCAGAAGTTGTGGCTGAACAATGAGTTGGAACAAAGTCCACAAACTCCTGACTTAGTACAGATTTTCAGCTTGATGTAATGAATATAGCTCTGGATTTGGAGTGAAAAGATACACATGTTCAACTTTTGATTTGCCTCTGAGTGGCTGTGTCACCCTGAGCAAGTGATAAGTAAAGGAAGCTTGATATATGGTTACCCAGTTTATAACATGAAGCTATCATTATCATGTATATTCATTTATGTCTGATGAACATATTAACTTTTCTTTATGAAAATTCTTTGTAAGCTGACATGAACAGACACTTCTCAAAAGAAGACATTTATGCAGCCAAAAAACACATGAAAAAATGCTCATCATCACTGGCCATCAGAGAAATGCAAATCAAAACCACTATGAGATATCATCTCACACCAGTTAGAATGGCAATCATTAAAAAGTCAGGAAACAACAGGTGCTGGAGAGGATGTGGAGAAATAGGAACACTTTTACACTGTTGGTGGGACTGTAAACTAGTTCAACCATTGTGGAAGTCAGTGTGGCGATTCCTCAGGGATCTAGAACTAGAAATACCATTTGACCCAGCCATCCCATTACTGGGTATATACCCAAATGACTATAAATCATGCTGCTATATAGACACATGCACACGTATGTTTATTGCGGCACTATTCACAATAGCAAAGACTTGGAACCAACCCAAATGTCCAACAATGATAGACTGGATTAAGAAAATGTGGCACATATACACCATGGAATACTATGCAGCCATAAAAAATGATGAGTTCATGTCCTTTGTAGGGACATGGATGAAATTGGAAACCATCATTCTCAGTAAACTATCGCAAGAACAAAAAACCAAACACCGCATATTCTCACTCATAGGTGGGAATTGAACAATGAGATCACATGGACACAGGAAGGGGAATATCACACTCTGGGGACTGTGGTGGGGTCGGGGGAGGGGGGAGGGATAGCATTGGGAGATATACCTAATGCTAGATGACACGTTAGTGGGTGCAGCGTACCAGCATGGCACATGTATACATATGTAACTAACCTGCACAATGTGCACATGTACCCTAAAACTTAAAGTATAATTAAAAAAAAAAACATTAAAAAAAAAAAAGAAAATTCTTTGTAAGCTATAAAAGCCTTTAGAAAAAAAAGTAAGCTTTGTTTAAATTATTAATGTGTAGGTTGAGGCAAAACAAGCACTCCCTTTTGACAGAAGGGATAAGTACTGGTTCATATAAATACAATTTTATCTCCATCTGTATCTGTATCAGCCATTTATTTCTGCTTGATAAATTATCCCAAAGCTTAGTAATGTCTACCTTACTCACATATCTGCAATTTTGATAGTACTCCATGAAAATAGCTTAACTCTGTTCTGTGAAATGAGCCCATGTGCCTCGATTTGGGTGCAGAGGATTCACTTTCAAGATGCTTTACTCATGGCTGGCAGTTTGGTGTTAGAAGTGCGACTAGAGTTGTGTGTCAGGACCTTAGTTTCTCTTAATGTGAGTTCCTCTACAGGCTCCTAGGGCTTTCTTACAGCATGGTGGATGAGTTCCAAGGCCAAGTATCACAAGAGAGAAAGGTAGAAATGCCAGCATTGTTATGACTTAGTTTTAGAACTTACACAGAGTGTCCTTTCTACTATACACTGTTGATTGAGGTCCACCTGGGCTCAAAGACAGGGGGTTAGTCTCCACCTTTGTTGTTGGGGTTGTAGTAAGGCTCCAGACAAGTTTGTGGGCAAGAGACACTGTCGTGACCATCTGTGTACAGTACAGCCTGCCATTATATTGTATTTTATTGCATTGTATCACATTTTACTACATCATATTTTAATGTTTTATGTTGTATTTGTTTCCATTTGTGGAGGACTTAATATCTGCCAGACATGTATATTCTGTATTAAAGTTGACTTAATTCTCACAACAACCCTGTGATGACGTGGTCCTTCTCATTTTCACCAACGAGAAAACCAAGTTATAAAGATGGTAAGTAACTTGCCTAAGGTCAAACCAGCTCATAAGTGGCAGAGTTCAGGTTCAAAACCAGGCAATCTAGTTCTGGATCCCATACTTTTCACCACTCTGCCAGATTATTTCTATGTTGTTATCTGTTTTTATGTCTTAAATAATATTTATGCCATGCTGTTACTAATCACCATTTCCATCCCTGTCTCTGTATCTCAGTTAGAGAAAGTGGGTAGATAAGGACTGGATATCAGACTGGATAGGGAGGAAACACATGCAGGAGTATCATTACCTTTGAGAGAGGTGGGTCTGAGCTTGTCCCTAAGTGCTCCTGGACCAGTTCTAGGAGATCTCAAGAAAAGAAGCAACGTAACATTTCACTAGTTCCATACAGAGTTTATATTGGCCTTAATGATTTTGCCTTTAATTTAATAAGACATATGGGAGTCTACGGAATCTAGGGAAGGCAGCTGAGTAAGTAACGATATTTTTAAAAAAATTGGAAATAGGGGCCAATATTTGAAGACTAATGAAATTCAGGGGCATCTATTCTCGTTCCACAAAAGTTTAGCTATCTGGTATTCCATCTGGTGATCTATTCAATCAATTAACTCTTCCATATTGGGATGTTTGTCAGAGTCCAGCTTACAAATTGAGGAAATCCACAGTCACTTGTGAGCTAGTTTGTATCAGTTATTAAAATTTACTTATTTATTGTAAACTTCATCAAACCAACAATTGTTAAGCCCCTACTGAATGCAGGACACTGCAGATTACAATCAAGGGGAACACAGTTTATACCCTTTCTCACACCACAAGGGACTTCTACTGTAAGAAAAAGATGTGTAAAGCCATAACGACAAGAATATGTGATAAATATGATAATGAATCTATGAACAAGGCTGTATGGATGCCTAGCGGAAGGTGCTCCAATATTCTCCTGGAGAGGTCAGAGGGGGCTTTTCAGAGCATTTAAGCATATATATTACAGGAACTGGAAATGTTCAGCCCAGTTGGAGCTTAGAAAATGTAGGGCAAGTGATAAGCCTGGAAAGGAAGGCACGTAGATATGTTTCTGCAAATGCATTCCCTCCTTCTGTCTTCCTGTCTGCCTTATATACACAATGATGACTCAGTACCAGGAATCTCAGGAAACAAACAACACACATGCACAATATAAATTCCTCTACAATCCCTCTATTTATCCTCAGTGCAAAACCTCAATTAACTAATAGCTCATCTGAAAACTGTCAGGGCTAGAAAGTCCCATAACCCCTCAGGATAAAATCACACCAACCGTAAGTTACTTAGGCTCTCCAAGGTCAGCCTCCTTTTATCTAGCTTCCCTCTTTTTATAAAGCTGCGGGCCTGTCTCTAACAGGATCATGTGGTAACATTCATGATTTGCAAGAGCTTTACTGCTACAAAGCACATTTGCAATACACTGTCTCTTTTTTTTACTTGGCATTTGCGATTTAATTGTTAACCCACCTGATATATAGTGAAATTGTGGCCCAGAAATGTGAAATGACTGCTCTTAATTTTTACAAAAATAAAACAAAATAATCTAATCCTTAAAGTCGTGTCTTCTTTTGCAAAATCCTAGTACATTTTTAGTACATCAGTTGTGTTCCGTAGCTGGGGACTCTGTTCAAGTGAACCTTAATAAGAAGTGTGATGTATAAAATGGCAGAGTTTGAGGTGTTCTGACTGAAATAAGGAGTCTGGGCTCTGGAGCGTGGCTGAGCATCTTCTTGCTCACTCCAGAAACGGCCCTGAGGCTTCTTCATGTCTAGTGTTGTGAAAACCACTCAACTGCAGTGTGCTTATTACCTATGTCTAACCTTGGAGCACTCAGAAAAGACCTAATGCTTATTTTACTGTCTGAAGTGGGAAGACAGCCATTGTTAACGTGGGATCTCCCCTAGCATTCTCCTTCTGATCCTAGCGTAAATTCCTGTGGATCAAAGCCCAGCCCCTGAGACTGTAACAGAGAGAATAAAAGAACAAGAAGATGGTGAAGGCGATATGGTGTGGTAGATGGAGCATGTGAATTCTCCTAGTTCTGCTTCTAACTCACTTTTTGATTTTTAGCAGGCAAGCTATTTCACTTCTCTTGTGCCACGGTTTCCATTCATAAACTAGGGAACTGGACTTCTTGTCTCCTCACCGTCTGATTAAAAACATTCCGTGGTGATTCCTTTTCTTGGTAAGACACATAGCTTAGTCCACCTCAGGTCCCAAAAGGAGGATCAACCTTAGTGTTTTACGCTCTCTAATATGACCTCTTGCGGTCGATGTTTTAGAGGTATCTATCATATTGCATGGATTGAGGGAGTTTGACCTGTTGAGCTGGGCGAGTTATCACCATGCAGCACTTCAGGTGCTTACTCTCTTTTTATCCATGCATTGGTTCATTGGATTCAAACATTTCATTAGACTTCCTGCCTTCTTTTGGGGGGATATTTTGAATTTGGGGATAATAAGTTTAGAAATCTTTGGGATGAAGAAGAGGAAAGAGAAGGCAGAAAAGGAGGGCCATGACTATAACATTTATCAGCAACTGTGCCTCTTCCAGAAGAATCAGGATGGACTGGATTTGAATATAAAAAGTAGGAAGAGAGGCAAGGCAGAAACTGGGAGAGGCCGCAGATGGTAGTGATTGCAGATCCTTTATAAAATGCTGCATGTTTCAACTTTCCTCTGCCCAACACTATCAAGTGAGATGGATCCTTGGAGGTCTTTGGGTCCAGTCCTCAAGGAATCAAAATTACATCTAGGTAGTAGGAATAGGTTCTAGTGTTCTATACCACGTGGGATAACTATAGTTAGCAATAATGTGTGATGTAGTTTCAAATAACTAGAAGGCAGATAGTTAATGTTTTCAACACAAAGGAAATGATAAATATTTGAGATGATGAATGTGCTAATTACCCTGATTTGATCAATATACATTATATGTATGGAATTTCACTGTGTACCACATGAATAGGTATAATTATTTTTAATTTAAAAAAAGCAGTTTCTCATGTAAGCTGGATGTTGCTGGATAGTTTAACAGAAGTCTGTATAGCCTTGTTGTATTTTAATCATTTTATCTTTTTTTTTGGCCTGGAAAATATTAAGTTAGAATGGCTGTGCTGGAATACATCATCCCCACCTGTATATTAAAGCTCTGTGTTATTTAAAAATTTGTCTAAGAAACCTATAAATTGATGGAGCCTCACTGTGGTGGTTCTACTTCTCTATTTTGTGTGTTTGTTTGTTTGTTTGTTTTTTGGTCTGGTGCCATTGAGCCACTGTCTATAGGAATAAAAGGATGTTAGCATGACTGATAGTTCAGTGACCTGTAAGTAGCGATTTTAAAGAAAAATTTTATAGGTCTTTGTTAGTTCCAAATCTGACTACCTGTTAATTCTGCTTTATAGTCATGCTCTGACTTTACCATGAAGGCTGTAGCATTGTGCTTTATCTCCTTGTCTCCAGAGTACAAGATCTTGGTAAGAGAAAAGAGTGATAAACCCAAAAAATACAAACTCAGTTTACCTGAGACTGAGTAGCACAGAGGTCTCCACTACCACTCATTTCCCTCTTCACATGGCAATGGAACTTTTCATTAAAAATAAATTGTATTTACTCATGTATATTCTTATGCTAAACTGATACCCTTTTTCACAATGGATAAAACAACAATAAATGTTTGCAGCCTCGCACATCAATTCTCGAACCCTGTTCTGCAATTTCTGGCAATAAAAGGCCTTGCTTAGTGTGCATTAAAATCTTGGTTCTAAAGTCAGTGTCTACTTTCATAGAAAGTATAGTTTGTGACCTCTGTTACTATATTTTCACCAGCAATTTGCACACTTGTCATGAGGCTTTCTCTTTGTATGGGTCTTAGATAATGCAGTATCTTGACATGGTACTTCTATGGTAAGACAAAGAGGATGCTGTTTTTGTATTAATGCGACCAAAATATTTCAAAGCCAATCTTACAGAATCCCCCTATTGGACATCCCCCATAAATTTTTTAATGGAACAAAACCCCTCTGTGAGAAATAACAATTTGTATACGATTTCAAAGGCATAATTCAAACTATAGCTGAATAAGAAAAATAATACAGGATCTAACAAGGCAACACTTAATGAAAAATCAAGGGCCAGGTGCAGTGGCTCGTGCCTGTAATCCCAGCACTTTGGGAGGCCGAGGCGGGTGGATCACAAGGTCAGGAGATCGAGACCATCCTGGCTAACATGGTGAAACCCCGTCTCTACTAAAAATACAAAAATTTAGTTGGGTGTGGTGGCATGTACCTGTAGTCACAGCTGCTGGGGAGGCTGAGGCAGGAGAATCGCTTGAACCTGAGAGGCGGAGGTTGCGGTGAGCCGAGATCACGCCACTGCACTCCAGCCTGGGTGACAGAGCAAGACTCCATCTCAAAAAAAAAAAAAAAAAAAAAAATCGAACAAGTCTTTGGATATTAACCATAGTGATCATGCCCTAAGTATGTATTTACTTTAGGTAAATCTTAGTAAAGCAGGAATTAGCTGGTTAGCTGCACTTACTGGCTTTAGGTTGCTGGTTAGTTAACTGGAAAGGCTGTTAGTTTAGAGGTGATACGACACATAGATTATGGTTTAAAAAGGTTGCAGCCCTTATTTCTAGAATGTATTCAATGGTATCTGTGCTGCCTAACCCATAGGGTTATGTTTTAAACGATATGATATAAATGTGTTATACTACATTTTGAAACGTTAGTTGGTGTCACTATATCTTTTGGCAAAGAGTCTCCTTATGAACTTCAGGGAGCTTGTTTCTACAGAAGGAGTTTGGTTCATAAGATGTTTTCCATAAGAATTATATAAATTTTTATATAAAAAAGTAGTGCCCAAACTATTAACTCATGGAGAGAGATCAAATTCTGGTCTTTTTAAAATTAAGCTCTATTAGTCCATTTTCACACCGCTGATAAGGACATACCAGAGACTGGGAAGAAAAGGATATTTTATTGGACTTACAGTTCCACATGGCTGGGGAGGACTCAGAGTCATGGCGGGAGGCGAAAGGCACTTCTTACATGGCAGTGGTGAGAGAAAATGAGGACGATGCAAAAGCAGAAACCCCTGATAAAACCATCAGATCTCATAAGACTTATTGACTACCACGAGAACAGTATGGGGGAAACTGCCCCCATGATTCAAATTATCTCCCACTGGGTCTCTCCCTCAACATGTGGGAATTATGGGGTAAAAGTCAAGATGAGATTTGGGTGGGGACAGAGCCAAGCCATATCACAAGCTTAGTGAGAAACCTAATTGCTTATATACTATCTATTATTTTCAAATTCATTTTAATATTTTGGATTCTTATCCAACTAAGAGATATAGGGAACAAATGCTGTAATAATCACCCATCTGTAAAATATGGACCTTCTCATAGGGAACTTACGTTTTAGTAGGGAAAATATAACATATACACTAATAGAGATTACAGAGTAGGAGGTCCTTTACAGAGTAAAAGGAGAATGGAGATGTACAGTTTGGTGTGTACTGTGGGTTGAGGAAGATTGTGTGTTGCGGAAGATGGTGACAGCTACTGACGAGTCACTTTCTGCCATAGAGATCAATTTTCCATTGGTCAATTGTGGACATTCACTAATGTAGGTTGGAGTGATGCTTCAGGAGCAGACATGGCATAAACTATTTCAGGAAACCATAAACAGCTTAGCTTTATCTTCAGAGTAGGGTATGAAAAGGGAGAGACCAATGGTAAAAATCCAAATTAGAATGATGTGATGCCATCTTGGAGGCCCTTGTAAGTCAAGCAAAGGAGTTTGTGCAAAAAGTTTGAACATTAACAACAACAAACAAACAAACAAACAGAAAACAGAAAAAAATATTGCATTGTATCTGTGGGACCTTCCCATCCTTAGGTTTTAATTTTCCCCTCTGTCAAATGAGAGATTTTACTTGATAATCTCCAAAATTGTGACCAGCTCTAATGTTTTACAATTCCCAGAATTATTACATCTTAACTTCTCCCTGAGAATTATTTACTGATCACATAGTAGAACTGAAGTGATTTCTACAGTAGCTCTATAGCTAGCAACCCAGCATTGGATAAACTCAAGGAATGAAAAATCTAGTGTGTGCTGGGGTTGGGAGGGTAGTCATATATTACTGATTTAACTGTCATCTGGAAAACTTTATGGGAACTAAGTAGAGGATGCCATAAGGACCATTAACTGCTCCTAAGATATGATGAGCAAAGACTGGAGAATAGGAGTGGGCCTAGTCTACAGATTAGTTTTCTATTATTGCTGTAACAAGATACCACGAAATTGGTGTCTTAAAACATCACAAATTTCTTATCTTACAGTGCTGTAGGTCAGAATTCTAGTCCAGGACTCACTGGGTTAAGATGAAGGTGTCAGCAGAGCTTCGTTCCTTTCTGGAGGCTCTAGTCATAGTCATTACCTTTCCCAGCTTCTAGAGGCTGCCCATATTTCTTGGCTCTCGGACTCTGTCTTTCTAGTGACATTGCATTTCTCTGACCACTCTTTCATAGTCATGTCTCTCTGACCACAGCTGGGAAAGATTCTTTGCTTTTAAGAACTCATGTGATTAGATGAGGCTCACCTGGATAATTCAGGCTAATCTCCCTGTCTCAAAATCTTTAACCTTAATCACATCTGCAAAGTCTTTGTAATCAACATGTTCACAAGTTCGAGGAATTAGAGTGTGTACATTCTTGGCGGGGTGGGGAGGGCTGTTCTTATGCTTATCACAGTCTGTTTTTAGGAAAGTAGATAAGTTCACAACGTTAATGCATGGAGGCTGAGATTGTGAGAAGAAATGAAGCAGCCAGTCATAAAGTGTGTTTCGTGCTAATGTAAAGAGTTCTGAAGTTATTCTGATGGCCATAGAGAGCTATTCAATTCTACCTAGTAGAGGAATATTTAATCTATAATGATGTCAAACAATTGAAGTGGGTAGCTTGTGGTACCCAACCATCCTTCGCATTTTAAACATGGGAAAATGAAGACTATTTTTTGACTCAGTATACTTGGGACACATATTAGTGCCATGTACCTATCATTATTTTCCCATATCATGTGTTTTTCTACCCTTTCCTCCTACTTGTTTTTCCTCTAGCCTGTGAGAATGCCATTCATGATTTATAATGTTCTGGGTAAAAAGTTCAGGTAGACCTACATTAAGCAAAGGTAACTCAGATTTGGAAGACTGAAGCTTGGTAGCAGGGAGGGGGTTACTTAGGACAGAGAGATGCCTTGGAATGGCCGCACATTGAGCTCGTGCATGTTGGAGCTGGCATTACCCATGTGAGGAGGTGGATGACCTGTCTATATATTCAACACTAGCTTTTCTTTGAGATCCCCACAAAACAGATCTAGGAAATCTAATGAAAGAATTATCCCTGCTACACCGTGTTTTTAACATAGGAACGGACAGTTAACTTGTGTGTTTGTTCAAGAATGATTCATAATGCAGAAGATGAACTGGTGAATAGAAGAAGCCTAGTAAATTGGAAGATTCTCTTGATGAAACAGAGAAATTGAGATTTATTATTCAGTCACTTCCAATTACACTGTTGTGTTGCAGAGGAAAGCAGCTAAACAGGATGTTGGCTGGTAACACCAGCAAAGTGGAATCAACCTCAAAGGAGATGGTGTCAGAGTGGTGTTCAATGCCTGAGCTTCTACCGAGTGAGTCACTTGTGTGAAAATGTCTTGACACAGATAGAATTGAGGTGCCCACACTATATCTGATCACAGAAATGTTAATGCAGAATAGCAAACTGGCTTTCATCTTCATGGGATTGCAGGCTGGGGGATAAAAGGGGGTGCATTTTTAAAGGTCATCTCTATTGCTTATGAGAAAACAATGTATCACATCCCATGCATCTGTGAGACTGTATATCAAGAATCAGAAATAAATACATTTGAAGGAAAACTGCAAGTTGTTTCTCACGTGTGAATTTGATGCTTTTTTTTAAAAAAAAGAAAGATTTTCTGGAAGAATTTAGCCTCCTGAAAACTTGTTTCTTCTGTGTTGTAGTTGATAATATCTACCACCCACTGTGGTGCATGGAGAGGAAAAACCTTCTATCCCCTACTTTATGTGTTATTGATGTGACATAATTTTTCAGAATAGCCACACAATTTCAAATGTGACTTCTTTTCTAACTTGCAAATAGAGCTGACAACAGCAAGATATGTCCTGTAAACAAACCCCAAAAGAATATTTTTGAACAAGTTGTAGTTCAATTTATACCAGATTATGGAACACTAGAGATTTACAGTGATGCGTTCTTTTATTTAGATGGAATAGGAGAACCCATAGAGTTGAAGCTGTTTGTCTGAAGGTTTGCAGCAGATCAGTGGCTCTGCCAAGCCTGCAACTATCATCACCTGACTCCAAGTTACTCTCTTTCTAGTCCAGCACAGCTGCCTCCCAAGTTTAATAGTCTATGACTCACAATCCAAATCTATGGTGACATATAATATTTTACTTTGATTCCAAATCAACAAGCCAGTTTTAGAAGTGCTTACACTGCTGCATTACTTTTTATACTATTGGGTTCTTCAAGTTGAGTCTTATTTCTAGAACTCCAATAAGAATAACCAGAGGAGTCATTTATTTTGTTATTATGACATATTTATTGAAGACTTATTGGGTGGCAAGCTGTCTTATAGAGGGTGAGGGTACAGCTATGCATAAAACAATGTGTATTTTCTTAAAAGAGTTTATATTACTGTGGGAGAGGCATAGTAAACATGTTAGGTTCTATAGAGAAAAATAAAGCAAGATAAAAGTGAAAGAGTGCTTTGGGTTGAGTGGAGCCATAGTTGCTATTCTGCACAAAGTGGTTAAGAAAAGCCTTAAGAGGAAGAGATATTTGAGGAGAGATCTCAAGGAGGTGAGGAAGTGAGCTCTGCAGATATTTGGGATAAGCATGTTATAGACAGAGGGAAGCACAAGCGTGAAAAGTCTGAGAAGATCATGGCTGGCATCTGGCATTTTTAAGAAAGAGTGAAGTAGCCAAGGGTGCCTGAAGCCAAGTGATCCCAAGGAAGTGAGGAAAAATAAGGTTAGGGAGGTAGCAGGGGCCCTCATGATCACATAGAACCTCATAGGACCTCTTATTCTTAGTTTAAGTGAGATGGAGAGCATTTGGAGTCACATTATCAGGCTTATGTTAAGGATCACTCAGGCAGCTTTCTGTAGGCTATGTGGTAATCCAAACCAGAAGTGACAACACAAACTAGAAATTACAATCAAACTCAAAATGATAGTTGGTTGGACTTGGTAGGTATAGTTGGTGTTGGGGAGGGGATAAGAAGTAGTGGGATTCTGGATATATTTCCATTGCAGCCTCAACAACTATTGTGAGCAGATCAGATGTGGAATATAAGAGTAATAGAAGAGTCAAGAATGGCTCCTAGGTTTTTACCCTGAGCAAGGAGAAGAATGGAATTGCTATTTAGTGAGATTTCTGGAGACAGGAAGATTAATTTTGCTTCTGTTTTTGTTGTTTAGAAGAGAAAGGAGAAAGGATGATCAGCCATTTGGCTTTGAATATGTTATATTTGAGCTATCTTTTAGAGATTCGAGTATTGGTTGAGTAGACAGCTGTATATTTGAGTCTGGGGTACAAGGGCAGGCTCTTGACTTGATATAGGTGTAGGTGTCAGCAGATATACATTTAGAGCTTTGAGCCTGGATCATATCACCTAAGGTAATGGAGGAAGCCATGAATATTTTGATGTCATGGAGAAAATAGAGGAACTATTAAAGAATGCTTGGGACAAGAAACACTGAGGTAGGAGGAAATGCAAAGGACAGTGGTGTCCAGAAATGAAGTGAAAAATGTGCTTCAAGAGTGAGTGTGTGATCAAGGTATCCACACCATTGGATCAAATGCCATGAGGATTAAAAGTTGGACCAATGGATCTAGATCTTAGTTGAGGATTGCCTTGATAAGAACAGTTATCGTTACTCTTCTGAGCTATTTGCTCACACTTGCCTTACTTTTTGTCAAAGTCGAGGCCCCTCTAAATATTGGTTAAATACAAGGGCTCTGGAGTTGCCCTGTCTGAGGTCAAATCCTAGTTTCATATTTACTAGTTGTTTGAGCTTGGAAAGTTTAATTAACCCTTCTGTGTGCTTCAGTTTTTTTTGTTTGTTTGTTTTACTTTTGAAAGGAAAGAAATGATATGTTTTGTCTCATAGGTTTATTGGGAAGATTGCAAAAATTAAACATATACCATAGTGTCTGTCATATAGTAAATTACCAATAATTGTTAGCTCTAGTGATTAAGAATAAAATGATCACTAACATCTATAAAATTACACCTGACTTATATTTCCTTCTTACCCTGAAAATCATACAAACTCTTTCTAGAGTTGTGCTTGAGTCGGTTGCACTATTTTCTGCCTTTTTGTTTTTTTGGTTTGATTTTTTTTCAGTTTTTTTAATCATTACATGAATTAACCTCATTATGATCTAATTACTTCCACATAGTTCTCCAGATTGTGAATGCTCTGCGAAACCATAGCTTGTTCATATCTTAGAACCTTATGCAAGGGTTGGCACTTTTGGCACTTCAGGCTTGAAATCCAGGTTTCTGAATGCCCTGGTGATTGATTGACATTTCACCTTCAAGGTCATTCCAATACTTAATGTAGAAGTGATAGGGTAAACTCTTAATTACTGGAATTACCTATAAATAAATAAATGACTTAAATTTCCTAAAATAATAGTTAATGTCTTGTTAATCTGAGTTCCTTTTCTCTGTAAATTATTTCACAGGCATGACCCTCTGTAATTTTCTCACCTTTTAAAGTGATCCTGAGGTATATCATGCAGGATAGTTGACCTTTGGGATTGGTGTTCTTGCCCTACGGTAGATAGCTTTGTGAAGTCTTCCCTCCCTTTCTATTTCTGGGACCTAGAACTTAAAATGGCCTCTTATGTTGAATTCTTCTCATTCATATTTCTATAAACTCAAATAATGGTGCCTTTAACATCTTCAGACGTGCCTTCATGCGTTACAAAAAAAAAGATGGTTTGATATTTGTTTCCTTTATCTTCTTTGAAATGCACGAATAAAGGTAACTATTTACAAACCTGAAATAAAGCAAAACTGTGTTTATTAGATTCTTGAAAAGCGGTTTTGCAAATCTAAATCAAGCACCGGGCTAGGAGGACTACATTAAGCAACAACACCAGCAATGAGTGGTATATTTTAGGAACTGTGTCCATGGACAGAATGAGATATCATGAGCAAATATCTGTTGCAATTCCTGTGCCAATTCATAAATGGCAACAGCTGATTCTTGCCTTGCTCACATAGTTGTAGTCTGGATGGTAAAAGGTAATATTTTCAACTCCTTGGTTTACTTTGTCAGGAGTAATAAGTTTCTAATAAAGAAGCTATATTTATACTTCTCACCTAGCCTCTCTCTCTCTGTGTAGTCCATGCCACAAACACTGTACATTGGCTAACATATTTGTCTGAGTAAGGGTGAGAGACAAGAAGAACATGAGGGAAACTAGAGGTTGTACAAGTAAATTCTATTGTTGCTAATGCCATAATTTATTCCAGATATTATCTAGTCCCAGAATGTGCATATGAATGTTCTGGCGCTCTCTTTTCTGTACTTGTAATAAACAAGACATCAGAAGACACAAGAGTTGAGAGGGCCCAGTTTCAGTACCTCTTGTTATAAATCATCAAGCAGGTAAAGAGAAGATCCCTGATGTTATCAGTACTTTTGAGCAGAAAGCATGGATGTTATCAGTATTTTTGACCAGAAAGAGAATGGATGTTATCAGTATTTTTGAGCAGAAAGCATGCGTGTTTGTACACCTTCTTGTTTACTCCACATAGGCACTCCGACAAAATAGTATCTCTACCTCAACCAGTAAGTTCCTTATCTGTCTCTGAGTTCTTTTGTCCTTCTACAGAAACAAGAGTGTTTCTCTTAAACTAACTCCCTCATTCTGGATAAACTGATATAATAAAAACACCAGAACGAAAACGCATGTATTCATACCATACTTTCCCACCTCACTGTGCTGTACTCTGTAGAGTTCATATCCTCTCTTCTTTTACACCTCTTCAGTGAGCTCTATAATTTTCTAGCTCTTGGTTGTTTCTCTGTTCGTATCATCTACCTGCAATGCCATTCATCACTTCCTACCTGCCACTCTCACCCTTCATTTTTTACCTGAGGAGCTGCCTCCTACCCCGTATGAGTTGCTGTACACGTTTCTTTTGACACTTGTCACATATATACCCTGTTATGGTTGTGGTCAGCTGTGTAGATTCAACTTCCTTGACAAGGCTGGAAAATTGTGAATTGTAGGAAGTGTGTTTGAGTGTGCTTCCGTTTCTGGGATTCCCACTGTGTCTAACCCTGTGGTATCTGGCATGGGTTAGGCAATCAACAAATGTTTGCTGAACAAATGAAAACAAATGGGTAAAAAACTCAAACCTTTAATATTCATTTTTTAAGAAAAATAGTAAATAGCATTACCATGACTGACAGACCACAGTTAATTTGCCATTTCTACCTCCCACTTGCTGTTCTCAAAAAAAGTGGAATAAAACCACAGATTTGCCAATGGTCAAAAGATGAATCTAAAGGGCAATGATGTTACAACTTATTATTAACTTATTTCATTTCTGCCTACCAAGAAATGTGTATGACTCAGCTTTTGTCCAAGCAGCACTGCTTTTGTTCTATTTTGAATTCGTGGTGGAAAGGATGAGTTTTTGATAAAGATCTTGACTTTTTTGTATCAAATAGAGGATAGGACGGTATTATAGAGATTAGGTAATGAAATGCATGGGTTCTAATGCCTGCACTGCCTCTACCCCTGTCTAGCTATATGACCTTGAACATTTCCTTGCCTCTGTCTAGGCCTTAGTCTCCCCAGATGTAACATGAGGGAGCTGATGTAGTTAATTGTCAGTGGCTCTTGCAGCCAAGCATCCTAGACTGGAATTCTAGGTGGGATTCAGAGTAATTCCTTGTGATGACATATGACTCAACCTTCAGCTGTTAACTGGCTCACCATCGTGACAACAGGCACCAGATTATTCACACATTTTTGAATATTTGAATTGCATAAGGCTGCTCAATGATGGTGAAAATTGGGTCCTAAATGTTCTATCAGATATATATGTAGTGTAACCTGTTCAGGATCTCGTGTGAGTGTAAAATGATGTGTGAAATATGCACCAAGCAAGAAACACTTTGCACATTATGATAAGGCAGTAATACAATTTGATTTTTATGAGTTAAAGATGATGGTACTATAAGAGCTCTAGTTATATGAAGCCTGGAACTATAGTATGTCTTAGTCTTTATAGAAAGGAAAACAATTAAAAATGTTGTTTCTCACTCTTGTATTTCCGTGTTCGTAGAGTCAATAGTTTCACTCAAGGCAGGAAGACAAGACCTGATGTTAGCCCCTCTGTCCGAGTCATTCAACACCTCACCCCCTCCAGTTATATTTATATTTATACATATTTTATTATTCTTTTACTATGCCAGTACCACAATGGGAAATATGTTTACTTTTAAAAAGCTACCCAGAATCCTCCAATTTCTCGTCCGAGAATATAAAAACACTTACCTCACATAAACTCACTTAAGAAAATGTGAATGTAACACTGTTCCCCCAAACCGCTTTCTTCTTTGAATGCCAGCTTTTCACATAGCAGCTTTCCTGACCTCCTACTTCCAGGACCTCAGACCCCTCTGTCTGTGGGCTGGCACTTGGAATGTGGCTGTCCACTTGGCAAAGTGGAAAGAGCTTCTGTTCTCACTGTGGCATCTGGGGCCTCAATTCTGGTTCCACCACTCAGCAGCTCTTTGAATGCTAGGAGGATATTTCACTTCTCCAGATCCTAATCTCTTCACTGGTAAGAGAGGAATAATTATATTTACTTTTTGACATGGCTAGAATAATTACAGAGAATGCATAGAGAGCATCTAACACAGAGACTGACAGGTAGTAGGTGCAGGTTTACTTCCCCTTCTGTAGATGGTCCAGGGTCTCTGACGCATCTCTGCTTCTTCACTGGTTTATCTCTGTGCTATGCTACCACCAAGGAGTCGTCTATGCACAGATAAAGAGGGAAAATGGTCTGCAGTCATCACTTGGGATTCTATGCAATTCAGTGAGGTCTCAAATCACTACTCAACAACCATTCAGCAGCAATGCGATGTCAATGTCCTTATCTGTTTCTCATGCTACTACTGTTTCATATCTCCTACGTAATGTAGTTTAGGAGAAAGAGTCATGAAGTGGGTTCCAGTAGTCCTGGCTTCCAGTTCCGATTCTCAGATAAACCTACTCTTTGACCCATGCCAAGTCATATCCTTCCACATATTTAAATGACAATCCTATACCTTAGTTCTCTCCAGAGATACATAGATTGTTCAGGCTGATGCACTTATGCTTTGATTTACTGGATATTCAAGTAATGAAGCCTATCTTTTTCTATGTTTTCTTCTTTTTATGGAATTCAAAGTCTATGTGTTCTTGCCATTGCCCCTGAAGTAGTAACATTTCTGAGCCTGGCTGATCTAGAACCTCTACAAAGGCTGTCCTTCCTTCTTGATAATAAGTCAGTGCATTTACCTAATATCTGGGAGTTTACAAAGTATCTTCATTTATTCATTAGTATTGAAGTCTCAGTAGTAACTCCTGAAGATGGGGATTCTTACCCACATTTTAGAGATGAGGAAACAGGATGGGAGATGAAAGGATGTTCTCAGGAGTCCCACAGTAGGTGTTAGTTACATAGCTTGGATTTCAAGCAGCATCCTTCTCCCAATCCCAGGTCCTGGCCTGAATGTAAATGTGATTTCCAATCCAAGTTTGAATGTCTGTGCACTCATTAGTCCCTAGACAAATCTGGTTTTTCTTGCATGAGAATGAAATTGAACTTTCAAACATTTTCTTAAGCCTGTAGGATCTACATTCTCTTCATTTTCTAATATACTTGTAACTTTAAATTCCTTATTAAGCCCGAAGGATATTTCACTTCATTGTAGAAATTTACCATTGCCATTGGCTTCTGCAAAACTTGGCAGTGAACTTTTTTTAAAAAACGTGGCCATTGAGAGTGGTCCCCTTGATACTTGAGTGTGTATTGTCCCAAACATTGCCTCAATAGGTAGTTACTGTAGAAGAAAATGCCGTAGTTTTAATGGCAGCCTTGAATTTTCTCCTCTCTCCTTTAATGGAAATCCATTCTATACTTATTAATCCACTGAGCTTGTCAGTACACATCCCTGTCATTTCTCAAAAATGTAAGGAAACAGCATGTATAGAACAAGCACTGGACTAAAAGTCGGAGGAGCAGATTTTAGACCTTCCTTTTCTACCAATTATTTGGAATGTGGCAAATCGCTTTACTTCTGTGAACATCTAGTTCATGTTTTATAAAGCATTGAAGTAGATCATTTCTAAGGTTCTTTTCCACCCTATTTGGTAAATTGTCTAGCATGTTCTACTTCCCACTTGATTAAATTACTCTGCTTCATTTTTTTTAATTTTGCAAGGAAATACTCATTACATATAAGGATAGGAGACTTCACTTATTTCCACAGATATTTATTGAGCACTGACTATGTGAAACATAATTAAAGTGTAATGGGCATTTGGAGGAGGGAGACATTCCAGAAGAGGAAACTGTTATGAGTAAAGATAAAGCAGTTTGAAAGTGCACTTTCTAATGAGAACCTGGAGATTCATGGAGAATTTGCAGCGCATGGACTTGTGAGCAGTTGGCGTTAAGGTTGAGAAGAGGGCAGTGTGGACTGAATGTGGAGGCTTCTACAGTGTGTACTATTTATAATCACGCACACACAGACACACACAGACACACACAGACACACACACACATACAAACACACACACTCATCCCTTTTCAGGGTCTCCTGACGACCTATACTGCCTGTTGCTCTTTTTACCTCAGCCAGCAAAGAGATAAATTGTCAAGATTAAGTAGATCTGAACATTTGAGAAGGAGTTCCATAAAAAAGACAATGAAAATCAAGTGTACCAGCATCTTTAATTCATACAAGGATCATTTTCAGTTTAACAGTTTATCTCCGTTGTTGGTTGTGACTTCCTGCAGGACGTGACTTTTGATATATTCATTCTTGAACTTCCACCAAGCACAGTTTCACCATAGTTGATGCTCAGTAATAGATCCTTATTTGTTGGACTGAATTGCTGCCTACTGAAGTCAATCCTAGAAAGGAGAGAAGATAGCTTTTTTACATAGAATAACTAGGAGGGGTTTTCTTCTTTTGAATGAGCTACCAATAACAAAATAAAACTGCAATGAAAGAATTGACAGCCTGGATCTGTAATCTGCCTGACCTGATAATTGTAAAAACTGATTACTGTGTCAGCCTGCCAGATGGATCTTCTCCTTGAAATGTAACGTGCGGCACTTCTGAATGTGATTCAAGTGCAAGCTTCCTTTTCTCTCCCCTTCATGTTTGTTAGTTTGGGAAAGAAGCAGTTTTATTTGAACTGAACCCACTCATTTTAAGTGTGTTTAATGACAGCAGTATGTGACAGATAAAATAAAATCCTACGGCCTCGTTTGATGTTTAGTTTCAGACCTTAGTGAAAGGAAATAGGATAAAACAATGTTGTTCAAAGGGAGAAGTTGAAAACAAATGATTTGTTATTACACACTTAGCCATATCTCTCCAGGGAAATTTGGGAAGTCAAATAATATAAACGGTAATAATAGTAGTACTTGAGATTTGTGGAGTGCCTAGCAGTTTGTCGAGTGGCTTTATGTTCATTATCACATCAAGTCTAGGAGGTTGCCTGGCCAGAAATCATCATCCCACTATTACACACACGGTTGAGTGAGTTACGCTAAATACTACTTCTAAAATGGTAGAACTGAGCCTCACTCTTGGTCCTGTTGATTTTGAATGGAATAGTTCCTCTAATTCTCTGTGCTGGCTCACCAACCAAACATGTGTGCAGTACATTGGACCACGTTGTGGAACCAGCCTGTTCCTTAACTTTACTGAAGCATATATATGCTGGCAATATACAAATAAATTATCACAACGGATTTCAGCAGTGAGAAGTATATGAAGTTGAACATAACAGCCCTCCCTCAGTACCCATTCATTTTCTCCCCTGCCAACCCCAACTCTTTTTCCAAAGAGTAATCACCATTGTCTTTTTGTTGTGCATCTTTCCAAGCATGTATCTATACATTTATGTATACATTTACATATATATGTGTGTGTGTGTGTGTGTGTGTGTGGTATATTATCTATTTTTTTCAGTTCTTTTCCTCTGGATCTTTTCATGTCAGTAAAAAGGATTTGCCATACTATTTTTAATTCTGTATAGTGCTCCATAGTGTAAGGGTTCATCACTGAGTCTCTTTTATAGTGGAGAGCTTCAGCTTTTCTTTATTACAAACAATGTTAAGATGAGCTTCCTTGCATATGTATCTTTGTGTACATGTGAATCCAGAATTGGAATTGCTTGTGTTTTTTTTTGTTTTTTTTTTGTTTTTTTGAGATTATCAAAATTCAGTGTGGGCCATCATCGCAAATGTTAGAATCCTCATCTTAGCTCATGTTATCGACCTGGGTTTCCACTTAGTTGCTTGGGGATGTGTTGTTCAGACCAAGCCAGACACTTCTCTAAACAGACACTTGTGGCCAAGAGAGTAAATGTTGGGGAAGTTATTTTCCATGGCACTGTGGTTTGAATACAGGCACTCACCATGGAAGAAGAGTAGGGTATTCTTGTAACAGTCTTGTTTACTTAAAACAGCCACGACTCTTCGCTGAGATAGAATAAGGTACTTAACGCAATAAAAATAACTACCATAATTTAAAAATGCAAATGTAGCAATGCACTAAAAAATACCTTTAGCTTATTTTTTGTTAAGAAACAAGTGTTTTGCATAATCAGACTTTAAAAAATATAATTGAATTCTCTATACTGATTCTATGATAGGAAGGTCCAGAGTCAGGTCCACCTTCCATGCCATACTCCTTCTTTCCACCATTCGCAGCTGGTCCTACTGAGGGTAATTAGTAGGGGATAATATCTGAAAATGTAGGTATGTAAGAGAATAGAGCTAATCTGCCTAGCTTTTATGATATTACAGATCGCAGAGGAGCATCCTCACGGATAATTCCCAAATCACAGATAATGTGTTGTTGTGCTTTATAAGCAGAGAGACACAAAATAAACTCTCTCCCCTATCCTTCTCTTTTATTTATTTATTTTCCTTCTGTTAATAGATTTAGTCATTTTTTAAAACCATAATATACCAGGATGAGCCAGAATTATGTGTGTCTAAGTTCTTTTAAAATAAAGAAATCGTTTCTTGGGTCTGTTTTAGTTAGGTCCTTTCAGGTTGCAGGAACCAAGATGTGCTTAAAGTTACCTCAGATGACTTTAGATGATGGGAATTTATGGTAATATACAGGGAGAAGGAAGGAAGTCCAAAAACCCATGTCAGCAACTAGACAACCAAGCCTCATGGAGACTTGGAATATCATTGAGGACACAACAGCAGCTGATTTTGTCATTCCTCAGAAATAAACATCCAGTGTTTCCTTGTCCGGTGGGTCTTTGTTGGACAAGGACTTAGCTTTCTTCAATTTTCCTTCTGTTTTCTGTGGCAGCTCCTGTTAGTGATTCTGTTTAGTCTTCTTCTGAACACTAGGATGTTCGTTATATGATGTCCTCCTGCCTCATGGCCTCCTCATCCTACGCCGTGTGTCTCTGGCTTTTGCTCCATTCCATCTCTGCTCCCAGCTTTTCTTTTTCTGTATCCTTACACTGAAAAGCCTGAACCAACAGGACCATTATTTTAGCTGGTTCTTCTCCAGTACACATGGAGGAGGAATTCTTCCTCCAACACAGCTCCTGGGTATCTAGTCTGGTTTGGGTTCAATGTCTGATCCAACTAGCTGTGGCCAGAGTGCAGAATTACCTGTTACAAAACTGTGGCAATGTAGTTATTAAAACAAGCAACTTTTTGAGGGTTTTGCTTAAACAGAGTGGTTGGTGTGGTAGAGACAACATTGTATGTACTTCTCTATCACAGAGAGAAATTTATAAAGTCAAGGCAAACCAAATATCTGAGGCTGGGACTTCACCCCAGATGTTTGCAAGTAAACAAGTTGTGGACCTTAGAGATCCGCTCCTCTCACTTTCTGACTGCCTCTTGCTTTGGTCTGTAGACCAATGTTCCACTAGTATTTAGTTTTCATTCTGGTTTTAAAACGGTTTATCTGTAAACCTGTAATTTAAACTTCTGATAAGCAAAACTAACATAGTAATGAGCCCATTAGAAAGCAATCGTGAGATACTATTAGACTTTGATAACTTTCAAGAAGCTTTATTCTATTTTTGCCCATTCAAAGCTAACATTTTTGGCAGTTTTAAAACTGAACGGGGTTTTTGTTTTTTCCTAAATATGTTTGTCTGATGTATATTATATCTTATTATGGCAAAGAAACTTAAAGTACCAAATAGAATGAAGACATATTTGATATTAAAATAATGAAAAACATTCAATATTTGATAACTTCAGAGAGACTTTGACTAAGCTTCAAGGTTATTTTTATAAACATGTACTACTGGACAATGTATAGAAGTTTCTTAGCTCACAGATTTTCACTTTGGTAGATGAGGACTAATGTGTTTGCCAGAATGTGCACCTCTTCTCTATTTACCGTAAAGAGAGGTGTGGGTAGGAGATTGCACAGTGTCACTTAGGGCTTAGAGGTGAGGGATTTTGGAATAGCTTTTAGTTTAACCTGCGTGTGAGAAAAGAAGGTTTCATCGTGTGGTTAATAGGAATTTTCATATGATAGGAAAAGGATTAACAAGATTTAACTTTATATTCTCAATAACTTCCCAATTAACCAGTGTCTTTGATGAGGAAAAATTTGAAAATTATACAGTTGTGTTTCTTTTCAATCTTCCCTTGCACGATTACAAGACGATGGAAAAGTGCTTACACTTTGATTGCTGTTCCTAATAACCATGTTAGAATTTCACAGGTGATCTGGAATATCATATCTTGACTTTCATATGTGGGAGCAAGAGTCAGCAAACAACCTTTCTGTGCTTAGAGATGATTTTATACATAAAATAATATTGTTTTGAAAATGAACATTGATGGGAACTGTGTCATATTTTCTGTATCATATTTCATGTTAGCTTTATTAGTTAGCTCTCATTACCTCACCAAATAACTCAGATTTAAAAATATGTATCTTAACTGTGATCAGCCTAAGGACTCTATTCGATGATCAAGTCATAGTCAAATCACAGTCTCATCTCTTAATGTGTTCCTTTGATCCTCCTCCCAACTCTCCCTCCAACATTCATACCAAATCCTTGGATGTTTCTGCTTAGTTCAAAAAGCCATGTTCTCTCACTATGTAAATTATACCAAGAATACCACTAATCATATACGAGAAGCTAACAATCTATGCTTGAGTTGTGTGTTTTTTAATATCATGCTTTGGGATATGATGCCAAATTGGATCTCCAATTTGCCTTTAATTAGTCAGCAACACTTATTTAATGCCCACTAAGCTCAGAGCAAGGCTTGGAGGGTGGAGAAGGGGAGTAAGGAGATCGAAAAACAAATACACTATCATTTCCAGAATAGTTACAGTATCTTTATGCATACAGAAAACAGATAAATGAAAGGATTTAGAAAACTTAAAAGCAAAATCCAAATGAGTGCAAATTGGTCTGATACAAACTGAGCTATATAAATGCAAAGAGGATGCAAATTATAAAAACTTGAAGAGTTTAAAATTGCTATCTTTCTACTTTTATTTTCATAATACTTTGCCATGAGAATTCTTAGATCTCAGGACACCATACCCTTCAGTGAGGAAAGTTTACTGGTTCAATTGTATGATTTAGAGAAACAAACCTAATTCTTAGCATTTTATGGGCTTCTGAGAGATGACGCTGTAAAACTTTTTGAGTCTCTGTTAAACTTTTCTCGTCATTAAAGCTTTTATGTAACCTTGAACAAGTTCCTTAACCTCTCTGCGCCTCAACTTCCACATCATTAAAATGGGGATGATAATAGGACCCATCTCATAGGATTGTTAGGACTATTAAATGTATTATACTCTATTACTTGTATCCTATAAAATATCTTTCTCACAGTTTAATTTCTTGAAAATTGAAACACATCCTATGATTGATGTGGTAAGAAACCATTGTAACACATATTAAGTGACACCTGTTGGTTCTTTGTTAGTAGGTTAGTAGGGAAAAAAAAAGATGCAGTTTATAGTCAAAGCCGTGTGTAAAGTGTGTCTAAAGTGCTTAAAACAAAGCCTGTCATACAGTTGGTCTTATAGAATGATGCTGTTATCATCATTGCCTGAATACCATATTTGTGGTATGTAAAATATTTGTCTCCAATTTCACTGGCTTCTGTCCTATGAAGCAGATATACTTATAGTTCCTGGTCTTTGAGTAAATAGAGCCTAGAAGGATTATCAGATATTACACAACTGCCAAATAATGACTTACATCAAACCAAGAGTTTATTCCTCTTCTCATGCATATCAACACCTGTTTAATCTGATCATGTTTTCAAAAACCCACTAGTGATCTATTTATTTCTAGCTATAGCTTTCATCACCTGTATTTGGTGATTTGTTGCTGGCAGAGTCCATACTCATAACACTAAATCTGACTACTGTGATTACAACAGTCTTTCTAAGTTAGATACCACTAATGATATTGATTAGGGAGAAGGCATTCTTTGTGATCCTATTTGCACGATCTCGGGTAATTCACTTACTGGACCCAATTGTTAGTTGTGAAATGTGAATGTTGAAAGCAGTGAATCTTCCAGCTGCTTGATTTGTGATATCACTATCAATTTACCTACTGAGGAGCTTCATATAAATTGGTCATTTGTAGAAAGTAGTTCAGTGGCTGAGAATCTGGCATAATATTTTATTTTTATGAAATTTCAGTAAACATTATTGAGCAACTTGTAGGTTTCAGGCTCCACGATAGGGATGCAAGCATGTAAGACCTCTGTCCAGCAACTGAGAGGTAAAACTACAATGAGAAAGATAGACTGGTAATTCAGATTTATTTTTAAATAATAGCTTTTTGAGATATAATATACTTACCCTTCAATCCACTGACTCTGGTTTTAAAGGAGATGATTAATACATTCACTCAACCGATATTGAGCATCTGATATGTGCCAGAGACTTCCTATGTGCTAGGGTTATGGAGATTGACAATAGTTATACAAAACTGAGCCTGTCACAAAATGTGTATCGACAGACAGTCTTCCATTTGGTGCTATAGACCAGTACTCAGGGTCAGCAGAGGGTACTCTGGAAGCATATTCAGGGACAAAGCAAACCTAGTCTTGGAAGATCTGAGGAAGTTTCCTATGATCATGTCTGTCTCCTGCCATAACACCCTGAATGCATCCGATCTGAACTAAACTGAGGTCTGACAAACTTGTAGGAGTTTGCGAGGTGAGTGGCTTGGGGAAAGTAGAGAGGAAGAAGTTTTTCTGGAAGAGAAAAGAAAATATGCTGTGGCTCTGAGGTGAATCACATATAATGCACAATAGCTTAGTATTGTGATAACATTTGGGACTGTGTGGGCAGACAGTGGCTGCAGGGCCTGAAGGGTGGAGAGGGGGAACTTACGCTTCAGTAGGGGTGTATATGTCTTATTATGAGGTCACAATGAAGATTGAGGTCAGCTAGAGGATGTGACATTCGAGTTGGGTCACAAAGGATGTACAGGAGTTTTTCAAGGCTGACCACAGTCTAGGCAGAAGAAATTGCAATTGTGAAAGGAAGATTTGCGTGAAAGAATGGTGTTTTTGGCTGAGTGAGGAATTTGAAGTATCTGGAAAATGGAGTAAGTGGCACAGAGAAAGAAAACAGCCAAATAATAATAATAATAATAATAAATTGGTGAGGGTTCGGAGAGCCGCTTACAATTGGATTCGGTGCAATGCAATGACTTTATATGTTCTGTACCTTGTCCTTGTAGGCAGTTGCAGGCACTAGGGACAGGAGTCTGGGGGGAAGACAGGAGCATTGAAAGTTTGAGGAAAAAATGAGAAGCATGCTTTAGAAAGATAATCTGAATATACTTGAATTGGAGGGGCCCTGGATTGTGAATGAAAATTAGAAGTATGTCATCTGTATTGTGTAGGATAGTGCTTATCTACAAAGAATTTTATGTAGAATTCCCCATCAGATTAACCCTTTGCAGCAATAGCCAATTATTTCTGATATTAAAAATTATAATTAAATAAAAGATATGGATTGGTAACTAAACATTTATTGAGAAGTTACTGTATCACTTCCACAAATCAATTCACTTATTTTTCTTAGTAATCCAATGATGTAGCCTGTCATTTCTCCCATTTTTCAGCAGAGGAAATTGTGGCCCAGAAGGTTGTATGTAACTCATCGAGGCACTAAGTGGCAGAGGTCATGTTTCAGCCTCGGCCATCTGGCTCCAAAGCCTAAATGTATGAATTGGCCACTAAAGGCACAACTGAAAATACTAACAGTCCCTGTGTTAGTGAAGAGGGATATTTGGCAAAAAGTTTTTATTTTGCTTTTTTACAATTCAGTGATTTGTAATTTATTTACAGAGTCATGCAATCATTACCTCAATTTAATTTTAGAACATTTAAAAAGTCCATGCTCATTTGCTTCCCATTCTCACTCTAACCCTAGATAACCTCAAATCTACTTTAGTGGTAGTCAGTTTGTATGAATGGCAACTTCAGTTTAATGGCTTTTTTTTTTTTTGAGTAGTCACAATCTGATAGCCTTAATCACTAATTCAGGAGAATAACATTGTTTGACCATATCATTTCTAACTTCTGCATGCAATTAGTGTACTCTATTCATAATTTGATGCAGAGAAGGGTAAAAGTGACAGGCCTTGTGGCAGTCATTGGTCAAAGGCATATGAGTAAGACTGCCTGAGACCCTACCCTGGAGTTCTGTCTTGCAGGTAAGGCACATAGACAAACTATTAAGCAATATTGGAGAAAGAAATTATTGTAGAAATCCTGATGTTTTTGGTGAATGGCTTATGTTAAACTTCTCTCTCCTGGAAGTCATTGAATTGTTTTTAAAAACTTAGTATGTATGAAGCATTTGGAATGCTTGGCATTTTGAGAATAAAATCCACATCAATTTAAAATAAAATAAAACTCCCCATCCAGAATAGAGTAGTAATTGCAAGGCATAAAATAGCCCAGCTGTGGAGTGGCTTAAAGGACAATTGGTCTCAGGCAGAGAGTACCAGATAGGACACGCTACACAAAGGACTGTAATGTCTCAATTAGTGTACCTATTGGGTAGCACATATATCTGAAATGGCTTAAAATAAAAATTGCAAATGCACCAGATTTAATCAATCTTAGTATTTCCTTCTCTTATGCTCTCAGTCCTTAGTTAAAAATAAAATTTGCCTGCCTCATTCTCCTGTGTGCTAGCTAGTAGGATTAACTGGAGTTCTCAACAGGAAAGCAATAGATCTAGTAGACGACATTGTATGGTGGGTGAAAGCCCGCTAGAGATAATTATACAGTCACTCCCACTATATTACCCTTCAAAGAAACTGAGCCTAATATTCTCCTCCTAAGCAATTTAACCAACTTCTAAAAAAAAGTATAAGATATTATTTAGAGAATGAAATAGCTACTGTATATAATCAGGAGGAAGAATTATAGCAAATTATACTCATTTGATAAGTGTATAAAGAGCTACGCTCAAAGCTTTGTATTGTACCTCCCAAGTAATTGTTCAGTTGTGCTAACTGTCCTTAAAAAAGGAGAAGAGATAAAGAACTGCTAAAGAAAAAAAAATCAATCATTATACTTGTTCAGGAAGATTTTCCTTCTGGGCAAAGATTAAGTCTTATTTCATGCTCCATGAGGATCAAGCACACATTTGGCCCTCCCATGTTTAGTAGTGGTGATTTCTTTGCCTTTCTCACATTCATGTTCATGTATAAACATAGACACCAATATAAAACTAAATGCAATAAAAGTGTGTTTTAAGATCTACCACATGTATGTCCTAGTAGGTATAGATAGATGTTATATATCTGTGTTCACTGCACTTACATCCCAATATTTTCAGAAGATAGGACTGTATGCAAATGTTTCCAATATCTCTTTCTAGGATCACAAAAAAAAAAGAACCCCTGAGGTCTTTCTACTTGTTTCAAAAATGAGCTGGTAGTAATATTAGAGCCAATTTCCTTTTGGTTTGCTTTAAACAAAATAAACAGCCCATTATGTAAACTGTATAAGACTTAAGTGTTTGAGCACTTCCCTTAGAGTTTGTAAGTCTTATGCCCCCACCATCAAAAAGTAAACAAATAAATAATAAAAAGCCAATCTAATTGTTATTATGAGAAGTCATACAGCGTATTTGCTAAGAGCAGCTCCTCTAAAGATGTCAGACTGCCTTAGATGGAACACTCTGTATCCTCCGCTTGCCAGCTGGGTAACATTCAACAGGAAGCTTAATCTCTCCATGCCTCAATTCCTGACTTCAAAATTATTGTAGTAATACAATGCCTACTTCATACAGTTGCGGAGACATCAGTTAGGCGCTGTTCCTCTCACATATGTCATCAATTCTGAGACCGATTCACATGCTTAACATTTCTGACTAATTACTGTTACGTGGTAATCATGACATAGCGGCCATTGTCTGTACTTGTACATCAAAATCTGCTGTCTATGGAGATTAGTGACTTGGAAGAAAATCCTGGAGTCAATAGTGGACCCCTTTTTTATTAAGACTCTTGATGGCCCAGAGGTCAGTATAATGAGGAAAACATAGAACTTCCATGATTTTGACTTGAAAAGTAATTCAAAGGGTTGAAATTTAAACGTAAAGAAATTTTTGGAATGCTTTCATTTGTTGCACTTATATTTTGCTTTTTATGTATGTAGAGGGGTGACATATGATAAAAAAACTATGGATAATTTTAAGCCATTTATTTCAACAAACATGTAATATATATTCTAACGACAAAGCCCTATGTTATAATTTAAATGGTAGTAATTTTTGTTTCCGGTTTTGTAATAGCTAATGGTGTATTTTATAATCAGTAGCATCTTTGATTTGATGGGGTAGTGTAGTAAGAACTCAATAAATGTTAGACTCCTCATTAGGATTTGGGTAGAGGTTAATGTCGGTAGACACATTATTAGAGTTAAGGGTCCTAAGGCTTTTTAATGTGAGCAGAGTGCAATGAAAGAATATTTTGGATTGACCAAAAGTCTAGAGAACCTGATTTGTAACTGTATCATTATGACTTACTGAATTTCATTCAGTAAATATTGCATGAAATTGAGCTGAAATTCATGTCTGCTAAATATGTGTACTCTGCCCTTTTCTCTTCATTATGAGGATTAAATTGAATGATAGGGGTGTAAGCACTTTGTAAATCCAAGTAAGAATTATTAGTTAGGATAGTTCAGGTAGTGCTGTAGTAACAAATACTTACCAAATCTCGGTACTGAAAACAAGGGTTTATTTCTTACTTATGCTACTTGTTCATCATAGGACAGAAGGAGTTCTTTGCAGACTAATAGTTGTCATTTCCAACACTTTTGACCTCCATGCCAGAGTAAAAGAGCTCTGAGGGTCTCAAACTGGCAATTCCACACTTTGACCTGGATGTAATACATGTCACTTCTTATATAGCTCCTTAGCCAAAACTATTCACATGGCCCTACCTAGCCATAGGGTTGCCACAGAGCAGAGAGCTGGAAATATGTGGAGAACAGTGTCAATAAGTTTGTAATAGTAATAATGGTTGACAATCATTGTGTGCTTCTTAGTACCAGGCACTGTTGTAAGTGCTTTAGATGGGTAGAGTCCTTTAGTACTCATCAAGTGGGTATGATCATGATTCCCATTGTACAGATGACAACCCAAGGCACAAAAGGGTAGACCAACCTGCACAGAAGAGACAGAGCAGGGATTTTGCTTGTGTGACATTGATGTGTGTCTCAAACTATAATGGATTTGAATGCATTTTTTAAAATGTAAAAGGAAGATACAAATATAGTTGAGAATCTTCTGTTCTGAAAAATAAGAGATGAGGTTTGGTGATCCCCAAGCCTCCCTAAAATTTCACCTGGATCAGCCCCAAATGACCTACACTTACAATGACTGCTGTGTTCTTTTGGCGCCTCATCTTCAGAAACCAGGGGCCCTCTCCTGGCCACTGACTTACGTCGTAGCTTAGCAGAGGGGCATTGTCCCAGCGTTTCGGTAGATACTTCCTCCTTTGACTTATTTAACCTTTCTATTTTGGGAGTTTTCTAACGTGTAGAAGAACAGTAGAGTGGCCACAGTCTACTCCATTATCAATGATCAATACACAATTACCAATACATTCTCAATCTTGCTTAATTTCACTTTGCAAGTTAATCTGGCTGCTTGTCAAGCTGAGCTGTGAACACAAACTGTGTTCTTGGGGTTGCGGGGTATAGAGCTCCTAAAACAGGAAGCCAGTGACCAGGGGAGGGCCAGAGAGGACATGTGGAGGACAGAATTGAAGGGCTTCAACTGGAAAAGAGGGCGTCTCTAATCAATAGTTTAGACAAGTTTGCAAGTGGAAGATAAATGATATGACAATATTTAATCATTCATAGGACATTCTTGTAATGTAAGGGGGAAAAGGAGAAATATGTTGTTAATAGGGAGCCAGAATTATTACCTTTCTCCGTAGCTCCAACTGTAATCTTGCCTGCTATTGAGGTAGTTAATAAACCAAAGCCTGTGAGCTCTGTTCAATGGGACAGCAACCAGAGAGGCTTCTTTCCAAGCCCTCCCACCAGGCCAAGAAGCAGCTGAGCTGGATAGAAAGCATGCCTTCAGCACCCTGGGTTTCCTCTTCAGTGGCATCCAGAGGACCCTGGGTCACTTCACCTCTCTGTCTCTTTCTGAAAAACGTATATAATAACCGTCTGGGTGACTCACAAATCTATTATAGCATTTAATTAACAAATGTTCCTCAAGTGCTTTGAGCTCCCTGTTTGGATAGATGTGACTGAAATGTAAAATACCTTTCACTGCCTTATTTATTGCTCCAGCGAACACGCTATATGCTGGCACCATTTATCTTCATTTTAATTTTATCTCCCACAAATATAGGCATTAATTTAAATCACATACAGAACATAACAGTTTTTATAGAGGCAAACTTATTCCAGTGTGCTGCATTTTAATATCGCACTTTACCATCTTTTCTCACTTGATTCAAGAATAGTATCTCTTCCTGCCTCAGCATTTAATCTTAGGACAACAGAAACTTTTTTGTGTGTGCATGTTCTTGCTCTCAAACTTTGTTTCTCACTGCTTTGCTGCTTGTTGCCTGAAAGTTGTTCTGTCAGTGTGAGCACAGGTGTAAGTAATTCCATTTCTCTTTTGCCAGCGTAATTTCCTGTGTGTGTGTGTGTTGTGGGGGCTAAGGGGGGTGTGTAACATGATGGATTTTACAGCTGAAGCTTATACTCATTCATCTTCAGATATCTTTTCTAATAGAAATAAAGACAATAAAAGTGATACCCTCCTCCTGAAATTTACACATTAAAGACCCCTTCAAACTGCTCACTTTTTTTCTGTCTTTTTTTTCATTCAGAGGCAAAATTTCCCCCTTTTTTTCATCACTGTTACGTTTGCGGCAGATGAGTCTCTTCCTTGAGGGGAATCGTGGTAAATGGGCCTGCTGTATTTACAGCTATGAAACATTCCAGTTGGCTGTCACACCCTAAGCAAGGAAGGTTTCCCCATCCTTAATTTGCGGCCTGAAAAGCTGTGGCTCTCCTCAATTAAGACTTTCCAAATTGCCTCTGACATGGCAGCATATTCCCAGGAGTCAGGTCCTGGGAGGCAGTAATAACATGAGCACTGCTGTATAACAACGTAGTTTTACAAGCCATTTTGTGCTCTTTTCAGAAGCTTTCAGGATGCTTTTTCTCTGAAGTTGTAAATTAAAAAGAAAACAAAACTTATTTTGATTTTTTGTTTTTAGTTTTCCTAGTCTCTGAATGTCTAGGTTTAGGGACATCTGTCATAGTCTTATTTATTTATTTTACGTTTAGTCTGGATTTAAAATGTACAAATTAATGTTTAAGTTCTCTGTTTTATTCCTGTAACAATCCTACAAGAACAGGTTCCATTATTGTGTTCATCTTGCAGATGAGGAAACAAGGCCTAGAGAAGTTAAATATTTTTTTCTGAAATGGTACAGCTAGTACGTGGCAGGGCTCAGATTTTGGATCCGGTCCACCTTAACTAAATATGCTTTTGATGTAGCTCTCTTCAGGCTGAATTCTTGACCTCTCATTTGATGCTGACTCTTCTCAAACCCTTAGTCTTTGTGCTACTAGGTAGATTTTATCTGTGGCAAGAACACGGTTACCCTGGAAACCCACTAGCTAGAATGGCAAGCCAATTATAGCACCACCGCTTTTTTTAAATTAAATTAGCGCTGCTGATGACGTGGACTTCTTGATTGAAGCATGCTGAGAAATGGGTTCTCACCAGTTGTTCCTGCCTCTTAGGATCATGTGGGATCATTCTCATCTATTCTATCAAGCCAAACAAGAAAATGCCTCTATGTGATTGACTGGATTTGAGGAATAAAATGTGATGATCTTTTAGGACCCTGAGCTTTCAGTAGTGAGTAGACATGCATGGAAATGTTTGGAAAGAAGCCCTATTGGAGAAGAAGCCTGTCATCTGGATACTTTCCACCCCCAAGCACACAAGGTCCACTGATTTAAAGCCCTGCTCTTAACTACTGAGGCTAATGTTCTCTATTTTAGTATTTCTTATTTTATTTAAGGCCATTGGTTTAAATCCAGACTTGATTCAGGAAAGGTCGTAGCCCTTTGATATTCTTTGGTCTTTGCACACTTCTAATAGGGCAGGAATTTGCTTTAGTTCAAACCAATTGGTGCATTTCCTTTAAGTACACAGAATTTAAACAATTGAATTGATATGGCCACTGTTGAACTGAGTGGTACCAGGTTGGAGGAAAGGACATTCATTATATGTTAGTGGGTTGTGGGCTCACTCTCTGAGATGGTAAACGGTAGGCTGGTAGAATGTTGAGTGGTTCATTCTGCATAACACACATGGCGCCAGGCACATTACCTAGTACCTCTATGATTTTCATCCGCTTTATTTTCTGTTTTGTAGAGTAGGTAAAGGTAAGGAGACGGGCTTGCTCATTTGCAAGGCTATTCTGTGATGCAGGGTTCTGAGTACAGGATTCCTTATTTGCAGTCCAGTGCTCTTCACTTTATACCACCAAGTCACCAGAGTCTCAGGGCCTGTCTTCTGTATCGCAGAAAACAAATCAAGGATTAGCAACACTGAATCTTAATTCTTGAAGTTCTAACAGGAAAATTATGTTAGTCTTGCTACATATCGTAGGCATATTTTGTCCAAAATGAGAGTAATCAGGGAGGAGAAGAGGCTGCATCTTACTGTGTCCTGATGGGTGATACTTCCGTGACTATCTCCATCACCAGTGAGCAGATTTCCAGAAGTCACAGTTCAAAACGATGAAGAGAATTACACATTTTCAGAAAACATTGTACATTCTTTGTTAACTTTTCCACTTGTAAAATAATTTGTTTTCAGACATCCAGGTCCTTTCTCCATGATTTACTGCGTTGGTGACATTAATCAGCGTGGTTATCTTGGAGCCTCATTTCCCCTTGGGTAAAATGGAAGGATAACATTGGCAATCATACAGACGTGTTGTGTAGAAAGGAGTAAGAAGCATTTTGGAAGTGGCAAAGTGGCAATAATCCCCTGTAAGACAGTAGCTGTTTTTAAGATCACTGAGCTCTCAAACACTGGCTTTTTCTGCCTCACACTTTCTAGATTTGTAAGACTTAATCTGAAAATATCTTTGCTATTCATTATGTATAATTGTAGGGCTTTGGATTTAAAAAATCCTAATTCTGTTATTTCCCTGACAATAACAAATTATTCTCATCTAATTTTCTCTTATGTGAAATAAGACATACACCCTAGTTACTTCCATGCCTAATATGATTGACAAATCTATATGTTATCTGAATTGTGAATATATTTTCATACATATAGAAGTACATGTGTGTATTTCTTGAAATCTAATGGTCAATATACACTAACCAGTTATTTCTGGGATTTTGGGAACAGGCTTCTTTCTATACTTCTCTACTTATCTTTAAATTTTCTCTAATGAGCCTACTTTGCTTTTGTTTTACATACAGTAATTAATATATTTATAAATGTATGTATACTATATATTTTAATAAATTTATATAAGTATATGTATGTATATACATATGTTTTGCAAGTAAAAAAACTTTAGTAATAAATATCTACAAAGGCAAATTAAAAACTATTACATTTTTTCTCCCTCCCTTCCTTTCTACTGTTTCCCTCCTCTCCTCTCTTTGGTTTCCTTCCTTCCTTTGTTCCTTCGTTCCTTCGTTCCTTCCTTCCTTCCTTCTGTCCTTCCCTTCCCTCCCTCCCTCCTTCCTCCCCTCCCCTCCCCTTCCTTCTTCTTTCTTGCCCTTTCTCTCTCTCTCTTTTCCTCTCCCCCTTCTGTCTTCCTCTCCCCACCTCCATCTCCCTCTCTCTCTCCTCCCTCCCTGCCGCCTTCCTTCTTTCCAGAAAGTCACTAACCAGAATCTTTCACAGAATAAACTGTGAAACCTAGATCTTAAATGTACTACAGTAGAAAAAGAGATGAGATTTTTGAAAGATGATGGCTTGTCCTTGTCTCTGTACTTGAATCTATCTCAAAACAAAGATATAACTATTGTTTTTAATAATAATTTCAATATAGAGTGACCATCCTTGCCTACTACCCTGAAGAGAGAGAGCATTTACACATAAGACTGGTGGTTGCAGTAAACCCCTTTCAAGTGGAGTGGCCACTATGGTCCTTCCTCTTCCCTTCCTTCCTTTCATTCCCTTGCCCTTTCCCCACTTTCCTTCTCTTCCTTTCCTTTTTTCTTTTAAGGTTCATAAAATCTTGATTGGCCTCCTTCCTAGCAGCCAGGAGTTTGGGTCCCTAATAGCTAAAGCTTATATACTTTATTTTCTTCTTTCTCCAGATGGCTGTGGCTATGAATTTTACTCCCCATCCCAGGACTACCCCTGCTATACTGACACTAATTTTCATTTTATAATACTGTCTTCATCAGTCCATGCTATGCTACTAGTTTTAGTTATTATAATATTAACTTAATCCACAATGAAGGCGACAGGTTTTTTTGTGTGTCTTACTTTTTAAAGGGGAAATATTATCTCTCACTTTAAGGAAACTAACTTTAGCAACTCATTCCCTCACTTTTTTTTTTCTTTCAACTTGATTTGTTCAACTAAGGAGACCACATTTAGTACTTGCTAGCTGAGACTTCTGTTCTACAATTCTGAGTTAGTTCCTCATCCGTCCGACCCTCTCTCCCCGTGGTGCACTGAGTCACAATGTGATCACCAGCTGCATGTGCTGCTATTACACACAACACATTGGCTAGCAGAGGAGCCAGGATTCAGCCTTGGAAGTACTTTCAGGCAAAGGTGAAGACCCTTTCCCCACTCTAAGCATCTTTCAGTAGTTTAGTGTAGCTGATATTAATGTTATAAATGGTCATTCCTAATCCTGTCTCAGTTCCAGCCCAGATGGAGTTTTGATTTTAGAAAATCATTCAGTGAAATGTATTTCCTGTGCCTGGTAGTCATTGATCACTTACCAAAAAAAAAGGGGGTAGTGGGAGACTAAAAATAAACTTATGATAATTCACATACACTTAACCTTTACTGACTAATACCAAAAAGGGAATGAAGCAGGCTCTGCTGACCAGCACTTGCAGATGGATTCCAGGAACGTGGCTAGAGCTGCCAAAGCCATCGCTGAATCCTGCCAAAAGCATCCCAGGGGATTTTACTAAGGGTGGGGAGAGCAGGGAACATGGAGGTGTGTGTGTGAATTTGTTTTAAAACTCTCTTACTCAACACTGAGCAGTGGGAAGAACACTGGGAAAAAAGGTCGGAAAGTGACATTCTAGACTGGGTTCCACCCAATCTCTATGACACTGGAAAAGTAATGTGTCCTCTTTGGAACTTCAGGTATCATGTGAACAATAAGGGTGTCATATTAAGGTCTTAACATGTTGAAATGTTAAAAACATTCTGTAATTACTTAAATTATTTCAAAACAGAAAGATCATACATGTTCATCATGTTTCTGTGTTAACTGGACAAAACTACACTAAAATTAAAGAGCAATAAAAGCAATCGTGTTAAAATTTTATTTTTAAATATAGTACTTCTAGTAACTGAATATCTAACTTTATTAACAATTCTAAATCTCGCTTTTTTTTTTTTTTAAACCCCAGTGAGGCTGGGCACCGTGGCTCACACCTGTAATCTGAGCTCTTTGGGATGCTGAGGCGGTATGATCCCATGAGCACAGGAGTTTGAGACCAGCCTGGGCAACATAGTCAGATCCTGTCTCTACAAAAAGTTTTTTAAATAGCCAGGATTAGCCAGGCATGATGGCATGCACTTGTTGTGTCAGCCACTCTCATTGGGGGTTGGGGGGGTTGGGGGTGGGCTGAGGTAGGAGGCTTGCTTGAGCCCAGGAGGTAGGAGGTCAAGGCTACAGTGAGCCATGACTGTATCACTGCACTCCAGCCTGAGCGACAGAGCAAGACCCTGCCTCTAATTAAATAAGCAAATACACACACACAACACACATATATAAAATAAAATAAAAACCCCAATGTGTTAAGATCTCAGGTTTAAACCTCGGCTTATACAAACCATAGTACTACCGTGCAATAACTGAATTGACAAGGTACCAACACCTATTTTAACCAGAAAAATAACATAATTGTGTTATATTTTCCATGAGAGTCATACTCTTGAAATTAAGTATTTTCTCAATAGAATTGTTTCTCAATTAAAAAAAAAAACTTACTCAAAACATTTAGTATTTAATTATAATTATAGGCAGATAAAATTTATAAAAGATTATCAGTAAGATCAAGAACCTCTGCCTCTTTAATCATGTTTTTCTCTACCTTTTGCTGGTCTCTTCCTGATTTTGATGACCTCATTGTCTATACGAGTATTAAGACATTTGGGGTAGCTTTTTATGTTGTGTACTTTCTTTCCTTCTCCTTATGAGATGGCTGACACCTTCTAAAGGATTCAGAGAGTTTCCATCTTATTGAAAGGTCCTTATGAAAATTCACTGGTAGTGTTCTCAGCTTATACTAGGAAGGCATGTTTCTTCAGAAGCAGTATTTGTTGTATTTAGGGTGGGAATCATTATGTAGCAAGAGTGGTCTACATATTGGTCTTGCAGCAACATCAGCACCCCTTATGAATGGTTTGTTTCCCACCAAAAGTCAAAGATTAGCCTATATGATGGATGATGGCTACAGAAAATAGTGCCAGAAAAACAGAATCAGTAGAAGATATATATTAAGACATTAATTGGGAAGGAGTAGCTTGCATGATTTTGTGGGCTGGCTAGGCAATCTAACATCTACAGATTAGGCAATTAGGAAGGGCAGGCTGTAACTCCGTGGCATGAGATGAAGCTACTTGCCACAATGAGAATTCCTTCTTCTTTAAGGAATCCTCAGCTCTACTTCCAAGACCTTTCAACTGATTGAATCAGGCTCAACCAGGTTATCTAGTGTACTCTTCATTACTTAAAAATCAACTGATTAGAGGCTTTAATCACATGTACAAAACACCTTCCCAGCCACATCTAGATTGGAGTTTGATTGAATAAATGGAGACTTTAGCCTGAAAAAATTAACACACAAATGGACCATCACAGGAGGGTAGTCTTTTTCTACAGAATTTAAATCTGTGGTAGAGAAGCAACAGATACCTCAGGGCAAAAAAAGTCCAGGAAGAGCATAAAGGTTCAAGCAGAACCATGAGAATGCCAGCATTGTCGTTGGAGATGGTGACTGGAAGTGATGATAGGTCTAGGGAACAGTAAATGTGGACAGACTGGCATTTTACCTCGGGCACACTTGGACCTGGATAGGCTCCACCAGTCTGCCCTGGAAACAGAACCACAGTGGGTCAGACAGTCTTTTGTATTAGTTTTAAATACAGAGTTGATTGTCTCTCTTGCATTCTTAACTTGCAATTTAGTACTGTTTATATTCTGCTTGAAGGTTAGAGACATTCGACTAAATGGTCTTTTCTCCACATTGCTGTCATTCATTAATGTCCTGGTCCTGGACTTTACTCATTGACCACAGGACAAGTGGCTCAACTCTCTCCTGCCACTACCCAGGCTGTTAGTCCTGTTGGGAGGCTCAGGGCCCAACTCACTCATCTGTAACTCTCATCTCCATTCAGCTGCAGCCTCTACAGCCCCTGGTTATACCCTGGATCTTATCATTGCTTCGCTCTATTTTACCTCCTAAATCGTAAAAATTAAAACCAGCCTCGGAACACAACCCCTCATTCTTCCAGCACTCTCTCTCATTCAGGTAACTCCTATTCTACTTTTCTTCAGCATATTTACCTTCTATTACCTTTCTTTTTCCTCACCAGTCTCTTATATTTCCTTTATTATCCAACTTACAGTCTGTGGTTCAATACTTCAGCCGACTCTTCCAACACATGACCTTCTTTCGGTAGGCTTTTTTCAGAGTTTCCCTTTTGTACTTGCCCTTATGTAAATCTGTGGCACAGTCAGGCCATCTTGCCAACTTTTCACAGTTATTGCACACCACACTCTGTTGGTTTTCTTCCTACCATTCTGAACAATTTCACTTCAGGGCTCTCCTTAGTGGCTCTTCGTCTCCCTCTCCTTGAATGTCGTTTTACCTTTTTCTTTTTCTTTTTTTTTTTTTTTTTTTTTTTTGAGACAGACTCTCATTCTGTCACCCAGGCTGGAGTGCAGTGGCGCAATTTCAGCTCACTGCAACCTCTGCCTACCAGGTTCAAACGATTCTCTTGCCTCAGCCTCCCGAGTAGCTGTGTCTACAGGTGTGCACCATGCCTGGCTAATTTTTTTTTCTTTTTTCTTTTTTCTGTTTTCTTTTTATTAGAGATGGGGTTTCACCACGTTGGCCAGTCTTGTCTCGAACTCCTGACCTCAACTGATCCACCCACCTCGGCCTCCCAAAGTGCTGGGATTACAGGCATGAGCCACCGTGCCTGGGCTTGAATGTTGTTTTCCTTTGGTGGGGCTTGGGGAGGGGTGTCTTTCCTAGGGCCTGCTCTTGTTTCACTTCCCACATTTGGTTAAGAGAGCCTTTAACTACTATGGCCTCAACTATCAGCTCTACAATATGATATAAATTTGTTTCAGTAAACTTGCTCTTCAGATTCAATTGTTTCTAACTGCTTATCGCTCAGGTGCATTTGGATGTATTGCAGAAATCTCAGCCTCAATGTTTTCAAAATAAACTCATCCACTTCTCTCAGGAATTTTTTCCACTCCAATGTTGTTCGGTATGTGGCATCACCATCTAACCAGTTTCCTAAGCCAGAAGTTTAGGTATTATTTCTAAGCCCTCTCTTTCCCTTATTATCAATTTTACCTCCTAAATATTTCACAATCTTTCTACTTCTCCTCATTTCTGCTGCGGTACGTGATTTCAGATCAGCATCATCTTTCATGGACCATTGGTGATATCCCCCTAACGGGTTTCCTTGTATCCATTTCCCCACCATCGCCCCAATCTATCCACCAAGGCTTTCCTAAAATGCAAGTCTGACTGTATTACTTTCCTGTCTAATATGTTATCTCCTTATTCCTGTAGTATAAGACAGTGATTAGGAAAACAGGCTCTGAAGTCAAATAGAAATGAGTTTGAATCTCATATAACTATGTGATCTTGGACAAAATAACCTTTTTTGGTTTGTTTTCCACGTGCGAAATAGGAACAGTAATTGAACTTTTCTTTTTAGATGTTGCATACCTCTCTGGTATACATGAAGAAGATGTGTAGTATCTCATTCCCACCCCGCTTATGCACCATGCTATAGTCACACACTGCCTTTGCTCTGATCCCCAGAGACATTGAGCCACCACTGGAGAGTCACATGATATTGTTTTTAGCCTGGAACATTGTTCACTACCTCAGTCTTTTATTGCCTTGTCTCAACATAGACGCCATTTCCCTTAAGACATTTTCAGCACACTCCTCTGGTATAATTTAGTTTAAATGTCCTTGCTGTGTTCTCCTGTGTTTTTCTCCTTGAACTTCCTAATCCTTACACCTTCCACCCTGCAAATGATCATTATCTCACTGCCTCTCCCAAATGATAACCTCTTTCCACCCATTTTAAGTTCCATGAGGACGATGACCATTGACCCGGACCGCGTTGTTAAACTTCTTAGTCTCAGCTGCCAAGAGCTTAGCACAGTGTCTAGCAGAGATCGGACACTCAGTAAATATTTGATGAATGTTTATAGTGTGACTGTCTCGCCAGTGCACATACAACAAAGTGATCCCATCTTTCCTTCTGTATCATAAAATAGAATTTTCTTACCTCTGTAATTTCTCCCTAGGAACCAGACTGCTTCTAGAGAGCTTCTTCACAAAATCAAATTAATTGGTATTTTACAAGGAGGGAAAGCCCCAGGACAAGTCCCTTCTCTTGACCACAAAGTTCTGTGTTTCTCATCTTTCCTCTTGATGTCTTGGTTTCAGCAAAGCAACATTTCTATCCCTGCCCCCTGCTCCCCCATAATCCTACAAATGTACTATAGATATGTGTAAGTACTACATCCCCAATCAAGTACAGCGTTTGGCCTCGGGTGGGAGTCAAACAGCAAGCTGATTTTTAACATTACTTGGAAGAAATTTTCTAGGTATATAACTGACAAACATTCATGGAGAGCTACTTCATTTTTCTGTCAAGCTTTTGGGGGATTTTTTTTAATAGTTCTGCACTTTGAAAGAAAGTTCACAATTTTTAAAAGGAAATGTGGCCCTTTTCATTAGCTCCTTTTACCTCATGCTGAGTCATGGATGAGAGAGAATTTGTAGGCGGGTGAGCTGCAGGAAAAGTAATACTGTCATTTACACTTGCAGGCTGTTATGCTTTCCAGAAAACTTTTTCCGTAGGTTGCGAAAGTGATTAATCTGCTGTTAAAACTGACAAAGAAGGTTCTCTGATAAGAGAAAGAATTAAATGAGGAATTTTTCTTTAAAAAGTAAGCGCTTCTTTCCCATTTTAGATTAGAAAAATAAGTTTAAATGTTTCTTTTAATTTTAGTCGTGTGTGTGTGTGTGTGTGTGTGTGTGTGTGTGTGAAGTTGGCCATGACTTAATACAATCTCAAGCCATTTTCTATTTAAATTATGTTTTTTTACTTATTGGCATGGCTTATTCCTCATGCTGTATATCTAAATTATTCATTTCTACATCCTGTTCCCTTGCTTGTCTCTCTTTCTTCTTCTTTTTTTTTCCTTTCATTTTCTTTATTTGGGTCTTTTCAATACTTTCAACATCATCTTACTTCGGAGCCCCAGATCTCTTCTTTTCTACCAACCTTTTTTGAAACATTAAAACTGGTGAAGATGGCCTGAGTTCTCTCTGTGATATAAATTTATCCCTCCCTGAAAAATTCCATTCATGTAACATTTTTATAACACTTTTTAAAACTAGGATGAAAGTTTTTTCATGTAGTTGAAATGAAGCATCACTGCCTAAAGCGTTTAGAAATTTTTTTACTGTTGGTTTTAAGAAATTACTCTAGGATTTCCACTGAGGACTGGCAAGTATTGGTGAAGTTTGATCTCTCAGAGCTCATGTTTCAGATGGCAACTTAAAGGGACAAATAAATAAGTCAATCACACGGCATAATCTAACTTTAATATGATTCTGCAGAGAACCAGTGACTCATTTAGAGAAATCAGAGTCCTCAGAAAGGTGGAAAACATGTTAGAACTTATTAAGCTTGTTGCCTTTAGCATGTCAATGCCTTGTTTTTATAAGAAGATTCAATGGGTTGTTAAAATGCACTGTCTTAACCCTCTCCCCTTTGTATTTTTCTACTCTTAAGATGCATCATTTTATGTTGGGATCTATCAGTTTATTTTACTTGTTTTTCCTTCTTCCTCTCCTTATTTTGAAGGCTGACTTCTGAGCTTGAGCCATATCCTTGGCAACTGAATGAATTCATGGGGAGTATAGTAGAAAAGATTTTCTCACAACTCTGACAGCACTGCCCCCTAGTAAAAAAGGGAAGAGACAAAGAGAAATGGTCCCTTCTGCAACTGAAGGGACCAGCACAGGGGACTTGGCATTCTTCTTTTAGTCCTAAAGCTTAGACATACATACTGCTTTCGCCCCTGGGCTACAAATACATGTTTTAAAATTCTGAAGTTGAAAACGTCAAAACCATTTACAATTAAAAACCTGCTATTACTGTATATTTATACAGGTATTTCATAAGGGAAAAAGTAGAAAACATGTAAATGTATTTGTTTTATGTCTGAAGTTCCAAGATTATTTCTGTTTCTTTACTGAATGTGTTTGAAATATATGCAAACACACATGTAAACATACCTGTATATTTATGTACAGATATAAGTCTACATGGAGACCAGCATTTTTAGATAACACTGTTTTACAGGCTGTGCATCCATCTTTAAGGTGCTATAGCATAAGGTCTATGACTGCATTTTGTAATAAAAGATGGCAGGCTTTCTGGAAAGGGTCTCTTTGGGGCAGGAAGAGGTGTGAAGATCTTTTGCATTCTACTTTTAAAGTACAACAAGTTAAATTGCTACCAGATACATTAGCTTTATGGAGGTTTGTTTCCATTTTTATAGCAAAATCAAATAACTTTTAAATCAGAGGAAAAAAATATTCTTTTGTTGTTTTTATTTTTGTTGTTGAGATTGCCTGTTTTACGTTGAGTGCAGTGTTTTTCAGGTGGAAACATATTGGTTTGACATTTTAAGAGGAAAATGTTCTATATGTAATATGAAAGAGTCTTTTTCTTAACTAAATGCCAGCAACAAAATTTAAACCAAAAAATGTAGTAATGAAACAATGGTAATGAGATATGATTATGGTTTAGTGAGAGAAAAAAGCCCTGCAGGGAACAGTACAAGCACAGTAAATTATGAATTGCTACTAAATAGGCCTCATTAGTCCACTGTGGACCATGTTTAATTGATATTAGAAAGGAGTCTGGAAAACTTTGGAAAGTACATGTAAGACAACTTGCTGTTAAACTAATAAAAGTCGTTAGAGTGTCTGTTTCAAAAATTAGTAATTATTAATTGTGTGTGAGGGTCCTCAGGCAGCACCCATTTTACTAAAACATGCTTAGAGAAAAGATATTTCTATGAGAAATGAAACTGCAGAATGCTGAGCAGTGTAATATGTGACAGTTCCCTGGGAGTTTCTCCCCTCCTCGTAGGTATTTTTAGCAAAATAGTCCTTAAACATTGTTTTTTTTTTTTTTAAGTTGGAGTCTCGCTCTGTCGCCAGGCTGGAGTGCAGTGGCCCGATCTTGGCTCACTGCAACCTCCACCTCCTGGGTTCCAGCAATTCTCCTGCCTCAGCCTCCCGAGTAGCTGGGACTACAGGCACGCACCATCAGGCCCAGCTAATTTTTGTATTTTTTAGTAGAGACGGGGGTTTCCACCATATTGGCCAGGCTGGTCTTGAACACCTGACCTCGTGATCCTCCCACCTCTGCCTCCCAAAGTGTTGGGATTACAGACGTGAGCCACCGCGCTTGCCCCTTAAGTGTTGTTTTAAAGAAAGTTGGCGCTCTGGCCGGGCGCGGTGGCTCACGCCTGTAATCCCAGCACTTTGGGAGGCCGAGGCGGGTGGATCATGAGGTCAGGAGATCGAGACCATCCTGGCTAACAAGGTGAAACCCCGTCTCTACTAAAAATACAAAAAATTAGCCGGGCGCGGTGGCGGGCGCCTGTAGTCCCAGCTACTCGGGAGGCTGAGGCAGGAGAATGGCGTGAACCCGGGAAGCGGAGCTTGCAGTGAGCCGAGATTGCGCCACTGCAGTCCGCAGTCCGGCCTGGGCGACAGAGCGAGACTCCGTCTCAAAAAAAAAAAAAAAAAAAAAAAAAAAAAAGAAAGTTGGCGCTCTACTGAAGACTGGAGCCCAAGAAGACATTTATAGGGATTGTTTATTTTCATGTTGTTACTACACTCCATGGTCTGCAAAACCAGAGTGCCAGATGTTAAATTCTATCAGCATAATGCATCTTTAATTAAATATTATATACGCCATACAATTAATAATGTGGTCTGTTTCCAAAACTTTATTAAGAAATTACCATAATTTTGTATAATAGGCTAATAAAAAGGCACTGTACTTTGAAACAGCCTTTCGTAAAGTGGTTATATGATTTGTATCTGTTGAATTTGGAATTTAGATTAAGAGATTGTGGGCCAGAATTATCTGATGCAATGTACTCAGGACTTTAAATAAGTTGCGAATCTTGTAGGGTCTACTATTATTTGGCTTCCTTTAAAATAAAATAGGTTTCTTATTTGTCGATGAGCTCACTCTTTAAGAGGTTTAGGGAATAATTTACCTACTCGCTTTGTGTCCCCCAACCCTACTTTGTAAAAACCTCAAACAATACAAAACATGATAATTCCAAATATACAGTACATTGGGCTATGATATTTCTTAATGAATGGAAAGTCATGCATCTGGTTCTGTGGTCATCATTGATGTTTTAATTTTCACAATGTGTTAACCTGATACTTAAATTCCCCTAGTTGTCCTGTGAAGAAAGAATTTTAAATTCACATTTCACATGCAGACAAACTCTGATATTTAAAAATAATAGTTATCTTTTAAACTGAGATCCTATGTGGATATGGAATAGCGTATACAGCTCTGACAATAGGGCTTCAGTAAAATAACATTTTGCAAGCTGTGTTTTTCAAGACAAAATGTCACCCTCAGCTAAACAGAAGTAATTTGCATCAGAGGTGTGTGTGTCCTTACTCTTAATGAAAAAACGGTCCCCTCTCTTCAGAAAGTATTTGCTATCTCTACAATGTATTATTTTCATCACTGTGTCCCTCCCCTGCCCTTCTTATGCCCTAATATTTGTCCCTTAATTCTATTAAATTAGTTGTCAACTAAAATTAAAGGTAGATGTTATCCTTCACAATCTGTCCTGGTCTAATTTTTCAGTCTTGATTCGTCTTCTTTACTTTATGGAGTGTAGAGGTGGCTAACAGAACAACTCTGGAGCCACAATGTGTAGATTCAGATACCAACAGTAGCTTATGCTGAAACCTGGGTCAAATTACTTAAGCTCACATACCTCAGTTTCCTCATCTACAAAATGAGGATAATAATAGGTTCTTCCTCACTTATATGTAAAGCATTTAAATAAGGACTAGTAGATTGTATGTACTAGCTGTTATTAAATTCTGCCACATTTGTTTGTTCTCCATACACACCTTAGCCTTTTGTCTATGTCTCTGTTCACATTGTTTGCTGGAAACAGGATCCACCCTTCTCCTCCAAGGCCAGTGTATGTGTGTCCACAAACACACAGCCATCCATGTGTTGTGATTCCACGCACCTCCGAAGATACGGCTCAGAGAGCCACCCTCTGCTTGCCAGATTGAGCATAGTTCATCTGGAACTTTCATACACTTCTCTGTCTTACTTAGCATTTGCAACTATACTTTATAGTTATTTTCAAGTTTATTTTGCCTCTTTTGCTGGTGTGTGGACTTCTTGAGTCCATGGACTTCCTGTGATAAATTTCTCCCTACTACAAAAAGCTCAGTGCCTTGTGCTGAGCTGCTGTGCTTAGTAATAGATAGGGGAGAGGGTGTTTTTTTATATCTATATACATATATATGTACATATATATGTACACATAATTTGATATACTTTTGAGTGTACATGATGTGGTTCCTTATTTTTGCATTAAGCCTATCACTTCCGGGCATTGGCAAAGATCTGAAAATTAAAAGGAACACAAATAAGAAATGCATTTAGTCCATTTAAGCAACATGTGAGTTCCTCTTATTGAGTTTCTTCCCTAATTTAGATCTCAAGTTTTGCAAAAGAATGACAAATTCCTTTATTTAAAGAAAAATGAAAGCAGATCTGTTACCTTCTGTCCTATGAATGCCAATTCTCTATCCTGGATAATTAGATAAATAAGATATGTATAAGCGTATGGTTTATGCACATAGACATGAAGCTCTCAATGCCTGCATGATTTTCCTGTCATGCTCATGTGGGTTAAAGCCCAATAGATGTATTTTGAAAACTCGAATGCCAGTATGTCTTTAAAAAGATTATATCCTGAAATAAAGTTTTAACATCCTGTATCCTATGATAAAAGTTATTTTGCATTTTTTTCTTTACCACTGAAAACTTGCGAGGCTCAAAGTAGTTTAATTTTTATATATTGAAGCTACTCATTTGCCATATTTTAAAAACAAATCATAAAACATGGTAATTGGTAATTTCACAAATTTTATCAGGGAATATTTTATTATTACATTTTTAAAATAAAACCTGTAGATTTATTTAAAAAGCATATTTTGAACTAAAGACCTGAAATGTGTAGCTTGTGTAGCTCCATTTGAAAAGATGAAGGTTTTGCTATTGTTTACAACAGTTTTGCCTGATTTTTGTTTTCCCCTTTTGCTCTGTTTTTGTAGTTCAGTTTGTTGCAGCATTGTTGTCATGTCTAATTTTTGTTTACGTTGCACTGCACAGCACTCTTTCGTATACTTAAGTAACCTTTCTTGTTCTGCACTGCTGAATGACAGCTCATTTATTCTAGGGTGGTAATTGCAGTGTAGCAGACCCAGGTGAGCAATGTAAAAAGTTGAAGCAGATAAAATGTATGATTTCTTTTATAATGGTATTGTGTGCTGTGTTCTCCTCATATAGATGCTTTTTGTTTACATAGAGAATATCTAGGAACAATCTACATGTTCTTCAAGATCTTTTAAAATAAATACTCTTTCATTTTTAAAAAAGATGTATTCTTGGCCAGGCGCTGTGGCTCATGCCTGTAATCCCAGTACTTTGGGAGGCCGAGGCGGGTGGATCACTTGAGGTCAGGAGTTTGCGACCAGCCTGGCCAACATGGTGAAACCCTGCCTCTACTAAAAAATACAAAAATTAGCCGGGCATAGTGGCACATGTTTGTAATCCCAGGTACTCAGGAGGTTGAGGCAGGAGAATCGCTTGAACCTGGCAAGCAGAGGTTGCAGCGAGCTGAGATCGCGTCACTGCAATCCATCCTAGACAACACAGCAAGGCTGTGTTTAAAAAAATAAAAAGACATAATTGCAAAAGAAGTATTTCACTTCACCCTTTATTATAGGACAGACCACAGTGCAAGCAAGAAGATAAATGGTTAACTTACAACTGACCTCTGATTGGAGAATACTAGAGAGTGGTGAAGACTGTGGCAAGCAGGAGGGCTCACCAACCTCCCAGATTTAACCCAGGCTGCATGTAGGAATGCAGACCCAGTGTTGCTAGGTCTCTGGAATTAAGTTATATTTAACTAGCCTGTGATCTCTAAGGCCTTCAATTATGAGGTTCAGCACCACTGGAAAACTGAGTCAGTTTAGTGCTTTATTTCACAAAGGCAAATTGATGGTCCTTTCTGACCCTAAATTCCCAGTTTTACTTAAACTATTTAGACAAATCTAAGAAGTGTGTGAAATAAATACAGTGGAGCTTGAGGATTTTTGTTGTTGATTTTCTGTCCTTTTATATTTCCTCCTTCCCTCTGAGGGTTCACATAGGAGCCTCCACAGCCAGAGGATTACTTTCAGAATTGGAGGCAAGATTATTTCTTGGAATTTTGGTCTGAGGAAAAATTATTTAGGTCACTTGGACACTTATGTTGTGCTTTCCCACAAAATTGTCTAGCATTTTCTTTAAGACATATGCATGACCACTGCCCAAACGAAATAAATCACCCTTTCTCTTAAAGGATCCAGACTATTAAATATGAAGAACATCAACTAATTTGACTAGCAGAATGTAGGCCTTCAGTGTTAACATAGCCTTTTTCTGTTATTGCATTTATCTGCCTTTGTTCTGAAGCCCCAGTCTAGTACCTTTCTTAATGCAGATCTCTTTGAGCATAATGTTTCCATTAAACCAGCCAGTGGATCTCATTTGCTCCATACATATTCATATTAGGAAATATTATTGTACAAAGTAAAAGATGCTAGTAAAAGATATGCTGGAACAACATTTCTGACAGTATTTGTTCTGTAGTTAATGCTCTGGGAGCCTTTTTCCTTCAAACTCTCTATTCCTAGTTAGGGCCTCATCATTTCTTGCCTGGATTATTGCAGTAGCTTCCAGGCTGGCTTCCTTTATGCCCTTCATAAGCATATGGCTGCCAGATTAATATTTTTTTCAACACAGCCCTGATCCTGTCATTCTACAATTGAGTTCCTCACAGTCTACCTGATACAGAGACAGAAGGAATGTGATAATACAAATAATAATGGTACTCACAACAACAATAAATGACTGGTCTTTGATATTTAATCTCTAATATCAATTGTCTTGAGACAACAAGGCTTTTTGAATTCAATATCAGAGGGTTTAACTGTGAGGTACTTGGCATGGGTCTGAATTGCATGTATATTGTATGACTGATTGAAAGAAGATTATCTGATACACATGAGAAGTGTGGAGGTGGGAGCTGACATTTTGTTAGAAGTGCATGCCTGGCATTTTGATATACTATTGCACCTCCTCAAATCTTTTTAACAGAAACAAACTACTTTGTGATGATAGAATAGCATAATACAGGACAGCGGAAAAATCTTAGTGCTTTTTGTTCTGGTTTTGATTTTGCAACTAAATATGTATGATAAATAGGAAATTAGTGCATTGGAGCATATGCATCTGTTAAAGCAGATTGACTGCTTGGTTATCACACTATAAACAACATTTTTGAAGAATTTTAAAATTTATAATCTCTGATATAATGTTAAATGAAAAATAAGATACAAAGCCACACATAAAGAGGGTTCACATTTAAGCACCATCACCTATACAAAACACACACGCACACAGTCACACACACACACATACACACAGTCACACACACACTTACACACAGATACAAGTATACATAGAAATACAAACCATGAAAATAAAGTTACCAAAACAGTTGTTATCACTAAAGTTTTGAACGAGTGTTTTTTATTTCTTTATTAACCTTGTTATTACTTCTCATATTTTCTACAATGAGTATCACTGTTTTTAGTTTTGTTTTTGTTTTTTAAATGGAGTCTCACTCTTTCTCCCAGGCTGGAGTGCAGTGGGGCTATCTTAGCTCACTGCAACCTCCACCTCTCGGGTTCAAGCAATTCTGCCTCAGCCTCCTGAGTAGCTGGGATGACAGGTGCCCACCACCACGCCTGGCTAATTTTTATATTTTTAGTAGAGACAGGGTTTCACTATGTTGGCCAGGCTGATCTTGAACTCCTAACCAGGTGATCTGCCTGCCTTGGCCTCCCAAAGCGCTGGTATTACAGGTGTCAGCCACTGTACCCGGCGTATCATTGTTTTAATGAATACACTGTCTTACACGAGGGCTTGCCTAGCTCTCTCAAAAGTCTAAGAAACAATGAATAATATTATTTTATTTAAACATTATTTAAAAACATGAAAACAGTGAATACAAAGTTGAACTCTCCTCTTACAATAATAAAAATTCTTCTTGAATAATTCTGTATCCTACCATTCCATGAATTGTATCCATGGAAAAGTGTATGTTTTTCTGATTCATTTATTTATTTGCTTCTAGGTTATTGGATGAAGAAATCTAGGAATAGAATGAATAACTGTATAGATTACACCTCTGATGCCTGGTGTGTGTGTGTGTGTGTGTGTGTGTGTGTTTCTTCCCTTGTGATTTTCTCTCCTTTTCCTGCCTAATAATGATGTAGCTGATCTGCTTATCATGTTCCTTTATTTCTATAATTCCAATTGTTGTAGATCCCATAGAGGTGTTCACTCTTGCTCTCTCTCTCTCTTCTCTCTCCCTCTCACACACACACAGATTAAATAGAGAAAATTAAGTAAAGAGAGGAAAATGAGGAATAATTTCATACTTTAATATATTCATTCATTCATTGCTCTTTGATAATTTTTTTCTTTTTTAATTTTATTTTTCCCTAAGTTATTGGGGTATAGGTGGTATTTGGTTACATTAGTAAGTTCTTTAACGGACATTTGTGAGATCCTGGTGCACCCATCACCTGAGCAGTATACACTGCACCATATTTGTTGTCTTTTTTCCCATGCTCCCCTCCCACTCTTTCCCTCAAGTCCCCAAACTCCATTGTATCATTCTTATGCCTTTGCGTCCTCATAGCTTAGCTCCCACATATCAGTGAGAACATACGATGTTCGGTTTCCCATTCCTGAGTTACTTCACTTAGAATAATAGTCTCTAATCTCATCCAGGTCATTGCAAATGCTGTTAATTCATTCATTTTTATGGCTGAGCAGTATTCCACTGTATATGTATACACCGTAGTTTCTTTATCCACTCATTGATTGATGGGCATTTGGGTTGGTTCCACGATTTGCTACTGTGAATTGTGCTGCTATAAACACACGTGTGCAAGTATCATTTTCGAATAATGACTTCTTTTCCTCTGGGTAGATACCCAGTAGTGGGATTGCTGGATCAAATGGTAAGTAGAGCTCTATGATGTTTTGATACTCTTCTATGGCATAGACTTAGTGCTCCCATGTTCTAAGTGTTATGAAAGGCTGAAGATAGGAATATTAGAACATGGCCCCCTTCCTGAGTTATATAGCTTAGAACAATGGTACTCAAACTTAAGAATGTGTAAGAATTACCTAGGCCATAGCACTTACACATGGAATATCAAGAGGGAGAACAGACTAGGAGAAGACGTTTGAATTCAGCTGCCCATGTAAAGTATAAAGAATTATTTTTACCCAGAATCTTGAAGGGGAAGGAACTGAGTCACACAGACAAGAATGTGCCTAAAGCAATTCAGCAGTTCAGAGTGGAATGAAAAGGACCCTGGTTCCCTGCTCTTAAGCCAGTGTTCTTTAGCTGGCTAGAACTCAGCTCTCTGTTTAAAAAATGAATGGGTTGCAGTGGAGCGCTGTGTTCCAAGTAGGATTTGTAAGACTTCTGGAATTCTGAAAAAATTCTACTGGTTTTCTGCCTGTTTCTCTGTCTATACTTGAATTCACTGAGGCCAAAAATGGTAACTTTTTACCCAGTAGCTGGCAACATTCCTGGTAATTAGAAAGTGATCAGTAAATGCTCAATGACTATCTGAATGATTGCATTTTTCAAAAAGAAATCTGAAGTCTAAATTTTGAGCCAACTAAACATCATATTTCTTTGGTTTTGGGTGGTTTGGGAAAAATCCAATGTGTTCTCTGAAAGGAAAACATATTTGGAGATATGATTATTTTTTTCTGTAAATAAAGTTACTTTGTTGTAAATATAAATATACATGCTCATTTTATAAAAGAAAATGAAAGGAGAAAAAAGAGCAAAATATCTGTATTGACACCACTCATAATTACCACTCATAATTTTTGTTTTGTTTTTCTTATTCACATATAGGACTTTTATCATGATATATGTATGAATTTATATCCTGTTATTTTTCTGAAACATTATAGCATAACAGGATTAAGTATCCTATTACCTCTACAGTTCCTGATATTTATAAAGATAAATTATGAAAATAATGTTTGAATGAGAAGGTTTTTCTGTTTATATGCTGTTCCAAAGAACCTTAGGTATCAGAATTTATCTGAGCCCAAAAACGTCCCTTAGGTACCTTAAGCTACCCAAATTCTTTGAATTCTTTCAATCAAATCCCCTAATTTTATAAAGAGGAAATTGAAACCCAAGAAACAATATAAGTGAATTTGTTTGAACCCAGGAATTTCAGTACTTGTTGTCCTAATTTAAAATTGTGTCCCAAAGAATATTTATCTTTGAATTTGTTGATGTTTGCTCTTTTAAAAAGGAAAGAAGAATAATAAACTAATTCCTCATTTTACCTTTAAAAGGAAGTTTCACTGGAGGAATAAGACCCAAATGAATGAACCCCCATCAGTCATTCGTATCCCCCAGCTGATGAGGATTTCAGCAGTTGTGCTGACACCTTGATCTTGGGCTAGCCACCCTCCCCTTGCTCTGCCATGGAGCTTGGTCACCTTGTACCATGGTCAAAATAATGGTGCTCTCTTTCAAAAGCCATCCTTAGATTTCCAGCTAATAGTGTGTAGAAAAGAGAAAACATAATTTTTTAGTACCCCAAATTCTAGGTTATCTACTGCACTGAATGATCTAAAATATCAAGTAGGCGCTTTCAGCAAAGCTGTTAGAAATATAAATAGAAAAAATAGGAAAGATTATTTGTGGGACCATTCAAACTAAGACTGTTGTTGTTCTCATTATTATTGTTGTTTTTAAAGGACACTGTCCATATATTGCAAGACATGTTGCCCACTGCCCTTCACCTATGGGATTATATAAACGCAATCCTATTTTTTAAATAGTTGTGCAGAAAATCGAGAAGGGAGCTACCTTAACTGTGTATTCAGTTCTTGAGTGACAAAGACAGGCGTGAGAGAGAGAGTCCCTTGCTTCCAAATCACCCCTCCTTTGCCTCACCCTTTTCAGGACAAACCGACTACCAGAAATGAATCTAACCCATGTGGTCACTACAGGATTTATCTGGGCATTTGCTGAACCTGCTCGCAATTTATTTTTATTTCTTCCGATAGACATGGATTTGGCACAGGGGAGTGAATTCTTTTTGAAGCAGCAGATGTGCCTGGTACACCCGTTTGCTGTAACCATTTGTGCTGTGGTTGAAAAAAATTTTTTTAAGAGTGCAGAATTGTTGAAGGGGGAGGGTTAAAAAACCAGAGCCATTTTAGTGATTATGCAAAGTTAGAATGTGAGTAATTTTGCTGCAGTTAGTCATTATGTGCTTTCATAGCTTGTTTTACAGGGATAAAGGGATGTGTACAGGTTTGGTGAATAGAGCTCTTATTTGTTCCTAATAGTCACTCTTCATGAAAACATTTTCTACCCTTCCTCCTACTCTGTGGCAAAAGTGCTCTCTCCTTGGAAATTATACCTTTCTGGGATCCATTCCTTTTATCCATCTACAATCAGTGGACAGACAACTCCATTTTGAAGAACAAATACGTTAGAAGAAGAATTTTTTTCTCCTATACAATCTACAGTGTAACTGATACACATTCAAATCATCGTAATACAGTGATCATTATAAAATGAGAGTGTTTTCTGCAAAGAGGAAAAAAAAAACTGAGCAAACATCTAGTGACTTTGTTAGGAGCTTAATGTGCTCTAAATATGATGTCCTTCAAATATTTTATTTGAAATATTTGATAGGTCTTAGAAAATTTTGCTCATGGAATTCTCTGAGAACTGTAACACACCACCTATTCCTTTTTCGCTTTGCTTTCGGTCACCCAAATTTTTTTAGAAATATGTGAACGAGGGTCTGTTTGTTTCCACTGAAGCAAATATAGCCACTTGCTCACACTGGTGGCTTCTTTTACTGAAGTCCGTGAATATGTTAGAAACTCTTGTATGAAAATACAGCAACCCAATTTGTCCCTATTGAGCCTACTTTGTGATTTCCATGCCCTGCTGCCTGGTGTGTATACACTGAGATCCACTTTGTTAAAGAACAAAACTGGGTTTGTTACTTTTTTGTAGGCTTATTATTAAGTCTGAGCATTCTGGTGTGAGGTTAGGAACGCTGGTTTCAGACTCTGGAAAACAGAGTTCTAATCCTGACCCTCTGAAGACCTTCTCACTTTGGGCAAATCTTTCCTGAGCCTTGTTTCCTTGAGGAAAATGTAGAGATGTGTGATATTCACATTTCTTACGCCCTACAGTTATGTGAGGAATACTGTATGTTTCAGTTATGCACAGATAAATTAGTTATTTCTTCTCAAAGAATCCTCTGTTAAAAATTATTCCCCAAATAGCTCTTTTTCGACACTTGTCTCAAGGTGGTCACATTTTAATTTCTGCCACTGATACACAAATTTCAGTGATAAGAAACCCCTGAATGACTTGAGAGTTTCCTGAGAGATGGGATCCCACCTATTTTATTATCTTTTGTCTTTTTATGGCTTCCGAGTAGCAGTAAAAGATAGGAATGGTTGGTTCTATTACAGTAGTTGATTATAACCAAAAACTAGTGAACCACACTCTCCAAATGTCCTGCTACCTACAGCTAAGAAACCCAATGTTTATAAACTAACTCAGAACTTTTAAAATTAGATTGAACTACAGAACCCTCTATCATACTTAAATCTTCTTAGATGAATGGTGCACAAAACTGATGGGGGATGGGAAGTGTGGGCAATTCTGTTACCGAACTATTTCCCTTATTGTTTCATTTGATTAAACACTTCTCTCTTGTATGGAATTTGCCAATAATACATTATTGAAAAAACTGATTTCAATAATATGTTATTGAAAAAACTAATTTATTGAATAAAAACATATGGAAAAATCTCTTTGCTAGACCCTAAGGATGGAAAGCCCAAATTTCTACCCACATGGAGTTTAGAGAGGAAAGGAACACTAAATAAGTAATTGCAAAACAAGACGTAAGGGTTATCATAAGGATAATGCAAACTATTAAAGAGACATTAATGGTGGGCACCTTGTCTAATTTTGGAGGTTCCAGATTGGCTTCCTAAAGGAGGCATCATTTCGTTTGAAATCTGAAGGATGAATAACCAGTTAGAAGTTGCGAGATGGAAGCAGGTTGGAAAGTGTTCAAATCAGGGCAACCACAGGATAGCTGGAGTGTTGACTCCTGTGTAGAGGAAAGTAAGAGAGGAGGCTAAGAAGATAAACAGTAGTTCTATCAGGAAAGAATTTGGACTTCATGGTAAGAGCAATGAGAACTCTTGAGAGATTTTAATACAGGAAGGCAATGATCATATTTGAGTTCTTAAAATTTGATTTTAGAATAGAGTACGTACTAGAGGACAATAAGCAGTCAGTTTCTTTAAAAATACACATATACGTGTGTATGTGTTTGTTGCAGTAAGCTAGGTCACTAATCATAGTGGACTGGACTAGGGCACCAATAAGTTAATAGAAGTAGAAACATTGACGGTAACTAGTAGAGAGAATTAACAAGCTTTACTGCATCAAGAGGAGAAAAAAAATTGTGATCACGTTTATAACATATAATCACATTGCTAAAATCTTTAAAATATCTGTTAACCTTGAAACATAACTGATTTATATAGTTTTTGTCAATATACATATGAACCATTATCTTACTTTTCTTTTAAACTGGTATTTCGAATTAATGTTTTCTGGCTTTCCAGCTGCATACCATTCCATTAGCTCAATGTTCTAGGATTTTCTCAACCATCCTCTGATTTTTCCTTTAATATAAACAAGTAAAATCACTTATGTGCGTTTTAATAGCTCTTCATTGCAAGTTTGTCCACCAAAAGAATCATTTCAATTTTCAGTGCTACCAGTCATATAAAAACGCACCTGTAATATTCCCACTGGGATTGAGTTTTATTATTTCTTGCCTAATTGGTTGAACTCACAGTATTTTTCACTAAACCCCTGGCCTGATTGGAGAAAAGTGTCTGGTCCCTTGAGGAGATGCTTCAGCAAACGAGGTCGCTTGTTATGGAAATAGGCTCTTCTCTCACTACATTTCTAGATGATAGAACACACTCAGATTGATTTCACCTTCATCACAATGGCATTTTATCCAGTGCTGGACACATGCATGCTAAGAACTGAGTGTACTGTATGGGTATTTATAATACCCATATTCATTCTAGGAAATAATTATACATGGCTGGGTATTTACATAAACAGGAGCCTTGGAGACCTCTCAAGTTCAAAACCGATGGCATTCTATCTCATTTGAAAGTCACTGGGGTGGGAGAGGACACTCCTTAAAATATTGGATTTCTTAGTTTTAATCTGATGATATGCTAGCTTTATGAAGATGTGAGTGCAGGCCCTCACCTGGATCGTTGCTTCTCTTTTTAATAGGAACTAGAAAATGAAGATTTTCAAGGTAGCATCTGGGTGCTCCTAATTGACTTGATTTTATGTTTGAGAAAACTACCTTGACATACCAACATTGGGGTCTCTAGAAGTCCAGGGAGATGTTTTTCTTCACAGTGTCATATACCCTATCATAAGTGTTGTGAGGATTAAATGGAAAAGCTTCTGGGACAAAAACTGCTCTGAAGTGCCACACCAGACTATACTGTTTTAACTATTTCTGGCTCTGAAGCTATTAAGAATAACCCGTCACTAGCAGAGCACAAGGCTGTGAAATGAATAAGTGCTGATACATTTCAAAGAAGTAAGATATTTATGTGTGCATCTCTCTGGCAAAAACTATCGGGGACTCGTTAGGGGTGTGTGTGTGTGTGTGTGTGTGTGTGTGTGTGTGTGTGGTGTGTGCTTTATGTGTTCATTGAGGACTAAAAATTAGTATTAGTAGTATATTGGCAGCAATGTTTTGAACTCGGTGGCACCAACTAAAATTGTGTGATTTTTATTTCGTGCATAATATTTGAGATTATTTTAACTCATCACCAGATTTCAGCTACTATTTATCCTCATTTATAAGGTTACTTTTTTTCTTTAATGTGGAAAATAAACAAAAACATAAAATGGAGAACAAAATTTTCTCTTAACTGCCTCACCTAGTGTAAAACTGTAACCTTTTAAAATACATTGAAACCATTTTTAATTTTCTGCTATGCTTCTTCCTTTTTTTGTATGTACATACACATGGACATTGGAATACCACAATATTTTAGAGTGTGTTTGCTTGGTTTTTAAAATAATGTATATATTTCTGATATATATTATGTTAAATATATATTTATTTTTATACATTTATATATAAGAAATGTATAATATATACTATGCCTATATAATATATATTTCTTCCTTTGAGTGAAAAAGTAATATGTGGTAGACACTTAGCAAAATAGGAAAAGTATATAGAATAGCCAAAAATAACCCCTTTAAAATAACCAATGTTATCAGTTGGGAATAGATCCTTCTAGCCATATATGTATGCATATGTATATATGAGATATAGATAGATGCATTACTTATCAACAGGTATAAAACAATATTTTCTAACTGAATTTTAAAACAAAGAAAAATTTTGATACATATTATTATTTTTATTATATAGTGGTAAAATATACATAATACAGAATTTCACATTCTAACCAATTTTAAGCGTATAATTCACTGGCACTAAGTACATTTACATTGTTGTGCAACCATCACCAGCAGAACTGTATCTATTCAAACTGAAATGACATATCCATTAAACAATAATGCACTAGCTACATTCTTCCTTCTCCCATCCCATGGCAATCACCATTCTGCTTTCTAGCTTTATAAATTTGACTCTTCTAGGGGCCTCCTATATGTAGAACCATATGGTATTTGTTTTTTGTTTTTTGTTTTTGTAACTGGCTTGTTTCTTCAAGCTTCAAGCTTAATCTCTTCAAGCTTCATCTATGTTGTAGCATGTATCAGAATTTTCTTATTACATTGTGTGTGTGTATATATATGTATAGATATATAGATAGATATAGATGTGTGTGTGTATATATATATATCACATTTTATTTATCCATTCATCCATCAGTGGACACTTGAATTGCTTCTTCCTTTGGCTATTGTGAATAATACTGCTATGAACATATTACCATGATTGTACAAATAGCTGCATTCCTGCTTTTAGTTATTTTAGGTATCTACCCAGAAGTTGAATTGCCAGATTATTGATATATTTTGAAATATTTTTATGGCATTGTTTTAATGACTGTGTAGTATTCTATTATATGACTATACTGTAATGTATATAAACAATCCTCATGTATTGATTATTTAAATTTTCCATTATCTTTTAGTTTTATAAAGTACACTATTAACACGGAGCTTCTTGAAACTAAACATTTATGCTCTCTGGTCATTTCCATAGGCTAAATTTTAAGAAATGAAACTATGGGTTTAAAAAGTATAAACTTTATTAGGGCTTTTGTTACATATCACCAAATTACACCACTGATTTCCCATAAAAATTTTATAGAAACAAACATTAACTTCGTCCCTAAATCTAAATTATATAATCAGTTTTCCTTCTAAGACAAGTGGAGTCACACCATTATGTCACTCATAGCCCCTAATTCCAAGTGGGATTTCCTGTTCGGCTTTAGCAACAGTATCTAAAAGTAGTTTTGAACTCTGGTTTTAACTGACAATCACCTGCCCCTTCCCTTTTGAATTTCCAGATTTCACTCTGTTGAGTGGGTTTATCTACAATAACTTGCATTTAAAAAGCCCTAAATGATTCTGTTGTGCAGTCAGATTTAAGAAATGCTTTTCTAAATGTGTGGTATTATGTTTATATATCGCACTCTTGGCCAGGTGTGGTGGCTCACGCCTGTAATCCCAACATTTTGGGAGGCCAAGGCAGATGGATCACTTGAGGTCAGGAGTTCCAGACCAGCCTGGACAACACAGTGAAAACCCCATCTTTACTAAAAACACAAAATGAGCTGGCGTGGTGGTGGGTGCCTATAATCCCAGCTATTTGAGAGGCTTTGACACAAGAATTCCTTGAACACGCGAGGCAGAGGTTGCAGTGAGCTGAGATAGTGCCACTGCACTCCAGCCTGGGTGACAGAGCAAGACTCTATCTCAAATATATATATATATATATATACACACACATATACATATACACACACACACATATATATAGCATTCTTAATCTCATATATATATAATATATATATAATATATATATATTATATATATATATGACATTCTTAATCTGTTAGGTTGTTTTCCAACTCATGGGGTCATCTATCAAGTGGATAGTGTAAGTGGCCTGGTTGGATGAGGAATGGAGATATGGGTACTTACCCTGAATTATGGAAGATAATTAGTGAGATGACTCAAGAAAGCAAATTTAGTTATTCTTCTAGTCATGGTTAGGATAAAATGATGATGTAATTTTTGCATAGAGCCAAAAGAAGCAGCAAATTAGGGATTTCATTATAACTGAAATAGGTTAGCTGTGTTTCCATTTTTGCTCATTGTACAAACTCAGAAACCAATTATATTTATTTATCCAGCCATTATTTATTAAGTGCCTACCTGATATGAATCCCTAATAATGAGACCAAGCTCTTCTTGGGCAATAAAACTCTGAATATTGCACATTTACTCTTGGAATCACTGGATTTTTGAGAGTCAGAGTATCTTCTTTTATAGGTACCTCGACCCCAGTGAAGCTCTTTTTTTTTCTCCTGAGTGATATAGAAATATTTTTTTATTTGAAGAGAAAGATTATTTATTAAAAAAAAAAAAAGGAGAAGAGTAACTTAGCATTTCCCCTCCTTTGTTGTTCAGATGAAGAGTCAGTCTAGAGAAGTCACGTGACTTTCCCAATGTCACTAAATTCTAAACAGTGGTAAAGCTGGCACTTTTTTTCTCGGTCTCCCAAGTTCCAGTGCACAACTCTTCAATTGCATGCTTCCTAGTGATACTTACATTTGCCAGTATCCATAACTTCAACTGGGAATTGTAAAGTGCACCTCATGCACTACAGGTGACCTGCAGAAATTGTTTTATTTCTCTTCCTTGTGTTTGAAATAATAATAATAATAATAATAATAATAATAATAATAATAATGAACACAGCTTTAAAGTCAGAAGAGTAATATTGGATTTATATTCCACATGTCAGCAGTGAGCTGGCATGGGATAGCAGCTGCCTTTTTAACAGAGTAAACTCTTCAGCTTTATAGTTCACATCACTTTGTTGTTTCCTAGACACTGGCATTCTCATTTTCTGTTCATTCTCCAATTTATTCAATTTTTCTTCTAGGAGAGAGAAAGATTTTCCAGTGTCTACATTTTGATCACTTATCTCTTAAAAATAGGAAAACTACGGATAGACTGATAAAGAATTTTGTGGTTTTTTTTTTTTTAACATGTCAACTATTATATTTCACTGTTTTATTACCTGAGAGAGGTGGATGGTTTTTAAAACCCCAAACTATGCAGCCAGATGACCCAGGCTTGAACCTTCGATCTGCCACCTACTAGTGATGTGTCCTTGGGCAGTTACTTAATCTCTCGTCAATATCTTCTTCTGGAAAATGAGGATTGGTTTCCGTCTCAGGAGTAACTGTGAGGATTATATATAAATTATGTTCAACACAAAATGTTTGCACCAGGTAATTTCTATATAAATGTTTGCTATTATTACACATTTTTGGGGTTACCAATAGGTATTTTAGCTTGTGTTTTCTGCCACAGGGATGTCCAGACAAAGTAGATAACTGAAAGTGAAAAGCACTTGAGGTATTCTTCAAATAACTCAAATAATTGTCATGAAAATATAATTGAAATGGAAATATTCATCATCTTAATCTTCTAGCAAGTCAACCATCCCCCTTTTGATATTTTGTATATTCCTTGGCCATATGAAAATATCATTCTCTATGGCCTCAATTGTATTGTACAAATGAATTCACATCATGTGTTTTTCATTTAAAATTTACATTTAAATCTTAAGCAGTTTCCCATGTCATGTAGCTGAAATTAAAATGTAATAAAATGATTTTGAATTTCGTGCTGCTGTTTAAACGTTGACCTTTTGCTACTGTCTATTTTCTCCTTCTGTTACATTGGAAAATTTTCTAAGTAGAAATCACTTTTACTCATCACACTAAATTTTGCCCCAAATATTCTGTAACTAAGAACTTTCTGAGTGCAATGAGTGTGACTTTCTTTGTCTCATAGTGAATCTAGTAAGCAGCTCAATGCCTGTTACATAGTAGACTTTCAATAAATTTCTATTGAATAAATAATTTGGATTGAATTTCTGGGATTTGTGGTATTGTGTTTACTTGGCAGTAAATTCAGAATGTACTTTGTTTTAGTACATGTTGTTAAATACTATTTTTAAATGCATTCGTCTCTTTCCTTTCTTAGTAAGTTTATTTAAAAATTGCCCTTTATTTCCAGAGGGGATTTGAGTCAGCATCAAGTAAAACTTACACATATAGTATGGCCATAAAAATGAAAACAAGTACCTCAAAGTCTTCCTGGAAAAATAATAGTATCAATACATTCCAAATTAAAATCATTAAACTATTTAGAGGTGGAGGGGCACTAATGAGATGACTGTAATTAGGCACACATTACATATTTTACAGAATTTCTTGATTGTCAAGTCAATAAGGAAAATAAGATAGTTCATATTTTTTCATGGTCAGTTATAATCTGACCAAAGAAATGCATTTTTCTTGGGATATTAACCTTCATTCATTCATCAAATATTTGTTAAATGCCAGCTTATGGGCTATGATATGATGAAGCATAATGAGGAAGCAGCAGGGAATAAAAAGGACAGTCTCTACTAGTATAGAAGCAGACATATGCACATGTGATATGTACAGGGAGGGAGAAGTAAAGAGCACCCACTGTGCTGGAGGATTCAGGCAAAGTTTCACGGAGGAACCTGACATTCAGCTTGAGATGTAAGACATTCCTAGGAATCAGCTAGATAATTCAAAGACAATGGAGAAGTGCATTGGTGTAGGTATCATTGTTGAGATGTGAGAGAGCTTGGCACAATAGACATGAAAGAAGGTCAATGTATCTCAAAGAGAGGTAGAAGAGGTGGATTTGCATCCATCATTCCCCTAACCTGTTGAAGATTTTTGAGCAGGAAAGCAATATGATTAGATTTGCATTTGCAATAAATCACTCTGGCTACCAAATGAAGGACTCATTGAAAAACAGTCGTGGACATTGGGAGACCAGTTTGGATGTTTTTAGAGAATTCATAATGAAAAATGGTGGAATCTTGGCATGGGATTGTAGTAGTGGAAATGGTAAAATGTGGACATATTTGTGAGTTATGGAATTCCCTATTTAGAGAGTAGGAGCAACAGGATTTAGTTCTTGAATGGAAAGTAGGCAGTCTCAGAAATGATTCCCAGTGTTCTCCTTTGAGCAACAACTGGGTGGATGAGAAAACCAAATGAAAAGCAGATCAGGGTGGATGATGAAATCTGTTTTTAATATATTGAGTCTGAAAAGCATATGAGACATTCAAGCAGACACATGAAATAGACAGTTGAGGATTTGGGCTTAGTATTCAGAATACAGATGAATTCTGGAGACAGAAATTCTAAAGTCTTCATAACATAGAAGGTATATCAAGTTGTGGCCATGGTCCTGGAGACAATCGAGAGACAAAAGCAGAGATCTGGTGTCAAATAAAGGGAATCATTATTCAGCGGCTATTGAGCAATATATTGGGTATTGTCATTAGTAACAATTTCACAGAAAGATTTAAGAAGCATTTTATTTTTCGTAAGATAATATTCCATTTGATGCAGATAGATAGCTTTCTGGTAAACTAGGTTGATCCAGAGATAAAGATTAAAAAATTCCCAGGGACATTTGGTTAACATTTTACTTCCAATGGTTCTCAACTAGAGAGGAAACCACCTCCTGATGGGGAGTTTGGAAATGAATGGGCACATTTTTATAAACTGTCACAATGACTGGAGGACACTGTTATCATTTATCGGGTAGGGAGCAAAATACATTACTGTCAAACTCAAGAAGACCATAGTACTCTGTTGAGAGACACTGATAAACTCTTGTGCCACATATGTTTCTCTGGCTTGCTGATTGTGAAGTTCCGAGCTGACTGTCAAGAACGGTCACAGACCTTCTCTAGATTTTCACCTCCACAGTACTCTCTTTGTCCTGAACCTAGAGGAGATGACGGCTCTGCCTCTGCTAGTTCCATATTATTTCCCTGTCCTTCGTGACTCCTCTGCAATTACATGGGGCCATGTACATAATACCTGTGTAAATCAGATCCTTGAGAAGACCTAGTTGGTGTGTGCTGTCATTTTTATTTGAATCCTGACTCTTATGGCTATCTTTTCCACATATCATTTGTCTCAAATATAGTTTCCTAGGGATCTCATAGTTCCAGATTTAGCTTCCTGTTAAGTTACAAGAAGCTCTTGGATAGAGTGGTATCTTTTTGTTTGGTTGGTTTTTGTGTTTTGTTTTGTTCTGTTTTTTTGGATATTCGTCTTTAAAAGGGTAAACTTGTCATTTACTTTTGTAATTTAAGCAGCCTGGATATTCTTGTCTTGTTGGTGGAGGGGCTTTACCTTTCTGCTTGAAGGTGGTCCCAATAGTACTAAATAGAAACATAGTTTCCTCATTAAGCAATTTATTAAAATATGTATGTTCAAGACATTCCTAAAAAATACTCAGTTAAGACTCCAACATTCTATTACAGAGGACGTGGAAAAGGCATTTTGAACCTAGAAAAAATTTAAGGTCAGATTTTTCTCGTCAATAATGCCAGTCATAAAAAAGTCAGCGTAGATGGGCATTGAATGAAAGAGGGAATAAAGCTTTGCTTTTCTTTGATGACTCAAGATCAGCAGAAACCCAGAGTTCCTATTTTGAACACTTTACAAACCCAACTATAAATGGAGACAGTGACTGAGCAACTGGGCTGATGACAGGCATGCTCTCTGCTGCAGCTGTAAAGTCTGCCCCAAGAAAGCAGTTCAAAATTTGCATAGTTTGAAATTGAAAACCAATAACATTCATTAACAAAAAAGAATATAGACCTAACTCCTTAAAAGTAACTTTTTTTTTATAAGTTTCTTCTTTCAGTCTCTTTCTTGGTGAAGACACACACACACACACACACACACACACACACACACACACACACACACACTATTTAAACATCCTGAAGTCTTTGAATTAAAGCAACAGGGCACAATTTCAGGAGCCATTGCTTTCTTCTAGGAAATACCTCACTATTAGAGCTCTCTTTGGAGATGAGAAGATTTTTCTCAACTTTATTATGAATTCCATTGTGTATGTGTGAGCACGTTTCTGAATATTTTACATATTATAACTGTATGTTTGAAAATAGAAGATATATATATATATATATATATATATATATATATATATATATATATAATTTTTTTTTCCTTTGCAGTTTTACGTGCCTTACATCACGGGAGCTGGAAGGGGTAGAGAATAGGAATAATTTTAAAGCATATTTATTTATGTTCTTCATGGTTAAAGAAAACTATGCCAACATTCTTCTGGCCCACATATTCAATTAAATACATAGTGAATCTTTTCTACTTACTGGATTATTTGGTGCTTCCAAGCATTTATTTTTGGCATTTCATTTCGTTTTTGTTTTTGCAGGAATTTTTGAAGTTTTATTATGATTTAACATTTTTATTTTGAAAATCGAGCACATTTTAAAAATTACTCTGCTGTAGCTGTAGTCTGCCCCCAAAAACAGATACTTCAAAATTCACCTATTTTGAAAATAAAAATGCAGGTATAGAAATTTACATATACAGATTACTTATTTATCTATGATTTGTTATGTGTATATAAATCTATTTATACAATCATCTATAAATACAGATATGCAAATATGTTATTTTTTGAGACTTAAATGTCTGTAGCAATCCTTTTTTTATGTGGTATTTTTCCATTAGTCATTTTCTAAGCCTCTTCAACATGTAAAGCTCTGTGAGGTTAATGGGGGGAGAGTGGTGTCCTAGGATGATGAATAGTGTGTCTCTCCCTGTCCCCCAGTCTGGTAGAGAAGCTGTGCACAATAGATTAGACCAAATAGATTTCTACATTTTCAATCAGAATTAGCTGTGGCCAGGAGATAAGAACAGACAAGGTGCACCCCTGTGTGTCTGCCTTCTCTCTTGGAGCAGGCCCTCCACTTCCCCTTTTGTTTAAGTTCAGATAACATGTTACATTGTTTATGTCACTATTCTTCATGACCAATTGTCACAAAACTTTTCCTCTATGTTACTTCTTTTAGAAGTTTTAGTTTCAGGCCTTTCTCATCTTTAAATCATTAACCCAGTTTTAGTTAATGATGTCAGATAAGGGTCCAATATCATTCTTTTGTATGTGTATTTCTAGTTTCCCTAACATCATCTATTGAAGAAATTTTCTTTACCTATCATCTATTCTTTGCCCCCTCATCAAAAATCAATTGACTGTATACACGTGGATATATTTCCGGGCTCTCTGTTCTGTTGGTCTGTATATCTTGTTTTTCATGCCAGTACCATACTGTTTTGATTACTGTAGCTTTGTAATATATTTTGAAATTAGGAATTGTAATGCCTCCGGCTTTGTTCTTGGCTTCAAGATTGATAAGGCTTTTTGTGGTCTTTTGTGGTTCCATGTGAGTTTTAGAATTGTTTTTTCTATGTATGTAAAACTTCATTTTGGTATTTAGATAGGGATCTCACTGCATCTATAGATAACTTTGGGTAGGATATACATTCTAACAATATCAAGTCTTTCAACCTATGAACACAGATGTTTATCCGTTTGTTTGTGTCTTGTATAATTTCTTTCACCGATGTTTAATAGTTTTCAGTATATAATCTTTCTCCTCCTTAGATAACTTTTTTCCAAGTTTTTTATGCTACTGTAAGTAGAATTTTTTCCTTTCTTTCCTTTTCTGCTATTCGTCGGCAGTGCACAGATATACAACTGATTTTTGTGTTCATCTGTGAACACTTTGAAGGCAAGATTATGCCTTATTTGTGTTCTACATAGTAATAAATAATAATTAGCAGTTATTAATATTTTTCATTTATTCATTTTTATTGAGTTTCGTTGGCAGTAATTTTTGCTTTCTTTCTTTCTTTTTTTTCCTATTCTTTTTAGAGCTCCACTGGTTCAACAGCCTCTCCTCCAGTTTCGACCCCAGTCACAGGACACAAGAGAATGGTCATCCCGAACCAACCCCCTCTAACAGCAACCAAGAAGTCTACATTGAAACCACAGCCTGCACCCCAGGCTGGACCCATCCCTGTGGCTCCAATCGGAACACTCAAACCCCAGCCTCAGCCAGTCCCAGCCTCCTACACCACGGCCTCCACTTCTTCAAGGCCTACCTTTAATGTGCAGGTGAAGTCAGCCCAGCCCAGCCCTCATTATATGGCTGCCCCTTCATCAGGACAAATTTATGGCTCAGGGCCCCAGGGCTATAACACTCAGCCAGTTCCTGTCTCTGGGCAGTGTCCACCTCCTTCAACACGGGGAGGCATGGATTATGCCTACATTCCACCACCAGGACTTCAGCCGGAGCCTGGGTATGGGTATGCCCCCAACCAGGGACGCTATTATGAAGGCTACTATGCAGCAGGGCCAGGCTATGGGGGCAGAAATGACTCTGACCCTACCTATGGTCAACAAGGTCACCCAAATACCTGGAAACGGGAACCAGGGTACACTCCTCCTGGAGCAGGGAACCAGAACCCTCCTGGGATGTATCCAGTCACTGGTCCCAAGAAGACCTATATCACAGATCCTGTTTCAGCCCCCTGTGCGCCACCATTGCAGCCAAAGGTAAGAAACTCAGTAACATAAGGAGGAGAATACAGGGGTGCCTATCTTAGTCTGCCTTCCCCAGGAAGCGAAGCCTAAGGCAAAAGTGTGTGTGTTACTTTTATTTCACTGACAAATACAATCCCAGGGAAGGATGAGTGAAGCCAGAGAGGAGAGAGAGACTACTTAGTATGTTACTAATATGGCCACTGTTTAGTATCAAATGGAATTGCTTGCTCAATCTCAGAGAATCATCTTCCAAAGCCCACAGACACCATAGCATCTGAGGACAAAGTGTTCTGATGGAGAAAGAGAAAATAATTTATTTTTCACATCCTTCCCTATATTGGTTAAAGCTTCCCTCTGTTGTGCAGAAACTTCCTCTACACCTTGCATTTGCTTGGACATTAAACAGGTCTGTAGTATCTCAAGCCTCAGCAAGGGTAGTGATCTATGGGTGAGACATGTGGAGGGCAAAACTGAGTGAACTGCTGTCAGGCTGTGGCCCTGTGAAGGCGATTATAACTCCCGCAATGTTGGTACCACAGCGGTTGCTGGGCCAGAACAAGTGGCCAAGGACCCAGGAAATGGGTGAGGCCAAGCAGGTCTAAGATAATGCAAATGCCTTGGACAGTTTCTCCTTTGAGAAGGGGCTGCAGTATAATGCAGCTTGTTTGTGACCCCTTGTTTATTCATTTTACTAATCCTCCAGAAAGAATCTTATTCTTCAGCCTTTAGCACTATTAAGCAATGTTTAAAAACTCCTTATGAGTGACAGTTACTTCTTATTTGATTTAATTGTCCATATGTGGACCTTTTAAGTTAACACTCTCTGTTACTTCGTCTGAATAGGTAAGGTGTAATACTACACATGCCCACTCACCACAACTTGGATTTTTCATTAGTACTGGAACCAACACGATGTTGATTCCTCCCATTATGACTAGAGGAACCAATAAGAATAACTTGGAATCGGTGAAAATAGAGGAACTGAGCCAGTTTCCAGCCACTTGGGTTGGAAGAGTGCCCTTGCTTCTTTTCAGTTAGAACTGTGAGAAATCAGAAATTTGAGAGCCCTCAATTAGCTAGAAGTTCAATGGTAGTTTTGGGGGATGGATTGGGTAGAAGTTTGGACTGTATTTTTAAAAATTCTTTCCACATTTTTACAAGATTGTCCATTTCAAGACAGATCTATTCACATATTCAACATTGTATCAAAAATTTCCTTATAGGGTATTTACTAAACTGTTTTTCTTATATGAAAGCGTCTGCCATATTAATGGTGTCCTATGTGAATTTCACATTCTATAGGGGAATAGAGCTCTTCCTGACAGTGGGGACTGTGAAGAGCTGGAGAAATCCTATAGCCTTATGTGTGACCACTATATGAAATTGGCCAGCCATGATCCCTTTCCGATAGATAGATTCCAAATTAGAATTTTAAATGATTTTAAACATGACTCAGTTTCTTAAGTCTCTCTATGAAAAGAAATGTTATTACAGTTTTTTATTTCTTTTTAAAATGAATTTGTCCATAATAGCCAATCTGGACAGCCTTGCTCTTTGTTAATGTCGCAGTATATTTGCACCAGTGCCTCCTGGCCCAGTCAAGGGGAGTCTATTTTCAAAACAACCAGTTCAGAGAAACAGATTATTCAACTTAACCACAGTTTTTGTTTTCAACAATTGCAACAGATTTACCCAGGGAAGATTACAGTAAAATAAAATTTTAGGTCAGAACAACTGCTGTCAAGGTTTAAGTTCAACTAGACAGACAATTTAGCCCTGCCCAAAACAGGGTGACTGAAAGGATGGCTGAGTGATGTTCCTGAAGGAATGACATGGTGTCTGCCTTGTTGGAGGATTGTGTTATCCCACATAGGAACCAGACATGAGAGAAAGCAAAACTATGTGTCTTGATGAGACTCACCTGGTGAGAGGTACTGAGCTAGTCTTCAGATGTTGTTTTCTCACTAAGTCACTGGGCACTCTGGCCAGCCTCTCTTCAGCATTTGGAACCCATCCATTGGTGTAGGAAAAAGAATCAGCCCCCACTGCTAGAACTGGATCTAAAGTGCTGGGTCCAGCCACATCCCTAACATTTGGCCTGTCCTCACCAACTGACACAGGGAGATGGAATGAATTTTTATAAACCACTCATCAGAAAACATGGAACTTTATTTTACTTCTTATTTGAGCAAGGTGGTTATTCAAGATGATCTATTAGATGATTACAGATTTTGGATATCAGTAGATTTCATGTTATTTTTAAAATTTTTGATATATTTGTTTTTCAACAGTTTCATGTGTTTTCACATCATATTCGGCTGTGCATTGAAAAAATGAAAATCAAACCATGTACTTTTCACTCTGATTATTAAGAGTGGTTAGAGGTTGATATTTAGCCATCTGTCCTGTCTGTGCTTTGGGAAAGGGGGAAGAGGCTGATGAAGTTATGGATAAATTCTGGGCGCGTTGTGAGGGCATTGGCTGATGAAAGGGTGGGTTCCTTCACAGTTGGCCTTTGAGCAAAACACTACTGTATTCTACTGCACCTGTGCACAGAGGACCTTATTGTCCTTATATTGACTGTTTGGCTTAATTATGTGACTACGGGCATGAGAAATGAGCTCCGAATTCTTATCCCAGTTCTTTCCTTGACATTCCTCTTCCAGTTTGAGGAAAACCTCTAGACCTCTTTATGTCATGCTTCAAACCTCAGTAAAGTAGAACACCATCTTTACTAATTAATTAATGATTGCAAAAGGCTTGGAAATTTCCAAAGGCTGAATAATTGCCAAGTGAAGACTATTCAGCTTTCCACTCGCTTTCATTTATTTTTAATTTTTTTTAGTCACTGATGGAAAACTTACCCTCATGTCTGAAAACAATTATACTTTATTACATTGAGTGCTTCTGGGGAGTTTGGCATTTAACCCATTAAGGAAAAAGTTTAAAAGATGAAATAAATAAATCTCCCTTATATTTGAGATGAGCTGCTTTAGTTTTCCTATATCAGGATAGTATAAAAAGAGGAATATGATATAGTAAAAAAGAGGAGAGACAGGATGGGGAAAAGGAGAAAGGAAAGAAAAAATGAAAAGGAAAAAATGAAGAAAGGAAAGAGGCAGAATGAGAACCTGCAAGGCTTAGGGGATCATGATTATGTTTATGTTCCCATAATGTGCTAAGCAGTGAATTTGCATGCTACAGTGGGCCATACTGTATTTCCTATACCATCTGAGCAGAGTTCCTTGAAAAATAGTGTTATAAATAAGTCTTTATAAGGTAGAAATGTTCTCTTCTCACTGGAAATCCTCTTAAAGATGCAGTGGAATCTCTTCTCTTTGCTGATTTATAAAAGCTAATGTCAGCTACATCTTGCCATGTAGTTCACAGAACTCGTGTCCTGTGCATTTTATATATCTATATCTATACCTATATCTATATCTATATCTATATCTATATCTATATCTATATCTATATCTATATATATCGCTGTGAGTTGGGAGCCACGTTTTCTCCAGTATTTAGATAAGGTGGCTCAGCTTGAAAGTTCCAGTGCTAGGACCTGGAAGCTAGTCACAACTCTCAAGTCTAAAGTGACCAGGCAACTTTAGCCTCCAATTATCATAAAAACTCATCTCCGTCAGCCTCAGCTATTAAAGGGACAGGTATTTGCTACATAATGTGTAGAAGTGCTGGGGCTGTGCATTCCAGGGAAGTTGGAGAATCTTGTCCCAATTAGTGTAGAGGTTATGTTAAATTCTGAAACCATCTACTATTAAAATTTTCTTGGAAAATATTTCAGGAAGATGAGACCTTGGAGGTCAACTAACCATCTTTCAGTAAATCTAAAAGTTTTTCTTTTCCAGAATTAGAACAGATTGTTGCTTTTCATTTGGATTTCGAGTTTGGGGCATATTTTATGGGTCAGAGAAGAGTGTAGAGGTAATGAACTGTTGTGGTCAGTGTTGAAGGACTTTAAGATCTGTAATTTCTGTTAAGATTAAGGAAACAGAGAATGTTCATACACTACCACTTTGAACATTCCAGTAGTATGAGAATATTTAAATTAATTTTATTTATTTATTTATTTATTTATTTATTTATTTATTTTTTGAGAGGGAGTCCCATTCTGTCACCCAGGCTGGGGTGCAATGACGTGATCTCGGCTCACTGCAACCTCCACCTCCCGGGTTCAAGTGATTCTCCTGCCTCAGCCTACCAAGTAGCTGGGATTACAGGCTCCCGCCACCACGCCTGGCTAACTTTTTATATTTTTAGTAGAGACAGGGTTTCACCATGTTGGCCAGGCTGGTCTCAAACTCCTGACCTCACGTAATCTACCCATCTCGACCTCCCAAAGTGCTGGGATTACAGGTGTGATCCCACCATGCCCAGCCTGTTTTAATTTTTGAAAAGAGAAAGTTATATACATTGATTGCACTCTAAAGAATTGTTGGCATTTGGAGAGAGTTATCCGTATGGTAATCCCTGTGTTAATTATGTCTCAATTCTAGGATCAGAGAAACAAAATGGAAGAGATGATTAGGGTGGGCAGAGGAATGAATGCAGATAGATCCCTCAAGTCAGTAGCTAACACTAGAATACATGTGAAGATGAGAATGGTAGATATTGCTTGAGGCCAGTGACTGTAATATTAGTAATTCCTCTTTGTACAGACTTTTTAGTTTCCAAAGCACTTTGTGGAGCTCACAAAATCCATGATCATTAAGCCCAAGTAGAGGTCTTTGTCTTTCTTTTTCTGATGAGGGTTCAAAAGCCCAGTGATGAGAGCCACTCACTTAACGTCATATGTCAAATTCATCGGACAGCCACAGCTCCAAGTCAGGTCTTCTAAAGATTGTTCCCATGCTTTGACCGTGGCAAGTGACTGAATGTTGGCATGCTTTGGATGGCAGGAGCTCCTCATCAGCGCCAGTGTACATGGCTCCACTGTGACCCATGTTACCTGCAGAGATTAAAGTGGGCTTAGGCAGTCACCATGGCCTTTGGATAAAATCAGCGGTTGGAGGGGAAGCACCCATTAAATCCCTGCCTGGCACCCAGGCCTGGTGCCTTAGAGCTATACTTCCCCATCCCCATCAGTCACATAAAATTTGTCCCGAGGTTCTTTCTACCTTCACTAAGTACTTAATATGGAGTTCAGTCATCCCCATTTCTCACTTGAACCATTGAAATGGCCTCTTACTTAGGGTTTCCTCTGGCAGTCATCTCTGTACCCATACATCCTACATGTAATACCAGATTAATCTTTCTATGGTACCTTATCATTAATTGCCTTTTGCAAAAACCTTAATAAGTTCCCAACCAGTTGCAGAATACATTGAAATCCCAAACTGGATTTCTAGTTTTATCTCTCCCCAGTATCCTGGATTCCAGCTGATATGTTACATTTTTAGTTAATTCTCACCTCTATGGCTTTGCTCACCAAGTTCCTTCTTCCCAGTCCTTCCCCAAATAAAATCTACACATCTAAAAGTGACCCATTAAGATCCAGCTACAGTGTTAATTTCTCCCATAAGGTTTTCTCCTCTTCCTAAAAGCTAGTTGTGTGTTATTTCACCCTCTCTTTTAGATGTTTTCACTCTTTTACTGTACTGGAGTCATTTGTGTTCCTGTCTTCTATCAACCTATATCCAAGCATATATTAGACTAAGTTTTAGGAGAATATCCTATGTTTCTAGAAACATATGTATGTAGTAACTATATGCTTAGTTATTTAGCAGAGGTTTATTGAACATTGTGTTCACTTTGAAGAATTTTGGTAGACACTCTGTAGGGCCCTATTAGTGTTTAAGACATTGTACAGCTCAGGTGCATTTTCCTTTAAGGATGCATTTAACCTGCTAGATGTCATCTCATTTTTAAGACCAGAGAAAAAGAGAGCAGCATCTGTTGTTTCTTGACTTTTTAATAATAGCCATTCTGACTGGTGTGAGAGATGGTATCTCATTGTTGTTTTGATTTGCATTCCTCTAATGATCAGTGATGTTGAACTTTTTTTCATATGTTTGTTGACCGCATAAATGTCTTATTTTGGGAGGTGGCTGCTCATACCCTTTGTCCACTTTTTGATGAGGTTGTTTGTTTTTCTCTTGTAAATTTGTTTAAGTTCCTTGTATATTCTCGATATTAGACCTGTGTCAGATGGGTAGATTGCAAAAATTTTCTCCCATTCTGTAGGTTGCCTATTCACTCTGATGATAGTTTCTTTTGCAAAAGCTCTTTAGTTTAGTTACATCCCATTTGTCAATTTTGGCTTTTGTTGCAATTGCTTTTGGCGTTTTCATCATGAAGCCGTTGCCCATGCCTGTGTCCTGAATGGTACTGCCTAGGTTTTCTCCTAGGGTTTTTATGCTTGCTTTTGGGTTTTACATTTAAGTATTTAATCCATCTTGAGTTAATTTTTGTATAAGGTGTAAGGAAGTAGTCCAGTTTTAGTTTTCTGCATACAGCTAGCCAGTTTTTCTAGCACCATTTATTGAGTAGGAAATCCTTTCCCCATTGCTTGTTTTTGTCAGGTTTGTCGAAGATCAGATGGTTGTAGATGTGTGGTGTAATTTCTGAGGTCTCTGTTCTGTTTCATTGGTCTATATGTCTGTTTCAATACCAGTACCATGTTGTTTTGGTTACTGTAGCCTTGTAGTATAGTTTGAAGTCAGGTAGCATGATGCCTCCAGCTTTGTTCTTTTTGCTTGGGATTGCCTTGTCTGTACAGGCTCTTTTTCATTTCTATGGGTTTTTTTTCATTTCCGTATACGTTTTAGCATCAGTTTGTTGTTGTCCACAAAATAGGCTGCTATGATTTGGAGATTACCTTGAATCTTTAGATCAATTTGAAAAGAGCCGATACGTTAACAATACTGGGTTTTTCAATCCATGAAGATGGCCTATCTCTTAATTTATGTATGTCTTCTCTAATTTCTCTCATCTACATATCATAGTTTTGCATATATTTTGGTAAACTTGTCCTTAAGCACTTCAAATATTGGATGCTATTGTAAATGGTATTTTAAAATTTGTTTATAATCATTTGTTATTAGCATATAGAAATAGCAATAGATTTTTATATACTCCCTTTGTATCCTATAACTTGTTAAATGTAATAGTTGTACTAGCTTCTTTAATAAGACTTCTTAGGCAATTCTACCTGATCATTTTATCTGAAAATTGTTGATGCAATTGTTTATTTCCTTTATGGATAAGCCTATTCATCAACATTTTATGTTTGAAAGATTTGCTTGCTGATTGAAAAAGAAACAGCGTGATACAACTTTAAAGGAAATAAGTTGGAAAAAATAAGAACCTTTCCTCTCCACTTCCATAGGCTAGCCTACGTAAACCATCAGACATAGAAGCGATTTTCAGAATCATAAGTCTTAACCCCTTACATTTACAGATGAGAAAACTGAGGCCTGAAGAGTTACAGTGACTTTCAGAGTTATGTGGTTAGTAAATGACCTCATGTGAATGCAAAATGTAACTCTTCTATTCTGCAGTTCTTCTCTATATTGGTTAAGGATAGTTCAAGACAGAGGAGGTCAGAAGTAAGTGACCTTTAAAAGGTGTAATAATAACTATTGTCAGGATGATCTTATTTCCTATCTTTAGAACCCCATCATCAGTTTTGTAAGGCCACTGAATAATAGAAAATGGTTCCGATTCTGGTGCTCCCTATTCTGTCTCACAGCTGCTCCTGTGAAAACACTCGTTCATGGGCTCTGTGTAATTTTGACTCAGTCCATAATCTCTCTATCCTGATTTTAAAAGTTATCATCAGAATGGATGTGCTGGTATACTAAGAAATGTCTGTGAATATTATTTATTTATTTTACTTATCTAATCATTTTCATAGATTTGGTTGTTTAAAAATACCCCAGGTCTCAAATCCCTTTGGAAAGTTCAGCAAATCATTTTAACAGGTAATTCTGGCAATATGTAATTCTTTGTGTTTACAGAGTGAGAGAAATTCTATTTATCAGTGTTTTTTCTTTGTTTTGTTTTACTTCAGTTCTAAGCAAAGCAGTTATTTTGCTTATTGACATATTGATATATTCCTTTGGGAATCTCATTTCTTTCTTGGCCAGCTACAAACACTCATACTGTCCAATTTCAACAAGAGACTATGGTTATTCTCTTCTTCACCAAACAAAGAAATTTGAACCATTATTGATAAATAATTTCTGGTGAATATTAAAGCTTTGAAATGTTTTGCACACACAGTGTTAGGAAGTGTCTTAGAGTGAAAGACACTATTTTTACTACTATAGTATCAAAAGTGCCATTGTCCCACATACAAAGATTTACTTGTTACCTTAGTTCTTTGATTTTTCTGGAGTACAGCAACCCCAACTTTTAGAAGTACTCTTAACAAATGATACAGTGTTTGATCTGTTTCATCTTTGGACTTCAGAGAATGATCTTCAAATAATACAGTTTGGTTTATTTCAGAAGGTTGCTTCCTTAAAACAAAATTTTGAAAATATGAGATAATAACATTTAACTTCTTTTTCAATCACTTATAAAATTTACGAAACACTCTCATATAAGAAAAACTCTGTAAGTTGTTCAGAGGCAACTTCTTTAGTATCCTACCAATACTGAATACCTAAGGGAGGGTAAGAACTGACGTCGCCTCACTGCCAGCCCAGTGTTCTTTCCACTCTGTGAAACTTGCCTCCATTTGTAGCTGTCTGTGTTTGTATATATTAGCTCTATTTTGTGTAGAGTTGTCCAAACATAAAATATTCCTTTGGCGCAGAGTTTAGAGACTAAAACTTCTGAGTAGTATTTCCGGGACATAACATATATTTAACATTATTTGAAACCCAAGATTCAGTCAACATTGCTATTAAGAGTTAAGGAGCTGAAACTGTGCATACCCTAAGTCTGAATTCAAGGTAAGAGGTCCCTTGTTATTCAGTCTTTATAAGTGTTTGGTATATTTATGCCTCCTCAAATATGACACCATCTTTTTTTAAATTCACATTTAAAGATGATTGTAAAACAAGAAGGATAAGGTGTAAGTGTGGTAGTTGTTTTATTTATGGATTTATCAGTTAGCTGTTACTTATTTTTTGTGGTTCATAATGCAATTTTAACATAAGTCTGAATAAGTTTACTATAGATGATATTAGTAGGTTTTACCAGAGGAAACCATGCTTTTTTATTTTATTTTTTTCTTTTTCTTTGAGACAGAGTGTCACTCTTGTCGCCCAGGCTGGAGTGCAGTGGTGCAATCTGGGCTCACTGCAACCTCTGCCTCCCGGGTTCAAGTGATTCTCCTGCCTCAGCCTCCCAAGTAGCTGGGATTACAGGCATCTGCCACCAGGCCCAGCTAATTTTTGTATTTTTGGTAGAGACGGGGTTTTACCATGTTGGCTAGGTTGGTCTCAAACTCCTGACCTCAGGTGATCCACTCACCTTGGCCTCCCAAAGTGTTGGGATTACAGGTGTGAGCCACCACGCCTGGACAGAAACCATGCTTTATAATCCTGCTACCCACCCCATCCAAAGCACACAAAATATTAGTTAAGTAAGCTACTAGAAGACAACTGAGGCTGGTGGTCTCTGCAGGGGCAGAAAAATGGGAACTGGAGAGGAGTTCAGGAAGGCAGCCCAGAGAATATGAAGCAGGACCCAGCACACAACAGCCTGTGGGCCACATGTCACTTGCCACCTGATTTTGTAAATAATGTTTGCTTGAAATACAGCCATACTCGCTTCATTCCATATTATCAATGGCTGCTCTCACACTATAACAGCAGAGCTGAGAAGATGCAACAGAGACCGTATGGCCTACAGATATTAAAACATTTTCTGTATATCATTTTACAGAAAAACATTGTTGACTGCTGGTCAAAAATATGGGAAGAACGTCATGAAATTTAGATTCTTATTAAAAGTTCTTGAACATCCCTGAACTATTTAATATTATTTCTTGTCCAGCAGATCCTGAATCTTAAATTAGAAGTTGTGACAGTAAGTGGAAATTTTCAGGGAAGGAAGAACAGAATATCAAAATCAAAAATTAACATGCTATGTGCAGAGTAGGTTCTATATCCCTCCTTTTTTTCCCACCCTGGTAAACTCTTATTTAAACTTCAAGATCTGTCTCTAATATTAACTTCTTGGAGAAGTTTGACCATTCTTCCAGTTCCCACATATTATTAGCTTATCTTTCCTCTGATTTTTTCTCATAGCATTTTTTCATTCATTTACTAAAATATGCACTAAAATATGCACCTCATTCAGTATTTTTATATAATAACATTTTAAGATAATTTGCATACAGTATAATTCGCCCATTTAAATTAAATGGCGATTAAATTAATTTAATTTAACACAATTAAATTATTTTTAGTATATTCACAGTATATTTTACTGTATTCTTAAATATAGTATATGTGCAATCATTATCACAATCAATTTCTTTACACCAGGAAGAAATCCTCTACCAATGAGCAGTGACTTTTCTTTTTCCCCAAACCCTCTAAGTCTAGGTAACCATGAATTTAATATCTGTATCTACAGATTTAACAATTTTGGACATTTGGAATAATACTATATATAGTCTTTTGTTACTGGATTCTTAGTATAATATTTTCAATTTCCATTCATGTTGTAGCATATGTGATTGCTGTATTCCTTTTTATTGCTGAATAATATTCCATTGTATGAATACATCACATTATATTTATATTTTCATCAATTGATGAACATTTGAGGTTTTTCTATCTTTTGGCTATTATAAATAATGCTTCTATCAATATTTGAGTAGACATATGTTTTCAGTTTTCTTGGGTATACACCTAAAAGTGGGATTGCTGAGTCACATGGTAATTTAATGTTCAACATTTTGAGGAACTGCTGAAATGCTTTCCAATGGGGCTACCCCATTTTCCATTCCCACCAGCAGGGTATGAGGATCTCATTTTCTCTGCAACCTCCCACCGCATTTGATTTTATTCATATTATGTGTCTATCTCTCAAATACAAATCCATGTTCTTCAAGAGTGGAAACCATGTCTGTTTCAGTTTTGTTTCTGTATGCCTAATATAGTACATTGCATGTATCAGGCACTCATGAATAAATGAAAGAGTCAACCAACAAGTGAAATAACACCTACTGAATTGACATGGAACCACATAGAGTTCCTATTATCAAGAGTTGTTGGGTTGATGGGTGCAGAAAACCACCATGGCATGTGTATACCTGTGTTAAGAAACCTGCACATTCTGCACGTGTACCCCAGAACTTAAATTTTTTGAAAAAAGCAATTTTATTCCAAAAAAAAAAAGAGTCGTTTATGTGGGCTTAAATAGCTGTGCTTTTATAAATGTTCTTTTTTTTAATTTCAGCTTTTATTTTAGATACAGGGGATACGTGTGTGGGATTACTACATGGGTAATTGGACCCAGGTGGTAAGCATAGTATCCAATAGGTAATTTTTCAGACTGTGCCCTCTCCCTTCCTCCCCGTCTGGTAGTCTGTGGTGTCTGTTATTCTCAAGTTTATGTCCATGTGTGCTCAGTGTTTAGCTCCCACTCATAAGTGAGAATATGTGGTATTTGGCTTTCTGTCCCTGCATCAATTTGCTTAGGATTATGGCCTCTAGCTCCATCTATGTTGCTGCAAAGGACATGATTTCATGATTTTTTTTGACTGCACAGTATTTCATAGTTTATATGTACCACATTTTTTTAAATCTAGTCTACCATTTCCAGCTATGTTCTTCATCTTTCTACCATTCACATCCTAGTGCGTGTAACCGATAAATTAGTATTCATTTAGATGGACTCCATTTTATTTTATTTTATTTTATTTTGAGATGGGGTCTCATTCTGTCGCCCAGGCTGGATTGCAGTGGTGCAGTCTTGGCTTACTATAACCTCCGCCTCTGGGTTCAAGTGATTCTCCTGCCTCAGCCTCCTGAGTAGCTGGGATTACAGGCATGCACCACCACGCCCAGCTACTTTTTGTATGTTTAGTAGAGATGGGGTTTCGCATTGTTAGCCAGGCTGGTCTCAAACTCCTGACCTCAGGTGATCCACCCACTCTGGCCACCCGAAGTGCTGGGATTACAGGCTGGGATTACACCACTATTTTTTAATGGCATTTTAGCAGTTAAAAACTGAATGCTCTAAAAGTCAGGGATGGCATGGGCACAGGTGAAAGATGAAAGTTTTGTCTATTTCTATTTCTATGATGAAATCAGTTGGGTTAACAAGAGCATTCTTCTAAGCAGCTAGAGATTCTGTTGGTCTCATCCAGCCATCACCCAGATGGCAATACAACCAGTAAAAGGCAGATAATGGTATCTGTTTTTGCAGACTTTATGTTCACACCAGTGTCACTCATCTTAACCTGGACTCTTGTCATCAGCTTGATATTTCCTCACTTTCCTCTTTCTCCCCTTTTCAAGTTATAGCTGTGCCTTGACATGACTTACCCAATACTCTGTATTCTCTTCGTGTTCATTAATAGGCTCATTTTCCAGAACTAACATTGGGGCATTTCAAGGACTTTTTACGTAGCACATGAGCTGCTTACAACGTAATTCTGTCTAGTTGGGACATATGTCATTTAGCCAGATTGTTTATGGCATTACCACAGCCAAGCATATATTAGTTTCATAGTAATTTCTAGGGAAAAAAATGTGGAGGAAATATGTGGTTTTTGTTATACTTGCAATGTTACTATATTACTGCTTTTTTTTAAGTTTTGATTTCAATAAATACCTAGCATATATTTTCAGATGCCAAAGGACATACAATGATGAACAAAAACTCAGCTCGTCCTCAAAATCGATATGTATTATTGGTGATGCTGGACTCCACCCACTCATAGATGTTTCTCATTATTGTGAAACATTACTTTTTGGAAAAAGAGAGCTGGGCCAGGCACAGTGGCTCACACCTGTAATCCCAGCACTTTGGGAGACCGAGGCAGGCAGATCATGAGGTCAGGAGTTCGATACCAGCCTGACCAACATGGTGAAACCCTGTCTCTACTAAAAATACAAAAATTAGCCAGGCGTGGTGGCGCATGCCTGTAATTCCAGCTACTCAGGAGGCTGAGGCAGGGGAATCGCTCGAACCTGAGAGGTGGAGGCTGCAGTAAGCCCAGATCACACCACTGCACTCCAGCCTGGGTGACAGAGAGAGACTCCATCTTAAAAAAAAAAAAAAAAAAAAGAGAGAGCTAACATCTTCACTTTTTAAGGAAATAGACATTGCCCCCATGATTGTATGGATGACTAGATCATTTAAAACAAAAATTACATAAGGGCTTAAAGAGTGGCTCTTAAGTGTAAATGCTAGGAAGCACCCAATTAGTTATTATTTCCTGTATGTGTTGCCTTCATGGACATTGGTTCATATAGCCTCAAAAAGTCTATGAAGATACTTTTTTTTTTTTTTTTTGAAAGAGAGCGTCACTCTATCTCCCAGGCTAGGGTGCAGTGGCACAATCTCAGCTCACTTCAACCTCCGCCTCCCAGGTTCAGGTGATTCTCCCGCCTCAGCCTCCAGAGTAGGTGGGATTACAAGCATGCGCCACCATAATCAGCTAATTTTTGTATTTTTAATAGAGACAGGGTTTCACTATGTTGGCCAGGCAGGTCTCGAACTCCTAACCTCAAGTGGCCCACCCGCCTTGGCCCCCCAAAGTCCTGGGATTACAGGCATGAGCCACCGTGCCCGGCTGAAGATACTATAAACATCTTGATTTTTTACTGAGTCAGAAACTGAGAAAGGGAAAAAATTATTTGCTGAAGACTGCATGCCTCAAGTTTATACCCATTATACTACACTGCCTGCTTGCGAAAGTATGTTTTAAAAAATTGTCACTGCTGTGCAGCAACTCAAATTGTCACTGCTGTGCAGCAACTCAACTTTAAGTCTTAAACCTAGTTATCTTTTATCTTGAGCAGGACATATATGTTAAGCTGCTGAGGATGCTCCTTAACATGAGGCCATTGGGCGGGTGTGTGCCAGACAATCCTCCTAGTTGTTTCTCTAATACAGAGCTTCAGGTCGTCTCTTCCTTTTTCATCTTCTAGCCTGCCCTGGCCAAGTACCTATGAATCAACCGGCAAGGCGAGGGGTGTATTTGGTGGGCTATAGAGTGGAATTAAGCAGAATATCAAAAATTTTAGCCAATAACATTGAACCTCAAAGAGGAAAGTACTGCTGAGTTCTGATAGATGCAAGACAAGCTAAAGACCTCCTTAGCTCCATTGTTCTGCATCAGCACAATATGTCCTAGTGAGAAGGAAAGACATAGCAAAACTAAAAATGACCTGTTTTTCAAGAGCAATGTCTTTTCACCCAAACTTGTGAACTGCTTGCCAAAAGTCAGGACTAACATTGTTTTGTACATTTGCATTAAAAGAAATTATATCACCGTTGAAGAGCTGATCAGAGAAAGGGTATAGGAAAAAGGAAATGTTAAAATAAGCTGTAAAATCCAGCCCATTTATATCTGGAGTTTAGAGGCAGTCTAACAAAATGAATGTTCCATTTACTAATCACATTTGCCATTTATTCAAAACAAACACGGCTTGAGAGAGGATTAAATAAACATCCAAAAACTGTCGTTCTTGAAACCTTTGGATAGAACATTGAGTTGCATTCCTGCAGGAGAAATGCCAAGTGAGTGAGCCTAGTCCAAGTTTGTTTAGAAAGCCATATTTGGGAGAACCATGGAAGTGCGAACCTGATCATGTGAAAAGCCCAGGACTGTTCAGCCTTCTGTGGCAGTTCTGTGAGTTCTAGTACCAGACTATTAATAGGGAGTCAAGTAGAAATATCCTTCCTTCCCCTCCCTCCCTCCTTCCCTTCCCTTCCTTCCTTTTCCCTTTCCCTTTCCCTTTCCCTTTCCCTTTCCCTTCCCTTCCCTTCTCCTTCTCCTTCTCCTTCCTTCCTTTTCCTTCCTTCCTTCCTTCCTTCCTTCCTTCTCTCTCTTTCTCTCTTCTTTGGTGTGCTGAGAATAATCTGCAGACAGTGACTCTACAGATAAGATTGCAAATATTTTCCCTTCCTTCATTCCTTCCTTCTTTCCTCCCTTCCTTCCTTCTTTCCTTCTTCCTTTTTTTTCTTTTTTAACCACATGATTTCTATTTCCTTTAGCAAGATGTTATCATGTGAGGGAAGTCTTAGGTTTCTATATCCCTTTATTCTTAGTGTTAGCATTTCTTATTAAAGACAGATGTCTAGTTTTCTATTTTAAGGGTTATCTAATTTCAGTCATAAAAATGTCCTATAAATTAAGACATAACTTTGTCAATACTCTTCTAGAACATAATAGCTACCCCAAAATATTTGTTCAATGATGGGAAATTCATTGATATTTAGACCTTCAGAGATGAAATAAATATGTTGCCTTTGCTTTTCAAAGATGCCATCTTGCCCATTCATAAGAAAACTAAGACCCACAGAATGACTACCCAAGGCCTCACAGTATAATTAGGACTTTAACAAAAATCCATAAAACCTCTGGTATTGGGATATTTAAGATAATACATTGATATATACTTTATCACTGTCTTTGATAAAATAACAGTAAAACCATTTTAATGGGACACATTTTTATAACCATTGTGAATTTGGTCCTCAAAAAAGAACTCACTGAGATGATGAGATAATGCATATTCATCCTCTTTTACAGATGATGAAACATTTCGGAGAAGGCAAGTCAGTTTTCCAATTTTTCATACTATATAGATCATTGAATCTTTGTCCCTTATATACAGAATCAACAATATGAAATATGTGGAACTTGAAATCATAGTTTCCAACTTTTCTGCCTATAGAATGCCCATTTCCAGTTGCTTAACATTTAGATTGATAAACATGAAATTCATTAAACAGGAAACTGAATAAGAGACCTGGACTAATATTTAGGTATTACTTAGTATTCCATCCAAGAAGTGTCTGCAGACAGTGACTCCATAGATGATAAGGTTGCACATATTTCAGAAGCCAAATAAATGTTGTGATTAAATGATTCAAGTCTGTTAACCATTTGGTAGTTATGATGTAAATGGCTGTTAAATGGAAAGCATTTGTAAAAATGTATGTGCAAAAATAAAGGATTTCTAACAAACCGAATGGGCCTTACCTATTTTAGTTAATACTCTCAATAATGAGCAGTGAGATTAATTTATAAGTATGTGTGTGTGTGTGTTAAGATATATTCACATTTTATGAAACCTGAAGCTTTGAAGCTTATCACTGTGGAAATAACTTCTGTATGCATAAAAGTATTATATTATTTCGGTAGGACTGCTATAACAAAATACAGTCAGGCCTTCATATTCAAGTAGGCTGCATTCAGAATTCAACCAACTGCCAATGGAAAGTGTTTGTAAAAAATAACAAGTAACAATAAAATATTAGAAAATACTACAAATTTCAAAATACAATATAACAAGTATTTACCTAGCATTTACATTGTATTGGGTATTTTAACTAATCTAGAGATGATTTAAACTATGTAAGAGGATATGTGTAGGTTACGTGTATAGCATATCATATATATAAGGGATTTGAGCATCCATAGAGTTTGGCATCTGCATGGAGTCCTAGAACTGATCCCCTGCAGATATGAAGGGACAACTGTACCACAAACTGAGTGACATAAACTACAGATTTTTTTTTCCTCACAATTCTAGAGGCTAGAAGTCTGAGATCAAGGTACTCACAAGGTTGCTTTCCTCTAAGAGCTTTCTCCTTGGATAAAAATGGCCACCTTCTCTCTGTGTCCTCACATGGTCTTTCCTCTGCTTCTCTGTGTCCTAGTCCCTCTTTTTATAAGGACAACTCCAGTCGTATTGGATTAAGGTCCACCCTAGTGCTCTCATTTTAACTTAATGGCCTCTTTAAAGGCCCTTTCTCCAAATACAGTCACAATCTGATATACTAGGGGTTAGGACTTCAACATATTAATTTGAAGGGAGACATGACTCAGCTCATAACAATTATGTAGGCAAATGAACATTTATTTTAAATGACAGAGGAAATGCAACATGTTATAAATTAATAAAAGCTATGAAATACCTCAAAAATCACATTAATAAAAGCTATGAAATACCTCAAAAATCACAAAAATCTTGAAAAATAACACTCTTATGAATTAAATTCCTGATTACTTTTTCTTACATTTTTAGCAGCATATTCATTGATTAACTAACTGTACAACCTAATTTCATAATATTTTCTGCAGAGAGAATACAAAGATAATTTCATGCTGAGAGTTTATTACTACCAGTCCTGCCTTACAACAGGTCCTTAAGGGAATGATAAGCATGAAAGACTGTTACCTACTTCTACAAGGACACCTTTAAGTACATAGCCTGCTAACACTATAAAGCAACTATACTATCAAGTCTACATAAGAACCAGGTAACAACATGATGGCAAGATCAAATGCTTATATATCAGTATTAATCTTGAATTTATGTGGGCTAAATGCCCCACTTAAAGGACACCGAGTGTCAAATTGGATGAAGGAGCAAGGCCCAACTCTATGCTGTTTTCCAGAGTCCCATCTCACATGCAGTGACACCTTTAGGCTCAGAATAAAGGGATGGAGAAAGCTCTATCAAGCAAATGGAAAACAAAATAAAGCAGAGGTTGCTATTCTATTTCAGAAAAAACAGACTGTAAACCAACAATGATTCAAAAGGACAAAAAAAGGGCATTACATAATGATAAAGGGTTCAATTCAACAAGAAGACTTAACAGTTCTAAGTATGTATGCACCCAATAAGGGAGCACCCAGATTTATAAAACAGGTTATTAGAGAACTACAATAGTGGGAGACTTGAACACTCCACTGACATTTCTAGAGAGATCACTAAAGCAGAAAACCAACAAAGATATTTGGGACCCAACACTTGACCAAATGGACCTATGAGACATCTACAGAATATTTCACCCAACAACAACAGAATAAACATTCTTCTCATCTGCACATGACACATACTCTAAGATTGACTACACACCCATTCATAAAGCAATTCTCAAAGAATTCAAAATAACTGACATCATACCAACCACATTCTCAGACCACAGTGCAATAAAAATATAAATCAATACTAAGATCTCTCAAAACCATGCAATTACATGGAAATTAAACAACTTGTTCCTGAATGACTTTTGAGTAAAGAATGAAATTAAGGCAGAAATAAAAAAAATCCTTTGAAACTAATGAAAACAGATACAACATACCAGAGAACACAGCTAAAGCAGTATTAAGAAAAATGTTTGTAGAGACAAACACCTACATCTGTAAGTTAGAAAAATCTCAACAACCTAACATCACACCTAGAGGAACTAGAAAAACAAGACCAAACTAATTCCAAAGTTGATAGAAGAAAATAAATAGTTAAAATCAGAGCTGAACTGAACAAAATTCTGATATGAAAACCATACAAAAGATCACTAAAACCAAAAGCTGTTTTTTTTTGCAAGAATAAATAAGATTGTCAGACTACTAGCTAGATTAATAAAGAACAAACAAAGAGAACCAAATAAACACACTCTGAAATGACAAAGGGTACATTACCACCAACCCCACAGCAATACAAAAAACCCTCAGCGACTCTTATGAACAGCACTGCAGACATACATTAGAAAACCTAGAAGAAATGAATAAATTCCTGGAAACATAAAACCTCACAAGATTGAAGCAGGAAGACATTAAAATCCTGAATAGACCAATAATGAGTTCCAAAATTGAATCAGTTATAAAAAACCTACCAACCAGTAAAAGTTCTGGATAGACCAGATGGATTCCCAGCTGAATTCTACCAGATGTAATAAGACTTGCTGGTACCAATCGTACTAAATAGCTTCCAAAAATCGAGGAGGAGGGACTCCTCCCTCAATCATTCTATAACGCCAGCATCATTCTGATACCAAAACCTGACAGAGATAGAACAACCAAAAGTGAAAACTTCAGGCCAATATCCTTGATGAACATAGACACAAAAATCTTCAACAAAATACTAGCAAATTGAATCCAGCAGCACATCAAAGAGCTAATTCAACCCAATCAAATAGGCTTTAGCCATAGGTTGCAAAATTGGTTCACCATACACAAATCAATGAATGTGATTCATCACATAAAAGAACTAAAGACAAAAAACCACATGGTCATCTCAACAGATGCAAAAAAGGGTTTTGGTAAAATTCAACATCGCTTCATGTTAAAAACCCTCAACAACTTGAAATTGAAGGAACATACTTCAAAATAATAAGAACCATCTATGTCAAACCCTCAGCCTGCATCATACTGAACAGGAAAAGCTGGAAGCACTCCCCTTGAGAACTGGAACAAGACAAGGATGCCCACTTCCACCACTCCTATTCAACATAGTACTGGAAATTCTAGAGCTCCAAATAGAAAGAGAGAAAGTCAAACTATTTCTGTTTGCAGATGATGTCATTGTATACCTAGAAAACCCCATAGACTCTGCCTAAAAGCTCCTTGATCTGATAAACAACTTCAGCAAAGTTCTAGACAGAAAATCAGTGCACAAAAATCAGTTGCCTTTCTATATACCAATAATGTCCAAACTGAGACCCAAATCAGGAACACAATCCCATTCACAGTAGCCACAGAAAGAATAAGATACCTAGGAATACAGCTAACCAGGGAGGTGAAAGATCTCTATAATGAGAATTATAAAACACAGCTGAAATAAATCAGAGATGAAACAAATATATGGAAAATCATTTCATGTTCATAGATAGGAAAAAAATCAATATTGTTAAAATTTGGGGCAGTCATACTGGCCGAAGCAATTTATAGATTCAGTGATATTCCTGTCAAACTACCAATATTATCTTTCACAGAATTAGAAAAAAAAAATATTGTAAAATTCATATGGAACCACAAAGAGCCCAAATAGGCAAAACAATGCTAAGCAGAAAGGACAAAGCCAGAGTCATCACAGTACCTGACTTCAAATTAAACTGCAAGACTGCAGTAACTAAAACTTCATGGTACTGGGACAAAAACAGACACATAAACCAATGAAAGAAGCTAGAGAAACCTAGTAATCATGCTGCACACCTACAACCATTGATAGTCAACATTTGTCAACTCAAGATGGATTAAAAGACTTAAACGTAAGACCTAAATCTATAAAAATCTTAGAAGAAAACCTAGGAAATTATATTCTAGAAATACTATTCTAGGCCTTGGCAAAAATTTCATATGAGGTCTCCGAAAGCAATTGCAACAAAAACAAAAATTGACAAGTGAGACCTAATTAAAGAGCTTCTGCAGCACAGCAAAACAAACTATCAACAGAGTAAACAGACAGCCTATAGAAAGAGAGAAAATATTTGCAAACTATGCATCTGACAGAAGTCTGATATTGAGAATCTATATGGAACTCAAACAAATCAGCAAGCAAAAAGCATCCCCATTTAAAAATGGGCAAAGGACATGAACAGACATTTCTAAAAGATGTGCAATTAACCAACAAGCATATGAAAAAATGCTCAACATCAGTAATCATTAGACAAATGCAAATCAAAAACACAATGAGATTCCTTCTGACACCACTCAGAATGGCTATTATTAAAAAGTCAAAATTAATAGATGTTGGCAAGGTTGTGGTGAAAAGGGAATGCTTGTGCACTCCTGTTGGGAATGTAAATTAGTTCAGTCTCACTGTGGAAAGCAGTTCAGGGATTTCTCAAAGAATGTAAACTAGAACTACCATTTGACCTAGCAATCCCATTACTGGGTATATACCTAAAGGAATATAAATTGTTCTATTAAGTTGGTGCAAAAGTAATTGTGGTTTCTGCCATTAAAAGTAATGGCAGAAACCTAATGAAAAGACAAATGCACTTGTATGTTCATTGCAGCACTATTCAAAATAGCAAAGACCTGGGATCAACCTAAATGCCCATCAATAATAGACTGGGTAAAGAAAATATGGTATGTATGCACCATGGAATACTGTGCAGCCATGAAAAGAGCGAGATCATGTCCTTTGCAGGGACATGGATGGAGCTGGAGGCCATTATTCTTAGCAAACTAACATGAACGGAAAACCAAATACCACATGTTTTCACTTGTAAGTGGGAGCTAAACACTGAATACACATGGTCACCAAGAGGGGAACAATAGACACTAGGACATACTTGGTGTAGAGGCTAGGAGAAGGGTGAGGGTCGAAAAACTATCTATTGGGTACTGTGATCACTACCTGGGTGATGAAATAGTTTGTACACCAAACCCCTGGGACACACAACTTACTGATGTAACAAACCTGCACATGTATCCCCTGAAACAAAAATAAAAGTTGAAAAAGAAAGAAAATAATGTTTATACTTAGAAAAAAAATTATCTTTCTTCTAGCCTGAGTGATAAACATTTTTTATTATTATAGTTTTTAAAAGTTTGGAAAACTGCCTTTAATCTGCACAACTTTTATTAGTATTGTTGTTTGAAATTTAAGATAATCAAATTTGGGGACACTCCTATTAAGTTTCTTTTATTTGTGAGCTATTACAACACCCTTACTCTTACTGCAGATTCATAGCTGATGAGTTCTATTTTGTGCAATTAGCATCAAAAAGAAAAATCAAGTCAGCCGTGCATTTATAATTGTGTTCAGTGCATTACTAAGCACATTCCTAAAGAGAAAGTATCTCCATTTGCATCATCGAAAACCAAGTAGTACTCCACATGTATACTTTTACACATCTGACTATTGGTTGAATTTCCAGCAGACTCAATTTCTGTCTCTATGCATTTTACTCCTGTTTGTCTCCTCTACTAGTCTAATTTCCATGCTGGGTGTTATAGGACACATTAATGACACGTGACTTCTGGTCCCACAAATCTGTGTCACAGAGCTAGGACAGTAATGGGCCCAGGCACATTGAAGCATTCCAGGAACTCATTCCTATACAATGACGATGGGTGATGACTTAAGCACACACCATAGTGACTGCAGACCATGTAAATATATCCCATGACACTCAGCTAAATGTCTCCCTGACTCAACCTTTCTTAACCAATCTCAAAGGTCACATGTTGATTCTAACATTTCCCTACATGAGCGTACACAGAAGACAGAGTAGAAGAACCATAGTGAACATACAGCTTGGTCCCCTCCCAAGACCTTAGTAGGGGCCAGTGTACATGAGGGCCCCTGAAGCTTCATTTCCTTCCTCGTCAAAGCATGTTTATTTAAAAGTATTTATTTTACTCTGGATACTTCCTCAGAAATAGTTATTCCTTTCCTTTTTTCCCTCCCTCTCTCCTTACCTCTGTCTTTTCCTCAAACATTTATTTAGTGTATACTATATTCTAGACCCCATGTTGAAGAATAAGATACATATGCTGATGTCTACAGCACTGCATAGAAAGTAATGGGTAACCTAAGTGGTTACAAATAAAATCTACTAGCTATCCTGGTGATTTAAAGGCCACCTTCAGCTGAATGTTCAGGAAAACCTTTATGAGGAAGTAGCATTTGATCTAACCTATAGGACCGGTAGGATAGGGCCTGGGTGGGGAGACTGGGAGATGGAAAGGCATTCCAGTGTGCTGGTGCTGCACATGGTGGGACTTCTATCACATGTATTCTCTATCTGTAACAGTTAAAGTTTTTTGGTTACTTGGCCTGGGTAATGGCAAAGCAAATGTACTAAAAGAAACTCTGGTTTTGTGGCCACCTCAGTTCCTTTGGAGAATGTCCTCTCTCAGCTGAAGCTGAGAACATCCAGTCACATTTCTGTTCTGGAACCCCTTAAGCTGTTTCTGTGACAACATCTGAAAGAATTAAGCTTTATCCAAGTCACCAGAAAAGGGCTTACGTTAACTGTTTTCACTAAGACTCTACGTTTCAATACTAACACTTACGGACAAGTGGAAGGTATTCTTCAGTTGTATTTGGTAGTTCTTCTGTAGCGCCCCTTTTGTCTTCCTCCATTTCTCTCTTGCTAGCCCTCAACTCTACCCCACGTTCGTTTTCATTATCTTTTTTCTCATCCCCCATTTCCTGCTTATTTGTTTATTCTGGTGGCTCTTCTCTCTCTCATAGACGACATAGAAGCATGGCCTTCTTTCTGAACTTTCCTTGACCCAGAGGGAGAAAAGTCTAACATACTATCTTATTTATGCAATCTGAGGAAAGTTGTTGGCCAGCCATCACCCAGTGTGACCTAGTGACAGAACCAGTAGGGATATCTGAGTGTTCAGTCTTTGAATGATTCTTCCAAGTCATATAGATGTGTTGATTACTTCAATCTTGAACAAGATATGTTGTCACTATCATACTGGGCTATGAGTACTTGAGAACAGGGAACTGTGTAGTAAAATTCACCACATATGCTGGTAGCACACAGGCATCAACCAGTCTAAACAGAACCCACCCGGGTCACCTCCCACGTCACTGCTAAGACACAGTTCTTTACACAGACCATGTAAATGCTGTTGTGTTGTTTTGTCAAAGCTTCTATCACTCTTCTTGCTGTAATTTGAGAAGCAAAAGCATTAATAACCAGTTACTTACATAACTGGTATTGTAAGGCTTACTGGTGGCAGACAGCATTCCTGTGAGCAGTATTAGCACACCTCTCGATGAGAATGGCTGTGAACTACATTCTTTGGAGTAACAATAAGAAAGACTATACAAAACCTGGTCCTCTGTCTACAGTGAATGAACACGCTCATCTTTTCTTCCCACAGTGATTTTTTTCCAGATAACATATTCTAATGGCATGAGTATATTAAAATAAAGTCAGATAGGGTGAGGAGGGGCATGCTAACAAAAATAATCTGTCACTCTTGCCAAATGGAGGTAATACAGTCACAATATTTACAAGTAAAATGGCAGGGATGTAATTGAAAGTACATCTATATATCATCTATATATCATTCATATCATTCTTCAAGCTGTTATCACAGTTCCATCTTTGACTGATGCCTCTTCAATATGTTGTATAATGTACTATAGAGTTATTCCTTTTTACTCTTTTGCTCATGGAAATAATTTGAAGGCTTTTAACCTTCTGATCTCATTTTTCACTTTGTTCCAGACATGGCTTACTCTCTCTGCCATGGAACTATCAGATAAAATGCATAATTTGATTAGACCAAAACTGTACTACCATCAGTCTGTCGGTCAACACAAGATATATTTTAAGGGGATCTACACAAAAGTCTGCATGAAAATATTCCATATAAAGAATAGTTACATAAACCTTAATAAAAAGAAAATACTGGGAAGCACTTAGTGTCTCAGATTCTGGAATCAAAGCTCTCTTTCTTTTCGTTTCTTTTCTCAGCGATTCAAATGACCACTCTGATATTTTCTTTGCCAAATTAACTTTAGCATTGGAGGGGCGTTTATATAGTATCTGGCTTAAAGCTATTATTTTTCTCATTTGCTCTGCAGACATTTATTGATCACTTACTGTGTGCCAGGCCCTGTGATAGGAATGGAGGTAGAGAAGACACAATCCCTTGCCCTCAAAGGTTTCAGTGACAGAAGAAATAGATGAAGAGAATGAGGCCTGAAGTCATTTGCTCATGGTCCTACAGGCACAGAGCAGGGGTGCCCAACCCCCGGGCCATGGACCTCTACCAGTCCGTGACCTGTTGGAACCAGGCTGCACAGCAGGTGGTCAGTGGCGGGCAAGTGGGCGAAGCTTCATCTGTATTTACAGCCACTCCCCATTACTCACATTACTGCCTGAACTTCACCTCCTGTCAGATTGCAGCGGTATTGGATTCTCATAGGAGCGTGAACCCTATTGTGAACTGCACATGCGAGGGATATATTTTGCGTGCTCCTTATGAGAATCTAATGCCTGATGATCTGTCACTGTCTCCCATCATCCCCAGATGGGACCATCTAGTTTTGGGAAAACAAGCTCAGGGCTCCCACTGATTCCACTGATGGTGAGTTGTATAATTACTTCATTATATATTACAATGTAATAGTAATAGAAATAGCATGAACAATAAATGTAAAGTACTTGAATCAACCTGAAACTATCCCCATGCCCCAATCCATGGAAAAATTGGAGACCACAGAACTGGTCCCTGATGCCAAAAAGGTTGGGGACCACTGGCATCGAGGATAGAATAGGGACCAGAAAGAGATTGTGCAGCCGTCCTTCTAGATCTGGTTCTTGTCAACCACTCCATCTCCCTAATGTGGGACATGGCAGAAGAGTTACAACTAGAGTAAAATAATTCTTGTTGTGAGTTGCAAACTTTATGGGCTCCATGTTTAAATTATATTATTAAAATATGTATTTTGTGTTTGATATTAATCTCATAGACATTTAGGAGAACGATTAGATTTCTGATGCCTCTAGGCATTCAGAAGTCTCTAACTCACATGCTGCATTGTCTGAAAGGTTCTATTTTGTGATAGTGCTTCTTGGGCATCAGTGGGGACAGCTTAGAAAGCTTGTCGTTGCATCTAAATAAATACTGAGAGTTTGGATATGTTTCTAAGTTCCTTTCCTTTGAACTGTGGGGCATAAATCTCACGAGACAGCTTGTTCTCAAGAGGTTACCAGTACGTTTGGTTCTAGTCTGTCCACAAATATTGTGAGAACAGGCTTATTCAGATTATTTTGACATGCTCAGACAAGGCGTTCCGAACCATGTGAGAAATGAACGTGTGTGTGCAAGGGAAATACACACAATGCTACTGAGCCTCTAAGAGGCTCCATTTCTCGTGTTTTGAGGAGTGGAAATTGTCTCAAAAAATCAGCATCTCAGCTCTCATTCCTAATGTATCAGAATCTAGAAGTTCTGGTTTTGGAATCTGATATAGTGAGAAATCAGAAGATGTCCTGGGGTGTGGGAGAATGATATGTTCTTTAGTCGAGTTTAAATGAGTTTATTCCTTAACTTAGCACTTCCCCAGTGGCACAATAAGCACTCAGTAAATGTTTATTGAAGTGAATTCCAATTCCTGATTTGAATTTAGTGTTGGAGAAATTCCAGTCACCGGGCTGATAAAAAGTGGTGTCAGATTACTGGAAAAAGGACTATGTGGAGAAGCTGCTTGCAAGTAATAAACTCTTTGTGTTAGAGTCACCTGTTTTACCCAATGCCTAGCCTAGATCGTTGAAAAGGAAATTGAAGGATGGTATTCAGATTAAGAAACAGATCCCTGGATTATGTTTAAGAATTTCTGGGAGGAGCCAAGATGGCCGAATAGGAACAGCTCCGGTCTACAGCTCCCAGCCTGAGCGACGCAGAAGGCGGGTGATTTCTGCATTTCCATCTGAGGTACCGGGTTCATCTCACTAGGCAGTGCCAGACAGTGGGCGCAGGTCAGTGGGTGCGCGCACCGTGTGCGAGCCGAAGCAGGGCGAGGCATTGCCTCACTCGGGAAGCGCAAGGGGTCAGGGAGTTCCCTTTCCTAACCAAAGAAAGGGGTGACAGACGGCACCTGGAAAATCGGGTCACTCCCACCCGAATACTGCGCTTTTCCGACGGGCTTAAAAAACGGTGCACCACGAGATTATATCCCGCACCTTGCTCGGAGGGTCCTACCCCATGGAGTCTCGCTGATTCCTAGCACAGCAGTCTGAGATCAAACTGCAAGGCTGCAGCAAGACTGGGGGAGGGGCGCCCACCATTGCCCAGACTTGCTTAGGTAAACAAAGCAGCCAGGAAGCTCGAACTGGGGGGAGCCCACCACAGCTCAAGGAAGCCTGCCTGCCTCTGTAGGCTCCAGCTCTGGGGGCCCAGGGCACAGACAAACAAAAAGACAGCAGTAACCTCTGCAGACTTAAATGTCCCTGTCTGACAGCTTTGAAGAGAGCAGTGGTTCTCCCAGCACGCAGCTGGAGATCTGAGAATGGGCAGACTGCCTCCTCAAGTGGGTCCCTGACCCCTGACCCCCGAGCAGCCTAACTGGGAGGCACCCCCCTGCAGGGGCACGCTGACACCTCACACGGCAGGGTATTCCAACAGACCTGCAGCTGAGGGTCCTGTCTGTTAGAAGGAAAACTAACAAACAGAAAGGACATCCACACCAAAAACCCATCTGTACATCACCATCATCAAAGACCAAAAGACCAACATTAGACAGATCAACGAGACAGAAAGTCAACAAGGATACCCAGGAATTGAACTCAGCTCTGCACCAAGTGGACCTAATAGACATCTGCAGAACTCTCCACCCGAAATCAACAGAATATACATTTTTTTCAGCACCACACCACACCTATTCCAAAATTGACCACATACTTGGAAGTAAAGTTCTCTTCAGCAAACGTAAAAGAACAGAAATTATAACAAACTATCTCTCAGACCACAGTGCAATCAAACTAGAACTCAGGATTAAGAATCTCACTCAAAACCACTCAACTACATGGAAACTGACCAACCTGCTCCTGAATGACTACTGGGTATATAACGAAATGAAGGCAGAAATAAAGATGTTCTTTGAAACCAATGAGAACAAAGGCACAACATACCAGAGTCTCTGGGACGCATTCAAAACAGTGTGTAGAGGGAAATTTATAGCACTAAATGCCCACAAGAGAAAGCAGGAAAGATCCAAAATTGACACCCTAACATCACAATTAAAAGAACTAGAAAAGCAAGAGCAAACACATTCAAAAGCTAGCAGAAGGCAAGAAATAACTAAAATCAGAGCAGAACTGAAGGAAATAGATACATAAAAAACCCTTCAAAAAATTAATGAATCCAGGAGCTGGTTTTTTGAAAGGATCAACAAAATTGATAGACCGCTAGCAAGACTAATAAAGAAAAAAAGAGAGAAGAATCAAATAGATGCAATAAAAAATGATAAAGGGGATATCACCACCAATCCCACAGAAATACAAACTACCATCAGAGAAACCTACAAACACCTCTACGCAAATAAACTAGAAAATCTAGAAGAAATGGATAAATTCCTTGATACGTACATGCTCCCAAGACTAAACCAGGAAGAAGTTGAATCTCTGAATAGACCAATAACAGGATCTGAAATTGTGGCAATAATCAATAGCTTACCAACCAAAAAGAGTCCAGGACCAGATGGATTCACAGCCGAATTCTACCAAAGGTACAAGGAGGAACTGGTACCATTCCTTCTGAAACTATTCCAATCAATAGAAAAAGAGGGAATCCTCCCTAACTCATTTTATGAGGCCAGCATCATCCTGATACCAAAGCCTGGCAGAGACACAACCAAAAAAGAGAATTTTAGACCAATATCCTTGATGAACATTGATGCAAAAATCCTCAATAAAATACTGGCAAAACGAATCCAGCAGCACATCAAAAAACTTATCCACCATGATCAAGTGGGCTTCATCCCTGGGATGCAAGGCTGGTTCAATATATGCAAATCAATAAATGTAATCCAGCATATAAACAGAGCCAAAGACAAAAACCACATGATTATCTCAATAGATGCAGAAAAGGCCTTTGACAAAATTCAACAGCCCTTCATGCTAAAAACTCTCAATAAATTAGGTATTGATGGGATGTATTTCAAAATAATAAGAGCTATCTATGACAAACCCACAGCCAATATCATACTGAATGGGCAAAAACTGGAAGCATTCCCTTTGAAAACTGGCACAAGACAGGGATGCCCTCTCTCACCACTCCTATTCAACATAGTGTTGGAAGTTCTGGCCAGGGCAGTTAGGCAGGAGAAGGAAATAAAGGGTATTCAATTAGGAAAAGAGGAAGTCAAATTGTCCCTGTTTGCAGATGACATGATTGTATATCTAGAAAACCCCATTGCCTCAGCCCAAAATCTCCTTCAGCTGATAAGCAACTTCAGCAAAGTCTCAGGATACAAAATCAATGTACAAAAATCACAAGCATTCTTATACACCAACAACAGACAAACAGAGAGCCAAATCATGAGTGAACTCCCATTCACAATTGCTTCAAAGAGAATAAAATACCTAGGAATCCAACTTACAAGGGATGTGAAGGACCTCTTCAAGGAGAACTACAAACCACTGCTCAAGGAAATAAAAGAGGATACAAACAAATGGAAGAACATTCCATGCTCATGGATAAGAAGAATCAATATTGTGAAAATGGCCATACTGCCCAAGGTAATTTATAGATTCAATGCCATCCCCATCAAGCTACCAATGCCTTTCTTCACAGAATTGGAAAAAACTACTTTAAAGTTCATATGGAACCAAAAAAGAGCCCGCATCACCAAGTCAATCCTAAGCCAAAAGAACAAAGCTGGAGGCATCACGCTACCTGACTTCAAACTATACTACAAGGCTACGGTAACCAAAACAGCATGGTACTGGTACCAAAACAGTGATATAGATCAATGGAACAGAACAGAGTCCTCAGAAATAACGCCGCATATCTACAACCATCTGATCTTTGACAAACCTGAGAAAAACAAGCAATGGGGAAAGGATTCCCTATTTAATAAATGGTGCTGGGAAAACTGGCTAGCCATATGTAGAAAGCTGAAACTGGATCCCTTCCTTACACCTTATACAAAAATCAATTCAAGATGGATTAAAGACTTAAATGTTAGACCTAAAACCATAAAAACCCTAGAAGAAAACCTAGGCATTACCATTCAGGACATAGGCACGGGCAAGGACTTCATGTCTAAAACACCAAAAGCAATGGCAACAAAGGACAAAATTGACAAATGGGATCTAATTAAACTAAAGAGCTTCTGCACAGCAAAAGAAACTACCATCAGAGTGAACAGGCAACCTACAAAATGGGAGAAAATTTTCGCAACCTACTCATCTGACAAAGGGCTAATATCCAGAATCTACAATGAACTCAAACAAATTTACAAGAAAAAAACAAACAACCCCATCAAAAAGTGGGCGAAGGACATGAACAGACACTTCTCAAAAGAAGACATTTATGCAGCCAAAAAAACACATGAAAAAATGCTCATCATTACTGGCCATCAGAGAAATGCAAATCAAAACTACAATGAGATACCATCTCACACCAGTTGGAATGGCAATCATTAAAAAGTCAGGAAACTACAGGTGCTGGAGAGGATGTGGAGAAATAGGAACACTTTTACACTGTTGGTGGGACTGTAAACTAGTTCAACCATTGTGGAAGTCAGTGTGGCAATACCTCAGGGATCTAGAACTAGAAATACCATTTGACCCAGCCATCCCATTACTGGGTATATACCCAAAGGACTACAAATCATGCTGCTATAAAGACACATGCACACGTATGTTTATTGCAGCATTATTCACAATAGCAAAGACTTGGAACCAACCCAAATGTCCAACAATGATAGACTGGATTAAGAAAATGTGGCACATATACACCATGGAATACTATGCAGCCATAAAAAATGATGAGTTCATGTCCTTTGTAGGGACATGGATGAAATTGGAAATCATCATTCTCAGTAAGCTATCGCAAGAACAAAAAACCAAACACCACATATTCTCACTTATAGGTGGGAATTGAACAATGAGATCACATGGACACAGGAAGGGGAACATCACACTCTGGGGACTGTTGTGGGGTGGGGGGAGGGGGGAGGGATAGCATTGGGAGATATACCTAATGCTAGATGACGAGTTAGTGGGTGCAGCGCACCAGCATGGCACATGTATACGTATGTAAGTAACCTGCACAATGTGCACATGTACCCTAAAACTTAAAGTATAATAATAATAATAATAATAATAAAAGTTTGGGACGAAAAAAAAAAAAGAAACAGATCCCTCATGGTATCCCATAAAAGTTACCTTAATTTATGAAAATCCAACCTGTGCAATATGGGTATCTTTTTTACAATAGAAGTGATTTATATGGGCTACTCTTCCCATAGCAAGAGTCTCATTGCCTTACCATATAGCTCTTTTGGAATTTTTTTTTTTTAAACTTGAATATATCAGAATGATAGTAACTGGCCACTGGAGAAAAAGCTCTGACCTCAAGCCAAAGAGCAATCTGTCTACATGTCTATACCATGGCAGTGATTATTGATAACACAACTGATTATTGTAATCACAACTTCCCATACAGAAATTACTATTTGTATTATTCTCCAAAAAATAAGGCCAAATGCCATAATGTGTTTTTTCAGAAACAGTAGAACATACTCTTAGAATGATGTGAGTGCACACTCACTCTCATTCTAGTTTATTCTAAACGAGAATCTGAGATGAATGTTCCAAATCTCTCCAATCACAAGGGAGGAGGGTACATTTGCAGTGGATTTTTCTCAGAAGGTTAAATCTAAAGAAGTAATTAAGGCTCCACATTTCTGATTTGCAGGAAACTGCGTTATGCATTTCCCTTGGATGAAAATAAGTAAAGAGGATAAAGGAAGACTCTCAAATTGCAGTCTGTGTGACCTGTTTTTGAATAAACATAATCATATTCCACAGTCAATTATCTCCAAAGTACAGTGTGTTCTCCAGCCAGAGCGAGAGAGTGAGAGGAAGAATGTCAGTTAGAAGTGGTTAGAGAAGAGGACACATGCATAGAAGTGTACATCTTTCTATTGTCCTCTGAAAATTTTTATACGATTTGGGAGGGGTTAGTGGGGAGGATTATACAGTATTTTTATGTGATTTCATAAATGTCAAATTTCAGTCATCAGTAAGAGAGGCAAGCACAGGTAGGAAAACAAAATGAGATATGTTATGTTCAGCACAGTAATAAGGCTCCTAATACCAAAGGAAAAACAAGTCAGTAGTTACAACTATTGAATAGAAGTGGTCTAATCGGAGCAGCAGGATGCGTATCCCATTTTATTATGGCTTCATTATGTGTTTTGCAAGGCTCTTTGGATTGCCATTAAAATAATTTTGTGCAGCAGCACTGTGAGGACTCAGAATCCAGAAGCGTAACTATTATTTTCTTTTCTTCTTTGTTTTCTTTTTGAGGTAAAGTTGGCAGCAAAGGAAGGTTTCGGATGGACCAAGTATAGACACAACACTTCTGTTAATTCACATGGGGACTAGGCAGCCTCCCACAATGGCTGTGACATTCATCCTGTTCTGATAGAAACTCCCTGCTTTCTGTGTGGCCTGGGATTTGAATCTGGAGGTCTTTGATCCTTAGCCTCTCCCGTGGCTGGTTACCGGATGGAACGGACCTGATCTTTCATTTCCCAAAGAAGGCCTATTACCATCAGAAGCAAACCGCATCCTTGCTTTTATAGCAGTTGCGCTTGATAATTATTGGTGATACTGACATCTGCCCATGCTTACTTCATATTCATGAGCCTGAAGTGGAATTTTTTTTTTAAGCTAACATCCCCAGTTTTGGGGAATAGAGTATTTCCTCCAAAGTTAAACCCTGAGGTTTATTTCAGAAAACCAGTAGTCAAGTACCCTTCTTCTCACTGAGCTAAGAAATCCTCATAAATTATTTATTTCCCATTTTAGACATTGGACAGTGACTCAGTGTGCCCTGGAAATATTATCACTGTATTAATTTTCTCATGTGGCTCAGCATAATGTTAGAGAAATGGATAGTTACAGGTCCAGACACTATAAAGATGGAGCTAAATATTCTTCTAAAAATAGGATGTTTGGTTAACGTTTAGTAGTCAACAACTTTCCTGAAGCCACACACAGTGCCGGACTAAGAAATGGAATAAATGTCCTCATACAGTATTTGGTGAAGTCTCCCTTTAGGAGATTAAGCTTTTAATGTTAAAGATTCAGAGTATTTTAGCTTTATCCCTGAGACTTATTATTTGACGTGATGACATCTTTAACTCAAGAGGTCAACAATTGGGATAAAATGCCATGCTGTGGGTGATGGACGCCATAAAAGTAACCTGATAATCGGTCAGGTGCGGTGGCTCACACTTGTAATCCCAGCACTTTGGGAGGCCGAGGCAGGCAGATCACCTGAGGTCGGGAGTTTGAGACCAGCCTGACCAACATAGAGAAACCCTGTCTCTACTAAAAATACAAAATTAGCTGGGTGTGGTGGCACATGCCTGTAATCCCAGCTACTCGGGAAGCTGAAGCAGGAGAATTGCTTGAACCCGGGATGCAGAGGTTGCGGTAAGCTGAGATCGCACCATTGCACTCTAGCCTGGGCAACAAGAGCAAAACTCCATCTCAGGGAAAAAAAAAAATTAACCTGATAATTGAGTTTTAGTTATAAAAGTGCCAAAATGCTAAAAGAATTTACAGTTTCTGACCACTGAAATATTTTGCTCTAGCCTGGGTACAAGAAGAAGCGAGTTTGAGACTAGGAATGAATGAGAGGAAACTTTTGATTCTTACTACATAGGTTCCTTTTAGAATTTTGAATGTTTAGAGCTAGAAATTGAATATTCATTATTCTAGCCCAGACATTTTACAGAGGAGAAAGTCAAAGTTTCAGAGATGAAAGTTGTACCCAGGGCCACACAGTTAGGTTGCTGCAAATATTAAGAGAACTTACTTCACTTAATTTGGTGCATTTTTATTCTTCTATTTATAGACGAGTAAAATGTGCTGAGACCAGTGCATTTTAAGCTCCAAGACTGTCACTTCTTCATTTGTCTTAGGCTTTTAGATTCAATTAAATAAGTAATGCACCTAAAGATTCATCAGCTGGGAATACTGTCTCACCACTGAATGACTTAAGAGAGATAATATTGCCTTGCTGAAGACATATTATAAAAATCTGAGAATGAGCATGTGTGAAGCTCTCTGATACTCTTACAAGAAGTGAAGTATAAGTAGTTGTGGATTCCTTCAAATGAAACAAAATTTTTCTGGACGCCTTTTTAGATAGAGTATATGCAACCCAGGAGTATAGATGTGATGTCTCCTGTCCTGTGCAGGAGTATAAATGTGATGTCTCCTGTCCTGTGCTCAGGCAGGTTAGGATTCTGGCAGACCATGAGACACCCCTGAGCCATCACTTTAAAATGCCCCGTATTTCAGTAGCGTCTATGTGCTAGGATTTCTGTTTGGGAGTACAAAAAGCAATGAGATTGTTTTTCTTGAGTAACCTGAAGTCTACTGGGAAGAACCCAGTGGTAACCCAAATAGCTATGACACAAGGTAGAAAATAGTACCAAGGTAGATAGAGATAAAACCTTTGATACTTAAAGGAAGACAGAAATACTGCTGACTGGGAATTTTAGAGGAATTTTCATGAACAAAGATCAGTAACATCATCCACTATCCATGAAATATTGAACTATAAGGCAGTTTTAGTACTGGGAAAGAAAAACTACATCATACCTACCAGTAAGAATCTCATGATCATCATATTTTAATAAAAGATGAAGAGGTAAGATCGCTTATTCTGTGTTCCAAAGAAATTCCTGGAGGAGAAGGGATCTGAGCTAGACTTTCATAAATAGAGATGATTTGGATAGAAGAACAATTTAGAGCATCCTGGTTTGAAAGAACAAAAGGATCTAAGGCAGTAGCCCTGGGAATGTACTTCACAAGTTCAGGATCAATGAGTATCCAGTTTAGCTAAAGAAAACAATTCTAGTGAAAGAAGTAAACAAACGTTTGGTAGGATGAAATGGTTCCATCTTATGGAGAAGCTTAAATATTGATCCAAGAATTTTGAACACCCTAGTGGACTTCAGGAGAACCTTGTGACTCTGAGCAAAGATAAAAATAAATTGATATGGGAAATGATGTTCCTTTCAGATTAGAGAAACTCCTGAATTAATCTCAAATTTGGAGGCCGCTTAGTATAACAAAAAAGTATATTTTCAATATTGCTGATATGTAATCTAAGAATGGTTCTCTCTTCCTGTCACTGAAATTCATCTATTATTTATTCCAAGCTTTAAAAAAAAAGTACTAAAATAAAATTGTGTGATTGAGCATTGCAAAAGAGTGGGTTTTTATAATGTGGAAGCCAAAATTTTTTATCAGAAAAGAAAAGAGAAAAAAGAATCTATGCTGAGAGGAGATGGCCAACTACTACATAGATTTATTAACTCAACAAAAGGGTGACCAGTTCTTCCAAACCTGGTATTTGTTGGTCGTATCTATTACAAGGTAGCTGTGGCTTGGTGCAGGGTGCAGACAAGAGAGGGAACAGGAAGAAAGAGATTAGTGTAAACTGTGAAATCAGGCAAAGCTAGACTCAAATTTTGTCTCTGTTTTCTAGTAACTATGTGTGACCTTGAATTATTGAAGCTCTCTAAACTTCCACTTTCTTGTTTGCAAAATGGTACGATGGCATCTACATATAGAATTATAGTAAAGAGTAAATGAGAAATACATGTGAATACCTAGCCGCTTCTGGAAAATAGTATGTACTCAGTTACTGGTTATTTTTATTATCGTTGTAATTACTATTTCCAGTGATGTGATGCTTATTACCTTCCAAAGCAAGTACTTTTATATTTGAATAAGTGAAAGCTCTTTCCCATTATTTCTAAACCCTTGTCCTACTTCTCAGTTCTAGAACTTTTTTTTTTTTTCCTTAATGGAAGGAAAGAAATAAGGAAGGGTTGGAGAGAGAGAGAGAGGAAAAGCACCTTTGTTTGTATGCTTTCTTTAGATACGTTGAAGACAATACTCACAAATCTCTTCAGTCGTCTCTCCATTTGGATGGCCATCCTCAGTGCTTAAGCACTTCTTCATAAATATGATTTTCAGAAGCATCTGAAGCATCTGTATTCGGGGTCCTGTCCTCATCCCTGTTAAGAAATATAAGGCTCAAAATCAGATGTTGTTATGTGAGGTGTGGTCTCGTGCATGGAGTACAAGGTCACTTTTCATTAGGAGACAAATGCGCAGTAATACCTACAGTGTGGGAACGTGGATCCCTTCTCTTTAATATCAGTTTTGCCAGTGCCCTCCTTTGTAACCCAGAGTAGCTTCAGATAAACCTACTGAGCCCTTCTTTTCTTGTTCATAGGAAAATATTTTTAAAGGGATAGTGCATTTATAAGAAAATTTTTATATACTTCTTTTACCCTGAGAGGATTGCAAAGTTTGTCATGCCCTGATTGACAAATATAAGTTCAAAAAAAAAAACAGAAAATAAATTCCTTAAATAATTTATATCAGACAAATGGATCTGAATCTAAGCAAAATTTTCAGGAAAAAAAATGTTTATAATCATTAGGTAAAAGTAGAATTCTGACCTTATCTTTATATTTTCTTTATATTTTAAAGCTTTGCCTACATATTCCAAGACTTGGCTTTCAGTTTTCCTAAATCTAAACAGAGAAATAAATGAAATCATGTCTAAGATTTCTTCCGATTTTGACATTGTTATATGTCCTTACCTGTAAAATGAAGAAAATATTTTTTCTTTTTATCAGGGTTGTTGTTAGGAAGAAATGATATTATGGATATTGTGTTTCAGCCTGCTAGGGACAGATACTTTCATAGCTTCATTCATTCACCCTAGGGTAAAAGTATCAGTGTTTTCTTCTTTTTCCTTCAGGATTTATTCCTTAGTCAGGGAGTGACCAAGGATGGTCAGCCAGAACCTCAGCTGGTCACCTGGAGCATAATATGGTAAACAGAACCATACCCAAAGTTCTGTTTACGGAGGCAGTCCTGGCTACCAGTGAATGATCAGGAACCCTATAAGCTAGCCCCTGGAAGAACAATGATGCTGATTTTATCTGTAAAATAATTCTTTGCATACAAAGTACTATAAACTCAGTTGGTTCTCCCTGCATATTTTTGAATGATTGTAGGCAGAGTTTTTGTTATCTGTTTTACTAATGATGCAACTGAGGCCCGTAGGAGTCAGGTTGCCTATAAAGGCAAGGATGTGCATACAGAATTACCCAAAGCAAATTGGTATTTTGTGGGGCACAACCTCAAAACCACTGATATCTTGCTACATTTAAGTACAAAAAGCTCCTATATGCCACAGAATTAGAACATTACCAGATCTTAAATGTTCCTTAGAAATCACCTCAACTGATGCCCCACATTTGGCAGAAAGCCAAAAAGTTTCTCAGCTAGGAACAAAACACAAGTTCCCTTTCTATCACATGGTGCTGAAGCTTAGATGCATAAACCGAACAAATCATCAGGAAGCTATAAAAGGAACAAACAAATACAGTCTCTGGAATCATTGCAACCTCAATACACATCTCATTGCCACTTCCTGGACATTTGTGTCTAGCTAGGTTGCTTCCCCTGCCTGAGCCTTACTGTGAATATGTGCCAAGCAGAGTGTTGCTGTTAATTGAGCTAGATAACATGCCAGTGTCTGGCCTAGTTCTTGGCCCATAATAGGTATTCAACTAATATTTACTTCTTTTCATCCACTCACCCTTCTTCTTAACAGTTGGAACCCCTGTTTTGAACTGTTCACTTCTACTCTGGATTTCCCTGTGTAAGCTCACTTGCAGAAGAGGGTGGAGGTGAACACACTGCATTTCCCACCATCCAGCTCTGACCTGGGCCCACCCTGTGCAGGACTCTGCTGACTTTGGGATGCCAGCTGTGGTCCTCACACAGGGCTCACTGTATCCGGGGGCCTGGCTTGATCCGGTAAAGAGCGTCTGCTGCGGTGCCTGATGGAAAGTGCCCGCTTAATTGGGAGATAGGGCTTCATGAATGGATCTTTCATTAGTTGAAAAAAAAAAATATTTGCCTGCAAGGACTGTAAACAGAAGACTTGATTCACTTGTTCCTTTTCTCCTGCCCTCTCTTGGGTTTTGTTTGACTTAGCGTGTTTATACCTCAGGACACAGCTGGTACTAATGCCTTTCCAAGGTTAAGAAAGCTTTCCCTGCCATTCCCTATGGTCCCCTTTGTGTACTTTCAAGAGACAATAAAGGAGGTGTGGATGTGAGACAGAGAGTGCATTCACATTAGTCCTGGCTATTATGGGGACCTCAGAACAAGCATCACCTCCACCCTGTCTGCATGGATTTAAGAGAGAGCATCTGAGCACCTGAGCTTACCTCAAACACGTTCTTTGAAGAAGAGTCACTGCCGGTCATTTCTGTAATGTATCACAGCTGTCCTGACCTGATCCTTCTCTGCTCTATCGTGGCTACTTTAGCATATTTTTCTCAAAAAGTGTTCCTCTTTCATAATTAAAGGTGAGGGAAGACTGGATGAAAAAAGCTGTGGGATATGGTCAGCACATAAGGCCTGTGGTCAAAGATGGGTCTTCAGTTACATCGTTTGGTCTTACTAAGCCTCAATGTTCTCATTTGTAAATCTGGAATAATCATTAGACCTTTTTCACTCTGCTTGTTGTGAGGTTCAAACATGAGACTCAATGAAAAAGTACTTTTTGGACAATAGAACACTACATAAATAGGAAAATTTTAATGGAACCTTCCTCATATTCCATTAATATGTTGGTGCTCTGCATTATAGTAGTACTTTAGTTGACTTGAGCACATGATGTAGTTGACTTTAGATTAAACTTTCACTAAGTATTACTTAGAAAAAACGAGCCATCATGTGATTCTACAATCTTTATGGGCTACATAGGGATGGTGAATTCTTTTCACCACTAGCAAAGGCTCCTAAAGGATCATGCCTTACTCCCACTCCATAGATGAAGACCTTAGGCCCCTGGGAATCCATTGAGCTCACAGAGGTTTACATAATGCCAAATCAGGATGGGAAGTTAGATCCTGCTTAGTGCTCATAACTGGCTTATGAGGTTTCCATTTCAGACAATGAATACTCATCAAGGAGGATTGGTGGGGAACCATGAGCTGTTCATGTGTACTGCTGCACTCACGTCGTATCCAGACACCCAGATATCATCTCTGGCCCACTGCAGTAAGATCTCTGTCTTCTGTCCTGTTTGTCTCTCCTTCATTCATTCCTTCATTTGCTCTATCTAGCCTTCATACTTCTTGAATCACTTTGAGTATGGTACCCTTATTTTAAATAAATAGTACCCTCATTTGGGTATTTGTTTCCAGTGTTCCTGAGGCTGGGGAATTTCTCCAGAGTTTAATGATGACTCTGGTGCTCAAGCACCAAGAAAATTTCCACTTGAGATGGATCTGGCACTGGAGGTTTATTTTTTCCCCTTTCTATTTTATTGTTGGCCAGTTTGGGCCAGCATGTTGCTAGGTTGTATTGGTTTCTTAGCTCTTGTAACCAAGCTAAGATGCACATGTCAAAAAATATTTTTTCTTCCTCTCTAAAAAGGTTTTTCCTCTTTTCTGTAATGCTTCAGGAAGGGAAAAGAGTGTTTGCTTGATTCTAATTCTGGCATATGAAGTGTTTGCTACAAAATGTTTTTATCACTGTGTTATCTTGTCAAAGTGCTATCGTCATTGTCATTTTCAGTTTAATAGCAGGAATGTTCCATTTTCACAAAGGATATTCCATATTTTAAGTAAACTCAACAAAGGAAATTTCAAATGCAAAAAAATATTGATAGTGAGAAGCTAATTAGTTTTTTTATTTCTCAAAGCCCTACATTTAAAATAGCTTTAAGTTTCCAGTATGTCATGCTCTGACAGTAGCATTTACAGGTAAAGGATGATGCTTAACTAGGATTATGGTTACATTGTAAACACTCAAGCCAAAGAAAAATATATCCTTGGACAAAGGGGTTAGGATGATTTGCCAGAGTGGCCTCCAGTGTTTGGATGACAGCTACATCACTGTGATTTAATGCACCTTTAGTTTCAGGAGTTGTATCCAGACTAGTCCTCATCTCAGCCTCACCAAAGGGGACTGGACTTAACCACAATAGAACTCAGAGCTCCTGCAGTGAAACCCAGTCCCTTTCCATGCGGGAAGTGATAACCGCAGGTGAAACTCTGAGCTAGGGAAATACCATCTTGGTAGTCCTGAAGTGATAGCACTTACATTCTTTTGCCAGGCATCCAAAATCCTTTATTCTTCAAATAGTTGTGAAGGTTTTTTTTTATTATTATATAAAGCCTTGCAGTGAGTCATAGAAGAAATGCACTGGGGTCTGAGACAGAGAGAGAGAGATGAAACAACTATAATTCCTGAGTCAACTATGATTCCTGTCTTCAAGAGTCTCATGATTAAGAAATGGAGACAAAGCAGAAATAACTAATTCCAACTTCCTAAGCTAAATGTCATAATGAACAAGGAACCAAGGAAGCACATAGAAGGCTTAGGTAAATTCTTCCTGAGGGAATTCCTCTGTTATAGGTAATAATTATTAAGCTTCCACCTTGTCTTGTTTCTATGTCTCTATTATTATTTAATATTTACAGCTAAAGCTATCTATCTATCTATCCATCTGTCTGTCTAGAGTTCCTACCTAATGGTATGTTTCAGATTAGGATAGATTTCTCACTTGAAACAGTCTGTCTGATGTTTTGCATCCATCCATCCATTCATTCTACAAACTGTTATGCCCTCTATATGGCAAGCATTTTGCTATATCCTTACTACAGAATTCACTTAGGCACTAATACCTATTTTAATTATGGAGACAAAAACAGCTAAGAAAATGTTATCACTCCATAGATGAGTTAAAGAAAAAAAACAGGGAGAATTTCTTGAAGGTGATGTCAATATTATCATAAACTCAGGCAGTCCATGCTGAAAATGATTTTTTTGTGAGCCAGAATCCCCTGTACTCATCATTTATTCCCTGATTTACTGCGTTTTATTCTGTATCAGATGATGTGCTAGCATAAAGCGGGGACATAACATCTTCTGATATCATGAGACATTGTTTCTAAACCTCTTTTCTTGGTGATTAGACCTATGCTTGTGCCCATCAGAGTCAAAGGTTGTGGACACTTGCTCCGCTGCTTGTTTTTTCTGCTATCTTCTGTCCTTGTTGGTTGCATTCTAATGGACCTATACCAAGTGCTGTCAGAAGATGAGAGACTACAAATCAGATTCCACAAGGATGTTCACAAATAATAAGCATTTGGTTGCAATTTAAAATTGGTTGGCAGAGCAATAGGGCATTTGATTATTAGGATTTTACATTATCTGAGTGACTTGGAAATAGAAAAGAAGGGACTTGTATTATATGTCCAGAAAAAAAGTCCAGCAAACTATAATTCATAGGCAAAATCCAGTGCACTGCTGTGTTTGTAAATAAAGTTTTATTGGAATTCAGTCACGCCCATTTGCTTATGTGTTGTCTATGTCTGATTTCTGTCTACTTGGTGGCATTGACTAGTTTTGAGAAACCAAATGACCCACAAACTTTGCAATATTTACCGTCTCTTTATTGAAAAGGCTTGACCCTCTATAAAAACGAATTAATCCTGAAGGAGAAGAAAAAATAAATAGGGACCCTAATCATATTTTTAAATTTATACAGCATGCAGTTTTGAAACACTCAGTCAATGATGTAGAACAATTAAAAAGAAAAAATAAAACCTGGGCTAAGATGATAGACAAATTCCCTTTCAACTTCAACCAGTTTGTTCTGAGGATATTGTGTGCTTCAGGAATTTCTGCCATATGCTGGGATATTCAGACATATATAACGCAGTCTGCCTTCCAGGAACCCTTAGTCTGTTAGTGGAGATGGACATAGAAAGCAGCAAATACTCCTTTGTGTAACTCATGCTGTATATGAGATAAGATAATGAGGCAGAGAAGAGTTGGAGAGTAGAGATGGCCTGGCTTTTGGGAATTTGGGGAAGATATCATAAAACAGTAGAAACTTAAACTATGTTTGAAAGCATGAACTCATGATAGACGGGCAAGGGTAGAAACAATCGTTTTATTTCTAGAAGCTTCAACTCTATCTTGAAATAGTTTGTTGTGTATATTAGTCCGTTTTCACGCTGCTGATAAAGACATACCTGAGACTGGACAATTTACAAAATAAAGAAGTTTCAATGGACTTATGGTTCCACATGGCTGGGGAGGTCTCACAGTCATGGCAGAAGGTGAAAAGCACATCTCACATGGCAACAGACAAGAGAAGAGAGCTTGTGCAGGAAAACTCCCATTTTCAAAACCATGGGATCTCACGAGACTTATTTACTATCATGAGAACAGCACGGGAAAGGCCTGCCCCCATGATTCAGTTACCTCCCACCAAGTCCTTCCCACAACACATGGGAATTAAAGATGAGATTTGGATGGGGACACAGCCAAACCTTATCAGTGTGTTTATAATGGCACCACAGTTTCTAAAGTATTATCCATTATCTTTTTGGTCTTTATAACAGAGGTTGGTTGTAATCATTATCTCCATTTTATTAGTATTTCTTAAAAGGCTTCATCAAAGCAGTTAAATGACTTTTTCAGGGTTTCACTGCTTATAAGTGGTAAAAGTTACCTGACCCTACCTCTGACTCTAAAGCCACAGGACTGTCCCCTTAAATCAAACTTTCTGGCCTAAGTCTACAGGTATTCCCCAGAATTTCTAATTGACATGAAATGCAAGAGAAAAGAGTCTTTGAATTTTCCTGCACTGGAGCAACCTGCCTTATTCCAGACATTGCCAAGAAATTGTTTTTGCCACTGACATTATTGCGCATGCTGCCAGTGGAAGTAATAGTGATCTGGACTTCATATGCTTTCACCGAACATGCATATGGCTCTTCTTATTAGACTGTCATAGGGCTCCCTTACTTTCAACTTTCCTTGGAGGTTTCTCTATTTTCTGTCCTCTTTTCCTTTCCTTGTTTCTGATACCAGCCTATAGATCCTCTGTCACCAGTTGGGTTTCTTCATCACATGGTTTTCTCCTTCTCAGGTGGAGTTTTGGCCAGAGGGAGGAGAATCTGTTCAATTAAACAGATTCTGTACAACAGATTCTGTATAATGCAAAACAGAACCGATTCTGTAAAATGCAAAAAAAACCCTTTTCTCTTGCATTTCAGATCAATTCTAAATTCTGGGGAATATCTGTAGACTTAGGCCAGAAAGTTTGACTTGAGGGGACAGCCCTGTGGCTTTAGAGTCAGAAGTAGGGTCAGGTAAGTTTTACCATTTATAAGCAGTGAAACCTTGAACAAGTCATTTAACTGCCTTGATGAAGCCTTTAAGAAATAATAATTAAACATCCCCTGGTATTTGAGAAAAGAGGTATCCCAAGTCCCACCATTTACCAGGTCCTATTACTCACAATGCTGGTAACCATAGGTCTCCATCCCTTATGCTCACTCCTCTTACCACGCCCTGTCTAGGAGCTACTTCTACATTTATGTGCTCAGTCTTCTATCCAGAACCCTACCCCCAAATGTCTAAGCTCCTCACACCTCAGTTCTCTGTCTTGGGCCATGGAACCTCTAACACTGGTTTGGAAGTGTGTGTCTTTTTCCTCAGGCAGCTGGAGCAGAGACTGATTCCACTGCCAATTCTTGCCTCAAGAAGAGTCGTCTTGAGACAATAGGTTGAAGCTTTCACTACATGTTCTTTTAGCAAAAAATTATAAAGCATAGAGGTTGAGATGGGCTCTGGAATCAGACTACAAAGATTCTGATCTTACTGCTTCAGTTATAAGCTCTGGATGTTGAGCACCTCTCCTAATCTCCCCAAGCATCATCTACTGAAAGGGGGCATCACAGGACTTCCCTCATTGAGCTGTTGTAAGGATTAAATGAGCACATGTTAAGTTTCTGGCTGTGTAAGTTTTTGTTATTACTTTTCTTTTGTACTTGAACTTGTCATACCATGTTTCTATTTTGGGTTCAGAAAATATGGTTAACATAATTATAGGTGTAATAGAAATTTTGGATTAGCCTGTGAACATAACACACAATTATAGCACTGTTTTTTTTAATGAGAGAATGAATTCCTGAGTTCTAAACAGATGAGTTACAAAGAAACTCTTGGACTGAAGTCATCCATATATAATAGATGGTCCAGTTTGGAGTAGAAGACTGACTGTGAAAGATAATTGAAAGTCTGCAAAAATATTTTTTACTAAATGCACTGTCTTTTTGAGCTTGCATTCATAGGCACATCTAACGCACCTGCCCCAATGTAACCAATCAACATCACATACAGCCCTCAGTTACTAAGTTTATGAGGTAAATTTATTTTCCTTCTTGGTTTTTGTTTCTTTGCATTTTGATCTTTTTATCTCTTTGTTTATTAAATAAGAAATTAGAATCTCTGATCAGTAGATTGGCTAGGATCTGCTTATGAGTCTTAGATGCAAAACTGACAAATCTTTAATTGGTTGTGCCATCGTATCTGTCCTCAGGCTTGTTAGCTAAAGCTCAGTTAGTGATTTGCCACCACTGCCATTGCTTGGTGGTAGAATAGGGTAAAGGATTATCATGCCAGCATCCCTTGTCCGCTGTGACCTTAGTCTTAGTGAACAAATTTTCTTGTGTGCTTTCTAAAATGCCCATGACCCTTATTTCATACTTAGGAAATAGAAGTCACAAAGATTTCCTGAGGACCTCATCATTATGTGGAGCTAGGAAAAGTACTGTGGTTTATAGCTCTGTGGTTTACACAAAGGGAAATCCAATTGATTTGCACAAATACACAAAACAAAATATATTTAAGTGCCATGAAGAGAAACGATGTTCTTTAGGAATTAAGAGGAGGTTCAGAAGGAAAATGGTGTTGATTGAATCTGGCCAACTGAGCTTGGACAATCAGTGACCTCAGGGAAAGGAGTGTTAGGAAAGAGACATTCCTGACAGAGGAAATAACATAAGTAGACAGGGAGATAGAACATTCTGGAAATTGAATCTGTGTTAAAATGCCTTAAAAATGGTGCATCATACGAATTTAGCGACATTTCACTTCAAGATTCTTACACACCTTAGGGTGAAAATCAACAAAGACCTTAAAATGCAGACAATTAACTCTTTTTCTCTGTGTTGTGTGTGTGTGTGTGTGTATGCGTACACACATATACTCCACATATCTCCACAAATCAATGACAATATCAAATGGAGCAATTTTCCACAATTTTCTCCAAGAAACTGCATGCTTAAGCACTGCACTCAGCAAAATGTTGTAAGTCCATCAATATTTCTCAGTCTTGCTGAGTTTCTGCATGACCCCCAATAGCTTACCCAGTCTCTTCCTCTATAAGTAATGATCGCAGATTCTACATCTGCAAGTACAAGAATCCTTTCACAAATAAATTCCAGAGGACTCCAACCTGCAGTGTCTTTAGTGAGTCAGAAATTAGGAAGATAGCTTCAATTTGGTTATACCCAGCAGGAAGGAAACAATCCTAATCATACTAATACCAATGGAATATTGTAGTCCAGGAGTTTGATGGAGTTTGACCAGCATCCTTTAGAAAGGAAAACTGCATAAATTAAATAATTTATATGGAACAAACATATGTGTAATATGCATGTAAAATAAAATGGCACCAGTTATTAATCAGGTGAATGCATATATATCATAGAGAAGTCAACTATGACCAGAAGATACAAAATGAACTGTTCTTTAGGCTCATGTTTTGTTTTGCAATACAGGGCAGGATATTCTCTCTTCCTTTAGCCTTAACTGATCTGCTTCCATGTTCTAGTCACTTGAACATTGATATGCATGTAAAATAGGCCCCTGTTCTTCCATTAACTAGAAAATAAAAAAGTGCCCAGAAGGGAAGTTTCCATTTCTAGCAGCACGTTAAAAAGTGCCAGAGTTTGATCAGGAAGTGGTATCAGGGTCAAGATGAGGGAAAGGACATCAGAAAAAAAAGTAGAATTATCCTGTTCACTTCAAGGAAGACACACAGCATAAGGCGGGTTTTAGAAAAGGATTAAGAGAAAATTGGCAGACAGAATTAGGGAGATTGCTTAATCAATATCACAATATAACGATGCTGGGTAGAAGATGCATGGAAGAAGCATGGATTATCTCAATGACGATTTTATTTTGAAGATAGTGTGATTATCACCCCTGGGGATGCTGGAACATTACACTGGGGATTTAGTCACCAACTGAAGCAGATCTCTGGGTTGAATAGATCACCATGAAGGTTGTTTCCAACCTTAAGTTTTCTTAAATTTCAGAAGTTCAATGAGTTCTTCTCCAAGGATCAAGGAGGATATCTACTAGAAATCTACTATAGAATAGAGAGAATTGGTCTATACACAAGTTTATTTAAATTAAATAATCCTGATACCATTTTGAACTTTTCAGTCAAAACCTACCATATGCAGCTCTTACCAGTGACTTCAGTGCTTCCTTATACAAGGTGCAAGCGGTGCTAATCTCACATTAAAAAAACACTTTGGGCCAGTTGCGGTGGCTCACAACTGTAATCCCAGCACTTTGGGAGGCCAAGGTGGGTGGATTACCTGAGGTCAGGAGTTTGAGACCAGCCTGACCAACACGGTGAAACCCCGTCTCTACTAATAATACAAAAAAAATAGCCAGGCATGGTGGTGCATGCCTGTAATCCCAGCTACTCAGGAGGCTGAGACAGGAGAATTGCTTGAACCCAGGAGGTGGAGGTTGCAGTGAGCCGAGGTCACGCCATTCCACTCCAGCCTGGGCAACAATAGCGAAACTCAGTCTCCAAAAGGAAAAAAAAAAAAAAAAAACACTTTGATTTTAGAAAGAAGGTCTGTGCCCAGGCGCTCCCAGGTGCTGCCAGGCCTCAGAGGAAGGGTTCTGAAGACAAACCTGACTGCCTCCTTCCACATGCTATGTCTGCAAATATTGGCTGCCTTCAAGCTCACAGCCTGTGACAGCAAGTTGGTTTCATTTCTTAAAGTTGATCTTCAAAGCCGTGAAGCAATCGCAAACTGTTTGAGATCCCAAATCAAAGAACAGATTGTGTAGACTCAAAAAAAGCAAACAAACAATTACATTTAAAAACAAAGTGTTGGAAAAAACCAGCAACAACCTTTCTGCTCACCTGCCAAGGCCTTGTGGCTAAGCTTCTGTTTTTGCCAAATTGTAGCAAATCACATCAGACAGTGTCCTTCTTGTACTACTGACAGGTGACCCATTTCCTGGTGGTTAAATCTGGAGGGATTTGGGAGTTCTTGCTCTTAACATGACTTTCCCACTGACTGGATTTGTGATTGTAAGCACATCACACTCATTTCCTCCATTTGAAATGCAGGTTCTCTGAAGCCTTCTGGCTTGAAGGAATAATAGTGAGTAATACCTAACATTGGCATTGCACAGCATGCCACTGAGGGCTGCCCAATAGCTCTGTGAAAGAGATGAGGAAACAGGATTAGAGAAGGGACCAGCTCACAGTCACAGGACTAGTAAATTATGAAGTGAGAATTCAAGCTTTCCAATATCCCTTGTTCTTCCTACTACATGATACCACTTCTAGCTAACCACTCATTCAGTAGCTCTTGAAAAGGATATTCTGTTACCTCCTTTGAAGATAATATTTGATCCCTACTTTCTCACAGGGCTTTCCAAATAGAGTCCACATTGGCCCATTTCCATGGAACATTTTGCTGGTCTTTAGGTATTTTATTAATTGCTGAATTGTTTAGGGGTTTTAAGTTGTCTAAGGAGACTATATCTGAATTCAATTATTTTTTTCCTCTTTCCCCTCGAGCATGCACATTCTTTGTAATACTGTAGTGATGTATAAGTTTTCAAGAGCTGTCAAGGTGTATATATATATATATATATATATTTCCAAAAGCAGATAGTATAGTACATTTACTACAGTTGTTTCACTTTGATATGGATAAAAAATGTATAAAAAAGGCAAAGAATTCTGTGAGTGTCATTACAACTTTAATTTCAAAATTTTTGCCCTTATGTTATTTGCTATACTTGGCTTTCCTCGACATTATAAATCATTGATCACAGGCTGGTATAAATTTAGCATTACCAGTGGATTCTGCGTATTTGATATGCTCTTTTTATTTTGGTTTTGTCAGTTTGCTACTCGTGAGTTTATCTTTGAACAGCTTCCCATGGCTATGGGATTAGGTCTGTACTCCAGAGCCTGATATCTATGGGCCTTTTTTTCTTAGCCTTTCTAGTCTTTTTACCCCATATTTCTTCATGATATCCATAGTTTGTCCAACCTAAACAAAGAGCTAGTCCCCAAGCACACTAACCCGTTACATTCATCCCTCTGCTTTTAATACAATTGTTTCTCTATAGAGAATACCTTTAAAAATATATATAAGTTGGCTAAGCTCAAAAACACCACTTCTATGATAATACTCTTACAGATTCTTCCATTTGTAAATATGCATGCTCATAGTACTCTTACAGCGTTGGTCCTCTCTTATAACATTGTTAGAGTAGATACTGTAAACTGAAAAGTGACACATAAAAATACATAATGGTGCAGCTCAGATATGTGTCATCTTAATATTCCTATTAACCTTAGAACTTTGTGACTGTGTTGGGATTACTTGACATATTTGTTTATCAATCAACACAGTGACAGTGACAACGAATGAGTAACCAGTGTTTTGTTTTTGAAACATTTGAAGAAGTGTTCCATATTTCTGAAGTTATTAGTTTAGTTTAGGTTAGTTTAGTTTAGTTTAGTTTTAACGACAGAGTCTTGCTCTGTTGCCCAGGCTGGAGTGCAACAGCGTGATCTCAGCTCACTGCAACCTCTGCCTCCCAGGTTCAAGCAATTCTCCCTGCCTCAGCCTCCCAAGTAGCTGGGATTACAGGCACCTGCCACCACACCTAGCTAATTTTTTGTATTTTTAGTAGAGATAGAGTTTCGGCATATTGGCCAGGCTGGTCTCAAACTCCTGACCTCAGGTGGTCTGCCTGCCTTGGCCTCCTAACTGAAGTTATTTTTTAAATTAAACTAATACATGCAACTGGCTTAACAAACTAATAGGACTAATGAGTCTAAAACAAACGACATACCCTCCGTGCTTCTCCTCTCTCCACTCTCTCAATCCTACTTCACGAAAGACACTCTTGGCTGCTTCTTCCTGGCATTTGCACAGCTTCATGTCTAAAACAGAAATGCATTTCTATCTTTGGAGGCATAAATCTTAGACATTATCTGTGGATTAATAACACAAAAGACACGGATATGCCATCCATATAAATGTTTGACTGTTTAGAGCTTCCTACTCTGGGAAGGATTGACCCATCTCCCTCCAAAATTGAGAAAAGGGACTTTCACTGGACATTATCTTCAAGTCCTTGCAGTGTTCCAGAAGGTGTGACAATCTGGTCCTTTGGCTGGCTGCATTACTGACCTGCTGACCTGCTGTTTTAGGTTGATTATATTTGCCTTTGAGCCAAAAGAGTTACTTGATGATACTCCAGAGCCCCATTTCCACACAACACTTAGGTTTAAAAGCTGCAAAAATGGATTTAATGAAATAATGATGGAGTGATTTGAAGATTTTTCATGTCTTTCAGGAAACACAAGGTGCTCTTAGTGACCACAGAGCTAGCAGCCTCCCCTGCATCTCAACTTTATGTTTCCAAATATAGTCTAGATGCTTAGTAAGTGTTAAAAAATAATAGTGCATCTTGATGCATTCTTTATGGTGTAAAATAACCTGTTAGGTAGCAGGGATAATTTTTCTTCAGCATTAGATGGCTGTTTATGTATGATATATTTCTCTGTGTCCCTGGGACCTAATGATCGTTGAATACAGGTGAATAGAATGTTATACAGTAGATGGAACATGATTATCAAAGTCAGGAGACCTAGACTCAGTTGCTTTCTAGCAAGGCAGTCATTAATTACATGTTACGTCTTTTATCAGAACCTCAGTTTGGATCTATAAAATAGGATTACTCATTTCCACCTTGGAACTGTTTTTATGTAACCATCAAGTAAGCCGGTAAATATAGTTATCTGTGTAGTTAACTAGCTGCTAACAAAGGAATCCAGGGTGGCCTTTAATATATGTTCGGAATATATTTATTCAACAAATGTTTCTTCAATTGTTTTCCAAGTTAGATTTATAAAAAATGAGAGCCTGGCAGGCAAGCAGGCAAGTTGGTAGCTTGGGATGGGATCCACTACAGCACAGAAGTGCAGCCAGAGACTTGCTCCTAACTCCCCACGGATTGCTACAAATCCTTGCTCCAACTCGCAGCTTGGCAAGGGATCTTGCTATCAGCCTTCTCTCATGGAACCCATTGTGCATATGAATATTTGATTAGCTTATTCCATTTTCATTTTATACTATTAGTTCTCCTTGTGGGGTTAGATCCTATGCACACACACACACACACACACACACACACATCATTTAAGAATAGGAAACTATTTTGCAATCTATATGCCCTCTGCTTGTAATTGTTACTGTTCCCAATCCATTTCCTCCTCATTCTTTGTCTCTCATCCAAATGGTTTTCACTTTATGTGTAACAGGAGTGAGCTTATTCTGAACTACATTGGTTAGGTCCTTTAAAGCGTAAGCACGAGAGAATAAAATGAATGGAATGGCACAGAGCACAGCTCACATATTTGTTTTTTAGTTTTAAATTCTCATTTGCTTTTTAGTTTTACACATATTTATTACCCGTATTTCTCATAGATTTGCTTTTTGGTTTTACATTCTCTCCTTACTTTTGCCTTGGTTCTCCTGATGTGTGAAAATGCTCCTAAGGCCACCAATCACAGGATTGTGACTCCTTCCCCAACTTTGTTTACCTACAATAATTGCAACAGCATGATATTGTTCAATGTTGGCATATGCAAACAGAAAACCTAAGATCTGGGGAGCCAATTCTTTGCAGAAGGTGCTTCAACCTATCTAAAAGCAAAAACATTCAATAATGTGTACATGCTTTGAGGTGTGTGTAATATTTGTGTGTTCATTATGTTATTCTCATAGTCACAAAACTCCTTTCAGGTAAATATTTGTTCCCATTGTATGCATGTAGAAATCAATGTTTAGAGGGGTTGTTAAATAGCTAGTTAAAATCAGAACCAAGAATCAAATTCATTATTTCTGTCTTAAACTTCTCTTTCAACTATTTTAGGCTGCAGTAGTAAGCATCATATGACTTCTTGTCATCTCTAGTGTGAAATGGTTTTCCAAAGATCTGTGTGTGTGTGTGTGTGTGTGTTTTAAATAGGCATTTTACTTTTAAAAGGAAGGTTCACAGTCAAACTGAGCAGAAAATACAAGCAAGTTCCCATATACCCCCATCCCCACAAATCCCACAAATGCATATTCTTTCCCACTATCAACATCTCTGACGAGAGTGGCACATTAGTTACAATCGATAAACCTACATTGTCACATAATTGTCACCCAAAGTCCATAGTTTACATTAGCATTGACTCTTGGTGTTGTACATGTTGTGGGCTTTGATGAGTGTGTAGCATTTATTTCCCGTCATAGAATCATGCGGAATACTTTCACTGCCCCTAAGAATTATCCTTGCTCTGCCTATTATTACTTTCTCCCCCAACCCCGGTAACCCCTGAAATTTTTACTGGCTTCATAGTTTTGCCTTATCAGAATGTCTTATAGTTGGGACCCTACAATATGCAGCCTTTCCATATTGCCATTTTACTGAATAATATACATTCAAGGTTCATCCATGTCTTCTCATGGCTTGGTAACTCATTTCTTTCTAATGCTGGATAATATTTTATTATATAGATGTCCACAGTTTATTTATCCATTCACCTCCTAAAGGACATCTTAGTTGTTTCCAAGTTTTGGCAATTATGAATAAAGTCGCTATAAACATCCACGTGCTGGTTTCTTTGTAGACATATATTTTCAGCTCATTTGGGTAAATACCAAGGAATGTGATTGCCGGATCGTATGGTAAGAGTATGTTTAGTTTTGTAAAAAACTGCCAAACTGCCTTCCAAAGTATCTGTACCATTTTGCGGTCCCACCTGCAATGAATGCGTGTTCCTGTTGCTACAACATTGTGGCCAGAATTTTATTGTCAGTATCAGTGTTGTCAGACTTTTGGATTTTGCCTGTGGTAGCAGGCTTATTTGCTTATTTGCCATCTGTATATCTTGTTTGGTGAGGTGTCTGTTCAGGTCTTTTGCCCATTTTTAATGGTTGTTTTTCTTACTAAGTTTTGAGAGTTCTTTGGATATTTTCAATAATAATAGTCCTTTCTTAAACGTGTTGTTTGCAAATACTTTCTCCCACTCTGTGGCTTGTCTTCTCATAAACGCTTGACAAAGATGCATTTTTGACATGCACCCTGCCTCATCTATAGCATGTCTTCAAATAGGCTTAAGCGACTAACTTGAGGGAAGCTGATTTATCTTGGAGAACTCCTAACTCATTTTTCTTTCATTCATTTAATAGGCAGCAGACTTGGGGATATAAAAGGAATATTCTGATGTTTAGTTAGTGCTTAATTATTTTGCATTCTTAAGTCAAGCTTTTGACTGTTATTGCAGTGCACTTGCACAAACATGAACATTTCAACATCTGCTGTTAGTGTGACCAGAAAGAGAGAGAAGAGAAAGGAAAAGAAGGGAGAAATGTTGACTCAATCCTGTCCTTATGTGAAACAATAAAAATATTTTAAAACTTTCTCTCAGTTATGCGACATAGTGCTTTTCTATTTTTTCCTAAACTGGAAGCTCCCTAAGGGGAAAGGATGCATCTCATAGAATCTCAAGGTGCTCAGCAGGTAATATGCATTTGAGCAATGTTTCTTGAATTAAACTTGCTAGCCTTATTTATCCTGAAGTGATATAACATCGTTGGGCTGCTTCAAACTGCCTTTATCCTGATGGGTTCAACTGGCACAAACAGTTATTAAGATTTGGGAGAGTCAGAGGTCCCATAGATACCATGGACTTTGCTGCATCTCAGTTCTTCCATTGCATGCCTTTGGAAATCTTTCCTGCTGGTGAGGTTCTGTGAGGGACTGTGGCCTGATAGAATTTGTTTCATTTCTGTTTGTTTTTATTCTTTAGAAAGGCAGAGTAGAAAAAACAGTTTAATGAGATAACAAATAGAGGAAAATACTTTGGACTTACTGTTTAAATTTAAAGATTGACTTTATGGTAGCTATTAATAGTTCCAACATCTTGTTGAATACCCAAAGCTTAATTATGTAAAGAGCTTCTTATTTCCTCTCTCCTGCCCCTTTTCTTCTCCATCCCCTTGCAAAGCAGGCACAAAAATTAAAGCTATTTAGAGATATGTGAATCAGCATATTGCCTATATCTAATTTATCTTTGTGCAATGCACACATTCGTGAATTTCTCAAAGCCATGTGACTCTCCAGAAATCTTTAAATATGTAAATAATATTATAACGTCCCTTAGTGAATAGCAGATGCAATGCATTATTCCAGGTGTCTGAGTAATGCGAAGAAAAGATCAAATTCCCTGTTGTACTACCTGTGTCACATGTTACATTAATAAACACAGTCAGCTTGCAAGAATAGTATGTTATCTGAATTTAATGAACTTCTGAACTGAATGGAATGCATCTAATTGACAAACTGTCATCAAAGAGAACAGAAGACACTACAAAGTCCAAAGGGAAAGAAGAAACAAGTGGGGAGAAAAACAAACAAACAAACATGATGAACTGTGGGGGCTGGGATTAAAATCATTGGAAGGCATCTCTGTGTGAATGTGAGCCTGTGCAGTAACCTGCACGTGTGTTGATGCCTGGTGGTCTTTCCATGTGAGACATCTTGGATCTGATTAAAGGGCCTTGTGGTGTCTGGCATTTACAGCTTTGTATTTCCCTTAATTGCATATACAGACTCAAGAAAGGGATGGGGGAGTGTCACATAAAAGATAATCCACAGCAAAGATCTCAAGCTGTTAGGTAAATGAAATGTTTCCACAGGAGGGTTTATTTTTGCCTTCAAAATCTCCTGGTACCTGATAAATTAAAGATAAAACTCTTTCAAACAAGTTTTTACTTTTCTTTTCTCCACCTCCCATGCTGTCATATTGAGTGTCACGTACATCGCTACTTAAAACTCCAACGGGTAGAGTGGCTATTAAATTCGGTCTGTATATACATGATATATATTATGCATATTTTCAGAACATATGCTGTGTTACCATCTTCTGACCCAAAGAGAAAAGCTGCAGTAAGGATTTTTTCAGGACTGTAATTGGGCAAATGACCTTGTAACGCAGTGGTCTCCGACCTTTTTGGCACCAATGACCACTTTTCTGGAAGACAGTTTTTCCACGAACCCAGGGTTGGTGGGGTAGGGATGGCTTCAGTATGAAACTCTTCCACCTCAGATTATCGGCATTAGAGTCTCATAAGGGGCATGCAAACTAGGTCCCTTACATGCGCAGTTCACAATAAGGTTCGCACCCCTATGAGAATCTAATGCCACCACCACTGATCTGACAGGAGGCGGAGCTCCGGCTGTAATGCTGGCTCGCCTGCCACTCACCTGCTAGGAACAGGCCAAGGACCACTATCAGTCCATAGCCTGGGGATTGGGGACACCTGTTACAGAATTTATACTGTTAAATGTCACTTGATATGCACACTAAACCTATTACAAACCACATATTGTCACTTGTCATAATTGGACAGAGCTGCAATGAGGTTTTGGTTTTAAGTGCCAACTCACCTCTAAGCTTTTTCAGATCCTTGAGCTAAAAGTGTCCTCTTTCTGAAATCCTATTACCATTTATTGTATATCTTTAATGAAAGTTTTAGTCTTTTCCTTCATATTAATGTTATTCACCCATTTGGCTTAGCACCCCTCTTAGAGATAAAGCTCTGTGAAGATGTGTTTCTTACTGGTTCATTTCGGCATGCCGCTAAATGTGTAAAACCTAGAAGATATCCCATAGCCTTGTTTGAATAAATAAAGTTACACATGGTGTTTCAAGTTCACCTATTTCTTTGACTACCAAAAGACTTCTGGTTTTAATAAAACAACTGTGAAGTTCAAGTCCTGTGTATTCTAACACTTTGATTTACTCAATGGCCTGATAGAAACTGTTTTTAAAAATTATATTTACCCTTAGCATTTTCCTGAGTATTGTCTTTAGCTATTGGTGGGGAAGATGGATATATGTGTATGTGTGTGTGTGTGTCTGTGTGTGTGTGTGTGTGTGGAGAGAGAGAGAAGAGATACATGGACCCATTGCCACAATCTTTTAATTATGTGAAACAAAAAATATTTAAATAACGTTGAGGTTATCCATATCTTCTGTATTATATTCTGTGTTACTGATTTTTTTGGATCAAATAGTGATTTTTCATGAGCTAGGTATAAAAATATTACCAGGGACTAAAATTAGGGGAAACTGGGAGTAACTTAGAGTGTAGCCAGTTGTTTTTCTACTGGTGCTACCGGCATTGAAAGCAAGAGAGTTCCTCCCTGTGTGGGGATGGCCTGTACATGGCAGGACCTGAGTGTGCCAGGTCTCCAGCCTTTACACTTTGGTAGCATCTTCCCCACACACCCAGTGTAGTACGCCCTCTAGAGGGATCCATTTCTTCAGTGACCACGTCTTTGGAGAGCCACTGTCTAGATTTTTAGTGCACAAAAATGGAGTGTGATTAAGGGTTTTCTGAGGATGGTGTATTGTTTTATGTTTTCTGTTGCTCCACTCAAATTCAAATTTTGCTGTTAGACTTATCATTATAATGAAATTGAATGTTGGTAAATATTTTTGTAAAGTATATGCCCCTTTTCTGTGTTGAATGGGCTACAGGCATTCAATACCCCGTAATACCCAAAATATCATTAATTTCCAGAAAATATAAAATTGTCACAAAATCTAAAAACTGGAATATTAGGAAAAAGGAAAGAATGGTTTCCATAAATCACTTTGTTTAACATAGTTTCTATGTGTTTGTCTGAGTAGTTGTTTTATTAGAAAATTGTAATTTCCTCTCTAAACAGAGCAAACATATTCCTTCTTCTTCTTCTTCTTTTTTTTTTTTTTTTGAGATGGAGTTTTGCTCTTGTTGCCCAGGCTGGAGTGCAGTGGTACAATCTCGGCTCACTGCAACCTCCACCTTCCAGTTTTAAGCGATTCTCCTGCCTCAGCCTCCCGAGGAGCTGGGATTACAGGCACCTGTCACCACACCAGGCTAATTTTTGTATTTTTTTTAGTAGAGTTGGGGTTTCACCATGCTGGCCAGGCTGGTCTCAAACTCCTGACCTCGTGATCTGCCTGCCTCGGCCTCCCAAAGTGCTGGGATTACAGGCATGAGCCACCTCGCCCGGCCAGCTAACATACTCTTTTGTTCCTAAATACAGTTTTAAAAGCACATGTCTTGAGACTAACTTGTCCTTTCCTTTGTAACATCAGTCAGTTTTGTTAACAAAGTAAGTGAGGAACTATAAAGTTTGCATTTTAGGAAAATTTTGCATTTAGTATATAATTTTATCTTAGCCTGTGCTTTATCTGGCAGGATCTGATCCATCCTATAATTCTACAATTAGTGTTTTGGTCAGAAATGCAGTCATTTACATTTATCCCTTTGACATTTTGCCATTCTTATTCATTTATCCAGTCATTCAATTTCAGAATACTAACTTTGCCAGATACTAATATCAAGGACTGGCCAATTCATTCATGAGTAGATGAATAACATAAGTGTCCTGACTCAAGGAGCTTGTAAACTAAGAATTGTAATGTTATAAACTATTTATATTTCTCTAGTATTTTACAAATTAACAAGCAAAATTGTGTGATTCTATTTGTAGTCAAGTGACCTCAGAAGCTATTCAGTCTTCACCATTTCCTAACTTATGACTTGATCTCATTCTAGCCAGTGACGCTCTATAGTATTATATTTATTATGTCATCCTTAACGGTGTGGAAGTTGAAGGACCAGAAAGATTCACACAGACTTGTCTTTGTTCACAGGAGTAGACCCATGCCTCTAGATTTAAAAGGTTCATCAAGGCAGTATAACTTAGTAGAAAGAATAAGAAACTGTAAGTCTGGGGTGGGATCTGGCCTCAGTAATTCTCTGGCTGTGTAAACTTAGGTAAGATGCTTAATTTTAAACACAGTATATCCTTCTTTGGGAAATAGAATATACCTTACGGATTTCTTTATAACAATTATTTTTCAACAGGAAAGAAGGAAAGAGAAATGCTTGCATGGAGCCATCATTTATTCAACAGTCACTCATCAAATACTTGTTGAATGCTTACTCGGTGCCAATCACTTGTCCACACACTGGAAGTCAGGAGTAAATACAATCATAAAAATTCCTGCCCTCTGGGTGCTTACATTTCTGGTTGTGTTATGCTGCAGGGAGAAAGAGGAGATTTTCAAAGGTAATAGTACCTAATACCATCTGAAATCCTAAAATTTCTGCCTTACTGTCTTCCACCTACCATCCCCATTGGGGAAACCTTACCTTAGAGGAGGCCACTATATAGTGGATATATAATAGTGTTTGTATTTTATATCTTTTATCACTGTTTTCTGCACACAGTAAAACAGTGATAAAAGTTATCACTTTCTTAAGATTTTGAGGTTGCTGTACATTCTCATTTGTGAACAAAAACTTTGCTCTGATTACGTAGGATTCATTTAAAATCCATGGAATCTTTTGACACTGAAGTTAGAAGTTCATTTTATCAACAAGTGAAATAGTCTCAGGCACAAGGTGGAAGGATGTGAGTCCTAAAATCTTCGGTAGGAGTTGGCTGGGCGCAATGGCTCACGCCTGTAATCCCAGCACTTTGGGAGGCTGAGGCGGGCAGATCACCAGGTCAGGAGATAGAGACCATCCTGGCTAACACGGTGAAACCTCATCTCCACTAAAAATACAAAAAATTAGCCGGGCGTGGTGGTGGGCGCCTGTAGTCCCAGCTACTTGGGAGGCTGAGGCAGGAGAATGGCGTGAACCCCAGAGGTGGAGCTTGCAGTGAGCCGAGATCACACCACTGCACTCCAGCCTGGGTGACAGAGCGATACTCTGTCTCAAAAAAAAAAAACATCTTTGGTAGCAGTTTTACATAGATTCCCTTTTGACAGCTCCCACCCCAGCAACTCTGTACCATAGTTATTGGTAAGCACATCTTCCAGATGTGGGAACTGTGGCTTAGAAATGCTATGAAGCCAGTTAGTAGAAGAGCTGAAATTAGAACTTGGTATTCTCAACCTCACCATCTAGTGTGCTAATCTTTTTTGTTTTTGTTTTTCTTCCTGGGACAGATACCATTTGTGACCTGTTGAGTGAGACTGATTTAGTCCACTGTGTTAACAGGAAAGTTGTTATAGTTTTTTTTTTTCTTCCGTATTGTTTTTAATGGCAATGTAAAACATGTGAATCTGAAAAGAGAGGTTCTGAGAAATTTGTGCAGCTCCTTTTTCCAAATAAAAGATAGATTTCTCTTGATGAAGCCTTGATGGTTGGAAATTAAGACAAGAACTGAAAGCAAAACAGCCTACTCAAGGTTAGACAGTGACTCGAGTCATTCCATGCACTTAAACAATATTTAGGATGACCCTATGTAAACTCACATTATCACTTAAAAGCCAGTATAAAAATACTACCCATCTGCTGTGCTAGTCCTGCTGTTGCTTGCCACATTTCTCTGACAAGCTGTTACCTCAGTATATAGAGAGAGTATACATTTTGGAATCCGGAGTTTAAGTTTGAAAAAAAAAAATGGTATCTGGTACATATGGACTAGATTCTGTTCTTCCAAATGTAGATTTGTAACCTCATTTATTCTTAAAGATGATGTGTTAAGTTAGCTTTTTTTCTTGACTCTGAAGATTGAAGCTCTTATAATTTTATGCCTGGACATGAACAATGTACAATAGGAAATCATTTAGTTTACACTCGCCATATGATATGCAAAGTGGGTGTTGGGAGGTGTTTATATCAAACACCATAACTAAGTTCTAAACCGCTCTCTGGAAGCTATGTAACTTTTCAGGTATTAAAGGTTTGGAAGATTTGTAGGTGCAGTATGTATAATTGCTTCCATACAAGTAATTTTTTAGTGCCAAAAAACTCTAATTCCATAATTTCCAGTGCCATTATAACAGCCGAGATGTAATCTTCCTTCTTAATAGGTATTTGAGCAGAAGAGGCAAGATTGAAAGTTAGATCCTCAGGCTTCTCTGATGCATCAATCTGCGGATAAAGCCTTTAGCTAGGAATTACAATCTGGAACAGACGTGCAAGATCACTGAGTCATTTGCTGTTTTTCCGTGGGACAATTACTTATTCTTTTTCTGCAGATTTCCTAGGAAATACTCCAAAGTAAAAAATATCAGGAGCAGCAGTATGTGATCTTCCTTGCTGCTTATTGTTCATACTCTTTATCGCTTCTCAGCTTTTTGGCTAAGATCAAGTGTATTGTTTATACTGTCTCCACGATTTTCCTGGAAATCCTTTTTGGTGAATATAACCTTGTGCATTACTTGAAAATGGGCATTTTAATCATTTTTTCATTCCACTAATATTTATTGAATGATCATTATTTGTAAGATCTTAGGAGACCTGTCAAAGACAAGCACGGGCTCATCAAAATCTTAAACTTGTGTATAGAGTACTAAAGAAGGAGCATGTGAACATATGATTTTCAGAAAATTGAGAAGGGAAGTGAGTGGGGAGCCCTTTGAGACTGGACAGAAACAAGAGGACCATGACACTGAAGAGGACATTTTTAATTTCATGTTCACCCTGAGATTGGTAATCAAGAGTCTTATTTACTCAGAGCAAGCCGCATAAATCAAAACCACAATGAGATAACATCTCACACCAGTTAGATCATTAAAAAGTCAGGGCCGGGCATGATGGCTCACACCTGTAATCCCAGCACTTTGGGAGGTCGAGGCGGGCGGATCACGAAGTCAGGAGATCGAGACCATCCTGACTAACATGGTGAAACCCCGTCTCTACTAAAAATACAAAAAATTAGCTGGGCGTGGTGGCGGGCACCTGTAGTCCGAGCTACTCGGGAGGCTGAAGCAGGAGAATGGTGTGAACCTGGGAGGCGGAGCTTGCAGTGAGCCGAGATCGCACCACTGCACTCCAGCCTGGGTGACAGAGCAAGACTCCATCTCAAAAAAATAAAAAATAAAAGTCAGGAAACAACAGGTGATGCAGGTGATGGAGATGATGTGGAGAAATAGAAACAATTTTATACTGTTGGTGGGAGTTCAACCATTGTGGAAGACAGTGTGGCAATTCCTCAAGGATCTAGAACTAGAAATACCATTTGGCCCAGCCATCCCATTACTGGGTATACCCAAAGGATTATAAATCATGCTACTATAAAGACACATGCAGACGTATGTTTACTGCAGCACTCTTCACAATAGCAAAGACTTGGAACCAACCCAAATGTCCATCAATGATAGACTGGATTAAGAAAATGTGGCAAATATACACCGTGGAATACTAAGCAGCCATAAAAAAGGATGAGTTCATGTCCTTTGTAGCGACATGGATGAAGCTGGAAACCATCATTCTGAGCAAACTATCACTAGGACAGAAAACCAAACACCACATGTTCTCACTCATAGGTGGGAATTGAACAATGAGAACACTTGGACACAGGGTGAGGAACTTCACACACCAGGGCCTGTTGGGGGTTGGGGAGAGGAGGGAGGGATAGCATTAGGAGAAATACCTAATGTAGCTGACGAGTTAATGGGTGCAGCACACCAGCATGGCACATGTATACATATGTAACAAACCTGCATGTTGTGCATATGTATCCTAGAACGTAAAGTATAATAATAAAAAAATAAATTAATTAGTTAATTAAAATTTAAAAAGTCACACTATTAAAGTTAGAAGACATGCCCTGAATCTTCCAGTCAAAATTCCTTGTTTACAGATGGGAGAAAGAGTGAGGAAGGGTTTTGCCAATGGTCACATAGATGTCAAATATCATTTACTGAGAAAATCAGCATAAGAACCCAGGTCTCTCTCTTTTTTTTTTTTTGTTTTTTTATCACTCAAGCCAATAGTTTTTCCACCCTTTTAGTTCTGTTATTTGTCTTCTCCACTGTTATTCAAGGCTATCTCAGGCCAGAAGCAGAGGTTTGAACTCTTTTCAGATGAGAGCATTTTTGAGACTGGGACCTCATGTTGAACTAAACTCACCTCCACGTTGGCACGCACGTTACTTCCTCTTCCACTGTATAATTTTGCCGTTGGATTAAACTCATGTGGTTGGTGCTAAGGCTTTGACCACAGGCACATTTGAAGATTATACTTATTTCTGGATACAACCTCCTTTGCCTCCAAACTGAAAGGTTGGAAGGATGACGGGAACAAACTCAAGTCAAGGGATTCCAAATGGTCACATCTTATGACCACAGGCTTTATATTTGGAGCGCTACCATGATTAATGTGTCCTCGTTGCCATCCTAAGACTTCCATCATTTTCTTCCATTGTCTTTCTGACTTCAGCTCCGTTGCTACTTCTGGGCAGTTATAGGTTTCTAACCCAATAGGGCAATTTCAGTTTCCCCCGCGTTTTCTACATAAGTTGTCCTTTCTCCACATATTTGTTTATGCAGTTTAAGTCTTGCCAGATTGTTCTCTCTACGTTCTAAAATCTTTCCAATTTTGAAAGTCTTAGATCAAGTACTACGCAGCTGAAAATGGCTCTGCCTCTTTTATGGCATTTAATATCTACCTTGGATTATAGTTATTATAACGACCATAGATACTAAAACTTTGAAAAGAATAACAATTTGAATTCCTTTGTCCTATCCCCATAGGACCTAGCATTGCCTCTTTCAATTAATAAATGTGTAAGGAATAAATTATTTTGGCATATTATCCCTTGTCTTTTAAAAGTTTCACAGGAGTCCCTTTGCAATCAAGTTAAAGGCTATAAAAATTTAACATCTAGTTGTGTTGGCAGAGTTGTCAGCATTTACTTCAGTTTATCAAACTTCAATATTTATTTAAATTGAAACCAATCAGCCATTTTTTTCTATGCAAATCACAAATCTCATTTATTAATGCCTTCCCCTCCCCCTTTCCCTTACTACATCAATAGGAAGATTACATCTTGACATGATAAAAGGAGACAAGCTTTCGTTAATGTTAAGAATCTGCTCCATGGCCCCCTTTGCCCAGAAAGTCATGAATTCTGATAATCAAGGGGCAGTTGCCTATGTTATTTTTTTTTAAGTTTCTAGTTAATTATTTGCTCTTCCTTATTTGCATTTTGAGATGTAACAGTAGAGCAGTTTACCCATTCTCTCCTGAAAACTATGAGTCTGTTTCAGACAAATTACTATACTAGGCACCCACCCTCAGTGGAGGTGCAGGAGACTCTAGGCCCGGAATGGGTGAAATACCAGAAGTTGCATTTGAATATAATATTGACTAATTAGTCAGCCAGAAATGAGAGCTCTAAACATGCTCTTTTTGTGTCATTTACTGCATTTGTGGAGCATCTAATTATAAAGAAAATAAGTATTCTTCATTGGTTGCTAGTAAAGCTGCCACTGAAGGGCAAAAAGACATATAGCAATCATTGTTTAAATAGAAGCGCTTGAAAATTTTCCATTAATTTTCGTGTTTGCATTTTGAATGCTTTCTTGCTCACACTTGAGGTATCAAACTGAACAAGTCTGAACTGACTGCGTAAGAATTTAAGCAAGAACTGGGAGGGGTAGAAATGAGGAAGCTATTTGCATTCCTGGAAGACAAAACTCACGTTTATAATCTTTCTTGATACTAAGGCAGTTTGTTTCCCAAATGCTATTTATGGTGAGCTTTTTGTCTTCAAATGTTTGTTATAAGACTCTTTTTTTTTTTTAATCATCCAGTGCAGAAGTTCATGAAAGAAAGTGAAAGTGCACCCATACCCCCATTCATTTTCCAGAGCTTACCCTGTTTGGTACATTATCTTGTTGGCTCATGTTTTGCTTGGTTTTGTTTATGCAACTTTTTCTTATTAATTTGTTGTTGTCGTTGGATGGAGTTAGGGAGGGTTAAAGGACTGGAGTAAAAATGCTATTTATCTTTACCCCTTCTTCACTTACAGTGTGTGTACGTTGATGGAGGGGGTGGTGGGGATAGAGGGTGATTTTACCTGCTCCATTTTTGTTTCTATTTGCTGCTACCAGCTTGCTTCTTAACCCTGGGCAGAGGCTGCCCTGCAGGCAGGAGCAGAATAAGCTGTCTGTGCCCTTCCTCTTCCTATACCTTTGAAGATTGGTGCCTTTCACTGTTTTCCAATCGCTTGTTCTTTCCATAAGCTCGTTCCCTTCTCTCCACTGCTTTGACAACACCTTTTAGAGTTGCTCCTGGAGCTGCTGCCAAGACAATAGTATGTTTTCTCTTTTAAAGGTCTAAACCCTGGGAGGAGAGGAACTGGAGGAATTGAGTCAATATAATATACGAATCACTTTATATTTTACTATCTATAATTTAGTTTTTGACTTCCATTTCTAAGGAAAAAATTGTTTTCTTTTATTGTTTTTTTTTTTTCTGTTTCCATTCAGCACTCGTGTACTGAGAATCCCCAAGCTATATTAAGTCCCATTTGGGCCATTAATGTGTGTGCAACATGGTCTGTCTGTTCCAGTAGAGAAAAAGGCATATAAATAACTTTCTTATCACTGGTTATATGCTTTGAAGGAGTACAAATTAAACAACCTGTGGAAGTTCAAGTAAAAGAAAGCTTATTTCCAGTCACGAGAAGTTAAATGTGAGCTGGGCAGATTCATAATAGAGAAGTACCGTTTTTTTGTTTGTTTGTTTGTTTTTAACTCTGAGGGCCCTGTGAGCTTGGTCAATTTACATCATCTCATGAATGACATAGGGCCCTATATGTGGAAACAAATAACAACAACAACAAACCACTGTAGAGTCATATCAAAGAAAAATGAAGGTGGTATTCATCCACATCAATATTAAGATAAATTATTAAATATTTATAAAACTCTTTGACAGTGTACAGCCTCTATAATTAATCAATGTAGCACTTTCTCAATACTTCCCCATTTTAATTAGTACCAACATCAATCATAATTAGGCTCATGCTTTGGTCTCTCTGAGACTTTTAAAACATTATGGGTAGGGGGCATTTTTCAGGATTCAGGTATCAGCTAAGAGTTCATTTAGCCAGTAGATCGTGACCATTCTTCCTCTCCCTGAAGCTATGATTCTGGATACTGTGGCTCTTCCTGCTCCTCCAGACATAGAGAAAATGGACAAGTTTCTCCTTCCCCATTTTGAGTGCATGATGTGAAAACTTAGCTTGTCCAGCCAAACTGGAGGAAGGAGAGGCGGGACTTATTGGAGTAACTGAAAAGAGAAAAATTGGAATATGAGCAGTACCAATACTCAGTCTCTTAAGGAAGGGTAGAGTCCCTTTCTTTCTGTCTCTGTAATTTTTTTCTTTTTTGTTTTTTTTTTTTTCAAAGAAGATTGCATAAGATTCTGTCTCTCTAGGAGATGACTGATGAAATATACCCCCTGGGTCATTTGCATCTTACTCCTTTGTAGTGTAGGGAAGAACATTCCAAACCCATTATAAGCACTTACTGTTGTTGGGCATGTCATAACAAACACAATACCTTTCTGGAATATACTGCTGAGCCCTTGGCTTTTTGCTGAATTTGCCTAAAAGCCCTTCTGCCTATTGAGTGGCCACATTCTGAACTAGTTATACTTGGTTAAGTTTTCACACAGTACACTCTGGGATACTAGGGTTGCAACAATTTAAAAAAGAACATAGATGGAAGCTTTATATCTCAAAAGCTCCTACCTTTGACTTCCCTGACAATTTTTCCTTCTCCTGCTCTTCAACTCTATGTTTCCCAACTTTGTTTTTGTAAACACGAAAAGTAAATTTTTTACCATTTTGTGCCTAATTCCTCTTCTTTCTCTCTTCTCTTTTTACTCATCACAGGAATGTCTTAGCTTTCCTTCCTTCTCCAATCTGCCTTGGGTATAGAGTCACGCCTTTAAATCTTTTAGCATACCACAATGTAACTTACATAAGGAAATGTTTAATTTGGGAACCTCAATTGGTTTTGTTAACACTGCTGCACCGAAGCTCTAGCTGAATTCACATAATCTCATGATTTTAGTAAAGGTAACAAAGGAAAACGATTATGTAAGTACCTACTTTTCAACAAACATTGGGCTGGGTTTCTTCTTTACATTTTCTCATTTAATCTTCATAATAACCCTGCTAGATAAGGTTTACCATCTCATTTTGCAATGTGGAATCTGGAGCCCAGAGATATTAAATACCTTGTACGAGAGTAGGTGTGCAAAGCTAAACTTTGAACCTAGGCATCTCTGACTTCAAAGTCTATGCTTTTTCCACCTCATAGAAAGACCATCCAGAAGATCAAGTGTTGGAACCTTCCGAGGCTGTGACATATTTATTACTTCAAAGTTTATTATCACAGGACATGCATGCTGCTTTAGCAACTAGAAGTGTGTGAATGAATATTACTATTGTGTTGCATAAGTCCTTGGCAATATTACTTTTTAGGTGCCATTCTAATCCTGCCCTGTTTGGAATAATTGTGATTACGAGGGCATAGGAGTAATTCAGAAATTTTTTGAAGAAATTTCTCCCACAGCATTAGCCTTAGTTATGAGTATAATACAAAAGAAGAGGACCAGCCCTGCTGGAAGGTAAATGAAAAGATGGAGGAATTGAACGATTACATAACAGCTGTTCAGACTTGTGGTACTGATTAGAGTCATTTGTAGAGATGAAGCAGTGTGTCAAGCCAGTGTGGGCTAGGGTATACTGGGAAGTTCTCACAGACAGAATGAAGTGGGTTGCGGCAAGCCCTGAGGTATGGCAAAATCTGGACAGCTAGCCTGGATCTTCATTTTTCATTAGTTGGCTTCCTTAACTGCTCAACAAGTAGACCAAACAAACAAACCACGCATACACACAAAGCAAAGAAGTAAATAAAGAATGGTGGGGCTAAGACTGTGAATAGCTCCTAGCAAATTAGAGAAATAGCTTCAAGTATATGCCTTCTGGATGATGTATGTTTGTATATGAAGGACAACACATCAAGGGGTGTTGGTAGTAATCTGTGCTAAGCTTAGAAGCCAGTATATCATTGTTCTAGTTCTATTTCTACTGTCGAGTGGCTTTATAGCCTTAGACAAGTCATGTAACCGTTCAGGCCCCAAATGTCCTTCTGGAATTACAGGGATTGAACTGGATGAATAAAAAGTTCTATTTCAACTCCAACATTTAATAATTCTAAAGTTCTTAGTGAGCTCTGATTGCTCATTTGCATTACATAGGCATATATTAACCATTTTAATATGTATCAGAAAAGGTATGTTCTTTTTCCTCAGAAATGTTGAAGCCTGACTTTGTTATAGAAAGCACCCAGGAATCATGTCTTCAGAGTTCCTAATTTTTAGTGTTTTCTTGTACTGCCCCGACTGCTGCAATCCTCTCTCTTACATTGGAATTCTGTTTTAAGTTTTGGTGATTGGAATCCTCTTTTTGATTTAAGAGAAAGAATCCTAGGGGTGAAAGATTACTATACTGGAAATGAAAGATTACTAGTCTCTAAATGAGAATTGGCTTTGGTCTGTAATAGATAAAAAGATTTTTAAGGGAAAAATATTAGAAAAGTGAAAACGTTTTTAAAAAAAATAGGTAGCAGTCACCACCGTATTCTGGTGGAATCGAATTCTTGAAGATTAGATTTGTGTATTCATGGAATAATCTAGACAAAATCCTGCCTTGCACATAGTGGGGAGATACACTAAAATACTGAAACAGCTACATTGTATTCAGGTGAAGCTACATAGATGTAAATAAAGGGCAGCCAGCGGGTACAAGCTGTCAATTAAGTGTTTTCAATAGTCTACTCCGTGTCGCCACATCTTAGGTAATTTAGATAGGTAGAAGACAGGTCATTAGCACTGAAGTTGAGAACACATTTGAACTCCAGAATGGGATTAATGCATCTCCAAAAAACGTGTATTTTCTAACCCTGTGCAAAAATTATATTTGAAAAGATTAAAACAAACAACAGTTTTCTTCGTTCTTTGTTATATGTCTTTGTACTTGAAAAAGGTAAAATTCTGCATTACGTTTTAAACAAATTGTGCCAGGGTAAAGGGTAAAATCTCCATCAACATCTAAAGGTCTTTCTTGTTCAGAAAATGAAGGCCCCTCTCCTGCATTAAAGACCAATGTGGCCTTATAGATCCTTATACAGAGGGAACAAAATGACATTAGACAGACTCTAAGGTGCCCTCAATTATTCCCACGTGGTGGTATTCATGCCTTTGTGTAATTGCCTCCCAATGAGTGTGGGAGGGACCTATGATTTCTAGCCAATAGAAACAGCAAAGGTCACATGTAGTCTTTGATGACTTGTGTGTGATTGTGTTATATAAGACTGTAACATTTGTTCTATGAGGGGACTTTCACCCTTGTAGGCTTTAAAGAAACAGGCTGCCATGTTGTCAGCTGCCACCTGGAGAGGTCCATGTGGTAAAGAGTGAGGGCACCTAGTAGCTGACAAGAAACTGAAGCCATCAGTTTAGCAGCCTGCAAGGAACCGACTGTTGACGACAATCATGCAAACTTGAAAGCAGATCCTTCCCCAGTCAATCCTCAGTTGAGACTGCCACCCCAGCCTAACTTTGCTTGTAGACAATGAGACCCTGAGGCAGAGGACCCATCTAAACCATACCTGCACTTGTGACCCACAGAAACTGTGGGATAATAAATGTATGTTGTTTTACTCTGCCAAGTCTTTATTGTTTTATAGATAGCTAATACAATTATGTTACTTTTAGAATCTAACATTTTCTTCACCTTTCGTTTTCTACATAATAGTTACTAAGTGAATGTGACTTGTTATCCCCATCCTCAAAATCATTAAGGGTCTTTTATTTAATATTTGATTTATCTGTGGCTTTGTGAAATTCATAAATCTGCTCCTCAGTTTCTGGTATCTCTTCAGGAGAGATGCCCTCTTACTCTACTGTATATGGAAGTTGAATAAGATTGAAACTGATAGAGAAATACTTGTTGAATCAAGTTGAATTACATGAAATGGGCTTCTTTAAAAGCTGTTATTAAATCTTCCTGTGGCTGTCCTAGAGATGATATAACAGAACTTCTGCTGGGAAATGGGAGAGGGGGAGGGAAGCGTTCCATGAGCTGCTCTGTCATTTGCATGCCAGTGAAATTAAGTTTGAATTTACATTAAGAGGAGTTTTGAAATTTAGGATCTATCTTACCAAATCACAATTCAGCCTAACAAATGTTATGGAAGTACAACAGGAGCCCGGACTGTCCATTGTCATCTAAATGATGGATGTGTTTAAGGTGTTTACATCAGTGCTGTTTCTCCCACCTACCCTAGGTCTGGGTGGTTGCCTGGGATTGTTTACTCAAAGACAGTAGCTTGACAATTTGGAAATGACAGAGGACGCTGATACTTGAAATCAAACTGTAGCCCTGGAATAGCCCAAACATGGTCCCAGGGTGGTCTTGCTTCTGACTTATGTGGAAACGGCCAAATCTTCAACTACATTCTGTAGCTTTTCTTTATTCACCCAGCCAACTGGAAGATGAGTACCTATCTTGGAAATTTCCCAGAAGCAGCAATTCATACTTTCCTTATAACTCTTAACACATTGCTTTATAGTTTCTGTTCCAATGCCAGCAAAGCCCCTCTTTGAAGACTCAGTTTCCGTCATGCTGCTCTCTTACAACACGCTTTCCTCAATTCTGAATGAATGAGCAGATGAGGATGCTGAAATGTTAGCATAACAAACCAAAGTCTTCTTCTGTTGCGGGACATTACATTTAATGTAGCTTTATACAGCTCAGATTTATTTCTATAGGTTAAGCATTTTGTTAAACTATTCCTAAAACACTTCTGAATGGGTCACCAGAAAGAATATGGAGCAATCAATTCTACTGTAACCTAGCCAGGCAAATATTGACTATTTCCTGATACCAGCATATGTTGTATATTTCTGCCTTACTCTAGTGAGCAGAAAATCTGTGAAGGTTTTTAGGAATTGCCTAAAGACACGCAGTTCTCAAATGGCAGGAAGGAGAGTAAATCCTAGTCTTTCTGATTCCAAACTTTATATTTTTTCCATTAAATGAATACAGCATACTTACATACATACATAAGTAATACATACATTCATACATGTATTCAGCTGTGAACATTTTTTGGGCACCCTCAATGGCCCATTCGCTGTGTTGGATGTGATGAGGGATATGTAGATGAATAAGACCTAGATCTTGCCCTTATAGGGAAAAATAAGATTTAAATAGGTTAAATCCTAGTCTTGTGGGAAGATAGAAAAGATGCACAAAACGAAAGCCAGACTCAAATGAGTAAAGTTAGATTATAAGTCTGCAGATGTAGGTAGGTAACCTGAGCTTTCCAAGAACTGTCTCCTCACTTGAAGAATGGCAGTTAATAATCTCTGCTTTATAGACTGGTTGAGTGGATTGAATGAGAACACATGGGAAGATGCTGGCATTTAATAGGCAACCCATAATAGAAATGTTAACATGTGCTCTGGGGTATCTTCAGAGGTATTGGGAGAGGAGTCCCTGCCTAAGGAAGAAGCAGTGCTGGGCAGAGGAAGGAATGTGGACTTGGATTGGAACTCAGTGGATCTGGTCTCCAGTCACCCAACAAGCCATGTGACTGTGGACCAACTACTAACTGCATAGGCACCTTGGATTCCACAATTGTAAAATGGACATCACTGGAAAGCCTTCCTCATGAAGTGATTAGAACAGATGCAGATAATAGCACAGGTGTGGTTGAAAATTGTGAACATTCATGGAAAAGTTCACTTGTTTTTTTTTTATTTGTTTTTGTTTTACTGTCAAGAATATAATAGGAGCCACTCAATTTATGACTCTGTCCTTTCACTTATTATTAAAATTATGGTATTCCTTTTGCCACTCCTGTGGACAACATAGCCAAGCAAATGAGCATTTTAGTCTTTCTCGTCGTCCTGTCTTAGTTTGCCAAAACTTTGAATACTCTGTGTGTGTGTGTGTGTGTGTGTGTGTGTGTGTGTGTGTGTGTGCGCGCGCGCATGTTTAGTTGCTGTTGAAAATATTTGACCACTATGAGGAACTGGTAAATTTGCCTGTGCTCAGGAATACATTACATGGATGCTCTGGTTAGTCACTTTGTACTTTACATCTGACTTTTCCTCCATCAGAGACAAAATTAATAATAAACAATTTTTAAGATTTTGGATAAAAACCTTATTAAAATGCATGGCATATTTTTCTTTTTTCTTATGGGGCTATTCTAAGCATTTGAAACCTTTTGATGACTCAGGGTCATCACCATGACCATCTATTGTTATGCTCTGCTGAAACTCAGTAATTTTTTCCTCCTATCCCCCCAGGCTGTCAGCGGCCATCTCTGCTGTCACTGTGCTGCCTTTCACAGTCTTTCCCACTACCTTCTAAAGTTCATTGGTTTTAATCTCCTCTGGTATGAGGAAGAAACAGCAAAATTGTCATTAGAATCATTGGTGAATAGGAGTCAACAAACATTCACTAGTGGCCCAAAGGAGCACTCATCAGAGGAAAAAATGTTGTTTTATTTTGAAAAATTGCTATTTTATAAACCCAGAGCTGCTACTCCCCCTTCTTTTCTTCTCCGTTCTCTTTCTTCATCTTTTTCTTTCCTTTCCAACCTTCATGAAAACTGGAAATATGGACTATGACTTCATATGCTCTTACTTACCCTCTGCTGGGATTTTGTTCTGAAATTGTAACAATTAGAGGAGTGTTTCTAAATTGGATCGCTTCAGATTGTCTCAGTTCTCTGTGACTTTAAGAACAAGCTGATTTGAAGCCACATACTGTTGGCAGCTTTCATCCATTTATTTGGACTATCAAGCAAGAATGCTCACAATCTTTCATATGAAAGAAGACATCTTTATTTCCAGTTCACACTCTTCATAATAAGAAGGGTATTTGAAATAAAGCCAAAAAGCATAACTTACTTCTCTAACTTCATATTTCAGATGCCTGCAATAGTGGGAGAACATTTTTTTACTACCCCACCTTACCCTCAAATCAGTAGCAGAAAATAACAGTGATGCATTCAGACAGCAAAAAGAGAAAATAATAATTTTATTAAGTTTACAGGAAAGGTCTCAGCTTTCTTAAAAGCCTATCTTTAGGAAGTAAGTAACTGGAGCTGCACACCCAACAGAGGAAGATGACTTTACTTATCATTTACTTAGAAATTATCTTTGAAAGGATCATTGTGCTGTTGTTAGCAAAAAGGAGCTTCTGTAAATGTCACCTCAAACTTTGAAATCTGGGAAAGTCTCATTATGAAACGCAAGTTTTATCTTTCATACTCAGCGCTGGAGCACTGAGTATCCTTGCATTCATGAAGACTTTCTGGTACAGAGTAAACGGAGCTGGGAGCATAAGTGAGAATGCAGCTCCAGCTGACAGACCCCCAGCTCTATCTTCCCAGGTGCATTTCCTTTTTTTTTTTTTTTTTTTGTGAGACAGAGTCTCGCCCTGTCACCAGGCTGGAGTGCAGTGGCATGATCTCTGCTTACTGCAATCACCGCCTCCTGGGTTCAAGTGATTCTCCTGCCTCAGCCTCTCGAGTAGCTGGGACTACAGGTGCACACCACCATGCCCAGCTACTTTTGTATTTTTAGTAGGGATGGGGTTTCACCATGTTGGCCAGGATGGTCTCGATCTCTTGACCTCGTGATCCACCCACCTTGGCCTCCCAGAGTGTTGGGATTACAGGCGTGAGCCACCGCACCCGGCCGCATTTCCCTTTTGTACACTAGGAGCTACCGAGTACCAGAAGTCTTTGTTAGGATGCACAGTTCTTTGCTCACTCTGCCTGGGACAGTGGCTCAACATCTCCAGTCCCCTTTGAGTTACCTCCAGAAGGTTCAGGAAGAGCCTTTCCCTCCAAAATGTTCATAGCATTTGATCTACCTTCTCTAAGATAAGCAGCTTTTGTCACATTGTACCTAGGGTAAAGATTTGTAATGCCTTAACTCTATGCCATCTGTATGCTTCCTGCGGACAGGATATGCTTCTAATTTATCAGATTCCCTTAAGAAACTACACCATGATGCACTTCTCAAAGTATGCTCTTAACTAATACTTATGGGAGGAAAAAAGGAAGGAGAAGGAAAAGGAGGGAGGAAGGAAATCGTGTAATTGCAGAAAGTTTATGTCTGGGACCCTTGTGTAATAATGTTAAATAATACTTTGACTTTTACGCCATTTTTCTATATACAAAATTCTTTCACATCTATTTTCACCACTATCCTGATATTGTTTGCATGATGTGTAGTATGTATGTTTTTAATGTGTGTGCATATTGTTTGTCTCTCACACATACAGCAGCCCCAACACTGACAAATCCAAATTCTATGAGTACAGGGAGTTTGTTGTGTTCACTGCTGTATCCCCAGCACCTTGAACAGCACCTTTCAAGGAGGAAGAACCTAATTCATGTTTGTTAGAAGAATGAATGACAATATTGTCTTATTTGATCTTCACCATAATCCCGTGAAGTGAATACCGTATTCATACTGTATCCTCGTTTTTTTGCAGATGGCAAAACTGAGGCCTTGAGACCTGCTCAGGTTTGCATAGCTAGTTTTTGGCCATGGCAAGATTTGAATTCAGGTTTTTCTATTTCCTTATTCTCTCCTTTTTGTCTTCTGGGAATTTGCTATATTAATAGCAAAGCAAGAAATGTCACACAAAGAAAAATTGTTTCCAATTTTAAATTCATGATGCATATGCAAGAAATTACTGACTTTTCAATCCAATGGTAACACAGATTGTGTGATTTTTAGGAGGAAGAGCCTTTCTTTTCCATCTCTTGCGTTTATTAGCATATGTGTCAGTGCACACACATCTACACCGTGCAGCTCTCACCTTGTACTTTTCCAGTCTGAATTCGTTTTGTAGGCTGTCCCTGCCCTGACTATCCCAGGTGCCTATCAGGGCTGTGTCTTGGTCAGGCTAAGGCCAAGCAACAGGCACCAGCATTTGTTATGGTTACCTTGGCAAGTGAATGGGGTTTGAGGGAAGCTGGAGAGCAGGCATTTCAGGAGTAGAACTAGGCCAGTCTGTTTTTGTAAAAAGTTGATATTCACCCTAATTGTAGCTCATGTTGGCAAGCGGAGTAAACACCCATGCAAATTACTAAGTTGTACTGAATGTCCAAGGATGTCAATAATCATCTTGAAATCCAAATAAATATATTTTTTACTGAAACGGAAGCCAGGCACCACATGCAGTTTCTCTCTGTCACTGGAGACAGATTTGGCACATATGCATGAGACAGAGAAGGGCAACTCTTCAGGCCCTAATGCACACAGGAAACTAGGGATGTGTATATCATACTTGGCAGCAAAATAGAGGTGGGGCAGCCATCACTTTCTGTTCTCAAGCACCTCTCTTTTTTCCTATATTTTAAAACAGGATGACCACAAAGAAGAATAAGGTATACAGTAGCATAGGATCCTAAATTAAAGCATGAGGGAAAGCTAGCATTAGTTTTTCATCTAAAGTCCATTTGGGTAGGAATGAGTCAGTGCAAAACTGTACAAAGGTGATCTTAAGTCACATGTTATGTTACCGACTCTGTGGCAATGGCTGTGAGTAGTCCAGGAACTCTCCAAGGCCTATTTTTAAATTCACTTAGACCAAGCATAATGAGGTAAAGGGATGTCTATACACATTCTCAAGTTTAGTTCTCTGACCGTGAGTCAGACTGTGGGCCATGGACCTGGGCGTCTCAGTGGTAGCAGGACTCATTTTTTCCCCTTTTCTTTCTCATAAATGACTTAGGAGACACATTGGAGAACCCTATGTGCTCCTTTTACTGGAATTATCTTTTAAGGAAGTACTGATTTCACCTCCTGTACATGGTTTGCTGAGATGGCCTATTGGGGTTTCCCACCAGTCCACAACTGGAAGTTTCTATTTGCACATTTTGACTGCTAGTTCTATATTTAGTCAAAAGCCTGCCTTTTGCCTGGTTTCTTAGGGAAATAGTCTGTAGGAGTTGCTGTGTCCATTTGCCTTGTTCACTTGGGTATTTATTTGACTGTATACCCTGATTATTTCCTAAATTAACAAAAAGGCACAGGGCCCCAAATGAAGGAAGACCCCTTGTAATTTGTTAAAAAATAAGTTTATGAAAATGTGTCGTCAGGAAATCAGAGTTGTGTTGCGGGGTGGGGAGCATGATATACATTTGTGTTTGTATGTTTCTAATTGTCTACAGATTTATGGCCTACTGTAACAAAGCCATTGTAAGTGTACAGTGGGAGGGTCAAGAAACCTTATTCTATGGATTCAAACACATTATGCATACAATTTACACGTAGGCACAAAAATATCCCTTCAAAGACCCTCCAATAAGCTATGGTATAGTTGAGGAAACACTAGACTTGAAGTCGGGAAACCGGAGTGTTGTCATTTTAATCTCAGGCTATATCTTTACATGAACAAGAGAACTTTGTGTTATTTTTCATATTCGAACTCTTTGTGCTGAAGATTCTGCAGTCAAACTGCAAGACACATACGCATTGGCTGATCAGAAATGACATAACCATTCTTACTGCACTGAGTTGATATTCAGTCAATAAACAGTCTAATCTCGGTTAAATGTTTGCATATTTTTAGACTTTTAAAAATTTGAAATCAGCCTCTCAAGTTCCATTAGACAGTTTTATCACGGACACATCAAGTTCCATGTACAACAGGCTGAGAACCATTAAGCTACAAAATTTCTAAAATTTTCTCCAGGTTCTCAGTTGCTAAATTCTCTCTTGAACATTTTTGGGGATAAAAAACTGGCAGAGAAAAAGAAGAAAGTACACCTTTTTACATTATGAAACACCTATGTTCACCTTATCCATGGAGTTATGCCAGTGACCTAATGCCTATTAAGTTCTTCCATGTTCCAAAGGTCTTTCTGTACTTGAAAACTCATAGGTGAGTCAGGTCCTTCACTGATAGCTTATAGCTAAAAACCACTTGGGAGAGGGGCTGTCCAGGTCTTATGTCAAAACTTTGTCCCATACGCTGTTAGTGTTAGAAATGGAGCCGTCAGCAAATAGAATCTGTTGTTTCATTTAATTACTTTTCAATATGCCATTACCAGAAATTTTTATGTAAATACATATTTTATTCCCTGAGGCTTGTCAATCTGAGACCAAAATTATACAACACTGAAAAAAAAAAAAACAAAATTTTCTTTTTACTAGTTCTCTCCCTGTGTTACTGTGTCATCTCTCATGCATGGTATAGGATGATGATGGTGCTCAAACTTAGCCAAAGACTCTTTTGTTGGTATTCAATTGGCAGAATTAATGAAACAAATATTTTAAGATCCCTGAATATGTGCTAAAAGCATATAACTACACTACTGGCTAGTCAGTAATTGGTGCCTCAGAAGAGTTAGGTATTTATTCATTTACCAAATACTTATATGTCAAGCACTGTTCCATGTGTTTTCTTAACCCATGTCATTGTTAAAACAACCCTTTGAAATGTGGGTACTGTGATTATTTCCATTTTGCATTGAGGAAGCTGAGGCACAGAGAAAGTAAGGAACCTGCCCAAGGTCATACTATCAATTGTAGTGGTGCAAGACAGTGGGCTCTGAAGTATGTTCTCTCTATGACGACACTGTGCTCTGAGGGAGTGAGAGAAGGAGGACATTGTTTGGGGCCCAGTGAATTAATGAACAAGATATCTGACTAGGATCTGAAGACTAGCAGAATTGACCCTACAGAGAATGTTTGACCCTACAGAGAATGGCTGGCTGTTGGTGTTCACAGCCGTGAGCATAGTGTGGTCCACAGCCTCGGTGTGGAAAATGGTCTCTGTGGTTGAATTGAGAGAAGAGCAAATGAACTGGTCTGGAATAGGGTGTACACGTAAGTAGAAGATAAGATTGAAAACAAATTTAGTGCCAAAATCTGAGGGACCTTGAGCCCCATGCCAAAGAGTCTGTATACCTTATCTAATTTGTTTAATGGGGCCACTAGGCAATTACGGGTCCGGGACCCGCATGGCAAGAATGCCTTCCATCCACAGCAGCCCTTGATGTGAGGTCAGAAAGCTAACTGCTAAACTTGCAGTCCTGAGGGAACACCCTCAAATGGATAAACCCAGCTAAGCAAGCTGGACCATTTCCTTGGGAATTATTCACCTCTCAATCAAAGAAGGAAACTTCCCAAATTCAATCCATTTGCCTTAACGTGGTGTCCCATTACCACGAATACTGAGTTGTATACATTCTTCCCTAGCTCCCTTGAACAAGCTTCTCTACTACTTTTCTTAAAAAAAAAATTACCCATTTATGACTTATTTATTATTTATCCCCTTCCTATAAGGGAATGTCCACTCTTTGAGATCCTCATTCTTCCTCCATCATGATGATGTGATGATGTAATGATGTAGTCAAGGCGCTTCCCTGGCCTAATGTGTATGAGGGCAGGCTTTGAAGTTTGACAGTCTTAAAGCTAGAGTGGTGTCATGCATTGCTCACCTCTCTAATCCCAGATTTCCTCCTCTGTATAATGGGATAAATACCTTTCCTATGAACATTTTCAGATTTTTAAATATTAATAATTCATATGAAATACTCAGCCCAGAGCTCTGTACAAAATATATTACTCAATAAATGTAGCCATTGATATTATTAATAATATTATTAAATATTGAGAATGAATTCTACCAAAGTGCATGGCACTTCCAGTGGCTGATTCTGTTTTATGTAGCCACAGGCCTTTACCAAAGGCAATGGCAATAAAGAGAGGGCACAGCAAGATCTATACTCCTTTAAACTAAGGTAACCCACTTCAGTTAGTCCCCACAGCTTCTCTTGCAACTCTTACCCTATTAGCTGTTTCTGGGGAGAAATTTAATGGGCATAGATACTGGGTGGATAGACCATACCCCAGTGATACTCCAGAGAGTGAAAAAGAGAAGTTAACACAGGGCGTGACTTCCTATGTTTAACTTGCAGTTCTTATCTTACGTTGCCCATCAGAATTATCTGTGGCATATTCTAACCATATTCTTCCTAGGCCTCACCCCTAGAGATACTGAATTAATTGTTCTTGTGGGTAGAGTCACTGTTATGCTTTAAGCTTCCCAAGTGATTCTGATGGGCAGCCAAGACTAAGAATCTATGATTTAGATAGAAGATGGGAAGCCGAGGGAGGCCATGGGAAAGCTCTGATGGTGAGTATGGGAAGAATCAACATAAAACAAGCACTCAACAAGTGTGCATCTAGTTGAAGCCTTGCTTCTCCTGCATTTGTTATCTCAGTGTGCTATTTAAAAGCAGCACAAAAAACAAGGAGTGAAGACCTTGATATCAAGGATGTGAAAGCTACTTCTAATCTTCAAACAGATATTAGGCAGGGGCTTTAAGACTTCAACTTGAGAGAAAAGCTAAGGCACCTGGTATGTGTGTGCTCAAGTGAAATATTTGTGCTGACTGAGGGCTTCAATGTCAGGCTGTCTGAAAGGACACAATATCAACAGCTTTGCTGTGCTTGTGTATGAGTCTTTAAATGAATATATCTGGTTATAGCTTATCTCTTTTCTCCATGCTCCCTCATTTCCAATTTCCAGGTAATGGAGATCATCTAGTTCGGTTTCAGCTGCTTTATTTTGCAGATGAGCAAACCCAGTGATGCCTGTGATCTAGATGGAGGCAGATTTCCTCTCTCCCCCACCCTGGTATACCATAGTCTGTTCTAATGCTGGGATCAAGGATGAAAGTGCTAATTTGGGAGTGTCCCCCACTTTCTTACTAGCTGATATGGTTTGGCTTTGTCCCTACCCAAACCTCATCTTGAATTGTGATCCCCACATGTCAAGGGAGGGAGGTGATTGGATCGTGGGGGCCCTTCCCCCATGCTGTTCTCTTCATAGTGAGGGAGTTCTTATGAGATCTGAGATTTTTAAGGCAGTTTTCCTTGCTCTTGCTCGCTTCTCCCTCTGCTGCCACCTTGTGAAGAAGGTGCCTGCTTCCCCTTCTGCCATGATTTTAAGTTTCCTGAGGCCTCCTCTGCCATGCGGAACTGTGAGTCAGTTAAACCTCTTTAGAAATTACCCATTCTCAGGGAAGTTTTTTATAGCAGTGTGAAAATGGAGTAATTCAATGACCCTTTCTTACTGACTCATTGGTCTGATTTCTTGACCAAAGCTCTGAATATTCCCATGTCATCCTGTCTAACCAGCTGTCTTATACTCTTTTTTTTTTTTTTTTTGAGATGAAGTCTCGCTCTGTCGCCCAGGCTGGGGTGCAGTGGCACGATCTCGGCTCACTGCAACCTCCACCTCCCGGGTTCATGCCATTCTCCTGCCTCAGCCTCCCGAGTAGCTGGGACTACAGGCGCCCATCACCATGCCTGGCTAATTTTTTTGTATTTTTAGTAGAGACGGGGTTTCACCACGTTATCTTATTCTTAACAGTGTCTGAGGTATTTTTTTGAAACACAATTCTTACCTTAACTGCCCCAGGCACCACGGCAGAAGAACCATGACCTTGCTGAGAGGCACTGCATGCCAAATGAGACTTAGTTTTTCCAAAGTACTTGGGAGAAGAAAAACAATAATCTATATGATGGGCTTTTGGCCTAAACCCATATCCTTTAGATGACGGAATTTGGCACAGCTCATATTCTGGTTTAAAGAAAAATGTTTTGTTATGATGTCATTTGCCTAATTAATAGCAAAAGAGGATTGAATTTTCCCTATGCAATGTCATCTAGCCTTTGAGATTTTAGAGTTAATGACTCAAATCAATTGTCCTGTCTTCTGTGAAACCTTCCTGATGCCTTCAGTTGGATAAATCTACCCTTGGTGTTCATAAGGCATTATATTGATGCCTCTGATGTTATGCAGATATATCCCTTCTTGGCTTTGTTTGCCCATTCAATGAACATTTGTTGAACACCACCTATATGCCAAGATAGTTGGAAGATGGAAGTGTGGTACACAGAGGATGTGGAAGGGAATCACAGAAGATGAGACTATGAAGGCAGGCCCTTCAAGGACTTTCTAAGTAGTACTCAGGAGTTTGACAAAGAGGAGCTAGAAGAGGTTTGTGAAGTCAGATGAGTAATATAATTAGGTTTGTATTTTATGAAGGGCAACATCTAAATATGGCTTGTCTATTCAGCAAGCACTTATTAAGTGCCTTTTGCATGGTAGACAACATGCTTGATGCTGAAGATACAAGAAAAAATTTAAAATGGTCCTTGCCCTCAAGGAGCTCACAGTCTATTGAGTTACCTTTCTGACTTTCCCACTAGATTGTGAGCTCCTGGAGGGCAGGCACTTTCGTTCATCTGAAAAAGAGCTTAAATTTCAGTGTTAATCCTAGATTACAATCCCGCCTCTATTATTTTAACTTTGTTCACATCTGTTAACTGCTCTGAAAATCAGAGCTAATACTGCCTACCTCATCAGGGAAAGATTAAACGAGAAAAGAATGAGATGTGATTGACACAGCAGGAGCTCTGTGTATGCTATTTCCTCCTCTATCTCTGTGCCTGGTACATGGTAAACATTCAGGACACTTCTGCTGCCTGCTTGGCTGGAGAGCCTGTCTATGCAGCCTCAGTGTTGGGAGGATTTGAGCCTGGGGTCGGCCTGGCACCCAGCTATGGTAGTTAGCAAATCTATCCTCAGCTCAGTCAGTGATCAAATCACTGGCTCTAGGCTGTAAACTAACAGGGCCAGAATTGGGTTCTGGACTCTGAAGCCCAGGCATGCATATTGCAAAAGTCAGAATCGAAGTCATAGGAAAATGATGAAATTTCCTTTCTGGCCAGAATGCTATTATTTCACCAAGGGCAACAAATCTTCTTGGCAGGAAAAGTTGACTTGCTTGTGCTTTGTGTAATCAATTGTATTTGCAAGTGATGGAGTCCTTCTCACAGTGGCTTAGAGGAGGTGTTAACCACTATTCTACTCTCTACTTCCATGAGATCAACTTTTTTAGATTCCACACTTGAGTGAGATCATGCAATATTTATCTTTCTGTGCCTGGCTTATTTCACTCAACATAATGTCCTCCAGGTTTGTTTGACATTTCATTGTTTTCGGAGAATTTTCACAGTTCATTATCTCACTTCACAGTTCCTAATAGTCTCTCTGAGGTCCATATGGTAAGAATTAGTACCCTTTACTATATTTGTTGAATCACAAGTGAGCGGAGGAATGGGTATAGTTGAGACCCACAGAAGTGAAGTGACTTGCCCAAATCCATATAGCTTATTATGCTACCTGTTTGTTAGAGGTTTCCTGTTGTATCAGAAACTAGTGAGATAAATATTAGTAATTTTTGTCCCATTGACACATGATGGTATATCAGGAATTCTGAGCTCATTTTTTTTTTTTGGCTCAATAAGTGACCTTAGAAAATCCAGAATGGGATTTTTAAGTTGAATATCCTTCTCTGACCTGTGAAATCACTGCATCTGTTTCCCTGACTTTATCACAAGGTAACCCAAGATATTGCCAATATTTACATGTGACAAACTCTGAAAGATGTGCATAATGCTCCCAAAGGTCATCATCTTCATACCTACCTTATAAAGTGCAAATGGAATTGACCTAGTCTAGAATAAGCAGGCGAGATGCAGAGAGATTATGTGACATAGCTAGGTCATGTGACTAGTATGCAGCAGGCTTGGGGCATAAATCCTAGTCCTCTGGCTCCCGAGTCCAGTGTTCATTACGCTATGTGACATGTCAGTATTGCTGTTTGCTCGGGGTTAGGCTTTTCCTTTGGAGGTTAGAGCTTGATAACTCTAAATCGATAAACTTCTTAGTATGCCACAGTAATGCTAGCAGAAAGTATTTGTTGAAGCAAAAAATATGTTGTTTCAAGGGGTCTGCTCCCTGAAAGATAAGTTTTTTTCTTTATTTGTGGTTTTACATCTAATTTTTCTAATGTTTCAAAAAACATTCTGTGTTCCTTTAATCTACAAGTTGGAATGGATACGGTGCCCTAATTTTCGTGTTCCCTTTGAGCACAAGCAATAACACATTTTAAAGGATGATAAATAGCTGTGTAAAATGTAGATGGGTTCTATAAATACTTACCAAAATCCCTGTAGTCAGACCCTGGTAGAAGGAGAGAATAGTCAAAGTGTTCTCTCTTTCCACATTCTTCTTCTTCTTTTAGGGGTAGTTTGGTAGTTAAGAACACAGTTGCTAGACCCAGACAGACTCAGACTTGAGTCTTGCCCTACCTGTACTACCTGTTAGATTTTAGGGAACTCCTTAATTTTCATGGGCCTCTATTTGTAGAAGGATGCTAACAATATTATGTGTAGTTTTTAGAACATTCATCTAGTATAATCCCTATACATTTTAAGTAGGTAATTATGGGTTATCTCTCATGACTGTTTTTATCTTCATCTGAGACCCTTTCTTTCTTCCTTTAAGATACTTCTATCCATATTTTTCCCTAGAGAGAAACAGTATTAGCTACTCCTGCCTGTCAGTTTAAGCTACTGTGTCATGACTATTTTGCATTTCTAAGTTTATCCTTACCTTTATCATCAAAGTGCTGACTAATGCAGTATCTGCCACCTTGTGCCTGCTCAGTAAATACAATTTGGGTTAAACTTTATTCATTTTTAGTTATGAGTGCAATATAATGACATAGCTAAAAGTTCGAAAGTAGAGAAGGGATAACAAATAGGTACTGATAATGCCACTCTTGTAATACTACATGTAGCTGACTGGTGAAGGCCATGGACTATAGAGTCATACTGGAATCCAGGCTTCAGTGCCTTGAGTGCTCTACTTAGAAATCTGTGCTTTAATTTCCTTAGCACTGAATGAGGGCAATAAAAGTAACCACCTAATCAAGATGCAGGGTGGATGAAATACATCTGAAGCATTTGGAGTAAGGCCTGGCCCAAAGGTTAGCTGTAATAATAAAAAGGTGGATGGTGACGATGTACATGATGATGGTTTGTGTGTCCCTTTATTCATATTGCCATTCACAAATTACTTGAGTAGTCCTACTTCTCCTGTTTGGTTTATTTGTTGCAAGAAACATGTGCATTAGAAGATTGAAGATGATTGCGCCCACTTGAGGAAACCGGACCCAGAGAGGTGAAATGATTTCCTAAATAGCACCCAGAAAGTTTATGATAGAGAGGAACATAGAACTCTAGCAGCCAGGCTGCTCTATTCTTATTTTCTCTATACTTTTCTTGTTGGAAAAGGACACTGTTGACTCCTAGTTACCATCTAACATTGTGGTCCAAGCTACAGAGACAGTAGAGCACATTAAGTTCTTTCAGTCTGGCTTTTATGCTGGCTTTGTGTGATAGTGCCTCATATCCACTGAAACGTAAGTACTTAAGGAGTGGATGGGAAGTATTCCTGGAAACTCACAGCTAAGCTTTTATGTAAAGACAGCACATAAAAAAAAAACCACTTTTCATAACTTTATGGAACCTGCAAAAAAATCTTGGCTTCCTTCATGATGCTTGCCCCTAGAGTGTCAGCATAGCCCTTGCAGAGAAACCCCAGGATACCTGTATTTCTCCACCCTGGCCTTCCTCTGAGCATTGAGTTGTTAGCATCAAAAAATCACCACAGCCACGTTGATCCTCATTTTCTTCAGCCTCTATAGAGCCTGCTATGCCAGGGTCCTGGGTAATCTGCAGACAGCTGCTGTCATGCAGCCTCATATATGGGTTGACTTTACCAGCAAAGAATTCCCTCACCTTCGAGACATCACTGACATCTTCATGCACAGCACAGACAATGAAACAAACAAAAAAGAACAAAGAGGGACATAAAGGTTGGAGGTCATTTACATTTGCATTTACTTGAAAGGAAACATGCTAACTTGTTGACTTGACTCACTTGATGTACTTTTTCGAGATTTCACCTGGAATCTTGTTCTTGCTAGATCTCTGGATATGCAAATCCCATCTTTGTCCAAGACCTAATTCAAATGCCACCTTTTCTTGAGAATGTCCCTTCATCTCCTGAGCTACAACCATCTCCCCTTTCTCTGTGCTCTGATAGCACATCATTAAAACATTTTACTTCGGATTGATGGACATTTTTGTGTGTCTAATATTTTCTACTATATCTTCTAGAGGGCAAGACCTACTTCTCAATATCTTTAGCATGGCACTTACTAGGCACTCAGCAAGTGCCCTTTGAATAAATGTATTATTTGCAATCATCTCTTCAGGTATATGTAGTTTTTGTGTTAGAAGCTTGCTAGGTTGCATCTTGCAAGAGAAACAATGTGATCCTTCACATGTACTTGTTCTTCTCCGAATGACTTTCTATGCAAGAAGCACTGGAGGCTGAGTTCATACGTTCAGCATTGTCAGCAGAATTGAGTCCTGAATGACCTGGGTCAGTCACTACATTAGATGATTTGATTAGAAAAAAGAATAAAGCCAGTTATAACTTGTTTTCTGCCTATTACCCAGGATATTTAGAATGATGGAGATGCAGAAGCATTTAGAGTTTTTGATGATACTCATGGTGGTATCATGAAAATAACACCTTGTGTGTTTATGGCACATAATTACATGAAACTCATTTTATTCTCATTAGAGTGTCACCTTGAATCCTGTTCTTTTTGGTCTTAATGTTTAGTGATTAGAACTTGGGAAGCAATTTCTAGAACCAGAATGGTCGGGTACAAATCCTAGCTCCTTCTCATATCAGCTCTGAGAACTTGGGCAGGTAATTTAACTTCATGATGTCTCAATTTCCTAATCTGTACAGTGGGGCAGCCAGAGTACTTATTTCATTGTATTATTTGAGAAGTGGGAGGACATAGTGCATAGTGATTCTATAAATATTACTATTGCAACCACCAGGCTTTGCATAAGGCCCTAAGTCAAGAAAACTTTCACCGTTTAACAGAGATGTTTCTCTCTGAAAGGCATGTTATTTGAGAAATAGTTGTTGAGATGAAAGGGGGGAGGCAAGATAGAGGCCAGCTTGATGAGGGCTTTGAACTCAGCCCTATCAACAAGAAGACCATAGGGCTGCATAGACTGAGGAGAAACACTCTTTGTTTGTCGAGGAAAAGGAAACTTGCAAAGGGATGGCACCAGCGCAGCCCGACAGAATTCTCTGTGGGCCACATCTGTTCATGCCAGCTGTTGTCAGTGTGTGTCGCCTCGCCGAGAATAACAGCAATGATTTTCACTTTATAGCAACTTCCATCTTGGGATCTCAGAATGCTGCATAAATGTAGATTAGGGCTCCCAAAATTTTTGCCAAGAATGAGCATACTTTACAGAGCATCAAGAATGCGTCACTCTTCTGAGTGAATCTTTATTGGTGCAAAGAGAATTAAACGAATATTGAATTAGACCTTCCTTCCTGATGTGAGCTTTCTTCTTGATTTTACTCCTTATTTTCTAGATGACCTTGAATAACTCAGTTTCCCTCCTTGACACTCAGTTTTCTTCTTATAAATGAAGGGATTCATGTACTACTAAATGGTCTCCAGTGTCTTTTCTGTTTCTGAAATTCACAGAAGGCAGGGAATCTAAAGTTGCCTCCCACATTTTAGAAAGGCCTAAGTTGTTGTAGAATTGAATATTTTCTTAGCATTTTATTCATGATATGGTAAGAACCCGGCAGAAAATTTTTCAGTTTGGTCACTGGAAAATGACACTGTCCTTTAGCTTCTAATGTGAAAGAATATAGTATTATTTACCTGTTTTTCCCTTTGCCCACCTTTAGGTACAGTACTATTTATTATTTTATTTTACTATTTTAAGATTTAACATTAATTCTCTAGCTTATATCTCAGATTGATAAGAGCAGTTCTACTTCTTTTGATGAGTCAAGTGAATGAATGAAGACATTAAAAATGACCATGTCGGCCGGGCATGGTGGCTCATGCCTGTAATCCCAGCACTTTGGGAGGCAGAGGCAGGTGGATCACCTGAGGTTGGGAGTTGGAGACCATCCTGACCAACATGGAGAAACCCCATCTCTACTAAAAATACAAAATTATCCGGGCATGGTGGCACATGCCTGTAATCCCAGCTACTCAGGAGGCTGAGGCAGGAGAATCACTTGAACCCGGGAGTCAGAGGTTGCGGTGAGCCGAGATGTTGCCATTGCACACTGAGCAACAAGAGTGAAACTCCATCTCAAAAAAAAAAAAATAAATAAAAACTAAAAAACAACCATGTCTCTCAAAGCCTTGTACTCAGACCACCTGCATCAGAATTAGTTGGGGGTACTTGTAATATTTTTGGTTTCCATCTTTGTGCGCAGAGAGACTATATCATTAAAAAATGTTTGTCCTTAAGAAAGGTTCTTTTGATAGTTCAAGACTTTGTAATGTATGTGAAATTCCACTACAAATAAGTGGATGGGTTGTTAAATCTCACTGGCAAAAGGCAGATGAGTTGAGAGACTGAGGCACTTTTGTTGCGGTTAAGCATCCCTTTCTGGAATTGATGACTGGATTCAAATCCCAGGTTCTCCACTTATTATCACGGTAATCTTTGTACTCCAGCTTTCTCATTTGTAAATTCAGAATAGAAGCCACCTAATATGGTTGCACTGGTGATGAAATAAGTTACTCAATATAAAACATTTTGAACACCTACTAAGCACTCAGAATACCTTATTTATACTCTTGTAAATTATACATAAATTAATACATAAATTAAATACTAATGTATTTCTACCTTTCAGAGTTTGTGGGAATGGATAAAAGATTCCTTCAATATGACTACTATTATTTTAATCATGGTCAGTGATTGATTAGAAATATTAAATGTTGCTGGTCTTTAGATTCACTGTCAGAGCATGATCTTTCTTCCCCTCGGCTGCAGTGCTGACGAATAACACTGAGTCATTCATATTCTCTCATCCACCTTCCTGCCACATTTGAAAGACATCCATAGCTCATATTTGACAGACTGTGTGTGAGCATTTAATACAAATAATCGTGCGCCACTGTCAAATATTAGCACATGCCATGTGTCTTCTTATGTATTACTCACAGTGGCTCTCAGATGAAGGCATCTACCCAGCTCCTCTGCCTACTTTCCCAACTCCATTTACAGGTGAAGACGCTAAAGGGGGGAACAAAAAACTTGTGAAATGTTATACAAAACTGGAGGTATAATTTGGCATTTGAACCAGCTTGTTCTGCCTCTGAAGCCCACGCTTTCTCCATTATACCACAATCAATATTTCTGAAAGTAAAAAAGGCCACATTGGTCTCCAGCTTCTGGTCTAATTAGCACCATACTTTAATCAGTGAGTTTGACTGTCTTGATTAACCTTTACGATAGACCATGTAAGTTTCATATTTCTAAATGAATATATAGAGATGGCTGTAAATTAGTGGAAAAACACTAAGCTGGAATCAAAAGACTCCTGCCTAACTCTTGGTTCTGCCACTTAATATGGGTATGATTTTGGCTAATCACTTAACAAACCACTAACTTGGTTTCTACAGAAAGAAGAAATGATTTCATGCATTGGACAATATTAAATAATCTAGTGTGTGTGTGTTGCACCCAAGTATCTTTTGACTGTAAAAGCACATAGAAAGGTGAAGGAATTTTAATCCCATGGTTGATAGAGTAGAATGCCACCTCAGTTCCTCTGAATTCTGTCCCTCATTCAAGTCCTAATTCAAGCTCTTTAAGCACACAGTACTCTCTCTCTCTCTCTCTCTGTCTCTCTTAATCTGTATCATCCATTGATACACTTGAATAATATTTATACATCATAGTATATCTTTAAGGATGATATTAGTTTCTTAATTGGTGTAGGCTGGACCATCTCATTTAACTTATGGCTCATGCCTGTAATCCCAGCACTTTGGGATGCCGAGGCGGGCAGATCACTTGAGGTCAGGAGTTAGAGACCAGCCTGGGCAACACGGTGAAACCCTGTCTCTACTCAAAATACAAAAATTAGACAGAGAAATTGCTTGAACCTGGGAGGCATAGGATGCAATGAGCTGAGATTATGCCACTGCTCTCCAGCCTGGGCAACAGAGAGAGAATCCGTCTAAAACAACAACAACAACTCACAAAGTAAATTCTATTTACCCCATTTTATTTTTGAAATAACTAATAGGTAGTAAAATTCAGCATCCTGCACTGGATCATACAATTGGTAAGCTGTGGATGTGGGATTTGAACCCAAGTAAGCAGACCCTAGAACCTATATATCTAAGGCATACTGATTACTATCAACGTTCAATTTTTTGCTTTGTTCTTTTATTTCTCCTTCATATACCTTGATTTCCTGACTGGATTATAAATTCTATGAACTGGTTGCATCTCACTCATTTTGATGACTGCTTTAATGCCTAATTAATTACTATTATTTGTGGATAATTTAATATAGATTTCATAGGAGGCTATAGTTTGCTACACTGCTCGTGTACTCTAGAAACAAGGACCCTTGACTTTTTTCTCTTCTTTGGCTATAAGCTTATCTTCTTACCATGTTGAGATACTTTGATTTGATTTTCACTGGTCAAGCAAAAAAACATGTTCTTGTTATTTTCACTTAGGCACTTTGTCTGCCTCCCTGCTGAGGCCCAAAAATTCAGTGTGATCGGTGTGTCTGTCAGAAGGTAGGATTGCTTGCCTAGGGTGGCATTGTTATTGAACAAAACACATGCCCTTTCTTTGCATCCTAAGTGTCTTGGATTGCTGAGCCAGAACCGCTCTGACTCAAATGAAAACCACCTTGTGTTAGGTGAAAGATGGGGAGTTAACCATTTGTTTGCTGGTTTGCATTTCCCACGAAAAACTCAAAAACAGAAATTTACCTCGCCATGGAAAGTGATGTGCCAAGCGTCATATTTGCATATTAAAACCGAAAACTGATTTGCATGTTATTTCAGTGTCTTGTGTCACGTTCAGGCATCTGTCAAGCCCACTAGACAGAAACAGCTTGTACAGTAGGAAAGTGTTTTTATGCATATCAGACTGAAAATCTAGGTGCCTTATTTTTATCAGCAACTTGTCCACACTTTGGGCTCTCCAATCTCTCCTAGGTTCATACCTGAAAATACTAAAGAAAAGTCTGGAACCCCATGTTTTATAAAGTATGTTTCCTGTTATTTTCTAAGAGCTATCCATTTTTATAATATTCTGTTTAGATAATTTTAAAATTATAAAGAGAAAAACTCAAATTAATCATAATATCACAATCCTGACATAAGTCTTGTTAACATTTGGATATATTCACTTCTAGTAGCTGTTTGATAATACTTACATAGGCTAACATATACTGGCCCTTTTGCATATATATTTTTATACATTTGTAATTATCAGATGTACTATTTTCATATCTTCTTATTTTTTGGCACTATAATGGCAAGAATTATGACAATCCAAGTATCTAAAATAACAGATTAATAAAATCTTATTTTGAGCAGACAGGAAATTAGAACCAGTCAGGGCTGGAGCCGTGGCAACCGAAACTCTGTGCCGTCTTTTTGATAGTGCTTTATTAAAACTGTAGCTTGTAATTGAGGATAGTTTTTCTATGGGACAATGCATAGAAAGCTGTGCATGGTGATAAAACCTTTTTTTCCCGACATTAGAGCAACTAGCCCATTGCATTCTTCCAGGCAACCAAATGAAGATGAAACGTGTGCCTGGAGTCACTGCCAGGCATGTGGGGCACAGCAAAGGCCAAAATATGGTTTTAGTTTGAAAACCCAACCTTGAATAATGGTTCATTCTATTCATCAAACTTTTAGGTCATGGGTCTTGCCTAGGTGAAGCCATCCAATGGAAATAATGTCTTGGAATTCTCTTGCCTTTATTATGTCAAATCTCTAATATATAACATCCATAAAGCCTAATTAATGGGAAAAACTGAGTGTATGTTTTAGCCATAACATTGTGGAAATAGGTTCTTTTAGTTTCACACAAATAGAGATCTTCTCACCCCACCGAGAAAACTCGCTTTCTCCTTTACGGAGGGCCCGCATGGAGGTTTAGAGGGAAGGAACCCTGAAATGAGAACTGTGAATAAGGTTGGCAGGAGATCTTTGACCTAGATTCTCCTCGACTCTGAGGATTTGGCGCTTCTGCTCTGCGACTCGCTTTTCTTACTTCTTGCCTACCCGGCAGGATAACATCAGTGGTTGTACCTTGTCTGCCGAAGCCTAAGGGAGGCTGCTCTGCTCTAAATAGCCAAGCATGAGCTTTACTTTACTATTTGTCTTTTGGTCCTAAAGGCGAGACTGTACAAGAATTAATAGTTGGAGAGGCAGCAAGGCATACGTTCACCAAATGGCATGAATTTCAAGATTTGTAGCTAAAAAGTACTCAGAGTAATTACATCCCTTGCTAAAGCAACAATTAATGTGAAATTCGGGTACACTACACTGAAGTCCTTTATCAGCAGATGGAAAAGTGGAGAGTTACTGGAGAGATCTCATTCTGCAAACATTCTGCTTCCAAGAAGAAAATCATCTTTGTTAGTGGTTTCTAAGTTGTCCCTCTTGATAATTATAACTGACATCTATTTGATATTTAATATGTTACAAAGCTTCTTCATATGAATCAGATATTATTATTCTCCAGTTTATATATGAGAAAATCAACAATAGAAAAAGAAATCACTGGAGAACTTAAGTAGTATCTTAGACATCAGGCCTAAGAGCCAGATGCTCCAAGCCCAGGCACTATTATAGCTGCCTTGACACGTGGAGACGGAGAGAGGTGGGTGTGGAGAGACCTCACTTTCCCCCAGCTCAGCCTAGATAAAACCCTTGTGTGCAGAGACCAGGGCCCCCTGACTGGATGCCCAGGCCTTTTCCCAGCTGCAGTAACTCTTCCAACAACTCCTCCTGTCTGTAATTCAGAATCATCCATCCTTGGCTATGACTCCAAATTTGGTTTAAGAAAAGGCATTTTATGGGCATCGATGCATGGCATGAGAAAGGGAATATGAGGAAGTAGAGATTTTAAGAAAATCAAGATTTCGAAAGTTGAAGATCAACTGGGATGAGTTTCAAAGCAAGAATCAAACTTTTAAAGTCAAAATTTCTGGGTCTTCCTCTTTGTGTCCTTAAAATTCATTCTTCAATAAAATGGAACATAAGAATAGAAGAACCAAGAGCATGCTTTTCTAATCCCAAGGAGCTGTGAGGAGTGTTCATTTAGAAGATTTCAATTCAGATAGTCAGGTATCCACCTTCCACTTCTTTCCTTCTCTGTGGCCATCGCTTTTAACCTGAAACAGAAGAGGTATCCAGCAAATCATCTGCCCCTGGCCAGAAGGGGTTCTCCTTCCATTTAAGCAGTGAGATGTTGAGAGTAGAGTATAATTCAGTGAGAGTCAAAAAGTAGAAGCAGCCACAGGAAATTGCAAACTGCAGACTTGACACAGCTAAATAGAAGGGGGGAAAAGAACGAAAATATCAGAAATATATTTTTTCTGGCAGGCTTTCAGCTCTAAAACGGGGCTAATTCTACCTTTTGAAAAGAAGATAATTTCAATGTTTCTTTTTTTTCAAGAACACATAATTGAAGTTATTTTCCCTCTGAGGGAAGGAACCTCTTGTACATCACTACAAATGGACAAGAAAAATGAGCAGCTCTGGTACCCAGAGTGATAGAGTATTCATTATCATGTAATCTTTTTGAATATCTTGGCTGCCTTTTCCCGGTGTTTTATCCGCCTGAGCGGTGCTTTTCTGGTAAGGTTCAGATTTGCAGTAAATTTGAGTTATCTAACACCATGTAACAAAGAAATCAACAGCAGGTAAGCACTCAAGAAAGAAAAATGATCACGCCAAGGTCAGCCCCAGAGGAACTCAGGGGGCTGACATTGCGACAGATAGTGGGTATCCATTTTGTAAATTGGATCCTTAGCACACAGGTTAAAGTAGGTAAATTGTAGTAACAAAGATGCAAGATGGTGTGGTGTTTTCCTGGGAGCCATTTGCACCTTAGTGCGGGCTGTTTCCCATGCTTCCTTTTTCCTTTAGAAAGGATGATGGATATTTTTCTTCTCCACTCAGAAAAGGGGCAGTGGGATGATAAGGTGATTAACCTTTGTGTGTTCTTGATTTCATGCCCCAAGTGTAGTGAAAGTTCAGTAGGCTGCAGAAACCCTGTGACCTGCCCATTGCTTACTCAGATTCAGAATGCTGAATGAAGTTCTGGATGTTTCAGGGGATGCTGACAACTGGCTTAAGTCCTCTCATAAATGGAAATCTCTGTCATAATGAGGTTTCCACTTACTCAGTGTGTCTATTTTTATAGACTACAAAGGATCTGTAAATATGAATATCTGTGATTTCACTCTAAAGATTGGTAATGATATGTGTCTTGCATACTATGGGCACAAATGGGCACAAAAAAATGATAGAGTAGAACCAAAGGAAGCTTTGAAAATAACATGTTACACATAAAGAAACTGAGGCTCAGAAAATGGAAATGATTTGAGCAAAATCACTGGACAACTTAAAGGCAGAACTAAGATTAAAGATATTCTGAATAGTCAGGTCTTCTGTATTTATGGGTTTCTATGTAAATGTATAATCAAATACCATGAAGTGTTATATGAATATGACAGATACTGTTATGTATGTTATTCTTAATCTAGTGGAGTTTCCTTCTTCATCAAGGGTCCTATTCATGTGTACATTTTGTTTCAGAAGCAAGTCTTCATTACTGCATAGTCCCACCCATAATGTTTACCAGGGATTTAGACCCAGATTTGGCTGTAAATTTGGCTTCATATTAAGTATTTTCTTGAATGACAATCACCTGGGCCCCTAGCAAGAAAAGAGGAATGGCAAAGAAGAACCAGTTTTAGATAATTTTCAGCTGAAAAAAAAAAAATCTTTATTTTAAGAAGGGAAAATACAGAAACATAGAAAGAATATAAAGCATTCAATTTCCCATGACTTTCAACGATTAACCTTTGAGCATATTGTATTGCCGTAAGGCAGGTCAGCCTGGCCAGCGAGTGACTTATCTCCATGTGGTAGTTCAGGGCCCAGTCTCCATCCTTCCTGTGCCTCACAAGGCCACATCTAACTGCAAGGAGCATGGGAAATGTAGTCTAGCAGTGTGCCCAGCAAGAGGAGGAAATGGATTTTGGTGAGCAGTTAGCAGGCTCTGCCATGCTTAGTAAACATCAGTCCTTTTTAAAGCATATTAGCCACTAAATTGCTCAGAATGCCACGATATCTGGCTGCGTTTTTTTTTTTTGAAAGTGTCAGTGGTCTTGGTGTTAGAAGATGTTTGCCAATACACTTACTTCAGAAGCATGACTTTCATAAAAACTCAGCTCCCATTTTTAAATCTCATAATGACTTCCCATTACTTAAAACAGGCTTGGCATTGACCATATCTTACTTCTCTTTTCTCATCCTAGTTCTGTTTTTTTCCCTTTTTTTTTTTTTTTTTTTTTTTGAGACAGAGTCTCGCTCTGTCGCCCAGGCTGGAATGCAATGATGTGATCTGGGCTCACTGCAACCTCTGCCTCCTGGGTTCAAGCAATTCTTCTGCCTCAGCCTCCAGAGTAGCTGGGACTACAGACACCAGGCACCCGCCACCATGCCCGGCTAATTTTTTGTATTTTTAGTAGAGGTGGGATTTCACCATGTTAGCTAGGATGGTCTCGATTTCCTGACCTCGTGATCCGCCTCCCTCAGCCTCCCAAAGTGCTGGGATTATAGGCGTAAGCCACCACGCCCAGCCTTTCCTCTTAACAGTTTTTTAGATATACATGTTCCTCCTGAAATGCCTTTAACTTTCTTCCTTCTTTCTTTTCTTCTTCTTCTTCTTTTTTTTTTTTTTCCGGCTGTTGTACGCAATTTATTCTTCAAGATCAAACTACAGGTCATCTTTTTTTGGCAGCCTTCTTCCGTCTCAGAACACTGAATTCATACCTGTGTTTTAGAGCTTAGACTTTATTGTAATTGCCTATTTTCATGTCTCTTTCTTCCCAAACTGTGAGTTGTTAGAGACAGGATCTCTGAATAATTTGTCTTTATACTTAAAGTTCTTGGCACTTGGTAATCCCGTAGGAGATTTATGTTAAGACAATTTTGACGGAGTCCTCTAAAATCTGTCGCTCAGTAACTCACCTGTGGATCATATAACGTTAACTTGCCTTTAGTAAGAGATTCGGGTATTTCAGAAACAAACATATTAGTGATTAAGATTGATACTTACAAGAATGTCTTTTTTTAAGAGAAAGGTTTGCTTCACAATGTCTTTGTTTTGCTATTTGGCAGCAAACCTCCACTCTGATAAAAGAAATCTTTGCTTAGATAATAGACTCAGACTAAAATCCAAACAGCCGCACAGTAAGAGAACTAGAAAGTCTTGGAGACAATGATATCAAAACCCCGAGAGGCATTGCAGTGAAGAAGTATGCCCAACTCAGCACACCCCAGTTTCAACGTTCTGCTGTTTTTAAGCAGCGGTACCTCTACAAGGTTGCTCACTTATCTTCTTAAGTCTCTATTTTCTCATCCAGAAATAGGATTACATGTCATACAGGGCTGTTGTGTAGGCATTTGAGATTTCACATCTGTGAAAGTAGGCATCTTGAAAAGGGTCTTGCAAACATGAGGAATTAATATGCTACAGTGAATATGTTGCTGATACAACTCACACTTCTACTTCTGAAGAAACGAGAAACAAAAATAACACAAACTATTCCCTTTCAGCACCTCCCACCACAAATATTCAATCGTGTTTTATTACCCATACAATATGCTAGAAGTTGCTTATTAACAAATAAGTTGGACACAGTTGTTCATTTTTCTTAGGAGGTATTGAGCCCTAAACACTATCGAGAGAGAGGTATTAGAGTAGGTCTCTGATTATGACAGTAAGAATAGTACTGGATTACTGCTTCTAGGCTCGAACACTGAAAGTTTTAAGCTGTCTTCTTTGGTGTAAGAGACAACTCTTAACGGAGGAACCCTGTGTTTCTCCATGGTGTATTCCACAGGTGTTAAGTATTCTGCACTGGGTTAGTGACAGCCGTGGAGTGGAGGTGGAGGCTGTTCTCTAGCCAAATAAACTTCAGAAATACTGAAAGAAATGGTCTCTCAGAATCTTTCATCATAAGAAAAAAACAGGAATCCATAATTAGCATTAGATAAAAGAGTAGAATCTAACAGAAAATAGCCTTTCCAAGTGTTATTTCAGAAACAGCATAGCAAGCAAATAGAGTATTCAGAGAACAAAAAGAATGATAACGTTTTTCTCAAAATCTGTGAAATATTGACAAGGTAAGTACTTTGAAATTAGATTTATACTTGAAATGTAAGTGCTAGGGGTAGAATCTAAATTTCTGGCTTAGATTTATAAAGGACAGGATCGGCCTTCTTGCTGCCTTGTCTATATTGAAAGGGAAACTGATATTAGGTTGAGACAATGATAAATTGTGTCTGTTCTCTGAGGGTCCATCCTAAGACTGAAGACAGGAATTATCAAGTTTTCTCTAACAGTCGTTTGGCTTAATTAAAACAACTTGCACCATTATTATTAGAGGTAATATTTTATACTTTTCTAGCACTCTCTGTGGGAAGCATCGTTTGCTTGGGGAAAAAATGCATGGCACTTGGAGACAGGTGACACCATATTTTGGGCTCAAGGTCTCCCTGTATTGCAAGCCTGGAGAAAAGGTGTAGGTCACTTCCCAACCTCATTTTCAATTCCACTACCTGAACTGTAATAATCCACTCCCTCAGAGGCAGTTTGAGAGATTCAAAGAGATCCTCTTTGTTACAATTGTCTGAAAGTAGTTAAACTCTATTTATCATGAAATGTGGGTTATCTCACTTTAATTCTTACAGAGACTGTGAGGTACCACTGGCAAGTCCATTGATAGAAGAGAACCTGAAGTTATGAAAGGTTGACAAGCTCACCTAAGGATGCCAAGTGAAGGTCATAGTCAAATCTCTGTCTCTAACCTTAATGATACTGCCGTATAATGTATTCCTTTATCTCTGGCCACCAGTATATTAGATAAACTCACCATCTCATTTCAGTCTTGCTGCTCTCCCATTCACCCTCTACTTCAGCGGGAACTTTCTAAATATGATTAGAACACTCTTCTAAAAACACTTACCGTGGTTTCTAATGCCTGGATGTTCCTAATTGAGAACATGCAAATATATTCCCCGTGGTCTGTGAACTTCTTGAAATTGTAAGTAAATTTTGTGTACACTGCAGATACCTGTTTTGTTGTTGTTGTTGTTGTTGTTGTTTTGTCAAAAGACAGTTTAACACATTAGATTTTGAGACTTGTCCACGTTCTTACCCAAGGCCTGGAGCCCCTAGCTCACCGAGAAGCCCTAAACATCTCAGCATGGCATGGAAGCAGTAATTAACTGACCCTTCCTATTTTTCCACCTGTCCAGACCGAAATACTGAACCACTTGTAGTTTTTCCCACTCACACCAAACTACGTCTCAACTTTGAAACTGTGCTCCTCTCAGGGTCCTTCACTTGGCCTGGGTTGGAAGCTCCAGGATAGCGGGTCATGTCTAGCATATCTTTATCACTTGAAGTCATCATGTTTAAAAAGATTTATATTCATGGATTACAAAAGTAGAACTACTTGCTGTACAATAAAGAAACAAATGTAGAAAGTGAAAGTCCCCTAAGATTCCACCTGCTAGAAAGAATCTCCTTTAACATTTCCGTACCTGGTCTTTATATAGACCTGTAAATAAACTGTAGTTACTTTATCCTATTCTGCAGTTGGATTTGTTCTTTATGAAACATGTCTTGTTCATCTTTGCAGGCTTGTTCCATAGATTTACAATGTACGTATCTGTCATTGTCTATTTAGGTGATTCTTTTGCTGGTTAGTTTACCTTGTTAGTCCTTGTTCCTCCTCTCAAATATGGCTCCTGTGACCAACCTTCGTCATTTAATTTTATTCACTTGTATGAGTACTTCTGTACAATTTTCCTGGAAGCAAGTCACATGTATGCAATTTAAAGTTTAACAATACTGGCAACCATTCATCCAATATTCATGTTTATGCAAATAC